>NC_000008.11:91964222-93214222 GCF_000001405.40 Homo sapiens
AAAAACATTTAGAGAATGATCTTTCTGTCGTACAGGCATATATCCCTTCTGGTTCTTACTGCAGAAAAATCTTTTTCTGAAGGACAAAATATCTTTTATTTTGTCTCTGAACTGCTTTAAGTCTCTCCAGGTCTTACATATCTATAATTCTTCAGAAAAACTTGCACAAAATCGATGTGTAATAAATTTAAATATAATAGAATGATTGTAATTGAAACTCCTCAAATGTTAAGAATCCTACAGAAGGCAACACATTGACTTAAATTCACATTAAGATTGCATCATCATCTACTTGCATTGCACTTGACAATTTAAAATCATTTTCACATGATTGCAGTTTCAGAAACTGGGACCCTCAAAATAAATAATTTTCACAGTAAAAGGCTTGCCCCAAGTCACAAAAATATAAAATTACATAGCCAAAGTTTGATTCACCCAGATGTTTGGATTACAAATTAAAAATATTCTTTCTAAAATGCCACACTTTGTCAACTTCAGATCTTTTATTAGCTCTCATTGTGGCAAGAACAGGTTAGCAGGCACTTAACTCCCAAAAATGGACAGAAATTGAACCATAAAGTCAGAGGCAGCAAAGACAAGGTGTCAGAGTGTGTAATGAAAATGGCACAGGCTTCAAAAGCCAGGCCAACTTCATTTCATTTCCAACTTCATCACTTTGTGGCTTTAGAACCACAAGCCACTTACTTAACCCTTGGAGCAACAGAACATGTAAAGCAGGAATAATAACTGCAGGATTATTCAGGGTTATGTCAGTGCTAAGCACAGTGCATGATGTTCATAGGTCCTGAATAAATGGCAGGTACTACCACCACTCCCTCCTTTTGGTACTGACTGGAAGAAAGAGAGAGTAGATACAGTCCTTGCTCCAGATCCAGCACCTTACAACCTTTAGAATTAGAAGGCTGATGGTCCCATTCAAATTAAGTGCTATCACCCATGGGCACTGACAGCTACAGGAGAAGAACATTAACTTACTTCTCCTCATACTTCATTAGTGACTAATAATTTCTTCCGCAACTTCATTTGCTGTCCTCAAAATTTCTGAAGATTTACCATTGCTGATTACTTCCCCGTTCTTCCTTATTAAATGCCTCTTGTTGAAATTTCCCCTACTAAAATTCTCTTTCTTATACAATAACTTCTTCTGCTGTTTGTTCTTTTCCCTGTAGTTGACAGTGAGGGAGGGAGGGATGCTGGCATAAAGAAAAGGAATATCTTTTCCTTCTCATGCTGCCCCTTGTGAGATCTTGTGGTTTCAATGATCAGCTGTAAGCAAATTACTCTCAAACCTGTTTCTCCTTGTTATCTTCTTCCTGAGCTTTGTGCTCCTATTTCAACTGCCTGTTCTGTAGGTACCTCCACCAGGATGCTCCTCTAAGTCAGTATTCCCTAAACCCAACTCTGGTGGGTCCATTTCAGTCTTTGGCAACACTCATGCCCAAGACTTTGTCACTTTATTGCAAACCCCTCTTTCTTTAGCCCCTGGAACCATTCAGTGCCAAACCCCACAGACTACTTCTGTGGTCTCTCTCCTTTTCAATCGCATAGTCACTACTCTAATTCTCTCGCCACCCTTCCTGTTAGGATCATTTCTTAACTGTTTTTCTTCTCCGTTTTCCTCTTTCGTTCTTACATAGACACACTGCTCATTTGTAAGGTGACTTTTCTTTTAATAAAATACTTCTCCTCATCTCATTGGCACCTCTCCACCACCTTGCAAAGCAGGCAGATCACAGAAACGTTATCCCAAATTTTGCAGATGAGAAAACCAAAGCTTCAAGAGGTGAGCAACCAAAGGTCAATCCTAGCCCAGTGCCCTGTCTACTATACCATGAACATCTACGGAATCAAACAGCTGGCATATATATATATATTTATAAAATATATATATATAATTGTACATATTGTATATTGTATAACTATATATATATATATATGTAACATAGCATCATAGCTCATGCTCTGAGAGCTCCAAATTTTTCTGGGAATCAACTGGTCTGATGAGATTGTGAAGGCTTTGACAGGACCCATGCTGTGAGGTCCCTATGTTTTATTCAGAGTCTACACAGGTGGCATTTCCAGTTTGGGCCAAACTTCACAGATTCCACTGAGGTTGGTATAACTGTGCAGCTCTGCACCTATATAAGAATGATAAATAAAGGCTGTTTTAATCTGGGGGAAAAACATCACTTTGGTAGTTTAAAACTCTAAACTATTAGAACAATAAAAGTATTTATCTGTTTCTGTGCTCACTTGCAGTTTCTTGCTTCAATCACCTAAGCTAGTATAAGGTATGGATCTCAAAGAAAGCTGTAGAAGTTTCCTTGGAAATAGCTGCAATCTGAGAGCATTCATTGGAAAAAGCTTTATCTGTACACAGATAGGAAATGAAAAATAGAAATAAATATGGAGAAAATAAAAGAATTTAAGATGATCAGATTCAGTAAATTTCTGATTTATGCTAATGTTGGCATTATATTCTGGGTTAAATATATAATCCACTGGGAAAAGAGAAAGTACAGTAAGCATCACATTGCTTAGATATCTGCCGCAAGTCCAGTGTCATTCTAACTGATAGTAATACCAACTATCAGCCTATAAATCCAAGTAAAGTTTGAGAACTAGGTAGAAATAATCATGAAGTCCAGTGAAAAATAGATACAGTACACAATTAGGAAAAAACAAACAAACAAACAAACAAAAACCTCCCACTCCTGCCATGTAGCTACTAAGAAGGTGGCCTGAAAGTCGGGCTACCTGAACTAAGGACCAGCTCACACTTACTGACCATGAGACACTGAGCAAGTGGCCTAATCCCTTCAAGGCACAGCTTTTTATCAGTAAAATGAGGAAAGTAACACTACCTACTTTGTCAGAGCCGATGTGAGAAGTAAACGAGCTAAAGTATAGAAAGCACTTCATACCATGCCTGGTTCAGAGTTAAACACTCATCGTAGGTCGTCTTATTTCATCTCAGGCAAAACAAACTTCATGCAACCTCCGATAACTTGGCTGACTGTGGGTTCCCATGAGCCTGGGATGGCCTGGTTTACCGGACTGGTCTGTCTAAGCAAGAGCAGTCTTTCTTACTCCAAAAGGCATCCCAGTTTGGATGATAAATTTTACACGCCCCCCTCCCCCGCCCACCTACAAATAATATCCATGAGTTATTCATTCCTGCCTCCAAGCCTTCTTTCTGCTGGTCTCCCCAGTCAAATGTTCTCAACTCCTCTCCTCCTTCTGAAACATTTCCACTGCCAATCTTTCAGAACCACTGTTTTTTCTAAGCAGAATGAGCATCATTAGCTCCGTTTTATACATGTGAAAGAAAACTGAGATAGGAAGAGAAAGGGCAAATTCAGAAATTACAGAGAGAAGAATTCAGAGGTATCTAGAGTTAACACAAATAGCGCAGAAGAAACATAAATGGCCAAGCTAGGCCTAGAACTCTGGTCTTCTGATCGCGAATCTTAGATTCCTTCTTACAATCCCTATGAAGGAAAGAGAATAATAATGTGTGTATCTTACCACATATACGTTGTTTTAGATTTGGATTATATAGTTCATACCTGACCTAGGTAAGAGATGGGCAGATGTTTACAATAGGTGGTGGCTTCAAATAAAGAAAGGGAAAGGGAGGAAAGAATATTGTTTCAGTAGGAATACTTTAGTAAATACTGTGATTTTTTAAAAACTGTGGGAAATATGAGCAGATAATAATATATTGTGTTATAGCTTTCAAAAACACTATTTTAAAAATCTTTTAAACAACCTTGTAAGGTAAATGAATATCGTCCCATTCCTTAAGAAGAAATGGAGGCTGACAGGAATAAAATGAATTGCCGAAGGACCTCTGAGACAGTAACTGAGCTGGGGCCATAATTCAGGACTTCTGGGTCCTCCTCTCAGATACTTTCTGCCACACGTATCTGCCTCCGAGCTGTGCTAGCAGAAGACGATCATCTGATCAGATGAACATGGCCTTTAAGAGGTGGGACCATTCAACTTATCAATGAAGACAGGACACCTGACAGTGGAAGGGGGCGCTCGTAATAATTATATTGGGACACTAGGTGTCAATGGACAGCTCCACCCAAAGTGGGAGGTGTGGTTGCCCTGCACCCTAGGTTACAGTGCACTCTCCGGTAAGTTTTGCACATTAAACTTCTAAGAAATGAGAACATTCATTTTTCTTAGAAAACAGAACAATCCATAAAATACTTAAAGCACAAGGCAATATGGGCCTTATTGGGCGTAAAGAGATCTTTTTTTCCATCTTTCTTTCTTCTATTCTTGGGAAATTATTTACAGCATTTTTGGAGAAAAGAGGCTTAATCCTTCTAGAGATGATTCCTCCCCAAGTCTTAAAAGTGGTCCTTGCACTTTAAAGAATAAGAAAACAGACCTAAGCTGCCTGTCTTTATCTGCATACAAAAATTATCTTAATGATCCCTATGAAAAGATCCTTATTTCATTGTTACAAAACAACATAGGGACTGAAAGCATGCTGTGAGATCCTGTTGAGGCTCTGCCATTTCCTAGCTGTGTAACTTTAGCCAGGTAAGTTTCCTCATCCATAGCATGACTCAAGGTTCAAGCCATATACTAGACACTTCCACTCTTCTTCAGATCATGATAAAATTGAAGCTTTTACAGGTTCAGTGGTTTTCTCAAAAATCAAAGAATTGTAAGAATTGGAGCCAGGAATTAAGTTTGACCCTCTGAATTCCAAACCCTTTCCTCTACCATGGTCTGCTTTAAAATTCTTGGGGAAGTGTCACTGAAGACACTGGTAATGCTATATTAAAGATCAGTTCCCCCAAGAGGTCAAAAAAAAAAAGAAAAACAATTATTACAGAAGATCATTCTTACATTAGTAGTAGATATGACTGAATAACCTATCACAGATACTGTTTAACAGGGTTTATTTATAATGCTAAATATTGGTGTCAAGATCACATATTTTCTAAATAGGTTTTAGGAATAAAGACACAAAGCTTATAAATACTGAAGGAATACAGCATGTTACTGCCTGAGTACAAAGACTTAATTGACAATTTCTTCCTAGACATCTGTCTTTAGAATTTGGTGACCTAAAAAGTACTCTTAACATACCTAACAGCCCTAAAATGTTCATGTGAAAGTGACAGTTTTAATGATATGACATCAACTGTGCCTCACGATATTGCTCATTTGAACAGAGAAGGACAAATTCTCCTCAAAAGATGCTAATAATGTTTTTAAAATAAAAAACATAAAGTCCTTATATCTTAGCCACAAGATACCAATAAAACTGAATTTATGTCTAGTTTAATTGAACAATGGAAAAGTCAGCAGTTAAAGGGCAGATAAACTTCCCTTTGTCCCTCTTTTCCTGAGAAACTTTCAAATGTTGAAAATCAATTCCTTTTGTCCCCTTGTTATTCATCTGCTACACATTAAATAGAAACTCTGGGCATTGAGAGATTCCTGCAGAGTCTTTCATCTACAGAAAAGCCTGGTACAAATTAAATACTTACTCTCCCTCACAAATTATAGATATGTATTGTAGTAGACCATTGATTTATCAGTCCATGCCATTGTGAGTTCGGCTTGGTGAGAGCAGCCCATTGTAGTCCTTTATCTAAAGTTACTCTGGGGTTAAGGATCGTGATGCTATATTAATTAACGTGGAGCATTACTATTCTGCTGATTTTGCAGGCAATATTTTAAAAATCATGTTGTTAGATATTGTGTTTTAGTTACTTTGCAGATCTTTGAGCCATTTAGGCTAGCTGTGTGTGTGTGTGTGTGTGTGTGTTGTGTGTGTGTGTGTGAGAATTATTATACTGGAACAATAATATATGTAACATTACCTCTAGCAGCAATGTTATGCTATGAAATGACCATCATATGGGTTACCACAAATAATGTGGAAGTACAGACTGTCTCTAAGATCTCTTAGAAATATTCAGTTGATGCAAACATTGTTTTAGCATTGGACTTTAGGACCAATAGCTAAGGCAGTGATTTCAATCCCAAGCCTGCCAGATGGCTTTGGAGACCACAGCTTACACAGTATCTATTAAATCCCTTCAATTGGAAAGCAAGCATACACATATGCACATGCACACATACACAACAGACACACACAGCCAAGCTATGAGTCTCTAAATAATGCTGCGAAGTTATAAGAATTTCACTTTGATCGGTAACCTACCAAACATTCAAAACCTTTTTTGGCAAAGATTAGGTGTTCAATAAAAAGACAAATGTGATCAGCTCTTGGCAAATTTCATGAATACCTTGACTTTCCCCACACTGTTCTAAATTTTTTTCCAAATATTTATCTAAAGTGATCACCTTGAATGAAGAATGAGCACTCTAATGAATGAAAACTATCTTGTTTATTTGGAGCTTCCCAAGATGCCTCACCTCGCTTGAATCCTCCTGCTGATTGATAACTGCCAGTGCGTCCTCCGCCGCCTGCCGTTTGGCCTCGGCGACCGTGCGCTCCATCTTGGCCCTCTCTGTTGTGATCATGTCGTGGGCTTTCCGCTCCGCCTCAGACACGGCCTTCTGCAGCTCCGTCATCGCCTGGCGCTTCACCTCATTGACGGCCTCCTCTGTGTGCCAGTCAGGCCAAACCAGACAAGAAAACACCTCTCAGTTAGCCGAAGTCATTGGATACGGATTACTTTTCTTTTAATTTTTTTTTTCTTTCCGAGGCTGGTCTCGAACCCCTGGGCTCAAGTTATCCTCTGCATCAATTTCCCCTAGCAGCTGGAATTACAGGAGCCTTCCAGCCACCATGCCCACTATCTGATTACTTTTTTGTAGAATTCTATAGAAGAAGCATGACTCTCATCCAAATTATTGGGCAGTTCCAGCAGTCTAAAAACTAGCAGATCTTTTGACATACATTTAGGAAAACAAAGGGTGAAAATGTTTCTTTAACTTGAATTTATGGAAATATTTTTTGAAACTCCTATATCATTATTATAATTTTTTTAACCAAACTAATGCCTCCAGAAATGATTCTGAGACCAGATAAGAAGTTAAAGGACAAGGTCATTCGCAAGAAACCTGTCTGAATAATTCAGACACATAAAGTCAGTTTTCCACAATGCTATAAGTTAACATGAATATAGGAGGGTCCACAGGTCAAGAGTTCAGAAAAAAAAGAGAGGCCGAGAATGGATTTTACACATAAACAAATAAGTGCAAACTATTAGTTGCTGGCATAATCTACAACACAATAGTGAAAAGGTAACTCAGATAGCAATTAAGTTACTATAGACCTTTTAATGAAAAATCAATGCTATAATGGATGATCCAGTTTTACTTTTGAAAAGTCATTTCCTGAGTAATATAAATATGTGCCTTTATAGGTTAAATGATAGAGGTTTTAAAAAATAATCTCATTTTTACATTTTAAGCTGTTGTCCATTTACTTTACCAAATATATACAGTGGTTTTGCATAACCAACTGTTGCACTAGACAAATATAACTGAATCATACCACAGGCCAAAACAATCAGGCCTGACTATGAGTCTGCAAGGTGTCAAATAAGCTCTTTATTTTTGGCTGAGGAAAGGGTGCAAAGATTCAACTAATGTACAACATAAGACTGACAACTAAAACAAGTAATTTCCATTTTAAAAAATTAACTGTTCTAATTAACAGGGGAAAATATCCTCCCCCTGAATTAGTTTATCTAATTTTCATCTTTATTCAAAGCAAAATGACAATGATTAATTGAAAATTTAATAAGCAGTAATTATTAACTTGGCAAACCTAGTACCAATTAACACTCTATTAAAACTAATTATGACATGTTTCATTCAAGTGTTTGCACTTAATTGTTTCACCCACTTAAAAAGCACCTTAATTAAATGTTCTGTTTAATTAAAAACATAGATTCCTAATAAAAATGTTTTACTGTAGATTAAAAATGTAAGAGATGCAAGTACTCCTATTGTTTCTTCAATTCCTCTGGTTTATTTCACACATCTATTGTCCATGACTTGAGAGTCATCAGAAGCTCTCCACTAGTAATTAACTGTCATGACTTTTGTAGCCTCTGTCATTTTAGCAGCATTATATCTGAAGTACATTTCTTTGCAATTACTGTCTGCTAGGTTTTATAAACTAAAATATAAGTAAAAGATCCATAGTGGAAATATTAACTAAATTATATTAAGCCGTTGTTAGCTGCTTTAAGATATGCATTTAAAATCTGTACAGAATCAGAGTATTGCAAACAGCTTATAGCACCTTCTTCACCAGGAGGTGAAAAGATGCCTTTATTATCCTATCATAAATGACTTGGGGCACAAGGGAAGTACTGCCCTTCTAACTATACAGCCAGGGTCTAATTTAGTTTGAATATTCAAGGTGAATTAAAATTCTATCTAAGTGGTAGTACAGAACAATAATTTTTGCTTACGATCAAAGCTGTAGCTTGACTAATTGTATATGCAAATCAGGCAATTTACATTTAAATTATGCATTCCTATTCTAATCCCACAGGCATATACAGATCAGCAAAGAGAATTGGTAGGACATTTGCAAGGTGCTTGAATATTTATTACCAACTGCAAACATTCTCTGATCATGTAAAAAGAAATATACTGAAGAAAACATTGTTACAATTTTAAAACCATCTTTATGTTAGATTTTTTCCAGTTTCATAAAGACCTTTGTAACTTTTGAGTGCATTTGTTACTTTCGCTTTAAAAAATACTACTTTTAGAGGAGAATATGGCCTTGAACAATTTTTTGGATTTCTAATCTTTAAAAATGTGTGTTGTTATGTTATTATATTGTGTTATTGGGGGCAATGTGAAAGATTTGCATAGGGTCTGTAGATTAAATAATAGTCTTCTATCAGTGATAAAGTCTTGATTTGGTAACTGTACTGAAGTTATGTAGAATATTCTTGTTCTTGGTAAACTGACATTCAAATCATTTAAGGTAAAGAGAAATTATGTCTGCAACTTACTCTCAAATGATTAGAAATATATATATATTTAAGAGAAAGAAGAGGATGAAAGGGAGGAAAAGAGAAAATACTAAAGCAAATATGATAAAATAAGGGAATCTAGGTGAAAGTTATAGAGGAATTTTTTGTACTTTTTTTTTGCAACTTTCCTGCATGTTTGAAATCATTTCAAAATAAAATGATGCAAAAAGCTATATGATGTACTTTCAAGCACAGGGTATACTTGTAATTACAATTTTCTGTGAAAGTGGATGCATTTGTTATGCTACATCAAGTTTTGGGTGTTCTGCCCCTTTTGTATTTTTCAAATACTTTATTCACCTATGTTTTGCAACAAAGATAATGTATAATAATTTCATTGCAAAGACACACTTTATAGATTTTCTTCAAAAAATTTTTTTGCCCATAGCCAATTTTAGAAAGCTAGGATAAAAGCTTTCAAATTGTAACAAGCTGAGTGCAGATGTCACATTCTGCCCTTGGTGTTTTCATCATGTTGGATGCCTTGACACTGAACACTAGAAATGCCATTTAAGAAACCTATAAAGATAAATATTATAAGTAGTTACTGGAGATTTCTAGATGAAACTATCATCCATACTTTGTGGATTTAATATACTCCTTAAAATTTAGCATATATCCATAGAAAACTATTCCCAAACTGTTTTTAAGCAGCAGTTTAGGGATACCACTGTGAGAAGAATACAAATTTAATGTCATATTTTAGATTGAAAACCTACTGTAGATGATAGACACTGTAATAAATAATCTAAACACTTCCTAGATAAGGTTTAACCCTTCTTGGAGAGGGCAAGCACACAACAAAAACAAGTAGTGCTCTTTCTCTACTCTCTTAAGTCCCCAAAACCTAAATTACACCCAGAATTAGGTTTAAAAACCCCCAAAACAGACAGTAAAGAAAAATAATAGTGGAGTCAATAGATAACAATATGCCATGTAGGAAAAAATAAACAACTGATTAAGTGGAAAATACATAGTGCAGTTTTGAATCTGCGTCCAATTGCTTACCACTTATGGTAGGACTTCCTTTGTACATAGCTATTCAAGTTGACTTTCCAACAAAGGTGCTATATTCAGAAAAATCTATTCTCACTTAATAGCAGTCAAACAAAGACTTGAGCAGATAATAGCACAAAAAGAATTCGGATTACACAAGACCTTACTGGTAATTTTTCTCTATGAACTATCAAGAATTTAACTTAAATATACTTAAAAAGGGAAGTGCAGAGAAAAGACTCACTCCTCTGAACATAAAGTCACCCTTCTTCTGTCCAAAATCACAATTATTTGTACCTCTTATTGGAATAAGTTGCACTGACAGCTTAGAAATGGAAGAGAAAAATGGTCAGAAGGAAGATGTTGCCCGTCTTTTCAGGTAGGTGGTACTTGGCATATTTTTAACAGCTTGGGAATACTACATGACTATTACAGTAAATCTGGTAAAACTACACAGTTCAGCAACATATGTATTTTAACCTTTAAGCTAAATGGACCTATCTAATTTGCGTATTGGACGTGCAAGACAGCTTTCTAATTCTTAATCTGGGCTACTAAACCTAGAATGCTATCAGATTTTAAAGCTCATTATCACTCTTACAAAAACAGGTATTTCTTGGAAAATGTATAAAAATACTTGGATAAGATACATGTGACTAGAGAGTCAGCAAGTTACACAGAACTACAAACACAGCTGAGTGAAATCCCAAAGAGAAATCTTCTGTAGAAAAAAACAAAAAATCTGTCCCCTGACTCTTCAATTTGCACTGTTTGTAGAAGTAGCATTTCCCAGTTTCCCAACTCAAAAAGACAAACTGTTTTAAGAGCTGGAGTTACAGCAGCTGAAAGCCACAGTATGTTTTTCATGGCCTCTTTAACTCTTGAAACAGGTTTATGTTTCATCTCCTGAGTTGGTTTTCATAAAGGTTTTTGCTTGCTAGGTGGTTCCACCAAAATTCTCACAGATCTGGACTTCTTTAAGCCCAATAACAAGTCAGTGGGTCATGAGGAGCTTTAAATCTACTATTACAAAATATAGAGCAGCATCTTGTAATGGAAAGCAGATAGTGTATATGAAAAGCAAAAATAAATGTTTAGTAACTTTGTCATTTCACTTAAAGAGTAATTTAGCTCTGATCGTTGAATACTAATTAGTACAGAAGAACAACTTTAAAAGTCGATTGTAACCAAAAAATTATCTGAGTACTTTAACAAGTCAACTAGATTTGATGTTGGTTTCGTTTTTTTTTTTTTTGGATGCAGGAGAAAAGGCTGAAGTATGCAATTTAATTTCTAAGACACTGGAATTTTTTCATCAAAGAAAAAAATGCATGCAAGCTAAGACCTCCTATGCCAAGTTTCAGCCTGAAATCATTATGGCCCTGAAAAAAATGGAGTTTTATAATGGAAATATTGCCAGCTTCTCAATTATAGTGAAACTGGCAGATGTTACTAAAATAAAAATGATTTCATCTTGTAATCAGGCCTGGTTTAAGAATATTAATCAGGTGTTTTGTTTAGTGGTTTTTTTTGTTTTGTTTTGTTTTTGCTGTTGTTGTTGTTAGCAGTAAAGTCCTTTCTTGTCATTCCTCACATCACTACATTAACAACTGCACACAGCTGCCAGAACACGAAACTCATGTTTTTAAACAATTCTTACCAGCTTTCTTCCAGATCTCCTCTGGCACGTATCCAGACGCAGGCCTGTGAAGGAATTCCCGATGCGCGTCTATGAAAAGGATGGGAAGGGGGTGGAGAGAGGAGGAGAGTACTGTAAGCACACTTGTGTCATCGCACAGAGTGAAAGTAAGCAATGCCCATTCTCCTGGCTTCTCTACAAAAACGCAATTTTAAAAGGCTAAACATTTCACTTCTTGAAAACACATAAAAATAGCAAGGCCTGTCATCAGAGCCCAAGGAAAACAGAGGGTCATTGGTCTAAATGCCATGCATGCTCAAAGCCAAAGCAACTTGATTTCATTATACAATATGATGTTTGGGAACACTGTTCTCAGCACTTTCTGACTATGGAGACTTCTATAGATATATTTTGTTAAGGAATATAAATTGTATTTGGTAGTTTTCCTTTCATGAGTCAAACTGGTGGTTAAACAATCAAATGTTCAGGTAATGTAATTTCCACAGAGCTCTGATTCTGCCACCTTTCAATGAATAGCAAGCTCCACTCTATGGCTAACCAGTTCTCATACTTAATTCTTAAAAATCTCAGTGACCATTAAAATTTTTCACACAAATTAGATCATATGGATTTGACATACGTGAAAGCCAGAAAGACTCATCAGAATGGATTCACAGACATTCTGTTGAGCAGAGAGAATTAGCCCATGCTTTCCAGAAAAGGAAATGAAGTTCCACTTTAAATTAAATGCTGTGCTTACTAGGCGTCTCAAATTTTAAAAGTTTAAGAAAACAACTAATAACTTTGATATAGGAATGCTAACTTCTAAAATATGTTCATGGAATTAACACAAAACATTTTATAGTTCTTACATATGCTCAAAAGTAAACAAAGTGTATACCGTCTTCCATAGCTAAAATATGCATTTCATGTCTTCCATATTGGATTTTCAATAAAAGCCTCCTTATATAGAAGAGTTCGGTAAGAAAAAAATCATTTTAACTTTTATAAAACTTAATTAATAAGCCCATGATAAATTCTGAGGAAAACTGAAATTTTCTCTATGTGTACAGTAAATGTTGAGTAGCATATATTTTTAAATGCTTTATCTAATGGTTATGTTGAAGATGAAGACATTTAGTCCAGTCTCCTATATTTTATGGTGCTACACAATGTCAAAAATAAAGAAAAGCACGATGAGTTTAGCTAAGTATATGTTGTTACATTTGAATGCTTTAAATACATTTGAATGCTTTGAATTCTTGCAGGGCACACAGATTATCAACTGGCAAGAACATTAGATTTTCTCAACTATTCTGAATTAGCAAAAATTTACTACAGCTTGGTGAGGAATATATGGAAACTATATCATCTTTGCAATTTTTTAATCTAAAATTATTCCAAATATTTAAAAGTTTATTTTCAAAAGTTTACACTGTGATGTCATGACTACTTAATAATAGGATGGACTGGAAATATCTATGCATTCTCCTGTGTATATTCATTTCTATAAAGTAAATGACAAAAATAAAAACGTTTTTACTGAAGTAACTTTCATTCTTAAGGCGAGATAAAACTGCTGCATAAACAACCTAAAAGGAAATGTGATACAGCTAATTAGATTTATCAAGATTATCTTCCTTACCACTATAACTATTTCCAGAAGAAATAAAGTGCAATCAAGTTCATATTTAGCCATGTGACACAGTACAACACAGAGATTTACTTATGACATTAAAAGACAACTTTTAAGGAGAAAAGACTTGGATTTAAGCATAATTTATTGGATAAGAATAAGAACAGATCTGTAAAGTTTGAAGAAAGAAAAAAACGTGACTTCAAAGTAGCAATTTTTTTTTCATTTATTGTGTTAAGAAGAGACCTGTAGTTAATAAAAACTTATTTTTTTCTTTTTTCTTTTTTTGAGACGGAGTCATGCTCATTGCCCAGGCTGGAGTGCAGTGGCACGATCACAGCTCACTGCAACCTGTGCCTCCCAGGTCAAGAGAATCTCCTGCCTCAGCCTCCCGAGTAGCTCGGATTACAGGTGCATGCCACCAAGCCCAGCTAACCTGTATATTTTTAGTAGAGATGGGGTTTCACCATGTTGGCCAGGCTGGTCTCAAACTTCTGACGTCAGGTCACCTGACCTCCCAAAGTGCTGGAATTACAGGTGTGAGCCACCATGCCCAGCCTATAAACATTTTTTTTTTATTAAATAGTCAATCATTATGATAAAGAACAGGAAAGGTAATGTTTAGGTATCCAAAGTCCATGCATGAAAGATGCTAATTACCAGCCCCAGGCAACATAGGCTGAAGAAAGTTAGTTCTAGCACCCAGTGAAGCTAGCTATTGACCATGGAACACTGGGTATGTTAGTTTGTCCATGTCTCAGATGCCTCATCTATAATAAAGTGAGGACAATACTACTATTATTTGAGAGCACTGCTGTGAAGATTGAAGGAAGTACCTCCTATTACATACACATCCTAAACTCCCATTATCTGGTACTTGCTATTATCCTCATTATTATCATTATTATTACTTACTATGTGGTCTAGTAAGAATGGCTATATAATTATTTCCTTTTAAAGTTTATCTTTTCTCTCAATGTTAAAAATCCAAATACCACAAATTTTGAAGAGAACAAAGCCATTGAAGAAGTTTGGATTAAGCAATATACACCAAGTAATTTTTTAAACTCCCAGAATCTATGTCACTTGGAAATAGAAAATATTTCTATAGTTCACAATTCACTGCCTTTGTCCTTGGAAGCAAAATCTTCAAATTTCTTAGATGACACTTTCAAAAATTTTACTTGAGCCTCACCCATGAATGTTTATAACACCCAAATTGACTCAAATATTAACGTGCCAGGCTCAATTGACCTTCCACCTTCTATGGGCTGCACAGGTGTCTTGGGGGTACATATACCACACTGGAAAGTTGTGCAATGTTTCACTTTGGCTATACCTTCCTAAATTTCTCACTGACATACTGCCATGTCCACATAGGCCCAAACTTTAACTGACATAGAAACCCAATAGAAATGCTAAAGCCAATTATGCAAAAGTTTTCTTAATGCTAACCTACCTTCTAAAAGACAGTTTTTCAAAATAGCAGAATCTAAAGGGAAATAATTATATAAACGTGTTTTACAATATCCTCTCCAGTTCTAAGTTAGTGTACTTGATAAACATCAGGTCTACCAACAGAAAGAACAGAGTGATTGGTAGTAGGTATACTCCTCAGAAATCTATTTGATACCTTGATAAACACTACTTTAATAGATTCAGAAACCAAATGACTAATACATTTAATATCTCCTCTTCTGATTAAGCAGCAGCAATATCAAAATCTATATAGGGAAAACTGAGTTTGAAAAACAAAACAAGGGACAATTCTCTCCTAGGACTTTACTATTTTAGAATACTGGCTAATCTAAACACATCTACCTAAAACATCCTAAGATTCTAAGGCTTAGATTCAAAAGAAGCTAATTCTTACCCGTTAACTCTTAAGTACCTATAAAATATCAATTGCTAGAAAAAGGAATCATCATTCTAAAATGTAGTGGTAGATGCAAAGACAGAAGAACGTCTATGATATGGTCTAAAATGTTAAACGTATATATATATGCAACTACTGAAAGATGAAAACATTATAGAAAAGTCCTTCTAAATTAAGTCTAGCTTGCTTTGGGATGCAAATTGCTTGGGGCGGGGGGTGGTGGTGAGAGTGGATGAGGATGAAGGGAGCCTCTTGAAAATAATTCACATCTATGAAGAGAGGAGACCAGGTCAGAGTGACAGAAAATGGTGTAAGAAATGTGAAAGAACAGAAAGAGCAATCTATGATGTATGAAAGAGATGGAAGATGCACTACACTTACGACAGGATGGAGACCATTGGATACTAGATACTGCAAGGGCCGCCATCAATATACATGAAGGGATGAGCTGATAGCCTTTGGAGAAGCAATGTGACCTCATATGACCCAGGACAGCAATGCTCAAAGCTGGGCAGCACCTAGGTATGGCCTTCATCCTGTAGTGGGCAGAATGAGGCTGTGATCATGATAATATCTATTACAAAAACCATCAAAAGAAAGAAAGAGTTAAGTAATTTTATCTTTACAAATGCCACTTGTTTTTAAGGATAATACATTCAGAAATCTTCACACTAGGTTTCAGAAGCCCAAATCCAACCTAGAAGCTAGCAACTGCTTTAGGATTTCCATCTTTTACAACAAACATACTTAATGCTCCAGGAAGTAACCATCTCCTCTTAATTTTAAAAGATGGACATATTTAACTAATAGTCCCATATTTTTAAACCCAATATAGTTAAGTACAGTAGGCATTTGCATTATGAAGTCAGCTGAATGACTGTGAGATTAATTTCATGATGTGATTTAAAGAAATCAATACAAGGGTACAAAACTCCAAACATTTACATGCAAATATACACAGAATAACTTGTTTGTGGTTTTCATATTTTGAGAGTATAGAAGTTGAAATATTTCATTGGCTGGGAGAAATCTATTTTTCCATAGCCTTGTATTATGAATTAGGGTCCCAAAGGTACAACAGATTTACTACATTTAAGACAGGAATCTTTTCTAATCTCTGTGCCTATTAAAGAAGCCACCTGCTTAGAAGTACTTTGTAGATGAAAAAATACTTATGAATCCACTGTAACTTCACAATCTTGAATGCCAAGGAAAAACTTTACTAGTTTCATTTACCACTATTCTTTAAAGTTCTTTTTGATTTTATGTTTTAAATTTTTTAATTTTATATTTTGAGACAAGGTCTTGCTCTGTTGCCCAGGCTGCGGGGCAGTGGCATAAACGTGGCTCACTGTCACTTTGACCTCCTGGGCTCAAGGAATCCTCCCATCTTAGCCTCCTGAGCAACTGGGACCACAGGCATGCACCATCATGCCCAGCTAATTTTTTGATTTTTGGTAGAGATGGGGTCTCACTATGTTTTCCAGGCTGGTCTCAAACTCCTGGACTCAAGGGATCCTCTCACCTCAGCCTCCCAAAGTGCTGGGATTATAGGCATGAGACACTTCTACTCCCAGCAGAAAGTTCTTTTTGAGAATGCACATCTAAATAACAGCTAAGACATAACACTTCTACTATGTGTCAGGCACTGTCTCATATGTTTTTACCTATTAACTCATTATACAGAAATGCTTATGAAATATATATTACCATCCCCATTTTACACGAGGAAACTGAAGCACAAAGAGATTATGACCTGCCAAAGGCCACAAAACTAATATGAAGAGGAATGAGTAATTCGAATCTAGAAATTCTACTGACTGAGTTTGTGCTTTCAGTCTTCATGCTAGATTTCCCGGGGATTTAGAGAGCAATGAGAAATTCCATAATTCAATCATATGACAATCATAAAACTTGCCAGCTAGCAGTATTTTAAAATACTAATTCCTCTACCAACCCACTTGGGACAGGGGATGGTATTAATTCAACAAACTCCTAAGTTACTAAGCTTTTTTTTTTTTTTTTTTTTTTTTTTTTTTGAGGCAGTCTCGCTCTGTCCTCCAGGCTGGAGTACAGTGGCACAATCTTGGCTCACTGCAACCTCCTCCTCCAGGGTTCAAGCAATACTCCGGCCTCAGCCTCCCGAGTAGCTGGGACTACAGGGGTGCACCACCATTATCTGGCTAATTTTTTTTATTTTTAGCATAGACGGGGTTTCACCGTGTTAGCCAGGATGATCTCGATATCCTGACCTCATGATCTGCCCGCCTCGGCCTCCCCAAGTGCTGGGATTACAGGCGTCAGCCAACACTCCTGGCTCTAAGTTTCTTATAAATGCTAAGCTTGATTTTTCATTACACTTAAACAAACAAAACTTTTTGATATTTCTTTCTCTGGCAAATACTAAACTCTTAACAAAACAGAGTGAAGGTATTTTTCTAAATTTACTACCATGTCATCACAATGTTCATACATGTTTTAAAAGCACAGGGAAAGTGCATTTATATTTCAGAGTTTATGTCCAGCCCCTGACATTAGCCCTAAACCTATCATTAGAAAAAAATTTTGGCCAGGTACAGTGGATCACGCCTGTAATCCTAGCACTTTGGGAGGCCGAGGTAGGCAGATCCCTTGAGCTCAGGAGTTCAAAACCAGACTGGGCAATACGGCAAAACCCCACTCCTACAAAAAATACAAAAAAATTAGCTGGGTGTGGTGGTGGTCTACCTGTAGTCCCAATTACTTAGGGGGCTGAGGTGGGAGCCCAGAAGGTCAAGGCTGCAGTGAGCCGAGATTATGCCACCACACTCCACCCTGAGCAACAAAGTGAGACCCTGTCTCAAAAAAAAAAAAAAAAAAAATTAACCCTAACGATGTGGAAGACTTCTAGAAAACAAAAAGAGCGCACACAGATACAAGACAAACTACAGAAAGATTCTAGAATAGTCAAAAGCCAGTAAAAAGGAAAGTAGTTTAAAAGAAATAAAATGTCAGGAGCCAAGAAAGTGATGTGACAACATTCTGAGAGAAAAAGGAACCAAAGACAAAGAAAGGAAAAAGAGCTACTAAGGAGATTCTGACAAGCACTTCGGAAAACATACAAAGTGCTAACCAGCAACTGCCTTTCTATACATATAAAAGTAATTCTACTTCAATGGTCAAATCTGTCAATTCTGATCACATTATCTTGCTCTTCTGTGGAGCATACCATGTAATAAAACTTAAATGTATAAATAAGTCATACTTTGAAAATAGAGACAGCAGTGTTAAAATTTGCTTTCTAATTTTGTTAAGAGTTGGATACTTGGAGTTTTCCCTGGAAAGTAAATGAGTAACAACAGTAAAAACGATAAATATCTATTATTTCAAGAAAATCTATTTTATGAAAAGTCCTTCAAGATGTCAACTTGCATTTTATTTAAAGAATAGAAATACCATTATGAATTCAGTGTATACTCAGTGTTAAAAATTGTTTCAGTCAGAGGTTATTCAAAAAAGAGATTTTAATATCTTAGGAAAATACTTTTTTTTTTTTTTTTTTTTTTTTTTGGAGACAGAGTCTTGCCCTGTCGTCTAGGCTCGAGTGCAATGGCGTGATCTCGGCTCACTGCAACCTCTGCCTCCCAGGTTCAGGTGACTCTCCTGCCTCAGCCTCCCGAGTAGCTGGGATTACAGGCATGCGCCACCATGCCTGGCTAATTTTTTTTTTTTGTATCTTTAGTAGAGAAGGGGTTTCACCATGTTGGCCAGGCTGGTCTCCAACCCCCGACCTCGTGATCCGTCTGCCTCGGCCTCCCAAAGTGCTTGGATTACAGGTGTGAGCCACTGTGCCCAGCCAGGAAAACTCTTAAAATTCAATTAGTAATAGATTAATCGAGTTATTTTACTAACCCCCTATACTCACTCAATACTACAGATATATTTCAAAAGTGAGAATGGGATTGAGTTTAACAGGTACAACACATCAATCATGAAAGTTACATTCTCCCCTGTGCAGTCCCCAAATATAATTTTAAAATGCTAAGAATGTGTGTATGACTAAACGTTCCCAGTGTTTCCAAGTTAGGGATATAAGTAGGGCAATATTTTGAACCAAAGATATCTTCTATAATATATTCTGAAGATCTCATTTGAGACCAGACAGTAGTTTAAGAAGCAAAATAATTAGGCTAAAAGAAATACATACAACTGTGGGATACGGAGATCTAAATGTATATAAAGATATAGACATATCCATATCTTTATCTGCGCACATGCACTCCATTAAACACTTCCCAGTCACAGAAAATAGATTTATCAGCCAATAATCTCCAATCCTTTCATTACACACATCAATCCATTCAACTCCAAAGCCTGGAAGAGGGACTTAGAAAGCACTTAATGTAAATGATTGTGGCCCATAATTACAAACCACCTGTCCTCTTATTTACAGCCATAGCTCAGTCCCAGAAAATAGTACACAAGGCTGCAAGAATCAGCTAGTAAGGATGCACAGTGAAAAAAAACTGTAAAAGCACTACTGGATGCTAAAACTTGCACACTGCAGAGTTCTACACAGATTTTCTCTAAAGTTATGATAGTGTCTTAATGGCAACTTAGGATTCTGTGACAATAAAGAACATAATGTCTTAATGTTGTCTATAAACAAAGAAATTAAATGCTTGTACCCTTTGACTAATACAACCTACAAAAGCTTAAGGCCAAACAAATATCTCAGGTTTAACAAAAATATAAATCCATTGAACATCACTAAAAAATAGTATAGTTTGTATACTTTTAAAAAGGAGTTTTTTTAAACCAAGTTTATTCTTTTGGTTATGTAGCAGGGACAATGAACCTCTCTTCCTGGAGAACATGATATATACCTATATCACCAGAATCTGTGTGTAGTAGTAGTGACTATACACAAAATGGCCCTTGTTCTATGTGCTGATAACTCGCTTAGGTATGAAGTCTGATCAATTTCGGAGATGTTTCTTTTATAGTGGATGGCAGATAATAGCAATCTGGTCAGTTTGGCCGACTGAATTGAGGTAGCTATCCTATGGCTTGAACACTAGCTATTCCCTTGCCTTCTTCCACTAGACCCAAAGGCCCTCAAAGAAAGAAATGAAGACTTTTTCCTTCATTAGAATGCCTAGCACATTGCCTGGCACATAGTAAGTGCTCAATAAATAAGTACTGACTCAATGAATGTGTTCAATAGAATAAGCCAAACTAGATGTTTTAACTCCCTAAGTTTTATTTACTTTAAAGCTCTCAATTTTTGCCTAGACTGGACGGTTATAAATATCCCCTCTGTCCTAAGCAAATCTCTGATGATTAATCAATTTTTGTTCATAATAAGGAAATAAACACAAGATTTTTTTTTCCACTCTGCTCTAAATAGTTTGGCTTCGACCAATATTGGCTCAAACCAAACGTAATTCTGTTTTCGTTGCTTGCCTTAATGTGACCTGACAAATACAATTTTGTTTTTAAAATATGCTTCAGAATAATGCTTGTTAGGTAAATTAACTGCCTTAGACTCTTTCATTATTTAATACTTATGATAATAGGCATTCGGCATTCAGAGATCAGCAGAAATCTACAAACCTAAGTGCATAGGAAACTACACTGGCTGGGAACAAATTGAAAACAGTAATGTGATCAACAGATAATATACTTCAAGTTTTAAACTTTGGATAATCAGCCATGGTACTAATGAGGCCAAAATTATGAACTTAATCTGCACGTTTTGCAGCATGGACAGTAACTTGAGTTAGCAGATGGGTATGGGGCCAACGCATAAGATAATATGAGAGAACAAGAATCCACAGAAATCCACCTTCGTAAGTTTACTCAAAAAGTATTCACACGTAATGGGTGGCAATGTCAATGACAAAACCGTATTATTAATTTAGGTAAAAGTTCACAGGCCACACAAAAATTCTTTCAGGTTGAAGATTTCTTTCAACATATATGGGATTATATTCTATCTGTAACCCCAACAATTCCCAAATATCAATAAGAAATAGTTACATACTAACATTCCATTTCTAAGGCACAACTATATTATGAGTCCTATTATAAAACTAGATAAAACTAGAATTAATATAATCATGATTAAGTAATCTAAGTTAAGATCAAATCACAGGAAGGGTGCTACATCTTTATCATTAATTTTAAAATAGCTGTAGGCAAAATATATAGCTTCTAGGTCTCTCTTCCTGGAGGCGGGGGGTTGAGAAAAAAGTTTAAAATATAAATATATATATATATGATTCAACTAACAAGATTGTCTTACAGGCTGTTTTCTGAATTAATAATTTGAAACATACATCCCCATGTGCAGTGATAACATTGGTATGCAGTGGCAGAATTCACTAGAGACCTTGACGGAAGTGCCTAAGCCCCAGGCCCACTCCCTGAGATTGTTTTTGCTGTTTTGAGGCATTACGAAGGAGCACAAGTTTTAGTTATGCACATGAAAATCTGGTTCAGTGCTGAAACGCTGCCATCAGCTCAATACACTCACCTGGAAAAGGAATTTAAGTTTTGTGGCTATCTCTGTCTATGCCAATCTGCCCAAATTCCTAACAGATAGACAAGACATATTGGAGGATATGTAAATTGTTTATTGTCTTAAAATTCCTTGCATATCCTTTAATTTTAAAAATAAAAATGAAGTCAGCATTAACAGCATAAGAAATATGTGTTTTCGAGATACTCATCTGAAGAAAAGTTACCTAGTGCAACTGGGTCTGGGTTGACGGGACTCTGCTGCCTAGAGTGGCTGCTGCTACTGCCGCCACCTTTTTTTAAGTCCTCGGCGTCACTGTACCGCCGGATCCAGTAATTCAATTCTTCCCGGTCTGCTTCTTGACACCGCCTTAGTACGGTGAGAGATCGCCTTGTTTTTTCTACCATGTCCATTATGCAGTTTAACAGCTATTTGGGAAAGGGGAGAATAGGGAAGAGCATATAAATCATCACAATTAAAGATTTTGCTGAGTAGTGAAACAAACCATTTCAGGACAATGAAGGAAGCAATTTTATCCCTGAAGGTTTCAGTCTAGTATTTTCTATGACTAGATTTGAAATTCAGAGCCAATAGATGGAAAATTCAATGGGAATGAGAAGATAAGTGTTATGAACACGAGTCAGAAGGGAAATTTCACCTGAAGGCATTATAGCCAGTAAATCCACCTCTCCAAATACTAATCCCATTACTTTATAAATTAAATGACCTTTTCACAATAGAACAGTAGCCCACCGATCTGGCTTTGAGAATTCCTTTCCAAGATCTAAACATTTCTCTCAAGTGACTTTCATATCAATTTAGAAATCAAATCCTATATTCTACTTCAGATATTCTCGCTCATTTTTTTTTCAAGGATAGCAGGAAAAACAATGCCTTCAAAGGATCACCAAGCTTTTATTTTATCACATAACCTCACTCCAGTTGTTTTCCAAACATTTTTTAATCCCAAATGATTACTGATGTCTTACATGGTCAAGATGTTTCCACTCTTCTGCCCATTCTCTGTCTGTTAGTCTGTGATCAATCATTTCTTCTTGACGTGTGCCATGCAACCCTACAAAAATAGAGAAGGCTGAATAACCCTAAAGCATTCAGTACACAACCCATAAACACACAGACTCATAGCAAGGACTATGTGGGCAAACTCGATGTAAAAATACGTTTGATTTTGGATGGAGACATGAGTCATATTTAGATTCAGAATTACCTAACAGATTCCTCATAGAATGATAAAATACTAGAACTAGAAGGAATTTTAGAGGTCACCTGGTCAGAAGCCTTTATTTTACACATAAGGAGACAGTTAAGTGACACCAACTCCACAACTAGTTATCCATGCAACACTCTGTAAGTAAAAATATATTCTAACTCTTAATAAATACAAGAAACCACAAGTAGACATTAAGTGGTTTTTAAAGCATTGCTGTCCTGCATTAAAAATAAAGACAGCATAAGTCATTTTACATAGGAAGGGTTATGCTTTCCCAAAACAAGCATGGTAAATTTTTCTACATGTCAGCCTTGTGTAAATGAATACAATCCTAATACATATACCTCCGTGATAAAATTAGACCATGAAGAAAAGGCTTGTATAATATGGAGCTACATATACTCATTCAGTTTACCAAAAATTAAAAAATAAAAGTAAATTGGATATTCTTCAAAAAAAAATTAATATACCAGATATAATTTGACAAATATCATAAATCCAAGTGAACCAACTGAAAATCCTAATTTGAAGTCCATGAAAAAGTAATACATAAGTGTTTACCAAGTGAGCACCAATATTAATTAAGCGGTTAGCTAGGATGCTCATTAAAATAGGAAGTAAATGTGTCTCACTAAAAAGAGAGGCTGAAAGGCTCCGAACAGAGAAATCTGGAAACGTGTTATTCCTCTTACATATTCACTTTATATTCTACTGTATAGGAAAAGCCCCTGGGCTGTGGCATTATTTTGCATTTTAAATGATCAAAACTATTATTTTTGGTTACCAATTTTCAAAATGTTACTCTGAACAGCAAATAGAGTTTCTTATAGTTTGGTTTCTAGATAACTGGGCTTCCTCTCGTGGAACTTATGTATAAAGTTTCTTATAGTTTGGGTTTCTAGATAACTGAGCTATCTCTCTGTGGAACTTATGTAAGAATTAAATGACCATAGGAGTTATAAGACACTGAATTTTACTTTTTGTGAGATTTAAGTGGTTATAAATCCCTTTTTTTAGCTGATTTACACAAATAAAGATGAGTCACATGACTGTTCAGCCAACCACATAAAACGATTTCATTTACAACTGATGGAAGTGAACAAATTTATGATAGCCCCTTCTCAGACTAAATAAAAAGCTAAATATAAGATGCTTTGTACCATTCCTGTCCAATTAGAACATATTCTGAGATATATTTTAAAAGTTAAAATTGTCAATGCCACCTATTGGTAAAAAAGTAAAAGTGCAAATATGTTTTATTAATTTGCATAATATAAAGACATTGGGAAAGAATAGTATTTAGCTACTGCTCTGTTGTGATTATTTCAAGTTGAAATGTTTGCAAATATGTAATTTTTGTTAACTTATTTGTTGCCTGGGTTTTAGAGAAAAACCACTACTGTTAAAATTAGTCACCATACAAAACAACCAGAAAGTGATAAGGATATAAATGTGACAGTGACTTTCATGTTAGAGGCATCTGAATATTTGCCTTTAAGGACAAGAATTCCAGAGGTCTCAAAAGCTTGAAAAATTCAGCAGAAGAAATCAATAATGACACAAGCTGTAATGCCTGGAGTAATATTAATGAGCAACAGGATATCTGTGGTGGTGGGATTTCAGCATTTGTGAAACAGTACTAAGCTTCATCTCATTTTTAAAAAAATATTAAGTGCATTAGAAACATGTTTGAGCTCAAGTACTTGGTGAAAAAATGTAAGATTCATTTGCCGCTTTTGAACTTTGAAAGTCATTTGTTAGATATAATCAAATCTTTAAAAATAAAAAATAAATCAAGATTTTATGTTTATTAATTTCTCTATTTAAGATACTTAAATATTCAGCAGCACACAATTTTTATTTATAGTCATAATACCAGAGGGATGTACCGGGGGAAATATCTCGTAATCATTAAATAGCTCATAATCACATTTTCATTTGTGGGAAATTTGACACTAATGTTGAGTCTCAACTGATTATTTTGTTTTAGAATATTTTAACTAACTAGGATAAAACTCTAAGCTTACTTATAAACTAATGCTGCTAAGAAGTTACTTTACTGAAGGATTCTCGTGAGTATATGTCCCTACACATAATAGGCATTTATAAATCGTACCAGACTAAGTATATCTTTATGACAATTTTTATATTCTCAAAATGGCAGCCTGATGTAACACCATAATTTGTTGCTCATACATCAAGATTTTATTTTACATTAACACACACTAAACTCTGCCAGACTTTAGGGATGGTTTAGTAGCTGCACATATTTATAGAGATTAGCACTATTGGTTTTATAAGCTAATATAATTAAAAGGTAAGGAACATGGTCTGAAGAAAATCACATAAAACCAATGGATACAGATATAATTCATAAAGGGATATTTTATATTACTTGATGAAAACATAATCATTGCACATAAGTGTAATTACTTCCTTGCTGATTACTGTATAGTGCACTGGAACTAATATTTCACAAAATAGCACCTGCTGCCTAAGAAACAGGCCATTTGCTAACACATCTACAAAATGGGATCCCTTGAACTGGTCTCACCGTGACCTGAAGACTCCACTGCTATTTAAAAACATGCAATCATGGTTTTCAGTCCTTAAGTCATAAATAAGTGGTAAGGCTTTGTGTAGAAGGGAGTTGTTATCACATTTGATTTTGGGGTTAAAATATCAATCCAGATCAAGAAATAGCATAACCACCTTTGAAAGCTCTTCAGAAATGGTACCTGCGAGAACATTAGACAGACTGGCTATTAAGAAAGCACAAATTATATGCATAGCCATTTGTCTGACACACTATATAAACGTAGAAATTACTGTTGTGGAGAACCAGAACTACTAATTTACTGTCTTACAACCAAAGCCTCAATCACCCCTCCTCTCACCCTGACTCTCTTTCTGCTTTCTAAACATTTGGGGAGTTGGGTGTAGAAAGGTAAAAAAGGCCCTACACGTGGAGCCCCTGTTTGCTAGCAATGTAGTTGGAAATTGAATGTAAACTTCTATATATTAGGCTCTCTCTGCCTGTGGCAAAAAAACAAAAAAACAAACAAAAAAACAACCACCATCACTGTAATCAAGTAGTGAATATCTGGCTGGCTGCATTCCCCAGAATTCTGTATCCTCAGCTCCACTTTCTGGTTTTCTACTTGCATTTCATCCCTTGCTCTTTCCAGTGTCCAGGTCACTAAGTCGCCCTCATCAGGAAAGTTTGCCAGCAATTAGTTACAAGGTAGAGATTAAGTCCTGTTAGTGGGTGATGTGGACACAGGAGATGGAAAAAGAAGAGGAGACTGACTATTGCTCTCAGTGAGACTCATCACTAATTAGGAATTGAAGACATCCCAGTAACAGTGTACTTACTGATAACCCTCTGATACACTATCATCTCCACCACTGAACCACTGATCATATGTTTAAAAACTTACCTTGTTCATCTTCTCTCTCATTTTTCATGGTAGACATTTGTTCTATAGAAGGCAATGTCTTCAAAATGCTTTACTACTTTTTTTTTTTTTTCTGAGACAGGGTCTTGCTCTGCCACCCAGGCTGAGGTGCAGTGTGTGGGGTGCAGTGGCATGATCTCATCTAACTGTAACCTCTGCTTCCTGGGCTCAAGCGATCCTCCTGCCTCAGCCCCACAGGTAGCTGGGGCTAGAGGCATGCACCACCATGCCCGGCTAATTTTTGTACTTTTAGTAGAGACGGGATTTTGCCATAATGCCCAGGCTGGTCTCAAACTTCTGAGCTCAAACTCATCTATCTGTGTCAGCCTCCCAAAGTGCTGGGATTATAGGTGTGAGCCACTGCACCCAGACAAAATGCTTTACTTCTAATAGTTTTATGCAAAGAAGGAATGAACACAGGGAAATAGAACACATATTTGCCCAAATTCACTTCTTCTTCAGTATTCTGATCCTTGACCCAAAACTGTCAATATTAACTTTAATCACTGGCATTTTCAAGTAAAAAAAAGTACCAAATCATTCCTTGGGAAACATCTGTTAAGCCACAGATAGCATGCCATATCACACTTTGGAAATATGGAATATCATGGAGGCTCAAAAAAATCAAAATAAACGTAGAGACTATCTGAAACAAAAGATACAACACAAGAAAATCAAGTGATTTTTAAAAATATTTGTGGCAGGCAGACTGCATATGAAGTCTCATGTTGAAAGAGAATTCAAGCTAAAAATTTATTTTGCATTTGTTACCAACACAACAATTGAGGGTCTTGTATTAATCTAGATGCCCTCCTCCAAAGAAATTTAGTGTACTGTCTTAAAGAATACAAGTGATTAGGAGAGAGAAAGTACAGCTGTTAAAAGTCTATTAATACCAATCAAGTTTTTTTCATAAAGGAGACAATATAAAGCAAGATATGAGAATCTTCATCCCTATCACAGATTTCAAGCCTCAAGTTAAGTTCAGAAATAATGGTGCAAGTCTTCAAGCACCCAATCCCGTAAGAAGTGAACAGGTCCTTCAGTCTTACCCATAGGTCTGTTTCTGTCCCTGAGGTCCCTGTGGCTGGGGTGTCGATAGGAGTCCCTGTAGTGGTGGGCAATGGCCATATCATCCAAACGGTAATGCTGAGGTGGAGGTGGGGTAGGGTGAGGCAGGCCATTGGGCTGGTAGGATAAGCCGTTATTTGGACTGTACCGCTGGCCTGGGCTAATAGTGCATGGTCGCTTGCTTGGATGTTCTGAGTGCAAAGGCTCTCTGTCAAAGCCATTTTCTTTGGTTCTAAAGGGGGAAAAAACAAGAGTTTGTTTCATCATCTATTCAGAAACCAGCACAGTTCAGTCACTCATATTTGAGCTTGGAATAAAAACAGAATATTTTTTATTGGCCAGAAACCTTCTAAACTCAGCTTCCCAGAAAACATACGGGAATTCACTGAGACCTGTGTCGAGACCTAAATGATCACAAGCCTGCAGACAGGAAAAAATCCTTCACTTCTCATCAAATTAGCAAATATCTTTTCAGTTGAAGCTCATGTGGTTAAGTCACAAACAAGAGGAAACTCAAGACTCCTGTAGATAACATTTTCATTCAAAAAACAGTGCTTGATTTCTAACAAGTTACCCTAAGACCGACTGTATTTGATGAAGATTCATCAAGGTAAAACATCACTACTCTCTTGATGAACACTTAAGGTACACCTATTCCACTTGGTATCTGACTTCTGTGTCAGAGAATATCTAAGAACTGTGTTGTCCAATACAGTAGCTACATGTGGTTGTTTAACTTAAAATGTAAGTTACTTAAAATTAAATAAAGCTTAAAATTCAGTTCTTCAGTATCACTAGCCACATTTCATGTGCTCAACAGGTACGCTTGGCCAGTGGCTTCAGTAGTGGACTGCACAGATACATAACATTTCCATCATCACAGAAAGTTCTATAGGAAAGTAAGGATCAAACTGAGCAAATACCGTATGCAATGCAATGTCTGGGACCCTGACATTATCTTGAGTCACCAAGGTAATCAATCAGCAGTCATACAGAGCTAGCCTGGCCTAGAAGGAAGATCTAGGTCAACCCCCTTATTTTAAAGTTGAGGAAACACATACCCAGAGAGCTAATGTATCCTGTCTGGGGTTATCAGGTCACATGGCAGGACGGGAACACCCTGACGACACACCATCAGGTGATGCACAGAACTCTAAACTTGGCTTTCAGAAGGAATGCATTCTATAAATAAGACCTGATAACTAGTCACGATTCCTTGATTCTCAAATAAAAGTAGGAGTAAAGCAGTAATTTCTGGCTGTATATATTTCTACTGCATAGAGACTAGCCCCTAATATATTCAATAAGATAGAAACAAACCATATTCAAATTTGACTAATCACTGCTCCCAAACTTACTTTTTACTTACAAGACCAGCACTCTTATCTTTAGACAGGTGGTAACATCTATTTTCCCAGGGACGTTTTCTCATAAGAATTCTACCAGTTCACAGTGGCTGCAGACATCTACATGCCTTCTTTATTTTAGATAGTAAAACAACAGCATAGAGGCACTTCTTCTACTTTCCCGGCATCTAGTGATGGCATCCAGTCTTTGTCTGCTAACACTAGAGCAATTCAGGTGGAAACTGAATCAACAACAGAGATAATCAGGGGCAACAGGATTCTACAATGAACCATCCTTTATGGCCCTTTAGGGTGGGCGCCCCAGTGACAATTCATACACACCAGGTTGAGAAGAATAAAGGACTTAGAGACAGAAGGTATAGGCATAGAAAGAACTGAGGGTAAATCTTCAGAGTTTTATGTTAAAGAACATGCCCACTACATACTAAGAAGGATGCACTATTATGGAGCGGGCAGGGGACCCTTAGGACTCAGCCGTGTGACCTCCAGTTACTTAACTTTCTGGCTTCAATATTCTGCTCAGTAAAATGGGACTGATAGGAAACAACATTTGTAAAAACAAATTAAGAGGCAATCTAATTTATACTTTACCCTATCTCAGGCTTTTTTCCCCCCAGCTCCTCAATAACAGAAGCTGTAAACTATTACAGAAAGAAAATAAATGTCCTTTAAAAACTCTACATGAGGCCAGGTGCAGTGACTCACACCTGTAATCCCAGCACTTTGCGAGGCCGAGGCGGGAGGATCACCTGAGGTCAGGAATTCGAGACTAGCCTGGCCAACACTGTGAAACCTCGCCTCTACTAAATATACAAAAAGTAGCCGGGTGTAGTGGTGCATGCCTGTAGTCTCAGTTGCTCGGGAGGCTGAGGCAGGAGAATCACTTGAACCCCAGAGGCGGAAGATGCAGTGAGCCGAGATTGTGCCACTGCACTACAGCCTGGGCAACAAACTCAAAACTCTTTCTTAAAACAACAACAACAACAACAAAAAAACTGAGGGTAAATCTGCAGAGCTTAATGTTGAAGAACATGCCCACTACATACTAAGAGGGATGCACTATTCTGAATAGACTGGCCAATATTGGAAATGATGGCAAAGCATGGCCCCCAAGGGAGTGGTGGCCAGGAGTCCTAATGCTGCTCCCTTCAAAGTATGTGTCTACACTAAAACATACTGACTCCTTACATATTGATCACTGATATCAGACTAAAATATCCAATGTAGCTCAGACATTACCTAATTGCATTGCTTTAAAATAATTTTTAAAAGTAAACTGAAACATTCTAGATACTGATTTATCATCTAAGAATATACCCATGTGATTCTAATCTGTATTTGCATATCCCACAAATTTCTAAAAAATACACTTCAATATTCAATGCATATTATCAGCATAAATCAGCTGGAAAATACTGAAGACTATTAGTGGCTATGAACGTAATGCTAACACAGCACCTACCTTACTGGCATTGTGGTGTAGTGGAAAGAGCACTGGACTGGGAATCAAGAGACCTGAGATCTAGTCCTGGCTCTTCCATGACTAGCTGTGTGACCTTGGTCAAGTCACTTAACCTCTCTGGACCTCAGTTTATTCATCTGTAAAATGAAAGGGTTGGACTAGATCAGTGGTTTTCAAACTGTGCCACCTGAGGTGCTGAAGGTAGGCAATGAAGAACTTTTCCCCAAAACAATCAAGATTCTCAAGATTTAAAGTGCCAGAGGAACCCACTTCTTATTATTTGTTTCAATCACTGGGGTTCCACCTAAGATTTCATTTTTAAAGGAAAAAGTCTGCGGCTAAAATCAAGTTTGAAAACCACTGGACTAGATGATTTCTGCAGTCCCTTCTAGTTTGCAAACTCTGCAATTCAAGTATTCTATATTTACAACTAAATGCCATAGTTATGCAGATCAAAACACACAGTGCTGATAGTCCTCTGGCCAAACCATAAGTATCTAAGGCAACCACCTTAGCCAAGTTCTCCATTCCTTGGTTTGAACAATTTATTATTTATACCTTATTTTTTGTGCAAAAATTAGAAAATATCCTCTTATCTTAGGGCAGCCCCTGCAGAATTTCTAAATAATGAAACATCTTTGACTGATTTGGGTCAAACCACCCCAACTTACTAGTTTTCTCTCTCCTTGATCAATGAAGGCAAAAACAACAACACTGGAGTAATTTTAATAATTCTTAAATGGTTAGATACACAATTTATCTTCATCCTTAGATAAACCCTTTGTTCAGTGCTATTACTTCAATGACCCAATTAAATGGGAGGTAAAAAGCATTTTTTTTCTAAAGCAAGGGCAGTAATGTCCTAAAAGGCAGGCTAGGGCCTGAGTCTGTTCTCTCACTTCAATCAGGTCTTACTGTCCTATCCTGGGGCCCATCACCCTGCTAGCTACTGAAATAATAAAAGCTCATCACCTCATAAGGATAGTTTACATTCTAACAGTTGTGAAACATTAACACTTGCAGGGGTGTAGTGACTAATACCTGTAGTCCTGGCACTTTGGAAGGCTCAGGAGGAAGGACTGTTTGAGCCCAGGAGTTTAAGACCAGCCTGGGCAACACAGTGAGACCCTGTCTCTACAAAAATCAAAAAGTTGGCTGGACATGGTGACATACACCCATAGTTCTAACTACTCCAGAAGCTGGGGCAGGAGGATCACTTGAGCCCAAGAGATTGAGGCTGCAGTGAGCCATGATCACACCACTGCACTCCAGCCTGAGCAACAGAGTGAGACCCTGTCTCAAAAAAAAGGGGAAAAAAAGAAAACACAAAAACTTTCACTGTCCACAAAAATAAAGCTATGAAGGATCTCTCTGGTGCTTCCTCAAATTACTAATGTCTACTTACAAGGCCAGTTCTATTCAAAGCATGTATGTTCAGAAGGGTAACTCAAACAATTAATTGCCATTTGTCTGTCTGCTTCTTAGAAATGCCTACAACTACCTATATCTCATTTGCTCGGTTGAACTCCATATTTGCATTCTTCATTGCCCTTTTCAGTGTATCAGGCAAAATTAGCGAAGACTTTTCATTGTCCCATACCAGTATACCCTTGAAATAACTCAAATTCTAGTAGAAATCTGAAGTGAGAGGTAACTGTATTATGTCTTAAGGATTTCTGAAAGTTTTATTTTATTTGTTTTTTATTTTTTTTATTTTTATTTTTACTTTTTTTGAGACAGAGTCTCGCTCTGTCGCCCAGCCTGGAGTGCAGTGGTGCAATCTTGGCTCACTGCAAGCTCCACCTCCTGGGTTCACACCATTCTCCTGCCTCAGCCTCCTGAGTAGCTGGGACTACAGGCGCCCGCCACCACGCCTGGCTAACTTTTTGTATTTTTAGTAGAGACGGGGTTTCACCCTGTTAGCCAGGATGGTCTCGATATCCTGACCTCGCGATCCGCCCGCCTCGGCCTCCCAAAGTGCTGGGATTACAGGCGTGAGCCACAGCGCCCGGCTTATTTGTTTTTTAAGTCTACCTGAGGATGTTATATCTCCTTACCAGGAGACATTTTCCTCAACACAATCTAACCACTTCAACATTTAGATCCCAATCACTTCTCTCTCGAGGTTTAATGTTCTAAGCTCAGGGGATCCTTAGGACTCAGCCGTGTGATCTCCAGTTACTTAACTTTCTGGCTTCAGTATTCTGCTCAGTGAAATGGGACTAACAAATTAAGAGACAACCTAATTTATACTTTACCCTATCTCAGGCTCTTTTTTTTTTTCCAGCTCCTCAATAACAGAAACTGTAAACTATTAGGAAAAGAAAATAAATGTCCTTTAAAAACTACATGAGGCTGGACGCAGTGGCTCATGCCTGTAATCTCAGCACTTTGGGAGGGTGAGGTAGGTGGATCACTTGAGGTCAGGAGCTTGAGACCAGCCTGGCCGACATGGTGAAACCCCGTCTCTACTAAGAAAAAAAAAAAAAAATTAGCCAGGCATGGTGGAGCATGCCTGTATTCCCAGCTACTCTGAAGGCTGAAGCAAAAAAATCACTTGAACCTGAGGCACAGAGGTTGCAACGAACCAAGATCGCGCCACTGCACTCCAGCCTAGGTGACAGAGCGAGACTCCATCTCAAGGAAAAAATAAAAATAAATAAAAACAAAAACTCTACATGAAATATTTTTAAGATGATGATTAGCTAGTGTGTGCTGGTAATCCCTTTAGTAACATTTATATAAAACAGTGTATAACATTCAAGGAAACGGGGAAGTATGAAAAAATCCATCATAAAATCATGACATAAGTAGAACAAGAGGACAAATCTACATGGCAGAAGCGGGTGTAAGTTTTTTTCTCTACATTAACATTTTTTTTAATGTGAGGAACTACCACTATAAATATTGTTTTAGGGGAAGGCAAATTGGTAGAGCACAATAAACCTAAGAAAGAAGAAACTTAATTTCTAATATTCATCCTGTCATTTATTTATTTAAATAAATTATGTGCCTTACACACTCACTTATCTGAGTTTCGACAGACATTTCACAAGTCCAAACTGGCCTCATTTCTCTTTTGCTTTCTGTACCATCTTCTACCTAGTCACCCGAGTAGAAACTTGAAGTCACTCTACAACTTTCTTTTCCAAATCCAAGTCCTATTGCTGATCTCAAGCATCTCTATACGGGTCCCTCCTTCTTGCCCCAGGATACCTTTATCTTGGCCCTTGTCACACCATGGTCCCACTTTGCCAGTATCCCCCAGAGCCACAGGCCCCCAGATTTGTTTGCTGTTTGTCTCCACAGCCCAGCCAAGTCCCATCCCTAGACTGTAGCTCCTTGAAAAATGAGTAAGAGTGAGACACTGGGTCTAAAATTCTTTTAAGACCAGGCATTGAAGACTTACTTTATTTTATTCTTATATTTTAGAAGTCTGGAGACTTACTTTATTTTATTCTTATATTTTAGAAGTCTGTATCTAAATCTTAGGAAGGTAGTTCTATTAAACGCAGACCAAAGACATTAATAACATCAAACACATCTTCCTTTCCTTTTCTAACACGTGCAGTTTGTTAAGATTGCCATAGAATGACTAGACATTGAATCAAGGGGGGGAAAATCACTCTCATCATCATTATTTTTAAAACATAATTCAGCAAAAGATCTCTTCAGGAATTGTTAGGAAAGAGGTGACTTTAGATATGAATTTCACGTAACACACTTTTATTGGTATTGAATAAGGTATTGAAACAAAATACATTACAAATTCCCCAGCGTCCTTAAAAAGAAAATCAAACCTAATTCTTCATGACAACCTGCAGTGGTTTCTCTGTTTTGCTATCACTCTAGAGGGAGGGGGACATTTAGATGATGAAGAACAGAGAGCTGAATGCCACAGGACCATCATTATTGGGCCAGGTGGAGAGAAGCACCTTTAATCTCTCCATTGCTAAACAACCACCTAGCAGTGAGAACTTTCTGAGCAGTGTGCTAATACCTTTAGAAGTAAGTAAGAGGCAGATGGATACGTGCCACTCCAGACACACAAACGTGATGCCCAGACCTTCAAGGATTGCAATATGCAGGTTGGGGGAGCCATCTGAGCCTTCCCTCCAGCAGCGAGAAGGTGGAATGCTTCCGTCACGTGTCTGAAGCTGACCATCTGCTCAACAGTTAGGCTGTTACTGGCTGTTTCCCTTGCCTTTTCTAATCTCTGCCACTGCTGAAGCATTCAATTTTTGCTGCTCCTGCTGTTTGGAACTCTGCTTTCTTATTCGAATCTGTCACCTGTATGTTTCTATTGGAGCCCTCCAGTTTTTTCTGGTCAGTGAACCAATCACAGCATTTGGTTCCTGGGCTGTCTGTGGCTGTTTTTATTGTATTTCAGAGATGCATTTTTTAACTAAACAAAAAAATAAAGATGCCTGGAAGAGAGACCATTTAATACACTACTAAAAATGACTGCATTAAGTTTAATTTGAATTATTTGTTCAATAGTGGTTTTTGTTCTGTTTGTAGTGTTTTGCTTTGTTTTAGGTCCCCAGTATGTGTAATGCACTATCCTGCACTTCAGTGGCAGTACAAAGATGAGAGAAACATGGTCCCTCAACCTTCCATAAGATTATTATTTAGGGCAGACTTTAATTCTTTACCATTAAAATGATTTAATTGGAGCTACAAGACTTCTATACTTTCATACAGGACATGTATACAGAAGGTACCATTAAAAACAGAACAAATGTGGTATGTGAGAGCAGAATGAGAGATTACTCCAGAATGTGTACTCATAAGGACAGAGGTTTTGGAGTCACATAGAGATGGCTTCAAATTGTGGCTCTGCTATTTGCTGGCCATATAAACTCAAGAGGCTTAATCCTCTAAGAGCCTCAGTGTTTCTGCCTGCAAAATGGGAAATGATTATCTCAAAGCTATGGAGAGAACTATAGGAAAGAATCTAAGAAAAGAACCTAACATGAATTTGGCATTCAATAAGTTAATCAAAGCATTTTGTTTTCAAGCAGGGGCATTCAGAGGCTGATGATACAGAATCACGGCTATGAGAGCATGGGCATTTGAGTCTGAGAACCCAGGGTTAGAATCCCATTAGGGCTTCTGACAAGCCATGTGACTTCACACACATTATTTGGCCTTCTGGAATCTATGTCATAGGATAGTGAGGAAAGAAGTGCTATATGTTAGTCTGTCAATTATTTAGCACAGGGCCCAGCATATCTGAAGTGTTCAGTAAATAGTAACCATTATTATATTATTTATAATTGGGAAGCTTTCATTCAAATAGTAGATACTGAGTTAGGCCATGAGGTATTAATAGAATTATGGCATATAAGAATTAGGAAAGACAGCAGAAACCATCAGCTGGAATAGAGACTAAGGCGTGAGGAGTATGCAGTAAAGTTAGACCCTAACAAAGCAGCAAGAAATCAGGCTAACAAGTTAAAGTTGAAGCTGGAATGTGGAGAGAACAAAATGCCCCGTACAACTGTGTTATCTTTAACATATAAATGTAATTTTGTGGCTCGGTACAGTGGCTCATGCCTGTAATCCCAGCACTTTGGGAGGCCGAGATGGGTGGATCACCTGAGGTCAGGAGTTTGAGACCGGCCTGGCCAATATGGTGAAACCCCGTCTCTGGTAAAAATACAAAAAATTAGCCGGGCATGGTGGCAGGCATCTGATACCTCTCTACTTGGGAGGCTGAGACAGGAGAATTGCTTGAACCCAGGAGGTGGAGGTTGCAGTGAGCCCAGATCAGTCACTCCAGCCTGGGCAACAAGGGTGAAACTTCATCTCAAAAAAAATAAATAAATAAAAATAAATAAATGTAATTTTGTGCTATTTCACTGAAAGGCCTCCCAATTGATGTGATTAATATTTTTAAAAATCACTCCTTGCAACTGTGGAATACATAATAGATGCAACACAAACTAGAATAAATAAATGTGTCATAAAATCCCTACATTTTTTTCATAGAAAACCGAATGCAGGTTATACAAATTTAATTCTTATTTGCACAACTGACCCTACAATTCCTTGTAAAGTGTATCTATTTTTTCTTTTAGAAAGATAAAAATAGTGAAATCTCTTTCATTTTACAGAAACAAAAAAATGGACCTATTCAGTTTAGTTGGTGTGTACTGTCATAACAAATCTCACAAATACAACCAACATGATTTTAAAATGATTGCCTTTGATCCTCCAACCTTCAGCATTTTCTAACTGACTCATTAAGCCAGGAACACAGGCTAGCTGTGGCTCTTCTGTCGTTAAAAATATATATAAAACCTCAGAATGTTATACTATGGCATCTACCCACTTGAGCAACTATAGAAAATAAATGAGGGAAAGTAAGGTGAAAAAAGAGAAGCTTAAGTCTTAGTTGAGTTTCCTTATTTAAATTCTGCACATTAAAACATATTTTATGCAACTGGAAGATTTCAAGTATGCAAATATGCTTGTTTCTCCACTAAGAAGCTTTGCAACATTAGGCAATTTATTTGGGCCTTAGTTTGTGCAAGAATAAAAAGATGGGGGCCAGCTGGGTGTGGTGGTGCATACCTGTAGTCCTAGCTACTCAGGAGCCTGAGGCAGCAGGTTCACATGGGCCCAGGAGTTTAAGACCAGCCTGGGCAACATAGCGAGACACTGTCTTAAAAAAAAAAATACAGATAACATCCCATGAGCAAATCCATAAATTTAAAATATGTGTGATTTTTTTGTTTTGGTATGAAATGTAAAAAGGCAGGGTGTGGTGGCTCATGCCTATAATCTCAACACTTTGGGAGGCCAAGGTGGGAGGATCACATGAGCCCAGGAGTTTGAGACCAGCTTGGGCAACATTGCAGACCATGCCTAAGGAAAAAAAACATAAAAAGAATGGGGCCTGGTGTATCTATAAGATCCCTCCCAGCTGACAAATTACATAACTCTGAAGTTCAACCAATTATTTTTAGAGAATAATGTTTAACCCTTGGGGGAGGAGGAAATACATATTAATCCAACTACATGGCCTTTGCATTGAAAGTTTAGAAGCGTTAAACTGAGAGTAATGTAAAGCATAATTACATTAAAATAATGGCATATAAGAAGGGGATTCATACTTAACATCCATCATTTGAGATAGTAGGGGGTACAAAATGGGAAACAAAACAACCATGTTACCCACACAAAAGCAAAGATTATTTGGTTTGATTTCTTAAGCAAGAAAAATCCTAAACCAGAAAAGTAGCATAACAGGTGAGAACACAATACTGAAGGCAAATTAGATCGAAAAGCTGTGATATCAAAGCTCTGAGAAAAGAAAGACAGCAATGATAATCATCCTAACACAATTATTTTCTTTAAATCTTAATAATTTTAATCCATTCTGCAGTCTCAAAGAAAGAAAGCATTATCTAACAGTTCTTTTCCCTCTTCCTACACAAAAGTGCTTGTGTCTTTACGAGTCACCACGGTGAGCAGTTTTAAAGAGGGCTCTTAGCTTCTACTCTCTATCTGTAAGAGTGTTCATTTCGTTTACATGGCTCCAAAACAAACGATCACATTCCTTTCTTCAGCATCTCCCACCACAGAATGGTAAAAGAATAAATGTTTACTATAAATGACGTTTACATATTAACAAAGAATAGAAATCAGAATTTTCTACTTACTTTCCCTAATATTTTAGGAAAGAAATAACATAATTTTATAATAAAAATTATCTTTTTCTACTTTGGGTTCTACAATATTCTCTCACAGACCTACAAAATCAGTAACACTTGTTCAGAGACACTCCCCAGAGCTACATTTAAAAGAAAGTAGAAAACATTTCACTGTTCCATACAGGAACAAAAAACAAAAAACAAAAAACAATTTCATAGACTTCCCTAGAGTACTCATTTCTCTGTAAATAACAATAATGTTTAAAGAAAAAAAACATAACCAGTGACAATCATATTTAAGGACAAGAAGAAAGTTAAATTTGCCAAAACCCATCCCTGAAACACATGATGACTGTTTAGTACATTAACTCAGCAATCGTCACAGAATTTAAGCTCCCAAAGTTGTAAACAAAATATAGAGCGCTCTTTTGTTCATGACATGTCATGAACAAATTACCAAAATGTGTTTTCTCCTCAGGTGTCAGTTTTTCCCTCTTTTAGTGACTGATGGCTCCCAGTGTTATTACAGAAACAGATTGATCTTTTTAATGAGCCAGTTTAATAGACTCCAAAATCTCACCGTGGCTGCTCATCCATGTCAGACCATATGCACCAACAAAACATTCAGTAAAACAAAAAAAGCTCTGCTGTCAGACAGCTCCATACTCTATAAAATTTCATATAGTAGATCTGGATATACAGATAAATAACCAGAGAAGAGGAAAATGCATATGCAAACAAGATGCAGAAAATATATGCAAAAAGAAAAAATACTGTAGAGGCCCATATTTTCTTGGCTCTGATCAAATTCCCACAAGATACAAATGTATTTACACAACATATTCTCATTACCCTTCCTCCTAACTCTAAGGAAACCCATTTGCCATCTTTGAGATATAATGTATATTTCAGTGCCCCATTTGATAAAGAATGTTCCATCCAAAGATTAACCATGTGAACTCTGACTCTGGCAACCATCCATGAAAAACCAAAGGGAAAATCAGACCAAAGACTCTTTTTAGGAGAGTTCTACCTGACTGAATGCATACACTGATGCATGCACAGCGACAGAGCATCAAAACAAGAATGCTGAGCCTCTGTGGAATTTAAGATGAAGTTTTCATATCAGTGTTAACATACTGCCCAGCACTTACCTTAAGACTGTGCAAGGATAGTCAAAAGTCACAATACATTCAAATATGAAATACTGGGAAAGAGCTGGTGGGAAAATAGCTGGAAATACAGAGAAATGAATGAAACAGATTTTCATATTCCCTGTTATGGTTATTTAGCAGTTCAGAATGCCAGAGTAAGTTGTGTCCATTTTCAATTTTGCCTGCAGGATCATCTCTACATTTATCTTAGCTATCTAAATCTTTCCCTGTTACACTCTCCTCCACCCCAACAACCCTAAATAAATTTCCTTCTTCCAATTTTCCATCGAGTCTCTCCTTCATTCTTTTACCATGGAGCTAAAACATCTCAGTATCTGTATGTCATACTCATTTTCTGCAGGGTAAATCAGTTCAGGTCAAACAGGAATGCACATGTAAATCACCTATTGTTGAGCCACCTCTTGGTTTTCAGCATCATGTGGACATGCCACTCAGGCATCAGGATTAAGCAGTTCCCTTTAAAAGCTAAAGCACTAAGTGCTCTATTTTACTCTTAAATGTGACCAACAAAATATGATTTGCAAGAATAAGAAAGTAGCTCTGTTTGTAGGTCATATATGAAGGTAGGCCTACAATACGTCAAAAGGGGACTAATATTTAACTGTTTGCTTTAGGAATTTTAAACTATTAAGAGGTTCTATGTCAAGGGGAACAAAATTACAGAGATTGTAGCATAAAAACTGCTTAACAGAGGATTATGTAATAACAGTATGTAAACTGGCTGGCTTTTAAATAACATTCTGATTTGCAAAGCAGCTAATACATTTAAGGATAGCTAAGTCAGTCACAAATAGATGTCTCTGAGCAGCTCCAAAGATCTTAAGCTCCTATGAATGTGGAACATAACTGTGTCAGGGTGTTAACCTCTCAAAGGCTGTTATACCCATGCCTGATGAAATGCAGCAAAAGAGAACAGATAAGCAGAGAAAGAAAGCAAAGTATATGCTAAATAAGTTTTTGAATATAGTTTCATTGTAAAATTCTCCATATTTCAAAAACACTATGCAAAATGATGCTAATAAGACTTTGCATTCCTATATCAGAAGATAATTATAGATGAGGATGAGGTATTCATAAAAATTATTTTACTACGGTAAATGGGAAATTTCATGTGTATGCTTTATTCAACAATTACTCTGTAGGGTTTAATGGAGAAGTGGTTTTATTTTACATTTCTTAGAATTCTTAGTTATGAGAGCACAGTATCTGATAGAACAGTATCTAACAAGTAAAATTTTCAGCAAAAATACCATCTATTGTCTCTACTGTATAACTCTTATCTTCACTCAGTTCATCTAGTGTCCCAGAAGTTTTCTCTTAGTTCATATACAAACCAAAACAAATAACTACTGTACTGTGTTAAGAAATACATACAGACAAGCTTCCAAACCATCACATTTTAAGGAAACTAGGAACAGCCAATTTCAGAATATTGAAGTAAAATATGTGGTTGGGTTAAATTACATAATGAATGAGAATTTTAATATTGATGTGCATCTAAGAGCCATCAGTGGTACTTGGCAAATCAGAAAAATCATTCGTCTTCACCATTTCGCTTTAATACTACAAGCAGAAAAGATTAACCTACACAAAAGCCAAACTGTCCCAGGCCAGAGATTCAAAACTCTGTAAAATCCCAGGCCAGAGCCAGATTCTCAAGATGGCCACAATGGCTTATTGCTATTGTGCAAGAATGACATAGGCCAGCGGTTTAATTGTGACATGAAATGTTTCCTCATGCCACAGGTATGGGAAAAAGGTCATGGTTCATCCAGGCTCCTCCTCCCTCTCACCTGTCTGGAGTTCGCCTCTTCCCGTTTTCGTTCACATCGAGAAGCAGCTCTGAGGAGTCAACAGGTGAGGTGGTGCTGGCATCCAGAAGCAGCTGTTCATGCTGGGCGAGGTACTGGGCAGGGTTCTGTTTGGCCAGTCTTGCGCAGTGGAGGAGCTCACGCTGCAGCAGGGGCAAGTTGGCCTGCAAGGGAATGACAGGAATGAGAGGACGGACTGAAAGTTTTCTTCTGTCCTGTTGACTTACTCTGCTTTTCGAACACTGGAGAAGAGTATGCAATGCAGCTACATCAAAGGTCAAATGCATGCCATGGGCTGGAACCACAGGCACAATTCTCAGCACTGGGCTACCATGTGCGCAGATTGCCCTAAGTGTGAGGTGACTGACCCTTGTACATCACTTTACCTCTCTTTTATTTCTTCACTGATAACATTGCAAGTGGCACATTATTTTTAGGGTCCCTTTATACTTGAATGTATGTTCTACGGTATGTGAGAACCTAGCTCCAATCATAAGAACTTTTGTTCTCCACAGGGAAGATAGAGGGTATAAAAAATATATACACAGTCCAATTAATTTCAGAATAGTTTCCCTGACACACTCAATTTTGTATCTGGTGACTCACAAAGGTCAAGCAGGCTAATCCCAGAAAATATCTTTTGTCAAGTACTAACTTAATGAAAATACACTTAAAAATATAGACATGAACATAGAGATTATTTTCCATAGTCATCAAGTTCAGACAATAGTTAAGTAATGGCCTGGGTACAGTCACATATCCCAGATGGAATTAATGCATAAAGCAGTATATTCTAGTAGTCTACAAAAGTAAACTGCCTTCTTTGTATCAGTCTTATTCTAAGGAATGAATACACACACACACACACACACACACACACATATTTCTTCTAATGTTAGAAGAAATCCTGTATACTGGTCACTCTTCCTCCTCAGCTAGGTCAGCACCTTGAATAAAGAACGGGCTGGTTGATAGGCTGATCGGTAATTCTGGCAATTTCAAATGTAATAAGAGAGAAAGAGGCAATTTCACACATAGTAAAGGCATTAAAATGAAAACCTAAGAAGGCATTTTACTCTGAACTTACTTTGACATTATAAATCCAGATTGTCATTGCTTTCTCTTTCTCTTATTTTTATTATTGTTTGGGGAGGGGCAGTAAGGGAGAGGAAAGGAGAAGATACTGGGAAGAGTGAACAGCACTCATCCCCAATCACACTTAATTCCAGGAAAGATCAATCACATAAATCTCTTTGCAACTTGAAGATTTCATTTGTAGGAACCAGGTGCCATGTACACCGATTAACCCATCAGGTAGAAAAGCATTTCTGAATACAGGAGAGGTCCCAGCTGCCTCAATTTTTGGGCCCAACAGCCTTAAAAAATAGCCTTCTAGAGAATCATGGACAGGAACTACGGCTGGCTACTTGTACCTCAAATTCATTTTTTTTTTCCTTCAGTGCTCTTTATTTCTTTATGTAGAGCCAAGTTTCTGGCCTATATCATTTTCCTTTACTCTGAAGAACTCCTTTTAACTTTTTTTTTTTTTTTGAGTTCCAGGATACAGGTGCAGAGTGTGGAGGTTTGTTACATAAGTAGATGTGTGCCATGGTCGTTTGTTGCACCTATCAACCCATTATCTAGGTTTTAAGCCCCATATATGTTAGCTATTTGTCCTAATGCTTTCTCTCCCCTCACCCACCAACCGCCCTCAAGTCAGTTTTCTAAGAGTATTAATCAAGAAACCATCTCATAATCACACCAAAGCATATTTCTACACAAGATATAAAATACTAGGATATTTGCTAAAGATAAATGCATGCCATACACTGTAACAATGGAAATGACTTCCTACAGGATAACAATGCTAAAATTAAACTCTTTGTAATTAGTAAAGATGAACATGTGGGTAATATATTGTATATATTTTTTAAACTATTTTTTGTCCTCAGTAAAGAGAGAGCTTAGATACCTTGTGTCATAAAATAATAAAGCAAAAATAACATTTCTATGTGAACATTTTTAAAGTTTTTAAAATTCATCCTGGGCTGGGTGTAGTGGCTTGCTCACGCCTGTAATCCCAGCACTTCCAGAGGCTGAGGTGGGTGTATCACTTGAGGTCAGGAGTTCAAGACCAGCCTGGCCAACATGGTGAAACCCCATTCCTACTAAAAACACAAACAATTAGCTGGGTGTGGTGGCACGCACCTGTAATCCCAGCTACGTGGGAGTCTGAGGCAAGAGAATAGCTTGAAACCAGGAGATGGAGGTTGCAGTGAGCCGAGATTATACCACCACACTTGCCTGGGCAACAGAGCGAGACTCAGTCTAATTAAAAAAAAAAAAAATCATTCTGAAGTACAGTCATGCACTGATTAACAATGGGGATGCATTCTGAGAGATGCATTGTTACATGATTTCGTCACGCAAACATCAAAAGCGGGTACTTAAACCTAGTACTACACACCTAGAATATATGGTATAGTCTACGGCTCCTAGGCTATAAACATGTACAGCATGTACTGTACTGAATACTGTAGGCAACTATAGCACAATGACAAGTATTTACATCTCTGACCATAGAAAAACACTTCAGGAGGTCAAGGCAGGCAGGTCACTTAAGCCCAGGAGTTTGAGACCAGCCTGGGCAACATGGTGAAACCTCATCTCTACAAAAAATACAAAATCGGTTGGATGCAGTGGCCCATGCCTATAGTCCCTGCTATTGGGAGGCTAAAGTGAGAGGACTGTTTGAACCCAAGAGGTCGAGGCTCCAATGAGCCATGACCGTGCCACTGCACTCCAGCCTGGGTAACAGAGCGAGACTTTGTTTCAAAAAAAAAAAAAAAAAAAAGAAAGAAAGAAAAAGAAAAGGACACAATAAAAATATGATTTATAATCTTATGGGACTACCATTGTACATGCAGTCCATCATTGTCTGAAACATTATATGTAGCACATGACTGTATATGCATAAGATTTAAATTGTCCAAAACAATACACTGCAAAGCTCTCTGCTCTTGGTTCTTTAGGGATCCCAAAGATAAGAAATCCTAGAACAAGAAATGGAGTAACAAATGAGGAGACAAAAAACAGTATCTTCAGGACTCTATTAGCAGAGCATGATATTCAGAACGATGAGGAAGCGGGGGGGAAGTGAAGACTGTTGCTTGACTTTACTAATACTGTCTCCCACATTCTTCTTATCAAAAAGAATTATTTGGGTGCCACATATCTCTCTCTCTCTCTCTCTCTCACACACACACACACACACACACACACACACACACACACACGAGACTATGTGCCATTCTGTATTAAATAGAGTCAGCTGGGACCTCAGGTAAAGGCTCTATCTGAACATATAGAGACCTTTCTAAAACAATCATATTCCTTCTGTTAAGAATGCCAGCAATATTGAACCAAGCAGGCAAACATAGTTATGCCAGCTCAGAGAGACAAATTCCTGAATGATAATCAGGAGAATTGACTCACAGGCTGGACATCTTGTGTGCAGATGTCTTTTGGCAAAGCATTCGCTGGCTCCCATCCAGAAACAGCCTTAATATATTCAGTACAAGAGTTGATTTTTAAGATACATTAAATAGTACTTCTGGAGAGAAGTTATAAAATGCACATTTATTTGGCTATGTGTTATAGATAGATAGCAATTTCTTAGTTTCAGGATGAAGCAAATATATTTTCACAAAAGAGACTATAGAAATTGGGTGTGGTTAAAGCATAAACTTTTTCATTGATGTCTAAAAATTAAGATACTAATAAGAAAAGATGCTGTATCTATGACTGCTTTCACTGAAGAAGTTTTCTTTAGAATTCATCTTATCTGTGTTTTGGTAGGCTCCTAACCTCATGTTTAATACATTCATTGCCACACAGCTGAGTGACTAATGGGAAACATGCATGCCTCCAGTTTCAAATTTAAACGTATGGATGGTACAAGACAAGAGGCTTCCACACGTGGTACTCAGTTTAATTTAGCGATTCCATAAACATCTTCTTCCAATTTAAAAAATATGGTAATACAAAGCAATTTTGTTTGCTCTAATTCTGGTGCCAGATTAGGTAATTAGAATGGTGTCTAATATCCTTCCAGTAAATGTTTCTCCATAAATGCAAAATGGAATAGAGGGTCTGCGGGTTACATTAGCTTAATGAAAACAAGACTTTAATGCATATTGTTACAGCAGTGTTTGAATGCACTTATTAAGGCCCGAGTTCCCACAACCATATGGTTTTTGTCATTAATGTCTCCTTTGAGGAAAAGCACTAAAATTAGAAAAAAAAGTTATATCTTTGATTCCAATGATCCCAACTAAATGATATGGTAACCATATGGTGTGCAGCAGTGATAGAAGAATCTGGAAGTGTCCTTGTAAGCTTTTTAAATTTTTTTTGGCTGCCAACTTGACCCTGAAAGGAGCCTATTTTTTCTTTCTTCTTCTTCTTTTTTTTTTTTTCTTTTTTAGCACAGAAACCAGTGGTATTTGCACAGGAAATGGCATTCATATGATGAAATCTTTACAGAAAACAACGCTTTCTGAGAAAGGCAAAGATTCTAGTCTCAACAAACTTGTTCAAATTGTTCAACAAACAATTTGCTTTTAAATAAGAATATAGTATTATAGTATAAGCCATTTTGGGAGAAAACACTAACACATTATACCTTTAACCTTAAATGTACAACTTAGAAAAGAACGAAAAGAATATAATTGTAATCTGGGTTTCCACACAAACAGATCTAATTTCTGGTTTGTAGGTACTCACAAAGCAGAATATTTCATTTCACCTTAATAATAACAACAGGAAAGACTAATATCCAGAAAGTTCAGAATTGGGGCTCATTTCAGACAAACCTTTCTAGGCTTCTGGATACTTACTTGAACCTTATGTGTCTGATACAGTTTTAAAAATAGATGAAATTTCACACAGGATCTGATCAGTTATATTTCTGGTGTCTCCCAAACAAAGTTCTAGGAACCAGACAGAAAGGTAAATCCTCCTTGGCAAATAATTAAATCAGAGGCTTCCTTGAGTGCTCATTTTGAAAGTGACCTTCAAAGGGGAGTGCAAATGAAACTTTCACATTTATCAATCTGCTAAGCCCACTGTTAGTATAAACTTATTGAGAATCCACTATGCCCAAGCAATATGCTTACCCAAGTAAAAGGGATCTTAGTAATCTGCTTTTCTACCAAAACTACCAGTTATTTTAGTATCCATCAGTGAATTAACTACCCGCTATGCTGAATAAAAATGTTCCTTCTTTCTCTTGTGAACTTTGTGTTTGTTTGTTTTCCAGTTGCTTTACTGAAGCGGCAGCAGTTGGAGGAGACAGAAAGCTCACAGCAGAGACTTAAAAACCATTTCGAATCCCACACCTCAATCAGTCCTCAGCCAGGCACACCTTGGACATGTCACTTACTCCCAACTTCTTCACTGGCACAAAAGGATGACGGTCTGATCTTCCCGTTAAGTTGTTACAAAGATAAAATTAGGAGGATAAAAAAATCCTGAACAACTACAAAGCTCAACCAATCTTCTGTTCACTCTAAAGACAAGCAAAATGTAAAATAACATATCTCATATGACCAAAAAAATGAACAAAACCTTTATTCAAAGAGACTTCTAAACTCTTCTTCAAACTTTACTTCTTTTCAGGTAATTATTTAAAACACTCCTTGTAATTTTCAGACTACTTAGGAAATGGTCATAAATACAATCGATTCAGATAGTTTTCATCCATTAAATTAAATCAAAGAGCCCCTAAATGTACTAAAAAAGCACACAGTTATGACCTAGCAACAATATGGTTTAAAATACTTTACAGACCAGTGAACTGTGCAATACCTTCAAAAATGGGATGACAAAAGGTCTCAGTGGGAAGTTAGTAGCTTCTTGCAGTTTGGAATGAAATTCTTCAATTGTCAAAGTGGAGTTCTATGGAAGAAAATATGTAGTATAAATACATTAGCCTGTTGGTAAATAGTAAAAACACAAACAAATTAATTATTAAGACTGGTACAACACAGTGTAATAACAAGCAAACATACTGACAGAAACCAGTATTTTCAATAAAACCTATTGACTTTGTAAAAATGATCACACAGTTTATTGCATCACTCACTTCTAAAACCTACATCTGAAAATGAAACACATTATGTATAGTACTTTGAGGATAATGTGCATGATCACTAGCATGGTTTAATTATCAGAGAAGTCTTTGCAATTATGAAGAATCTTCTAATATTGCCTTTATGGAAAACAAACACACTTGGATGTATTTAAAAGCATAACAGATCACTTAAAGGACCGAGGGCAAGTGTCAGAATTCTCAGTCAAGATTTATCCCACGTGTCACATCAGCACTACTGCTGGTGGAAATATTCTTCTCCTCCTCCTGTATTTCCATCTTGTATTCTTTCTTTGTCTGCCAAAGCATCTTTGCTCAGGGTGAACATCAAAGTTGGGTAGTGTGCTATGCCAATAAAGCCAAAGAAAAGGTTTGACCCTTCTGTGAGTCAATGAGTTTTGTAGAAGGTGAAAGAAAAATCCCAATTATCGAAGACATTCCACTTATCCTAGAGGCAACTGCTTGACCCAAACAAGACTAAGCAAAATTAACTCAGATTCACTTCTAACCTACCTTATATAAAAAAACAAGCCCCAAATACTCAGGATTTGTATCCTACAATAGATAATGTGTGTTGGTAAAAGCATCTACTTAATGAACAACAAAGCAATTATAAAGGCATTGAGTAAATTAACCCTCATTTCATTCGTTTTCTTTAGTTTCTCAGGCAGGATCACAACTCATTCTCAACTTCTTCAGTCCCTTCAATAATTCTGATGACTGACAAAATTTGGGAATTTGTGACCTAACGTCATTACAATATTGCTCCACCCACTTTTTTGTGCATGTTTCCTTTTATAACAAAGTACACGAGCACCAAGTTCTAAGTTCTTCATACCCCCACACTCAAAACATCTTCATATGAAACTATGAATAAACAATAACTTCCTATGTGTAACAATAAATGTCAAGGAGCCAATTTTTTAAAATCTATCATTTTGTTTCTATGACTCCTTTTCAAAAGGACAGTACTTCCGGTCCAGTGCAGTGGCTCACGCCTGTAATCCCAGTAGCTTTGGGAGGCCAAGGTGGGAGTGTCACTTGAGCCCAGGAGTTTGAGACCAGCCAGAGCATCAAAGTGAGATGATGTCACAAAAAAATTAGCCAGGTGTGGTGGTGTGTGCCTCTAGTTTCAGGGGAGGCTGGGAAGGGAGGATTGCTTATGCTTGGAAGGTCAAGGCTGCGGTGAGCCTTGCTGGCACCGATGCGAATGCATTGGGTGACAGAGAACGGGTATGGGTGACAGAGAAAGACCCTGTCTCAAAAAAATTACTAAAAAAAAATGTTTAAAAGAAAAAACAAAAAAGACAGTACTTCCTAACATTTTCTTAACTCCACCTAAGCATCAGCATGATTTAGTACCTAGGTTCAAATCTGTCACTACCAGTTGGGTGGCCTTGCATATTTTACTTAACCTCTATAACCTCAGTTTGCCCATGTGTCAAATGTGTATAAAAATCACTCCCTCAAAAAAAAAAAAAATCACTCTCTCAAATGGTAGTCCTGAGAATTATGTAAAATGGCTTGTAAGCCAAATGTTTAACAGAAGTCTGCTACTCAATGAATATTTACTGCCTATTATATGCAAGTTATAATGAATTAATGTCCTCCCCTATTTTCCTCTCTAGGCTTTTAGATTTTAAAAAATATATTTTTTAAAAGTATTTCACGCAAAAGTATGCCACTTGGGAAAAATCTACTTAAAGCTACCAAGTTTTTCTGCATTTTCAATTATGGAACCACTGTTAATAAAGAACATGTCAAATTTATAAGGCAATTTTCAAAAAAAAAAAATTTTGCTAAGAACAACACATTCACCATTTACTTGATACAATTATTACTTTGGATTTACTTTGTGGTTCCTTGGTCTAACTTATTTACATGTTAAAAAAGCTTATTATGCAAATTCAAGAATGAATAAAAAGGAAAAGATAAGTGACTGACAAAAGTATCTGAAGTATGCCAACACACCTTTTGTGAAAATCACCTTCCTGTCTTGGAAGTTTATGAGGTGGAGCTGATGGACTGTGAGAAACATGGAAGTCTTTTGTTCTTGGAGTAGGGAGGAGAGGCAGTTAATGGTTAAAAATTAAATTGCAAAATCTCTGTCAAATGTGGGATATAGTGATTTGAAGCATGTCTTCTGAGCTAGTCTCTTACCCAGACTTCTAATTCTGAAACTTCTTTTGCAAAACACAACTGGTATGGCTTTGCCCCTGATAGGTCCATATAATAAAAATAAATAATCTATTTCAAGAAAGTGGAGACGACCATAACCCTGGACAATGAAAGAACTGCATATACGATTCATAGCTTCTCCGTGACTCAGTTTGATATGGGAGACTAGCCTTCCTAAATACTCGAAAATCCTCCACTTCTACAGAAAATCACAACACATGGAAAAGTGACTTAGAACGCAAAAAAAGATATATGTTCTATTTTCTAGTGTGACAATGTGCAGAACGTAGTGTAATATGCAAAAACCAACAGTTCTCTTCTCAAACTAGTGGTTTCGGTAATTCTACCTATAACAAAGATTTATTTTTTTTAACAAAAAAGAATTAGCGTTTACCAGGAGCTGGGGATAAAAGAGATGAGGAGTTACTGTTTTATGAATACAGAAGGTTTCGGATTGAGGTGATGAAAAAGTTCTGGAGATGGACAGTGGTGGTGGCTATACAGCAATGTGAATATACATAATGCCACCAAACTGTACACTTAAAAATGGTTAAAATGATGAACTGTATGTATATTTTACCACAATAAAAAATTTCAATGTTATTCATCTTAAAAATGACACTAGATAAAAGAAGAATGTGTTGTTACAAATTCTTGTTCATCTGGGCCAATGATAAAAATCCACTAAAGCAATGAAATTAAAATGAGCATCCAATTAGATTGAGTGACTCAACATAACAAAACCATTTTGTCATCATTGAAAACCACTAGGCATGCCAGGAAAGTGTACTTACTGAAATACTGAAATACACGTGCACATACACACACACACACACACACATTTATATATATAACATGTTTATGGCCAATATAACAATAAATTTGTATAACCATATCTTTATTAGTCAAACAGTGAGAAAAAAAACTCTGGTGGGGTCAATATATAATGCAGAATTTAAAAGACTGTCACTATAGCATGAATCAGACTTGCACACAATCTTCAGATGTAGAAACTATTATAACAAAATACTTGCGAGAACGGTGTCTACATGTCTGAGTCTCCCACCCACACTATCCCTTACACCAAGAAAACTGGGTTGGTTTCCATTTGCTTACCACTAGTCCCAGAACGAGGGTGCGAACTCTTTCTCCTATCTCGGGTGAAATGTCATTGCCAAACTGCTGCAGGGTAGTAAGGAACCTTTTCAGCTTGCTGAGTTGCCTGGCACCACAGGCTGGGGGCAGCTGTTGATTAGCCAGAGAGGAGGAGGAAGAAGAGGAAGGCCCATTGCTGAAGCCATTGGGTGGTGAGGGGGCGCCATTCAAGGCTGTAGGAGAATGGCTCGTGCCATTAGTTACTGTCAAGAGCACAAAATCAGAAGGAAGTCATAAACTTACAGAGAACATGCATGAGGAAATTGCCACCAAGTTTCCTACCTTTTACATCTACTAGTTTTATAAGTTTTTAAATGTTGGGACTTTTTAAAAATGCTTGGACTTCACAGGGTTACTACATTCTCAGGTACTCTATAACTAAATGGGTCTACTCCTCATACTGAGTGATGGTATCCTGCACAGAGGCTGACAATAAATGGAGTCTGCTGCAACCCAGGGCCAGCCCTGCCTCCCATGTGCACATATGCCAACCACCTGAAATGTTTCAAAAATAGAACAGACAGCTTCGGATGTCAGCTTTTTGTCGCAGGCTTACATCAATATAACAGGACTATTCCTTTCCAAACTGCTCCCCTAGAGAAAGTGTACATTTGGTGGAGACTAAATTTATCATTGAACATTTTTAATCATGTTTTGTACACACAACTGACAGCTGTGTTTATAGGAATAGGACTTTCAAGTTTTAACCTTCCACCACCCAATTAGAAGGCTATTTTCTCCCCCTCATACTTCTTAACCACTTCTTTAGGAAAAATGCATATTTTATGTACAAAGCCAAAATGGATATGGTGTTTAACAAGGAGTTACTTCAAGAAATCAAAAAGGGACACCTAAATCCAGCCAAGAGCATGGAGTGGTGATAATTCAGTAAATTCATTTCTGATAAAATTTGTTTGAACATCAAGACGATAATCCCTGTCACTCTGTAACCCATTAATATGTACATTAATAAGTACATAAAAAGAAAGCAAAAAGTTGATAATCCATAAGAACTAGAATTAAAAATCTGCATCGTTTGCATTAAAGAAAATGTTGATTTTATCATGTTAAGTCAATTAATTTGATAAGCAGACCTTTATCAAACCCATCTTTTTAATATAATTTTGATATAGTTTGAAAATGTTTTAAAGACCATGTTATGCTTAAAAGTTCAATTTTGACATAATAAAATGGTTCTCTTGTCACAACTGAGTATCATAATAACCTGTCAAGAAATGCCAGCTCACCAGGACATCTCACAGGAGACATATGCTTACCCCTGTGGCTTTGGGTAACAACAAACCAAATATAAGATGACACGGTTACAACTTGGCATTGCACAGTCACCTGCTCCTTACACATTTGGAAAGGTCTTTTAAATGGCAGTGCAACACTGCATAAACAGCCTGAGATGCGTACTTTGCTAATCCCTTATAGTCCCAAAGATCTACTTTTGCCTTTTAGTTATTTTTCATTCATATGGATTTCATGGCACATGGTGTGCAAAATAGCTGCAACCGATAACATTTATTAGTTTCACAATTCCTTGATGACAATTTCAACCAGGACTTTGAGATTTATTAAAACAGTTACTCACTATCCCTAATGAAATACACAGGAAAGAATGGGAAGTTGCAATTCTGTCAGAATTCTCTATCCTTTCCTTTGGACTGTACTGAAAGCAATACACTCTATTGAGAGAACTCAGAACTTGAGCCAAGCAGGAATGGAGTAAAGTTTTAATAAGAGTCTGACAGGTTCAAGACAAGAAAGACACGACCGGGTGCGGTGGCTCACGCCTGTAATCCCAGCACTTTGGGAGGCCGAGGTGGGAGCATCACGAGGTCGGAAGTTCAAGACCAGCCTGACCAACATGGTGAAACCCCGTATCTACTAAAAATATGAAAATTAGCTGGGCTCAGTGGCGCATGACTGTAATCCCAGCTACTCAGGAGGCTGAGGCAGGAGAATCGCTTGAACTTGGGAGGCAGAGGTTGCAGTGAGCTGAGATCGTGCCACTGCACTCCAGCCTGGGTGACAGAGCGAGATTCTGTCCTCCCCCTCCACCCAAAAAAAAGGGCAAGAAAGGCACTTCTCACTTCAGAAAGTTTTCTGTATGATATTGTTGCATATCAATACCCTTTTTAACACAAGGATATTATATTTTAACATTATTTGTAACCACTTGAAATAGATGAAAATGGTGTTAGAAGAAGTAACCTAGAAATAATAATAGCACATTTCCATGTTCCAAGTCATGCTGAACAAACTAAAATAAAGAGCTCCACATTAAGATGAATTAGAAGTTACAGTGGTAACAACTGGAATTACAGACCAAATGCTGCTTCATTTGCTAAAATCATAGCAGACTGCAACTTCGAAGCAATAATGAAAAGGAAGGCAAATATTGGCAGTCACACAAATTAGACCTAAGCTATGATACTTCTGTGCTCAGTACCTACTTACTGGCAAACAAATGATTTTTTTTGGTTCATTTCTGCATAATACATTGATGCTGAATTTTATTTTCCCTTGATTTTTCATTTGCAGAAAAAAATTTAATTTAAACTTTAAAACTGAAACTCAAAAGCCTGAAATGACTACTTACACGTTGTCGGTGTAAATGAACTGGTTCTTGGAGCTCCTTGAGTAGTTGGGGGAGGTGGCATTGTTGGAGGAGTCAGCCTAGATTGCGTCTTCACATCCACAGGTGAGTCTGGCATTGTGGAGTGCTTCTCAGTACGATCTGGAGGATGCCACCAGGAACATATTATTTTACTCCTTAAGCACCTCAGTTTTTCAAGTGGGGTTTATCTTTTTTAAAAGCAAGTGAACAGAAGAAATTCAACATCTTCTATCAATAAAATACACTTATCTACTGACGTTTAAATCAGGATTTTATCATCCAAACCCCACTTAAGAAGGTATAGCACAGATGGCAGGACCTCATTTGTAACTAGGTTATATTATATCCTATTGTTATTTCTGGCTTAGGCAGATGCTACCTTGGTAGTGTTATATGCAGCAGCACAACTGCACTGGAAGCTGAAGCCAATGTTAGCAAGAGGTAGAAAATAGATGAGGAAGTGGGATGATAATGAACCCCTCATGACAGCTCAGAAATAACAAAAACCTGAAGTCTGTTATGCAGGTGAGATACTGGTAGGAGCCAGCTCTTTGTAATGATTTTCTCTTACACCTGCCATCCCTGTGCTGTCCTTAGTTTTCTGGCCTATTAGATGAAATAGGTTATCGTCTTCCAGGCATATTTCGCATTTCAATTTTTCCTGCCCTGTTTTAAAAATCACTGCTACATAGGTGAAATGTGTTATACAATGAAGTGAAACTATTATTTACTTAAAAGGTGTAAATTTATGACCTGCCATTTTAAAAGCATGAAACCAATACTCCAATTAATAATCTCAAACAGAGTTAAGAATGTAAAAGTCCCAAACAGAGAACTAAAAAGAACTAGACACTGCTAATATTTTTTTCATGAGTATGTGGCAGATATGAAGAAATTTCCTGATTACCCAATAATGGACATTCATACTTCAGAACTGCTGTAAGTATACTTTTCCCTTGACATTCTGAACTGTTTTTCTCAATCTAATCTACTTATCAAAGCAACAGACCTTTTGATCTGTTCAAAGCAATTTCTTAACACTTTGGTTATAATAAACATTTAAAAGTTGAAATAATTTTGGTATCATTTTAAGGAAGCTGCAATAAAAGAATAAAAATAATCATCATTCAAATAAGAGCATTTGCACGATGAGCTAGTCAACAGCAGTATCAGAGTCTCTATTTTTGGTTCTTTAGATCTAATTCTTTCACAAATGTGTAGGCACGCACATGAACACACACACACCCAACGTATTTTGAGGCACCTCTTGCAGTTATAGACACAAATATCTCACACTTGGGCTTTTAGAAAAGTGAAGTAACTATTAAGAAAGAACAAGCCTTTAAAAATGTTATAATAACCACAGTGAGAAAATCTCAAAATCACTTAAAGGTCAATTATTGAAAGAAAAAGAAAAACCCAAATTACTACTATAACAATTCCAAATCTACCTCACTTTTGTTCAAAGCAATTGCTTAACACTTGGGTTGCAATAAAACACAACATTTAAAAGTTGAAATAATGTTGATATCACTTTAGGGAAGATGCAATAAGAGAATGAAAATAATCATCATTCTAATAAGAGTATTTGCACAATAAGCTGTTATTATTATTATTGATGAGTTAACAGCAATATCAGGGTCTCCATTTCTGAATCTATACTTCTGGCTGAATAACAACGGATGTCCCTATAGTGAATAAAAGTGTTCTGAGTGAAAGGATGGTAGAGACACACATGAAGAGCATTTTCACCTTTATCTATTGTTAAAAACTTGTCTTCAGATTGCTACAACCAGTAAGTCACTTATTCTAGAAAAATACAGAAGTTAGGCAGGCTTAAAACCGCTTCTTCAACAGTTAAATTCATTTGCACATTCTACTCACCTCAACCAACCTCAGCAACAAGGGAATAAATAGCTTCCCACTTATGTTGCAGCTGAGGGAAGAGGTACAGCAGCAAATACAAGTCTCCCTAAATAAAGGCAAATATTTCTGTCATGCCAAGGAGGGAGGGAAAAAGGGAGGCTTGCCAGAGTCGGCTGGGAGATAACAGTGGGAACTGCTGGTCCATCTGGTTTTCATTCTGCTAACACTCACACGGAACTGTTAGAGAAGGCAGTCCAGATACACAGATTTGAAGCACGTGGTTGCACAGACAGAGAAAGGAAGAGCAGGAGGGGGAGGGGAAGTGGGAGTAACAAAAAAATAAATAAAGCAATAGGAGGAAAAAGAAGAGGAGGAAAAAGAACAAAATAGAGAGACAAGAGCCTGATGGGGGAGTAAGTTACCCTCAACAGCTTCCTTTACCCTCAGTGTCTACAAGCTGGACCTTAATGTGCACAGCCCCCTACCTGACTCAAGTTTATAGAGTTAAGGAGCAATATCTAAACTTAAACATATTTGAAGGCTATTTTTCTTTCCTAAAATAGACCACCCTAAAAAAAATAAACTATAAATTTGACAATAAGTTTCCTCCTCAATTTTAAGTTTGTATTTAAGATAATCTTTGTATTCCTATCTTCTTCCCAATTTTAGAAAGTTTTTGGTATATTCATAATTTTGATTTGAAAACATCTGAATATTGTCTTGGTCCACACTTGTAACGACTCCTATCCAGAACAGCAACATCATCATCCATAGATTATTTTTTTAATTCTTGAAATGTCAACAATAACTACAGAGACAATGTATAGGAAACACCACTACTTCTAATAGGAATATGAACATTCTAGCCAGAATATATGTATATGTGCATATATTCAGGGTTTTTACATTAGCCAAATTTCTGCAATGGTTAGCTTCACTCTGATCAAATGGAGTTCCAGCCCAGAGGTCCTACAAACTGAGACAAAGTGGGACCATATGTAACTCATTCTGTGCTGTTCAGTGCAATCAATCCAGGATGGAGATAGATGGTGAAATAACCAGCCAGGCCTAATCCACATACACATGAACACTCTCTGGAGCACAGAGATTTAAGATAAATGCGGAAAATGTGTTTCAAGTATGCTGAGCCCTGTTGCATTTGTTTTGGATTATTTAAAAACTTTTTTTGAAATATATATTCTTGAAACTTTTATAGCAAACAGCACAAGCAAGCTGATTTAACCACAGAAGCATTTCACTCCATTTCAAATTAGAGGACATGGTAAAACCAATATTAAGTTATAATATTTCTTATATAATTTTTTAAGTTCATGGAAATTATAGTGTCCTGGTATGTAATTTCCATTTTTTAGTTGCAATAGGGGAGTTCTGACATATACTCAAAGACTGACACAAAATGATTAAAAGTCAAAAGAAAAAAGCAAAAGAAAAAACCTCCATCAGATCATGTAGCAAAGGTAAGTAAAATAAAAAAGGGCTGACTTTACTTCTACCTTAGCGATTCATACTACTTCTAAACAAGACGATCTTCCCTCTGTGTAACGTTTCTCTCACATGGCAAATATCCAACACATATGTACCAAAGATGGTTGATGCATGGAAAACAAATGTGGCATATATTAATACATTACCTATATGATTTCAATATCCAGTTCAGTGTCAGGGCCTTCTAGAAGTGGTATGTTTCCCATTTCCTTTTTTTTTTTTTTTTTCAATAAAAAGAAAAGGTATGGCATAATCTGCCATGGCACTTACTTTACTTTTAGTTAGTTCAAATAGCACCAGATGTGTTTCTAAGGTACAAAAAGTAGGTATTCTGCATTTTCCTTGTTTACATAGCATTCTAGAGAGGACCAGTATAAAACAACAACAACAACAACAAAAAGGGAGTTCAAGTATTGGTAGGTGGTACATCTTTTTCTATCAGTTTATCAGGTCAATTATCGAAGTCTCAGAGATGTTATGGATTAGGAGGAACTTCTTGGACAACTAGTAGTTAGTCTGAGTTAGTCATATTTGAATAAGTGTTGGCTAAGCTAGAAGGTATGTACTAGAGAGGATAAGCCAAAGTGAAATGCAAGTCCTGTAACAGGAAACAGGAAAGAAGAAGGAAGCTAGAGAGGCATCAAGGTGGGTATAGAACTTTAATTTTTATTTCACTGGAAAAGATGGCAAATACAGTTCTGAAAATGATGCTATGTAGTGACTCCAATGTCTGGGTGTCAGATGTTACAGGAGACTATCCATGGACCAGAACAATGGTGCTGGTCGCTTCTGCCCTCCATCCAGCCTCCACCCTTCCCTGATGAGCACTGTGGTAATGCCCATTCCTGCTCAGAACCCTTCTGCAATGCCCGAGAATGAAAGTCAAACACTAAGATGCTAAGAATCATGAAATGACACAGTGGGATACTTGGCATAACAGAATAACTTCCTAAGGCAGACTGGCTTCAAATGTTGACTCTCTCCACCATTAGTAGTGAGTTCTCAAGCAAGTTAGTTTTCCCGAGCCTCAGTCCCTCATCAGAAAAAAATGCAAAAATGATCCTCTGTCCCTCATAGGAATGTGGTGAAATTGAATGAGATTGCACGTTTTAAACCCTAGCACTGTGCCTACTTATATTAGGTACCAGCAGGTGTGAGCTTCATTCTCTTGTGTCTTCAACTCCATGATCCATTCCTGACTTTTCTCTCAATCCTAGGCTCTATCAAATACCAGCCACCTTGGTACTCCCTGGCTTTTCTGCCTTTCTTTTACTTGCTGTTTCCCTCATCTAGAATGACCCGTCCCACTTGCACATTCTTCACTGCTCACTGTAGATCACACATCCTCTTTCAGCTTCCCTCAACTGCCCCGAGCAACAGCCATATCACATTACCTCTGCCTTTCTTTTAACATTTATCACAGCCCTTCTGTATGATGGACACATGTATATATTATACACCCAAACATTCCAACCAATGCAAATGGTAAGCACTTGATGGCGATATTTTTTAAAATTCCTCCTGAGGAGGATTCTTAATAAATATGTAGTAATATAATTGTGGATAGTTACATTTCTAACTATTAGAAATCCATTCCCTATATTATTATCCGTTCAAAGATATCAAATTTCATGGTAAAAGACAAACACACACCATCAACAGTATACACAGAGAGAGGATAGAATGTAGATAACAATGGGAAGATGCTGGAGACCTGAAATTTAGTTCAACTTTGCAACTAACTTATATAGAATGACGTCTCACCTCATGTCTTATCACAGGTGCCGTGATCTGAATGTTTCCCAAAATTCATGTGTTGAAACTTAATCACCAATGTGATAATATTAAGAACTGGGGCCTTTGGGAGGCACTCAGCCCATAAGGGCTCTACCATCATGGATGGGATCGGTCTCTTACAAATGGGTTGGAGAGAGCTAAGGAGGCCACTTTTGCCCTTCCATCTCTTCTGCCATGTAAAAAGGCACTATTCTAGCAACAAGCTGCCATCTTGAGAGCAGAGACCAGGCCCTTACCCAACCTGTCAGTACCTTGATTTTGCATTTCCCAGCCTCCAGAAGTATGAGAAATAAATTTATCTTGTTTAAACTACCCAGTCTAAGGTACTGATATAGCAGCACAAATGGACTAAGACCATAGATGTTTTATGAATAGCATTTTTGCTGAAACACAAATAGGATCTTACCTATTCTCTGATCTAAAACCTTCAGGAGAGTCCCATTGTCCATGGAATAAAATATAAGCTCTTTAGCTTAGTCCATGTTGCAGACACTGTTGAGTTCTTAGCAATGCTTGTTGCTTTCTTCCTTGCTGGAGAGCCCTGACTTTGTTCAGGTACTCTTCCTCTTCCCACAATCTTTGGGGGCAAATTCTCCTTGTTGCACATTAGTCAGATTATCACAGTTTCTTTCTCAATAGCAGGCTTCAGAGGTGGGTGATGTGATTCGATTCTGGACAATGGGCCATGAAAGGAGGTCTACTGAAGAGGTTGTGAGAAAGACATCCTCACTTTCTAAACAGGGACCCAGGGAGCAAATAGTCCCTTCTCTTCTAATAGGCACTATTTTATCTGTAAGTAATTACTTCCCTTCACTTTTTTGAATTCTACTTTTCTTATCTATGAATTAAGCATATTAGGTTGTATTCTTTCTAAAGATCTTTTGCAAATACTAATATTCTCTGGTTTCTTTCTATAGATATGGCTTATGATCATTACAAACACAAAGATGACCACCCTGAAAACATATATTTGATAATGAAGTGACCACAAATACAATCACTTTGAAAGTGATGATCATAACTAGCCTTCTTCTGTTCACATAAATTTCCATGTCCACAAGAATGTCTGCATGTCCATTTTTCTCCCATAAACATTAAAATTAATGTCTACCTCCTCTTTTCAGATACATTTTCACTCCTCATCAATGATTTAGTTATAAAATAAGCATTCTAAAGTCCAATTCTCCCTCTTTAGTTGTCACCAAAACAATCACTAGGATTTTCTTTCATAGCCCAGGCTCTTAAAAGAGAATCTATAGTCACTTTCTCTGGTTCTTCATTTCCCACTCCATCTTCCATGCACTAGGAGCAGAAACCTATAAGACTGTCTGTCTAAACATTTCTCTTCCCATGCTGGAAACTGCCATTCCCTCTAATCTCATAACTACCTTGGGAACTACCATGTTCTTTCATGAACTTGTACCCAAGACACCAACAGGCCCAGACATAGCACCTAGTCCAAGATAGGCAGTATCAGTCCTTCTCCAAGATCTTTATATTTAGAGTTGAGGGTAGAAAACTGCACCATCTACTACCCTCCACATCTAGAAAGCAGGTCTACAGCACAAAAGCCAGCAACTAACAGGCAGAAAAAAGCAAAGAGAAGTAATGAGAGATTATCATGGTAGTAGTAAATAAAGTCCCTCATTCTAGTGAATACGAGGGACTTGTCATATCCGTAAAATTCCTACAATTTGGGTCTTCCAAACCTTCTACAGATTCCTAGTCAAACAATCCCTACTTTGCCTAAAACCGAGATTGAGCTGATTTTCACCAAAACCAAGAAATGCTGATAAAATAACCCTGGCATGCAAGGTGGAGTGCGGTAGCTCACGCCTGTAATTCCAGCATTTTGTGAGGTTGAGGTGGGTGGACCACTTGAGTACTGGAGTTCAAGACCACCCTGGCCAACATGGTAAAGCCCTGTCTCTACAAAAAATACAAAAATTAGCCAGGCATGGTGGCACATGCCTGTAGTTCCTGCTATGCAGGAGGTTGAGGCAGGAAAATTTTTTGAGCCTGGGAGGCAGAGGCTGCAGTGAGCCAAGATCCTGCCACTGGGGTAACAGAGTGAAACCCCAACTCAAAAAAAAAAAAAAAAAAAAAAAAAAGCAACCCTGGCATGTAGCATCAAGATATCCTCCTAAACTCCACTGAAATTCTTCTCAATTGTCTCTTTATTCTTAATCCAAGAAACATGTACACTACTTTATCTGACATCTCTGTAGCATCTGACACTTCCCTACTTCCTCCTTGAACCATTTGCATCCCCAGAATTCCATGAGTCTAATACTCTCTTTCTCTGGCTTTCCTCGCTTCTCCTTTTCAGTCTCTTAAGGGCTCCTCTTTTTCCTGCTCTGTGATAACTACTGACATTTTCCCCTAAGTTCCTTCTTAGACCCTTTTCAAATTTTCACTTTATACTCTTCCTTAGTGATTTCATTTGTGTTATCATTGGGCTTCAGAGACAGGACTGGAATTTGCCATCCTCTATGTAAAACTGGCCATGTTTTGCAACCCCTGTATTGTGGGAATAAACTCAAATAATGTGTATTGCATTCTTGGTCAAATGCCTGATACATGGTAAGCACTCCGGAAAGGGTGACTTTATTCACTCCGTGGCCAGTATGAGAATAACTCTAGTCAATATCCCTCCCAAATTCTAGACCCAAACTTCCAGAGGGCTACTCATTTCTACAACCTGAATCATCTACCATCTCTTGCCTGACCTATTCAACAAGTCATTGAATGGACTCCCACCCGTCTCTGATACATTCTCCAAACCACATCCAGTTATTTTTCTATGTATGCCAATGGTGTGACCAGAGATCCTGCCTCTCTCCTCTTGTAATCTTTAAACATCTCTTATAACCTTAAAGTCTGTGCTCCTTAACAGGACATAGAAAGACCTTTGTGACCCATCTGGTTCCTGCAGCTGCTCCAGACACATCTTCATTTCTGCCATCCACCCCATCCCCACCTCTGACCTCCATACTAGACAGCTGCAGTTCTCCAAATGCCCATGGTCACTCTGGCTTTCATACTCACTGCATCCCTTTCCTTGAATACTCTTCACCCCATCACCGCCTAATTAAGTCCATCATTCCTTTAAAACTTCCTTCAGGTGTCACTTCAGCCAGAAACCTTTTGCTGACAACCTTTCTATCCCCAGCTGGCCGGGTTTGTCCCAAGTTCTCATATTAGACTGTCTAGATCCCTCCTGCAGCACTGATCACACAGTATTTAGACCACAATTTACTTAAGAGCAATGATGACATTTTATTTGTTTTTATAGTCCCAGCACTTAGCAGTATCTGACACACAGCTTTAACTCAAGATGAAATCATCTATGTATCTCTTTTTTCCTCTCATCATCCAAAAAGAATTCCAAAAGAATTTTTATATTCTGGAAAAATTAATCACTAAAGATAAATCTAGAAAAATACTACTGGATTATTCAATTCACCAGTTTTCTAACAACTCTCAGTAACCACATATTTCCTGAGACTTTTTAGTATATGATATTAGAAAAAAAGTTTGTAAGGCAATTTATACACATATGATCTATGGCCTCTAAAAACTGTTTTACAATAGTAGTGTCAGTGTAGTCATACATGTACACATTCAAAACAAAGAGAAAAGCATATTGTGAACCAAAGACATACTTTTTTCTACATTCTACAAGTTTTCTGTTGTTTTGTCTGTGGATGGTGGTACAGGTTATGTTTATTTTCTTATTTTTCTCTGTTCTATAATGGGCATATTTTACATTTTACAAGCCAAAGAAATGCCCCAATAAACAACAACAACAACAAAACCCTATTAGGATAAATCAGCTACAATCAGGCTTAGGCATTGTGCCAAATGTTGGGCATGGTTTATCTCACTTTAAACCTCTCTATGAAAAGGTACTATAAATTTGCCCACTTTATAAAAAAGGAACTGAGGCTCAGAGGGATTGAAAAATTTGCCCAAGGTTTTAAGTCAGGTCTTAATCCATGCCTTCTCAAAGTTCATTATCCTCTAAAACTACTGTCATTTTATTCATGATCTGGAAAACTGGGATATGAACTGCACTCAGTAAACGTTAAATCTGTAGCTAGCATTACATTAAAACTGCATCTTCCGGCTGGGCACAGTGGCTCATGCCTGTAATCCCAGTACTTTGGGAGGCTGAGGCAGGCGGATCACGAGGTCAGGAGATTGAGACCATCCTGGCTAACACAGTGAAACCCCGTCTCTACGAAAAATATGAAAAAATTAGCCTGGCCTGGTGGCGGGCGCCTGTAGTCCAAGCTACTCAGGAGGTTGAGGCAGGAGAATGGCGTAAACCCGTGAGGTGGAGCTTGCAGTTAGCCAAGATCGTGCCACTGCACTCCAGCCTGGGCAAGAGAGCGAGACCCAGTCTCAAAAACAAACAAACGGCCGGGCGCGGTGGCTCACGCCTGTAATCCCAGCACTTTGGGAGGCCGAGACGGGCGGATCACGAGGTCAGGAGATCGAGACCATCCTGGCTGACACGGTGAAACCCTGTCTCTACTAAAAATACAAAAATTAGCCGGGCATGGTGGCGCGCGCCTGTAGTCCCAGCTACTCGGGAGGCTGAGGCAGGAGAATGGCGTGAACCCGGGAGGCGGAGCTTGCAGTGAGTCGAGATCGCGCCACTGCGCTCCAGCCTGGGCGACAGAGCGAAACTCCGTCTCAAAAAAAAAAAAAAAAAAAGAAAAACAAACAAACAAAAAAAGCATCTTCCAATACAGTAGCCACTAGCCACATGTGACTATTTAAATTTTAATTAAGATTAAATAAAATTTAAAATTTCGTTTCTCAGTCACACTAGCTGCATACTCAAATTTACATGTGCCTGATGGTTACTATGTTAGAAAGCTCAGTTATAAAACACTTCTGTCATCAGAAAAGGACAATGGCATCCTAGAACAATGACTCTGAAATGTTACCCTAGAAATAACAGCTCTGTGGCAGAAGTCCATGGAGGTGACAAGGCAGCCCAAAGGGATGGGGAGCAGGAGGATTGTCTGGAGCCTCATCCTAAACATCTTCCGCTGCCATTCAGACCTTTCAGTTGCTTTATATGCTGGGTTTCTACATTTGATGATGATGAGATAGGAAAAACAAGTCTGAAGCCCAAAGATATGTAAGCTATGAGCTCTGAAGAAGTGCCGGCACAAGACATTCTCAGTTCAGGTGATCAGTAAACATCAAGGTGACCATGCCAGTGAGGACAAGGCCACAGGCTCACAGTCCTGGGATGAGCCAGTCAGCAGCTGGCCCAGAATCAGAGATGACTGCAGCACATCCCTATGGTCTTTAATGGGAGTGAACTTGGATTAAGAGGGAAACCAGGTAAGAGAATGAGATAAATCTATGGCAATCGATTACTATTTTTGGAAAACTAATTTCAAAAAAATGTTTGGCTCATCTCCATACAGGGACAACAGGAATTCCCCTTCCCTTCCTCTATAGCACTTATCCGGCTAGCTATGCATGGCACATTTATCTTATTTTTGAATGTGTCCCCATCCATAATGTCAGCTTCGTGAACAGAGATTTTTCTCTGTTTTGTTAGCTCTGTAGCATTTAGAAAAGTGCCTGAAATAGTAGGCATTGGATGGACGGACAGATGGACAGACGGATGGAATAAATGGGGGGGGGGGTGGGAAGGAAGGAGGGAAAGAAGGGAGGGAGGAGGGGAGGGAGGGATGGATGAAAGGAAGGAAGAAAGGTTAGTTTCTGCCAAAACAGCTAGAGACATATTAGTAATTCTTTTTTTTTTTTTTTCAATTTTATCACTATTTTAATCAAATAACTTAGCTGTTTGAAACAAATCCTTAAGACAGTTCAATAGAGCAAATGGTGGTTCTGGACAGAAAAATAATACTCATTTCATGAAGTAAGGAAAGATCTGCTGTCATTGGAATACTGGTGGATGCCAGGCATTACTTGTATGTCTAAGTCCTTCAGAAATGTCATCCCTCCCACAGCTGTTACCACCTTTATTCCAGTGACTCTTGCTTCTTATTCTAATCACCACTTCTTGGAGGTACCTAAGGTACCAAATGGATATTAAGTGGCAGCCTGGGATCTAACGACTTCACTTCAAATAGCTTCAAATAGGTGAAGTCAATACACTTCAAATAGGCTAGTTCCAGGTTAATCTGACTTACACCCTGGTGTTCTATTTAAGATCTCATTTAAAAATAAGGGTCCTTGTTTAACAAAGAAAAGTTTAAAGCCCCTGGCACAGGCAAATAGCAAATGTCTACTTAAGGTTAACAATACTTAGGAAGGAAAACTAAGTTGCCCAAATAACAGAAGTCACTCCTCCTTGTCCAAAGAGAAGAGAAAGATGCATGTTATCACAAGGGCCCCAAAACTGAACATAAGCATGTATGTTAACATTTTGTTGTCAAACTGTAGTTCATTCTGGAAAGTAAAAAAAAACAAACAAAAAACAAAAACAAGTCATTAGTGATCCAAACCTTTTATCATCTAAAGAACTGACAATTATTACTCTAATAACATTTGTCTTATTTGACAAGGATAAAGAAGGTTATAGAGAAGGTTCAGAGAGCTGCTGCAGAAAAACGGTAGCACAGACACTCAGTAGAGTCAGTTATGATCATCCAGATAGTAATTAGCAAATCAAGAGAGACAATCAGGAAGGTGCCCAGGGTATGTACCTGTGGCTAAATCGTAGACAAGCAAACAGCAGGAGTTTAAATGAACATTTCTTGATTTTAATTGAATGTACTCTAGGGGGAAAAAAAGTACTGTTAGTTTAGTCTTTACATTATAGGCAATGAAAAGGCACTGAGATTTTAGGCAGCCAAATGAGATGTTCATTTCTATAGTGTATCTGAGAGCACAGTATGAATAGGATAAAAGTGGCAACAGGGCAGGAGTACTGGATAGCAATAGTCTAGGCAAGATAGAACACAGGCATTCAGTATGGAAATGGCTGTAAGACTGGAGAAAAGGGGAAAATTCAGGAGATATTTCAGAAGTATTGCTCAAGTTAACACAGCTCAGTAAGATGCCCTCGAATAAGTAGGAACCGAGAGGTGCATGGTGATGTTAAAAACCAATGCCAAAACCCAGCTGGAAGAAGTATTTGGAAAAAGGACAGGATAAGTTCAACTTCATCAATGGTACTGTGCTGTTCGTGTATAAAATATCCCAAGTAGCTTCGTCTCCCACACTTGCCACTATCAAATTATTCTGCCTCCTCCATGTGCCTCTCCATTTCCACTGCCACCACTAGCATACAAGCCACCACTATCTTCCACTTGGACTTTACAACCTCTCACACCACACTGCAATCTGTTTACATGAAACAACAGATGAAAACTTCTTGTAAAACCAAATGTTTCACTCATTTTTTTTAAAAAAAGCATTCATTCAAAAATATTTACTGAGCTATATAAAATGTGCTAGGTACTGTTAAACACTATGGACAGGTCAGTGAACAAAAATTCTTAAAAATCACTACACTCAAGAACTTTACATTCTAATGATCCGATCAAGTCATTCCCCTATTTAAAGTGTTTCAATGGTTTACCATAACTCTTAGTATAAAATCCAAACCTTCAAATGACCAACAACCTAGATAGATTTAATATGGGCCTCTCTTATCTCATCTCATGCCTCATTGGTTTAATCAGCTGCAAACTTCATCTCACCTCAGGGCCTTTCCCTCTCCCTAGAAAATCCATCTCAGCTCAAATTCACTTACTCAAGGAAGGCGTCCTTGACCTCTCCCCTATCCTACCCACTGTATTATAAGCAATATCGTACTACCTAATCTGTTTTTGTAGAGCTTACCACAACTGTTGTATATAATTGTATAATTATTTGTCTAACACCTCCTGCCAGAGAGTAGTGTCCCATAAGGAAATGGGGACATATCAATTCTTATCATATCAACTCAGTCCCAGAACGTATCACATTGCCAAGTACTTAGTATGAGTAAACAGTGGATATATAAGAAATTTCCTATTTAAAAATATAGATTTGAAGGTACAGGTAGAGCAAAACAATTGGACTCCTTATTCTCTTTAGAAGGGGTTCCGAAGTTTCTTCAGTAATAGAAAGAATAAAATAACAACTGACGATAATAATGAAATCACTTTCTCATATTTCAACCTCATTCCCACTGCAATGGGGCTTCTATCACTACTGTTCCACCTAAACCACCCCGGTGAAAAGACCAACTCTTTTGTGGTTAACCCAAAACATACCTTTCAGTCTTTATCTTACCTGTCCTCTGGGTGCCCTTTGATCTGTTTAGCCACTTCTCATTCTTCTTCTGCAGTGGCATCCTTCTCCTAGCTATCTCTAGGAGTGCAATGGAATTCTCTTGGACCCTGGCCCTTCCTCATCTCCTCATCTTCTGAACTGGCTTCAACCTGTCTGGCGTCTGACACAGGCCTTCACATCTCATGCAACAAATTCTGCCAGGTGTCCATATCTCCAAGGAAGGATACTTTCCTGAGGGCCAGACCAAGAGGTCTCACTGCTTTCTTAACAACTCTAGCTGGATATCCCATTGATAGTTATATGTGGAACCAAACCTAACATAGTCCTTTGGAAATGTGTGCCTCCTCCTATATTTCAATCTCTGGGCATAGCATTATTTTCCACTGAGCTAACCAAGCCAAAATACCACAATCATCCTAAGACTTCCTCTGGCTACAGTCCATCCCAATATTCTGTCAATTCCACTTCTAAATAACCTTTGCGATCCAGGATGCCTTATCTTTTCAATGCTGTATCTCCGGTGTCTAAACATAAGCATCTTGCACATAGTAGGCCCTTAGTTTTTTGTACTAAACCATCTAAAAAAGTTAACATAGTCGGGTGTCCATTCAACCCCTATTGTGTGTGTACTCAAATCATTACAAACAAAATACCAGTAGATTTTTTTCTAGAATTTTACAAATGTTTTAAAAGTTAATCTGAAATAAAAATGAAAATAACCAGGAAACACTTTGAAAATAAAGTGTGACAAGATTTAGCCTAATGTATGTATGTATGTAAGCATGTGTGTTTGTTTATTTGAGACAGGGTCTTGCTCTATTGCTTGGGCGGGAATACAGTGGTGTGAACATAGCTCACTGCAGCCTTGACCTCATGGGCTCTAGCGATCCTCCTTTAGCCTCTGGAGTAGCTGGGACTACAGGTGCATATCACCATACCAGACTAATTTAAATTTTTTTTTGTAGAGGTTTAGTTTCACTACGTTGCCCAGGCTGCTCTCAAACTCCTGGCCTCGAGCAATCCTCCTGCCTCGGCCTTCCAAAATGTTGGGATTATAGGCATAAACCAGTGCCCAGCAGCCTAAAGTTTATTTAAAGCATGACAAGGCCGGGCGTTTATTTAAAGCAAGACATGGCTCACTCCTGTAATCCCAGCACTTTGGGAGGCTGAGGCGGGCGGGTCACTTGAGCCCGGGAGTTCGAGAACAGCCTGGCCAACCTGGTGAAACCCCATCTCTACTAAAAATACAAAATAATTAGCCAGGCACGGGACTCACACCTGTAATCCCAGCTACCTGGGAGGCTGAGGCACGAGAATTTTTTGAACCTGGGAGGCAGAAGTTGCAGTGAGCCAAGATTGCACCACTGCACTCCAGCCTGGGCGGCAGAGCGAGAATCCTGTCTCAAAAAAAAAAAAAAAAAAAAAAAAAGCATGACAAAACTATAATGATTTCAACAGTGTGCTGCTAGTACATGAATAGATGGCCAACACAGCAGAATAAAAAAAAAATAGAAAAAATACTAAGTTCAGAAATGGATATACCTTTAAGAATTTAGTATACAATAATTTCTCATAGTAGTGAGAAAAAGACAAAGTAATTCAATAATTCAGTAATTCCCAAGCAACTACTAGACAGACAACAATTCATAAAAATAAACCCGTCTCATGCCATATATTCAAATTCACTCATTCTGTATGAATAAAAACTGCAGTAAAAAATTAAATATGTAAGTGCATATTTATTTAATCATAGAATGAGAAAAGAGACAATAACCATGATGAGCCAAGACCAATAATGGCACTTACTAATAAACATGAGTACAGCAAAATGTACCATAAATAAAGTAAAAGGAAAGTAAAAAGGCAAGTAACAAATGAAGAAAATATGATTGGTATACGGGCAACAATGGATTGATAGCCTTAATATAGAAATAGTTCCATCAGGCCAGATGCAGTGGCTCAATTCTGTAAACCCAGTGCTCTGCACAGCTAGGAAGGAAGATCACTTGGGCCCAGGAGTTCAAGGCTCCAGTGAGCTATGATCACGCCACTGCCTCCAGCCTGGGTGACAGAGTGAGGCCCTGTCTCTAAAAAATGAAATAGCTCCATCAAGTCAATAATTAAAAGTTCAACAGCCCAACAGAACAAAAATTGTAAAAGAACACAAATAGAAAATGTACAAAATAAATATTAATGACCCATAACCCTATAAGGGAAAGTTTAACCTCTCTAGTATTTTTTTAAATTAAAACAAGATCTTTTTTTCATCCAACAAAATGATAGTTTTTTAATTATAATATGGTATTAGAGTATAAATTGGCACTTCAATTAATATACTTTTCTAAAATAATAATTTTCCTGTAGGACAATTAGGCAATACATATCATCAATTGCCTCTAAATTATACATATCCTTTAATACACAAATTCCACTCTTTGGAAATTATTCCACATAAATAATATCAAGTATACAAAGAAATTCATAATGAGGAAACTGGAAACAGCCTAACTATTCAACAATAGGCATTTGGCAATTCAAATTCTAATACATCCACAGTGGAATACAATGTTGTGTATATTTACTTGGAAAGATCTTTAAAATATACTACTACCACATGGGGGGAAGTTACAAAGCAGTATGTTTTACAAGATCCTGTTTTTTAAGAAAACTATTTTAAGACAATTAGATGGATGTGTATGTGTTTGTAAAAAGACTAGAAGGGTACGTATAATAATGATCTCTATTAGAATACTGAGTAGCTATTTCTTAAGTTCGTGATTCAGAATGGGGCAGAACTTTCAAATATATTGTCAGGCCAGGCACAGTGGCTCATGCCTGTAATCTCGGCACTTTCGGACGGTGAGGCGGGCTGATCACTTGAGCCCAGGAGTTCAAGACCAGCCTGGCCAACATGGCAAAACCCTGTCTCAGCCTCCCAAGTAGCTGGGACTACAGATGTGAACCACCATGCCCAGCTAAATACAAAAATTAAAATTTTTTGGCTGGGTGCGGTGGCTCACGCCTATAATCCGAGAACTTTGGGAGGCTGAAGCGGGCGGATCATGAGGTTAGGAGTTCAAGACCAGCCTGGCCAATATGGTGAAACCCCGTCTCCACTAAAAATACAAAAATTAGCCGGGTGTGGTGGCATGCTCCTGTAGTCCCAGCTACTAGGAGGCTGAGGCAGAAGAATTGTTTGAACCTGGGAGGTGGAGGTTGCAGTGAGCTGAGACTGCACCACCGCACTCCAGCCTGGGCAATAGAGCGAGACTCTGTCTCAAAAAAAAAAAATTTTTTTTTTAAATTTGGAACTCTACCAAGGCTATTCAGCTTTGGAGTGAAGGGGTAAAAAGCAGGATTCAAGACAACCAAAAGGGAAGAGAAGGGGTTAAAGAGGCGGAGTTATCTATAGCGGTTGGAGCACAAGAAAGCCCGTGAACACACACGAGTAGAAAAAGTGCCTTATTCACCTTTGTATCCCATTCATATAACAGTGCCTAGCATCAATGTTCACTGAATAAAAGAATGAATATTATTTTAGTAAGAAAAAGGTCCACAAACACTAGCTGACTGAGAGGAAAAGACTAGAGATCACCTTGGGGAAAAATCCAAAAGTACACTAGAGCACCATAAGAATACAATCCCCCAAAAAATGATCAGATTCTTCAGAAAGCATTTAGTAAGTGCCATGTGACAAAATGGAACCCACCCCATAAAGCAGTTTCACTAAAAGTTGAGGCCTCTGGAAGGGCTCCCAAAGACAAATTTGAACAGCCTGTGACTTATATTAGCAAATTCTTTACATATAATTATATTGATGCATTAATTGAGAACGAAAGATATGCATTTAACGGAGATTTCCTTCTTATATCAAAAAGATACCTGCACTCCTAGTTTATTGCAGCACTATTCACAACAGCAACACAAGGAATCAAACTAAGTATCCATCAACAGACGACTAAAGAAAATGGCATATATATATGTGTGTGTGTGTGTGTGTGTATACATGTATACATATATATACACATATATATACACACGTATACATATATATACACATATATATACACACATATACATATATATACACATATATATATACATATATACACACACACACACACACACACACACACACACACACACACCATGGAATACCACCCAGCCATTAAAAACAATCAAATCATGTATTTTGCAGCAACCCGGATGGAACTGGAGGCTATTATCCTAAGTGAAATACCTTAGAAACAGAAAGTCAAATACTGCATGTTCTCATTTATAAGTAGGAGCTAAATAATGGGTACACATGTAACGAATGGGATAGGCTGGTACAGTGGCTCATGCCCTGTAATCCCAGCACTTTGGGAGGCCAAGGAGGGCGGATCACCTGAGGTCAGGAGTTCGAGACCAGCCTGGCCAACGTGGTGAAACGCCGTCTCTACTAAAAGTATAAAAATTAGCTGGGTGTGATGGCGGGCACCTGTAATCCCAGCTACTTGGGAGGCTGAGGCAGGAGAATCGCTTGAACCCGGGAAGCAGAGGTTGCAGTGAGCCAATATCGCGCCATTGCCCTCCCGTCTGAGCGATAAGAGTGAAATTCCATTTCAAAAAAAAAAAAAAATAAGAGTGGGATAATAGGTATCCCACTGGAGACTCCAAAAAGTGGGAGGGTGGGAGGGAGGTGAGAGTTGAAAAATTACCTTTTAGGTATAATGATCACATTTGGTACACTAAAAGCCTCGGCTTTACCACCACACAATATATGCATGTAAGAAATGCATCTGCACTTGTACACTCTAAATACATAAAAAAAAATTTTAAAGGCGATTTTCTCTTGGCTTAATATGGTCAATATAAAGGGAGATCAACTCCATATATTTTATACGGTTGTTTCAATTTCATATTTATCATTTCTTAATAGAGTTTCTACATCAGTGAATACTTTGCATAATACAACTTTTCATGGAAACCCATGACCTTACTTAATAAAGTAATTCAGAGAAGTTACCCTAAATAATTAATTGCTAATAAATATTCCCTAAGGACAGAAAATCAAGATTGCCTTAGCAGGAAATATCTGCATATATATATATATATATTCAAAAGCATCTAAGTAAGTCTACTTTCACCTTCCATATTTCCAGACAATGTAAAAGCAAGCATACCTTTTAATACCAGGAAAACCATTGGGGAACCTAGAACCATAAAATTCTGGCTAGTTACAATTTGAATGACACATTTTTACAATTCAGACACCACCTTAAGTTCCAGGGAAGTGTCTCAAGTGAACACATACATAAATTTAATGTTAGTAAGTTCTTAATGTAGCCTCATTTCTATTTATACTGTAAATATGGGTATATATGTTATTAAATTAAGATGACAGTCTAAATTCCCATCCACTTACTAGGAATCATTTATATTTCATATAGCACTAGAGATGTCTTCTCTGAGCTTATGAAGAATTATAATGGCGAGAATCAAACCAAACATTGATGGACAACTGCAAAGAGCATTCCACATATAAATGAAAAATGTTGCTTGCTAAAGATCTATAAGGTTGTTTTCAGAAACACAACCTTCTTGATATTATTTGTCAGATAAATTAATTATGAAAGCAATAAATGTCTAAATATACAGGAAAGTGTTCTCAATTTTCTAAGTTCATTGTGTTATTAACTTGTTACTAACAATAACTCAAGTTAGGATATATCCAAAACCATTCCTATGATAATATCACTAGTACTTCCCTAAAAGGCAAAGGGATAGAATTTTTGGAATGTGATCAACACTATCACAGAAGACCACTGTGATCGTCAATGTCAACATTCCTTGAGTGACAGCAAGAAAAACTGTTGGGAACTTCTGTTTTGAGGGATCAACACAGCACCTTTGAATACCTTTCCTTTTCAGGAGAACTTGCCAGGATGCCTCCGGAAGGTTTCTGAAGCCTAATAAACCATTACACAAATTCTACTCTTTATCTCCTTTTTTCTAAAGAACAATAACTTACTTGTACAAGTTTGGGCTTCAAGAAAACACTAGATTTTGCCCTGGAAAATGTGGTTATGTCAACTTATTTGAGCTGACTCTAGACAAAATTATGAGGTCAGCACAGTTAACCTTCAGTGTTTCCTTGTTCTCCTTTGCTTAGCTTCCTTTCAGTACCTCCCTCTAACTCCGATCTCCAAGAAATCTGGAACTCTTATATTGTTCCCTAGCTAAAGATACTAAATAGTGACACCCATCTAGGCTCAATGTCCTGAGCTTCAGATTTGTCCCAAATGTCTACTTCTGGGACTGAAGTTCCAATAGTCATTTCAACTAATTCATATAATGGTGATGGGCTAATGATGGCAACTTCATATACATACCTACACCCTCATCGCCTCATGAAATAAAAATTGATGATTTTCAACTGGGTTGGGAGAATGGGCTACTGAATCAGAATTACCTGAGAAATTCTGAAATAAACTTTCTCATCAATGTGTAAATTTATAACCCCGTGTCCTGTGGATGACCAATGCCTTGAGAAGCCACAGATGCTGATGTTGAGAAGGAGGGAGGGCAGAAACATCATCCAACTAAGTGAAAGAAATGTTCAGGTGCCTTGTTCTTCCCTCTGCCCATAAATACATAGTAGGTATTCAGTAACAGCTGCATTTCCAGTCAATATTTTTTTAAAAATACATAAACAAGTCCTTCTCATCAGGTGCGGTGACTCATGCCTGTAATCCCAGCACTTTGGGAGGCTGAGGCAGGCAGATCACTTGAGGCCAGGAGTTCAAGACCAGCCTGGCCAACATGGCGAAACCCTGTCTCTACAGAAAAATGCAAAAATGAGCCAGGCATGGTGGCATGCATCTGTAGTCCCAGCTACTCAGGTGGCTAATGTGGGAGGACTGCTTGAGACCGGGAGGTCAAGGCTGCAGTGAGCCATAATCACACCACTGCACTCCAGCCTGGGTGACAGAGGGAATCCATCTCAAAAAAAATAAATTTAAAAAGTAAAAAAAATCCTCTGCTTTAAAAGCAGAGGAGTATAATCTGTTACAGGTCTTCTATGGAGCTTTCAGGAACCAAGGAAAGACCAGTAGGGAAGACCCAAGAGTACCACAAACAGCTCCAGGCAGTTAATCCAATACTTATGGAATGTCTATTTATGAAAACAATAAATATTTTTTAAGACTTACTATTTCCCTTCTCCCTTCTGCAAATGGTTAGCTCATTTTCACCTTTATCTTTCAACATCAATGTCACCTTCTCATGGAATCAATCCTCTCCTGACCATCCTATCTCATGGAGAATTTTCACCCCTTTGTTTCCTTCCCAATACTTACACAACTCAAAATTCTTCTTTATTTATTTATTTATTTATTTATGTATTCTGTGAGACAGGGTCTCACTCTGTTGTACAGGCTAGAGAGCCATGGCACAATTTCGGCTCACTGCACCCTCAACCTCAACCTCCCACCTCAGCCTCCCGGGTAGATGGGACTATAGGCATGTGCCACCACACCCAGCTAATCAAAATTCTTTTATATCCTTTTAATTGGAGTTTAATCTCTCTCCCAGAGCACTGTTATATCCCAGTCCTAGTACAGTGTCTGGCATAGAAGTATTAAAAAAAACTGTATAAAAAAGCATAAAAAATCCTGAAGGCAGGATTCTAACTTTTAAAAGGACAATGGAGAGTGAATTGGTTATAAACCCAGTAAGAAAAGAAACAAGGAGATGTCATTAAAAAACAGAAACACAAAGGGAGGGTGAATAGTTACGAGTTCATGCTGTGGTCAAGGTTAGATGTGAGGTGGGATAAAGCAAAGAGGAAAAGCCAAACAGGACACAGGAAATGAAGAACGAAGGCTTTCGAGATTAAATGAGCCCAAGCATATCCAACATGGTACAGCCCCGGACAAGGTGAGGCAAGAAAGTCATCCAGTAAAAAAACCAGGTTGCATTCATCTCAAAGACACTGACTCATCTCAATTCTCCAGCCAAACTCTGCTACTCTCCTCTGCAGATAACCTCATAGTCTACTTAATATAGCAAAGTAAGGTCATGGGTCCTACATCTCTGCAAACTCTGCCCTCGAAACTCCTCTGTATCTGCACCTATGCCTCTAGGCTCAGAAGAGGCACCCTTCTGCCTCTAGGGGCTTCACTCTCCCAGAAATTACTCTCTCTCTTATCTTCAACTTGTTTGGCCCTAACCACTCCTTCTCAAAACCTAGGCTTGCTGGAGTCTCTCTCATCCAGAAAAATTAACACCCCTCCCCTTTATTGTAGACTATACTGGCACATCCTCCATTCTCCCACTGCCTGGCTTCTTAAGGGCAGACCTCAGGGGCTCCATCCACTTTGCAATCCACCACAAAAAAGTTCCAACAAAAGGACAAAGTTACCTGCTACTTTCCTTCCAGGTGGCCAAATCCAAAAGGCAATTTTTGTTGTTGTTTTTTTTTTTTTTTTGAGACAGAGTCTCACTTAGGCTGAAGGGCAGTGATGAGGTTTCACTATGTTGCCCAGGCTGGTCTCGAACTCCTGAGCTCAAGTGATCCAACCGCCTTGGTCTCCCCAAGTGCTGGGATCATAGGCATGAGCCACCACGCCTGGCCCAAAAGGCTATCTTGACCCCTCTTCTGTTCCTGGTCCCTTTGTAGTGCTTCACCCCGTACACCACTCCCTTTGTGAAACTCTTTGTTGTTTTAACAATACCTGACTCTCTCAAAACCTCCATAACAGTTCCTTCTCCTCTCTTCATCTTTTCTGGTGCCCTGGTATTCCCATATTCTTTTCAAGCCTTTCCTCTCTTTATACCACTTGTTTTCTTCCTGAATGAGCAACTCAAAAGGTTTTAGCTATCGCCAGTGACTCCAAATGATGATTTTTCACTGTATACATCTGTACCTCACAAACCTGTGATCCACCTTGCCATTGAGTATCTCTGCACTAATACACCAAATAAAACTGAAAGTTAACATTTCAAAGTGAACTCACTGTCTTCTCTCGATGTATTATTCCCCATTCTGGTTGATGGCAACCAATTGCTCATATCAGAATCCAGAGTCACTCTAGACACCACTGCTCACCATACCTGGCTCCATACCAACTGATCATTGGAGCCCCTCAGTTCTGTTTATTTGGTACTTCTAGAGCCTGTACCTTCCTCCCTTCCCTTCTTGCTCATTGACACTGTGGCCCATCAGGTCCTCATGTTCTCTCACCTAGCGTACTACAAATCTCATCTTCTTCAATCTACCCTTCCCTTCACTCCTAGAGTGATGTTAACGTTCAAACCCAGCAATGTGACTCCTCTGCTTAAAAGCATCCAGTGGCTTCCCTTTCTACCACTTCTACTTATAAGACTTGACATTTCCCTCTGTTACTTTCTCACAGCATATGCTCCAGCCCTGGCAATTCATACCAGGTCATGGTCTTCCCTGATTTTGAAATGTACCTTGACTACAACAAGCTTATGATCTTTCAAGACACAGAACAAGTGCCACCTCTCCCATGAAGGCTTCCCAAATTACCCCTGCCCCATATTCAGAGCAAAGAGTTGATCATTACCTTCTTTGGGCTCTATTTTACATACATTTATTAGCAAACTTAGCATCACTTATTACAACTATTATATTTGCAGGTGTGTGTCCCGTGTGTATACTATATACACATACACACGGACACACATGTTCCTTAAAAGGCCGAGTCTACATCCTATTGATTATTCCATCCCCAGCATTCTGCACAATGCTTAGCACACAGCTAATTCTGAATAAATACACTGTGGCAAACTGCTGTTAAGTCAAAGAACACCAGGATTTAGGGCATCAAATAAGTTATCAAGTTTTAAAAAAACAAAAAAGGTGAAAAGGAAAACAGTGTTGCTGCACCAGAACCTTCCCTGAACCAACTGGGAGTTAGGTCTGGCTCTACTGTGCTTTCAAAGCCCTCCATTTCTTCCCCATCATACAACTCACATCTTATTGTAAAAATCTTTGTACATGCCTTCCTCGTCAGGGTGAAATACAATTACTGCTAGAAATATTTATAATGTAATTTTTTTTAGCCTGTGTAATGGCATGTGCCTACAGTCACAGCTATTTAAGAGGCTGGGGCAGGAGGATCACTTGTGCCCAGGTGTTAAAAGCTGCAGTGAGATATGATCAAAAAAAATAAAATAATATAAATTTTTTTTTCAAATACGAGGTCTTACTCTGTTGCCCAGGCTAGTCTCAAATTCCTGGGTTCAAACAATCCTCCCACTTCAGCCTCCCAAAGTGCTGGGATTACAAGCATTAGCCACTGCACCCAGGCTATTTCTAATTATCTTAATAGCAGTTAATACTCACCGAGCATTTACCAAGTGCCAGTTATCTTGCTAAGTGCTTTACATGAGTTAACTCATTTAATTTTCACTATAAGACAATGCAATAGATCTTATTCATATTACCATTTTCAGGTGAAAAAACTGAGCTTTAAAAAGAATAAATAATTTGTCCATTGTCCCACAGCAAATGAACAGCATGCAAAGCCAAGGGGCATGCATGATTTCACGGCCCATGCTCCGGGTTTAACTACTATACTATTCGACTAACACCTCCCACCAATAACCCACCATCAAATACATGACTAAAGGCCAGCAGGATTTCACAAAGGCCGGGGCTTTGTTTGGCTTACTTGCTACTTGGCACATAGTAGATACTCAGTAAATATTTGATGGTTGATTGGCTGGCTGAATGAAAAACTGTTTAAAACTTTGGGTATGGCTGGGCACTGTGGCTCACGCCTGTAATCCCAACAATTTGGGAGGCTGAGGTGGGCAGATCACTTGAGGCCAGGAGTTCAAGATCAGCCTGGCCAAAGTGGTGAAACCCCATCCCTACTAAAAATGCAAAAAATTAGCTGGGCGTGGTGGCATGCGCCTGTAACCCCAGCTACTCGGGAGACTGAGGCAGAAGAATCACTTGAACCCAGGCAGCAGAGGTTGTAGTAAGCCGAGATCACGCAACTGCACTCCAGCCTGGGTGACAGAGCACTACTCTGTCCCAAATAACAAAACAAAACAAAACAAAAACCTTTGGGCTTATTTATTTTATTTTTTTAAGCTAAAAAATGAAGGGGTGGGTTTTTTTTTTTTTTTAATTGAGATAGTCTCTCTCTGTTGTCCAGGCTGGAATGCAGTGGTGAGATCTCGGCTTACTGCAACCTCTGCCTCCCAGATTCAAGCAATTCCCATGCCTCAGCCTCCTGAATAGCTGGGATTACAGGCAACCACCACCATACACAGCTAATTTTTTTTTGTATTTTTAGTAAAGACAGGGCTTCGCCACCTTGGCCAGGCTGGTCTCCAGCTCCTGACCTCAAGAGGTCCACCTGCCTCAGCCTCCCGAAGTGCTGGGATTACAGGTGTGATCTGTGCCTGGCCTGAAGGGGTGGTTCTTTATCTCTTTCATATGTAAACATTCTCTGGTTTTATTATTTGAAGGTAAAGTGCCTGCTGCCTATGATATCATGATGATACGCAGAAACAGTCCAGATAGGTTGTTAAGAGCATGAGTTTGAGATCACTAAACTTTAAATGGAATCCCAGACCAACTTCTTAAACTGGGCAAATTACTGGATTTCTTTTTTCTTTGTTTGAGACAGGTTCTCACTGTTGCCCAGGCTGGATTGCAATGGTGTCATCATGGCTCACTGTAGCCTCTAATGCCTGGACTCAAGTGATCCTCCCACCTCGGCCTTCTGACCGACTGGCTAGGACTACAGGCGTATGCCACCATGCCCAGCTAATTTTTTAATTTTTCTTTTGTAGAGATGGTGTCTTGTTATGTTGGCCAGGCTGGTTTCGAAGGGCCTCAAGTGATCCTTTGTCCTTGGCTTCCCGAAGTGCTGGAATTACAGGCATGGGGCACCATGCCCACCCACTTGATCTGCTTTCCCTCACCTTAAAGTAAGGGTGGTCCTGGCAACTGCCTCTGTAAGTGATTTCTAAAGATTAAATGAGAGAATATGGATGTGAAAAATTTATGCAACAGCTGGAACATAATAAAGCACTAATAAATGGCAGCTATTACTGTAATCTGAGAATCTGAACAGAAATGATACACGCACACACAAAGGAAAAGATAAGCATCCACTGTTTAAATAAACACAGCTTTTCCTTGGGAAGACTATGTGCCATTTCATTATTTTAGTGCCCTGAGCTGTGTTTGGATTCAAGCATGTCAGTTACCCAAAAAAGACTTGAAAAAACAACCACATTTTTATTCAAGCATGTGAGCTTTCTCACACCTTTCTCCTGTGTCCCTAATTTGTTCATATCCAGACAATTCACCTGGACCTCAGTCTCTCCTATTTCTCATTTCTCTCACATGAAGGCATATGTCTTATTGGTTATAAAGTTAATGGGTGAATGTGGAGAAAGAGGTGTTCTAAGGAAGAATTTCAATCTATACATATTTCTCAGACCTCTTTGCTAGTGACTATATAGCATTCTGCCCCCTCCAAAAAAATAAAGTTTCCACAAAAAGTTAATTTTATTCAATTTAAAAATTATTTTAAGAAAACTGACATCCATTTTCCAAGATTAGATGAGATATCCTCAAGTGTCCCCAAATTAAGTTTGTGAAATCCCTTACCAAAAATGAAACAGAGTTCTTTTCCTCTCTGAGTCCCAGTCTTAACAACCAAAAAAGTATATATACTAAGGAAGGAAAAAAAAACTAACTAGTTCTAGCAAACTATCACAAAAGTAGAGAAAACTTTATTAAAAGTCATTATACATTATCATTTCATAAAATTTAATATAAATTTACATAAAATTTTAAAATAAATGAAATAATAAAAAGTATGATTATTTTATATCTTTTATAGTAACAAACATACAGAGTGTTACACTAAAGATGGTATACATAAAATTTTCAGCTGTAATTTCCTTGGAATTTTGGAGTGACAGTATTAAAATCACAATTTAAAAAATAATTATAATCATAAAAACCTTAGCCGGGTGCGGTGGCTCACACCTGTAATCCCAGCACTCTGGTAGGCTGAGGCGGATGGATCACCTGAGGTCAGAAGTTCGAGACCAGCCTGGCTAACATGGTGAAACCCCATCTCTACTAAAAATACAAAAAATTAGGTGGGCATGTTGACAGGCACCTGTAATCCCAGCTACCTGGGAGGCTGAGGCAGGAGAATCGCTTGAACCCAGGAGGCAGAGGTTGCAGTGAGCTGAGATCAAGCCATTGCACTCCAGCCTGGGCAACAAGAGTGAAACTCCGTCTCAAAAAAAAAAAAAAAAAAACCTTAAGCTGAATTTATGCCAAAGTTTCTAAATTCTTTATCAGATAGTGCTTATTTGGTTTATCTTACTATCCATGATAACAGGAGTCAGGGGAACAGCATAGATGTATGGATAGACAGACAAAACAAAACTCAGAAAAGCCCATGGTAAATAATGCACCTTCGCTACCTGCTCTTAAAAATCCTTGATAAGTAGCTAAAATGAACCAATATGCACTCGCTTACACAAAAATTCAATAGTAGCGATATGGGCAGAAGACAGGCAGCAGGAAAGAAAAAGCCAAAATTTAGTCACTCTGAATAAACAAGCTGTAACTGACAGTTGGCTGTATTCATGTTTTGTGAATGAGTAAACCAATGTGACTTCTGCAAGTTCTCACAGAAAGGTAGGTGTGAAAAAGTCAATTCCAGACTTGGAGGTGCATCTATGGTAAAAAATGAGTGAAGAAGACCAAGAGGGTATAAGTCTGTTGTGTCTCAATCAGTCTATCCAAGAGATGGCAAAAAGAGCACAGAGCACCATGAAGAGGTGGGCTGAGCAACCACTAAACTCATGTTCCATTGCGGGACTCTATTCTACTTCACATCTCCATGCCTGCAATATGCAGAAGCATGGATAAACCTAATGAGTTTTGGAATAAATATTATTACTGTCATTCTCATCACCACTACTGCCTTTCACCAACCACTTATTGAGGACCAACATGTATGGTTTTCCATTATTTCATTTAATCCTCAAGAGAATCAGGTGAGAAAATTCAGGCACAAAAAGCAAGTAAAAGGAGGGAAGATGAGAAAATCATACCTAGTTTTGTTTGACTGCAAAGTCCAACTTCTTAACCACTATATTACCCTCCACCTGGAAACCATGTTGATTCAAGCAAGGATACTCAGGAGTCAATTAATTCCACTATGAGGAAGCTATGCACAAGTAACAGAAAGTAATAAAATAGACCAGGTGCAGGGGCCTAAGCCTGTAATCCTAGCACTTTGGGTGGCCAAGGTGGGAGGATTGCTTGAAGCCAAGAGTTCGAGACCAGCCTGGGCAATATAGTGAGACACTGGCTCTACAAAAAAAAAAAAAAAGATATCGATATATATATTATACATATATTTTATTTTCCATATGGAAAATAAAAGTATAGAACACAAATAGGAAGGATATAAAAGTTAATTACCAAGTGGGAATTTATGCACCGCCAAAATAAACCATAATATAATTGCAATGGAATTTCAAAGCTTCGATAATGAGATTAAGGATAACACCCATTTAGTATTTTCCATTTTCTCAAAATTGTCTATCCATCACATAAATGTACAATTTTTTCCACTTTAGTTTATATCTCAGGACTCAATTCCTCACCCAAACTACCATGATACATTCCCAACTGTAGGCAAGATGGATCCTACTATTGTAAGAGTCTCCAATTCAACCTATCAGTGAGATTATTCTTTCTGCAAAACGAGTTCTTCCTGCTTTCTTATTTCCACTGAGGCAAGACCACTCTGCCAATTACGCAGGCTCAAAATTCAAACAGTACCCTTGATTCCACTCTCACCTTTTCTCCCAAATAATGACACTCATTCAATGAATTTCAATCATGGACTTCAACTCAATGCTTTCAAAATCCTCTCATGTTGATTTGGAACCTGCGCTACCTCTTGTAATTTCTCCCTAATCAGTCTCCACTTTTCTGCCTCTCAATCCTTCAATCTCCTTCTATATCCCCTACTACACTTAAGTTCCTTAAGTGCCAGGACTGTGTCTTCCTCTCTTTAAAACCCCTGCTACGCTTAGTAGAAAGTCGTTCCCAGAATCAGTACTCAAATATTTTTATATTGAATTGAATCCTGTTTATTGTGCAGCCACTAAAACTCAAAAGTTATACTTTGAGAGGATACCTATATAGCCACTTAAGTTCAGTAGATTTTATTTTTTTCAGGTACTTTTAGACGGTGCAGCAACTTCATGGAGGTCAGAAAATTTAAGTGGGTCCAAGGAAATTACTCAAATAATTTAAACTGAACATGCCTGTATTACATAGGAAGCCTACCCCATGGCCTGTGCTCTCCTAAAGAACACAGATATTTCACCCCTACCTGCCGACTCATGTATCATTTCAGACTGTCACCACCTTGAAAGAAAAGAATGATTTGTATCACACATTTGACTTTTAATATGTTCATGGATACTAGTGTAACTTGTACCAGCTTAACTCACTGCAGGGGAATGAGGAAAGCTGACAAGACAAGTCTTCGGTATGTGTGCTGCTTACTAAGAGAAATGTGGAAGCAGATTCTAGATCACGGTTTATAATAAGACTCTCAAATAATGCCCCTTAGTATGAACACATGATTAATACAAAGATTAAAAAAAATTTAAGACAAAATCTCACTATGTCACCCAGGCTACATAGAGCGCAGTGGCACAATCATAGCTTACTGCAACGTCCATCTCCCAGGATCCAGTGATCCTCCCACCTCAGCCTCCCAAGTAACTGGCACTACAGGCCTGTACCACCATGTCCCACCAATTTCTTTATTTTTAGTAGAGACAGGGTTTCACCATTTTGGCCAGGCTGGTCTCAAACTTCTAGGCTCAAGCAATCCGCCTGCCTCAGCCTCCCAAAGTGCTGGAACTACAGGTGTGAGCCACAGTGCCTGGCCAAGATTTTTAATATTACTGCAGCCTGACTGTTAGTTTACCTTCAGCAAATGCCTGTTTTGGGTATCTTATATCTAAAATGAGTTTAAAAGCACTAAAACATAGCAGTCAAAACCAAGAAAGACTTAACATGCAGCCTTGACTAGCACTACATAGAACAGTGTTTAGGTTAAAGAATGCAGCTGCCATACAACAACAAATAAAACAGAAAACACAAATTGGATTGGATGACAGTAAATATCTGGAGGCATGGAATAATAAATGACGGGAGTAACCATGAGGCCCAGTGAGGTCTTCAGAATGATATGATGTTTAAGCATCTGATTTTATGACATTATGCAGGGAAGAATAAGAATATACTCAACCAAGCGCTGGGCAGCGGGTATGTGGGATGGATGTTAAATGGATTGGACAGGGAAGTCCTGACAATGGCCTTCAAGAACCCTCCATGAGCTATCTGCCCCTCACGCTCCCTGCTACTCTCTGGTCTCATCTCCAGGTGTTCTTTCATCCTCATACCAGTCTAACCTGGCCACGTTGTCTTTCTTCCCATTCCTCAAACAATCCACACCACACTCTACCCTCTGCCTGGAAGGTGCTTCTCCCATATATCTCTACATGGCCGCTTCCCTCATCTCCCTCAAATCTCTGCTCAAAAGTCCCTTCTCAAAGAGGTGCATTTCAATTACCCAAATTTAAACTGTAACCTGACCCCTGCTCCAACAGCCCTACAGACCCTCCTTATCCTGATTTTCCATAATTATCACCATCCAACAAACCACAGAACTCACTTATATTTTATGTTTATCATTTATTGTCTGCTCCTGTTCACTCCCACACCCCACCCACCTCACATACACTAGAATGTAAGTTCTATGAGGGCAAAAAATGTTGCCTGTTTTATTCACTGATTCATCCCAGTAACTAGAAAAAAGTATAGCATGTATTAAGAGTTCAATAAATACTTGCTGCATGACTGATTAAATGAATATATGACTTACAGACCTATCATAACTGAGCTACAGGGTATTTTTATGAAACATGCATCATCCATATTATGTGTAAAACACTGTACTAGGCACTATGGATTTAAAAAAAAAAAAAAGATACAAAGGAAGAAAAGACAAGAGTCCTTAACCTCAAACAATTTGCTCCAAAATTGCCTCTTAGGTTATTTTAGGACACCACACCCACTTAATCTTATCTACCCACTTCCTCCAACATCTGCTACAGACCTTTGTAAACTGCACAAGTTTACAATGGAAAGGATGCATGTCAGGGATCTGAGCTTTGAGCAGCTGAGTAGTCCTTTAAGAAAAGTTCTCACATAATTTTTTTACAACTCCATTGCACTGCTTATCAAGAAGGACCACATAAAAAGTATAACTTGTGTATGCTCAATATCTGCTGTTATCAAAATGTTGTCAAACGTTTAGCTCACCAAATGAACTAATTCAAATGATCCATTTTCAATAAACAATTAACTTTAAATGTAAACATTTACAACTGATAGACTGCTTAAATGAACATTCAATACACTTGTTTTAGACGTTTAAGGACTTCTAGTTTCCTCAAAATATAAATGAGGTGTCAGTAAATAACATATAGGCCCTATTTCCTTTCAATTTTATCAAGGAAAAAGTGTGTCAGATCATTATTAAACCCTGTGTATGCAACGTGATTTGACAATGACCAAAGCTTGTTACGGATTTTAATTCCTAAAAATATTACAACTGGCGGGGTATGGTGGCTCATACCTGTAATCTCAACACTTTGAGAACCCAAGGCAGGAGGACTGCTTGAGCCCAGGAGTTCAAGACCAGCCTGGACAACACAGTGAGACCCCATCTCTCTTTTTAAAAAATTTTTAAATATATAGTACAACATCTGTTTTAAAGTTTATTGTGGGAGGAAGAAAGGGAGGGGTGGGGAAAAGTAAGAAGATAGAAAGACAGACAGAACCATATATTTGACACTCAACCTGGTCTTTGGAGGGTGAGATGATGGTCATTTTACTTAAGTACATTGTATCTCGTATATCCTTTAATATCCTAAGAAAGCAAGTTTTGTGAGGGTGACAAAGAGCTCTTTCTATTATTGGAATCTGAAAAACATGTGAGAGAAATGGTCAAAATAAAGGCCACATTGGCCAAGTAACTGAAATTGAAAATAATTACAAATTGGGTATTATACAAGATAATGGTCATTGTCCTTAAGAGACAAGAGAGGAGAAATCTAGCAGTGTAGTTTGCAATATTATAGCGCCTAAGCCAAACAAATTAAAATGAGGAGGTATGGTGGCTACGTCACATGCGACTCTGTATCATGCAGGTCTCTTCTGGAGGCCTGTGGCCCAGCACACCTAGCACAGATTAGCAAAATGTACCTATCTCACCTGATCAGCTGGTTTTTCTTTCCCTCTCTTTCTAGTGGAACACAAATACTACCTAAGTCTCTGTATTTGCGGCATCCTGCAGAAGAGAATGAAAATACATATAAGGTGTGGACAGACAATATCTGTGATGGCCTACAAAGTTTCACAAAGGCTGTTTCTCAGCAAGGCAACTATCTTTTTCGAATTACCCTCAAACCTCACAAGCCTATCACTCTTCTAAGATGGTGTTAAGAATTCAATTGGGGCTTACCTAAAGAAAATGATACATCTTAGGATGTAAAGTCAGATGCCTTATTCTGAACTGTGATGCCCACCTCCCAATCTTCTGTGGCCTTTTTCTGTGGCTTTCCCTCTTTTTCTGACATTCCAGCAAGAATACAGCAGCCATAAATGTGACTTCTCTCACAGAACATGCAGATGTTAACAGCTCTCTACAGTTCTGCAGGACATCAAAAAACATTTCAAGAATCTCATAAGTGCTGACTAAACTTGCCTGAATTACCCACACTACCTCCTCCACATTCCTTAAGCATTATTTGTTTTCCTGAATATCTGTAGGCAAAACACAAAACAATCTACCAACTGAGGAGGGGAAGAACCTCTACCCCAAAACAAATACCAAATAACTTATCCAACCTATATATTCAAAAAATTATGCCTAACACAATAAGTCGAACTCTATTTAGATATTCAATCCCCAACACTATCTGCTCCTACTCATAATCCCACAATCCTTCTACAGAAAGTTTGAGAAGCTAAACATTACCTCATAGACTATGAAAATAGTTGAAGGACTGTTCTTGCTATTAAGTGCATAATTTAGGCAAAAACTAAGAAACTCCTTATTTTGTCCATTACGGTATATTTAAAAAATTATCTTTGAAAGGCTTATGTCTAATAACTATGCAACTAATAAGGTTACTATTTTATGAATTAAAATTCTGCATTGTAACCTTCATATATATAACCACAATTTTCATTCCAATTAATAAGGCAGTTTGGCTTCTTCAATGTTAAACATGTCTTGAGGAAAAAAAAAGAAAATATATTTAAAGTAAATGATAGACTGTTATTCGTAAAAGAAATCAAATTCACTGAAATACATTTTTGTTAAGAAGAAGAAATCAGGGGGAGGAAAATCTAGGTTGTTTCACTGGGCATAGATTTTGCCATATAATTCCTTGAGTATTTTTTCTTAAATAATTCTAGATCAAGAGCAACAAACTACAGATGTTAAGTGCTACTATCATGGTAATATTTGAAGTGTTTTATTAAGAAGATAACAGTACCAGAAACAGATTTCCAACTGGACACTGCCAACTGTTTAAATGTTCCTTGAAACTATCCCAAAAGTTTTATTATGATCCCTATGTCAGTGATAGATCAGGTACCTATTAAAAACTGAGCACTGTGCTGGGTCTCCTAACAAATTATCTCATTTAATTTTCACAATAATGCCATGGCCTTAAGGTATTAATTTTCCCTTTCAACGGATGAGAAACATACGCTAAATAACTGGTTAAATAACTGCTCAAAATCAAACATAAAGCAAATGGCCAGGCCAGAATCCAACAGACATTTTACTGATCTTAAAACTCATGCTAATTCCAATTAAACATGGTGCGTCAATGGATTTAAAGGCTCATCTCATTCTTTCCAGGGTTAGTTAGTGACTACTAAGTGCAAGACACACAACAGCTCAAGTTATCCTTTTAAAGGGGGCAATTTAGATCATGTCACTTCCTAGCTTAACCCTCTGATGGCTTCCAGACATGCTTAGAATAAATCCCCAACTTCTAGCAATGGACTGGCCCCTGAACTTGGCTCAAGCTACCCTGACCTTTGAAAATGGCAATCGTTTTCATCTCAAGGCTTTACGGTTGCTATTCCTCTGTCACTAAATCTTCCCATCACTCAGCTCTCAGCAAAAATCTCACCTATTTAAAGGTGTCTTCCTTGACAATCTAATCTAAATGAGCTCCCCACCTAGTAAGTCACTCTCCAGCCTTTTTTTTTATTGTACTTATCCCTATCTGAAATCATCTTTTTCATTTTTCTGTTTCTTTGTTTACTGTCTGTCTCCTCCCAGTTCCAATACAAATGCCTGGAGAGGAGGGACTCACCAGTCTTGCTCACTATTGATTCCTCAGCATCTATAACAGTGTCAGACCCATAGTGTGAGCTCAATAAATAAATATTTGTTAAATGGATGACTGAACTCTAGGTGCCATGGAGACACAAACATAATTAGGTACCAGCCCAACCCTCGAAAAGTGTTCAATCTATAGGAGGACAACCATACAAATGATTCCACAAGGCAAAATGTTTTAAGTGCCGTACGTGAAATAACAAAGTAGTACATGGTTTCAAATAAGAAAAAAAATTTAAAAATTATATACCAACATAATATTAAAAACTACTTAATTTCATCACAAAAAAGAGAGGAAGATAAATTAATGGAGAGAATACATACACATACATTCTCTCTTGCACATGCTCTCTCTCTCTCACATACACACACTCTCTCTCTCACACACACACACACACTCTCTCTCTCTCTCTCTCTCACTCTCTCTCTCTCTCTCTCAAGTTATTCCTCAGAGCGGAAATGCTCAGTTCAGACGCGGCTTGGAAGATATAAACATCATTGAAATTCAAAAGCAGTTCTGAAAGAGAGGATGCCTCAATTGGTATGCAAGGGATGTTTCCTCCCCCTGAATACATTATGAACTTGCAGCATGCTAATATGCCATGCTATCATAAGCACCAGATGGGGCAGTAGGCAGTACATGTCCCATCAAACCTCAAGAAGATGTATTAATGTTCATGCTCTTTAAAAAAAAAAAAAAATCCTTTGCCTGTGTCCCTAGACTTCCACATTTCTTAGCATTCAGTCACTTTCTCTCAAAGCACAGTCCTCCAGGGCTGCTCCTCTTCACCAGATGGTGCCAGGAATCATTTCAATCTATTTTATCACAGGAGGCAGAGGCCACAAAGCGTGTCAGACTACACTTACTGAAGGCCTACCAAGCACAAAAGAGAACAACAGAAGATATGGGAGACATCAGAAATAAATCTTCTCAAGGCATTACCAATGAAACATTTTTTAATTACATTGAATGCTTATTTATGTTGAACAGAGAAAAATAAAAGAAAATCTTTGTATATCCAAACTTCCAAGACTAACTGATATTACTGTGAAATTGAAGTCTACCTAAATATTCTACTCATTTGTTTACAAGTAACTATCAGAACAAACCAACAAACCAGAATTCAAGTCGAAAAGCACCCTCCCTTGATTCTCAGTCAACTTAGCTGTGTGGGCATCTGAATACACTGTCAGAAACCAAGGCATAATTAAACAAATACATAATTTGTAATCTCTCAAGTATTTTTAAAAATACATCATTTAAAATAAATCATATTTCTCTACACAAGTCCACAAAAATAAAAAGAAAAAATAAGATTAAATGAACAATATTGATTTCCATACTTTTAGGACCTAACCTGGCTTATTTATGACCAAAAAGGGGCATTATCTATAGAATATAAAAGGACACAAAAAATATAATTTACAAAAGTGGTTCTCCACTTGAATATGCTTAAGAATCCTCTGAGGGCTTGTTCAAACACACGTTACTGGGTCTACCCACAGAGTTTCTGACTCAGTAGGCTTGGGAGGGGGCAGAGAATTTGTATTTCCAACAAATTCTCTGGTGAGGCAGACACTGTTGGTCCCCTTGACCCCATGTTGAGAACGTGGCTACACCATCCTGTACCATGCTTCCAAAGTGCTTGACTGACCCTGTGAGAGTCTTTAATCTGTTTAGAAAATCAGCAACATTCTTGTATTAGGAAACTCAACAGATGAGCTAAACTGACCTTCCAAGAATTTTTATAATGCATGAATTAAGAGAAATGCTTACAAAGTATCTGCCGAATTAGCAAAGATTATTCTTTTAAGAGATACTGAAACTCAAAAGTCTTACCCTATTCCTTTCAAATGATCCAATGCAAATGTTGAAAAAATGATAAAAGGGCAGAAACATTCAAAGAGAGCAGCAATTAAAATCATTCAAATTTTTAAAGAAAATATATATTATATATAGAATGAATTATTCTAGCAATCGCTCTAGAGTCTTTAAGATAAATTTTACCTGTCTATCAAATTGTTACTTACCTAGGATTATTGATATAAGAAACTATTGGCTAAATTTATCATGTAAAAGATAAAAATATTTCATTAATACTTCTCTTTGCTAAAATCTTACCCAGTATGCCTGATGGGAGACTGAAACATTATACCCATCCTCCACTAGGTGACAAGAATGAAAAATGGCCAAACTACATGAAAATGCCCAGGTGGAGGGAGAGTCCATTTCCAAAATATCACACACACTGTCAAAAGCCCTTTGTTTCTAATTTTAGTAATTATGCCAGAAAGTTTTAAGTGTTGTATGTTGCATTATACTTTCAGTAAGTATAATCAGGATAAATTACATTGAATTTTAACATGCAGCTAGCCACCAATAAAGTTGTGGGCCACAAAATATATGTATTTTCCTTAACTCTGAAAGAAAATTCTCATTCGTAAAGACCACTTACTGAAAATTTTTATAAGATTCATTTCTTAATTTTTCCCCTTGTTAATTAACATGCTTTGTGTATTATTTCTTTCTTTTGAAATCTCTGTGAGTCCCAGTCTACCTCTCATCCACTCACTTATTCATTAAGCAAATATTTGCTGATTGCATACTCTATGCCAGGCTCACAGGTAGCCTGGAATGGAATTATTAGAACTAGAAAATCAAGATCTGAACATAAATGGCAGCTTTATCAAGGGGAGTTGATGATGTTTAAAATGTCTATTTTAAACAGTGAAGAAAAGAAGCTGTATCTTGGGATAACACAGAAGTGGAGTAAAAGGTTATACAGAATTCAGCTCTCCAGCAAAACCACCTACAAAGAAACATGAAAATCAGTAGGGGTGGGGTGGGGAAGAAGTGGGGGACAGACTCAGTGATGTAAATTGATGCCACAAATTAAAAGTGCCACTTATTAGTACCTGGAAAAAAAAAAAAAAAAGACAGGCTTTTCAGGCTCTCACTTAAGCATGTGTTTTATTATGTGATCACCATTCTAAGTTTGGTTATCTGGTTTCCACATTTGCAAATAACTGGGATGTGTAAAAGGGTGGCACACTGATAGAGAAGGGGTAAACCGCTGACATAAAGATGAGGCAGAAAATCCTATCAAGCATAGGCAAAACTCAGAAAATTTCATCTAACCTAGACAATGTGCATCAAGCATAACACTTGGCACTGTTTTGTGGGGGGTTAAACACTGTCTCCTATTTTTTAACTCCAGACAGCATCGCTGTCTATAAAGAGGTTTAATAACCTCTTTATACAGGTACACAGCATATCTACAATCACTATTGCCATCCTGTGAAAGTTAGCAAGGCAGAATAACTGTTTCTACTTTTAAGACAAAGAGAGTGAAACTCTGGCAGACTGTAAATGGAAGAGCACTGATTCACAATCAGGCATTGACATTCTCGATGCTCTGTGTTTTTGATAGATGGCCTCATAAAATATAATATATTAATTGCTCATAATATAAACCCAAGTCACAAAGCTAAAGATAAAATACATTCAGCACAGGGCCAGGCGCGGCGGCTCATGCCTATAATCCCAGCACTTTGGGAGGCGGGCGGATCACGAGATCAGGAGACTGAGACCATCCTGGCCAACATGGTGAAACCCCCTCTCTACTAAAATACAACAACAACAACAAAAATTAGCCGGGCGTGGTGGCGCTTACCTTTAGCCCCAGCTACTAGGGAGGCTGAAGCAGGGGAACTGCTTGAACCCGGGAGATGGAGGTTGCAGTGAGCCAAGATTGCGCCACTGCACTCCAGCCTGGGCGACAGAGTGAGACTCCGTCTCAAAATAAATAAATAAATTAAAAAAATAAAAAAATACACTCAGCACAAACTGATCAGCTTGTGATTAGTAAGTACAACAATTTTAAACAGTGAATGAAAGTAACTATGGCTTAAAGAGATAATCTTGCTCTTGAGAAACACTACAAAATGATTCAATTCTCCAAGATGTTTTGGGAAAAAGTTTATTAACTTCACAATGACATGGTACCAAATGTTTTACACTCAGAAAATATGATCAAAATATAGATAAAGATAAAAAACCAAATGGAAACACACTCCTCTATGTAGTAAGTAGTTAAACAATGTCAACAACAGGTAACTCTTCCTTTTAAAGATGTTCTTTAGAAAGATTCCTAAATTGTACAAAATAGAAAACATTTTGAAAACCTAGTCATGCCTAGGCTTACCAACTTTGGGAGGCACTTCGCGTTTGTATTAATTTATTAATTTTTTTTTGAGACAGGGTTTCACTGTGTTGCTCAGGCTGGAGTGTCATGGGGCGATCATAGCTCACTGCAAACTTGAACTTCTGGATGCAAGCGATCCTCTTGCCTCAGCCTCCAGAGCGGCTAGGACTACAAGCACGTGCCACCACGCCTGGCTTCCACTTTATGTTTAGCAAGCAAACACTGGTATATAAAGAATGCCTGGATAACTAAAAAGTTGGGTTTTGCCTCTGACTTCTATCATTTTCTATATTTTCTAAATCAACTATGTATTTGGAATATTCTAGGAAGTTAGAAGAAAATAAATATTGAATAGAAAGTTTAACAAGTGTTTTCTATAGACAAAAATATTTGTTTTGATTTCCTCTACGTATTTTGTCTGTAGGCTATACAAATATAATGCTAAAGCAAAAAGAAAGAAAATAAATGTTAACAGGCCTTTCAAATGAAGTGTTACTGTAACTGCTAAGTATATAGGTTCAGATACAACCATAACAACTAAGAAACAATGTCCATTTCACAGGGAAAATGTCAGGATCACAGCCTTTCTTCCTTCCAGTCTTATCCTCATTAGGACATATTTAAATTTCAAATGCAGGAGTATATAAATTGTTACCTCAGGACCCTCAAATTTTACTATGTATTTTCCTCCTAATAACCTGAGAATCATTAAAGCAAACAAGTCCTGAGGAAGGTGGTGAAGTTAAATGAGGGAAAGTTCAAACGTAAAATAACGAGACTCTCAAAAGCACAGCAATTGTCTTTTTTAAAGTTAGCACCCCCATCAAAATCATCCCAGATTGTGAAAAATGCTCAGTTTACTTTGTCAAACTCTTTAAGACTCTTGTTAAAGTCATAAACACATGATAAAGACACCCTCCTACATCCCTTCTTCCTAAAAAGCATTTCACCTAGCTGATTATATAGCTCTTAAAGTGAAACTCTTCCCAGTATCATGTTCTCATAGGTACTTTTAAAATTATTTTCTTCCATGAGTGTCAAGTACTCTGTATAATGTTAATAAACCACATAAAATTAAAAGAATCCCTCTAATAAAGTGAGCCAGACTACACTTATCACTTAGCCTTTAAAAGCGAAATGTGGAAAACAAAATCAAGCCTTCTAGAGAAAGCATCCCACAATTTTAAAAATCAACTGCTTTTTTTTTTTTCTTTGCAGGAGGTGGGGGATGGCAAAAAAAGATATCTGCTTTCTTAAGAATGTACTCATCTACTGGAAACACTGTGCCTGCTTGTCTAGGAGCTCCTGGGGGCAGAGCCATGGATACCCACCAGTCTCACCACCAAAAAACGTGCTTTTTTTTAGCTACACAATTTTTAACAATTTTGTCTGCCAAGGTGTTGAATATATTATTTGCTTTCTAATTTTCTACTAATCCAAAACACAGAAAACCATCCATCTGACCTTCCGATTAACAAAAGATAGCCAGGATGACCACATTCCAAAAGCCAAGAAAGGTGATATTTCAGTTAACCTGTATAGCTCTGTCAGGGAGTAAATTTATGATTTCTTTTTTGTTCCTGTATCTTAATGTGCCCTATGATTTCTATTAGGCTTTTCAAAATAATAACATTAAGTCTCCTGATGCCTATTAATTCCATTGTTCTCTTTCAAGAGGAATAGTAATACACAGAGAAATAACCAGCATGCTAACCTGTTTTATCCAAGATCATTCTTGATGATGAAGGCTAATGCTTTTTCTGTTTTTATTTTTCAGCAAAAAGAACTCTACCTTCTATGCTACTATAATTCAGATTCAAACATTCCCCTTTAAATGTTCCATCTAGCCTTCATTACAAAAGATCCTGCCATCAAGCCACAACATACCCAACCCCTCTCAAAAATAAAATAAGGAAACAAAAAGAGAATTCAAAGTCCAGGGAATCCCATCTCTACCATTTAACTTTACCTATGTCCTTGGGCAAACTGCTTAATTTATCTGATCTTCAGGCTTCAAATAGATCACATGGTAACAGAAACAATTTGCAAAGCTGTAGTGAAAATCAGAAAGTATACACAGTGCCTAGCCCACAGCCTGGCATATATAGGCTTTCAATAAAAGGCTGCTCTTAGTATACTATCAGAGATTTATTCCGTTCAGAGACAGCAGTTATATATTCCCTTTGAGATTAAGAGGATTTTCTGATTCCTTTGATTGGAACTCTATGGGTTGAAAAATATAATTAAGCTAGACCTTCTCAGAAAGTACATTTACATTAATATTAATTAATGCAAACAGCTGTTTGAGAAAGCCAGCACGATAAACCTGTTTCTTGGTCAGGTGTGAAATCCTATTGTTCTCAAGTTATGAGTCATTTAAGTTAATGATTTATTCCTCTAGATATGGTTAGCTATCAAAGAACTGCAACTGTACACAAAGAAATAGCTTTCAAGAAATACTACACCCACTGCCACACACAGAAATTAAAATCTAATAAAAACCAAAATGAATGCCCTATCCTTAGTATAAGAAGAACAAACCAAAAAATGCTAAGTTACATGAACTGAGATCCAATCTGCAGCAAGTAGAAGGAGCCAGGCAAGGCATTCCAATAGGCGTTCGTGTAGCCCATTGTGCATCCTTCCCCTATGTCCCTGACTCCTAATCCAGGTGGGTATCTACCCCTCTGGGCTCCTGCATGATCTACTATGTTCAGGCCCTGTTTACTTCTCTGCTGGGAACACTAGAACTCCAAACTTTTGGAGGGCATGGAGGGACTGAATCATGGTTATCTGGTATCTGGCACATTTTGAGCAACCTACAAATGTCTACTACCCAACTTTCCTCATTACAGTAACTTTCTGTTGTCGTAGCCTTACATTTTTGGTTCTGCTTAATACTCTCTTAATTAACTATATATAGGTTCCCTAATTCCCAAACAATTATAAAATAAATTTAATAGGCACACTTTTGCCATAGGCCAAGTGATTATTGTCACAGAATTTTCTCCCAGGTAGCTCTGCAATCCTAGAGTGGGAGGGGAGAAAGCATACGATGAGAGCGATCCAGGACTGAAGATAAAAGACAACAAAGTAAGACTGACACTAATATGCTAACATGATTTAATGTACATTTGAGATTTACAAACAGCACAGTTAAGAAAATGTCCTCAAAAGATCTTCTTACTTTCATAAACTACCTGAACAAGTCCCTTAATCTCTAGGAGCCTCAGTTTCAACATCTGTAAACTGAAGGTGCTCGCAAGATAAACCTTCAAGCTCTAAAATATATATATCTGTTCCCCTGATGGCTCAGAAGGCTTTTCAGAAAATTATAATTACAGCATCTTCTTTGCAAACATCCATTAACAATGTAGTGATAAGATAGTTAATAAACATTTCTAGGCTATATAATGTCTACTAAGCAAATGTTTACTTTAAGAAATAAAAATAAACAAGTAGTTGTCTTATGAAAGCTTAAGATGTCATAACCATCACCCCCTTCAAGAAAAAGATTAAACAATTATCATTTTCAATAGACCATTAACTGCACAGGAAGATGGCCTGTGAAAGTTTCCAAATATCATTTTACATACACAGAACTAAAAGGCCAAGTACTCTGAAATATTAACAGAAAAGAATGTAAAGAGAAGGGAGAGGGTTTCAGGGTTTGAAGGGAAGCTGGACTGTCTACATTTCTGCTACAAAAAAGTAATGCTGCATAATCTACATTTATAATTGGGTATTTACAACTTACATAGTTTTCTTCTATAGTTGGCACAAGGGTTGTTTGATACAGCAAAGAGCCTAATATAATGGCAAACCAACTTGCAAAGTAAAATAGAGTGTCAGTGAATGGACTGCTGTGAGTGTTTTTATTCTTGCATAATAGCATTTAGATGCATCTATTAAAAAAAAATCCAAGTGCATTATCCAAATGTTCAGTTACTAGGGATACTAACAGTTGTCTGTCCATGGCAATTTCATTTCTGTTTTTTTACACAAATCATCGCTTGCAAGCATTGATGTTAAAAACAGAAAAATAGTCTAGTACACAGTGGCTATAAATGCCAAATCAATTTTCAGCAAATAATAAAGTCCATGTTTTACAATCAGCAATGCACTGTTTTACTACCCAAAAATGTAAGCTAATAATATATAGCTCTACTAAATGGAAAATGCAGATATGCTGTTAAAAAATGGGCCGGCTGTGAGAGGATGGATCATTTCTGCAGGGACCTTCTTAAAGCTATGTGTAAGTGTTTTGAAAATATCACATGATGTGGCCATGTGTTAAAAATTACAGCCAGTTAAGTTCTCTGCTAAGGAAAATATGTGGGCAATTTATGAAATGCACTCCAGGATGGAGATGTCTTAAGTAAAACCAGATTTTGAAAACAAACCTTTTTTTTCTCTCTTTTGGAAACTTGAACTTAAAAAAAAGTTCCAGGCACATCTGGAGAGCAGGACCATTGAGAAAGGGTGGTCTGACCTAATACTAGCCATCTTCTAAAAGAAAAAGCACTATTTCTGGGCTACAGGGACTGTGCTCACTTATTGTCCTTTTAAGGAAATAGTCCTGAAAGCATTTTGTAGGTCAACATATGTTCTTTGATAATATTATACAAAGATTCATAAAAATATAAGTGTTTCAGAAAGCTTGGAGTCACTGCCTCCTGAAACAATATAATGCCCAAGGTCTCCCAGCCTTCTCATAAGAAAACATTTTCCTTTTCTTAAACACAAGGATCTAGTTGTTACAAAAGTGACAGGTAGTAAAATGATATTTCTTTATAATGAGTTAAACAATTTTGAAATAATCTATTTCTTTAAAGCATCCTTAGCCTCTTTTGACTTATATAGTTCATTTTGAAACAATATGCTAGCAACATCTTTAAAAACATGTTTTTTAAAACCAAAATAGTTCTAGAACCCCTTAAACTAAGACTTTTTTACTTACCCACCCCCAAAGATTGGGATGTCTGAATAAGATCAGTTTGTGCACATCTGTTTCCAGGGATCCTCAATTTTATAAAAAAAGGCCCTAGATATGGCAATTGTTACATCATGTCTGAGACAACCAGGAATTAGTTCTGATACTTCAACTACCAAATATATATATATATATATATATATATATATATGTGTGTGTGTGTGTGTGTGTGTGTGTGTGTGTATGTTGATATATAGTCATTTAAGCAGTAGATGATATCAGAGTGCATAGAACACAACCTTTTAATCTTCTACACATAATGTCTTACTTAAAAATATAAAACCTGCCCAAGATGGCTAAAATCATCCATTAAAATGAACCTATATATATGGACTAAAATAAGCTAAAAACATATTTAGAGGTAGTCCATCCAATAGTAGAATTTAAAAACTACAGATGGGTGTCAAAAATAGCCAAGTGTCAAATCTGCTCAAGTATCGCCATTCTGGCACATGCTCATAGTCACAGCTGTTAATATATTCTATGTATCCAAGTACAAGGTTTTCTAACACAGTTGATGAGAGAGAGAGAGAGAGAGAGAGAGAGAAGCAGTGCCCACACTTCAGGCTATTGCTGTAGAACCAGATGTATTAACAACAACACTAAAACAAACTTATCAATGACTCTAAATCCCTAAATATAGTTCAATGCTTTTTAAATAAGGGTGCTTTGAAGCTTAGTTTAAAATGATGCAATTAGCTAGAAGTAGCAAGGGTCCTAACTAATCTCGTTCACCTATTATAATTCACAAATGGCTTTGGTTTATTATGGGGTTTTGTTTTACAAAATTAACATATAGACTCTTCAAAATGCTGATAAATCAGATCATTTAACACGTTTATTAACAGCATAAAAAAGATCTGAATTATGACATAAAAATCAGATAAATGTGCTCAATATTCTGGTGAAATAAAAAACACAGGCACTTTCACACTGATTCTGTATTATATACCCAGGGCACATTACATCTTTAGTTGCATGGTGCATATAAATCAAGATGAAAGCTTAAAGAGTTAAAATGACCTTTCAAAGACCTCAGTCATTGTCTTTTTGTAAATTGATTTTCCCCATAATTCAGCTACATACATTCCTAGTCTACTAATGAAAAAGTGCAATTCTGCCACAAATGCATCCTTTCTGCATATATATCAATAATGATTAGGATGGACGAGACACATCCTAAAGGGAAAAACATTCTTCAAACAACTGGCAATACCTACACACAACTGTGGTTGCAGAAAACTGGCAGATAATGTTTCAAAACACCATCTGTGAGGTGTACAAACTCTGTGACCAAGCACAGCCTCTTCTGCCTGTCCTACCCAAATAATCCACATAAATCGGCCAGCTGGAGGATCTCTATCTGCCCTGTCTTTTTTATCTGAAGATAGGAAGCTCCAAATTAGGCACAGGGCAATTTAGACAGTTCTTGAGAACAGCCGAAACAACCCTTTCCCCGGCCAGCCTTCTCCACAAGCAGAGCCTTCACTGGCAACGATCACAGAAACACTCCAGGCTCCAAAAATAATATTTTTCAGAGGAAACTGACATGCACTAAATTTCCAGGACAAGAGCTTCACTAATTCAGCAGGCTTTTTATTTTAATTAACTGATTTCAATTATTTGTCTGATGACATCTAAGGGCTGTGATTTAGGACAAGACTGAAATTCCTTGTAGTTCCAAAGCTTCCTTCACTTTCTCTGACATAAACAGCTTTTTAAAGAGATCTTATTCCAGGATTCTGCCATAATCTGAAAACTCTCTCCACAGATGAAATTTCCAGGACACCAAGTACAGATGATAGTCACAAAATTCTGAACAGAAACAATACTTCTTACTTGAGCTAAAACCCTCAAGTAAATTACTCCGACAAACATCCGTGGCTGTACGACCCCCTCAACCTTTAAAATACATCTCCCAAATTTTAAAAGCAAGGGCTCCACACCCTGTACCCCTCCATGTATCAAGATCTTTGTGGTTCTCTTTATGCTACCTTCCAATCACACCTCTGTCACCCCCAGCCTCTTCCTGCCCACATCAGATACAACACGCTGTGGGGCAGAAGGTATTTTCCATGCATAATAGAAAGTAAGCTTTCTTCATTGGAAAAACAGAGAGAACACAGAACAGGGCTAACTCACCAGGCATCCTTGAATCCAGCGTACCACACAGAAAGTGGCTGTCTCCTAAAAGCAAGCGCGTTCCGGGCTCATGCCTCCTGTTCTGGAATGAGTGGCAGCAGAGAGGAGGGCCATCAGAGGGGCTGGGGCGGCATCGCCGGAGGCAGGGTGCTGGGCGCGTGCGCCTGCCAGGCAGAGACAGATGGAGAGCTGACACTCCGGATTGCACTTGGAGCAGAAATGTGGAGGATGACAGGAGCACATGTGGCCTTGAACCCAGCCCTGTCTCTTTAGGCAGAACAATGACAGGGATGTGTGTGCAAAGTATCACAACCCCTACCCTCCCCTTAGCACTCCACCTCTCTCTGCAAGTTTCAGAGCACCAAAAAGCAAAAAGTGAAATTCAGAATGATAAGCTAAATGCCGAATAATTTATTCACCACCACCCCCATCCTGTTCAAGGTTAACCCTTATTTTGCCAAAAGATAGAAATGTAGACCTGGCCCCCTACCACCCCTCACAATAAAAGGCTTCCCTTCATCTTCTCATTTTCATAGCCATAATTGGGAACTGTATTAAAAAAAAAAAGGTACAGAACTCAAAGCCTGTTTATTCAACTGGAAATCCCAAACAGCCTACAAACATTTTTATAAGACTTTGTATATTGTGCCAGTTTATCATCCTGCACAAAGTATCAGAATCATTCCTTTTGTCAGCTTCTCAGTAGTATGTGTAAAATAGAACACTTTTTAGAAGCTGAGCCGACCACTTTTATTTTACTCGAGTGCTTTTAACCCCCTGGGATCCCCGGGTTGATATGCTCCAAACATTTTCAGCTTACTTTCCTCTACCTTGCATAGAGATCCATGGGAGATAAAAACAAAATCTTCATTGTAAAGCCTTTTCAAAAGCTGAACAATCATGTCCTCCTGATTCCTGATTTCTTTGCACACCCCTAAATGTTTATCCTTCCCATGAATAACACATACCCAGCCAGGTTCAATGGACTCTTCCCTATTAAGCTTTAATGGACACCATGATATATAAAACTAGAAGCCTTTGTTATAGTGCTTTATCTAAAGCTGGCTATTTTCTTCTCAGCAGTCCCTCTTTAGTCCTTTGTAAAACATCCCTGCCTCATAGGAGAAACACACGCCTGCCTGCCTTGCATGCCTCTTCTAAACACACAACAATGCCAGGCAGAAGGAAAATACTGTTCTCTCCTAAAACTCTTTCTCAGTTTTACACTTGCAAATCTTTCCTAGGTCTGTGTTTGTTTCAACAACAGGGCACATGATGAGGTAGCTGCCTCAGGCTTTACCTTTCCATCGTATGCACAATCCACTATCAACACAGAAACAATTCCACTCAGGGTCCTCTGATCAGCCTGCAAGCTCAATGAACATGATAGACAGGAGCATTCCCGTTAACTCTTGCTATTCCTTCAGTCCTCAACATGTCCTTTACTTACTCTACACTTTCCATATGCTTTTAGCCCTTGTCAGATGGATTTCCACACTACTTGCTATCTCCAAAAATTTCTGAAAACAGAGGCAATAACTCTGACTTCTACCTACTCAATCTTCCTACACCTCTTCCCAAGAGTGCACACAACCTGTTTCAAAGCATACCCACACACACTCTCCGCACAAACTAAAAATATATTCTCTTGATAAACAGTGTCAATCAATAAGAACTTCTACAGCCCCTAAATACTGTACCCAAGAAGGGCTGCTTTATCCAGCGAACCCCTCAAAAATCCATCATTGTCAGAGACAACTTGTAAAAAGACCACAATTCATAACGATTACTCTGTTCTGTCACTAATAGTATACTGCACCCTATTTATGAGGCCAATCTTTTTGTTCATCTTAGTTAGATGTCACTTGTAATGAGGTTCTCTGTAATGGATTTCAGTACAGTTAAGCACCAAGCTCAAACATTCTTATGATAGAAAGCTTTATAGCAGGCATGAGTGTGATAATCAATTAAGTCCTGCTATAAGGGCCTTTATGGAATCCAGCATCCTAAATTAGTAGACTTTCATTTTTAAAGAGAGTATTTTTGAAAAGCCACTTAATGCTACATGCCACTGATTTTTTTTTTAGTACTATACTTATGTTAGAAAGAAAACATTTTCACAGTGGGAAACCCAACCTTTCATCAATATGCATGGTGAATCACTTCTAAAATAGAAAATCATATGACAAAATGCAATACACTTTTGAGAAAACTGGATGATATCCGGCTTTAAAATGGGGTCTTAATATCGGTACACTGCAAGTCCCTAAACCGCAGCTCAGACAATTGAACTTCCATATGCTGTGTGATTATGTATCTTTTCTATGTGTAAAAAGGCTTTTTAAGCTGTTATCTGACTACAGTAATTGCCACTTTAAATTGATCCACATCAACAAAACCTGGATCCCTGGAGATTCTCACCTAGAAGTCTGACTGCAGCGGGGCCTAGCTGAATGTGTGTGCATCTGAGACTAGTTCAGCATTTTCTCAAGAAACCAGTTTCCTCCTCTTATTCTTTAATCCATGGAGGCAAGAAAAGCAGAACCCCATTTGGCAGTTCTCCCTGAATAGGGAAACCTGGATATGTAGTTCTACACAGTTACTCAGACAGAATAACTTTTCGTTCATAAAAATAAATAAATAAATAAATAAAAGGAGGATATGGAGCCAAGATCTCTAACATCCAAATTGTATAATAAAAATAGACAATCAATAACATGATGAATGCATTTATGCAAGTGAATGGAGAAAAACAATACATATTGCAAAAGTTTTCTCCAGTACAAAACACTGTCATAAGGAAACATATTTTATAAAACTAAAATATATCCCAATAACAAAGAATACATTACTCACCAATTAAGTACTTCCTCAGGAGAACCTCATCGGTTAATGTATGTCACTGAATTAAGAACACAGTCCATTTTTAAGGCAATTTTTTAGAGAGAGTCATCTAAATCAACACTTTCCAAACCAGTAAGTTTAGTCAACAACAAAATGCTGGGCTCCCACAAAAGCAAATACATAAGTTGTTTTCTGACAACTTTAGATCATTCATTAGAAAGGCATTATGGTATTGTATGATTCCAAGGTATTTTTCACTTATGTCCACCACAAACCTTTCATGAAATACAAATTTTTCCTCTGTTCAAACCTGACTTAGCAACAGGGACCAGCAGTCTACTGACATGGGCTGCAGTTCAGGAAAGCTCTCTACATTGGTGAAGGGAGAATTTGAGTTAAAGCCTTTCCACAGGTCTTCTCAACTTTCCTCTCGGCTTCTAGCAGGCTGTTGTGATACACTGTGACTTCACACAGTGGGTATTAAGTGAGTTAATTCAAAGGAGCTGAAACCTCATTGATCCTAATTGAAAGCAATACACCCAACCAAATACTTTCCTACCCCATCTGCTCTGGCCTGCCACCAACTATTCAATACAAGAGAATTAATAGTTTCAGATATTCTAACCGACCCAATAAAGGCACTCATTTAAGCAGGGCTGCATTAACAAAGTGAAAAAACAAGGGCAAAATGGGTTCAAATGGAGCATTTTACTCCTAGTTGGCTTTAACAAAGCTGAATAAGGCTTATTCTGACTTTTTATGTGCAAGACTTGATAAACTGAATGAGAAGGCACTCAATGATCACCCAACGAGCATTGATGAATGGTCATTAAGACCCCCCTGCTCTTAGAGGAGACCCTTCCACAAAGTGGCACACCAGCTTGAAAGGGCAGACTCACTCATGTCCAGATTTCTCCGCTTGCTTGTCCCACTTTCAATTTCAGACCACTGGCCACCAAATGAGGCTGACATATTGGAAAATAATGTTTTATGGGCGAGTGGTAAAAAATAAAATGGAGGCATTAGCTCTGCTTTCAAATTCAAATCTGCTAGTTTTGTCAGACCCCAAAGGTTTTGATTTTCCACCCAGCTGGAAGCTATTAGTGTTTTCTAAAGGCATCCCACTGATAAGGCAAACCTACCTAATGTGTGAGTTGTTGGGCTAAGGGAGATGGACCTCTCTTTTGGATGATTTCCTAACTTCTCATCACTTTGACAGTCAATTAAATAGATACAACACCTAATAAAAATGTACATTAATTTGTTTCTGCCACTGAAAGCCATCTGAAACTGTATTAAATAAAAGCCATAATAGATTGTCCCCTGACAAAGATAAATCCAATTATACTTTGTCTGCAAAAAAACACAAATGGTTTATGTTTTAGTTAGGCTACAATGTAAGATACAGCTAACCACAAGAAATAAGTGGGATAGAGGGGGAAAGAAAAAACTAAGTGAAAAAGTTCATTGAAGTATTCCATCAAGGTTAAGAGGTTATCTGTCATTTTAGCTCCCTTACATAAATGTCTGTTGTAAACAACTAAACACATTTACGCTATTCCCTCAAATATTTCCTTTGGGGGAAATGATTGGCAAGCATTTGCACCTCCTCAACTTTCAGCCAGCCCGCAGAACTCACAAGAACTTTGCTTAGATGACAAAAGAACAGGAGACATTATTGCCATCTTAAGAATTTGAAGGGTGTATAAACATCATGAGGTTAAAGGTTTATTTAGGGCTGTCCAAGAGAGCCTAAGTGCTAGCAATGAGATGGAGTCAAGTAAAAGAAAACATGCTGGATAGAGGAAACCTATCTTAATAGGTGATTATACAGACATTACAGACGCGGAAAAGCTTTACTGCCTCAATCACATGCAACTAGTCAGACAAAGCACTATAGAACACAGTGGCCCATGGAGGACATGCTGTAGGTCTGTTTAGAAATCCTCATCTACCAGGGCAAGTGGCAGGCTGAGAGCTAGAAGTCACAACCCCTAGCCTTCACCTATGACTTATGTAAAACTCATGGTCTCAGGTCACTTTGATTTTTGCATCTCCATCAGTTAAAGTAAGTTAATAATGGACTCTACGACTGTACTTTGAAGATTCCAATGTTAAAATATTTTAAATAATGACTTCCTAAACTGATAAACCAAATAGTCTCTATGATATTCTTTTTTCCATCTTCAATGTCTACAGAATAAAATATTAGTGATATCATTCTGACAGTTTTTCAAGCAATATATTTGACTTTTAACTCTGGTTGAAGTACAATGTCCTCTTATACATGAATAAAAAGATGTGTATTAGTATATTTAAGTTGTGTGTGCATTTATGTGTATGTGTACAAAAATGAAGTCTGTTTAAGACAAAATATCACACTGAAAGTAAACAAAATCTATATCTGTAATTATTACAAATTGTTTCTGATAGTGCCAATGCCTTTAAAATATGACAATATATTGTAGTTCATTTCCACCAACTTATTTTCAACGTCTAATATTTTAAAATTTTTTGAAATGCTATAACAGCTTTTAACACTTGCACTGATTAAATTTTATGCTATTTAAACACAAATTTTAAACATACTATAATAATACAGTTAAAGGTAGATTCCTACATAGGCACTAGCAAGGGGTTAAATTATGTTAAAATTTTTTAAGTAAAACACTTCCTTATTAATCCACAAGCTGAACACTAGCTATGTTAACTGCTGTTTTTTTTCAAGTAAAAGCATTTCCCATAAAACAATTCCTAAAAACTATACATTTGCAATGTAAATCTGCAAATAAGTTACCATTTACAGTTTTCTCATATTTTGTACAGCTACAAAAATCACTCAGGTAACATGGAAGACATCCTAACTACCCATCTCTTATTCATTTGACAAGGACTGTAACACTATATAGAAAACCTTTGTTTCAATGTCACCACCTCCTCATCTTGACTAATGGCGAGTTAGTTTTGTTAAAACGCAAGGGTGATGGCATATGCTCCAATGAACTTTCCCTCCTCTCAGCAACAGAGACAAAAACCTGCAGCTCTGCTCTGTGCAGGCAGCCATCTGGACAGCTTTCCCTCAAAGCCCAGCCCACACCACACTGCAGGCAAAATCGGAGGGCTCGAGAGCTCTGTGGGGCTATTCATGACATACCAATTTCACATTTTCTGCTTGTACGCTTGCAACAATAAATGCTAATGAGGACTATGAATGACAATTTTAAAGACAATAAAAAGGTCTCCAAATCCCTTGCATATGGAGACACTGTTTTCAAAACTTCACCTTCTGTTACAGAGCTGTGAGAGACTGCAGGAGAAAAAAAGAATAACCTAAGGAAAACAATAAGATGATCAAAGCACAACTGAATCCTTAAGATTTTCAGAGAAAGCAATCTGTGTGAGCCCAGCAAACAACAGATCTTACCACCGCTATGAACAACCCTATGAATACATGAGATACCTTTAATCTCACTACCTTTGCCTTCTGTAGACATGCAGCTTAATAAAAGCAATTCTTGATGAACTTGATTATATTCATTATTTTGGAGCCTGGGAATTCTAAGGATAGTATTTGTCCAAAAATAATTATAGTAATAATCATCATCATCATACTTTGGCATAATATTTAACATTCCAGATATCTTTAAATAAATTCAAATGCAAACTGGTTCTCTTCTGATAATGTCTATTCTTAAAAATAATGCAATTGTGGGTGGTGAAATTATATACAATATTTATTCCCTATTTTTTTATTTTTCTGTATTTCCCAAATCTTCTAAAATGAGCATGTATTATATTTTGAAAAAAAAAAAAGTTACTTTCAATGCATTGAAAGAACTGAACAAATGACACATAAATGTTTTGACCTAGATAGGAATTAAACTATTTTACACAGCAACAAAAATAAAACAAAAGATTTCCCTATAGTTCAGAGAAATTGTCTAAAGAGTGTTCTTTTCATTAACAAGGATTAAAACACTTTCAACAAAATCCACCAGGTGGAGCAAATACACAGCAATAAAAAAAAAAATCCCAGAATTTTTTTCATCATATTTTCTTTCACAGGACTTTCATCTCTAATAAATTCTCCACTTATATCTCTCCACATTGCAAATTATCAAAATCTATGCACACATACTAATCTGCCACGTTTATAAACAATTCAAAGTTACTCAAAAATGAATTTTAGTTACAATGAATTCTATTACAAATGTTCACTCCAAAACTGCTCTATTTGTTCAAATAATACCCAGCATAGTATATTTGCTTTTATATCAATGTAAATTTTTAAATTAATGTTTTACAGTGACCCTACAGGGTTTTACCAGGCAAAAGAGAATTTAATGCTGTATATGTTGAAATACACTCAAGAATGGTTAAAGCCTATAAATCTCAATGCAATTCCCTTACTCTATATGGAAATTTTTACTCTTACTTTCATTTATTAAAATTCTCCTTAACTGCATATACCATAATCTTATTAAAATTATGGATTATTGTACCTTTTTTACCCATTATACCTAAATGTCCTTTTTTCATTCCTATTGATAAATTGACACAAGTCCACAATTAGTTATATGTTTTCCCTTCACTTTCCAGAGTAATTCACTGCCTCCGATTCTCTTCTCTCACAGATTGTTTTTCTTGCATTTCAGTCCACACTTACTGAGCACCCTCAGTGCAAGTCTCCAAACCCAAATTCTTTCATTTCTGACACCACCTGCAAACCACAATTCTCCCCATTCAGTTTTCAGTCTTCCACATTTTTCTCACATTATACACTCTCTGCTGCCAAAGCTTAAAGCTACACATGGTCCTAATGTTACTATTGTTACCTGCATTTAAGAAGACTCCACGTGGACAGAACTACAAAAAAGTTGGAGCTTGAAAGAAACCTGCCAAGAGTTTGTTGGTGGAGGAGAACACTAGTTAGGAATATTGGCTGTGGCTTAAAATATATTTATATGTTTTCTTTTTTCATATTTATACTGATGTTGAAAAGAGAAATACTCTAAAAGAAATGCAGCAGGCTGATACATAAATAAACACGCACATGCCTGAGGATACACATAACACTTATGGCAGAGCTACTTACGCTGTGCATAATAGATCACGATGATGCCAGCTCCATCACAAGGCGCACCAGGCTAATGCAATTATTTAAATTATTATATATGTTTTACTGGAGTGGTAAACAAATATATAAAATATTGACATTACTTCCATGTGATATGCAAAACAAGTTTTTAAAATAATTCCCACCAAAATCTTCCCTGCAAAGCCCAATCTCTATTCTTTGCAAAGGACAGAATCAATTCCTTGGAGCTGTGCTTATGCACTAGGCAAAGGTATATACTGCTCTCTTTACATGCCCATAACTCCTATTAACATTAATGGGAGGCACATATGTGCATCTAAAGGGTAAATGCCCTTCAGTCTGCATGACAGAATCCTAATGAAGTAGTTGGAAAAACCAAATCACTGCACATGTAGTCACACTTTCCCCTGCCTTTGCAGGAAACACCACCACCACCACCTTTGTTTCCCAACCCACAGCAAAGACATTTCATCAGCCCACTGTGTGGACAGATTTCCTCTTGGTAAGATAAAATCCTCTTATATTCATGGGATCTCCCAAATGGCTCCATCTCCAAGCACTTCTCAGAATATTTATCCCATGTTACCCTCAAATTGGCCACACATTACTGTGCAAATATTATTTCTCACCACCTCCAGCTTCGTCAAAGAGTATGGCCCTTCCCACAGCAAATGTCAAAGACCATATTCCAATTCCAAGAAAAGGAAAAAACATTCAAGTGCAAAAGTTCTATCACCTTTTTTTAAAAGTGGACTATTCTATTTTCATGGGCAGATGAAGATTCCAAAACCGCCTCATAAAAGCAATCTCTGAGCTACTAGCTCCACACCAGACTACTAATGAGTCTGACTGGAAAAGAGCAACACACATAGGACACTATATAATGGGAACTCAGAAAATAAGAACCCAACAAACTAAGGCCAGCCCTCTACTGGTTAACGTCTGTTGCTGCTGAAACAGATTGTTTCATAGCAAGGCCAGAAGTGTAAAATAGAGCCAAATTCTTAGATCTTTTTTTTTTTTAATCAAGCATGTCTGTCAGTGTGGTCCACAAGGGGAGAGCAGGGGACACAGCATTGGCAGGAACCTCAAATTCCTGACCAAACCCTCTTCCACACAATGCCTCCCGAAAGAAAGGAACCCAGGGTTTGAGCCAGCCTGACGCTGGCGGACAGACAGGGCTGGCCTTGCAGGATGTCAGAGCGCCAGGCGGCTGTGAGAGATACTGGGTTTTCACACACTCCCAGCCTGACTGTTTTGCTCTTCAGGTAATTAAACAAGGAAGCAGGGCTGCTGGGTATGAGCCTGACCCCGAAGCTGCGGCTCCATGGTTCTGCATATCAACTTCCGCAAGAACTGCCCGGAGCATCAACAGAACATTCTCCTCTCACTCTCTCTCATTTCCTTCTCCACCTCTTCCTAAAGCTGACCCAGAAACAAGTCCTGCCTATAAAAACATCCAGAGAAAGGTCTGATTTTATTTGTCATAAAAATCTCTATGCTATTCCCAGTCATTACCCTCCAAATTTTAAAAAACAAAAAAGTACCTTAATGGCAGAAACTTCATAAAAATTCATATACAGCAAATCTGTGTAAAACGCTGGTATCTTAATCAAGATGGATCAAAGAAAATTGTACTCAAATAATTATAATTTTTAACATGCTTGATTAAAGTGTAAATCTTCAAATTCAAAGAAGGCTCACCAAGAAATAAATGATTTTGATAGTCCAGTTTACAAATTAAACATTTGTTGTGTTACATAATTAACATTGTTATTTTAAATTTTGATAGTGGTAATTAATGTAAGCAAATACCATCTATGATCTGGTTTATTATGTTTCACCAAAAATTTTATTTAAACAAAACTCTAAAATATTTTGTGTGTGCAAAGTCACCAAACTCAGGAATATCAAACATATCCTTTAAAAGATAAGAAAGTGGTATATTTATATACATATATATAATTAAACAATGATTAGAATCATATAAATGATATACTCTTCTTTCATCTCAAAATCCATACAGTAAAATATTGGCTGAAAGAGACAGAGACCAAAAGAGAGAAGAATACAAAAGCATGCCTGCTTGTCTGTGTTCAACACAAAGAACATTAAATGAAAACAACTGGCATGCTGCCAAATTCCTATAGAGGCAAAGAGATTCAAATAAATTGATTTCACGCATCACACTGACCTGGGATCAGTGTGCAGTGCTACAATAAGCTCAAAGCTCCATGTGGGGTAAAGCCCATTAATGCTATCAGACCCCTCAAACATGACCAAGAAAAACTAAAAATAAGAGCAGATACTCTCTAAAAGCAGCAATTTTACTTAATAAAATAACTTTCCTCTTCCTAACAAAGATACCAATATATAAAGGTGCACAGCATCATCTATATCAGCATTTTAAAAATACCTCTTTTTCAAAATACAAATGTGGCTTTTGAAACCCACACAATATGTAAAAATTGATACTACCTATATATCCCATTCCATGATATGCATGAACATAAACAGGCACTCTTTGCAAAAAAAGTTTCCTGTCATTCTTTCCTCCCAAGCTGCTTCCTCTTACATCTTTTAGAAAACATATGGATCTTTTTAATATGTCAAATACTACACCCTTCTTAGAATTGTCCTCAATGGCTTATGATAGCAAGCTCCTCAGGCCAGACTACCACTCCTAGGTGTCCCAAATCTGTCTGGTCCCTACAATGGCAGGCATTACAGGAGAACGGCTCCAAATGGCATTCTAGAGGACCAAGCACTGTGTGTACCTTGGGTATGCTTTAAAACACCAGGTGGGAAACACAACAGCGTTCTCATTTTACCAGCTTCCACCCAAGCTGGTGGCATACCCCTTTAGTATCATTTCCCACCCTCCTGCCCCCCAGCCTCTGCCCTAACAGAGGCCCATCTCCAGGAGACCCCAGCCTGCTTCAAACTTGCTACGCAGACCAGACTCTCTGGCGCCACCTCAGGCCATTCTCACTCACAATGCCGACTGTTCAGCCATGGATAGTCCTTTGCTTTATCTGCTTCTAAATTACAACTCCAAAACTCTAAGAGCCCAATGGATTCCAGGTGTTCTAAAATGTAAAGTATGTGATTTCTGTTTTCCCAACTTCTTGAGTTTGAACCCCATATTTCTATACACCTAATATTATTACAAAGAGGAAAAAAAAATTAGGAGTAATTATTATTGTTAGTATATTTTTTCATTTATTTAAAAACAGGGCCTTGCTGTTGCCCAGGCAGGAGTAAAACGGTGCAATCATCGCTCACTGCAGCCACGAATTCCTGGGCTCGAGCAATCCTCCCACTTTAGCCTCCCAAGTAGCTGGGACTACAGGCATGTGCCATCACACTCGCCTGAATTTTTAATTTTTTTGTAGAGATGGGGTCTCACTTTGTTGCCCAGACTGGTCTAGAACTCCTGAGTTCAAGCAATCCTCCTGCCTCAGCCCCTCAAAGTGCTGGGATTATAGGTATGAGCCACCATGCCTGGCCTAGAAGTAAATTTTTAATGCCACATGGAAAACAAAGAAAACCCAACAGTTACAAAATAGGTCAATACAAATATGTATATGTGTATACAGACATCATGTTTAAAGTATGTACACACACCACACATACAGGAGAGTAGGAGAGACAGAGAAGAAAAAAAGAAGAAATTGCACATTGTGTTTCTGATACATGATGCTGGGGGTTCCGTACATGAATAACAAATAAATGCATTCCAAATTATATTAAGATATGTGTTCTTGTCATGCATTTTTGCTTTCAATATAGATCTTCCATGCTGCAATGGTTCATTGCCAGCAGGCCACAGATATATTCCACATGACCAGAAAGGAATAGATTGTGATGGAATGCGAGTGGGTAAAGATAGTAACTCTATGTATCTGCAATATGTTCAAGCTTTAAAGTCCAATATCCTTTTTGATTTTTAATCTGCATCTTAGATATCTTTATCATATTAATACAAACTCCACGCAGATACATAAGGCAGAAACCAAGGAGTTCCACAGACACATTAAGCCCAAGCTTAATGTGGAAGCCCAAACTGGTGGAAGATGACAAGAAAACAATTCTAAAGCGGGATGGTTATTATTATTAGATTTTTCCTTTAAGATATTGATACCTTTTCTTTTTCTCTATGCAAGACTTTAGCAGGCTAATCAACCAAGATCTGAGTTCTCAAAAAACCAATGTTTAGTAACAACAGTGCATAAGGTTAAGAAAAGAGAAGTAGTCATGGGAGATGTCTCAACTGCTTAAACAATTGAACTCCTTGCCTTCTCTTTTGAATTGATGTCTCTCATTAATTGTATTAAAAGAACATCATCACAGTATGAAGAAGGAGGAATGAAAAGAAGGGAAATACAGACACAGAAACCAAATCATGATTAAGGCTTCCCCAAAGGAGTGTATCATCCTACAGGGAATTATTTCATTTTCTCTGGTCTTTCAAGAAAAAAAAACAACAACTTTATTTTCCAACACCTTCCTGAGAACTTTAAGAACAAGCCTATAAGCATTTGTAAAAATGGCAAGAGTAGACATTGTGGGGTGGATGCTAGCAGTGATGTTTCCAGAACAGTGGTCACCAAGGGTGAGTATTTCGCTCCCCCTCTTTCTACGTAGTCAGTCAGTCAGTCACAGAACTTAAAATCTCTTCCCAACCACTAGAGTGCCAACCAGTATCACACAACATTTGTGTTGACTCTCAACTTTTTCTTAGCAGTGGATCCTTATGCCCTGGTGCTTCTGCACAAGTCCACTATCCACTAAACCTGGAACAGAGCTGGCTACAGGAGACATGAACTCTCTCCCATAATTCAGGGCTTCCTTGAATTTTCAAATATTGCAGACTTTAAGAAGTCTCTTGCCAAATGGCAATACATTTAGTTTATATTTGCTGTTTTCCTAAATTAAGATATCACCTTTTTTCTTAATGTGTCTATGGAATGAACTCTGCTTAGGAAGTGACATTTGCCTAAAAGTTTTTTAAAAATCCAAATACATCAGAAGAAATAATAAACTGAAAGGCAGTTTTTTGCCTATTTAGTCAACAAACTGTTTCAGAAAACACCATCTCCTCGTTACAATAAACACAGAAATCATGGCATAGTTTTTACTCTTTAACTCCAAGTATTGCTCAGCTTATAACAGATGTATTATGAAACATGGCAAGAAGCACTGCAACAAGAAGAGGGTGAAAAAATTTGGTACTTGATCATTTGATATATTCAGACCCAAAACTATCAAACAGGGTTCCCACCACCAGATTGATCCCCACCCAATCCCCACACCCAAAGATTTCAAAGACAAATGTTTAAAACATACAATAGAACAGGCACTAGAAGAAGGAAGAAAAAAGAAAATCTTTACAATTATAATTTATTGGAAAAAATAGATTGATTTTTCTGGTACGTAAGTAAATTGCAAAATCAAAATATTTGTCTGTTCCTTACCTTGACAATATTCAAAGTTCCCTTTTTTCCGGCAGTCACCTATTACTAAACTCAGTGCTCTCCAAGTGTTTCTTTTGACAGATATCATTCTCCACCAATCGCTCTGCTAATTTCCTCTCTCCTTTTCTGACTGGGACAGAGATTATGTTCACCAGCCCAGAGATCAATCTTTTCTATTGACAACAACAAAGGGAAAAAAAATGCATATATCACAACCAGTCTGAAGTATCATACCCATCTGTTTACATGATAACACTAGGCCAGTTTTGTTATGTTTTGTTTAAAAAAAAAACAGATACAAGCTCTTCTAAATTTTAGAAGAATCCAAAACAATCCCCATTGTCTCAGTTCCTATCATGATGTTTTCTAAAGGACTCTTAATTTTCCAATCATCTGACTCAAAGCTGGATACATTCTCACCCTGAAAGCTCTTCTTTTCTTAAATTGGTTTTAAAGATATGCACATCAATACCCTAAGAGAATGTTACATTTTACCTGTTTCAAAAAAATAAATAATCTGTCAGATATTATGTTTTCTTTAGAAAACAATTTAGACATTATTATTTATGGAATTTTACACACAAGTTAATCCTGTTTCAAAACAAAGTGGTTTGTTTCATTATTCAAATTTTGTTTCGCTGTTCTGAAATTTCAGTATTGCCATTATTAGCACACATAGTTTAAAACAACAGTGAAGAATAATCCTTATGTAATAGAATAGTTAAAAAATATTAATGAAACAAATATTGTTGAATTATTTTACCAAATCAACAAACTTCTACACCTTTTCTTCCTTTTAATAATATAAATTTTCTCATTTTTCCTGCTATATTTGACAAACTTAGAATTTGTTCATTCACAATATTTATTGTCTATTCCTCACCTACTATGATTAAAAATGAGACCACTACTATCACTACTATGAATAGAAAAAGTATTGCTATGTAATTCTTACAAACTAGGAAATATAAGGGTCCAGCACAATCATACACATATAAGGTAGGAACTCAACAAATGCAAGGGAAGAAAGATTTCTAAAAGCAGTCTCAAAAGGAATTACTAAGGCTGTAGCTATTATTTTTTGAGACCAAATTACTTCCTAGAAATTAAAATCGGTGAACATATTCTGATGTAAATAAAACAAGCAGGTTCTATTTTTTAAAAAATCAATGTAGTTTATGTGCCACATTATGATTCTTTTGTGATGCAATCAGTTGTTTCTTGCTCTTTAAGGTTTAAAAATTAAATAAGTACTGATTAATTAAAATACATTACTAGATATTTCTTAGTTGGGAATTGCCTTGCAGTAAGCAAAGATCATTAAAGACAATCAGCTGGATCTTGGAAACATTTAGCTTACTATAAATACTAACAATTTTATTAACAAATGATAAAGCAAAAAATTTCAATGCTATAACCAAGATACATAAATATATGTACACGTATAGGTTGTGTAAGTACTCAAATAGTGGAGTGGGGGAGGGTGCACACAGCGGGGAAGACTGAAAGTAAATACATCTAGATGTTAAATATGATTATTTCTGGAAGATGGCAATGTGAGTAACTTTTCTGCACAATTCTGTTATTTCCAATGTTTCTGTACAAAGGTAAAAAACATTTTATATAGGCTAAACAAATATTGGGAAAAAAGAAAATGTATACTCTTCTTAGATTCAATCATAATATATATTTTGTGCTTCAGCAACCATCAACAAAGGCCATCAGAGAGCCTGACAAAAGTGGATCATGCCCCTATATGAGCCATAGTTAATAATCTCTACTGAGCAAACGAACCAGGCAAAGCATATACAAATCCTCTAGAGTCTAAGTCTATATCTTCCTTCTCATGACTGCTAAATATCAGACCAATGTCTGGGTTTAACAAAAATGGGGTACTTAATCTTGGTTTTGAGGCACATAAAATTACCATGTGATAAACTTTAAGACAAATTTCTCAATTAAAAATGATCTCTCAATTTGGAATATACTGCTTTACTTTTTAACTTCACTTGTATCTATTTTAATCAGAGTTTTTTGAAGTGAATGAAGAAAATTGGCAGGAACATGGTGATAACAAAGTATTTTAAATGTGCATATTTATAAATTCTTAAATGTTAACATAGTGTACAAATACAGTTTCAAACAATATACAATGTAAATCTAAAGTCACCCATGAGGATTTTCACCACTTAACTATTTTATATATGAAACAATATATCACAATCAAAAGGGTAACTAAAAAAAAAAAAAGAGCTAATCTTTGGATTTTTCAAAACAATGACTGGAGTGTCACATTTGTGCTTCATATCTCCAACACATTAAATGCCCTTCCAATATGAAATAATAATAAAATAAGTAATGGTAATAAGCACGATGTTCAGGTATTTCTGAGACCTATTCCGCACTGAAGTCTGTCACATGGAAGTGATAATAAAATCTCTCTATCTTTAATAATTGCTTTGTTCAGATCTGGATGCTCAGCCCTCAAATTTGTAAAACCTCATTACGAGGGGAACATACTGAGAAAAGTTTAAAAGCTAAGCTCCACCAAGAGCAGAATGCCTCAAACAATTTGTAGTTCTACAAGTGTTATTTAAAAGGCTCAACATGTTGTATTACCATGGAAATTGTGGAAAACATACATTCCCAAACAAATATTACTTTTTCTCAATGGTATGAAGTAATGAAAACCACATGTGCAAATCTGCGATCCGTGCAGTAGTTCAAGCTGCAACTAATAGAAAATACAGAAAGTGAACTCTGCTATATAAAGGATTCTTGTTACAGAAATATAATGTGAAAACCAGATGCAGACAGAAAACCTTAATCACAGATGGGAATGTAATCATTGGCATACAGAATACTTTTTTGATCAATCTTAACCATATGCGCAATGTATTTATTTTCTAAGGAATGCAATAACTTGAGAGAACCTTCTATTTGAATTCAGTTAACCTCATATGGCCTTGGCAAATCATTCTTGTATCAGTTTATCTTTCAAAAATTTAATAGGATGTAAAGACTACACACATCAGAATCAACCTCAAAAGAGATCAAGTGCAGTTCCCCATTACTGTATTTCTCAATCACTGCCAGGAATCCTTTCACTGCCTAAACACATTTCTCTAGAGAATTCTATCAACATTTGGGGCACTTTTTCCTTTAGTAAATGATACATGGTTATTCCAAAAATGAGCATTTAAACACACCTCTTTTTATCTATCAACCTGGGTTGAATCAAACCTTAACTCTAACTCTTTTCTTTTCCTTCATAGAAACATTTTATATCATAAAAGCTATTATTTTACATGAACAAATGTACACTTAGTTTTTGTTTCCAAGGGGAATCACCATAAAAGGAACCTGTTATAGCATATCTGACTTAGGAAATATTACCTTGGTAAGTACAGTTTCTGGCACTGGACTGTAGCTTACCTTTGTCAAAGCTTCACCATTTCTTTGTAAGCAATTGTGTGTCCCTCTAATTTGAAGGAGTAGTGAACAGAGCACCATCTATGCCTCACTTCAGGACTATACTCAACTTCCAACAGGAAGTAACTGAGACACTGTGTGATTTGGGTGCCCCTCATCGCAGGTCATGTGAACTAAATGTCATTATCCTAGTTTCACAAGCTTCCTTAAGCTTCCATGCATACACTCATCCAGATTCTCCTTCTCTCTTCTAACTACTCATCTCCTACATTCACACACAGAAACACACAGTCCTTATTCTTGCCTAATCTCACATACAAGACCCTCCATCACTTGGCACTCATCTACAGTTTTCAGCCTCCACTCCAACCACGCCCTTCCAGAGTGCAGCTCTTCTCTGGCTGGATAAACTCCCTGATGGAACACTTCCTCTCATGCTGGTGGCTTCGTTCACTGACTTCACGGCCCTTCCCATAGACTGCTGCACGGCCAGTTCTTCCTCAACCCTCAGGCTTTAGTTCAAGAGTCACCACCTGACAGATGATTTCCCCAACCATTTGAAATAAAGTCTCACTACCATGTCCCCCCACCCTCTGCATCATTCTAACATTGTTTCTTAATTGTCTTAATTATATTTAGCACTACATGAAATAATCTTAGTAACTTCTTTTTTATCTTTCTCCCTCCCCCACCCAAACTGCAAGCTCTGTGAGAGCTAGGGTCTCATCTGGGGGGTGCTCATTACTCTACCCTCCACATTTGGAACTGGACTAGGAACCTAGTTGTAGCCCCAAATGAAAAGAAAAACAAATGAATCCCACTCAATGAAATGCCACAAAAGCCCAATTCAATCCCCATGACTTTGGCAAACCTTTCCGTGGCTACTTCTGTGACCTGTGATCTTTTTCTCTTCTTTATACTATAGTACTTTGGGTCTACATCAGGCTCTGCAACCTTTTACCTGCCAGGTACTGTTCACAGAAGCCCATTCCCACTGGTGCTGTATAGAGATAGGGCAGCATGGAAATCACCCACGACATCCACGGCTATGAAGCCAGCCCTTTGTCCCACACTGAGCAGCAGGACACTGTGACTGGGAACTGCAGCAGAGTCCATACAACCTTTAAGGCATAAGTGCACTCTAGCAGCTTTTTATGCATTGGATTATCTCACAATTGAGCATGTCAGCTGTTGTAGAAATGAGATCCAATCTTAATTTCTTACACCTTTGGACCCTACATTGATGCACTCTATTCATTCCATTGGCAGGGCTGCAAGAGCATGGCCATGTTTATTCAACAATGCCCATACCCAGTGCCTAGCACAGTGCCTGGCACACAAAAGGTGTTCACTAAATACTGACTGAGTAAACAGGGAATAACTGATAATGGAATATGATCTGGTCTTTCTTCAAGCCCCTTTCTCTTGTGATAAGGCATTATTTCAAAATCCTACAAATATTTTTAAGTAACAAATTAATCAGAAGGTAGGCAACCAACTAAGTATCAACAACGCAATATGACCAGTGAGTTAACAAACCAGGCAATTTTAAATGGTAGGAAGCTCTTAAATATCTTCTCTGTTGCAGATATAATTTAATTTTCAAAAAATAAAGTGTTATAAATGACTGTGGCCTACACACGCGGGCCATTTAGAAGCCCACTGTATACGCACTCTGGCTGGATTGGAATCTCAGTTCTTACACTTACTCATCAGCTATTTGACCTTGGACAAGTCACTTAACCTCTCTAAGCTTCAGATTTAAATCTCCAAAGTAAGATAATAACACCTAACTTATCAGGATGATATGAGGAGATAATACTTGTAAAGCGCCTACCTTAGTGCTCCCAGTGCAAGTATTATTTCATCCAGTGTGCTCAGTTCTTATCATTTGATACTAGAAAAGAGGTAGTACCTATTTTAATATAATTAAATATGAAATAAATGAAAGCAAAGGTCACTACTCAAAAATATCAGTACAATCATAATCTTTTTCTTTCTGAAAGTAATTACTGCACTATTAGTGATAAAAACAAAATACCTAGGATCAGTCAACAAAACCAAAATATGTGGAATTAAGCTGCAGGCTCTAAAACATTTTGGTGTGATGAAAAAAAAAACATAAACTGATGTTTGGTAGTTTTTTTTTTTTTTTTTAAATCTAATTTCATCTGGGAAAGACTCTCTCTAGGGAATAAGAGGAGACAGAACCAGAATCATTTACAAAGACTGTTTTCTCCAAATAAAGGCATCTGTTCCATGCCAGCAATTTCCACCTGGAAAAAAAAAAATGGAACTTTGGAAATATCTGCATTCGTGGTTGATGGTCACACATCTCAAGAGGCTATAACAACTGTCCAGTTGCCAGCATGGCCTGGTTGCTGCTGCTCCTATCAACTGATCTCTCTCTCTCTTTTTCCCCCTTTCCTCTCTTCCTCCCTCCCTTTGTCTCTTGTCTCTCAGAAACTTGGAAAGTTGTGGTATTTTATTTATTTATTTATTTATTTGAGATGGAGTCTCACTCTGTCGCCCAGGCTGGAGTGAAGTGGCGCAATCTCCACTCACTGCAAGCTCCGCCTCCCAGGTTCACGCCATTCTCCTGCCTCAGCCTCCCAAGTAGCTGGGACTACAGGCACCTGCCACCACGCCCGGCTAATTTTTTGTATTTTTAGTAGGGACGGGATTTTGCCGTGTTAGCCAGGATGGTCTCGATCTCCTGACCTCGTGATCCGCCCGCCTCAGCCTCCCAAAGTACTGGGATTACAGGCTTGAGCCACCGCGCCTGGCCTAAGTTGTGGTATTTTTGTACTGTAAACAGTAACTTTTCTAAGTGCAGTGAAAGGTTTTGATAGTTTTCCATTTGTACTTTAGTATCATTCCCTGCTGTAATTAGTGTGGCTGACCCTGTTCATGTAGAAAATTCCTACGTGGTAGGGTTTGAAGAATTCCAGGAGAGTAGTAAGCTCTGGAATAGTGAAGTCTTGAAGAAAATCTAGGTTCAGACCTTGCCCCGTCATGTGCACAGGGTCATCTTGGGTAAGAGAGTAGATCTCTAAGAGTGACTTACAAAATTAGCTCACTCACAAGTCGATATTAAGACAATATGAAAACATCATTCCATCAAGTCCTCCCTTGAGGCCCCACACACAGCTGTCTAAAATTGTCCAGTCACTTGCATTAAGAAACTGAAGGCTGCACTGCCGAAACTGTCTCTTTCAATAAAAAGGTTTCCTGAAGAAAAAACAGTGAGACTCTTTACCATTTCCGCATTGTGAGCCACGGCATCTCAGGCTGAGATGGACCTACCTCACTGTTCAGTACCATCTGTGGTTCTGAAGCTGATTCATCAGGCAGTAGAGCAGCTGGAATCCCACACAATGTCAGACAAAAGACCAGACTGGATGGGAAGGAATGTCGGGGGAAGGGTCCTGGAGGAAGAGTACTCAGACTGGGGATCTGTCCAGAAAGCAGATATGGGTATCCAGAGGAAGAGAGGAGGGAGAGAAGGAGGAGGGAGAGAAGGAAGAGGGAGACCGTGGCAACTAAGGGACAACTGGAGGGAATCTGGTAGGGAAAATCTGGAAGCCACTACAATGGTTTTCAGCCTTGTTCGGACCCTTGATCAAAGAAATTGTTCGATCTCATAAAAATGTCCATATACATAAAATTTTGCTTATAATTTCAAGAAGCTTATCCTTTATTAAAGCCCATTTATGAACTTCAGGGTAAGAAAATAAAATAAAAAGTTACAGTGTGCATCTATGAAGATCCAAGTGGCTTGACCACTTCGCAGTTTGCCTAAAGATGGGGTATTTTCCAAAAGCAATGGCAACAAAAGCCAAACTTGACAAATGGGATCTAATTAAACTAAAGAGCTTCTGAACAGCAAAAGAAACTACCATCAGAGTGAACAGGCAACCTACAGAATGGGAGAAAATTTTTGCAATCTACCCATCTGACAAAGGGCTAATATCCAGAATCTACAAGGAACTTAAACAAATTTACAAGAAAAAAACAACCCCATCAAAAAGTGTGTGAAGCATATCAACAGACACTTCTCAAAATAAGACATTTATACAGACAATGAACATGAAAACAAGCTCATCCATCACCACTGGGCATTAAAGAAATGCAAATCAAAACCACAATGAGATACCATCTCACACCAGTTAGAATGGTGATCATTAAAAAGTCAGGAAACAACAGATACTGGAGAGGATGTGGAGAAACAGGAATACTTTTACACTGTTGGTGGGGGTATAAATTAGTTCAACCATTGTGAAAGACAATGTGGCAATTCCTCAAGGGTCTAGAACCAGAAATACCATTTGACCCAGCAATCCCATTGCTGGGTATATACCCAAAGGATTGTAAGTCATTCTACTATAAAGACACATGCACACATATGTTTATTGCAGCACTGTTCACAATAGCAAAGACTTGGAACCAACCCAAACGCCCATCAATGACAGACCGGATAAAGAAAATGTGGCACATATCCACCATGGAATACTACGCAGCCATAAAAAAGAATGAGTTCATGTCCTTTGCAGGGACATGGATGAAGCTGGAAACCATCATTCTCAGCAAACTATCACAAGATCAGAAAGCCAAACAATGCATGTTCTCACTCATAAGTGGGAGTTGAACAATGAGAACACATGGACACAGGGAGGGGAACATCACACACCGGGGCCTGTCGGGGTGGGGGGCTAAGGGAGGGACAGCATTAGGAGAAACACCTCATGTAGATGACAGGTTGATGGTTGCTGCAAACCACCATGGCACATGTATACCTATGTAACAAACCTGCACGTTCTGCACATATATCCCAGAACTTAAAGTATAATAAAAATAAAAATAAAAATAAAAGATGGGGTGTTTTGTTTGGAGTAGGAGGTGGGGGTGGGGGTGGATTTTGCTTTTGTTTTATTGTATGTTTTTTAGTTGCCAAAACTTATAAGCCAAAATATAACAGCAATAAATTGTGCATTCTTTGACAAGAGAACGCAATGAAAGCGACCAAGGTGGAAAGAGGTTGAGAAAAAAAACAACATGCTGTTGGAACCAAAGATTTCACTTTAGTCTCAGCAGTGAAATATTTCAGGACAGTTTCAAGTAAATCACTTGAGTTCAAGGCATGAGCTCTCAATAATTATTTAACAAAGCATTAGAAAGTACCCCAACTGTTCCAGACTCCCACTTTTGAAGGTCTTACAAACCAGCAGAGAAGTCTGAATTGCACGGATGATAGCAGAGTTGGATGTAATAAATTCTATCTTTGGGGAGGAAGGGTCATGAAAGTGTCACCAGAGGCTTAGGAGAGGACAAAGTGAGCCAAGCTTGGCTTCCCTGCAGAAAGAGCTTAGGTGTCCAAACGTGAAGCAACCCAGGGTTTTAGAGAAGGCTGAGAGAGAGAGGTCCAGGAAAGGCCTGGCAAAGCAGGGTGTCATTTGTCTTCAACATCCTCATATCCCCCAGTGTCCATCAGGGCCAGATCGTCTATTAAGCATTTGCTGAATGAAGAAGCAGCCAAAGAGAGACTACTGGGGTTTAGAGAAGGAAGTGATGAACAGTTCCATAGCCATCAAGTCAGATGCCAAGAAAAAGCAACCCTTTACTGAAGGTTGTGCTTCACACATATCACGTCATCCTCATGACCACCCTATGAGGCCATGCCATTATTATCCAGATGAAAATTATTTCTAGATGAAAAGGGTAGCTAAAGGAGATAAATGGTAAAGCACTTGGGAGTTAGGTCTCTTCATCACTATACTCGACTGCCTTCTGGCAGGGAAGAGCAGCATCACTTCCCTCTGGAAGGGCAGAGGCCCAGACCAGTCAACCTGGGCGACACAGGCAAAAGATTTGTAAAATGACTCAGAGTACCAAAGGACATACAGCAAAAAGGCTCCTTCCACCACTACTTCCTGGCCCTGCTTTCTTCCCTAACAGCAAGCACTATTGTCAGATTCTTGTATATACTTGCACAAGTAGAATTCTATGCATTTTTTTGTACAAACACAGCATTCTACAGACATTCTTCTGCTCCTTGCTTTGCTCATTTAATGATATATCTCAGGAACGATTCTGTATCAACACACATAAATGTTTCATTCTTTAAAAAAGATTGATTTCTTTATGCTTAATAATTAGTTCTTATCAAGCATAATTCACTACAGAGGGAGAAGTCTTAAAAAATCCAATTCTGACAGATTTTAGAACAAAACCACAAACTCCAAATATGGTTAAAGTTCAAAAAATAAAAAGAATTGCCAGCATGTTTTTAAATTAAGTGTTATCAGACAAAACAAGATAAAGACCTTGAAATAATATTATCTTAATGAACCATATCCTAAAAGTCCTCACCCAGGTAGATTTTTTTGTTGTTTCTTCCAATAACTAAAATCTCTCACATAGGGGTCAACTAAGAGTGAGCAATAAGGATTGACGGCTCTTTAACATGTTAAAGAAATTCCTTTACTTTTCCAAAACAACTCCTCCATTTAAAAAAAGTATGGCTCAGCACATCATAGTATTTAGTTTACTATCTGTTAATTGTAAAATGGATAGACATTTCTATTAAACTCAGTAGATTTTAATGCATTTTTTGTTCTTTTCATTTAGAGTAGATTTGAAAAATATCATCACATGAAAAAGTATTTGGTCTACAGACAGTGCTTGGGGTACTGAACAAATGAATCTAGATTCAAAAGCACCTTTAAATAACCAAGCTCCCTCTTCCTCCAAGAGCACTGAGCCCAAGTCTGAGGCCTGCTGGTTTACAAGCACTGCTTTCATCAGCTACTCCTTAACTCCATATGCTGTCATCTCTACCTTCTCTCCTTCTTACCATGTTAGAATTCAAAGAAGTTTTATAAATTATTTTACAAACAAAGTCCAATGTTTGAAATTTATAAAGCAGGCTGCACTGGTCAAATGAGAAGTTAAGGGTCCCAGAACCCAGCCCACCTGACCACTTTGCATTCTCCTGCACGGCCTGAGGGCACCTGCAAAAGAGAAACTCAAAGAAGAGTTTGAAATCTGTGGAAAGAGGCAAAACACATGAGGGAGCCAAGTCCTACAGTGGTAAATAACAGATCTTTTATGTAACAACCGCATTTTAAGGAACACCCACCACTTGACAGCCCTGTCACCATCTCCGAAAGGCAGCTGGGACCACCAGAAGCCCTGGGACCGAGGTCTGCAAATGGATTCTGAAGCTCTTCTCTAGAAGCTGTGATTCTATGAGTCTGGGGTAGGGTAACAAAGCTGCCTCTAAACAAACACCTGAAGTGAGTCCCAGCTTCTGGCAAGTTAAGAGCACTTGATAGTAAATCCAGGTTGGTATTAATAACTTCCCCCTCTCTAAATCCACTGCTCTATCCAAGTGCTAATTATTTTTCCTTTGCAATACCTCCTGCCCCTGCCTCTTCCTTCTCATCCCACAAACCCAACGCTGGTCATCCTTCTGCAATATCTAAAACCTAAACTGCAGCAACAAGCTTCTCGCCTGGCCTTGGCCTCCAGTCCATCTGGCCCCTCACATTAGGACCAACTCTTTGCAAACATAACTGTTATTGGATGCAGGGTTTCCTTTTGCCTAGCTCAATTTTTATTTTAACCTTGGTTTTATAAAGATCTATTTTATCACAGACTCCTCTGTTCAAAAGACGCCCAGCTAGAAAATCAAATATATAAAGCAATTTATTATAAAAGCAGAGCTATTCTGCTTTTATGGTGGTTAGGGGATGGAAGACCCTGTGCCCAATCTGGGTACCCTCCATCCCACCTCCCAACCCTGAGGCACTCCACAGGACACAGCTGAAAAATGTCTGGTGAATTCAGAAGTTGAAGCTTAAATCAAAATGCTTGATATTCAAGACATTTATGATCTTTCTGCTCTCATTTCCCACTCAACACCCAAGGGCCCTTTTTGCTGCAGCCACAGTATTAATTTATTCTCTCTCCACCCCTACTCCACCCCAATACTCCTCCAAAGTCTTTTCCACATCTAGGCTTCTGCATTCCCTATTCCTATTGTATAACCTACCACAATCCTATTACAATAACTTTGCCTTGATGAATCCTACCTGTCTCAAGACAAGCTTAAATTCCAATTCACACCTGCCTCTAAAATCTCACTTGCTGCACCATTTAATTGGTAACTGATCAAGCTCCACGATCTATGTAGCTATTTAATTTGTCCTGAGTTTATCATTCAGTGGGAACTGAGCCGACTACCTGCTTGTGTCTACATCTAGCACACAGCTTTACACATAGAAAACATTTACTAAATATTTATCCATGTACTTCAGATTCACTCCCAAGAGTAAACATTTTACTTTTCTATCAGATGCTGTAAAAGGTGTCTTTACCATGGCTACCAAAACAGCATGTGACTTTCTTTATAAGTAGTCAAATCAGGTTTAATGGGTTGTTCACATTTTATTGCTCTTCACCTATATTTTCCTCCAATATTTTATACCTGCTCTCTCGAGCCAACTCAAATCTTAGGCACATCAATGGAGACTGATCACATTAACTCTTCCTTTAGACATGAACTGACCTACCTACCTTTATTTAAACAAAAGGATGAGAATTCATTGTCCACATTTGTTTCTCATCAGAGGTCAAATGCGGAACTCATTTCTAAATAAATCTAGCTGAACCGGAGAATGAAAATGTGTGACAGGTGGGCAAAGGAGCTGTGGAGTAAAGCACACTCCTTGTGTGACACATGATAAAAGTTACAAAAGTTACAGAATCCCAGCAGTCACTTAAAAAGAACACTTTCACAGGAAAGGAGGATTACTATGTCAGTCTGATAAACACCCAGTTCCAATCCCAATATCATCTGCTGTTCTTCCCAGCTGTATTTGCTCATCACTGTGTACATAACATATGCATAGACTCAGAAAATAAGCTATTAGTCTTCCCTGACCTGTCTTACAGTTCACATGCCCCTGTATCTTGAGGTTAGGGAAAGGGGTATAGTACTTCTAGTTTAAGCTAGTCTAATCAACTTCCCAAGACTGCATTTAAAGCGCAGCTTGTACCATGCTTATAACCAGTGGGGATAACTTCCTAATTTCTGATACTCCACTTGTCAATGTGCATTTGAAGTATTTTCCACAATACAGCTGTGCTATTTCCCTGGCACCATGATCTGTGCCAACCCTTTTAGGTACCATTATAGATCTGCTTTCCTAATATTAGGCTCTGGTCTCCTCACTAAGAGTTACTAGGTGGATTCTCCAAAAAGTCTAGTGGAAGAGTCCTCCCAGATACTCTTTATAATAACATCTCACAGCTAGTTCTCTCTCCTAGTGCTCTAATTATCTCATTACGTGGCCATGTCTAGCTCATTACTGCTCTGACACTGTTTCCCTTCATATTATCGGTGGCCACCCATCTCTTGAGCTTCTTTAGACAAATTACCATTACTGCTGCTAATATTTTATCTAATATTTCTCTGACATAATATTCAACCCAGTTAGTACCAACTACGAGTTCACTGTATATATACGCTTAAGACATTCTCCTTTGTGGCAAAGAACTTCAATTTGACTTCCCATTGAACTCTGAATACCAATGCAAAAATTTTCTACAGCCTATGAAGCAACAGTGCTTCCTCTGACATCCATTTCTAATGTCAGATGAAAATATCATTACTTCCAAGCCAAACCAATCCCTGACATCCTAGTAAACAGTAAGCTTCCACTGTCATTTTGGATGATGAGGAAGTGCTCACCTTGATCAAACCAGAAGAATGCCAATAACTCTTAAGTTCAAAAGAAACCCTAGCCTGGGTTTACTATTTATAACCACCCAAATTAGAATCAAATCTCTAATAATGTCTATATTTTAATCACCTACATCAGTTTTACAAACTAAAGTACAAAATCAATAGGTAATAATTGAATTATTTAATTATTTTAGAAGCAATAGCAAACTATTTCTTCAGACAAAAAGAGAATTGTTTAGTCTTTCCTGAGATCTGATTCCTAGCCAGATGATAATGTGCCCATGTTCAATTAAACAAGCTACCAGGTTCTCTCCAAAAAATGGCTTAAAGAGGTCATTTTCTAAATTTCCCAAGTGAAGCGAGTCCAAACTTTGAGACCGGGGGTATGGTGAATGCCTGGCTAAACACAAGCAACCCCATCCACCTCAGCCCCTAGCCCCTCACTCCCACCCCTAGGCGCTGAGTTCATCATCTTGTCCAGTAACTATGAGGCGAAAGCATAAAGGCAATTTTCCTTGGACAAGACCCAGACTCTTTAGTTCCCTCCTCACTACATAAACAGATTTATTCCTACATCATTCACCTCTGAAAAAGGAATCGTAAAAACAAAAATTTCAGATAATCATCTAAGATTTAGGATAGCTATGGAAAGAATGGCTCCCTAGTCCATAATGGCTCTTCTTTATGATGGAGAAGACTGGAATGATAGTAATATTCCACACTGATCCCTTTCCCAGTTAGATGAAGATTTATAGTGTCACCCACCCCAATCCCTGAATTTAAAAAAAAAAAAAAAAAAAAAAAAGCATTTTTTTTTCACTCTCCTAACCCTGGGAAAGCCCCAAAGCCTACTTTCAGTATCACACAGAGACTTGTCCGTATGAGAGTTGGGAAGCCTAAGAATCACCAAGTCTGCCCTTCGCCTTCTGAGAAATTTGCCTGAGGGCTGGAATGCACCCCAGGCCACCCAGCAAGTCAGTGATTGAACTGGAAAGGGAACTTCAGTTTGCCTATTAGTCAAGCGACTGCACACAGACACCAGGTCCTTTTTTTTTTTTTTCTAATACGGAGAAAGCTTTACACTATGAAACTAGTTACAAACTCTTTTTTTCCAGCAGTAAAGGTGGTGTACAAGTCCTCTAACCTTATCTTAAGAGGTAACCAGGAAGTTGAACCTGGCCAACTGGGAAATGCTGAGATCAAGATATAATGGAGTGACCAACTACGAAAGGAACAAGACTCAAGAACTAAGGACTGGGCAGAAAATCACTCCAGCATACTGGATAAGTTCAACAACAACAACAACAAAAACAGATTAAATCCTCATGGCCTCAGTGCAGTGTAGAATGAAGGTATTCTGATGCAGGAACAGAATTTGGTAATAGAGAAGCCTGGATCAGGTGGTACTGAGGAATATAGACTAGCACACACTTGTGAGTATCCAAGGATATGTCAGCTAGAAGCCAACTCTGATTCCTAAGTGGGGGTGAAGAGGGGATAACTGAAAGAAAACAATGGATGAGTAGAAATGGCCACTGAAGAGAATATGCAGCCAATTTTTCAGAGAATAAGGTCCTAAATAATTACTAAAGCTCAGGCACAAAGTAAGTCATTAATTTGGGGAATACGAAGAAACCTCAATTTTCTAAATTGGGGCAAAAGATCAAGCCAGAAGAGTAACTATGGCAAGAGTCTCAGAGCAATGGGCTGGAGTTCTTTGAAATGAAGAAAGTGAAACACTGGTTAATCAATTACTTAAAATCAGTGATGAGAATGTATGTGAAGGTTGGTGAAGGACAGGCTCATAGTAGGTCTCTAGTATTTATCAATTCCTCTCCTCTCTCCCAAGACCAACAACTAAGTAGCAGCCCTCAAGAGCCCTGAGCACACTTAGAAGTGGTCTGTGCCCCAGGTGTTAAAAGATTAATGAACCCAGTCAATCACATTCCCCAAGGCACTTAGAGGTGCTTAGATTGCTGGAGACACAACGGGAAAACTTCACATTTGTGCCCTCTGCATTCCTCTTCTACAAGATCTATATTCTAAAGGCCCTATTCATCCAAATAGTGATTTGCTTTAGAGGCCTTGATCGATATGAAACCGACCAAAACAAATGCCTGCTTTATTCCTTCATGAATTACTTTATAAAGGTAATCACAATTAGAACTATTAAAGGAGATGATTTTAAGTTGGTATCTCTTGGTCCTTGAAAATATTAGTAGTTGTAGGCAACATTGACAGTTTTAAGCTCTTTCAAACAAGCAGGTCTTACACTTTAAACATCAACCATGGGACATTACTTTACCAGTAGTTCTGATGTAAGAGCCTGGACATGATTTCATCAAGTATCAACATTTCAAAAAGAGGCACAGGAATCTCCCCTGTTGGTGTCATGTAAGGTACCGTGGCTTCAAAAACAACTCTCATTAGAAGATCACATCCCAAGTGAAGGGATTATGTCTGTGAATAAACTTTTTGTACACTGATATGTGATTCAGCATCTTTTCTTAAAAGTGTCAGAAACTGGTGCTATATTGGAGGAAATAGCCGCATGATGCCCAGCTCTCTTTAAGATATGCCAGCATGACATGCCATACTGAACTGTTCTTTGGGCTTGAAACTGGAAACTGCATTCCTTAAAAGCATACTTCTTTGGTTGGTTCCATACATGTAATCGCAAATACTCACATTCAACATTGTTCTTCAAACTACCTCTTCTTTTGAGTTGGTGTTTTAGAAGAAACACTGCATTTGTTAATATCAAACATGCTAAGGTGTCACTGTGCCTGCCTTCCCCTTTATACATTCCTGAAATATTTTGAGTTTATCTGTGAAGAGTGTGTCTAGCAATTCACATGTGAAGCCACAAACTCAGCTAATTGATCCTCAGCAGTGATCAGGTCTCACCCCAGACAAATTACTATAGCCACAAGCCCACCAAACTGCAATCCAAGGTTGAGTCAGTATTGAACCTCATCCAAATTTCACCAGTCTTCCTTCCTTCTAGTTTAATTCTCTCTGCCCATGTTTTATATGGATAGCGTTGCCATTCACTTTCTTGTTATAAGGACGCAGTATTATTTTTATTATGATTATTTAAGACATCTTAAGAGTTTCCTTTTTAATTAAAATTAGATAATTTTAAAAGAACATGTCTTTCCTAGCAATGTCACTAGTAAAATGCATCCAATTTTTCTCTATGTGGTGCTTTCCCTGTCCATAAAACTTATTTGATTAGCAGTACTATAGAAGCTAAAGCTTTTGTATGCAGGCACTCAAGCATAATTTAATCATTTTATTTAAGCATGGAAAAGATTATTCTGAAAGCCCTGTTAGTAAAATATCCCTGATTAGTTTAAACTTACATTTGCAGGTATATTAAAGGTAAAATAAATCTCGGAATGCTCAGTATGCAAGAACAGTGTTAACTTTGTTACAACAGTCCGGCAGTAAGTTAAAAATTGTAGTATTAGAGAATGTAAGGAATAACTATCTGATTTTCAATACATGTATTTAAACAGGTTATTTTAAAATAAATTTTGTTTTGTGTGAACCCCTTTTTATTACCAGGATTTTCACCTATGGAAACCTCTTTTATAGTCAAACAAGATGAGGTCTTAATTGCATACTACCATTTATCTGCTGAGGATAAAAGTGCCAACAAATGAAAATGCACATTAGGCAAGAGATTGTCAGAATAGAAAATTTTTTTTTTATTTTTTTGTTTTTTTGTTTTTAAATAACCCACTCACATTAACAAAAGACTGCAGTAGCTTCCAAATTATAGGTTGTTATTTTTAGTGGAAGTAGTTCAATATTCATATTGGAGCAGATGTAGCAGTTTAACAAAACAGCTCTTCAAATCCCGCACAAATTGAAAACAGGAAAACTGATTGCATTTTCTCTTATCACTTTCCTTTTCTGAATTGACACTTTTGGCCTTCTGAAAATTTACACATGGCTTTCATCTCAACAGCACCTGCTGATCAAACAGAAACCTAACATTTTCATGAAAATTGTATAAAGGACTAGTTTTGTTCTAAACACTGTAAAGGGCATCAGTTGCCTACTTGATGGCAACAATTGTCATGTATAAGTCATAGTCAAAATAGATTTATATTTTCATAAATTTCTTTAACATAAAAATATGTTAAGTCCCTTCTGGTTTTTTTTTTCATATTCACTCTCTGTATGGTTCAAATTTCTTTGACTCAATGTCTGCCTAATGCTTAGTTTTGTTATTTAAAGACTATGCAAAATGTGTGAAAGGGTAAATTACACCAAGATAACAAATACTTAGTATTTCTCTGCCTTTGCTTGAAATACACATATTAATCTATATAAGTTATTGTCTATGCATGCACTTGAGTGTAAAATACATACATCTCACTTTGTATTGAACCCATTATCGCTTCTCGGCCTTTTGGCTAAGATCAAGTGTATTCCACCCACTAAAAGAAAACTGGAAACAAAAAGTCAGAGTCAGGCCCTATTTTTGAAGGGAACTTACACATTATTTTATGAGATATAGATTTAGCAGGTGCCTGGCTGTTTCAGTACCCGACTGGAAAAGAATGAATGTCACTCATGCAACAAACTGGTCACCTAAATAGTGACTGACCACTCACTGTAAATAACTCCAGGTAAAGGTAAATCTTGAAAATGGATATCCTTCTATATAAAATATGCAAGATCTATGGCTAGCATGCTTTTCATATTTTTAAACGTGCTCCACCTATTTCTCTGTAACATCCAATTCGGGGTAGAATTAAAGATGTTCCTAAGACATGCTATCTGCTAGTTTCTTAGCCAAAAGAGCTCTACCCTTTCTGAAAGATTCCAGGCTGTCCTTTTCCATTCTGTCTGGGTGATAAGGTAACCTGAAGGCAGAAATGACATACAGTAATATATGTGCCACTCTGGCCAGTTGGTCTGTGAATTTCAGTGTTTCATCATGCTCACTGAGGCAACAGCAAACCTGAAATGTCAATATGTTCAGTCAATGGAAGTAAAATAATGGGACTCTATTGTCTTACCCAATCGATCTGCTGCTGTCAACAAGGAAACATGCCCCCCTGGCTTTAAACAAATTTTAATTAGGCTTTTAGTTACTGGATCATATCTATCTATCTATGAAAACACCTATTTTGACAATGTGTAGAAGGCAAAACAACCATCTTTTCCACTTTTCTTCATTTTAAGAACCTTCTAAAGTTGATATTACAATGTTTCAAATACTTGTGAGTCAATAAGACATGTTTTCTCCTTTTTTTAAACTAGCTCCAACCAAAAGATTTCATGGTTCAAATCCAAAATACAAATCTACCTAACAGACTTGTAGTGATTTTTTTTTCTCCTCTAGGCTGAGTTGAGCCATACTATAAAGTCAACTAATTCCATATTAAAAGTAGGCTTCATTTGCTTTTCTTACTCATTCAAGTACCGTCAGCATCAATTTATCACGCATTTAAAACAAGTCACACAAAACCAAACATTAATGATCAATCCCAAAGCCTTTACCCTCTTTTCTCAGTTCATCAATCCTAAATGCAAGGGGTAAACGAAACTCCTGTTAAATCAGGGAGGTGCATGGTGCTGAGAAGGGTAGGGGGTTGTCGGGAGAGGAAATAAGACATTTTAAGTCATTCAAATTGCACCAAAGTTCTCTAGCCCTTCCTTCCACCAAAAGAGAGACAGTCTCACCTTAAAATAAAAATGAACTAATCAAGTTGTTAAGCAGCTTTGTCTCTCCCTTCTTCATCTAAAGGCTTCAGCGTCCAGTCAATAAATAATCTATTGTTCCCCCTTTATCGAGTCTCTTTAAACCTATTCAGACTGGCAAAACTAAACCCAATTAAAGATAAGGCCCTCCGGTATTCTCACCTCGGTGAGTCCTGTCTGGATAGCAGAGGTGATGGGAGATAGCGTCAAGGCCAGGGGTAGATGCCTCCTCCTCACCCCACACAACAAAAGGCAGATTTCTCTTTCTCACTCTGCTAATCTTTAAATGTAAATTCTCTCCGCCAGCTAAGAGGAGCGACAGATAACATGTTACATCTTCACTTCTCCTGGTCTTATCGACTTCTGAATCATTTGGAAAGGGAGAGAGGGAGAGAGAAAAGCCGCCTCCCCACGCCCCCCTTCCTCCTGGCCACCCCTCCTTCCTCCCTGCTCGCCTCCCTCCCCTGTTCACGGAGATTACCTTCTGGCAAAGGAGCGCGGGAGAGCGGCCGCGGCCGAGGCGGCACCCAGACCGCGGCTTTGTATTCATTAAACACACATTGGAGCTTATCAGAAGTAAAAGCCTTGTCAGGATGGCACATTGTGTGTGAGTGAGTGTGTGAGCGCAGGAGGGAGAGGAGAGAAGCCAACGTGCATCAGGGTGATTACAATATCAGCAGGGCCCAGATGGAGGCAGGAAAATAAACAGAGGGTGCGTGTGAGACGGAGCGGGAGAGGGAGGAAAAGTGGGAGAGAGAGAGAGAAGACAGAAAGGGACAGGCAGGAGGGAAGGAGAGACACAGGCAGGAGGGAAGGAGGGATGGAGGAGGGGGCGGGGGCTCAGACCCCAGGATGGGGCCAGAAAGTGGGGGAGAGCTACCCTAAGGCTATCTGGGAATGAGAGGCAGGCTAGAAGTCGCCTGCATGCCCAAATCTGCCCCTACCACCCAAAGAAGGGAGGAATCCAGCAAACTGTATTTCCCTGCTCCAGGGCTAGGCTGGAACATGTTCGAGATTCTGTCAAGGTCAGAGGAGGATCAAGAGCTCTCTTTTGGCAGAGCCTAAGGAGACAGTCGCCATCTCACCTCCATCCAAACAGCCACATTTTGCAAAACAAACCTACTGAGTCTATAGAGCAGTTAAGCTGCCTTCCAGACCAACCTCAAGTCGGAGTTCTTGTCCCTTTCTTTGCTAACCCCAATACTCCTAAATTCCAGCCCCTGCACATTCACACACTCAGAGATATAAAATAGCTTCTGTCCCTGAACTTTAATGTGTCCCAGCTGAAGACTCCTGCAGCCAGCATCATTGTGATAAGGAGGAACACTTGTGATTGGTAGCCACAGGTGACTCTTAGAGACCTGCTCCACCTCCAGAAATTGTGTTGGGGGAGGAGGCTCCTTATGTGTGCATCTGAGAGTCTATTTTGGAGGTGGGAATCTGAAATTGAGGCAATCAATCTCGGCTTGAGCTGCCTCATGGCTCTTCACCCACCCAGAGCCAGAGAATCAATCAGAGAACAAGCAAGGGCTAATGCTTGTCCGTCAGTCCAGAGTTCATCCCCCTCCCCAGCAGGGTCAGGAAGGAGACACACCTGAGTAGTCCCTTGGGAGTCCCTTTTCACTTTTAAATACACCCATCAGACAATGTGAACATCTGATCAGCTCCTTAATGGAGTGCAGATAATGCAGCAAAGGAGGTTATTTTATTGGGGGAGGGGAAGTATTTGGTTGTGCTGTGTTTCAAGGCACTGAAGCTTGGTTAAGAAGCTCTCACTACAGCATCAAGAGTGAGTTCAGAATGAAGGAGCCAATAAATTACACAATTGTTCATGGTGTGCACTGTAGCCCTAGCTGCTGTGAAACTTCAGGTTATAAAATAGTTTTATGCAGGGGGTCTCCCTAGAAAGGAATAAAATGGGGATGAAGGGTAAGGCTAGTGAGTAGAAAAAAAAACAATAGCAAGAGAACTAGCCCCTGCCTTTTAAGGGAACCATATTTTAAGAGGCCCTTTAGAAAATGAGGAGAAGCATTGTTTAATCAGGCACTCCCCTCCAAATCACTTGGCCAAAAATCGGTTTTATGTATAGTTGAGCACCGCCCCCTCTCCCCCACCCCACCCAAACACACACACACCAATGTTCCAACCCCAAGAATAGAATTAAAAGAAATTTGATAGGTAACACAAAGTGAAAAAAGCTGGGCATAGGTGGGGGAAGGGCATGTGTGAAAATCTTGTCATGCAATGAATGTCAGATAAAAAGGGGTCTGCCACAATCCTCCAGTAATCCAATAACGTGGAAAACCTCATGGTATCACTGAGACGAGAACAAGGTAATATTTCTCCATAAATCTTCAAAAAGTGACCAGGTTCAATAGTTAGAGAAGGGTGCAAGGATAGGAAGTAAAACACTTGGCTGGCTACATTACAAAATCCAGTGAGCTTTAAATGGGTGAAAATCTGTCATTCTTACATGTTTTAAATTTAATAACAGATTTCTAGCGTATCACTTTAGCTCTCATAAAAGGTCACCTTTCACCTTTTCTCTAGCTATTCTAGAAAAATGCATTCAGAGTAACCGAAAGCAACCACACATACCCCCACCCTTTATTGCATTTTAGTTAGATCAGCTTGGACACAGACTACATACAAACACCTAAAAATCCAAGAAAACTCCAGAGGAAGAAAAATACAATTTACAAGTGCCCCCCTGATTTTTCCATTACATGCTCTTTTAAGAAATGCTATTTTTTTAAAAAAAATTGCATTACTATTGCTTTCAAACCCAGAAAAGGTTTGCTTTTTTTAAAAGGGGCATCCCAAATACTAGAGGCATAAAGAAATCTGTTCAAAAGCTAATCTGCCAGTGGTCTTATTTTGTAAATGCACAGTATTTCTATTAGTACCTTGTTTGTTCATTGACTTTTGGCTCACAGTTATAGAAAAGATCAACCAATTCTCAAATGGGAAGAATCCATGACTCTCTTCCAAAGCAAACACTTTGCTGCAAAGCTTTCAATTAAAAGAAAAAAACAGCAATACAATAATCAAGAAGTATAATCACAGAAGTGTAAAACAGAAAGTGGTTTCTATAATCACAGCTGTCTTAAAGTCCAGGCTAGAGACTAGAAATCTTAATTTCAACTAGTTCTTTTCTTAATAATAGGTTACCTTCCTATAAAAGGAAGAAGTCCATCTGCCCCAGGCAGATAAGTTTTGAAGCATTAATTCAGATAAAAATCTAGCATTTTCTTTCTTTCTTTGAGTATGTGAATTCTAGTGTGCTATAATGTGAGAATTCCAACATATGACCATTATGGCATAATATCTCATTGCTCAGCTTGTCATTATTTCATTTGTAATTCTTATGTTAATTATGTTCATAATTACTATAAACAGATGTGGTAGACATTCATGTGACCTTTTATTGCAGAATGCATTCTTCACTCATTTTGCTTTAATTTCTCATGGATACAAAGCTGAAATGCAGGAAAAAGAAAAAGCCTTTCCAATTTTCCAATGTTTTATATGCATAAGCTAAAACAGAACCTACCTTCTACTTCATCTGCATTTCAGAATATCATAATATTCTTAATGTTTAAGCTGCTTTATACAGCACATTTCTAAATTGCACACTGAACCTCACTGCTGCTCACTAAATTGTAGCTATGGATGCCAAACAAAGGCTAACATCCATGTCTAAGTTGTTTGTCTTTTTTTTAATATCAAAGGTTAATGCAGCAGAATTGTGCTTCAAAACCAAGTGCCTAGCAGCTACATAGCGATTTATTCACTCAGAACTCAACCATCACCCTCTTTACATAAAACGCATTTACAATAAAATCAGTATGGATTTCATTAGCTGAAAACCTCCTCGAATTTCATTTCTTTGGCCCTAATCTATAATTAGTTTGGACAGACAGGTGCAAACCCTTCTCTTCTACAGATGGCTACTGGAAATGGTGCAAAGTAGCTCCTTCTGTTTAAACAACACAGAGATAACCTGCTCTGTCTTATCACTTACAATTACCTCCATTAAACTGAACTAATGTTTGCTTTAATAAAATGTTCACTGTTCTTTAAACATTATTTAGGAACTCTTATATTAATGGCTGTGGAAAAAAAGTGAAGTTGGAAGGTGTCTCTAGATAATAATAAATAGCTTATTCTGGATAAAATGTTCCCACTGACAGATAATACTTAGGTTCACAGAGGTGTTTTAGTTGATTGAATATTTGTTATTTTGCATAAATAGAGTCAAATTTGATTTTTAAAAGGCAAACATAATTTAACAAGTTGGGGGAGACAACATTTTTCTTGAATTTAGAAAAAGAATAAATTTTTTTCTTATAGATTTTAAGTTGTTATTAACATGTAGAAATTAAAATCCTTATTTTCAAAGGATATGTTAACTTAGTTTTATGCATTTAACTTCTGATAGATTATTCTCAAAGTTGAATGAGTTCATTCTTTCAAGGCACATCTTAAAAATTAACTATGAATGTAAGTGCACTCTGCAAGCACATGGTTAAAAGCAACTCCATTCCATAATAAATAACTTCTATAAAGCCAGAGCTCACTTCTCCCTGCTTCTGCTATCAATAAAGTCTGTGGATCACTATATGATGAATAAGGTGTCCATAAAACAAAGAACCTTTAAATGCCCAAACAGCAACAAATAAATAGCCTTTCTCACTGAACTTACATAACTTACAGTAATAGACTCCGGCAAAATGCAACTGACTCCGTTTTTTTCACATGCAAATCCTGCAGGTGCCAATTTTTCAGACTGCTTTGCTATGAAGGGCTATGTTGCCTGCATAAAACCTCAGTGAAGAAGGCTTTGCATTCAGTGCCTGTCAGCTGATGTTCATATCAAAGAAGTGAGAAACAGGATTTGACAGTGAAGAATGTCCTAAACTGACAACCACTGACCAGCATTCCTATTGGAAGCATTTCTTTCTTGTGATCCTTTTTCAGTGTTTAAAGAAATGCAAGATTTTTTGGCTACGGTTCGATTTGACAATAAAATAAATTATAATGGCACCTTAAATGTGTGTAGTTCTTTGCAATTTATGAAGTGCTCTTTTATCTACAAATATTTAGACTAACACCTCAATGGGAGAGCACATCATCAAATACTAACATCAAGAGCAATATTTTACTCCTCTCAGGAAAAGAAAATTGTGCAAATATTAAAAAGCTGCAGTCCCATAGCTGCAAAAATACTGTCCTTGCAATTTAATAGTGCAATGTATTGTATTGCACATAGAATGATTTTTATTAGAAAGGACCTTTTAAAGATCATTTTAACACAAATTATTAGCAGGTATTAACGGACCACAGAGACTAAGTCCACAAAGGAAAATATCATTTCAAAGACTTCTAGTCTGCTTTGAGTTGTACAAACATAAAAGAAAAAATAGACTGTTTTCTCCACTGCTTTTATTAGGTATAAACTGGACACTGGAGAAACTGAGTATTGAAATTCTCCCATGCAATATTTAGCTTTTCAAATAAAGTCACTGCTATCTAGTTTATAATAAAATTATTAATGACTGAACAAAAATATTTAATAAAAAGTTAACCTCAGTATTAAAAAAGTCCGTTTTTATGCACCCAGTATAAGACTGATTGGTTGTTTTGTTGGAATTTCATCTTTTAAAATAATAAACCAACAAAATATAAAATGCTGAACACAGCACAAGAAATAATGGACTTCAACTTCTTCAGCATCCATCCTGGCTGCAAAAAAAGCCCGGATCAAACCAAGATTCCCTGATTACTATTGGGTGAGATTGTCAGACTTCTCTGAAACAAACAAAAAAATCAGTAAAGGAAAAAAACGAAAATGAAATCAAATAACCCTATCTTTATTATCTGAAAATCATAATATTACAAACTAGACTTTAAGGATAAAAGAGAGGGAAATCCACAGAATTATAAATTTGCTTCTGTGTATACACATCACAGCTGACATAAACACTCAGGTTGGGGCTATGTTAGTTTAAGAAACAATGGTGTTTGGTGACCTTTTCTAAAGAATTGTGTGACAGGAGAAACTGGGCACAACAGAATACTCACATGGTCAAGGCAAACGCTGCCATAAACTAAAAGGAGGCCCCCAACACTAACAAACCGTTTATCACAGAGAAGCTGGTCAATTTGTATTCTAGGGAGTGTGGACTCACTGGGCACAGACCCAGTTCCACTCCTGTTCTATGCAAAGGAGGGCAATGATAATAAAAGCTACTGAGTGCACTTAAAAATGGTACAGATGTTGAAAAGGAGACTAGGAGAGGGAAAAAAATCCCTGTAAAACACATTTCAGTTCACACAGAAGGTATAAGGAATGCTTTGGTCAGAAACCCGACCTTTATCAGGAGATAAATCAATCTGCAGCAGCTGCGGACAGCCATTTATATACAGGCTCTGGGCAGATTAATTAAGAAAAGCGAAGTTAAAGATTCAAGGGGCCTCAGAGTTACATTAAGCACATGAAGTTTGTCTGGAGTGGCCTCTCCAGCTCTCCTGGTCTTCACTCCCTAGCTCTGGCCTCGGGCACTATTCTGCAGGACCTCCTCCACGGGAATCCTAGCTATTCCTTAAAGCGACCTTCTGCAGATTCCCCCAGGAAGCAGCAGCCAGACTAGGGCACGGTGGAATTTGTGGTGCCCAGTCTTCAAGGGTTTCTCCGTTACGCTTTGCAAGGAATGAGACCATGGGCTGCACGGCCGCCCAGCCAAATCCTCCAAACTGAAAGGCCTTTTGGGGGAGAGGGGGAGGGAAGGCGGCTATTTTTAGTAACAGTTGTGGCTCACATCCTACTTCCCGGAATCATAGTACTCAAACTTTTCCAAGGGTTGACCGCCCTTACAAAAAATAAAAAATAGCACGTTTCAAAAAATGGATCTGAGCGCCTTGTGCTGACCTAGCCGTATTTGCTCAAAGCACCCCAGTCAGCGCCAGGTCCCCCCCGGGAAAGAGGTCTGGGTGCGCCAACCAACCCGGTCCTTTCAGGTTCGCAAAGAGGGCGGTGAGCGGCGGGCCCTGGAGCGCGTCTCCACTGGCCCGGGGGCTTCACCAGAGGGGTTTCTGGAAAACGAAAGGAATTATCCGGACGTGGCTCCAAGTCTGGACCCCTTCGGGCGGGAGCTACAGGGCACAAGGTTGTGCTCCCCACTCAGAAGAAGCGGGCACCGAGTCGGGGCCGCGACGGGAACACCCAGGAGGGCCGGGGCGGCTGAGTCCAGAGCGCGCAGAGGTCGGGCGGGGACGACTCTCCCCATCGGCCCCTGACTGCGAAGCCCGGGACCAGCCTCGGGCGGGAGCCGCCGTCCGCCCGCTCACCCAGGAGCTTCCCAGTCCAGCACCCCAAACGGCCAGGAGTAACAAGGAAAGTTCGCAGGCAGGCGCAGAGCGCCTGGGTACCTCTAAGCAAACCCCCACCCTAGTTGCAGCCGGGTCCCAAAGTTAAGATCCCGCCTCTTTACTCCTTAGGGCTAAGTTTTCCACCATCAAAACAAGTCTTTGCTTCCAGTTTACAGAAAAAGAAAAGAAAAAAAAAAAAAAGAAAGGAAAAGAAAAAAACCCACGATGCGGGCATAGGGCCACCTGCCAAATGCACTGTGGGCACCTCGATCGGTTGTTTTGTCGGGGGAGAAACCCACTCGTCATCTTCCTGCTCGCATACCGTGACTATGGAGAGGGAAGAAAAATTATTTTTAAAAGACACTGTGGGGAATATAATAGTAAAAACTGCATCCTCGGCTGACCCGCGAAGTTCAGTGTCATCGCAGACCGGAGTCACCCGCGATGTTCCTCTTTGCCCTGGTGCGTAGTCCTACCCTAATTGAGCGACAAGTACAGCCTGGAGCCTCGCGGTCGAATAATCCAAACGAAGATGACGGTCATCGGAACAGTAATTAATAACAGTCAGGGGCCCGACCCCGCCGCCCGCCCGCCGGCCAAGCCCTACCGCGGACACTTACACTGCACAGGGCCGGAGAGTCCCACCATCCGCCACAGGCTCCGAGCTGCAAATAAAACTTCCCGTCGTCTCGGCCGGCCCGCGGGGCGACGGGGCGAGGACGCGGCGCGGCTTCCCTCGCGAGGCCAGAGTGTCCGCGGCCACTCGCCCACGCGCGCTCGCCACGAGACCGCGGAGTCGCGCCGCGGAGCGACTACGGCCGCCCGGCGCTGCGCAGAGAGAGCTGCCGTGCAAAAAGCCCGGGGTCGGGGACGCCAGCCAAACGCAACCTCCACGCAGAGCCCAAGACTTGCGGAGCTCTGCTCCCCTCCTCCCGCCTCCCTCCCTCCCTCCGCTTTTCTGTTGTTGCTGCTGTGGCAGACAAATGTGATGTGGGGCGCAGGGAATTGCCACTGTCACAGGCGGCGTCTGCGTCTCCCTCGCCCGCCCTCGCTCACTCTCGAGGAAGGCGACGCATTTATCTGCAGGGCGGCCGGGCGTCCGCCGGGGAGCAGGAGCGCCGCGCGCTGTGCGCCGAGAGCGCCCGCATCAGGCCGGCTCCGGCGCACGCTCGCGCCAGGGGCGCCGCGGCCGGTCGGGAGGGAGGCGGCTGCGCGGCCGCTACCAGGTGCAGGGGGGAGGACCCGCGGCGGGGCGTGGGGGAGGTGGAGGTGGGAGACATCTGTGTTGTGCGGGGGTCACGGAGGTCAAGTATATGTTAACAATGGGCAGGCCCGGCACGCTAGGGCGCGCGGGCTGGCGGGCGGCCTCCCTCCCGGCCTCGCCCTCTCCCATGCAGGCTGGACGTGGGGTTGGCTCCCTAATGATGCCTTCCCGGGCCGCCAGCTCTCAGGCGGCCCGAGTGCCCTGCAGTAACCCAAGACGACCACTTTCCCCGGCCATCTGGAGCGCTCCCGGCTGCCCTGCCTGTGTCTCATCACTGGCTGAAGAGACAGCTCTGCTAGAAATCAAGCCACTCTCAGATCTCCTCTCTAATCCCCTTCTGTTAGCTGATTTCCAGACTGACTATTTGCTTTCGCATTAGATAATAGCCTTAGAGAAAACAATTATCATTTTCTTTTATTCTCTTTGTTTTTCTACTTCTCCCATAGTATACCATTAAGAGGGACGGCTTTCTATCTCAGGTTTTTGTTAGATGTGTCCCCCTCCCCCAGACATTAATATCAATACTTGGGGGCAGTGTGGGGGGTAGTCCCGGAGGAAAAGATAGGGTGAAAGAATTCCAGATATTTCCAGAGTAAATAAATAATCTCGGTGAAGAGGACTGACAATTTGTACAGAGCCAAAAAGGGCTTGAATAATAATGAAAATATTAATATGTAGGTCAAATATGATCAGATAATGGCTTGCAATGATAAGTAAAATGAAATCTTTTAAAATTACTATGGAACGGTACCCTGACTGCAAATGTTATTGTATTTAGTGGAACTATTTGAAATCCTACTCTGAACCATGTTTTCTCCAACTAGCCTAAATCAATGTAAGATGTCCTGAATACGTGTTTTAAAATCTCATTTTTACAAAGGAAAAAAGGCATCAGATAGAGTCTGAGTCGGTCTGATGCAGTTGAGAACTGATGAGACATTTGTGGGTTTTATTTTCTGAAGTGGTGTTTCAAATATTTAATAGTGAGTAAAATCCCTTCCCCCATCCTTTTAAACCCAGCTGGAGCTTCCAATTCTGAAGTCTTTTCAGACTCTACTAATTTTTAGCAATTCATTTCCAGAAAACACTCATTGTACATTCTCCCCTCTCCTTGGGACATTTGTCTAATGAATTATAATAGATTAATGAATTGCAATGTTAAGTCTTGGTATTTGATATTATGATGCTCTTAATTTGAATCTCATTTTATCAAGGTGTACATTCTATAATAATTTCTGTATTACAGTTCTTTATATTTTGCTATAGTCGCAAATCTTAATAGCATGAATAATCTTAAACTATAAAATTTTATGTACACCATACTAATATAACTCCTTTGTGTAGAAAATTATGTCAAAGCTTACTATTGTTCTTAAAAGAATAAAATCATGTTGACATTTTATTATTCTATTACCTGTATTATCTCTTCTGTCCCCCAAATTGAAACCAAATAATTTGGATTCTGGAGGCATATAGTCATCTTTATTTAAAATTTAAAAAGTGATACCTGAATCAGGAATGATTCTTGTGAAATAGTGTTACTTCTAAAATCATAATTTAAAATATAGAAAAAGTAAATCAGCAATAGTTTTATGATATAAAAAAGCAGGGACAGAAATAAAATAGAAATGTTAGCTGCATTTTTCTTCTGTCTGTAAATTGTGCCAGTGTAGGTGTAAAATTATGGTAGAAACTTTGAACTTCTAAATCAATGAAAAGTAACTTGCAGGAAATCAAATCAGAATTGTACACAATCAAGATACATTCATGACACCAAGGCATATTTTGTAAGATGCCACAAACCTTAAAGGATCTTCCTTTTTGCTAGTCATACTTCTGGAAAAATAATGATCATTCTTTAGTTATACTTCTTAAAAATTCTCGATTTGGTTTTATATCAGATAGAATATATCACAACTTGAGTTGTTTTCCAAATTCTGATAAAAGCAGTGGAAGAACCTGTATCCTTGAGTTGATGTATAAAGATTATTCAATATATTCCTTAATCCCACTTGCTACCTCCTTGAAAGGCCTGTGTTCTACAAAATGTAGAACATATTTTCCTGTAGGGTTTATCCTCGTATTATCTCCTAACTCCTTTATTTGGAGCAAATAATAACTATAGGGGCCAACTCAAGCATAGGATGATTCTTGAATTGCAAAATCTAGGAAAATAAAACATATTAAATGAAAAGGGAGGAACTGGTTGATACCGTGTGGTGCGAGAGTATGAATTACCTGAAAACAGTACAGGGCCATAAAATATTTGGCTAACCTTAGACTTGGGGTGGCAGATACACATGACAATGTTCAAAACAAAATAAACTATTAATTGATTTTTTAAAAAATCCAAGGAGACAGGATGAATAATAAGTCTTCATATCTGTACACTCACAGGAAAGATAAGGTTTCTGTACCCTCAAGGCTAGTTTACTAAAAGCAAACAAACAAACAAAAACATGTAAGCACTTACCTACCACAACAAAACCACTAAATTAAAAGAAAAAATACCTAATAATGTCTTAAAATATTTTTAAAAACCCTTGCTAACAACTTTATTTTTTCACACTTTAGAAGATATTTTTCTCACATCATCAAATTTTTATTATTGTAAAAATACTGAGTTCTTTCAATTTACAGGGTGGTTTGCTTTTTTTTTTTTTTTTCAGTAATGCTGCCTAAGGATGCTTTTTGTTTTCCTTTAAACCAATCTTTTAAAAAAGCAGAGCTTTCAATACAAATTTCAGATGAGTGCTTATTACCTTCTTTAGAGATGTGTGATTCACCTTTCACAAAAAGGAATTCCTATACAAAATGTTAACAAGTACTTAATTAGCATGTTTAAAATTCCTCCTTATAGATCTTAAAGTTTAAATGACTCCCAAGCTGTGATTTTCTATTCCTTGAAAAAGTCCTCCTGTTTGCCTAGGTTGAGGAAAATCCTTAATTACCACGTTACTTACTTCTAACAAAATTATTTATTATCGTATTTGTACAAAAAAAGAATATGATAAACATAAAGAATGGCAAGCCATAATTAAGTTTTCATAAATTTAGACTTACCCACTATTTGCAATTTCTCTCCCTTTTGCTGTATAATTTTATATAATTTACTTTTTGAGCTTTACATGAACAAGTTTTATTCCAAATCTTTGCAGTTTTGTTTTTTTTAACTTGTTTAATGTTTCATTTTAGAATGTGGACCAAAAAAAGAATACATTTCAGAGATCTTTTCATTTTATTGTATAGTAGTTGAGCCACATACACTTAGTACATGTTCAATATGCTATACACATACATTAGTTGTTTGTGGACTTTTAACCTAAGCTAATAAACATACTTCATTAAGTAGAAAAATTATAAATTAAAAATAGCTTCCATCATCCCCCCAAATAAACTGATCAATTGGTATGATTTAGCTGCAAACCTGCAGACACTGGGTTGATTTTTGTTTATGATTCCTATGTGTTCAGATAGTCATGTTTTTCTGTACTACTTTAAAACCACTTTGCATCCCCAAAGCCAAAGTTTTAAAATTTCAATTACTTATTTAATTTGAAAAAAAAGACTTTGAAAAGTTTTGAAAAAAATACATATTAGTGTTTCTTTAGAAAATGAGTTTTAATTTTTAAATATTTAAATATTTGTGTTTGTTAGATTTTGACACATTAAACTCTGCAAGAACTCATTTATTGCATAAAATGAAACACACATGCATACTTGTCATACATGTATGTATTTTTATATGTACAACTATCTGTAATCTAGTAATTATCGCATGTGATCTTTTATAGCTAATTCATGAAAAATAACAATGCCAAATAAAATATTTTATTCACGTTCTCATTTAAATTGAATATTTCCCACCCCCATTTTTGAAATTTGATTTTTTAAAATACCATAAACCAGAATAAAATCATACAATATCCCCCCATGGAAATCCAATATTCCACATTTTTCGTTGAATGTGTTTAGTGAAGATCTTTTTCTTTTTTACTATATTTTGTACTGGTTATTCTGTCTATATAATTCTCAATTAGGTGTATATTATTGGGCTGTAACTGCACAAAGACAATGGTCATTGCTCACTGAATGGTGCTTAGCACATACTAGGTGCTCAATAAATAGTTGTTGAATAATGAATGAATAAGAGGTTTAAAAAGTTCCTACTTAGATGTCTTATCTAAATAAATAAAACAAATGCTACCAACTTGACTTCTTTTTGACTGAAGTATTAAGAAACCTAAGATTTTAACATTACCAAGATTTTAAATGAAAAATATGTGGATATCAATTTGTTGTTGTTTTATATGTGCATATAGATACTTTCATGTTGTTTTATATGTGCATATCAATACTTCTTGTAATAATGGTGAATTTGATGTGAAAAAGATATATGCTTATGTGTTTTTGTTTTAACTGTGTATAAAATTCTTTTAGATTTTACAATAAACCACAAATTTTTCTGAAAATTCACTGTACTTTCTACAATAAACTAGAATTTTTTAAAAAAACACTACAAAAAGAACTTCAAGCCAGCAGGATCTTAAAGATAAGTAATTCTTTCCTTCTAGTCTCCTATAGTAGTTAAAACATGTATTCTTCAGCATACACATCAATATGCAGTAAAAATTTGTTTAATTTGTCTGGGGCATGCTCTCATTCTTTCATTTAATTATTATATCGCTGATAGTGTATATAATCCAGATTGTTTAAATGGTTTTAAATGGTGTTTATACTTGGTAAAGAATCATTTTTATTTGGAAATTTATGCCTTTGTTATGCAAGATCAGTATATCTATGTCCATATTAAATCTACTCTTCAAAAGATGCATATGTATTTTAATCATCTCATTTTTCCTAATCCTTTAAAAATATCAATTTACTCCATAGTGCACTCCAGTCTGATGAATCCCATATCACCTCATAAGAGTGTTTTCATGCAGGAATTACCACATCACTGTAGTGCATCCACCTCTGGGGAGAAAACAGAAGCCAACTGGCTCACAGCACAGCAGTGGGAAGGGAAGAAATTTTTGGCCAACAAATCTGTAGCAAATATAGACTGCTGTTAATCATGTTCAGTTCTTTGCTCAGTTCTTACTTTTTTCTTGCTTATATTTTTTTCTCAACAGGCCTAGCCACCAACTGAGCTATCTCTTTGTCCCACTGGAAGACAACATAGTTAGAAAGGGCATAGCCATTGCCCAAGTCCAGTTTAGTTAACCTTCCTAAGGTTTCCCCCCAGACTTCATCTGTGCCTTTGAGAAAATCATTTGATCAGTGTAACCTCTAGATGAGGCACTGGTAAAACCACAGGATTGGTCATGTCAACCACCCAGTTTACCCCACATACCTTGCAATTTGGTCCAATTTCTTTGAAGGAAAAAACATTCTACAAGATAGGAAATTTTGGTTTGTCATGTTTTCTGGAAAAAACAAAACAAAACAAAGCAAAAAACACTTCTAGACTGACATTTGCCCAAAATCTTAAAATTTGTATTATATATATAGCAGTCTTACTACATCTCAAAGAAACTAGGCATTCTTTCTTTTCTTTTTTTTTTTTTTTTTTTTTGAGATGGAGTCTCGCTCTGTCACCCAGGCTGGAGTGCAGTGGCGCGATCTTGGCTCACTGCAACCTCCGCCCCCCAGGTTCAAGCGATTCTCCTGCCTCAGCCTCCCGAGTAGCTGGGGTTACAGGCGCGCTGTAATTTTTGTGCTTTTAGTAGAGACGGGGTTTCACCATCTTGGCCAGGCTGGTCTTGAACTCCTGACCTCATGGTCCACCTGCCTCGGCCTCCCAAAGTCCTGGGATTACAGGCGTGAGCCACCGTGTCCGGCCAAAAGTAGGCATTCTTTCTAATACAGAAGAACAAATATATTACTTAAGAGCTGTGCAGCTAAACTTTAATATGCATACTAACTACTTGGGGATTATATTAAAATGCAAAATCCGAGTCAATGGGTCTGAGCTGGGGCCTGAGATTCTACATATCTAATAAGTTTCCAGATAATGCCTGGAATTCCAGGTAATGCTCCTGATAGTGTGGACCAGTGATGCTGTTCCCCACTATCAGGAACAAGATTTTAAACATTACAAGAAGCATTGAGAACATCATACCTTACCATCCTCCTTCTATATGCAGAGCTCCATTTTCACAGTTTGCATAAAGGCCCACAGCATTCATGCACTCACAAAATATACAGAACACCATAGAGGACACTGCATCCATGACAGGAGAAAACAGGCTCACACATGAATAAGGTCCCTAACGTCCCCACCTGCTGTTCAGGCACCTGCAATCCACAATGGAGGTCCATTATCAGACTAATAAAATAAGCAGTCACAAAGCTGTTTATCTAAACAAGACTGAAAGCTCTTCAAAAGTTGAACTCTGAATGATTACTGCAGAAGAGTTGTGACTCTCATTTAAGAGGTCATTGATAGTTGTCCCTTGCCAGGGACTATATTCGCCTAGTATTTAACTAGGTTCACGGGCCACCTGCAGTGTGTAACTAAGTAAAAGTACTATGTACCAATGAATTCAAGGTGTGCAATTTATTACTACTTCCTGGTGCATAGCCACAGGCCACTCCAACACCCCAGTCCCTTGTAGTAGTGAACAGAGGTCTTCAGTCAGAGATTGTGCACCATCTACTATGCAAGGCAGGGCTCAGCCTCTGGTTAATTCAACTCACCTATTTATGAAATTAGTTTGCTTCATCCTATTGACATCTTATGACAATTATGCATAGTGCACTGGTTTAACTGAAATGCATAGTGCTTTTAAAGTTTAATGACAATTGAAGACTCAGAAGAAAAGAGAAACATATTTTTCATAAAGGCAGTCACGTATACATTTTCACTTTTAAGCATTCTGTTTGGGTCTTAGAGGAGACTTGAATACTGAGAGGAAGACTAAGCCAGGTTTATTTCTTGTAATTGATTTTGAATCTTTTGAGCAGGAGAAGCACCCATTCAAGTCCCTTGCAACTGAAAAAAATTAAGTACATGTGATTTGACGGTAATTCTAACACACTCTCTCTCCCTATCAATAATTGGATATATTTTTGTGCTACAAGCCTCCATTGTTTTCACCTCATTGGGTACCATAATAGCAAACAATTTATGTTCAGTCTACCAAAAATGCTACTTCTTTAGCTTAAAAAAAAAAGTGTTGTAACCAGGAACTCTTAATAACAATTCTTTGCTGCAATCTGATTGAATCCATACTTTTCTCACTTCTTGCTACTGTTTCTAATATTGAAGGAGGATTTATATTTTTTCTGAACAATAGTTTTTAATTAAGAAGATTTATTAAAGACAGTTTTCCTTCTTATGATTACATTTCCAGTTCCAGAGACACCTGCATTTCAAAACGCACCACATATTTTCATAAATATTCCACAATTCCCTTAGAGCTTTTGGTATTTTAATTTCCTCCAACCTCTTCTTAACATCTTCACTTTCACTTGTGGGTTCCATCTATTTGTACACATTCAGAATTAGACATTTCTTCACACAGGTATAAAATAGAATTGCATTAGAAAGAAAATTCAAAGCATTCCTGTTCTTTCTGAATCAAGACTTTTAAAAGGAACAAAGAGAAATTAAGCTCAGTAACAAATGTCTGACAAAATATCTAGATATCTTACAGAAGTACTTAGAGTGGCAGAGTAAACAACCAGGCTGAGTTTGCTTTGAAGTTTCAATCATTGTTATTTTAATAGAGTAGAAAATTCATTTAGATAGTAGAATCTGATAGTTACCCAATTAAAGCCCTTTTTGTCTATGTTAATGTAGTTTCAAATTTTTTGGTTTTGAAACCCACTTTTGCCAGAGAATTATCTAAAGATAGAAGCAGCTCGAGCAGTTGACTTTAGGTGTACCTCATGAGTGACAGTAAATTGTCAATTAGACCTTTTAAGCCTTTAGTATAAAATTGTAAGCCAATGTATTAAGCTTGATCAAGGTGCAAAGAACAGAGATGCACTCAGGTTATCTCACTTAGTTCACGGAGTTGGCTGTAAGGCTATAGAGGAAATGTAGAAGGCAGGAAACCACCAGTATACACCCAGACCTCACTGGAGAGACCACAATAGCAGTGACTCAGTTATCCCTTCTCATCCTTCTTCAGCAGCCTACCTTAATGCCTCACTGGCATTGGGCCTGAATGTCCCAGCCTTATTGCCACCAGTGCTCTCCATGTCTCTGCACCTGCTCCTTCCACTGTCGACTCACTTCTTGGTCCTCTCTGTTTTACAAAATCTGCTCACTCATTGCTTGGACTGTTCTGTGATCTCTAATAACTCATGGCTTATGTTTATTGTCATGTCTGTGTCTTTCTTTTTTATTTTTAATTATCCATTTATTTATTTTTTAGAGATAAGATATGTTGCTTAGGCTGGCCTTGAACTCCAGAACTCAACTGATCCTCCCGCCTCAACCTCCTGAGCAGCTGGGTTTATAGGCACCTGCCACCACACCTGGCTTCATGTCTGTATTTTCCAACTTCTGTTTTTCTACTAACAGACATACATTATTATAAAATAGAAAGACAGAGAGACTGCATCAGTCAACCACCATCTATACTTTGGAACAAGACCATCTCATTGCCTGAAGGCTGGGGTTGGGAGCTCATCTCTGATGAGCTGCCAACTGTGGTCAGAGTAGCCAGGTCCTGTGGACAACTTTCCTTGAAGGAAGCCCCTCCTGAAATACAGTGGTTTTCTCTTCAATACAAAATAACGCTAATGGGCTTTTGAAAAAACTAGGATTGTTTTAAACTGTAGATATGTGATGGAAAGTTTTCCAGTTTTTTTGCTTGTTGATTTGTTTCTTCTCATCATTCATAATGACATGAAGGTTTTTCAGTTTTTATCTTGGTGTTCAGTACCTCCATAAGGACAGGACAGTATGGAGAAAGATCATGGCTAGCATGGGCAACATGACAAGACCTCATCTCTACAAAAAAGTAAAAGATCAGGTGGGTGTGGTGTCACAAGCCTGTAGTCCCAGCTACCAGGGAGGCTAAGACTGGAGGATCACTTGAGCCCAGGAGTTCTAGGTTACAGTGAGCTACGATTACACCACTACAATCCAGCCTGGGCAACAGAGCAAGACCCTGTCAAAGAAAAAAGAAAAGAAAAGAAAAGAAAAGGAAAGAAAAGAAAGGAAAAGAAAAGGAAAAGAAAAGGAAAAGAAAAAAGAGAAGAAAAGAAAAGAAAAGAAGAAAAGAGGGGAGGGGAGGGGAGGAAAGAGGAGGAATCTTAAGCTTTGTGGTCTATGAGACCTGGAATTGAATTCCTTTTCTGCCACTTGTCAGCTGGGTGGCCTTAAGACACTTAACTTTCTTTTAAGTTCCCATTTTTCTCACCTGGAAGTGCTTACTTCACAGGAAGTCTAGCATTCATTAGCATTTGTTTTATATGTCTTCAAAGTAGATGTGAGCTGGTATTCAGCCTTGGTGTGAAGGATAGTGGGCTTTTTAAATAATTTGCTGCTGCTTCTTAGGAAAGGGAAATCTAAATACTTTCCACTTTGGCTTTCTTGCCTAGTAGATAGGATGGGAAATGTGCTCATCACCTCCCTTCCTATGCTTAATTTTTTTGCTCTGTTTCAGCTTGTATTATATCAGGAATCTGGTTTTTTTCTTTCTATGAACTGCAGCTATGATATTGTTATTATTATTATGGACTTTAAAATGGAAAATGTAAAAGACATAGTGGTGAGAGTGGGGGAATGAAGCACAGGTAGCAGATGATACATAGTTTATATGGCCCATTTTTATTACAATTTTCACTTTCTCAGCCATTTACTCCAAAATTTAATGGCACATATAACACACACATCACTGTGCTAACAGTTGGGAAATAAGACAACTAACTGGCTGTCACAGGAGTTAAAATTGAGAGCTATATAATAGGTTTATGGCCATGTTGAATTGTTTTTTTCATAGAGAAACACACGCGCATATATCCACATGCAGAAACACATAAGCAAAAATGTATGTACTTCAATGTATTTTTACACATGTATATACCTAAAATGCCTAAACATATGCATACACCTATAAATACATAGAATATAAATTTTCTTTCATGTCTCCATTTTCTTTAAGTGAAATTATGCCTGTCTCTCTAGTCCCTATCTCACCAATCACTGAAAATCCAATTGAGAGGGTCGTCTCGTACTTCTTGGATTCTGCAGAAGTCTCTGAGTTTCACTCAGAAAACATCTGAAGACACCAGTTCATCTTTCATTCACACTGGTTACTACCGAAGTTCCTCTTGCCTTAGTTATATTGGCCTCATGAAATCAACAACCTGACTCCAATACCTCAGTGAGGGGAAACAAATGTTTGCCAAGGTGGTAAATGCCCTACCTCTCCATAGTTCATACCATGTGCTGGGCTCTGTTCTATGCATCACGTTCCAGGTATTACCTCATGAATTCCTGAAACAATAGTGAGAGAGTGGTACTATTATGTCCAAGGAAAATGAATCCCAGGCTGGGAGTAACCTCCCTAAGGCTTCGCAGCTCATAAATGGCAGATGCAGGATTTGAACCATGGTGGTCTGGGTTAAGATATGTCTGACCCAGTCTCTAAGGACTTGCTACGGCTTCCCCTACTTCTCCAGAAGTCACGGCTCAAGTTTCTGGGGTCCGGGGTTTTTAAACACCAATACGAAAATCTTGTTTTCTTTTCCTAAACTTCTCAGGTCAAGTCCAAGGGTATAGAAAAATGAAAGAACTCAGTTTCACTGATATCTAATTCTAAGAGCAAGCCCTTCTGGAATCAAAAGGCAAACACCACGGCAGTCCTCTGAAATTCGAGTTCTCTCTATGGGGTCACAAATCTCAAAACCTGGAACCTCAGAAACTGCCTCCAGTTCTTAAAAGGGAGCTGGCAGAATGCTAGTAAAACAACCAACTGTTGGCTGCTAATTTGGATGGAGAAAAACTCAACATTGCTCCAAAGAGGGAAGAAGTATCTCCTTTTTCTCAGGGCCTTCTTAAGGAAGGAGATCCTTGAATTAAGAGGGTTTTGTTTATTGATACATAATATTTGCACATATTTATGGCACACACGTGATATTTTGATACACACATAGAATGTGTAATGATCAAATCAGGGTGTTTAGGATCTCCTTCAACATGGCAGTTATCATTTCTTTGTGTTAGGAACATTTCAAGTCTTCTCTTCTAGCTATTTTTGAAATATGCAATATATTGTTGTTAACTATAGTCACCTGTCACCCTACTGTGCTAGCAAACGCTGGAACTTTTTTATTCTAACTCTACCTATCTTGTACCTGCTAACTAACCTTTCTTCACCTGTCTCTCCCTCCCAGTCCCTGGTAACTATCATTCTACTTTCTACCTCCATAAGATTTCACATATGAGTGAGGACATGCGATATTTGCCTTTCTATTCCTGGCTTATTTCACTTAACATAATGACCTCCAGTCCAAACATGTTTGCAAACTTGCAAATGACAGGATTTCATTCTTATTTATGACTGAATAGTATTCCATTGTGTATATACACCACATTTTCTTTATTCATTCGTTGATAGACACTTAAGTTGATTCCATATTTTAGCCATATTGAATAGTGTTGTGGTTAACATGGAGGTGCAGGTGTCCTTTTAATGTAATGATTTCCTTTCCTTTGGATAAATTCCCAGAAGTGGGATTGCTGGATCATAGGTAATTCTATTTTTAGTTTTTTGAGAAACCTTCATACTGTTTTCCTTAATGGCTGTACTAATTTACAATTTCACCACCAGTGTATAAGAGTTCCCTTTTCTCTGCATCCTTGCCAGCATTTGTTATTTTTTTCTTTTTTTCTTTTTTTTTTTTTTTTTAGATGGGATCTTGCTCTCACCCAGGCTGGAGGGCAGTGGCACAATCGATCTCAGCTCACTGCAACCTCTGCCTCCCAGGTTCAAGAGATTCTCTTGCCTCAGCCTCCCGAGTAGCTGGGATTACAGGTGCATGCCACCATACTTAGCTAATTTTTGTATTTTTAGTAGAGACAGGGTTTCACTGTGTCGGCCAGGCTGGTCTCCAACTTGTGACCTCAACTGATGCACCTGCCCTGGCCTCCCAAAGTGCTGGGATTACAGGCATGAGCCACGAAGCCTGGCCTATTTTTTGTCTTTTTGACAATAGTATTTTAATTGGGGTGAGATTATATTTCATTATGGTTTTGATTTGCATTTTTCTGATGATTACTGATGTTGAGCATTTTTTTACATACCTGTTGCCTATTTGTCTGTCTTCTTTTGAGAAATATCTGTTCAGATCTTTTGCCCACTTACTAAAGGTGATTATTTATTTCTTTTGCTATTGAGTTGTTCAAGTCACCTATATTCTGAATATTCATCTCTTGTAGGCTGAATACTCTGAAAATATTTTCTCCCATTTAGCAGGTTGTCTCTTCACTTTTGATTGTTTACTTTGCTGTACAGAAGGTTTTTGGTTTAATATAGTCACACTTGTCTGTTTTTTGACTCTGTTGCCTGTGCTTTTGAGGTCTTAGCCATGAAGTCTGTGCCTAGACCAATGCCCTGTAGCATCCACTCTGTGTTTTCTTCTAGTAGTAGTATACTTTTGGGTCTTATGTTTAAGTGTTGACCCCATTTTGACTTGATTTCTGTTTATGGTAAGAGATGGGTGTCTAGCTTATTCTTCTGAATATGAATATTTAGTTGTGCCAGCACCATTTCTTGAAGAGGGTATCCTTTCCCCAGTATATATTCTTGGTGATTTTGTCAAAGATCACTTGACTATAAATATATGAATTTATTTCTGGGTTCTATATTCTGTTCCATTTGTCTATGTGTCTGTTTTTATACCAGTCACATGTTATTTTGGTTATGGTAGCTTTGTAGGATATTTTAAAATCAGGTAGTGTGATGCCTCCACCTTTATTCTTTTTTCTCAGATTGCTTTGACTATTTAGGCTCTTTTGTGGTTCTACACAAATTTTAGGCTTTTTCTTTTTTCTATTTCTGTGAAGAATGTCATTGGTATTTCAAGAGATTGCATTAAATCTGTAGATTGCTTTGAGTAGTATGATCATTTTAACAATATTATTTTGATAATAACACTTTTAAAAAAGGAGTTGGCAGAATTCTGGTAAAATGTTAACTAGTGGCTGCTAACCTGGGCAGAGAAAAACTCAAGGTTGTTCCAATGAGGGAAGTAGTGTCTACCTCCTTTTTCTCAGGACCTTCCTATGGAAGAAGATTCTTGAGTTACGAGTTTTCAAAATTACTCCTACTCTCAAACAAAAATAAAAAAGAAGGAAAGGTGCAACTGTCTCTGAGATTTTAGGAAAAACTGGCAGGGTATAATGCAAACATGAGTATTGTCTCTAGAGATCTGTAGTCACCGAGTCACTACACTTCCCCAAGGTGAAGGTGTTTCATTCCACTAAGGTGAAGATGTTTCAACTCATCAGCCTTCCTCTCAGTAAAAGGGAATGTACCCTCCAAAACACAGACTTTCCCTCTAGAGGAAGTCTTTCTGATTTTCTTAATCACCTCTCTTTGTTCTCTCTAACTGCCTGAGACAAGTGGGAGGGTCTGGATCCCATTATCCCCTGGGACAGACTTATTCATTCACAACCGTAAGGCTTAGGCCCCTGGAGATGTTCTAACTACTAACTGTATAAATTAGGTAACAGATATGGGTGATTAACACAGAGGATGTACATCCTACATATATGTATACTTTATATACAATTGGATTTTCTGTTTTATCCTTTTTAGTCACTACAATGTTATTGTCCCTAAAGTAACAAGTATTTTCATTTTCTGCGCTATTACTGTTCTAGTTAAAGTGCCCTTTCTAGCTCACCTGTAGTCCCAGCTACTTGGGAGGCTGAGACACAAGAATCACTTGAACCCAGGAGGTGGAGGTTGCACTGAGCCGAGATCGCACCACTGCAATCCAGCCTGGGTGACAGAGCGAAACTCCATCTCAAAATAAATAAATTAATTAATTACTTGATTAAATTAAAAAATAAAGTGCTCTTAGGGGAAAAAAAGATAAGAGACTCAAATATATTCAGAGATGTTACCTAGCATTTAGACTCTTGAAAATGTACATATTAGTACTTGGAAATACATTTTTTAAAAAAAGATTAGCTGCCTAATTACAGATTTCACACATAATCTGTCATTGGTTAAATATGTGCTGACTGTCATTAAGCTGTTCAGTGAAAGATGAGTAGAGGGCTGGCCTGCTGCTCCTCTCAGAAGTACAAGGAGTTGTCTCTTAAAGGAAAAAAAAAAAAATAAGAATACTATCTCTATTCTCATTTTGCAGAGTAGCTAAAATAACCCACAATTTAACTTCCTTTTGAGCCACTAACAAGTTATGATGGCAATTGATTTACTTTAAAAAATACAGATTTACTGGCCTCTTTTCAGATTTATTAAATCAAAATTTACATGAATTGAATCTTGAAACTTTGTATTTTTAACACCTTACCCAGTGAGTCTTATGCCACAAGCATACCATTTCTCCATTTGGAAGCCACTGAAACTTAACCAATGGTCTTCAAGATTTGACTGTCATTGGCCAACAGCGTGACCTCAGTCAAGTCACTTCATCTCTTAGGCTCTTAATTTTTGCATCTGCAAAGTTTGCGCTAAATAATCTTTAAAATGTTCTCCAAATCTGTGTCCTATAATGAGTCTATATAGGACAATTCAAAAGCACATGGCTTTGAATAAGATTGAGAATGTGATAATAATAGCTTACATTTGAGTAGCACTTCAGAATTTTAAGATGCTTCCACTTTATATATCTCATCTGAGCCTGATAGTGTTGAAAGGAGAAAGGCAAGCATTACTATGCTCTTTTTACAGATGAAAAAAAGCCTCTTAAGTTTTGTGTAAAAAAGGAAAGAAAGAAAGGGATGTTTTCAAGGTTAAATAGTAAGTGAGGTGCTAGACTAAAATCCTGGTCTCTAGATAACTACACTTTTCCATATTCACATGCATTTTTACCTGACAATAATCAAAGTAACACTATAAAATCAGTGTCACCGAAATTTCACTTTTGTCTTGTATGTTTCCAGGAAGAAGGTAAAAACACAAGTCTAGAAAGTGGTGATTGAATTTTCAAAATTAATGTATTTAAATTCAAATTATGAACTTTTCTTAACCACTATTCTTCATTCACCTATTCCTTTGCAGCAAAGACAATATCATGCACTACTAAAATAATTTCACATTTTTTTCTCGGAACACAGCTAAACTATTTTCGCCAGCATCCTTGTAGTTAGGATATGGCTCCGGGACTGGCTTCTGGCTAATGAAATATGAGGATAAGTGACATCCATTACTTTCAAAGCTGATCTGTAAAAGTCTCGTGGCGCCCTCGTCCATTCTGTTTCCTGCTTCTGTAGTGACCTTGGAGGCCACAAGTTGAAGATAGCAGAGCCATTAGAAGGAGACAATCTGCCCCCTTTCATGAATTTAAGGAGCAGCAACCAATATTTCCACTCTCAACTCTGTCAACTCCATTGGACTGTATTATCAGTGTGCAATAAACTTCTATGGTGTTAAGCTACTGAGATTTTGAAGTGGCTTGTTACAGCAGTTAAGCTGCCTTGATTAATAATGTCCTTAAATTATGTTCATTGTTTTTCCAATTTTTCCTGCTATTAGTTGGTAATTTATATACTCCATTTACAGTGTTATAAATGATTTCTCTGGAAATTACACATTCATCCTTGACTTACTGATATTTTTGCCCCCTTCACAAACAAAGCAAGTACTTTAGAAAACTTTTTAAGTTCTATTACACTCTATTGTTTTTGAAAATTTTAATAATATTCTCTCTCTCATCATACAGTCCTTGACTTACAATGACTCAGCTTAACAATGATTCAGCTTACAAGTTTTCAACTTTATCATGGGTTTACCAGGGTATTAAATCCATTTTCAACTTGCGATATTTTCTACCTATGTGTATATATATATATATATATATATATATATATATATATATATACACAGATGCCCCTGAGGTTATGTCTCGATAAACCCATCATAGGTAGAAAATGCAAGATTATTACATGTATACGTACATACATAAATATATATACATATAAATACATATATACATATATTTACATATCATATATACATGCACATGTATATACAGTCACGTGTCACTCAATGACAGAGATACCTTCTGAGAAACACATTGTTAGTTTATTTTTGCCATTATGTAAATATCACAGAATGTACTTACACTAACTTGGTGTAGCCTGCTGCATACCCAGGCTATATGTTATAGCCTATTGCTCCTGGGCTAAAAACCTGTATGGCAGGTTACTGTAATAAATATTGTAGGTAAATGTAACACAATGCTATGTATTTGTGTATCTAAATATATCTAAACATAGAAAACATACAGTAAAAATATGCTGTTATAATCTTATGGGACTGTTGTTGTATACGCAGTTGATTATTGACCAAAATATTGTTATGTGGTGCATGAGTTTACACATAATCCCACAAGACATTATTATTGTTTTATATAGTCAATATTCACATAGATTGATCCACGTATTTATTATTTTCATTGATTTTTCATTCTTTTGCAACCATCAATTTTCTCTAGGATAATTTTCCTTCTGCCTAAAGAACATTCTTTAGAATTTTTTAAAAATATAGATCTGCTTCCCTGGAGTCCATGAGGATGTTAGAAAAAAATGTATATTTTATATAGATCTGCTGGTGGCAAAATATATCTGGTATTTGTTTTGTTTTGGTGAGAAAATTTATTTGACCTCTGTTCTTGAAGAATATAGAATTCTAGATTGAAACTTATTTTCTTTAAGCCCATTGAATATATTTCTCATCTTTCAGTTGCTGTTGAGAATCAATTCTCAATCTAACTGTTTTCCTTTGATTTTAATCTGTTCTTTCTCTGTGTCTGCTTTAAAAATTGTTCTCTATTGGGCCTCAGAAATAACACTACACATCTACAACCATCTGATCTTTGACAAACCTGACAAAAACAAGCAATGGGGAAAGGATTCTCTATTTAATAAATGGTGTTGGGAAAACTGGCTAGCCATATGCAGAAAACTGAAACTAGACCCCTTCCTTACACCTTATACAAAAAATAACTCAGGATGGATTAAAGATTTAAACATAAGACCTAAAGCCATAAAAACCCTAGAAGAAAACCTAGGTAATACCATTCAGGACATAGGCATGGGAAAATCTGCGTGACTAAAACACCAAAAGCAATGACAACATAAGCCAAAATTGACAAATGGGATCTAATTAAACTAAAGAACTTCTGCACAGCAAAAGAAACTATCATCAGTGTGAACAGGTAACTTACAGAATGGGAGAAAATTTTTGCAATCTGTCCATCTGTCAAAGGGCTAATATCTAGAATCTACAAAGAACTTAAACAAATTTACAAGAAAAAAAACAACCCCATCAAAAAGTGGGCAAAGGATATGAACAGACACTTTTCAAAAGGAGACATTTATGTGGCCAACAGACATATGAAAAAAAGCTTATCATCACTGGTCATTTAGAGAAATGCAAATCAAAACCACAATGAGATACCATCTCACACCAGTTAGAATGGTGATCATTAAAAAGTCAGGAAACAACAGATGTTGGAGAGGATGTGGAGAAATAGGAATGCTTTTTCACTGTTGGTGGGAGTGTAAATTAGTTCAACCATTGTGGAAAACAGTGTGGCAACTCATTAAGGATCTGGAACTAGAAACACCATTTGACCCAGTGATCCCATTACTGGGTATATCCCAAAGGATTATAAATCATTCTACTATAAAACACATGCACACATATGTTTATTGGAGCACTGTTCAAGATAGAAAAGACTTGAAACCAATCCAAATGCCCATCAATGATAGACTGGATAAAGAAAATGTGGCACATATACACAATGGAATACTATGCAGCCATAAAAAACAATGAGTTCATGTCCTTTGCAGGAACATGGATGAAGCTGGAAACCATCATTCTCAGCAAACTAACACAGGAACAGAAAACCAAACACCACACGTTCTCACTCATAAGTGGGAATTGAACAATGAGAACATATGGGCACAGGAAGGGAACATCACACACCAGGGCCTGTCAGGGGGTGGGGGGCAAGAGAAGGGATAGCATTAGGAGAAATACCTAATGTACATGATAGGTTGATGGGTGCAGCAGACCACCATGGCATGCGTATACTTATGTAACAAACCTGCACGTTCTGCACATGTATCCCAGAATTTAAAGTCTAATTAAAAAAAAAAATTTTCTCTGTTTTTAACTTCTTCCTTCCGTTTACTGTTATTTTTTCTCTTGTTGTTTTTTTTCCTTTGTTTTTTCCCCCTCACATTTCTTCTTTCCTTAATTTTACTTGTGCTTTACTGTGGATTTCTTCTTGTTTATTATACTTGAGATTTGTTGGCCTTCTTGAATCTTTGGTTTAATTTCTCTCATTGGTCTTGGAAAATCCTAAACCATTACTTTTACAATTATTGCTTTTAAAACTTTCTCTCCATTTTGGGGGGGACTCCAACTAAACATGTGTTAAGCCTCTTTATTTTCTTTTGGGACTCCAACTAAGATGCATTAGACCTTTCATGGCATTATTTTTCTGCATTCCCTCATCTATATTTTCCCACTGTTAGACTTTTCATACTTTATTCTGAATAATTTCCCCTTATATTTTATTTTACCAGTTTTCTCTTCAGTTGTTTCTTTTTTGTTTGTTTGTTTTTGTTTTGTTTTTTTTTTTAGACAGAGTCTTGCTCTGTCACCCCAGCTGCAGTGAAGTGGTGCAGTCTCGGCTCACTGCAACCTCTGCCTCGTGGGTTCAAAAAATTCTCCTGTCTTCAGCCTCCCAAGGAGCTGGGATTATAGGTGTGTACCAGCACACTTGGCTAATGTTTGTATTTTTAGTAGAGATGGGGGTTTCCCCATGTTGGCCAGGCTGGTCTCGAACTCCTGTCCTCAGGTGATCTGCCTGCCTGGGCCTCCCAAAGCACTGGGATTACAGATGTGAGTCACCATGCCTGGCCCAGTTGTTTCTTATCTGCTATAAAGCACATTTATTTATTTATTTTCTGTTTGATTCCTTTTCTTTCTTTTTTTTTCTTTTAGATGGAGTCTTGCTCTGTTGCCCAGGCTGGAGTGCAGTGGTGCGATCTTGGCTCACTGCAACCTCCACCTCCCAGATTCAAGCGATTCTCCTGCCTCAGCCTCCTAAGTAGCTAGGACTACAGGCATGTGCCACCATGCCTGGCTGATTTTTTTTTTTGTATTTTCAGTATTTTTCAGTAGAAACAGGGTTTCTCCATGTTGGCCAGGCTGGTCTCAAACTCCTGACCTCAGGTGATCTGCCTGCCTCTGCCTCCCAAATTGCTGGGATTACAAACATGAGCAACTGTACTTGGCTTGATTATTTAAAAAATTGTTATAACACTACAGTTTCTAACTAGATGCCAAAATTCTCATTTGAGCTTTATTTCATAACAAGCATAGTCTGTGGTCTTAGGTTTATAATAAGCACAGCCTTATGGTCTGTGTCTTATAATTCAAAATTAGGGGTTACCATAGGTCTCTTTCTGTTGCTTATTTTTTCTGTTGATTCTTGCTGTCAGTGTTTGCTTTTTTTATGTGACAAGTTATCACTACATGCTGGATGTTATATTTGAATAATTATAAATGGAAGCACATTTGGACCAAGATGTTATCCTTCTCCAGAAGAAATTTTTATGTATTCCTGTCAGGTATCTAGAGACATTTTCCATCTGGGATCACTGTAATCCAGTTTAAGAATTTAGGATTTTTTCATTTTTTGAAAACTGCCCATAGGCTCTCATAGAACTAGTTTATTTCTGACTCACCCTTATGCTAAAGATGTACCCTTTCAGCATTTCACTGTAAAATGAATGGTGGTTTATCAGGATTCCCACCCTTGGTAGGTCCTGGATTTCAGCTACTTCCATGAGACTAACTAAACCTTAGCTTGGACTTTCAGATGACTTTTATTTTTAAAAAATAAACTGTATTGTGTATATTTGAGGTTTATAGCATGATGGTATGGGACACACATAGATAGTAAAATGGTTACCTCAGTGGAGCAGATTAATATACCTATTATCTAATACAGTTACTTTTTTGTGACAAGAGCAGTTAAAATCTACGTATTTAACAAAATCCCTAATACAATATAGTTTTATTAACTATAGCCCTCATGCTGTACATTAGATCTCTAGGCTTGTTCATTCTGCATGTCTGCTACTTTGTCTTTTCTTTTTGTCTTTTGAGATGAAGTCTCACTCTGTTGCCCAAGCTGGAGTGCAGTGAGGAGATCTTGGCTCACTGTAGCCTCAGTCTCCCAGGTTCAGATGATTCTCCTGTCTTAGCCTCCCTAGTAGCTAGAATTATAGGCACGTGTTAACATGCACTGCTAATTTTTGTATTTTTTGTAGAGATGGGGTTTCACCACGTTAGGCTGGTCTTGAACTCCTGACCTCAAGTGATCCACCCGCCTCGTACTTTGTCTTCTCTTAATCAATAAATCCCCATAGGGAAAAAAAAACAACCTCATAGGTTTACCTCTTTGGATTTTCATCTCTCCAAAATTTTAGTCTGACATTTCTTCGCTTTTTTGTGAAAGAATTGATATAATATTATTGATATAACTGATATTATTGATATAATAAGTGGCATGGCCTGGAATGAATGCAGCTCTACCTGACTCCAAACTATGCTGTTAACTATATTTTCATGCTTTCTCCCAAAATTTGTTTCTCATGTAAATTTTTCTGTATATAATTCCAAAACCAATTTCAGGCACTTTTCGTCACCTATATCATAATGTGGATTAAAATACAATGAAATGAAAACCACCATGTAAAGTTAATTTGCAATAAACAATATAAGCCAGAGGTAGAATGCTATAATGATATAGTAAGCTTTGGCATTAGAGAGACATGTGTTTGACCCTTAGCTTGATCTAACTGCTTTTGACCTTGAGCAAGTTGCTTTGTCCTGTCTGAACTGCAGTTTTATCTTTTATAAGGACAGATGAGACCTAACTTGCCAGACTCATACAATGTACCAATGTCGCCAAAGTGTACTTCACTTAAAGTCATAAAGGATGCCTTTTGCTTTTGTGCTCCATCATCTCAGAAAGTATTTCAGAGCAAGAGCTCACAATGTTTCTATCACTACGCAAATACTCTAAATTCAAGTTTTCAGGAAACATCAGATTATCTTTCACAAGATTTATGGATCTAATTTATTGATCTTCTTTTGCAGTTTACACTAGCTTCAGTGGTTAAGAATGTAAGTGAATAAATTACTTAAAAAGAGGCAACAATGTGTTCTACAGAAATAGAAATATCTGTATTCAAAGGGAATTAAATGACTTTAAAAATTTAACTTTATATTTATTTTTCTATTTCTTTTTATTATTTAATCTTTTTTAAAAAAATTATTTACTTCTGGCCTTACTGAATCATATATTTAATTATTTATTCGCTTAAAAAAATTTTTTTTTTTTGAGATGGAGTCTCGCTCTGTCCCTCAGACTGGAGTGCCGTGGCGCAATCTCGGCTCGCTGCAAGCTCCACCTTCCGGGTTCACACCATTCTCCTGCCTCAGCCTCCCGAGTAGCTGGGACTACAGGCTCCCGCCACCATGCCCGGCTAATTTTTTGTATTTTTAGTAGAGACGGGGTTTCACCGTGTTAGCCAGGATGGTCTCGATCTCCTGACCTCATGATCCGCCCGTCTCGGCCTCCCAAAGTGCTGGGATTACAGGAGTGAGCCACTGCGCCAGGCCCATATACTTATTTTTAAAACTAGTCTTTGATTAGCCTCCTTGAGTGAATTTTACAGTAACTTCAAAATGCTCAAAACTAACAGAGAATCTGATTCATGTTATAAGATAGATCTTGTGATAAAAAAGAATAGAAGAACCACAGTTTCTTTCTGAAGTTTTCTGAAGCAAAAACAATGTGAGCATTTATTTTTGCAGAGAGGCTAACAATGTATGTAAGAGAGGAGTTCAGTTTTAGGAGGAAGAATCACTTTCTACTTTCTCATCTTTAGGAACAATTCTTCAACAACAAAATAACTGACAAAAATTTTGGGGAACATTGTTCCTGACTGAAGAACAAATAAGAACTGGAGCTCAGTTTGAGGGAAATAGCATCATAGATCACTGAATGAAAACCATTCTTAGAGGCTGGGTGCGGTGGCTCACGCTTATAATCCCGGCACCTTGGGAGGCTGAGGTGGGAGAATCACTTGAGCCCTGGAGTTCAAGAACAACCTGGACAACTTAGTGAGACCCTGTTTCTAAAAAAAAAAAAAATTTTACGAGGTGTGGTGGTATACGCGCCTGTAGTCCCAGCTTCTCAAGAGGCTGAGGTGGGAGGATAGCTTGAGCCCGGGACGTCAAGGCTATAGGGAGCTGTGATTATTTCACCATTGCTCTCCCAGCCTGGGTGACAGAGCGACACCTTCTCTCAAAAAGAAAAGAAGAGAAAAGAAAAGAAAAGGGAAGGGAAGGGAAAAAAGGGAAGAGAAGAGAAAAAGAGAAGAGAAGAGAAGAGAAAGCCATTCTTAGTAATTTTGTACCTGTGGTCTTTTTGCTGGTGCACCCTTATTTACTTCCTAACTGTCTCTGACTTTAAGAGATCTGAAGAAGACATGAGTTTTACAGTCACTTATCTCCTTTCCACTCTTGCAGATTTAGGAAACCCTGGAGACCTGAATCTAATCTACAAATTCTACAAAATTTCCTAAAACACTTAACTCACACTTATCTACTTGTCATGTCATACTCCATCTCTCTCTTTGTCTCTATGACTCTCTCTCTCTCACACACACACACACACACACACACACACCCTTCCTTCTCCTTTCCCATTTGTCTCAGAAATTCAGGAAGGAAGAATGGTGACAGTGTTAGGTTACTATTTCAGAGCAACTGTAATGGTGAAATTTGGTACTGTTATCTTGGGTGGGAAGAGGCTATGGTTACAGCCATGATTATGGCTATGGTGTGACTTGGGAAGTTGTTTTCTCCTCCTGATTATCCGCCCCCGCCCCCCACCCCCCCACCAAAAAAAAAGCTTCCAGGTCCTCTTGTCCTGCTGGGAATTGAACAACAATTCTAAGGATCTGATTCTTTTAGAGGATCCTCAAACTTAATTTTGATTACAGCCCAAAACAGGAATCAATGCTATTTATTTCTTTTGTCACGACTCCCTCATTTAACAAATTTATTGAGCAACTTCTTTGTTGTAGGCATTGTGCTAGGAGCTTGGAGTATATGAATATGTAGTGTTAAACAAGACGGACTCATATCCTCACGGAATTTAAAGTCCAGAATAGAGGTTGGCAAACTTTTTTTCTTGTTTTTTTTTGTTTTTTTTGTTTTTTTTTTTTGAGAAGGAGTCTCACTCTGTCGCCCAGGCTGGAGTGCAGTGGCGCAATCTCGGCTCACTGCAATCTCCGCCTCCCAGATTCAAGTGATTCTCCTGCCTCAGCCTCCCGAGTAGCTGGGATTACAGGCGCCTGCCACCATGCCTGGCTAATTTTTGTATTTTTAGTAGAGATGGGGTTTCACCATCTTGGCCAGGCTGGTCTCGAACTCTTGACCTCGTGATCCACCCACCTCGGCCTCCCAAAGTGCTGGGATTACAAGCGTGAGCCACCGTGCCCGGCCTTTTTTTTTTTCTGTAAAGAGGCAGATAGTAAATACTTTTGGCTTTGACGTCATATAATCTCTGTTGCAGCTACTCAACTCTGTCATGGTAGCACACAAGTAGCCACAGACAATGCATAAATGGGTAAGTGCAGCCGTGTTCTAACAAAACTTTATTTATGGGCACTGAAATTTGAATTTCACGTAATTTTTACTTGCTACAAAATGTCATTCTTTTGATTTTTTTCAACCTTTTACTTATGTAAAAACCATTCTTAGTTTGCAGGCCATATAAAAACAAGTGGCAGGCCTGATTCGGCCCATGGGCCACAGTTTACCAGCTCCTAATTTAGAAGGAAAGACAGATATTAACAAACAATCCTTTTGACAAATGCATGGTTGCAAACTGTGATAAATGCCATGAATAACAAGTACAGAATGGGAAAGTAGACCAAGGGGCCCAGACTAGATGGGGGGTGATGAACTGATGTTTAGCCTGAGGTCTGAGGCACGAATGGGAATTATTTCACTCATCCAGCCATGCATGGCTTGGAAGCATTTGCCAAGAAATTTTTTGGCAATCTATGATTATCTTAGTGTTTTGATCCACTCTACAATTCATCCAAACTTTTGGCCTTTTGTCTGTGCCTTCCGGAATTTGACTCTCTTTTCTTTGCCAGAAGGCAGCATCAATATGTGAGTGGTTGAGTCACAGTTAGAACTTCAGTACAGCCAGTAATAAATTTACAATATGTTTTGATCAACCACGAGATTATGAGGGTGGTTTGGAAATAGCACCCTTGTAGAATATTGAAGATACTAAATCTGATAATTTTGCTTTGCACTTAGAACACTGGCCTCAGTTGTTTGTTGTTGATTTTGGATTACTTTTGTTTTGTTTTGTCAGTTACTAGACATTAACAAAAGCTAATATTTGAAATAGAGGATTACTCTAAAAGAGATCAAAGAAACAAAACCTACAATAGACCACCTTTAAACCAATAACCAGGGAGAAACATGCTCATCTGTTTTAATTACCACAGTGCCATTGCTATTCCATAGGATTTCCTCCCACCTCAAATGCTGAGCATAATGACTCACTGGGCAGGGAATCAATAGGCTCCATAGTTAACGTGGGTCTGCTGAAATGCCTCTTGTGCCCACCTTTCATAATGGGCTGGCTGCTGTTTGGCAATCAGCAAACTGCAGAAACAATCCTATCCAATATGAGTCACTGCTTCAGTGACCAGAACTGAGACTCTCCCTTGGGAGTCTCCTTTATTTGTTATGCATGTTTCTTGTGGTGGTTGTTCTGAATCCTTTGAAATTATGCTTTTATGCAAAAAAAATGCCACTGATTATTTTAGTCTTCAAATGATGCGAACTAGGCCTGTGTCCTGGAAAACTTAGACAGCTGCCAGGTTAATCTGAAACTTAGCAACGTGAAATAGGTTATTCTGCCAAACAGAACTCCTGGAAAGACCAAGTCAGTAGATACAAACTGCAAATATCTATGTGGAAACAGTATGTCTTAGTTTGTATCAGGTACTATGATTCATATTTACATGTATTATTTAATAAATCTTCAGGACAAAAAATAGTGAGTTATTGAAGTATGATCATGAAGAGCAGAGACTTTGTTCTAAACTACATGGGTTCAAGGACTAACTCTACCTGTTGGTAGTTATGTGACCTTGGACAGTAATGTAATACTCTGTGCCTTAGTTTCTTCATTTATGTAATCAGGATAACCCCTCAGTGGTAGTTGTGATGATTATAGGAGATAATTTTAAAAGTGCTCGGTGCAGAATCTGTTAAATGGTAAGCACTAATTATAAGATATCAGCTATTATCCTCACTTAACAGATGAAGAAACTAAGGTTCAAAGTGTTTATCTGATTTGCCCAAATTCACGTAGCCAGTACGTGGGAGCGCTAAGATTTGAACTCAGTTTGACTCTAGAGTCCTTCAACATAACAACCACGTTATTATCTTCATCACTATTGCCCTCATTATTATTAGCTATAATTAATGGTCTTAGCAACAAGCCAAAGGAAATCCTTGCCAGGCATACAATGCGGGGTGTGTGCACAAGGCTGCAGAGAATTATTTTTAGTCACAATAACAGACAGGAAGAAAAATCACTACAAGTATGAGGAACTTTGAATACAAAGTTATCAAGATCTATAGTCTACACATTTGTTAAGAAAGATTAACCACCATCACCAACCTCTCCTTGTACTATAGGAATAGATAATTAAAATAGATTCATATAAAAGAATTTATTTGTTCACAAAAACTATTCACTGGAGTACAACCACAATTCAGCAACTACAATAACACAACAAAAAACTGCAATTTTTAACGTGAAACTCTTAAACCAGGGCTCTTTGACAACTAGTATACTTTTGAATAGGCTGAAAGGCCATGAACTCCTAGAATTTGTGTACAATATTTAGGAAGTGTAAGTTTAAGTGTGTTTTTCTGGTGAGAGAGGCTATGATCATCATTAGATTCTCGTAGGGGTCTGTGACTCCAAAAATTTTAAGAACCACTGGTTTCTTTTCTTTTCTTTTTTTTTTAAATTATACTTTAAGTTCTAGGGTACATGTGCGCAAAGTGCAGGTTTGTTACATATGTATACATGTGCCATGTTGGTGTGCTGCACCCATTAACTCGTCATTTACTTTAGGTTTATCTCCTAATGCTATCCCTCCCCCCTCTCCCCACCCAAGAACCACTGGTTTCAACTGAAGGCTCTTCTTATAGTCCAGTTACAATGGTGGTTCCTGAAAGCCTGGTCAGCCACTGGTCCAAGAGAGGTTCCACATTCCTTTCTCTGCTACTAGTGACAATTCTCCTGTGCTTTGTCATTCAAGAGAGTACAGGAATTTAACTTACAACAAAAGTATTCAACACAATACTTCATATGTGATAAGCAATTCGTGTTAGTTAAATCTAGACTAACGCAGTTAGGATGCAGTTAGGATGCAGTTCAGGAGTCAGTCAACTGCAGCTTGTGCCTATTTTTGTAAATAAAGTGTTATTGGAACATAGCCATTCTCATTAATTTACATATTGCCTATGCCCAATTTTGAGGTGCAAGGGCAGATTTAAGTGGTTGTGACAGAACATACGAATCTCAAAGTTTAAAATATTTACTCTCTGGCCCTTGACAGAAAACATTTGCTGACCCCTGATGCTGTTGAAAGAATCTTGGGGTTATAGTCAGGGTGAGCTTGAGATCTGTCTCTATTACTACATGTGTGCCATTGCACAAGATGCTTTATTTTGAACTTCAGTTTTTCATGTAAAAAATGGAGATAACTTCCATCTACTTTGCAGACCCTTCATAGTTACTATCAAGATCAAATGTAATAATGTATGCGAAAGTAAAATACACATTATTAGTACTAAGATCATCATCCCTAAATTACCTACATATGGTGACACAGATTGTTTCTCAGAAAAGGATAGAGAAAAATCATTGCAAAGCATTAAACACAATAGCAATTACCTATTATGCCACAAAATTGTTACTCTTTGTGAGATTTGCCTCCCAAGGCAACTAATATTAGGTGTTGCTTTTTAGGGAAGAAAAACAAATATTTCCTGAATAAATTGCCAAATGAAATACTGAATAGAAATAATAAGCCCAAAATACATTTTCTCATTCAAATATGTGTTTAGTTGAGATGTTGCCCTTGATTTTAGGCATTGCTGTTCATCACCAGAGACAGAAAAATGCTGCAATAGTGTAAATTATGAAATATGAGCTCTCCGTACTTTAGGTAGCCTTTGAAGACTTCGCAGCTTCTGCATTTTTAAAAGTCATATATTTTTCAATAACTTTGATAAATCCTTGAAGTTTTAAAAGGAAATGGAATTGCTTATGCACCAATTTTTGTGAAGGAAGTGAATGATTTATCCATAATCTCACATATCCAGTTAAAGTTAATGGGAAGACTCAAAGTCTCCTGAAAAAAAATAGATAATATTTATCCCACCATTTCCCACAATTCAAGCAATACCATAGAAATTGAAAACACATGTTTTTTCTTTCTATTAAATTAATGAATGATATATTCTCTTTCCCCTTTACTGAAATGGGTGGTTGCTATTTCTAAATTATTTAATTGTATCAATGATATTATTTGGTTTGAGACCAAATAATTCTTTGAGTTAACTTCTCCTTCATCTATAGGATGTGGTACAATAAGACAAAATCAGAAAGAAAGAACCAACCTCTGGGCATTAAGGTAGTAATCTGGGAGTTGAAAGGATATATGCAAATTCGAGTGTTTTGAAACATATTCTACTAATACTAGTCAGATTGTAACCCAATTTTCTAAGCAATGAAGCTACAATTTTGGCCACCAGTTTCTACCTTACTATAGAAGGAGTGCCAATAAAGTATTGTATTAGTCCGTTCCTACATTACTATAAACAACTACTTGAGACTGGGTAATTTATAAAGAAAAGAGATTTAATTGGCTCACGATTCCACAGGCTGTACAGGAAGCATGGCTGGGGAGGCCTCAGGAAACTTACAATCATGGCAGAAGATGAAAGGAAAGCAGGCACATTTTTACATGTCTAGAGCAGGAGGAAGAGAGTTAAGGGGGAGGTGCTACACTTTTAAACAACCAGATCTCACTCATTATCACAAGAATAGGAAGGGGAAAATCCACCCCCATGATCCCATCACCTCCCAGCAGGCCCCTCCACCAACATTGGGAATTACAATTCAACCTGAGATTTGGGCCTTGGGCCGGGACCCATATCCAAACTATATCGTTCGGTCTCTGGCCCCTCCCAAATCTCATGTTGTTCTCACATTGCAAAACACAATCATCCCGTCTCAACAGTCCCCCAACTCTTAACTCATTTTAGCATTAACTCAAAAGTCCATAGTCCAAAGTCTTATCTGAGAAAAGTCCCTTCTGTCTATATGCCTGCACAATTAAAAACAAGTTAGTTACTTCCAAGATACAATGGGAGTACAAGCACTGGGTAAATACACCCATTCTAAAAGGGAGAAATAGTGAAAACAAAGGGGCTACAGCCCACATGCAAGTCCAAAACGCAGCAGGGTAGTCATTAAATCTTAAAGCTCCAAAATAATCTCCTTGACTCCATGTCTCACATCCACACCACACTGATGCAAAGGGTGGGCTCCCAAGGCTGTGAGCAACTATATTACAAGGCAACCAGGTCTGGGTCCTGGTTTCATCTTGAGAAATTTACTTATATGAAAATAATCCTATGTGTTAAAGAATTGAAGAGAGAGCTGGGGAACTACTCTCAAACAATGACAGGTGTTAGGTCAGCATTGGAGGTACAGATCATAGTAAACAATTGAGTGTCAGCAGGTCATTGCTGCAGTAATGGACCAGCTTCAGTGGCGTTTTCTAGCGTCATATTACCCCATTTAAGATGCAGGTTCTGGAGAATGCATAGATCTAGCTTAAGTTTCATGTCTATCTGTTGACTAGAGATAAGGTAGAACCCTTTTATTAGGGCTTATGCCCAATCTGAGGCTACATCCAAAGGGAGAAAGCTAGTCACCAAAGAAAATCAGAATTCTGTTAACAAAAGAAGGAGATATATGGACCTTGGGATGCCTGAAACAGTTACAAAGATAATCATGCCTGCCTCTTCAGGTTTTTAAACATATTAAAAGAGGCAACATATTTAAAATATATATCACAGAGATATCCACTTTAGAAAAGTAGCTGAATAGCAACTTCAATCAAGTCTCCTCTAACTTATAGAAAGCAATAAAAACACACATTATCATGGAGAAAAAAGACTTCCTTCAACTCAAAGCATAGCTATATTTTGTTTCACGAAACAGAAATTACCTTAACACAGCTAGAAAGACATTATTTGTCATACTCTATATTTGCCCCATTTCCAATGGTATATACAGCTAGAACACAAGGTAGCCATTCCTCCTCTGCATGAATACTGCTTTTCAGAAGACCACAGTGCTGCTTTCCACTACTACTGCTATCTTTCTGCATTCTTGTGGAAAGAGTCACCTAAAACAACTGGACAGAACAGAGGGGTCATGCAAATCTGGACACAATTCTGAGACAAAAACTGTTTGTTACATTTTGTTGAATTGGGAAGTTGAGATCACATAAATGAGGCATTGCAAGTGTGGGTGTGGAGACAGAAAAAATACTTGTAATCCTACAAATTAGGAACTGTAGAATTTCCTCTCCTCCATCAGTTTGCAACATTAGAGAATCAGCCACTGAAGTTAGAAGAAGAAGTAAGAGTTATCAGAAACCAGGATTTAGAGAACATTAGCCAGTCTATATATACTCCAGCGATAGGCCAATAAAGGTGATTTAACCAACACCAAGCAGAAAGCGCACACCACCAATAATGACTCCATTTCACTTGCATTTACTGAGTCTTGGAAGCTCTCTTTTCACTAACACATATGGATTGAGAAATCTGAGTGGGGCCTGTGAAAAATATTATAGGACAAGGCAAAGTTGCTTTTAGGATTAGTGAGTTGTATTAAAAGTACTTTATGACGGGGGTGAGGGGTGGGGAGGATGTTGAGTACAAACAGGAAAAGAGGCAGAGCACACCTCTGAAAATGACCTATTGAAAGGATCAGAGGACATTTCAGAAAATGGCTTGGCATGAAGAGGAAGCTCTATATCTTATATAAATTGGCATCCAAGGCAATTTATGCTGTTTGCTCTGCGGACTCTGGGCCCTCTGTTGGTTCTTGCCATAGTTCCCAGGCAGGTGCTTTGAGGCCCCTGCTTTACTCATTCTAGCCATGCTTACAGCAGGCTCTGTGTAGGATTTTATTGGGTTGACTATCAGCACCCCTCAAGTGGTTCCATATGCCAACCCTGGCTTTACTACCACTTTCCACTGATCCTTTACTCAGAGTTCCAAGTCTTTTCAGACTTTTAATCTGGGTTCCTGTGGCTTTTCCCCCTTGGCTGCTGGTGGCCTAATAGCCTTTCTTCCTCCTGTGGCTCTGCTTCATAGCCCTGCTCGAAAGCAGATGCTCTGGCTCCTTCCACAACGCATACTGCCAGTTTCATGGCATTTTCTTGCTGCTTTTGGCTGTAACTCTCAACTTCCCAAGGCCCAATTGTAAGACACCATGTGGGACAGACCCAAGAGGAGGGATATGGTGGGTGGGGGAAGGGGATATTGTGTAGAAGATGTGAAATGAGACTGAATTTATTGTCAAGGCATAAGGAACATTTTTCTATCAACTTGGTTTTCACACGATTCAGATGCAAATTGGTTAAAATGAACACTTTTCTTGTGGGATGGGAAAGATATGTTTCAGTGGAGACTGTCCTTTTAAGGAATGAAATTTAGGGGCCTGCTTTTGGCAAATGTCCTGTCTTTAATCTTGGCTTCCGCATGTCCTCTGTTTACCTTCCAGTTGAGAGGCAGTCTGCCATCTCCCTATCTCCCTGTATTATCACCTTTCAGTTGTTTCCAGCTGCCTCCGCAGTGCCCATATTTTGTCCTTGATTTTCCGTTTCGAATATGGATCATTTTACTATTGACACAGGATAAGCTTTTAATCCACTTTTTGCCTTTTCTTTTTGTCTTTCTCTCTTTTATTTCTTTTTTTTTTTTTTTTTTTTTTTGCTTTTTTTTGTTTTTTTGAGACAGAGTCTTGCTCGATCATCTAGGCTGGAGTGCAGTGGCACAATCACCGCTCACTGCAGCCTCCACCTCTGGGCTCAAGCAGTTCTCCGGCTTCAATCTCCCAAGCTTTTTGTTTCATTTCCTTTTCTTCATACTCTCCCTACATAGGCAACTGCCTCTACTATAAAAGGCAATATGGTCCAGCGAGGAGGTCAGCAATTAAAAGAAAATGAACTTCAATTGCCAGCAACAACTCTGAGAAATGATGGTGACTAACCATGGACCCTTTATTATGGAGCAAAATGGAATGAGGGAACAGGAGGTCATCACTGAAAACAATGGGGAGGGCCAAGACAGAGAATGATGATCAGACTTATTGCTGTTAGGCGTACCACTTTCCTGGGCTATATCTTTATATCTGTGGTTCTTGATTTTGCCTCTCAAGGATCATTTGGCAATGTCTGGAGACATCTTCATTTGTTACAGCTGGGGAGGGATATGTTATTGACTATCTGGTAGGTAGAGGCCAGGGATGCTGCCATGCATCCTACGATATACAGGAGAGCCCCTGACTTTAAAAAAGCTATCCAACCCCAAATATCAATAGTGGCAAAGTTGATATACCCCCTGTGCATACAGCTTCTTACAGCCATGGTTAGGTCTTGAGAGATTTTAGCCAGGAGATATGAATGCTAGTCCCTTGGGGGACTTCATCCCTATGCATTAGGTCATTTGTCACTAACCCTGTAAGCATAAAACCAAAACCAAAGTCAATTCCAAAGGGCAAAAAGTAAGTGATTTTTTTTTTATTTATTTCTTTTTGGTGGGGGTGGGTGCATAGTCTCTCTCTGTCACCCAGGCTGGAATGCAGTGGCGTCATCTTGGCTTGCTGCAACCTCTGCCTCCCCAGTTCAGCAATTCTCCCACCTCAGCTTCCCGAGTAGCTGGGATTACAGGCATGTGCCACCACACCCAGCTAATTTTTTTTTTTGCATTTTTAGTAGAGATGGGGTTTCACCATGTTGGCTGGGCTGGTCTCTAACTCCTGACCCAGGTGATCTGCCTGCCTCCACCTCCCAAAGTGCTGAGATTACAGGCATGAGCCACTGAGCCTGGCCAAAAAGTAAGTCATTTAACTCCTTGGTGCCATGATGTCTGAGTCTATTTAGTGTTGCTGTAACAAAATATCTGAGGTTGGGCCCCTTATGAAGAAAAGAGATTTATTTGGCTCATGATTCTGGTGGCTGGAATGTTCAAGATTGGGCATCTGGTGAGGACCTCACACTGCTTCAACTCATGGTGGAAAGTGGAAGGGGAGCTGGGGTGTATGAAGAGATCACATAGTGAGAGAGGAAGCAAGAGAGAGAGAAACTGAGGAAGCCACACAGACAGAGAATCTGTGCTAAAGGGAACTAATCCATTCCCAGTAGAGGGAGCCCTCACTCGCCCCAGTGGGAGGGCATTAATCTACTCATGAGGAAGCTGCCCCCATGACCCTAGCACCTCACACTAGACCCCACCTCCTGACACTGCCACACTGGGGATCAAATTTCAACATGAGTTTTTTCATGAACAAATCACATCCAAATCATAGCATATGATATATTTCTCCTTTCTTTTCTATTACTCCTTGGAGCCTACAATGGCTCATCTTAGTTCCCTGTAGTCAAAAGTGCCTCCTTAGTTGCATCTCAACTCAGATGCAAACTGGAAAACAAATAAAAAGAGAGAGAAAGGCATAGAGACATACATATTTTAGAATTTCTTTGGTGCTGTATCCTGTACGCCCCCTTCCCTGACATCTCCCTGTCTTCACTCCCACCCTGTTTACCTTAGCCCCACTTCACTTTCATCTCCTGTCACTATTCTTCAATATTGCCTTCTGCAGAACAGATAGAACGCCTTCCTTAGGTAGGAAAAAGGGAAAAACCTTTCAAGGAGCCAGCCTATGCTGTTCTGAGTAAGTCAGTCAGTCATCTCAAGTACAGAATCACATAGACTATGTGTTGTTAAGTATTAATATGATTTCATTGTTTTGGTATTTCGAATACCATGGGCATGGTCAGTATTTTACCCTTGTCATCTCAGTTTTTAACTAGAAAGAAATGCTATAAAGATTAGGGGAGATGATATTTATGAATCCCTTAGAGACTTAGATTTTCAAAAGGTGCTATTTAGAAAATAATGTTATTTTAATTATGTTTATGATTTCTACAAATAGGCCTAATTTTCGATGATCTGACACAAGGAAGGGAGGTAATAGGATATTTGCTTTGAGTAAATGAGGCTCTCCTAGCTAAGCTACCCCAGTTATTGATGAGTGACTGACAAAAATCTTCAGGTAGCATGTTCTGCTTTAGCCAGGATTCAGGGGGTGCTATGACATGGGGCAAGATCTACAGACTGAGCACATATGTCCTCTGAAAGCTGCCTTTCCTTTAGTTATTCACCTGTGTCCAATAATTTTTTTATTTTGGTAATTATGAAAACGATTCACTAAGGCTAATTTATATGTGTGAGTTTTAGCTCAAGATTATCTTTTCTTTATTTGATTTTGGAAAGAAGCAAAGTAGCTCTTTGGAATAAAAAACTTGCTGGAGAGTCCTATGCCCTAGGACATATAATATCTTGTCCTCCTCCCCTCCCAAACTCCATTCACCCCCTCCATAACATCCTCCCAAATCAGGTACTATGTAGCCAGGTATGTTAACACTCAACTTTTACCAGATGAATGAAATCAATCCCTATTGTGGCTGAAAAATACGTGCAATTAATTTACACATATAGAAGCTCTGCAGCTTGTGGTCATTATTTTACTTTGTTTTTATTGATCAAGGTAAATCCATTATCTGTTGATCAATACTAACTGAAATGATACAGTGTCAGAGAATTAAGTAATATTAGATGAGGAGATAAGAAATATGTTCCTGTTTTGCCATTATCTAGCCCTGTGTCTTTGGATAAGGCATTTTACTTTGCACCTTAGTTTTCTCATACGTAAAGTGAGGGAGATAGCCTGGAAAACTTCTATGGTGTTTTCAGCTCCAAAATTTTAAATTCTATGACTTTATAGTTGAAATATAAACTTTATAAGGATATGACATATTTACAATTATGGCTTTTTGAGTAGAAGGAAAACTTGAGTAGAAGGAAATCTTCAATTACATAATATATTTAACTTGTACACATAAAAACCCCCCAAACCTTGAGATAATTGATTTTACCTAAATGTTCATCCCTTTCCCTATTTTCAGCCAGCTCTATACCCATATTATGTTTATGACATAGTTTCAAGCTATTTGCCATGTATCCACCAACAGAAATTTACAGAAGAGAGTACTTTCTAGAATTTACCCATTACGGTTACAAAAATAAATTATTTTGTTGTATAAAATGAGGGAAAAATAATGTGAGGTTTTCATGAAAAACTTCAAAGTCTAATGGAAGAATAAGGCAGGATGTGGTTCTATTTATTTAAAACTGTTTAACTTTTTAGGTCCAAGGAGTGATATGAATTCCAAAAGGAATGATTTCCAGGAGGAAGAGAAACTTTTGATGGTTGGCCTAATAAAATAGAACTACACATTAGTGAAACTGAATTCAAAGGCGCTTCCAACGCTGCTGCACACAGATGAGCCCTCTCGCTGGATCCCGTCCAACCCCAACGGCTGCGCGCACTGTAACCACCATGTGTCATCTGCAAACCAGATAGTTTCTGTGCGGGAAAGACCAGCCAGCTTTCTTGGCCAAGCTGCTGCCATAAAACACACTAGTGATTTGGTTTTTCATGTTTTTTTTTTAAGATATGCTTTGATGCACAGGATACGTTTGGTCTCACATTGTCCAGAGCACTATCAGAAATGACTAGTTGATGAATGTTGTACCAGAATCAGGTCACATTTTGACAGGTTGTTTTGTGTCACTGCAAATCATTGCTTTACAATATGGACTTTTTTTCCCCCTTAACTTTTAAATCTTAAGCGTAAGAATATAAAGTGCGGCTAAACACTCTCAAACATTAGGAGTAATCTGCCTTTAACAACTTATATGCATCAGCTGCCTTTTGATATCGTTTGCAAAAAGCAAAGGCATCATGGGATCTCTTAAAAGAACTGGAAAACTAAATGTCAGAACTGCATTTTTACACTCAGCTAGAGAAATTCCTGCCTCGTATAAAACACCTACGTTCTAACACCTCGTGTTTGCTTTGGAGACTTACAAAGAGTTAATACAGCTTGTTTGGCATCAGATATTGGTATAATGGGCTTTTACTGAAGTAATTAAAATTTGTTTATAATTAATACAGATGAATTGGTTTCTGCACAATAATAGTTAGGAGATTAACAAAGGCCACATTTTGGCAACAGGACTACATTCTTTTCCAAGTGCTGTGGGACCTTATCCAATGAATGTCTGTCCAATCCGGCTGATTCTTCAGAGATGCCATATGGCACAGCTATGCATTATGACTTTTTTTTTCAAAAAGGCAGCCATATGACATAACTGATCTTTAAAACGTTGTCAGAAGGCATTACCTGGGTAGGCTTTGAGCTGCTTTCCAAAAACTTAGCAAGCACAGGGGCTATTAATTATGAGCAAAAGAAATGTGCACGCGCACACTGGAAATTTGGCATTCTTTCCTCCCTAGTCACGGCTGATCATCTCTCAAGCCGTTCTACTTGGGGAAGTAAGGAGTCTTTTTAAAAAAAATGTCTAACAGTGAAAAAAGAACATATTCTGCATTAAAATACGTATTCAGCAATTTCACTACAAAATGTCTTTGTACTTGACCCAAACATGCACACATTTTGCTACCTGTACTTTCACCATATTCACTAATTTAAAAAATATATATAATGCTATTTACAACCAAAAGTTTCACAATATTTGAGGTACTAATATGGTGCAGAAAAAGAATTTTTTTTTTTTGAGACGGACTCTTGGAGTGCAGTGGCTCAATCTCTGCTCACTGTAACCTCTGTCTCCCAGGTTTCAAGCGATTCTCCTGCCTCAGCCTCCTGAGTAGCTGGGATTACAGGCAAGTGCCACCACGCCTGGCTAATTTTTGTATTTTTTTTTTTAGTGGAGACGGGGTTTCACCATGTTGGTCAGGCTAGACTCAAACTCCTGACCTCATGATCTGCCCACCTTGGGCTCCCAAAGTGCTGGGATTACAGGAGTGAACCACTGCGCCCGGCAGAGAAAAAGAATTTTTGTGTGTGTTTGTGTGGTGGTAGTAGTTGATTTCTATTTGACATCTTTATTTTCTGCACTCAATTTCAGATAGCAGAAAATATAAATTGCCCAAGTATTTTCTTTCCAATGTCCTCAGAAAATTGGGTTGTGCAGAGGGGGACATTCATTTTAAACTTTCCATTTTTGTATGTGCTTAGAAAGAGTTGATTGCATTAATTTCCATTTTTAAACACTGTATTAAAATTTGGAGAACTCTATACGCTAGGAGAAGGGGAATAGAGAACAAATCAATGGAATCAGTGGACTGGATGCAGCTACAGCCTGGATGAGCAGAGCTACCTCTGCATTATTCTATGCTCACTCCTTCTAGCCTACTGCTGCTCTGTACGTATTCTGATAATGTTTACTGGACTTCTCCATTCCGATCTCAAATTCAATGTATGTCATATAAAACTCCCTCAGGCCAGGTGCAGTGGCTCGTGCCTGTAATCCCAGCACTTGAGGAGGCCGAGGCGGGTGGATCACGAGGTCAGGAGTTCAAGACCAGCCTAACCAATATGGTGAAACCCCGTCTCTACTAAAAATACAAAAATTAGCTGGGCGTGGTGGTGTGCGCCTGTAGATCCAGCTGACTTGGGAGGCTGAGGCAGGAGAATTGCTTGAACCCGGGAGGCAGAGGTTGCAGTGAGCCGAGATTGCGCCACTGCACTGCAGCCTGGACGACAGAGGGAGACTCTGTCTCAAAACAGAGGACAAAAAACTCCCTCAAACTTGTTCCTTTCACCGTCTTCCTTTTCTCTGTTAATGTCCACTCCATCCTTTTAGTAAATCAGTTTTTCAGTCATCTTTGACTTCTCTTTTTTCCCTCATGCCCCATTTCACCCACCATCAGATCCAGTGAACTTTAACCCCCAAAATGCAGTCAGCCCTCCATATCTGTGGGTACTGCATTGCAGATTCAACCAATCACAGATTAAAAAATTTCAGAAAAAATAATAAATACAACACAAATTTAAAAAATACAAATAAAAATAATACAGTATAACAACTATTTACATTGCATTAAGTATTATGAGGTAATCTAGAGATGATTTAAAACATAAGGGAGAATATATGTAGATTATATGCAAATACTACATCATATTATATCGGGGACTTGAGTGTCTGTGAATTTAGTTATCTGCATGGGTCCTGGAACCAATCCCCCATGGACACCAAGGGACAACTGTATACCCTGAATTACTTTACTTCTAGCTACCTTTACTGCTAGGATTCTAGTTGTAAGCACTACCATCTTTCTCTTTTGTTATTATAGTAGCCTTCTGTTTCCCTGTTTCTACCCCTCCTTGCCTAAAAGTTTTCAAGACAGCATTCCCAGTGATCTCATCAAAGTAAATGTTAGATCATGTCTCTTTCCTGATCAAACTTTTCCAATGGCATCCAAGCTCACTTGGAATAAAAGTCAAAGTCCTTACCAGACCTACAGGCCCTACACGGTTGGGTCTCTTGTTACTTTGATAGGCACAGTATGCACCTTCTGCCTCAGGGCTCCTGCATCTACTGCTTATTCTCTCAGTGGTGTTTCGGGGTGCAATCCTACTGACTTGTGGGTGAATTGTTAAATTGTCGGGAATTGTGCTAGCTGGTTGTAAACCAGTGGTAGCTGGAAATCAGCCAAAGTGGGAGCATTTACACCAAGGAAACTGGCAAAATCTAAAAATTAGGTCTCCTCATCCCATGAAGAGCTCGTTGTTAAGCATTTCCCAGAACGCCACTGTATTTTCCCTTCCTGGAATGTTCTCCTATTACAGGAGCACCTCCTCCACTTCTTCAACATTTTTCAGGTCTTTACTTACTGAAGACTATTTAATAGTCAGGTCCCCTGTGACTATCCCATTTAAACTATAACCACCTCTCAACCCCCTCTTCTGTATCCCCTCATTATTTTTCTCCATTAAACTTGTTATTTATATATTTATTTTTAGTTTATTTTGTGTCTTCCTGCAATAGCATATGGAATGAATGCATAATTGAATGAATTAATACTCCATCATATATCTTCCGATGCTGATAACCAGATAATAGCTATCAGAGTTCTACTTCACCATATAGCGCCTGAAGTGCTAATTTTTAAGAACTAATTATTTGGAAATAATTTATTTTATTTGAAATAATTTTGATTTCATAGAAGAGTTGCAAGAACTGTATTTTAAAAAAAATTTTGTATACCCTTCACTCAGATTCAGTAGTTACTAACATTTTGCCACATCTATCTATCTAGGGTTTTTTTTTTTTTTTTTTAAGCAGAACTATTTTAGATGCTTTGTCCACATCACAAACCTTTATTTTAGCTAGAATCTTTTCAGAAAAAGGATATTCTCTTATATAACCACAAAATTATGGTTACCCTTAAGATATTTATCGTTGACAAAATAGTATTATTTAATACGGTTTTCATGTTTAAATTTTGCTACCTGCTCCCAAAATGTCCTTTTTTTTTCTTTTCTTTTTTTTTTGAGATGGAGTCTCACTCTGTCACCCAGGCTGGAGTGCAACTGTGCAATCTTGGCTTACTGCAACCTCCGCCTCCTGGGTTCAAGTGATTCTCCTGCCTCAGCCTCCTGAGTAGCTGGGATCACAGGTGTACACCACCACGTGGGGCCAATTTTTGTATTTTTAGTAGATACGGGGTTTCACCATCTTAGGCTGGTCTCGAACTCCTGACCTCATGATCCGGCCGCCTCAGCTTCCCAAAGTGCTGGGATTACAGGCATGAGCCACTGTGCCCAGCATCTAAAATGTCCTTTTAACACTTTCTTCTCTCCAGCTCAGCATCCAATCCAGCACCATAAATTGCATGTTATGCGTTGTTTCACAGTTCATTGATAATTCTTGCCTGATGGTCATACGATGGTGATTTTAAAAATTCTCTTATTCTTTCTACACTTATTATTTGTCATTCTATTATAAGGAAGAGCTTTTCCTTTTCCCTAATATACTGTCAGTATGAACTAACATAATTCACCTTATTTGATGCCTTACAATCTATTATTGTTATTATTTTGATGTAAAATTGTCCCAGATTTGTTCAGTGAGATCCTCTTTCAATGAATCCTTATGTCCCTTTGAGATTACATGTCCCTGTCTTTCTTTAGAGTACTTCCTCACATTTTTGTATAACAAGATTTTTTAAGGTTAATCTTGTAGTTTTCCTGCCCCAGCGTGAAATCAACCATTTTTCAAAGAAGTGTGACTTTTTCTAGTGAAAAATGGTATTTATAAGCCAACATATGAGCCCTGGATGTTTTCATTGCTACCAAGGTACCATTTCTTCTAGGCCTTTTCAGTAGGCAGAATTGGAAAAAAAAGGCATTGCTTATGAACCATAAATCTATGTGTATGTGTATGTGCATGTATAAAATATGTAAAATAATGTTCCTTTCCCTCCTCCAAGTCACTCTGTCTACATATGTGTATTTGTGTGTGTGTGTGTTTGTGTCTGTGTGTCTTTGTATGTAATCATTAAGATTTTTGGAACACCATATAAATATATGTGTGTAGATGAGCATGTGTATGAATAAAATCATGAGTTAATGATAACTCTAATTCCAAATTAGCAGCAAAGGGTTCTTTCTTATTTTCTACCATTATGTGTTTGTATTTTTCTTCTCTCACAGTAAGAACTCTATCTCCCAAGGATATTAACATACTCATTTGGTCAATTCTATGATACACACAACATAGATTCAGAATCACTATGTCCACACTGCTCTGGAAGCAAGAAACAAACTTTCTAGGTAGAGTTCAAGATGTGTTGGAAATTTCCTTTGCTTTTAAAATGATTTATAATTAAAGTACTATGTTCAAAAGCTACTTGGTTTTTTTTCCTCTTTCCTTCAAAGTGGTTATATTGTTTCTTTTTTTTTTCTTTTTTTTTTTTTTAAGTACAATTTCCATTTTATTTTTCTCCAGAGAATAGTCTGTCTTCAGTCTTTAAGAACTCAGCTCCTTACATGGGCTTTGATGGGGGACGTGGGGCAGCACCCGCAGGTCTAAATCGGGGTGGGGGTGTTCGGTCCTTGCGGGCTTCACGAGATCGATTCCTGACTATTTTGCGGTGAACTGCACAACTCACGCAGTAATGTAGCTTCACATACAGCTTGGGAAGCACACAGGCATCGAAGACGCTAGCTTCAGAAATGTCCCTGACTGCTGCGGCCTCCACTATGTTTCGAATGACGAATTTCTTAATGGCCTTGCCCTTGGGCACACATCGGGCACAGTTAGTGCGGCGAATAGGCTGCGCGTGGTGGCGGCCCTTTTTGGCACGACCGTTGTTCCTTCTTTTCTTTGTCATCTTGGAGGCACGGACCGGAGAGAGATATTATTTCTTTATAATATAGTTAGGGTCTTTTTTTCTGTTTGTATGTAGTTTGACTTTGTCTTCCCATCCTTGTTTATTTAATTTTAAATTTCAAATATGTAAAACATCAAAATAGTTCAAAAATTCAAAACTATGCAAAAACAAAGTTCTCACTCAGAAAAGTGTTGCTCCTTCTGCTGCTGCTTTCATCTCATTCCCAACTACCCCATGTAAGAAATCAGTTTTGTTAGTTTCTGGTTTACCCTTTCTGCCTATTTATGTTTGTTTGCAAAAATAAACAGATAGCATGAGTATTTTAAAATTCTTCCTTCTTCCTTACACAAAAGGTAGAGGCTGGGCATGGTGGCTCATGCCTGTAATTCCAAAACTTTGGTAGGCTGAGGCAAGAAGATTGCCTGAACCCAGGAGTAGGAGACCAGCTGAGCAACATAGTGAGACCTCATCTTTACAAGACACCTAAAAAATTAGCTGGGTGTGGTAGCGCATGCCTGCAGTCCCAGGTGCTTGGGAAGCTGAGGTGGGAGGACTGCTTGAGCCCATGAGGTCAAGGCTGCAGTGAGCTGAGATGGTGCCACTGAATTCCAGCCTGTGTGACAGAGCAAGATCCTGTCTCGAGAAATAAAAATAAAATAATAATAATAATAAGTAGAAGATTATACATTCTTTCTTGTACTTTTTATTTAATTTTTAAACAATATACACTAGAAACCACTTCAAGTCAGTTCACACAGATTTTCCTCACAGAAATTTTCCTCATACCTTTTCCTCAGTCTCCCCGTTTTTATTTTATTTATTTATTAATCTATTTATTTGTTTATTTATTGAGACAGAGTCTTGTTCTGTCACTCAGGATGGAGTGCAGAGGTGTGATCTCGGCTCACTACAGCCTTGACCTCCCAGGCTCAAGTGATCCTTCTACCTCGGCTCCCAAGTGGCTGGATCTACAGGCACACACACCAGTACACCCAGCTAATTTTTAAATTTTTCATAGAAACAAGGCCTCACTGTGTTGCCCAGGCTGGTCTCAAACTCTTGGGCTAAAACAACCCTCCCACCTCAGCCTCCCAAAATTCTGGGATTATAGGCGTGAGCCACCATGCTTGTCCTATTCTTCCCCTTTTAAAAAAGTAACTGCATAGTACCTCATGACCTCATATGGTGTATGAACCATAGTTCATTCAACCTATCTACTACATATGAACATTTACATTGTTTCCACTATTTGGCAATTACAAATAATGCTATAGTGATAAAGTCCTAAATTTTAAGAGTTTAGTTTTCTTAGTTTCAGATTACTGTTAAAATAAGATAAGCCTGGAAACCATGACTATTGAAGTTACTTTCAGTCATTTATGTCACACTGTGAATGCATGATAGGACAGCATTCTTTCATGGTAATGTAAGAAACATGGCAGCACACAAATTCATTGAGTGCGTAGGCAGTGTGTATGTGTGGGAGTGGGCAAGAATCCACTGAGGGGGGATTTAGGGCAGGGAGGGAAAGTGGGTAAAGCAAATTTCTTCTACTGTCAAGTTGGATTGAAGCCTAGTTTGTGCTTGATGTTTTATTTATTTAACAGATACTTATAGAGAACGTGTCCTTTGTTAGGTGCTTTTTAAGACCCCAGGAGAGGTTGGGCACGGTGGCTCACGCCTGTAATCCCAGCGCTTTGGGAGGCCGAGGTGGGCGGATCATTTGAGGTCAGGAGTTCGAGACCAGTCTGACTAACATGGTGAAACCTCGTCTCTACTAGAAATACAAAAAAAAAAAAATAGCCAGGTGTGGTGGCTGGCATCTGTAATCCCAGCTACTCAGGAGGCTGAAGCAGGAGAATTGCTTGAACCCAGGAGGTGGAAGTTGCAATGAGCAGAGATCGCACCACTGCACTCCAGCCTGGGCGACAGAGCGAGACTCCGTCTCGGGAAAAAAAAAAAAAAAAAAAAAAATATATATATATATATATATATATATATATATATATATATATATATATGATGAGGTGCTGGAGAAGACCTTTTGCAGAGGTAAACTTTGAACAGAGACCTAAATAGTGTGTGGGTAAAAAGCCAAAAAAAAAAAAAAAAAAAGGATTTTGGGAAGGATTATTCCAGGCAAAGAAAATAAGTGCGAAGGTAGGCACTGAGGTTGAATTTCTCTTGGTGAATTCTAGGAACTTGAACTAAGTGAAAGAGAAGTGGTCTGTGAGGAGGAGGCTTCTAAAGTGCCATAATCCAGTTTCCTTTTTTTTTTTAGATCACCTTTCCTACCATGTGAAGAAAAAACTGCAAGTGTGCAGAAGTGGAAGCAGGAACTACACACTGAAGCCTAGGTCAGAGAACATGGTGGCTTGAGCTAAGGTGGGCTCAGTATAGATAATGAGAAATAATCATATTTAAGCTAAATTTTAAAACAGGACCCATAGGGCTTTCTAATGGATTGTAGAGGGTGAGGGAGAGAAATCAAAGATAACTCCTAGATTTTATCTTAATCTAGTCTGGGGAATGATACAATTGTGCTCTTTCACAAGCTGTCAGAGATATAGCCTACTTTAATAGCTTTATGTTATCACAACGCTTGTTAGTTAAAGCCCTGTCAACTTATTGCATCCTTGCTATAGATAAAGATTTTCCTAAAAACAAGTGGCATTGTGGGAAGAAGGAAATATATGAACTATGAGAAATGAATGAGAACAAAATTCTGTTAAAAATAATCTATAACAAAAAACAAGTCAGTCCTTAATGATTCAGTAATTGATTCATTCATTGTTTTTCAATTCAAATTTTTAATCCAATGACGATTGAATGCTTGCCCATCCCAGCCACTGTCCTGGGTCTTGGGGATATACTGTAGAACAACACAGATATGGACTCCATTGTTATGGAGCTTACAGTCGAGTGTGGAGACCAACATTAACCTAATCACACCCTCCTCATGGAACCTAGTACTCGATAGACACTATGCTCCATCTTTATTAATTTGAGATTATTTATCACATGACAAAACAGTTGGCTGATCAAATTATACTAATGTGTGAGGCACAAACAGTCTTCTTTATTGGTGATATTTGCTTTAACTGAGAACCAATGAATTTCTGAATACTATTTTATAGAACTCCCTTTTCTGGCAAGGCTCGGGGGCTCAGGCCTGTAATCCCAGCACATTGGGAGGCTGAGGTGGGTGGATCACGAGGTCAAGAAATCCAGATCATTTTGACCAACATGGTGAAACCCCGTCTCTACTAAAATACAAAAAATTAGCTGGGCGTGGTGGTGCACACCTGTAATCCCAGCTACTCAGGAGGCTGAGGAAGGAGAATTGCTTGAATCCGGGAGGCGGAGGTTTCAGTGAGCCGGGATTGCACCGCTGCACTCCAGCTTGGGTGACAGAGCTAGACTCCGTCTCAAAAAAAAAAAAAAAAAAAAAAGAACTTCCTTTTCTGGTGCCCTTTGTAGAGAATAAAAGAACATAAATCTTCAACTAAATAATGTATTTTATGACAGCTGACCATTCCTTTTTCAGAATATGACCAAAAACAAAAGAGCAGGTAAAAAATATTTTTAAAGTTCTTAAAAGGACTTAAATGACAAGTAATCATTCCTGGAAAAAGCTTAGGAAGGTATTAGAATGTCTCCTCCTTTCATGGTAAATATTTAGCATGGTTATACTAACTGAAGATGGTTGCAAGATCACCTTACCTATTTCAAGTATAAAGTGTTATACTCATTGGTGTAGATGTTTACTCCATTGTCGATATTTGGATTGGATGATTTGCAGGACAGGTAATGGTCTAAAACTGATTCTAAAACTGATTCTCAGTGTTGTTCCTATACTAGCCACATGAGCATTAACTGAAAACTTGTTAGAAATGCAAATTTGGGGGCTTTATTACAGACCTAGTAAATCAGAAACTTGGGGAAGGGGTATGTGGAGGGGTAGTAATCTGTCATAACAAACCCTCCAGGTAATTCTGATGCTTAATGAAGTCTGAGGCTATTGGAATAAATAAAGGACATATTTTCCATTCATTCATCCAGCACAGTTTCACTGATTACTTAATGTGCACTTGGCACTCTCCTAGGTACTAGGATGTAGCAGTAAACAAGGCAAGCTGGATTCCAGTCAGAAAGTATATTGTGTCAGTTAGGTCCAATTAGGAAAACCCAAACTGCTTTAAATATTCAAAACAGATGAAGTTTAATTGATTACACAGGAAATGGAATTGCTGTGAAGACAATAGGAAATAGTGAGAAAACTGAGATTAGCAACAGCAAGAAGTCACTACTGCCCCTGGGCTGCAGGGCAAAAGCTAATAGTGCTATCAGAGCTCAGGGGCCAAGGTCACCTGGCAGGTCTGTCTGTAGGTAGCTGGAGGCACAAAGGTGTGGCAAGTGCTGCTTCACACCTGAGGCCACTTGGGCAGAGAGGGATGGGGAGATATATCCTAGCTTCTTTCTTCTTTCTTCCTACCAGTACCTCCCATTGACCAAACCTAGCAGGAAACCTGCTGTTGCAGGGCCTGAGATATTCAGCCGCAGGTAATGATCCACTGTGATACAGAACAGAGCTGAGGAGGCTGGAGAAGCAAGAGGGCAAACAGCTTAGCATTAGCACATGTGCATTCTAGGGGATTCAGAGGATTGCTTGAATGCTCTACGCAGACTCCTCCTTGCACCTGTAATTTGCAGATAAAAGTTGAGAAACATTTGAAACTTGCACAATATATGAGAAGTCTGAGTAAATTAAAAACAAGGGGTATTGCAGGGAAAATAAAAGTTCTAATTTATTTTTTATTCTGTCATTGTAATACATTTGTATTCTCTCCTAAACGAATGAGATATTTAGCATGAAAAGATGTTCATGTGCAAATAGAATAGGTGGATTAATTATACCACATTTACTATCAATTCATTTTTTAATACTGACTACAGTGATTTAAGCTTTCAAAAAGCTAAGCGCTCACACAAATCATGTCTCCAGAGACTTTGTGCTTTGTGCTGATCAATAATTATTCTGTTAATTATGGAGATATAAGCAAAATTAGGCCATTTATAATTCTGCATGCACAAGAACAACTCTTCAAAGCTGAAATTACCTTTCTGTTTAGGTTGGCTTAATACTCTGGAAGATGATTAGACCATATTCTCAATTAATCTTTTGGCAAGTACTATTTTCTTATTTTTCTACCAAATATATTGTGATTTTGAAAGAATAAAAACTAAAAATCACCATCAACCTAAATATATATATTTTTCCTATTGGGTTTATATCTACCCTGAAAACATTTTTTGTGAAGAGATCTTTTATTCATTCAACAAATGTTTAGTGCATGCTTATTTAGTGTAAAATATTGTGGGGGATTAAAATAACTTTAAGAGTAAAGTTTGTGTATAGAGAAAAAACAAGGCTGGGTTTTAAACAACTTTCCAGTCAGAAAGATTTTGATTGTTAGATTTGTGACCTTACTTTAATTAGTTAACTTGTCTGAATTTGTTTTTTCCTCTGCAAAATGGGGACCATCACATCTATCTCACAAAGAGCTGTGAGAATTTAGGAGAACAATATACATTTGTATGGGTCTACTGCTGTGTTTGGAAGACACTGAGGATAGTTGTAACGATAAATGCCAGCCCATTTCCTAAATTCTCTGCATACTTTTCCTCTTCCTAGATAATTTCATTTCTTTGCATTTGTTCTTTAATGCTGCCTAGCTTCCTCTGCACCTTTCTTGTAGCCTTCCTCTATTTTTCACTATTAGAATAATTGACCATCATTGGCGGTTAATCCCAATGGAGAGAAAAGCTCTCTTTCTCATTCACGTCCTACTTTGATATTGGCTTCATCCATTCATTCATTCAAAGATATTTATTGAGGATCTACTATGTTCCAAGTACTCTTCTGAATGAGAGGCCTAAGTTCTACTTAAACTAAACAAGATGTTTTCCTCATTCAATTAAAAAGGGCATTTCAACATCTATTTACTAAGTGTATACCAAGAGCCAGGTTTTGTTCTAAGCACTGGGAGTATAGCAGGGGAAAAAATAAGACTTTGCTCCCATGGAGTGGATGCATTCCAATTAGCAAAGACCAACAACGGTGACTCATGCCTGTAATCCCAGCACTATGGGAGGCTGAGGTGGGCGGATCACCTGAGGTTAGGAGTTCCGGACCAGCCTTGCCAAGATGGTGAAACCCATCTCTACTAAAAATACAAAAAATCAGCTGGGTGTGCTGGCTCATGCCTGTAATCCCTGCTACTTGGGAAGCTGAGGCAGGAGAATCGCTTGAACCCAGGAGGCGGAGGTTGCAGCGAGCTGAGATCATGCCACTGCACTCCAGCCTGGGCAACAGAGTAAGACTCTGTCTGGGGTGGGGGTGGAGGGGGCAGGGGGAAGAAAGAAAGAAAGAAGTGAGGGGGTGAGCACTGTGAAAGTGATCATCTTCAAGAAGAGGGGCTGCAGACAGTGTGGGCACCAAATGTCATGGCCAAGTGCCAGCGCAAGCCTGGAATGCTGCATGGTGGAGGCTGGTGATAAAAGAAAGAACAAAGGTGCAGGATTAGGAGAGGAGAATGAGAGGTATCAGGGTCCATTTGCATGAGCACTATTCTTCCTTCTGTAAGATATGGAAAGTGAAGAGGAACATTTTCGATTTTTGATTGCCAGAGGATCATTCTGGCTACTTGGTAAAAGAAGGTCTGTAGGAGTAAGGAGGCGGTAATCAGGGACAGAGATGATGGCTTCAACTACCTTCAGAGTGCTAAAAATGGTGAAAAGGGGAGCAGATTCAGGATACATTTTCAGGATAGAGCCAATAGAATTTGCTGATAATTGGACATGGGAACTGAGAGAAAGAGAGCAGGCAAGCGTGACTTCAAGGATTTTGATTTGAGTAACTGGAAAAAAATCTCTGGTGGAATATAGACACTGGTGAGGGAGAAAGGCAGCAAACAAATGAGCCCTAATGAATTGCAGTTACTAATTTGATGGGACTTGTGGGGGGTCAGGAGTGATGTAGCCAAAGTGGTATTTAAATTGGAATCTGAAAGATGAGTAAGAGTTAGTTGTGTGAAGTGCGGTGTGTCTTCAGGGGTGGAGTCAGTGGAGGTTATAAATTTTAACATATACAAAGACCCTGAGTCAGGGAAGAGCTTTTTTTTTCCGTTTTTTCTTCTTCTTTTGTTTTTTCTTTCTCTTTTCTTCTTCTTCTTCTTTTTTTTTAGATGGAGTTTTGCTCTTGTTGCCCAGGCTGGAGTGTAATGGCACGATCTCAGCTCACCGCAACCAGAACCTCCTGGGTTCAAGCAATTCTCTTGCCTCAGCCTCCTGAGTAGCTGGGATTACAGGCATGTGCTACCACACCCAGCTACCTTTTTTGTATTATTTTTAGTAGAGATGGGGTTTCTCCATGTTAGTCAGGCTGTTCTCGAACTCCCGACCTCAGGTGATCCGCCCACCTCGGCCTCCCAAAGTGCTGGGATTACAGGCGTGAGCCACTGCGCCCAGCCAGAGTCAGGGAAGAGCCTTAAAGCATGTAAGTTTATAGCATACTGTAGACTCAACAAAATAATCCAACCTACAGTCTTCATTTGTATCTCCTCCACTATTGATGCACTAGTATTGCCCAGGTCCACATATACCAAAATCCTTGTGTTTATTTCTCATTCACCAAAATTCTAGTTATAAGCCCTGGTTATAGAGCTATCTCATTTAAAAAAATATTTTACTTTGGGAAATAAATAAAAAGTTCAAAGGACAATAAAACACTCCTATTCCCACCGCCCAAAATTAATATCTATTTAATCATACCATTTTCCTGTCTTTTCAAAAATAGAAATAAGAAATTACATATGGAGCCAACTTCTCTTAAACCATCATCCACACTATTTCTTTCTTTTTGCCCTCAATGCAAGCAACTATGAATTTGATGCTTTTTCTTCTGGTTGACTTTATATGTTTTTACGTACATGTATATAATCACTTCTGTATGTACACCAATAGAATATTTTTGCTTTTGTCAGTTTTTTAAATAATTTACACAAATATACACTACATTTACTATTAAGCATCTTCTTTTCTATTTTATTGTTTTAGTTTATGTTACTACTTCTTTATTTCCTGGTTTACTCTTTATTTATTGACTTCCTACTATAGAAGTTGAGAATACATATGTTTTTTCTTATTATCGTTGACACACATAGCATCATTTCCATTCTCCTCATAAAAATTTGTATTTAATAATTTTATTATGATGATTATGTAAATGCTATTCACAACTGGCCACAGGGTATACCATATTTATTTATTTTTTCTCCTGTAAACCACTTGCTTTTCCTGGAGTTAATAATTGCCTTTTGTTTGTTTCCCTGTTTTTTTTAAAAATATTTTGTGTACTTAACACTAGTGTAACCACAAACTCTGCATTCTGTTTATCAATCTCATGGTTCAGGCACTTCAGACGTTCTATCCATTTCATTTTCTGTTGGAATCACTTTGGAGAACTTTGACTACTTCAATCCTGGCTGGCAGTTTCTGCATCTATTATAAAACTTATATTCTGGGACCTTCTTTCATCACCAATCCAGGGATTCCTTTCATCTTCCTTCATCTCCCTCTTCCTGCTGTACACCTGTCTCCCTGTATCCTATGTCCTCTTTCTTCTTTTTTCTTTTTCTTTTTTTTTTTTTTTTTTTTTTTACCATTTCCCCATTTGGATGATGCTATTTTTCAGTCGCATTGTGAGAAAGAATGCATAGGAAACACATATTGATACTTTATATGCTTTATTTTAGCTGTACACTTGTTACAAATATTTGTGTGCCTCTGCTTCTATGCTGTATTGGAAATTCTTTGAGGACAGAGACTCTTAGTGATCTTTGTGTCTCCAGAGGGCCAAGTACAACTGAACTATTAAAAATAATAACAATTGGTAAATTGTATAAAATATACGTGGTGTCTATCAAGATCCTGTATTTGGACACAGATTGTGAAATTTAAACTATTATAGAGATATTTCCAAATATCTGTACACGTGGCATCATATTGACTGTGATGGTTAATACTGAGTGTCAACTTGATTGGATTAAAGGATGCAAAGTATTATTCTTGGGTGTGTCTGTGAGGGTGGTGCCAAAGGAGATTAACATTTGAATCAGTGGACTGGGAAAAGCAGACCCACCCTCAATCTGGGTGGGGACAATCTAATCAGCTGCCAGCATGGCCAGAATAAAAGCAGGCAGGAGAACATGGAGAGATTAGACTGGCTTAGCCTCCCAGCCTGCATCTTTCTCCCATGCTGGATGCTTCCTTCCCTCAAACATTGGACCCCAAGTTCTTCAGCTTTGGTACTTGGACTGGCTTCCTTGCTCCTCAGCTTGCAGACAGCCTATTGTGGGAGCTTGTGATCGTGTGAGTTAATGCTCCTTAATAAACTCCCATATATATATTATCCTATTAGTTCTGTCCCTCTAGAGAACCCTGACTAATGACTAACAGTACAGAAATTTGATTGAGATTTTTAGAATTCATATGGATGTTTGATGTTACATAGACATCTAGGCACATTGTTAGATTTTATTTAATGGTTGATAATTTCCACTGAAGAACATTTAATATATATGAGTCAACACCATTTTTGGTTAAAATTTTTACTATATTTTATTGTGGTGAAGATATATAACAACATTTGCATGTAATAATATTTTAAATATTGGTACTTAATATAAAATTTGTGAATCTAAGGCAATTTATATCTCATAGGACCAAAGAAAAGACAAGATTGAAATTCACAGGGCAATAATGATAAAAAGATTTGTGCTCTTGATTTTATTTAGTTATTTTAACAAAAGGTCAGTATGATGTTTGTTGCATGGAAATAATTACAAACAGTCAACATGAGATACTATTAGATAAAAAGTGAAGTAGTAATATATGCATATATTACATATTATACATAAGCAAATTATAATAGTAACCCAAATTTATTGGGCTATTGGTATTTGCTCACACTGTTCTTAGTGCTTTACATATGTTAACTTATTTTTTAATTTTATCCTCATAAAAATGATGAATTAAATATTATTGTTTTTCTCCTTTTTTATATATGAGGCATAGGAAGGTTAGGCAAAAAGTCCAAAGTTACATAGTATTTTGTGGTCTGGCCAGGAATTGAACCAAAGCAGTCTGACTCTACAAACTGGAATCCTAACTGCTAGGCAATACTGCCCAGGTTACAATTCATTTTTATGGTTTTGGAATGAGAAATTGATTTAGATTCAAAAGATTAAGACATAGGTTCAAATCTCAGCCACACCAATTACTATCTTTGTAAACTTGGCTCCAACTCACATAACCTCATTCGAAAGAAATGGAAATAAATAAGATGAATTTCTAGCAAAAATTCACCATGGCAGTAAATAATAGCATTTTTATTGTGACTTCGAAATTCATCTCAATAGATATTGAATAGATATTGCCTTATAATCAAGCACTAGTATATTTTTGAAAACAATATTTTTAACTAACAATCGACAGTCAAAATCAGTTAAGCAACCACGTCCTTTAGAACTAGCATATATTTACTTTCTTGAGGAGTCAAAAGATAGATATGTGATTCACAGACATCCCATTAATAGTTTACCAGGACACGAACAGTCAAAAAAATTAATTACATATGATTATCACACAAAAGGAGGTGACTACATTACTTGAATGACAAAAGGAAAAGTATTCATTGAAGACAAAAAGCACGAGCACTGTAAACTGATAAAAACAAATTTACTCACGGTTAGATTAGAAACAGTGCAGTTTAGTTTCTATTTTCACAGTAATGTTAAAATAATGCATTTTCCATTTCCTTAAGCATTAATGCATCTCTTCAAGAAGCATAGAGTTATTATTAAGCCTTCATTTTTCCCCTCCATTTTAAAAACATCCTTTACTAGAGAAACGTATGAAAGAAACAATCTAGTGGCCTCAAAGGTGATAAATACTAATGGGCAACTGGACCATATTCGAGTCACACATACTATCTTCTTAGTTTCTACTCATCCTTCTAGAGTCAGTTTAAGTACCATTTTCTCTAGACGCTTTGCTTGGCTTCCTAGATTATTAGGTCCGTCATAAAAATATGCTCTGAGAAAACTCTGTTCTACTTTCACAGAACTTAAAATCACATCTGTTTGCTGGTTTAAGAATTTGCCCTCTGGACTGTAAGCTTGCTCGGTAAGGAGAGGGCCATGTTGACTTGGTCAGTGCTCTATCCAGGGCTTGGCACAGTGCCTGGCATTTAGAATGCTCTAAAAAATTAGTTGTTTTGGCCTGGTGGGGTGGCTCATGCCTGTAATCCCAGCACTTTGGGAGACCAAGGCGGGTGGATCACAAGGTCAGGAGTTCAAGACCAGCCAGGCCAAGATGGTGAAACCCCGTCTCTACTAAAAATACAACAATTAGCTGGGTGTGGTGGTGGGCGCATGTAATCCCAGCTACTCGGGAGGCTGAGGCAGAGAATTACTTCCACCCAGGAGGTGGAGGTTACAGTGAGCCGAAGTCCCACCACTGCACTTCAGCCTGGGCAACAGAGTGAGACTCTGTCTCAAAATATATAAATAAATTTAAAAATAATAATAATAATTGTTTATTTGAGACATAATCCCAATTTGATATACATGTTTTCTTGTCTCATTCTCCTTCCTCTCTAATCTCCAGACCACTTCATAGAGTACTCCTAAAATTCTTCAAAAAGGCAGAGGGAGAAAATAAATTATGAAAAACTTTCATCTCTGGACACTGCCTTGTCGCTGTGACACCCCACCATCCTTGAAATCATGTTACCACCAAGCAATTTACTTTTCATTATATCAAATTTACCATGGGGTCAGCCATAATAAGAACTGTAGTGTAGCTGTCAGAGTTTTCTATTTCATCTTATAGTCTGGTATTCCAGAGTTTCTTCTGTAGCATTTTCTTTGCAAATAAAGTACATTGTCATTCAATGTTCCATTGACTTGGTTATTTATTCATTGGGACCTACTGAGTATTAAAAACTGGTCACAAAGATGAATAAAAAAGCTGAAATTCAGGATGCAAAATAACAATTAGACAGGAGGAATAAGTACAGGAGATTTATTGTACAGCTTTGTGATTACAGTTACCGATGAAATATTGTATTCTTGAAAACGCTGGTAGAGTGGATGGTAAGTGTTCTCACCACAAAAATGATAACTTTGTGAGGTAATGCATATGTTAATTAGCTAGATTTAACCATGTCACAATATATATATTCTTCAAAACACCTTATTGTATACAATAAATACATGTAAATTTATCTATCATCTTAAACAAATAAATACATTTAAAAAAATGAAGAGATGTAATTTTCAGGTTTGCTGCAAAGTCAGACAATAAAGAAATAGAAAAAATAGTCAAAATAGGAATACATTTCTTTGCTCCCTATTTACAAGAGAGAAATAAAAGAATTGTCTGTTTGTTCTCTCCATATTCCTCTCATTTTCTCTTGAGCTTGCTTTCATCAGGCTTTTGTCCATATCCAACTAAGGAGCTCTTGCCAAGATTGCTAACGACTTCTCATGTTACTAAATCCAATGGGTAATTCTGAGTGTGCATTTTAGCTGAACTTCTTAGCATTTGGAACAAATAATTTCTGAAATGCTTTCTTGACCTGGTTTCAGGGCCACCACTAAAACGTTATAAACTGATGACCTATTTTAGACCTCACTCTTGTACACTAGACCCATTTGTCCAAGTGCTTCCATAAGTTTTTCACTTGGATAGTATTTCCAAAATGGAACTTATGGTTTTCCTCTTCAAGTCTACTCCTCTGCCACATCCGCCACTTCAGTTAGTGGCCCCCTGATTCATCTTATAACTTATGTCACAAACCTTAGAGTCATCCTTTGCTCTTCTCATTTTTTTCATATATCTTTATCCCAGCAAAATATGTTTTTAATCTAATCTTTTATCACCACCTCCTCTATACTCTTTGGTCCTCGCCAACATCATCACTTTTAGACTACTGCAATAGCTTCCTAACTGGTTTTACTCTCCTTCTCTGTTCCCACTACCCACATACACCCACCCAATTTATTCTTGTAGCAACCAGAGTGATCTTTTAAATGTATTAATCCATTTAACTTACTGGTTCAAAACTCTTTCCATGACTTCCTTAGAATACATTTCAAGTTGTAACAGTGATATAGAACCTGGTCCATAATTGGACATCCATCTACCTGATTTCCACCACTCTCTGTGCTCACTTTGTTTCACCTGCTACCCCTCAAACACACCATGCTCACTCATGTCACGAAGCCTCTGCATTTGTTGTTCTTTCTGCTGCAATGCTCTCCACTCAAATATTCACAGGGCCTACTCTCATTTCGTTTAGATCCCTGTCAAATATCACTTTCCTATTTAAAATAGCATCCACTTATCACTCTGTATCCCCTCAGCAGCTTTAATTGTCTGCATGGTATTTATTACTACTTGACATTGTATTATGTTTTCTGTTTGTTTGATTATTGTTCCTTTCCCTGATTAAACATAAACTCCATGACAGTAAGGATTTTGTTTCGTTCACTGTATCCTCAGTGCCTAGAACAGGGTCTGGCAACAGAGTAGGTGCTAAACAAGTCTGTATTAAATTGATGAAGGAATTTATAGAATCCTAGAAGTGGTGGTGATGGAATATAATTATATTTAAAGTACTAAAGAAAACATAAGTGCCTTCTTTCAACAAACCTATTTGAGTGTCTATTATGTACCTAACATTGCGCTCAGTGCTTGAGATATAAAGACACATAAAAAACAAATTTTGTCTTCAGAGTTCTCGAAGATTCTTGAGGGATAAACATGGCAACTTTCATATTAATCACCAAAGAACCAGGGACATAATGTTCCCATCGGTATTTCTTACACTGACCTTTCAGTTTTGCTCCTTTCTTCATATTGAAATTATGTATCTTCATAATAAATGTATCAATGCACTATCAACCAGGATGAAACCAGGCATTTTATTTTGCCCTCAACCAAAGCAGTGCCACATGGGGCTGTAGATTCTGTGATTGCATTCAGAGTAGAAGCAAAGTTTCAAAAAGTGGAGTAGCTGGATTATTATCTGGGTAGTTTTAACAATTCAGACAATTTTGAGACTTGGTTTATGGATAAAAATTTTCTTTAAAAAGACATTCTTCCACATCTAGCCGGGTGCAGTGGCTCATGCCTGTAATCCCAGCATTTTGGGAGGCTGAGGTTGACGGATCACTTGAGGTCAGGAGTTTGAGATCAGCTTGGTCAACAAGGTGAAACCCCATCTCTGCCAAAAAAAGAAGAAAAAAAAAATTAGCTGGGCATGGTGGCACGCTATGGGAGGCTGAGGTAGGAGAATCACTTGAACCTGGGAGGCAGAGGTTGCAGTGAGTCAAGATGGAGCCACTGTACTCCAGCCTGGGTGACAGAGTGAAATTTCATCTCAAAAAAAAAATAATAATAATAAAATAAAAAGACATTCATTCACACATTGACTAATCAATTCACTTTGCTATTGTAGAGTTAGTAAATATCAAGGTCTTCATCTAAAATAGTGTTCAAATTCCATTGGTTAAACATTAAAACCCAAACAAAAGGCTTTAATATAACATCTATGTGAGGATAGTTTATATAATTGTCATGCCTTCTAACACAATAAATAATGTTTATTATACTAAGTAAGAACTATGAAGTGTGCTAGTTCAGGGATGAAGGAGTAGGAAGACAGGAGAGGAGATTTCTCAAATAACTTAAGACAGTACTACTATTTGACTCAGCAATCCCATTACTGGGTATATACCCAAAAGAATATAAATTTTGCTACCCAAAAGACACATGCATTTATATGTTCATTGAAACACTATTCACAAAAGCAAAGACATGAAATCAACTTACCTGACCATCAATGGTGGACTGGATAAAGAAAATGTGGTACATATATACCGTGGAATACTATGTAGCCATGAAAAAGAACTAAATCTTGTCCTTTGGAACAACATGGGTGCAGATGGAGACTGTATCCTTAGAAAATTAATGCATGAGGAGAAAACCAAATACCACGTTCTTACTTATAAGTGGGAGCTAAACATTGAGTACACATGGACACAAAGAGAGGAAAAATAGACTGGGGCTTACTTGAGAGTGGAGGGTGGGAGGAAGGTGAATGTTGAAAAACTGCCTATAGGATACTATGCTCATTACCTGGGTAACAAAATCATCTGTACACCAAACCCCAGCTACATGCAATTTACCCATGTAACAAACCTGTGCATGAACCTAAAATAAAAGTTGAAAAAGGAAAAAAGATTCTCCCAGAAGAGAAGGGAATCAGGGGTTTTAGTTGACATCAGTGCAGAATTCTCTAGGTTCAGAGCCCTAGATAAGGATTCTTGCAGTAGTCTAGCACAGGAAGCCATAGTAAGTCAGAGCATTAAAATTCAGACTAATAGAAGATAGCAACACAGATGCAAAATAGAGGCTGTGTTTTTTAAATCAAGATAATCAGTATCTCATGTTGCAAATCTTTCATACGTCCTACTCAGAGTCAAGTTAACCTGTTTTCCAAGTGGACAGTTTAATTCCTGAGAGTAGAAACTAGTGAGTCACATGAATGGATTAATGGTAAACTACACTGGCTCAAGTGAGGGTCTGGTAACAGAAGTAAAGGCAAAAATTGACGGTTCTAATCTAGTTTATAGCTTAGTAGATTACAATTTATGTATTGTATTTTTAAGCCACATCTATGCTTTCAGATTCCATCAGCACCTCAAACATCCCAGCCATTAACCCCAAGTCCAAAACGATGTAGTAAGGAAAAACACTATGCTAAAGACCCAGCATCTAGGAGGAGAAAGAGGTTCATGATGCTTCTCTTTTCTTATTTCTATTGACTTATTAATAAACTATAGAGACAACTGGTCTCATCTCTGTTTATTCTACAACTCCTGAAGATTAGGAATATGATTTTAAGCAAACTATTAATTTTTAACACAATTATATTTCAATAATTCTTGATTTCCTATGGAGTTTATTACAGTGGGGGGTTTACTTGAATTAAAAATAGTTTTGTAGCAACACTTGTCACACTTTATATAGACTAAATTATATGACAGGATGCAAACAGTGAGAAAAATCTTAAAAGTAATTTACCCACTCCATGTTTAAATTCCTTTTGGAATATTTTCATCATGGAATCACCCATTCTTGTGCTTGAACACCTTGATAAGGGGGGACTCACTTTATGAAGAGGCAGTTCATTTAATTTTTTGGACAACTCTAAATTTTACAAAGTTCTTTCCTAAACTAAGCCAAAATTCATTTGGAGCTTTTATCTAAAGTAGTACTTCATTTGGTAGAAGGTAGTAGAAGTACTAACATCATCTTATGTACTTTCTGTGATATTTTCTCTTCCTCTGCTTCTTCCTCTAATTTTCTATCTTCTTTTATTTTTTCCTATTTTATATACATGCCTTTTGAGTTAGAAAGAAAAACAATAAAAATTTTAAGTTATTTAGAAATGAATGATAATGATGGTTACATATAAAAAACTATAAATTAGATACTAAGGGCTATTCAGGGGAAAGAAAGTTTTAAATACATCTAGTTTTTAAAAAGCATAAGTTGAAAATAAATTAGTTAAGTATTTCACTCAAGAAGCTAAAATTGACTGGGCTTGCTGGCTCATGCTTATAATCCTAGCCCTTTGGGAGGCTGAGGTGAGAAGGTCGCTGGAAACCAGAAGTTCAAGGATGCAATGAACCATGATAACATCACTGTATTCCAGCCTGGGTAACAGAGAGAGACCTTGTCACACACACACAAAATTCTAAGTGAATAAAAGACAGAAGTGAATGGAGATCAAATAGATACTAATGAAATAGAAGGCAAAATAAATATTAGATTTGCCTAATAGGGTTCCAACTTTTAAAAAGAATACACTGCAATAAAGACAGATTTTGTAAATCTCTTCTAAGATAATGAGAGTATGTGAGAGGCAAGTCACAAAAAACATTAGGATGAGGAAAGGACAAAACTTAAAAAAATTTAAAAATATTATGAGATAATAGCCTGTATATATTTACATGAATACAGTTGTAAAACAAGATGTAATGGACATTCTTTCTAGGAAAATATAAATGACCATGACCAATAAGAGTTGGTAGATAATAGTGGATGAACAATTACATAAGATATTAAGAAGTTAGTAAAATACCTAATTCCTAAATAAATGACAGGTCTTCATAAATTTCACATAACTGTCAGATCAAAAATAAGTGTTATTTAAATTGTAAACACTTAGAAGACAATAGGAAAATATGGATAACTGACTAATATAGTCCATGTGCATTACATAATCCTGATACAAAGTCTGGATAAACATAGCACAACTAAAGACCGATATCGCCTACTATTATAGATGCCAAAATGCTAAATAAAATACTGCAGCAGTGTATTAAAAGAATTACACATTATAACTAAGATATATTTCCAGAATACAAGATCATTGAATGTGTGAAGTAATATTAAACTATCCACATGACACAGTAAAGAATGTCAAAATTATTACGTAAAAGGAAATACGTATTAATCATAAAAGCTCTTCCTGAGCCCTTATCATAACTAAAGATACCCCCAATACCCAAAAGCAAACATTACACTTTAATGATGAATCATTAAATTATTTCTGTTAAAGTAAATTAAATAATACTCTCTTTGTGAGTGTTCTTTTCCTTTTATGGAAGGAGAGGGGCTGGTGCTTTTATCTTAATTTAATTTTACATAAAAATATTAAAATATAGAGACAAAGTCTCAACATGTTGCCCAGGCTGGTCTTGAACTCTTGGGCTCAGGCAGTCCTCCCGCCTTGGCCTCCCAAAGTGTTGAGATTACAGGCGTAAGCCACTGTGCCTGGCTGAGAAGCTGATGTTTTTAAAGAAAGAAAGAATATGGAAGGAAGAAATGAATTGTAAACTTTAAATACTGGAAAGGAAGAGGCAAAACTGTTATTATTTTAGTTTAATTCTTCCTAAAAAAATCTAAGGAATTAGAAAATGTAGAAGGATATATTTATATAAGAATTAGGACATTGAGTATATATTTATATAAGAATTAGGAAATTGAGTAAGCAGTGCTTATTAAAGTGGTAAGATAAATATATGTAACAACAATAGCCTAACTGGATAGTATAATAATAATAATTTTTAAAAATGCCAACTAAAAAATCAGCAAAAATCATAACTACTAGGAAATAATCTATGCAAAAGCATAGAGTAATGATTAAAAGGATGAATTATATTATTACATAATCTTTACAAGTCCAGTCTTTAACCTTTACTAGCTGTGAGTCCTCGGGCAAAATATTTAATTTCTTTGTACCATGTGGTTTTTTGTAAATAAGGATAAAAATAGTACTTATTTCATAGGCTTGTAGGAAGATAAAAAGACAATATATAAAAAGTGCTTAGAATGACATTTAGCACATAGTAACTGCTTGATTAAATATTTTTATTATTGCTATTTTAAAAAGCTAAATAACTTTAAGACATGAAGAAAGAAATGAATAAATTATGGGAATTTTCCACACCTGAATTGGAACAGTGAATATTTTAGATATGTAAATTCAGCAAAATCCTATATAATCTCCAGAGAGTTTTTCAATAAAAACATTTCAAGACATTTTAAAAGGTGACTGAGTAAGAATAAGCTAGAAAGATTTGGAAAGAAGTATAACCACAGGGCGCTTTCCTCAGTACATATTAACATATGCTTTAAAACTAATATTCTTTCTGTATTTGTATACAAATGAATGTATGAAACAGAATAAGGGATTTGTAAAGAGAAAAAAATGGGAAATTAGCATATTATAAAATTTTTATTAATATTAGATGAGGAAGTATAAAATATTTGAAACGGATGCTGAGATATTTAGATATTGATTTAGAAAAAATGGATTTTTAATTCATACTACACCTACAAATAAGTTTGAGGTGGAGCAAAGAGCTAAATGTAAAATAAACACACAACAAAACTCTCCAGAAGTAATATTATTGTGAACTGTGCACAGAGAAAGATCCAACTCTGTAAGGTAGAAAACCCTGTAGACATAAAATTATATTCATATGTGTAAGTAAACACAACTTAGAATCTTCTGTAAGAGGTGAGTAACAGAACAACATAAAGCATTTTTCCAGCATGGATAACAGGCAAAGGTTAGTATCCATAATATATAAAGAAATTTATGACTCCATAAGAAAGCGATAACCAAACTTTGTTAACTGGTAATTTATAGAGACACATAATAAATATGCCTAAAGAACATATAAGATGTTGTTCAAAGCTTACTGGAAATCTAGAAAGTGCAAATTAAAGCAACAATTTTGTAGATTTTTTTTTTCGTCCATCATATTCATGAACTTTACAAAGTTTACCAAAGTTTTAGGATAAGTGATCGTTTATGTGCTATTTGGAAGAGTATATACTGGAACAACTTTAATGTCAGGCGATATAGAACTATCTACTAAGTTTTGAATGCTTATATACTCTTCTTGGCTCAGTAATTCCATCTCTAGAAATCTATTCTGCAAAAATATTTCCCTGTGTGCATAAACATAAATGCCGAAAGGTAATCATTGCAATATTGATTACAGTAGTAAAAAGTTGGGCACAATGTAAAGGAGAACAATAAATAAATAATGATTCTTTCATACTATAGAAAACAATGGAACATTTTAAATAATGAAATAAATCGGACACAAACAAAAATATTGTATAATCTCACTTATATGTGAAATCTTTTTTAAAAAGGTTAAGTTACAGATAGAGAATTAGAATGACATTTAGCACATAGTATAGCATATGTAGCAGTGGTTACCAGGGTCCAGAGTAAGGGAGAAAATGGGGAGTAGGTGAAAGGATTAAAGCAGCAAATATGTAGGATGAGCAAGTTGTATGTACAATGTACGATGTGGGGACTAATAATAGTGTATTGTCTTCAGGATTTTTGCTCAGTAGACTATAACTGCTCTTGGCGGGAGACACAGGGGAATGAGGAGGGAATGCGCAACCATGTAACCATGTGAGATGATGAATATGTTAATTTGTTTCACTGTAGTAACCATTTTGTTATATGTATGTGTATCTTTTTTTTTTTTTTTTGAGATGGAGTTTTGCTCTTGTTGCCCAGGCTGGAGTGCAATGGTGCGATCTCTGCTCACCACAACCTCCACCTCCTGGGTGCAAGCAATTCTCCTGCCTCAGCCTCCTGAGTAGCTGGGATTACAGGTATGCGCCACCACGCCCAGCTAATTTTGTATTTTTAGTGAAGACGGGGTTTCTACATGTTGGCCAGGCTGGTCTCTAACTCCTGACCTCAGGTGATCCGCCCGCCTCGGCCTCCCAGAGTGCTGGGATTACAGGCGTAAGCCACCGCTCCCGGATGTATGTGTATCTTATAACATCATATTGTATACCTTAAGCATACATAATAAAGTATGTTTTTAAAAACCAGCTAGATGGAGAGAGCTGATAGATGGAGTTGTAACAACAAAAAGTCGTAGGATAGTAGGCCCACTATGTTCACATAAATGTTGAATATACATGCAAATATATACAAAATAACTGCAAGGATAGTAGTTAATTTAACAAATATTAGTGAACACCTATATATGCTATCCTAGATGTCAGATTTATGGCTGTGACTAAACAGGCAGATGAACAGTATTAATTTTATTTACCTTTATGGTGTTGGATTGTGATCGTGAAAAGGGACTTTCATTGCTATTCTATATGTGGTTGTATTGGTTGATTTTTTTTTCTTTTTTTCTTTTTCTTTTTTTTTTTTTTTTTGAGACGGAGTCTCTCTCTAGCTCAGGCTGCAGTGCAGTGGCGCAATCTCGGCTCACTGCAACCTCCACCTCCCGGGTTGAAGCAATTCTCTGCCTCAGCCTCCCAAGTAGCTGGGATTACAGGTGTCTGCCACCGCGCCCGGCTAATTTTTGTATTTTTAGTAGAGACTGAGTTTCACCATCTTGGCCAGGCTTCTCTTGAACTCCTGACCTGGTGATCCACCCACCTTGGCTTCCGAAAATGCTGGGATTAGAGGCGTGAGGCATTGTGCCAGGCAATTTTTGTGTGTGTTTTTTTTTTTTTCTTGAGACGGAGTCTCGCTCTGTCGCCCAGGCTGGAGTGCAGTGGCGCAATCTCGGCTCACTGCAAGCTCCGCCTCCCAGGTTCACACCATTCTCCTGCCTCAGCCTCCCGAGTAGCTGGGACTACTGGCACCTGCCACCATGCCCGGCTAATTTTTTGTATTTTTAGTAGAGACGGGGTTTCACCGTGTTAGCCAGGATGGTCTTGATCTCCTGATCCCGTGATTCACCCGCCTCGGCCTTCCAAAGTGCTGGGATTACAGGCGTGAGCCACCGCGCCAGGACAGTTTTTGTGTTTTTAATAGAGACGGGGTTTCACCATGTTGGCCAGGCTGGTCCCGAATTCTTGACCTCAGGTGATCCGCCAGCCTCAGTTTCCCAAGGGTTACAGGCATGAGCCACCGCACCCGTGTACTACTTTTATAAATTTAAAATAAAAGAGAAAAAGAAGAGAAAAGGTAAACCCACATGTAGTCCTTGTCCACTTGAAACTGAGGATTCTATTGGCATGGAACTGAATTTAACTAACCTGATATTTATGTATTTAGATACTTTGGCATTCATGTTTGCTAATTCATCTAACAGCAAGGGACTAAAAGGGTGTTTATGCACCATGAGATACATAGGATTAAAAATGTAGTGTGCAGCCAGGTGCAGCGGCTCACGCCTGTAATCCCAGCACTTTGGGAGGCCGAGGCAGGCGGATCACCAGAGGTCAGGAGTTCGAGACCAGCCTGGCCAACATAGTGAAACCCCGTCTCTACTAAAAATACAAAAATTAGCTGGGCATGGTGGCGTGCACCTGTAGTCCCAGCTACTAGGGAGGCTGAGGCAGGAGGATCGCTTGAACCCAGGAGGTGGAGGCTGCAGTGAGCTGAGATGATCACGCCACTGTACTCCAGCCTGGCGACAGAGCGAGACTTGCCTAAAAAAAAAAAAAAAGAAGTTGAATTATTGAAAAGTTAACATCATCTTGCTTATATTCATCTTCAAATTCCTTTCCTTAGCCTCAGAGTCATTACTCAGATATAAACAGGCTCAAAATGCAAGTGTGTCAATCATACAACTGAATCTCTAAACTTTGTTTATTGATTTTGCTTGAAAATATTTTATAATTTAGTGAATTACCTGTTCAATCTGATTGCAACTGAAAATTTGAGAGTCCTACTAACCTGCAATATTTCTTTTAAAGAAATGTGACAACTTGCAGCAATTATATCTTCTAGCCAAGTGTACTCACTGAATACACATGTCCTTTATAATACAGATCTGTGGTTTATTTGGTTGATATCAAATTTGGTTTGGATATTCACTTCTTTTTTTTTTTTGTCTTTTTTTTTGAGACGGAGTCTTGCTCTGTCACCAGGCTTGAGTGCAGTGGCGCGATCTCAGCTCACTGCAACCTCCGCCTCCTGGGTTCAAGCGATTCTCCTGCCTCAGCCTCCCGAGCAGCTGGGACTACAGGTGTGTGCCACCACGCCCGGCTAATTTTTTTGTATTTTAGTAGAGACGGGGTTTCACCAGGTTGGCCAGGATGGTCTCTATCTCCTTGACCTCGTGAGCTGGCCACCTTGGGCTCTCAAAGTGCTGGGATTACAGGCATGAGCCACCACGCCCAGCCCCAGAGATTCACTTCTTAAGGTGATTTTAAAAATCTTCAACTTTAAATATGTTGTTTACTTTGGTGAAACTAAGTCAATAAAAGCACTACTATTTCTTCTATGCTATGCTGGTTTTTACACCCGAGAAGATTTAGAAATTGTTCAGATAAGCTTCAGAGTAGTTATATTAGTGTTTTTGGAATTATTCAGTTTCTCCCATCCAAGTACTAACCAGGCCCGACCCTGCTTAGCTTCCGAGATCAGACGAGATCGGGCGCGTTCAGGGTGGTATGGCCATAGACAATTATTCAGTTTCTAACAATAAGTTTTTTTTTCCAGAAGGGTGAAGTTATACTTTTTATGAGCTGCCTTATGTGGCTTTACCAATGGAAATGATCAAATAAATCGAGTGCCAAGTTTACTCTTAATTTCTTCATGCTACATAGATTCAGTTAGTCTAAAAAGTTGTTTGGTTGAATTTACACAAGTTTAGCAATGTGTGCATTAAATCTGCATTTCCCCAGAATAAAGAGCTGATTTCTTAGACCCTAAATCACACCAGGAGTTAAATACCACTTATCCAGTCAAATAAGAGGTATTTTTGAAGCACTACAAAAAGAAAGAATAGACAAATATTATGGTCCAGTGATTCTGATAAATACAAATGATCCGAAACCTTCAACCTGGGAATCAAGTGTAAGCAATGCTCAGTTTTTTTTCCTGAACTCCCTGGAGAAGATATCATGGAAATAATTATAATGCTGGAGAAAAGCTTAGCAAATAAGACTCTAGCTAGGTTCCCTTCACAGTCTCTTGCAATGAAAAAAAGAATTTAAAGAGCCTCACACATGATGTAGGTGAGTGTTGGAAGTTCTGATTGCTTATCTGAACTCTCAAACCTTTGGCTGCATGCCCACCTCCAGGGTGAACCCTGTCATCTTTTGCATGAAACAGAATGAGGTGATTTGAACCTCGGAGTCTATTTCTTCCCTAGATGCATGTGTACAATTTCTATTAATTTTAATGAGAATTATGTTTGCACATTGAGGCAGGATAAATCCCTTCGGGAGGAATCTTGCCCTTGGATGCATACTGTAATTTCCATTAAAGGGATAAAACCCCAGGGGATCCATACATGGGCGCCTGAGGGCAAGATCTGACCCTCTGCATAAAAAACACTGCACAAATCACCAGGTCATCCTAGACATGTAGATGCCAAAAATATAAGAGGTTAGCAAGCATTTATTTTAGCCTGTATTCAGGTGATGTGAGTTTCTCAGAGTTACGCCTTTAACCTGCGGTTCCTGTAAGGAAGAAATAACTACCAAGCAATAGAGTCTACTCTTTCAATAAGGATATTGCTAAAGAACAATAACCAATGTAAGATGAACAATATTGTATATATTTTAAAAAGAAATAATACAAGTAAAATAAAAGAGACAATGAAAGTTGTGTTAATTAAGAAAGTGACCTACTTTACTACTCTTGTTTCCACAGGAGACATTGAAGATTATGGACAATTTAAGTCTATTCATCAGTGAATCCTGCGTGAAAACTTTTTAAGTGGCCCTAATACATTATGAATAATCTCAGGGCAGAGATCTGTTTTGAAGGAGATATGATTGATGGTCTATCATTCCTAATTCACTGTTTATACTGGTAGCCAGCCTACTGGGAAAATACCTCATTCATCAGGGTATTAGTGAATTCAACCAACGTATGGCACCTTCATTTTAACAAACTAAAGGAGAAAAGCTAAATGGGGGAAATTGACAACCATCTCTGATTCTATGATAATGCAATTAGGCTGCTCCTCTCCAGAGCTTTTGCTAATTCACAAAACAGCTTCAGTCGGCAGGTCATAAATATATGATCATTTTTCACACTTTGAAAAGTAATGATGCCTTGACATGAATCAATAGATCTTGGTGAAGTCCTTTATACTTTTATGTTCAGCATGCAAGTCAGTTTTAAAACTCGTGTGTATTAAATCTGACTTGCTATCCAGCCTGTGTTTACATAATCTAATTTAACAAAGTCTCAAATAAACGTGTAAATGAAGTGTTTATAGTAAGCACAAGGAAAGTTTCCCTTTCATTGAGAAAGTGTGATATGGTGCATCAAACTATTTTAATTTGCACCCTGAAATACCCATATTTGCAAATGTGCCACATACAGAGAGCTGTTGCTCCTAAAATTTGGTAGTTTCTATATTGAGTTTGCATATTATGCTCAATAGCTGAATTAAAAAAAATTCTACTGCATATGACACAGTGTGTAATGCATTATTTATCTAAAATGGATCTGGTACAAAACATCCAGAAAAGATTAATAACTATCTCCCAGACACCCCTCCAAAAGGGCTTGCTCATCTTTTTAAAACAATTGCATAAAAATACATGGTGAACATAGATACATGTATTAAGTAGCAAAGATACACAGCAGCACAACCTTTTTCTAACAATCATAGTTCCACATGCTCTACAGGGAATAGGAAGATGGACAGGCTAATGAATACAGCAGGTAGCAAGTGGTTGAGGTTTGCTTAAGAATGAATTATCAAACAGCTACAAATTGCCAATTTAAAGAGGTTATACTCTACTGTACATAGCATTTTATTTTTTATTCCTGGAATGGTTGACAATTTTCCTGGATGAAAAGTGAAATGATACTAAATCATAAATGTACCTGCTGTGCTGTCATTCCCATTAACTCCCCCCTTTGTTTTGTTTATTCACTGTTCATGGTTGCAAAAACTGATGTGCTTTATAACAGCATGGACAAAGCCACATTTTCATCAAAGACCTAGATGACAATATATTTTTAAATTAAAACTAAAACAATTGGTGTTTTTCTCCTGAGTCTTTCACAGTCATTTGGAACTGCCGATGAAAATAAATATTGCATAGAAAATTGTTTTTGAAGTGTTCATGTGTTGTGCGTAATCTCCATTATTTGATATTTGCTATGATGAGTAATTGATATGATACACTGTCTATAAATAGATTGTGTCTTCACAATACAACATCAAGGGGGTGATGGAACATCGATACCACTGATTGAAATTTCCATTTTGTCTTGTGCTCTGTAAATCTAGCCTTAAGCATATATATTCCCTAGAGGCGCATGATACTAAGCAAAAGTAGGCAATGGCTAGCACAGGTTCTTAGTAACTTTAATTCTTTAAAATCAGATTATTAAATCACAAACCACCTCCTAGAGGTAATTTGGCAAAGCCATTTTGAGAATGTCCTTCGAATGTTCACAAAGGGATACCAATTGGTACTTGACAGTTAATATTATTTATAGAGGAATTTATAGTCTTCAGATCCATGCACAACACATTGAACCCTCACGCATTTCTTGTTACAGAGGATCCTGGTTCGATTTCCAGGTAAAATATGCAGTTCTCTCCAAAATAACCGCAGTTACTTCAAAACAGGCTGTGAAAAGCCATGTGAAACAACCTCTAACATTATTTTACTGAATCCTCTTTGCCCTCTAATTCTGATCATGAGTCTGTTGGAGGCCTGGCATCTATTTTATGAAGGTTTTTGCAAGGAAAATATTTAGATTAATGATATAATTTAATGATAATTTAGTGACAGTAGATCTAACCTCAGCTGAGTGACAATAGAATTGAAAAAGTAAACCAGTGGGAGAGACGAGACAGTGGCTGTTGGGGCAGCAGCAGGGAGGCTGCAAGGGTCACTCTGATTGGCATTGTCACTTTCCCCATTCATCAAGCGAGGACAGACTTCCCGAATCATTTCCCAGATGGGGCAGCTCATCAGTTTAAACACCTGATATGAAGCCATCCGTCATCTGATAACATGATCCTTGGGCTGCAGCTGGCTGGGTGCTCTGCAGCCCGAGTGCACATGTGATGGACTCAAGCCAGGGAGGCAGGCTTAGTTGGGCTGCCCTCCCTTGATAGGATTTGCAGTCCTCCACTGGACCATGGAACAGGTGGAGGCTGAGAGAGAATGAAAAAATTACCATGTGTTGCAGGGATTAGAGCCTTACACACTCACCACTCCACTTGAATACCAATCAAAGCCAGACAACCAACCTTGGGTGAGACCAACTTCAGGCCTGGCCATAGAACAGAGAAAGAGAAGATATGCAGATCAAGCTGGGAAACCTGGTTTCCTGCAGTAAGAACAACTTTTAACATTCAAAACCTGCCTACGTTTTTTTTTAGAAACCAAAAACCTGAGATGAGATTTTTCTCTGAAATCCAACTTTCTTTTTCTTTCTCTTAAAAAAATAAACAAAGCATCTTGAACATTTTTGAAAGACAGAGGAAAAAAGAGTAATCTCTGGGGAATCATCACAAATCCTGTTATTTTATGCTCACCATGGTGAAAAACTAATGCAACAAAGACAGTCAGACAAAGAGACAAATTATGCGCACTTAAACTGAAAGTGTTTATTGCCATGTGAAATATAATTATGCTGATTTAAAATGTTCACTGCTCAGACAGTCTAGAGCTTATTGGAATAAGGACTAACCTTTCACAGGAGAATGAGGCTTTTGCAGAATTCCATGGTAGCATGATAAACTGGGCTGTGTAAAAGTGTGGCCTCCTTTCTCACTCTGGTGGACCATTGTGTGAAACCATCCTTTTATTTGTAAAAATTAAAATCCCTCAATTGGAGAGTCCATAACTGAGATAACAAGTTAACTAGTAAAGACCTAATCCTCTTATGTCCTTAGTGGAATAATATAGAGAAGTTTATTCTGCTTACCATATGACACACCTTATTGTTATAATTCCTGGTGAGGATCTATTCGGGCTTATTTGCTGTTCTCTGCTAACATTGAGCAAGCTCTCTCTCTTTTTCTCTCTCTGTCTCTCATTCTGTCTTAGATGAATGATTTGGTGTTTTCACCCCAAACGACTTGTGTCTCTAAAAAACCTCTCTATGGACAAGACTCTTGCAGCTGCAAGAGTGTGGAGCCATTTCCGGTGCAGATTCTACATCTCATTTACATCTCTTCTTCTTCACATTTTCTGTTCAGGGCACTATGTTTATCTCCTGGAAATACATATGGTAGTATCTGTCTGCTCCTACTTAGATGAAAACTTTAAATGATCATTCATATGTACACAAAAAACAGATCAGAACTTTCAATCTTCTAAATTGGTGAGCCTTTTTGTCTTCTCTCCCCTTTCTTCTCCCCATAGTTAGAGTTAAATTTTATACCTGGGTAGTTGATCTAGAATGTCACAAAGATGTTACTGAGAAGAAGTAAGGGAAAGATAGGCCAATGGACAAAAAGTTAGGAAGCCAGGCCGGGCACGGTGGCTCACGCCTGTAATCCCAGCACTTTGGGAGGCCGATGAGGGCAGATCATGAGGTCAGGAAATCGAGACCATCCTGGCTAACATGGTGAAACCCTGTCTCTACTAAAAATTCATGAAATTAGCCAGGCATGATGGTGGGCGCCTGTAGTCCCAGCTACTTGGGAGGCTGAGGCAGGAGAATGGCATGAACCCAGGAGGTGGAGCTTGCAGTGAGCCGAGATTGTGCCACTGCACTCTAGCCTGGGTGACAGAGGGAGACTCTGTCTCAAAAAAAAAAAAAAAAAAAAAAAGTTAGGAAGTCATACATGGCACAGAGATTGTGGAGAGGAAGGACAAAGGGTTAGAAGTCAGACCCACCCAGGTTCAGATCTTAGTAATGCTGCGACTTACTAGGTAACTTCAGGTAAGTTATTTAACTTCCCTGAACTGAAAGTTTTTTTATGTATAAAATGTGATTATTTAATATTTTTATTATTAAATACCTTTCTTAATTGTTTAGAACATTAAGCATGATACTGCATTTTAGTAGTTAACATAGTAAGATCTGTGTTAATAGTGATTGTTATTATATTGCTCTATAAATAGTGTGTAGATAACAGCAAGACAACTCATTCATAACAGGCAGGGAACATTTTTGCATTTTGGTTCAATAATATTCATTAAAGCTTACATTGTACCTGTTGCCTTGCCAGGAATTAGAGATAAAAAGATATTTATGACTTAGTTCTACATCAGGAGTCTAGGACAACGTTGCTAAGCTTGTACAAGAATTTTTTTTTTTCATTTTATAAAACTTAAACATGTATCAGAGCAAAATGCTTATCCAAAATTGTGTACACCTAACTATATTCCTTAATAGAATAGATTTGAATTTTCAAGCTTCAAGTTTGTACTTACTATTTTTGCCTTCCTTTCTTTAACTTCCTCCCTAGTTGGTCTTTACCCTAGAAAGGGAATTTAAGGTAATAGGTTAAAATAAGACATCACCTTTTTAGAAACGGTATTTGTTTAAATTCATATAATTCAAAGAAAACCAAGCACATATTTATAACAATATGACTACAACAACCCACTTCTATTATATTTAAAGGTTATATCTGTCATTGTAGAATTTAAATCACAAACTTTTCCCATAATATTGGTGTAACTCATAAAATGGGTCTACCACTGCCTTGATTAATGTAAAATATTTTCACATTGTAGTGCATATGTTAGAGTAGATAAGTTTAGGGATTAAAATAGTGTATTCTCCTGCTCTGTGGTTCATAGCAATTCATTTTACAAATATTTGAGAATACACAAATGCAGTTCATGGTACAAGGTATGAATAATGCCTTATACCATTATAGTTAAAGTGGGGATTCACAATTAGCTACAGTGACAAGCATAAAGATAATTGCTATGTAATATGAAATATGCAATTAAAAAGGTTTTTAATAGGCAAAATGAGGAAATAGAGAGAAAATAATTTTGTGAAGGGGATATGGTCATTAGGTAAATTTTTGTAGGGGAGATAATATTTGAATAATGAATACAATTGAAAAGAGACAAAATTCATTCTAGGTTGAGAGAACAGCACAGGCAAATGCTGGGAGGGACACTTAACAATGCAAAGACCATTTTATTTATTCACTCAACAAATATTTGAAAACAAACATGTATCAACTTTCATCTGAGATTGCCTTGTAAATGCACACTTTGAAGTACCCTTCTGTTCCACACGTACAAACACGATAGATAAATTTTTAAAGCAAAAATTTAGAAAAGATACAGCTGTACTAAAACAGTAAAGTAAAACAAAACAAACATCTCTGTGGAAAAGACATAAAATAGAAGTGTTTGGTGGTTGGTGGAGGTGCAGATGTGGGACTAGGTCTGCCCATCCCTGGGCAGAGAGCCCAGCAGCTCAGGCTTGTGAGAGAAATTGCTCCCTTGGAAGTGATAGGTCAGAGCCAGGCTCACACCTGAAGCCAGGACCTACCTCTCTTCTGAAAGAGAGAGCGAAAAAAAAAGTGGCATATATAAAGCATGGGAGACAGAAAGAAGCACACACAGCCTTGTGACCAGATAGGAACCAAGCCCCAAAATGGTTTTGTGACAGTGTCTGTGAAATTCTTGATATCCATGTTATGCAAGATTTAATCTTCAACGTAAGACATAACTCACGTTATGAGGGAGAGGTTAGGGTAGAAGCCCTACAAAATCAGGTATGGAGGGCTAAACAGAGAAAGAAATCCTGGAGATAATTTCCAAATACATCAGGGAAGTAAATCTAATATAGAGAAAGCAGTCCACAAAACAGAAACTTTGTATATAAATTTGGCCCATAAAAACTCATGTAGTATGATGGATATGCTAATTTATGTATAAAATGTGATTTTATACACCCTGATATGATCACTACATATCATATATATCAAAATATCACTATGTACCTCATAAATATGTATCATTATTATGTGTCCACTAAAAACAGAAAAAATTTATAAATAAGAAAAAAAATTTATGTAATAGAACAACCTGATACATATTTCAAAATAAATATGTTTAGGATATTTAGGGAGATGAATGAAGGAAAAACCTCCATAATGAGCAAATAATTGAACAAAACCCAGCACAAAGTGAAACAAAAGAGATGTGGATATAAAAAATAATTTAAAATTCTAGAAATAAATAATATAGTCAGTGAAATTAAAAACTTTATAGATGAGATATACTCTAGATTAGACGTAGGCAAAAAGGAATTAATAAATTGGAAGAAAGTAATAAATAATTCACCCAGAAGGCAACAGTTAGAGATGAAATATATATGAGAGGGTGTTTAAGGTATTTGGAGAATACACTGACAGACTCCTATAGACATCTAACAGCAGTTCCAGAAGGAAAAAAAATACATTGCCCCAAATGCAAAGGAAGAATAGTTAGGCTGAGAGCAAACCTCTTCTCAGAAACAGAATATGTCAGAGACACATCAATACAGTCAGCTGAAGGAAAATAACTGCCATTAGGTAGAATTTTATACCTAATTAGATTATTATTTAACACTGAGGTTAAAATCAAGACATATCAAGCATACAAAGACTGAGAGGGACTGCAATAATCAGACACTAAACGAACTGCTAAACAGGAAGGGATGGAACACGTGCAAACAATAGTGAGCAAAGAATAATAATATACTACTTGTAACATATAATAAATGTTTTATGTATGTGTGTGTTTCAAACAAAAATAGCGATGGTCATTGGGTAGCTAGAGCAGGCTAAAAGCTTTGTAATTTGAGAAAAATAGAACTTTGAATAATTTTGGACTATTAAGACAATTTTCCATACCTGACAGGAGTATTGGATGCTTATGACTCAAAGCTGAGGTCCTATCAGTAAATTTTCTCCTCATCTAAGGTTATGCTCCCTTCCTAGGGCATATGGGGCAGCCCACATCCAATAACTGGTTGATGTGGGAATATAAAGGCCTGACATTTTTGCCTCAAAACTGGGCAACTGTAAAGGATCATCTCAACTCCATAATGTCTCATAAGATCTGTTGAGGCCTCTGTTGCAACTGCCTCTCAGTTCAACTTTTCTCTCTGTCCAATCCTGTTTCCCTTATTCCTTATAGGATTTCCCAGAACCACTCAGTATGTAAACCTCTGTGTCACAGTCTGTTTCCAGGGAGTCTGACCTAACACAATTGGAAACTGGTCCTAGGAATCCATGTCTAAAATGGGACATTAGAGCTGAGCCGCCCACCAGCCCGCTGGTAGTTAAGAACTCCATCACTGGTGGTAAATGGAATACTGATAACCTCCGAAATGATGTAGCAGTGAAGTATTAAAAGTTTACCAGTGGTGACCTGGGATGGGTTATCAGTGGAAGACAACACATTAGCAAGGATATTATCTTAGGCAGAGGGAGATTTAGGGAAAGTAAGCATATAGACTATAAATGGATGGCTTTTGTCATTAGAAAGAAGGAAGCACAATGCTTAGTAGGTCTCTTTGAGTTCTTGAGGAAGCATATTTCACATTGGAGAATGAAGCTGTTTTCTGCATCTATACTTCATTATAGAAACTGCCTCTGGACCCAGGTTATGGGAACTCAAATAATCCTATGGCCAGAGGTGAGTCATGAGCTGCATTCTATTACAACCACCATGTTATAAAGTTGGGAAGTCCCAGTGCAATCCATTAGTAACACGGAAGTGGGATCAGGCAAGATCGGGACAGGAAGCTTCAAGAAAGTATCAAAGCAGGGGGCTCAGAACACCGTGTTACCCACCACATACAGGAAGGAAGAAAAATGTCTAGTATGATTTGTGAATGAGTTAACTCACTCTGTGGTTTTAGGTTGAAAATGGACTATGCAGAAGTGGCCCTGAAAGAAAGTTGTGAGGAAAAATCTTCTCAATGGGAAGAGATTTGGGTGGTACCTCTGGTCATCTACTTTAAGTGGAAAGTGAAGAAGAACAAGGAAGAATTACATGAACTCATGGATAGTGATGAATAACTTGATGAGTTGGGTAGGGGCCTAGGGAGAGAAAGATTGGAAGATTGAGGAGGTCTAGAGGGGAATGTGGATGAATCCATGGAAGCTGGTATGAGATCTTTACATCACAATTGTATGGAACAGAGACCACCCATATAATGGATGGAAGAGAGGCACAAAACAGTCAAGTAGACTGACTCAGGCATTTGAACTCAGCCAGCTGTTGTCATTGGCTACCCCAGTGTCAGAAAAACGGGCTTGTGAATGGAGTAGCCACAGTGACCAGGGCAGAGTCTGCACACGGGCTGTAAAGAAAGGGTTCCCATTCACCAAGACTGATTAGCCACTGCTGCTGCCAAATGTCCAGCCTACCAGCAACAGAGATCAAGGCTGAACCCCTGTAACAGTACTGTCCCTTGAGGAGACGAATCTGCCACTTGATGGCAAGTTGACTATATGGGACCTTTTCTTTCCTGGAGGGGGCAGCAATTCATTTTGGTCATAATTGACATATATTTTGTATATGGATTTGCCCTTTTTGCCCCTAGAGCCTTAGCCAGTACAGATTGTCTAGTTCAGTGACACAGAGTACGACAAATATCACCTCAGGTCCATGGATCCACTTTATAGCAAGGGAAGTATGGGTGTGGCACATGGCTGTGGGTCCAATCAGACTCCCCCCACATCTCCCAGAAGCTGCTGGCCTGGTAGAGCATGAGCAGTATTACTGAATAGTTTTCCATTTTATGGATATATATTGTGAATTATAATATATCAGGATTATTTCCCATAATTTTGGCTATTACAAATAATAAAGCTTCTATGAATTCTCATGTGGAAGTCTTTGTGTGGATGTAGGTTTGCATTTCTCTGGGGTAGATGTCCACAAGTATAATTGCTGGGTTGCATGGTAGATGAATATTTAACTTCATAAGAAATTGCCAAACTATTTTCCAAATATCATGTTGCATTCCTAAGAGCAATGTATGAATGTTCTAGTTGCTTCACTTCCTTGCTGGAAATTGGTATTGCCAGTTAAAAAAAACCTTAGTCATTCTATTAGATGTATAGTAGTATTTCATTTTGTTTTTATTTTGTACTTCAGTAATGAAGAGTAATGTTGAGTATCATTTTCTGTGCATATTTGCCATCTACTTCTCTTCTTGGGTGAAGTGTCTAAATCTTTTGATTATTTAATTATTTTGCCTACTGATTGAACAATAAGAGTTCCTCATATATTCTTGATTCAAGTATTTGATCAGATACCTGTTTTTCAAGCATTTTATCCCAGTTTGTGGTTTATCTTTTCATTTTCTTAACACTGTGTTTTGAAGACCAGAAGTTTTAAATTTTGATAAAGTGCAATTTATCAGTTTTTCTTTTATAAAAGCACTTTATAAAAGTAAGTAATTATTACCTAAACTAAGGTAACATTTTGTTTTTTTGAGATAGGGTCTCTCTTTGTCACCCAGGCTGGAGTGCAGTGGTGCATGGTCATGGCTCATTGCAGCCTCGGCCTCCCAGACTCAAGCAATTGATCCTCCCACCCCAGTCTCCTGTGTAGCTGATACTGCAGGCATGAACCACTACAACTGGCTAATTTTTAAAAATTTTGTACAGACAGAGTCTCCCTATGTTCTCCAGGCTGCTCTTAAACTCCTGGACTCAAGTGATCCTCCTGCCTTGGCCTCCCAGTGTGTTGGGATTGCAAGTGTTAGCCACCACAAACTAGCCCAGGGGCACAATATTTAAGATTTTTCTTCCATGTTTTTGTCTAGAAGTTTCATAATTTTCAGGTTATACATTTAGGTCTGAGATCTTTTTCAAGTTAAATATTTTATATGGTTCTAGGGAAGGTGGGGCTTTATTTATTTATTTATTTATTTATCTCTGCATATAGATGTTCTAACATCATTTGTTGAAAACAATCTCTCTATTGGTGGGGCATGGTGGCTTAAGCCTGTAATCCCAGCACTTTGGGAGGCTGACACAGGTGGATCACCTGTGGTCAGGAGTTCGAGACCAGCCTGACCAACATGGTGAAACCGTGTCTCTACTAAAAATACAAAAAATTAGCTGGGCCTGGTGGCAGGCACCTGTAATCCTAGCTACTCCGGAGGCTGAAGCAGGAGAATCACTTGAACCCGGGAGGCTGAGGTTGTAGTGAGCCGAGATCGCACCATTGCACTCCAGCCTGGGCAACAAGAGCGAAACTCTGTCTAAAAAAAAAAAAAAAAAAAAAGAAAACAATATCTCTCTATTGAATCAACTTGACACATTTGTCAAAAAGAGATCACATATATGTAGGTGGCCTAAGACAGCTTTACAAAGAATTAATGGATTTTGCTTTCTAGTACAGCTTTAGATTGACAGAATTGAGCAGATAGTACATACAATTCCATACACCTACGCCCTCCCTGCACACAGTTTTCCTTATTATTAACATCTTGCAGCCGGGCGCAGGCGCGGTGGCTCACGCCTGTAATCCCAGCACTTTGGGAGGCCGAGGCGGGCAGATCACAAGTTCAGGAGATTGAGACCATCCTGGCTAACACGGTGAAACTCCATCTGTACTAAAAATACAAAAAATTAGCCGGGCTTGGTGGCGGGTGCCTGTAGTCCCAGCTACTTGGGAGGCTGAGGCAGGAGAATGGAGTGAACCTGGGAGGTGGAGCTTGCAGTGAGCAGAGATCGCGCCACTGCACTCCAACCTGGGCGACTGAGCGAGACTCCGTCTCAAAAACAAACAAACAAACAAAAAAACAACCATCTTGCACTACAGTAGTATACTCATTACAGTAGATAAACTAATTTTGATACTGATGATTCACTATAGTCAATGGTTTACATTAAGCTTTATTCTTGTGGTCCACAGTTCTAGGTTCACTGAACTGCATTGCACAATTCAAAATGCATAATGACATGTATCCACCATTGCAGCAGTTTCATACAGAAAAGTTTCACCACCCTAAAAATCTGTGCTCCAGATATTCATCCACTTCTCCCTTAGGAGAAGCCCACTGATTGCCTAGGATTCAAGGATTCTCCTAGAATCCTTGGCAACTAGTGATTTTTAGACAAGCTAGAATCCTTGGCAACAAGTGATCTTCTTACTATGTCTATAGTTTTGTTTGTTTCAAAATTTCATATAGCTGGAATCATATGGTATGTAGCTTTTTTGGACAGGTTTCATTTACATATCAATATACATTTAAGGTTCACCCATGTCTTTTCATGTCTTGACAGCTTATTTATTTTTGTCACGGAAAAATATTCCATGGTAAGGATGTATCAGTTTGTTTATCCATTCACCTATTGAAGAACATCTGGAAAAATCCCAGTTTTTAGTGATTATGAATAAAGCTGATGTAAATAATCATGTACATGTTTCTGTATAGACATGTTTTTAATTCAATTGGATAATTATTTGCTAGTACAACTGCTATATTGCAAGGTTTAGCTATATTTAGCTTTGGTAGAAACTATCTTCCAAAGTGGCTGTGCCATTTTGCATTTTCACCAGCAATAAATGAGAGTTCCTTTGGCTCCACATTCTTGTCAGCATTTGGTATTGTCAGTTCTTTGAATTTTAGCCATTCTTATAGGCGTGCAGTGTTGTTTAAATTTGCAATTTCCTAATGACATATGGTTCTGGGCATATTTTCATATATTTATTTACCACCCATATATCTTCTTTGATGAAATATCTGTTCAGATATTTTACCCATCTTTAAAATTGGAGTGTTTGTTTTCTTATTGCTAGGCTTTGAAAGTTCTTGTACAGTTTGGATACAAATTCTTTATTGGAAATGTCTTTTGCAAATATTTTCTCCCAATTTGTGGCTTGTCTTCTTATCTAAGAAAACTTTAAATTTCTATATCTAACTACAAAAAAGTGACTAAGAGAAATTAATGCTTCCAAATCAGTATAGAAAATAAGACAGCATTAGAAAACAGTATTAATCCAGAGATAGAAGAAAGTAACGAAAAAGAAGTAAACACAAAATGGTGACTGGAAAGTGAAAAACAGAAAATGTAGATATAGCCACATATATCAATAACAGTAAGAGTAAACACATTAACTTTCCTATTAAAATGCTTCTAGAATCAAACTGGATCAAAAATGTGTTACTTAGAACAAATAGAAGAGTTGAACAAAAAATAGAAACTTTTAAAAGATTGTTTATACTTAAAAATAATAATCCAAATTAAATTATTTTAGCAATATTAATATTAGACAAAATAAACTTATGACATCCCTGGAATTCATCATCAGAAAAAATATAATAACACAACACATCATACTGATAGTTTAAAGGAGAAGCCATAAAATTATATCAATGGATACATAAGCATACATAAGTTGACAAAATTTAACATTTTGAGATAGTTGTATAATGCTGCTTGTAGCAGTTAAAATCAATCAATTAAATGCTAAATGCATTCCACTATGGATATATTTTTGAAATGTAATGTTGAAAAATGATACCATTTATATAAAGAACTTACTAAGCAGGATATCATCCTGTTTATTGATATTTAATCTATTGCATCGAAAAATGTGTAGAAAAATATCCACAGGGAGGAAAGAAACTAAATAGTGATTACTTCTGGGGAGGGGTGAGTTTGCAAAGGGTTTCAGCTCTATCTCTAATATACCTAATTAAAATATAAAGCAATAGCAACATTAAGAAATATTTAATTGAATTTCTACTTTTTGGAAGACATTTTTGAGACATTGAGGATATTGAGATGAGTGGGTCTTGATTTCTGCCTTCAGAATATTCTCATTTTAGGGTATGGGATGCAATTATATCCAATATAGACAATATAAGGCCCTTATTAATTTTCACCTGAATTGTTACAATAGCACTTCTACTAAATGCACCATTAAGTGTTAGTTGTTATTACTATTAAGAGAACTAAGTAACTTACATGGACATTATTACTAATAATTGCACATGCAGCTTCAACTTACTGCTTGTATTAGGAGAAAAAATGTAAATCTTAAGTCTACTTTCTAGTAAAAGATAATATTTTGTACATTGTACTTTATGAGACCATCAATTCCTATATAACAGACTATAATAGTCCACCTCCTCTCCAGCTTTTAATCTAGGTAAATGGCCCTAGTATTCAGTACAATAAGATGTAATAGTGAAATCAGCCTATAATTGGCCTGTTACTGTGAGAGATAATTAAATTGAGAAACACAGTAGAAGGAAGATAGACAAGTGCTAGGAACAGAATCCAGGAAACAGACTGAGACAGTGTCAAAGGCCATCTGGCCCTGGGAAAGACCCCCATTTCACAAAACTGGAAGTAAGAAAAAAAGAATATATATATATATATATATATTTCTTTTAAAAGAATATTTATATATAAAATACATAAATATGTATGTTACAAATCTTTTCTTTATGTCACTTGTAACAAAATTTTTCTCTTTATTTAGTGAAGCATTTATTCTTTCTCATGGTTAATTGCCCCAAATTAAATAAAACGTTTCTCAGAAATATCATGAAATACATTTAGAAATTTTTCTATATTATTGAAATACTACTAAAAGCCATTTACAGCCCTTAAAATGATGTGCTCCATTTACACTTCAGGTTTTGTAAATGAAACAGAGTCAACAAAATATTTCATAGCTCTGAATATATTTAGTAAAATTGGTCCTCTCAAACAACATATACCTATGCCAAACACTGAAATTTATCTTATGTCCAAACTACTCGAAATGAAATACAACGGTGCAGGGAAAACCCAGGAAATAGTGTAAATACACGGAGAGTAGAACAACCATTTATGGTAGATTTCAGAACAATTTTCTTGTGTTGCTTCATAATTTAACATATATGAACAAAAAATTAGATATGATTTTCTTTTGCAAGATAACTAAGAATTAAAGTGAATTAAAAAGTATGTTTTATTCCATCACCTCTGGAGTTTTCAAAATAGGTGTATGTAGAAAAAATCTGAAGCCAAATATCTGTTATTTTTAGTAGTCCTAAGATATGCCTTTTCACCAGAGCAGATATTTCTATGTTTTTTAACCATAGAAGACATTTTAGAAAAATTGTGTATGTGTGTGTAATGTATATTAAAAATTGTGTATGTGTGTGTGTAATGTATAATAGCAAAAGCTAGTGATCCACAGTTTCTCCTTTAAATAAGCATCAGATATTTGAAGAAGCCTAGATGAAATTCTTGTGTATTTTTCTTTTTAAGATAGAGTGACACAGGTACATAGGACAGTATAAAAATAAAAATTTTAATTGCCTTAAAATAAAAATTGACAAATAAACATTTTCTATGTTTTTGGAATGCCTTAAGCATATACATGTGGACTTTTGTGGAAGGTTACAGAATTTAGGTTTGTTTGGCTTGCATATTAGAAAGATGAAGGGTTATTATGAGAAGAATATTCTCCATCTCCACAGAGGGCAAAGCGAGAGGAAATGAGCTTAAATTGTTTTAAAAGAGGCTGAGTCAACACTGCCAAACTTCAAGAATATTTTGACTGATTTGACCAGTTAACAGGGTTTCAATTAAGTGATGGATTAGATCGATTCAACAAATAATCTACTAACCAGTTATTTTGGCAAAGAACGTGAATGCAAAGCCTTTAATTAGGAGGAAGCACTCGTTTAATTAAACATTAGGGCAGGAGTTCAAATAAGATTATAGTCTCTAACCCTAAAGGTCTTTCCAATTTGAGTAGATAGCTAGAGATTGAATAGTTTAATCTGTCAATGGATATTTATTTAGCACCCACTTTGCTCCTAACATTGAACATCTTATACAATCCCTCCTATTCAAAACAAGGGACTGTATAAGAGAATCAACTGAAATAATTTATAGCCTGTTATGGACTGAATTATATCCCCCTACCAAAAGATATATTGAAATCCTAATCCATAGTATCTTTGAATGTGACCTTATTTAGAAATAGTCTTCACAAATTTAATAAGGTTAAGATGAGGTCATTAAGATAGGCCCTAAGCTGATATGACTGGGTTCTTATAAAAAAGAGACAGCAAGAGAAAGAGAGAGAGAGGGACAGAGAAGATGTCCACGTGCAGTCAGAGAGGGAGAATGCCATGTGATGTTGTAGATAGAGATTTTTGGAGTGATGCATCTACAAGCCACAGAACATTAAGGATTGCCAGCAACTACTGGAAGCTAAGAGAGAGGCGTGGAACAGATTCTCCTTCAGAACTTCCAGAAGGAACCATCCCTGCTGACACCTGACTTAGAACTTCTAGCCTCCAGAACTATGAGGCAATACATTTCTGTTTTAAGCCACCCAGTTTGTAATACTGTTACAGCAACCCTAGGAAACTAATACACAGTCTAAAAATTATTTTTCTACATTAAAATACAGTATCATCTTTTATAAGTAATGAATGCTTTTTAAAAACTAATTTCTTTAAAAAAACTTTATTGAGGTATAATTCACATGCCGTACAATTAAATCTATCTATGGAATGTGTATATGTCAGTAAATTTTAGAATATTCACAGAATTACACAACTATCACTACAATCTAATTTTGGAACATTTTCAACACCCCAGTTATTCTTCATTTCCCTCTCCTCCAGCCCCTGGCAACCATTTATCTACTCTCTGTCTCTGGATTTACCAATTCTGAAAACTTCATATAAAGGAAATCATATATTAATAATGTGTGGTCTTTTCTAACTGACTCCTATCAATGAGCATAATGTTTTCAAGGCTTATCTATGTGGTAGCCTGTATTAGTACTTCATATTTTATTACCAAATAATATACCATTGTATGGATATACCATATTTCATTGATTCACTAATCAATTAATGGACATTTAGGTTGTTTCTACTTTATGGTTATTGTGAATAACGCTGTTCTGAACATTTGCACAAGTTTTCGTATGGACATATGTTTTCATTTTTTCTGGTAAACCCATTCATTTTTCCTGTTATAACCCAAGAGTGGAACTGTTGTGTTGTATGGTAACTCTGTTTAACATTTTGAGGAAGCGTCAAACTCTTTTCCAAAGTGGCCACATCATTTTACATCCTCACCCGCAAAGTATGAGGGTTCCAATGTCTCCACAGCTTCACTAATATTTTTTACTATTTGTTTTTAAATTATAATTATTTTAGTGGGTTTTTTAAAATTTACATTTCTCTGATGACTAACATTGTGGCCATTTGTATGTCGTTGTTTGAGAAATGTCTGTTCAAGTCTTCTGCCAATATTGAAATTAGTTTGTCTTTTTACTGTTGAGTTGTAAGAGTTTTTGTTTATTTCTTTTTTCTAGAGACCAGGTCTTGCTATGTTGCCCAGGCTGGTCTCGAATTCTTAGGTTCAAGTAATCCTCTTGCCTCAGCTGCCCAAAGTGCTGGGATTACAGATGTGAGCCACCACACCTGGCCAAGACTTTTTATACATTCTGGATAGGAGTCCAATGTCAGACATATAATTTGAACATATTGTATTTTCTCTCATTCTGTAGGATATCTTTTTTACTTTTCCTATGATATTCTTTGACACAAAGTTTTTAAATTTGATGGGGTCCAATTTATATATTTTTTTCTTTTATTACTCATGCTTTTGGTGTTGTGTCTAAGAAACTATTCCCTAATCCAAGGTTACAGTCCACATGCCTGTTTTCTTCTAGGAGTTGTATAGTTTTAGTTATTACATTTAGCTCTATGATCCATTTTGAGTTTATTTTTATATACAATTGAAGGAGGTGGTCCAGTTTCATTCTTTGCATGTGGATATTCAGTTGTCTCTGCACCATTTGAAAGAGACTATCCTTCCCCCTATAGAAGTGTTCTGACACCCTCGTCAAATATCAACTGACAATAAATGTGAGGGATTATTTATGGATTCTCAATTCCATTCCACTGGTCTATCTGTCTCTCCTCATGGCTGTACCACACAGTCTTGTGGGGAGCTGCACAGGGCGCACATGGTCTTAGCTTGGAAGCTGAAGAAGATTCTGAACGTCCCTACTCACATCTGGGGCTGTTAATAAGTTGCACTCCTGTAGCAGTCACTCCATGACCGTCACACTCTGTTTTACAGGTAAGCAAAATGAGATTTAGAAAAGTAAAATGCTAGGCAAGTCATGCATAAATCTTAGATTTGAATCCAGTTCTGAGTCTAGAGCCTATATTCTGAGTTGTTGTGCTATATTACCTCTATTTCCTTAAGTACATGGGCTTAAAGAAATGGTAACTTATCAACAAATATTTATAGATTAAATAGATGGTTCTTTTTGAATAACACCACCATCTTTCCAGTTGTCCAATCCAGTAACCTGGAGTCATCTTCAATTTCCTGCCTTGCCTATTTCCTCTACTTTTAATTGGTGACCTCTTCCTGTCCATCTTAACTCTTTAACATTTTTATAATTTGTCTCCTCATCTCCAGTGTTGCAGTCTTTGTCAGAACATCTTTCACCTAAGCCACTTCAATGGCTTTCTAACTGGTGTTCATGCCTCTAACCTTCCCCACGCCCCATTCTCCTCATCAATTTTCTACAGAATAAAATTACAAAATTATACCTTAGCATAGAATTCTTGAATATCTTTCTACTTCTCCATTTGGAATTATGTAGTACCGTAAATTAAGCCGAGTTTTTGTGCATACTAATACATTCATTAGTAATGTCCTCCTTTCTTTGTCCACTTATTGAACAGCTGCTTATCTTCTAATACTTGCTTTACATTTTGTATCTTCTAGGAATTATTTATAAATTATTGAATATACCTATGCTCACATTAAACACTTAATTTGACCATAAATAATTTACTTCATATTGTGGTTTTGGTCATTATGAAGGAATCTTTTTCTATTTTCATTATGAATGAGTGTTCCCATTTACCTTTACAGGTTAAAAAAATAGTTTCTTGTATATTTAAGGATTTTAACAAAGAGTTTGGTTAGCTAGTTAAGCAGCACCCTCAGACTAGATGATAACTGCTTAGCATCATAGCAGACTGTGTCAAAGCTAGTGGTGAGGGATCTCGTGAGACATTTGTACCAAGTAATAATTAAAGCCCTAAAGTTTTTATGATAATTATTTCTAAGTCAGAGTGGATTTGTGATAATGTTATGCTCCCATTCTCGCCTTTGGTTATACTTTCTTAAGTGAGAAAGAAAAGGATGGAATAATGGCTATTCAATAGAAAATTATTACCATGAAAATGTGGTACTCATGAATACGCCTTGTGGTAGAAAAAAATAGTGAGCAATGCCACCTACAAAGTGTGTCACACAGTTCACATTATTGGGTAGTACATTGAAGATCGTGTAAAAATACCTTCACAGGCACATAAGAAAGAGGAACCTCCTGTGAATTCTCCTTCTGACATTTTCCTGTTTGACTAGGTTTATGTCTGGTTTGGGGAAACCCTTGCCAGAAGTCAGTGCAGCAGCTGTGAGACTAATATTCATTGCCAATTCCATGAAGTCAGACTCTGACCCAGCTCACCCTGATTAGATTTCCTTTGAGGGCTGTGTGCTTGAGCCATGCAAAAGTAGAGTGGTCCCCACACAAAACCTCTCTCCTTAATCCTTAATTACTTCCTCTACATGGACATGCTTCAAAGAACCTGGATTGGTTGCAAAACAGGAAGTTGCCCAAGGGTCTCTGCCATTGATTGTAACAGATTGACTTTTTTTGTAGGCATCCTGAATTTTCAATACTTTTTCTTCTATGCAAGGTCTACCTTCATGAGTATTCCTCAGAGCCTTTCTAAATGCTGAGGTTTCTGAAACACCCCTCCACCTCTCTAGGGAAAAAAACCCCTCCTCTTTTTTTTCATACACACTTTTGAAGGTGTCTTGACTGTTAATTCTTTAAACACCATTACTATTTCATAAACAGAACTCTGGGTGATAGAGTACCACTGGCTTACCACAGTGTTCAAGGCAGGAGGACTGGCAAGAAGTGTGGGCATGGAGAAGTGAGATTCCCAAATTGCTTTTACTGTTCCCTGTTGATTTTTTTGCTTTATTTTTCCCTGTTGATTTTGTTTGATTTGAACACTCTGTAAGACCCAGAAGATACTTTATTTCTTGACAACATTAAGGGTGACTTCTTAGATCCAGGGAGCCATGCTCCCAAACCAGCATGAGCAGAGTACATGATATTAAACTTATTGCATTATCAATTAAGTAATCTTTATTAGGAGTTCATATGGGTAGAAACAGCACTAAAAATGGAAGTAATGGTGATTTCCATACTGACATGGGTCATAATAAAGTTTATAATATTAAAATACCTTTCTTCTAAGGGAGTTTCTTATCCCTGAGCCCCCTCCCTTAGAGCAGAGGGCCCTCAGCTTCTTACTGGAGAAGAACTAGCTGGTGAACTTATCCCAGGAAACGGGCTTAGGGGTGTGTGGGGTGAGGCTGGGGACTGTTTAAGAGGGGTCTAGGGATTTTTTAAAATAAAAACAAAATTTTCATTAAAAAAATTACATGTACATGATTGTAAATGCAAAACAAAAATAAAAGATATAGAGTGAAAAAATAGAGTATTATGAAGTCTCTCATGATTTCTTTAGCAGTGTGTATGAGTTTCCTAAGACTGCCATAAAAATTACAACAAACTTGGGTGGCTTAAAACAACAGAAATATATTCTTTCACAGAAGGCCAAAAGTCTGAAATCAGGCTGTTAGCAGGAACCTGCTCTTCCTGGTAGCTTTTGGTGGTTGCTGGTAATCTTTGGCATTCCTTTGTTTGCAGCTGCATAACTTCAGTCCCTGCCTCCGTAGTCATGTGCCTTTCTCCGTGTGTGTGTTTGTCTTCACATCAGGTTCTCTTCTGTGTGTCTGTCTCTGTATCTCTTCTCTTCTTATAAGGCAACCAGTTATATTGGGTTAAGGGCCCACCCTGCTTCGGCGTGACCGAATCTTAATATATATCTTAATTATATCTGTAAAAACCCCATTTCCAAATAAGGTCACATTCATAGATAACAGTGGTTAGGACTTCAGTGTATCTTTTCGGGGCATACAAATCAGCTTACAACACAATCTATTGCTATCACAAAAGGACACCTCCATTGTTATTAGTTTCTGATGGTCTTTTTGGACTTAGGTTCATGTGGTATGATCAAAAGAAAGTGCCAGATATTAAGACAAATGCTAACAATTGTAAATTGATATTATTGTTATTCTCATTGAAGTAGCTATACAGGAAACCAAATTCTTGTTCTATTAATGCTTCCTTTGCTCAATATTTTTGGGAATTTCTCTTTGTAAAATGACTTAAGAGAAATGGTGAGAGTGGGCTTGGTGGCTTGTGCCTGTTATTGCTGCTACTTAGGAGGCTGAAGTGGTAGGAGGATTTGTTGAGGCCAAGGGTTTGAGACCAGCCTGGGCAAAATTGTGAGACCCTGTATCTAAAAACAAAAACAAACAAACAACAACAACAACAACAAACAAAAAAAGAAAGAAGGGAAAGAGAGAGAGAATTATTTGAACATCTTCAAATTGTGGCACATGTGCATTGTTTGAAGCTGTGCTAGGGAAAGAGGTTAGACTAGGTTGGCCAAGAGCTGGGGCTTCAACTTCCCAGCTGAGTGACTGTGTTAAGCTCTGGCTATTACCTCCAAGCAGAGGAAAACTAAAGAATCTTCTCATGCCAACGAGTCATTTCTCTGTGGCTTCAACCATAAAGTTTCTATGTTTCACTGTTAAAAAGCAGGAACCTGGCCACCTCAGTCCTTTTTTCCTGGTCTGCTGTCCGCTGATTGTGGTGGCCAGGGCACATAGCCGCATTTGAGATGGGTGACCCGGTATTAAGAAAAGTATTCGCTTGACATGAGGCCCTCACAGATGCTGCCTAGCAAGATTTGCTTGGGTCCAAGGACGGAACAAGACGTCTCCCTTCCTCAGGGTCTCTCAGTTCTTATAGATTCATTTTCCACCACAGTGTGTGTTCTTTAGTCAAAGCAATCTCTTTACATGTATGCATAACCCTCATCTCTTACGTTTGCCGGACATGTGTGCTCTGATACACCCCATGTCCAGGAACACCCTCTTCTAATCTTAGGATATCTGCTGGAGGGCAAAGGAAGCCCTCCCCACATCTGTCCTGTGACCCACCTCTATTACCATTTGGACATGGTGCAGGGAGAGTTTTAGAATGTGGGTCTGGTGGCAGACTGCTGAAATTTGAACTGTTTTTGTGCTGTACTATCAGTGGGATGTTGTGTAATTTACTTAACCACACTGTCACTTAGTATAATGAACTTTATAGTGGGGTAATAACAGTATCTACCCGATAGGGTTGGTATGAGGAACCTATGAAATAATACTCAGAACAACTCCTGGCTCTGTTCAATGAATTCTTCCAATTAATAACAGTAGTGACAGTAATAATCACATCTTGACTTCCAGTCTCTCCTATTTTTCTCCCCCTGTCCCCAGATCCCCTTTTTGGATCTTTGTTTTTCTCCTGTGATTGGCCGGGAACTGGAGGTTGAGAATCCCAGGACCCTGTTCTGGGTACCCTAGTTCAGTAGGTACCCAGTAAGGCACCATTACCTTTGCCAGGGGTAAGGGGTGAGGAAAGGATAAACAGGCAGAGCACATAGGATGTTAATGGCAGTGAAAATAGTCTGTACGATACCATTAATGATGGCTACATGTTATTATACTCTTGTCCAAACCCATAAAATGTACAACAACAAAAGGGATCCCTAATATAACCTATGGATTTGGGTAAAAATGACATGCCAATGTAGGTTCATCAATTGTAACAAGTGTGTACCATTCTGGTGGGAGATATCGATGATGGGGGAGGCTATGCATGCGTGAGGGGAGGGAATATATGGGATATCTTTGTACGGTCATCTTAATTTTGCTGTGAGTCTAAAACCACTCTAAAAAATAAAGTCTTTAAAAAATAGTAAGTTAAAAAACGCACATTTTGTATTCTGTTCCATAATACATAATTTTTGTTTTAATATACAGTTTCTCCAAAAATTTCAAGTAAAAATGACATTTTATAATAATGAAATTTGCTGGTAGTAGGTGAAAGCAGCACAGAGTAAATGTTCAATTAATGTTAATTAATTTTATTTTATCGTCTTCCTTTCCAGAGAGGGGTGCTCTGAGGAACAAATATTATTTAGGTTCCTACATATGTACATGGAAAGAAAAAAGTCTGGAATATAATGGCAGGATAAGTAACTTCCAGCAAGAGGATGGGAGCAGGAAGAGGTACTTCAAACCTTTGTTCTACTTATTCGTGTGTAGTTTGGATTTTTAAAAACGTTTCTAATCAACATGTTCATATATTACATGTGTGTTTAGAAATAAATTATAAGAAGCAAAAAAAAGAATAAAAACTCAATTTCTTTATAAAAAATAAGAAAATTGGAGAAATTTAGGACTAACATAAGGTTAGTAGATAAGAAGTGACTATAATTTGAATTGGTACTGATTTTATCTCTTTGATTCTAAGGTACATGATCTGATGTTTAAAAAAATAAACAGCTTTCTGTTCATTGTAGCAGCTGTTTACTTGAAAAAATCTAAAAAATATAGCCAATTAATAAGCTATTTAGAGCATATTATGAAGAATAAAAGAAATGATTAATTTTCTTAATCCCAGTTGGTCGCGATTATTAGAAAATTAAATGGCTTAAAGGAATTTCTCAAAAGGAAGTTTTCAGAGTGATTGCAATTTAGAACCAAAGGAAAATCAGTTGCAAGTAAAGTTTCGACAATGTTTATACAAATAGCTATCTTGCTTGTATGTTTTCATGTCTATGTCTGGATAACGTCATGAAAACAAGAAACATAAACATGATAGTGCAATTTTGAATATTATTTTCTTAAGGGTTTTATTTAATGTTGTAATAGATTAGCCTTTAAAAAAACCTGATTATTATATGAAAAACTTAAAAATTTTTATTTTATTTTCCTATTCATTTCATTTATTTTTGTCTTAGTTTTGTAATCAAGTGATTTTATGTATGAAAATTAACACAAAAATTGAGGATAAAATTACCTCATATGCTTTATTTATTATTTTAAAGTTTCACTTTAATTTTTCACTTTTTAAAAGCAAGTTTTCTTTTTTCTCTTTTTCCTTACACCAGTTCTAATAACTTTTTAAAAGTGAGATAGGCCATTTTGGAGAAGAAGAAATACTTCCGTGTGATTATTTGACACCAACAATGCAATGAATGCGGAGAGGTGCGTTTAAATTATTTTTTCAATTCGAATACAATAATCTGTGGAAATCACATGGGGACAGATGCTCCTGAGAAATTACTATATTTCTAAACAAGGTTGGAATTTCCTACAGAATGAGAATTAAGCATTGTTAAGCACTTCAAAATTAACAACTCAGCAGAAATCATGCAACTAGGTATAAAAAAAATGTTCAAATTCAATAATATAAAAATTCTAATTAAAAATTAAAGAGAAACTATTATTAATAAAGTTTAAGTATATAATTCAGCCATAATCTTTATCCTGTTTCCAAATTTCAAACAGGTAGGCCGGGCATGATGGCTCATGCCTGTAATCCCAGCACTTTGGGAGGCCAAGGTGGGCAGATCACCTGAGGTCAGGAGTTCAAGACTAGCCTGGTCAACATGGCAAAACCCCATCTCTACTAAAAATGTAAAAAAAAAATAGCCGGGCATTGTGGTGGGTGCCTGTAATCCCAGCTACTCAGGAGGCTGAGGCACAAGAATTGCTTGAATTTGGGAGGCAGAGGTTGCAGTGGGCTGAGACTGCATCACTGCACTCCAGCCTGGGTGACAGAGTGAGACTCCGTCTCAAAAACAAAACAAAAACACCCAAAAAAATCCCCAAATTTCAAATAGGTAATAAAATTTCTATGATATTATTGTCATAATGTTAAGTAATTATAAAAGTCCCCAAATTATACATAAATGATTATTATAAATGTATTATAATAAAGTAGTTATTTTTGTAAAATATTGTGATTGCTTTTTAAATTCAGGACATAATAAATGTTATGACTATCAATGACATCAGCAGTGTCTTGTACAAGATCAAACTTGAGATGATGTGAATAAAACCACAAGCAATCTTACATTATTTTCAATGAATTTCTACATAAGATGAGAGAACAGTCATGCTTGAAGCTTGTTTTTGTAACAAATTATGAATAGGTATTAAAATAAATGCTTATTATCATAGCTGGAAAAGATCCATTGCATATGGATGTTCAAATTGTTCCATATTATCTAGTTTGATATATAAAATCTTGTGATATCAGTAGAACAGGTAAAATTAGTCCTCATTTCATAGATGAAGTAAAATTTGAGTTTAAATGACTTGCTCAAGTCAAACAATTGGCTACTGAATAAGGAAGCAGGGACTAAAGGCCAGGTTTGCTGACCTTGGTTTAGTAAGTTTCATTTCCATTATTCCACCAGGAAATTTACATATAATTAAATGTACTTCTTTTAGTATACTTTGTTTTCTGAAAAAGTTTGTGTAGAATTGGTATTATTATTATTATTATTATTTGAGACTGAGTCTTGCTCTGTCACCCAGGCTGGAGTGCAGTGGCGCCATCTCGGCTCACTGCAACCTCCGCCTCCCGGGTTCAAGTGATTCTTCTGCCTCAGCCTCCTGAGTAGTTGGGATTACAGGCACACAGCACCATGCCCGGCTAATTTTTGTATTTTTAGTAGAGACAGGATTTCACCCTGTTGTTCATGCTGGCCTTGAACTCCTGACCTCATGATCCACCCTCCTCGGCCTCCGAAAGTGCTGGGATTACAGGCGTGAGCCACTGCGCCCAGCCTATTATTATTTTTAAATGCGTGCTTTTATTAGGTTGGTGCAAAAGTAATTGCAGTTTTGGACCATTAATTTTAAATCATTATAACTAGGCTCAAACACATCTTTATCAATCAAAATAGGAACCATTACAATCAACACATTTTTGAGAAATGTGTGTTTAATCCTGTAGAGTAAAAATCCATACTTTGAGGTTCAATGAACTCTTGGTAAGCATTTTCTGCATTATGCTGGTTGTGGAAGTGTTTTCCCTGCAAAATGTTGTGGAGGTGCTTGAAGCGGTAGTAGGCAGCCAAAGGTTAGGTAAATATGGCAGATGAGGCAAGATTTCGTAGCCAAATTTGAAGCGTTGGTTGGGCAACGTGCGGTTAGGTGTTGTTGTGGAGAATTGGGCCCTTTCTGTTGACCAATTCTGGCTTCAGGCATTGCAATTTTCGGTGCATCTCATCGATTTGCTGAGCATGCTTCATGCTTCTCAGATGTAATGGTTTTGCTGGGATTCAGAAAGCTGTAGCGGGTCAGACTGGCAGCAGACCACCAAACAGTCACTATGACCTTTTTTTGGTGCAAGTTTGGCTTTGGGAAGTGCTTTGAAGATTCTTCTTGGTCCAACCACTGAGCTGGTCATCGCTGGTTGTCATAGAAAATCTCCTTTTTTATCATATGTCACAATCCAATAGAGAAATGGTTCATATTGTTGCGTAGAAGAGGAGAAGACGAAACTTAAAAACGACGAAGTTTTTTGATTTTCGATCAGCTCATGAGACACCCACTTATGGAGCTTTTCCACCTTTCCAATTTCGGCTTCAATGATTGCTCTCGATTAGTCGTTATCAACTTCTGATGGCCAGACACTGCGCTCCTCATCTTCAAGGCTCCTAGCTCCTTTGCAAAACTTGACCCACCACTGCACTGTATGTTTATTAGCGGTTCCTGGGCCAAACGCGTTGTTGATATTGCGAGTTGTCTCCGCTGCTTTACGACCCATTTTGAACTCAAATAAGAAAACTGTTCGAATTTGCTTTTTCTCTAATTTCCATAGTCTAAAATAAACACAAATTAAACAGCAAACAATAAGTTATTAGCAAAAATAAATAAATAGAGAGATACCCATTAAAATGATGTATAACATAACCACATCTATTTAAGAGTGTATTCCAATATCAAATGGCAAATTTCAGCAATGCAAAACCCACAATTATTAATATGTTTGCACTCATCTAATAGTTATAGAACCTCTTTCTGAACCTTAAATTTTCTCTATGGCAAGATATTAAGTGAAAAATTATATTTCTGTAATAAATATATGGTTCTGTAGGTTTTGTATTTATTTTCTCTTTAGTGAGCTTAGGTAATTAGTATCATTAGAGGAATTTGTCCATTCATCCAAGGTGTCCAATCTGTGGGCCCAAAGTTGTTGGTAGTATTTCTTTATTATCTTTTAAACATTCATAAGGGCTGTAGTTATATTCCCCTTTTCATTCCTGAAACTTTTTTCTGTATGTCTGGCTATAAGTTTATAATATTTTTGGTCTTTCTAAAGCATTAGGTTTTGGTTTAATTATTTTTTCTCCATTCTTCACTGTTTTCCAGGAAAAAATTATGTTTATCACATAATATTTAATAGAGAACTGTCAAAAGTTGTGTCATGTCTGCCCCACAAGGCAATTGGGAAGGTCAAAATATGATGTTTTACATGCTACAATTTTGAGACATCGATTTAGTTTAATATATAATAATTATTAATTTAGTAGTAAAATCAAATTTAATATATGCAAAATGGTTAATAGTAAAATGGTATTTAAAGGCTTATAATGAAAAACAAGTATTCTCTTTTCTACCCACCACCACCTTGGTTGCTCTCCCAAAAGCAACTACTTTTAATTTTTTAACTGTTTCTCCTATTAGGTACATTAAAGCTTAGCAGTGTAAAAAAATCAAATAACCAGAATAATTCTAAATAGCCCTAACATTACTGAATCTGAAATGATTCAGTGATTCAGAACCTTAGGGCCATTAGTAAGAATATCAATTGTCATTTTATAAAAGTGCTGATCAATACATTTACATAAGACATGGTGGTGGACAACAAAGACCTTTTTGTGTATAGAATTTTTATTTTCACTGAAGACAAAAGTCATCTCTATATCAGGATACACAGAGAAAATTATATTGGCATATACTGTTCTTAGGATTGTCTCAACAGCAAAATTGCATATATCCAATAAATGTTTCCTTAAAGTACATTTTGGAAATCTTTGTCTCAGTAAAGGCGATTCTCTAGTCACATTGCCTAGTCATGGTCTTGTGAGAGTAACAGTTAGTGGATCCAGGCTTTGAACTCTGCTTTATACAGACCTAGTAATCTAGGCAGAGACTGGATTGAATCCTGTTCACAGTAAGCTTTCCGTTGTCCATGGGTACTTCTGGGATCTAGTAAGCAGAAAGGAGTGTAAGGTCTCTCTCACACTATCAAAGTTTTATGCTGTTGTCAACACTACATCTTCAAGTTTTATCTGAAGGGGTAGGGACCCAGTTTCAGGGGATACGTTTTTATCTTGTACAAGATGTCTTATTTTTATTACCTGCCTTGAAATCTTAAGGGACAAGATGTGGGAAGCAAGCATCACTTACTGTTTTTATGATCATATATTAAAAATGGATTGTTAATCTTCATCTTAGTTTCATGATCATATGCTGAAAAATGTGCTGTCAAGTTACTCCCAGAGATCACAGAATTTAAATAAAGAAGGATCTTATATTTACAATGGTACTATTGGAACTTTTTTTTTTTTTTTTTGCATTAAAGTGGCACGGGAAAAGCTAAAACTGCTTAAATGATGCTGAAAAGACTGCTTAAGTAATTGGATACGTTGTCAGTGGCTGTCAGGAAGAAGGTCATAGAATACCACAATTCAGTGGTTCTTTATCTGGGTTCGGTGATAAATGCCAGGCTCAGTTCATTCAGTCAGCTTGCCTCCCTAATGATATGCGGAAGCATTAAAAATGGATTTCTTCTTTGTCAACAGTACATCATGTATAGCTAAAATGAGTGGCAGTTTTCCACTCTAATTTAGTTCTTAGAATTTTTTTTTAAGTAAGTTGGTACATAAACTTGGCATGTGACATTGGCTATGACTACAGATTTTGAAAAATTTGTGGGTGTAACTGAAAGATCAAGATTAGCCAGAATCCTTGGGTTAGAGTACTTGCTACTAACTACTGTGTAAACTGGTTAACTAACTAGTAATCTCCCTAAACTTCAGTTTTATTTTATTTTTTATGTATTTATTTATTTGTTTTTTATTTATTTATTTTTTTGAGATGAAGTCTCGCTCTGTCACCCAGGCTGGAGCGCAATGGTGCAATCTCGGCTCACTGCAACCTCCACCTCCCAGGTTCAAGTGATTCTCCTGCCTCAGCCTCCCAAGTAGCTGAGATTACAGGCGTAAGCCCCCAAGCCTGGTTAATTTTTGTATTTTTAGTAGAGATGGGGTTTTACCATGTTAGTCAGTCTGGTCTCGAATTATTGACCTCAGGTGATCCACCCTCCTCAGCCTCCCAAATTGCTGGGATTACAGGTGTGAGCCACCGTGCCTGGACCAAACTTCAGTTTTCTCAACTATAAACCTGTGATTAAAATATCTTTCTCATAGGAGATTAGGATGGTTAAATAGAATGACATAGGTGTAATACGTAATAGGTACTCCAAAATGTCTATCTGACCCAAGATAGTAATGCCTTTAAAACAATTTCAAAAAATTATTTTGTGATGTTCAGTTGAAATTTTTCTAAATAAATCAGACTGGACAATAGCAATTATTGGCAGGCTATAGAGCAACACTATAGAGCAACAGGAACACTCATACAAAGCTGATGAGAGTGAACATTGGCTCAATCACTTAGGAAACATTCTGGCATTACCTAAAGAATATGAAAGGGCCTACCTTACAGTCCAGTAGTTCTGATCCTAGCTATACAGTACTTCCACACATAGAGAAATCTTTGCCATATGCGCCTGGAGACATAAATCATGCATGATTTTAGCAGCACTGTTTGTAATAGAAAGGAAAGTAGGAATAACCCATATATCCATCAAAAACAGAATAAACAATAGAATAAACAGCAATAAAAGTGAACTACATCTATCTAAATGAGCATAAAATTACCTCAGACATAATATTGAGCCAAAAGGAAAGTTAGAATAATATGCAGTATGTGCAGTGTTCCACTTTATAGAAAGTATCAAAACAGGCAAAACTAAACTACATATTTTAGATTATCTATTTATCTGTCATTGAATTACCTGTCATTTATCTCTCTCTTTCTATCATTTATCTATCTATGCTTAAATAATAAAGGGAAAAAGAAAACAATTAACATAAAATTTAGGATAGCAGCTACTTTTGGAAAGAAAGAAATGACAGTGGTGGGGGGAACACCAAGGAAACGTCTAAGAAGCTGGTTTTATCTATTTTTTTAGGGGAAAGTCTGGTATGTAGGTGTACAGGTGACCCTTGAACAACACAGGTTTTAACTGCAGCGACCCTCTTACTTGCAGATTTTTTCAATAAATACATCAGAAAAGTTTTGGAGATTTTCAACAATTTGAAAAAACTCACAGATGAACCACACAACCTAGAAATATTGAAAGAATTAAGAAAACGTTAGGTATGTCATGAATGCATAAAAATATGTAGATACTGGTCTATTTTATCATTTACTTGCATAAAATATACACCAATCAATTATAAAACATTAACATGTATGAAAACTTACACATACAAACATAGACTGTACATGGCACCATTCTCAGTCCAGAGAAATGTAACCAAACATAAAGATGCTGTATTAAATCATAACTTTATAAAATTAACTGTAGTATGTACTGTACTACTGTAATAATTTTGCAGCCACCCCGTCACTGTTGTGATGCAATCAAGTGTTGTGAGTATCCACTTAAATAGCCATGTGACCCTTATCATCTCTGCGTAAGCAGTTTGTCTATCCGGTAAATTGCATATTGAAGTGAAATGATCTCTCATGATTTCTTTTGTATTTTTCATCGTGCTTAGTACAATATAATAAACCTTGAATAACACCATTTGACCCATACGAAGTGCCACTAGTGATGCTTGGAAGTGCTCCCCAAAACACAGAAAAGTCATGACATAACAAGAAAAAGTGGAATTGCTTAATATGTACCATGATTGAGGTCTGCAACTGTGGTTGCCATTTCAGACAGACATCTTGTAAACAGACAATGTAAACTTATGGAACTGGTAAATACAATACTGTAAATGTATTTGCTCCTCCTTATGATTTTCTTAACAACATTTTCTTTTCTCTACATTACTTTATTTTAACAATACAGCATATAATACTTATAACATTCAAAATATGTGTTAATAAACTGTTTCTGTTATTGGTAAGGCTCCCAGTCAACAGTAGGCTATTCGTTGTTAAGTTTTTGGGGAGTCAAAAGATATACATGGGTATGGGGAGAGGGGCTGTCACCCCTAACCCTTGGGTTGTTCATAGGTCAACTGTGTTAGCTTTCTAGGGTTGCTGTAACAAATTACCATGACCTGGGTGGCTTAAGACAACAGAAATCTATGCTGTCATGGTTCTGAAGGCCAGAAGTCTGAAATCAAGGTGTCAGCAGGGTTGTTCCTTTTCAGAGGCTCTAAAGGAGAATCTTTTTCCTGCTTCACTTCTAGCTTTGTAGGCTGCTGGCAATCCTTGACATTCCTTAGCTGGTAGATGCATCACTCCAACCTCTGCCTCCATCTTCACACTGCCTTCTCCTCTTACATTGCCCTGTGTTCTCCTCTTCTATCTTTTATAAGGACATGTGTCATTGAAGTTAGGGCCCTCCCTAATCCAGGTTGATCTACCTCATCTCAAAATCCTTAACTTAATTACATCTGCAAAGAGGCTTCAAATAGACATACCTCTTAGGGAGTCTATTATTCAACACATTACAGTAGGTGTACATTTTATCATTAGTAGATGACTGTACATAGACATTATGTATACATTCCTTTGGATGTTAGATATATATATTTTCAAAAAAGATAAATTTGCTTAAAATTAAAATGTGAAAGAAAATAGAGGACAGAAGATTCTAATGTCAATTTTAAGGTTAGATTATCTCCCTAACTTGACTACCTAAAATATAATTTTCTCAATAAAAAGAAGCATTTTCCTAATATTATATGGTAAAATAATTTTTTTATATATTTCTATTTATGTACATACATATATATTGCATATTTCATTTTCAGCATAGCCTAATTAAAAAATATGCTGAAGCTGAGTTTTCTATTCCTATGTTCTTAATAGAAGCAACATTAAATCTGATTTTATATTTGAGGTTGTTTCTAATTTTCATGGTTAGTTTTCCAGATTCAAATAATAAAGAATTAAGAATTTTCAGTTGATTTATAAGTAATCTCTTTTTTTTTTTTTTGAGATGGAGTTTCGCTCTTGTTGCCCAGGTTGGAGTGTGCAATGGCACCATCTCGGCTCACTGCAACCTCCACCTCCTGGGTTCAATCCATTCTCCTGCCTCAGCCTCTCAAGTAGCTGGGATTACAGGTGCCCGCCACCATGCCCAGCTAATTTTTATATTTTTAGTAGAGATGGGGTTTCATTATGTTGGCCAGGCTGGTCTCAATCTCCTGACCTCAGGCGATCCACCCTCCTCGGCCTTCCAAAGTGTTGGGATTATAGGGGTGAGCCACCGTGCCAGGCCAGTAGTCTCTTTTGATATTACTGAACAATTGACAAAAAAGGGGGAAAAAGGATGAATAATCCTCTGAAAGAAATAGACTCATCTGGTCTCATCCAAGAAGTGCACGTTTCCATTTTTGGCCATCATGTTGACAACTAATTTTTAAAATATTAATTACTTATGTTGGAGAGGATGTGAATATACGGACATCCTTTTACATTTTTGGTGGGAATATAATTTGTCGTAATCTTTCTAAAATGAAATTTGGCAGTACATATCAAGAATCTTTATAGTATTTATATCCTTCACCCTAGTAATTATATTTCTAGAAATTTATACTGAAGAAATAACCAGATATTCATCTAGATTTATATGCAAATATGTTTAACCATAATTATTAGCAACAGTGTAAAACTGAAAATAACCTAATTTTCCAAAAATAGGGTAAATTAACTATCATTTTCAGGTTCCAGTCATCTATTGTTGTGTAACAAACTACACCTAACTTAGTGGCTTAAGATAAAAATTGATTATGACATCTCAGATTCATGTGTGAGAGCACGGCAAGGATGGACTATATCTCTGCTCCACAATGTCTGGGACCTCAGGTAGGTTAACTCAAAAGCTAGGGGCTGGGCCATATAGCTGGGGAATGGCCAGGCATCTGTCCTTCTCTCTACCTGGTTTCTTCATGTGGCTAGTTTGGGCTTTCTCACAGCATGGCGGGCTTTGTATAGTTGGAAATTTCACACAGCAACTCAGCGGTTCAAAAAGAAGAAATTGAAGCTGCCATTTTCTTATGGCCTATCTGGCATCTGACAGTGTCTGTCACTTCCTCCATATTCTCATGGTCAAACCAGTGAGAGGGCCCACTCAAACTCATGAGAGGGGACACAGTTCTAACTTTTGATGAAAGGAATACTGCAGTAGTCCGTTTTCATGCTGCTAATAAAGACATACCTGAGACTGGGCAATTTACAAAAGAAAGAGGTTTAACTGGACTCACAGTTCCACATGGCCAGGGAGGCCTCACAATCATGGCGGAAGGCAAGGAGGAGCAAGTCACATCTTACATGAATGGCAGCAGGCAAAGAGAGCTTGTGCAGAGAAACTCCTGTTTTTAAAACCATCAGATCTCTAACAATTCCCGTTTTTAAAACCAAAAACTCTCATTTTAAAAACCATCATTCACTATCATGAGAACAGCCCACCCCCATGATTCAGTCATTTCCCACTGGGTCTCTCCCACAACACGTGGGAATTATGGGAGCTACAAGATGAGATTTGGGTGGGGACACAGAGCCAAACCATATCAAGTACCAAGGAATTTGTGGCGATCTGTAAGCTGCCACACTTTATAATGTAATAGTGGCCATTAAAAAGTATTATACTGCTAATTATTGAATAGCAAAGAGGATGATCATTTTGAGTAACATTATTTTGGTTGTGATTATAAGCAAAATAATTTGATTTTCAAGGAAATTCTAAAAGAAGAAAAATATATTACATAATGGTGGAATGTTTAATAAGTAAAATAAAATAAAATGCTTCTATGACAATTCCTTTGAAGACCAGCAGGTATTTATAATGTTTTGAAAAGTTTATGCAAGCTGTTATCATTTTTATAGCTTTATTCTTGTGGGGATCAGAATAAATTGAACTTCATATAACTTCAAAGTAAAAGAGAAAACAGGGACAGAAATTAGTTGAGGACAGAAGAGAATGCTGACATGTTTCTAGGAAAATCTATAGCCTAAGGGGATGGGAAGGAATGTAGAGTTAGAAAAGAAAAATATATACAAAAATAATGCATAAAGAGGACAAAGGAGAAAAATTTTAAGGCACATTCTAAGAAGAGAAAATATGATCACTTACAAGGAAATTAGTGAAACTTGTAGAATATTGGATTCTTATAATCTCACTATTAGGAACTTATGTGAGTAAAATTTTAAGGTCATTGCTGTTTCAGAAATATCTGTGGAAACAAAACTTTAAAGATAGAAAGAATGATCAAACAAAATGATTAGAGTAATGGTCAGTAACCTATGGAATATCAATTTATTGAAATATTATCTAACAATACATTTGAAAGTTTAAAGACTAAGAAAAACTTTATATAACAAACCTAATTGAAAAAGTAGAATATAAAGTGTAAGCTCATTAGAATTAGCATTGTATAGGCCAGGCATGGTGGCTCATGCCTATAATCCTAGCACTTTGGGAGGCAGAAGCAGGTGGATTGCCTGAGCTCAGGAGTTCGAGACCAACCTGGGCAACATGGTGAAACTCCATCTCTACTAAAAATACAAAAAAAAAAAAAAAAAATTAACTGGGCATGGTGGAGCATGCCTGTAGTCCCAGCTACTTGGGAGGCTGAGGCATGAGAATCACTTGAACCCAGGAGGCAGAGGTTGCAGTGAACCAGACACTGCACTCCAGCCTGGGTGACAGAGCAAGACTCTATCAAAACAAAACCAAAAACAAAAACAATGTATAAAATATACAAATAATAAAAATTCGTAGACAATTTAGACACGAAAATACAATGGAGGACTAGGGATAATTGTTTTAGTAGTTTTGCATAGTGTTACAAATTTTATATTATTACATAAGGAAGACTTAAACCAATTACTAAATATAGGAGAGTAAACCTTGGAATTTAAATTTTAAAAGCTTTTTACGTTTTATTTTATAGTCAAATGATTTGTATTTTTCAATATTATTTTAAAATATAAGGAGAAAAAGAAAATACAAAATTATATAGATCCAAAATGGTAAGATACCAATTTTATAAAATCACTCTCATTCTTAAGCAATCGTGGTTTTGCCAACTACAGTATTCTAGTGGTAAAACAAAACTAACATCTTTTTAAGGACATACAGTTCAGTTCAGTACCCTTTAGCCACAAAGTACAACAACTGTTGCCCTTCAATCACATAGAAGGAGAAAATAATTATTCATAGGTTACTTCCTTAATACACGGCAATAAAACTAGGTCTCTAAAAATTCACTTTATATGTTAATTTGTGAATAGAAAAAAACTATGCTGAGAGCATTTTTTTCTCTTATCTGGGAAGATCAACTAAGGGAGAATGCAAGTATTAGTTGTATAATTTCAAGCCAGTAAAGCATTTAACACGTAGAATCTGAATATCATAAATCTTGTAAGTATCTGCTTCAGATCATGTTATCCATAGACAATGTAAAAATCACTTTGTTTTTTTTTTGTTGTTGTTGTTTCCTTTTGTTTTTAAAGTGAAAGCAAGTTTATTAAGAAAGTAAAAGAATAAAAGAATGGCTTCTCCATAGACAGAGCAGCCCCAGGGCTACTTGTGGTCCATTTTTATGGTATTTCTTGATTATATGCTAAACAAGGGGTGGATTATTTATGCCTCCCCTTTTTAGACCATATAAGGTAACTTCCATGACATTGTCATGACATGTAAATTGTCATGGTGCTGATGACAGTGTAGCAGTGAGGACGACCAGAGGTTACTCTCATCACCATCTTGGTTTTGGTGGGTTGCAGCTTTACTGTAACCTGTTTTATCAGCAAAGTCTTTATGATCTGTATCTTGTCCTTACCTCCTATCTCATCCTGTGATTTAGACTGTCTAACCATCTGGGAATGCAGCCCATTAGGTCTCAGCCTTATTTTACCCAGCTCCTACTCAAGATGGAGTTGCTCTAGTTCAAACACCTCTGACATTTCCCCCCTCCCTTTTATAAGAGAACCCTTTAATCCTAAGGGTTGCAGTGGGATGAAGATTCATCTTCTATAAATTCTTCATGCTGAATAGGGGTGATGATATTTCTGCCTACCAGGGTCTCTTATATTCAGGATAGAGCTGGGCTCAATCAGAAAGCATCAGTATGATGAGGGCCATACGTAACTCTTGAGTTCCAACAAAAGGTGTTATCTGGAAGATTAATAAATATTTAATTTAAGAAAATGTTGAGTAAGCTTATTCTGCATTCCTGCACAGACAGTACAACAGCAATATATTCCACAAGAGTAAAACAAACTAAGTGATATTATCCCAAGTAAACTAAATAAGAAGGCTTTCCATGAACTGGACAACTGTTGGAACTGGGATGATATGGAGCTGAATTGCTTCATATCAGAATTAGATTATTGATTCAGATTTTTACATTACCCATCCCTCTTGTTTCCTCTGAGCTGCAGTTAGAGATCACTGATTGTTTCACAGGAATAAGCAGTCAGTCTAAATTGCAGAAAAAAATCAAAAACAACCAATGAGACTCTAAATTAATAACAAGCATACCTACCATAGTTCTTGAAACTTAATTTTTCTCTCTCCAGTCTCCCATTTTTAGTAAAGACAAATCATGGTAAAACTGATTTGCTTTATTATACTTGGCCTGATTATATTCATAAAGTTCAGCAAGGATAATTATTTTTCACATAAGCCATTTTTAAATCATCTTTGATGGAACTCTGTTCCACAGAAGGAATCTCAGATAAGACTTCTTTTTAAAGCCAAGCCCAGTCATGGGTGTGTACCCTCAGATACCTATGAATTAGATAAATCCCTCTTCTTTTGAAGTTCCAAGGTTACTTGGGGCTCCTGGGCCTATCAGAAAGTGACAATCTTTACTTACCACAGGTCAGGAACCTTGTACAGGGACTGTGTAGACAAGGTATGAGGCCAGTTTTCCCAAGGGGCTTTCATTGGCTCTACAAGTCAAGTTCCATTCCTTAAAGGAAAGCATGCCATTCCAGTCAAAGCCTTGGTAAAATAACCGGTTTCTCCAATTGTGTCCTGTCACAAAAGAAAGCATATTCTTTTTTTTTTTCTTTTTTTGAGATGGAGTCTCACTTTATTGCCAGGCTAGAGTGCAGTGGCTCAATCTCAGCTCACTGCAACCTCCGCCTCCCAGGTACATGAGATTCTCTTGCCTCAGCTTCCCGAGTAGCTGGGATTACAGGCAACTGCCACCATGCCCAGCTAATTTTTTTGCATTTTTAGTAGAGATGGGGTTTCACTGTGTTATCCAGGATGGTCTCAAACTCTGGACCTCATGATCCACCTGCCTCGGCCTCCCAAAGTGCTGGGATTACAGGCATCAGCCACCACACCTGGCCAAAGAAAGCAGATTCATATTGCACTTATGCAAATAACTGTATTGTCATAAGTCAAAAATACTCACAACTAGTTTCCAAATTTTGGAGAAATCAGGTAGAGAGAAACAAATATGCTCCAAATTTTATTTACAGGGGTATACTTTACTCAATAGCCATAGGCTGTAAATAGCTCAAAAGAAAAGTTTCATTGACTCTGAAAAACAAAACAAAGGATCAGAAACATTTAAAGCAAAGTAAAAAAGATTACTTCAGTTTTCTATTAGCTTAGTCCATGCAGTTAGCTCCTGTTCTGTTTGATATTCATGAACATTTCAGCTCTCCATGTGAGTCTTGAAAGTTTTTCCTCTATTCTAATGTTACAATTTCCGAAGTTACCAGAAACCTGGATTTAAAAACACATGTCAAAGTCCTATAGCTGACTATAAACCACCTTTTGAAGAGGATCAAAACAAGACAAGAATTGTTTGTGGATGACAAAGTCTTAGGACAGCCGCTAGTAAAGCCACAGTTGACTAGGAAATTTTGGTCACCTCTATGGCACACAATGATTTTATGTAACAATTTTAATTATTACATTAAGCCATATCAGAATTATAGGAGTTTCTCATAATTTTGGAACACAAACCAATAACACATTTATACAAATACAGCCCAAAGAAAGCCAGTTTAATATTTGACAATGCTTCCTCTATGACTTTCATACCAAATAAGCCAAATGTCACTGTTGCATTGGTGCATTATTAATGTCAGACCCAATTCTCTATAAAACCTTATAGATAAATCTATCCTATTTTAATGTAAGATTCTCATAAACCTTTTATAACTCTTTACAATTTTTTGTTATACAGCAGATCAGTGCTCTAAGAGAAATCTGTTGTGCTTTTATTTCAATGTTCAATTTACAGAAAAAGTGATTAATACCCCTTTGGTTCTAGCCAATATGTTCACACACATAATTTCTTTTACAAGATTAATTTTTCACAAACCTTCCACAACTTGCTCAAACCTTCAGCTTTATCTTATCTAACTTAAAACAATCCTTGAACCCTTTAATTTAGGCAAAAAAATTCATATTTCCATGCCTTCTTCTAATCTTTTACCAAAAGTATATTCTTCTTTTCTTACATGTCTTGCATGTAAAATCATTTCTTTAGTAGTCTCAATTACATGTTACAATGTTAACTCTTAGCAACTTTTACTTTTGGTGAAAACCTTGATAAGTAAGGGATTTTAATTATGTACTAGATGTGGAGTCTAGGACATCAGACAGAAGTGCAGATAAGGGCTGACTCTCCAGACTAGCTAGGGGCCATGGCTCTCCACATGTCCCCAGGCTTTATCTAGAATCTAACACTCCAAAGTAGGTAAGCTGAACAATTTTTAAAAGTAAAAGAAGCAGCTTATGACCTTAAAGCATTTAGCAAACCTAATATCTGACCTGCATAATTTAGACCAAATGTTTACATGTTTGAAGATATTTTTATTTTACCAATAATCTTTAAAACTGTCTTTATTTCCCAAAGAGTACTAAAGTCACATGAATTACAATGCATTATGCTTTTAACTTTTCTGACAAAATATTTTAAGCACTTATTATTTTAAAATTAATTAAAGCTTTTTTTTATATCACACATACAACACATGTAAATACACAGACAGACAGAAGATTCAGTAGCTGCAAAATTTTTCATTTGCCAATTTTAGTTTCTTAATTGGATTACTGGCTTCAGGGTGGAGCCCTTAGAGGAACAGGGCCAGGACATCATGCAGTTTTTATAGCCTAATAAGAAAGCACAGCTAGAAGGCAAAAACAGATCTCTAGAAATTAAGGGTCCCATTTTTATACCAGATGCTAGATCCCCCCAAAAAGAGGGAATCAGCCCATCCCCATGCGAGTCTTATCTCTCAGTGGGGAGTGGGGACATCTTGATACTTCCTAGGTGACCAAGAGCATGCTTCTCTGATCCAAACGTGTGAAGAGCTGCATATCCTCCATAACTTCCATTAGCTATGCCCAAAGGTATATCTCCTACCTAGTTATTAGGTAAGAGTTATTAGTTATTACACACCAAAGCTCTCTCATACTGCAAAGTAATTTCCGATATCCCCAAAAGTTAAAACCATCAGACAATGAAATGCAAAACAGAACAGAACCTTAGATTTTGAGAGGGATCTATCCACTTCCAGTTCTTGGGGTTTCATGAGGGAAACAGAGACTTTTCCCAAAATGGGATCTGTGGTGCCTCCTCCATTTTTCCCAAGGAGTCCCAGGCTGTTAGAGCTTGAATATCCATTTTTAATTAAGCTGACTTTTAACCATTGTGCTCTTAAAAAAGTCCTTTTAAATTTCTTATTACCCGACTTTAGCCAGGCCGAATGGCCAATATTTCTGTGCTCAGAGAAAGGAAAATTTAAGATGGTTTGTGAAGGGGAAGAGAATCAACAAATGTAAAGGTCAAACAGATATCAAGTCAGAAAGGACTCATTTCCTAAGCCAGGGATTGAATCCTGAACCCGGGCTGCCATTGTGAAAAGAGAAAGCATGGCCACATTGTTACAAGGTCAAGCTTCCAAGGACATACAAGACAAGAGGGAGACCTTATCCAGTTTCTTTTCAGGGACCTGCAACAAAGTTTGTATTAACAACTGACCAGTTTGCTGGGCCATCTTGAACAGTGGACTTATGGGGTCCTAGGCCCACATTCTATCTTAAGGTGCCCCTCTTTCTATAGAAAAATATAGAAACACAAATTCACAGTACAAAGTAGAACAGATTCACTACAGCTTAAGACTAGCCTCACAAATACCATTCATTCAACAAGTTTGCACACACAGAGAGAGAATGAGAGAGAGGGGCCAGAAATTTGACTGGTAAGAAATTCTTACCCTTTTACTGGCAATATTACCTCATGGTAATATTGGCAGTATTACAGAGTAAGTTCCTAATTAAGTAGACAGCTTGACTGACTTTCTTTTTTTAGTACGATGTGTCTCAGTGTTTTCAGATCCCTTGGCCTACAGATTTGTATTTGCCAGGTTTCTAGGTTCCCTTTCCCTGAGCTTCCTTAGTGACCCAGCTGGCTGCACCACAGCCCAGGGGGTCAAGCCACAACACAAAGGAAAATTATTTTTTCCGTTCTGGCCAGAGCAAAATACGTGTGTCAAAACATAGACACTGGCTACTCCACTTAGAGCCCAATATCAAACTGGAGAGACTCAAATTTGCCCCTGATTGGGCCCCATAATCGTTAATCCAACCTCCAACAAGGATTTTCAACATGTGGTCTCTGGGCAAGATGGTCACCTCAAAGTCAGCCTATTGGTGCACTCAGATGATTTTTCCTTTGGGTCAGGGGTCTCCTTGGTATTGTCCCTCTTCCATGGTTTGCTAGAAAGATGTTATCAGACCCCTCCACTTACCCAAAGTTAGCCTTTGGGTCAGGGGTTTCCTCAGTATTGTCCCTTCTGTGGTCACCAGAAAGATGTTACCGGAAAGGGGTCCCCATCCAGAACCCAAGAGAGGGTTCTTGGATCTTGTGCAAGAAATAATTTGAGATGAGTCCATAGAGTAAAGTGAAAATAAGTTTATTAAGAAAGTAAAGGGATAAAAGAATGGCTGCTCCATAGACAGAATAGCCTTGTCTTTTCTTTGAATCTTGAAGGGTAGTTATGTCCTCTAATAGTTATAGGGACAAAGTTTTCTGAGCATAGACAAAAGAAATTTTACCAATAGTTCAATTTCTAGGAACCTAAGAGATACAGCCTGTGATGGTTAATTTCATTTAACATGACTGAGTTCAGGAATCTTCAGGTAGTTGGTAAAACATTATTCTGGGTGCATTTGTGTGGGGCTTTCTAGAAGAGATTAGCATTTCCAACAGTACACTGGGAAAGATCACTTTCACCAATGTGAGTAGGCATCATGCAATCCGAGGACCCACATAGAACAAGGCAGAGGAAAAGTGAATTCTCTCTGTTCTTCAGCCAGGACAATCACCTTGCTGTTGGATATTGGAACTCCTGGCTCTCTGGCCTTCACACTCAAGGACTTACACCCCCCAACCCCCGTTGGGTTTCTCAGGCCTTTGGCTTTGCACCAAGTTACACCACTAGCTCCCCTGGCTCCCAGGTCTTTGTGGTGAGACCAAATTAATTACCCCAACAGTTGTTCTGGTTCTCCAGCTTGCAGAACTCCTATTAGACATAGGAGTTCCAGAAACTTCTTAGTCTTTATTTCCTATTTCTTTTTTTTTTTTTTTTGAGATGGAGTCTCGCTCTGTTGCCCAGGCTGGAGTGCAGTGGCGTGATCTCGGCTCACTGCAAGCTCTGCCTCCCGGATTCATGCTATTCTTCTGCCTCAGCCTCCTGAGTAGCTGGTACTACAGGCATCCGCCACCATGCCCGGCTAACTTTTTTTTGTATTTTTAGTAGAGACGGGGTTTCACCATGTTAGCCAGGATGGTCTCCATCTCTTGACCTCATGATCCGCCCGCCTCGGCCTCCCAAAGTGCTGGGATTACAGGTGTGAGCTATGGCGCCCCGCCTATTTCCTATTTCTCTTATGTTATTTCATTACATTTTTTTTTGCTTCTCATGTTTCATTGTGGGTAAGTTCCTCAATGTGACATTCCAGTTTACTGTTTTTCATTTGATTGTGCCTGTCAGTAATTTACCCTATTTATTATGTTTTCAAAAGTTGAACAATCATATTTTTATTTTAAATGTTTTTATTGGTTTTTCCTCATATTTGCCTATTATTATTTTTTTCTGTCTGCTTTTGTGTCATGTAAGTTATGTGAGTCTGTAAGCTTGTTAGTTTATGGTAGGCTCAACAATTTAACATATAGATCATGAAATGTGATTAATAAATCATAATAATTTTATTTCTCATTCACAGCCTACTACACTGTATTTGGTCCAGGTCATAGGGTACCTGTCTTTCCCACATTAATTTAGGAACTCAGTGACCTTCTGTTTTGTGGCTTTCATCTGTTAGAACCAAAGCTGAGTCTGAAATACAGATGTAAAAGGGAGATAAAAGCAAGGAAGAAGCATAACCCTGTCTACTACTAGCTTAAAATCTCTGGCATGAAATTGGCCCATATCAGTTCTGCTCGATTCCATTAACCCAAACTTACTCATACTGCCCCATCTGCAAGGGAAGCAGAGACATGTAATCTAACCAGGGACCCAGCCATAAGGGGAGAATGGATTTTTTTTTAAATTTTTTTTGATTCCTAGCAGTGTCTGCACAAATGTGGCCATTCTTCTTCTTCTTGTTCAGTGGGTGTTATTCTTACACGTACATTTTGAGCATTTCTCATTATATGTTATGAAAATCTTTGTGAAGATTTTCTACAAAATTAATTCCATCTGGAGTGAATTTGTATTATAAATTTTTCTGGCTATTTTTCTCATTTTTTTTTGGTGCTTTACATATTGGATTGCATACTCATTTTTGAGGACGGAGTTGTTTTCATTTGTGTTTCTTTAGTTTTTTCCTCTGGCTTATCCTCCCTGTCCATTTATTGTTCAGGTGACTGTAACTCAGCCATTAAGGCTTTCATTCCAAATCCATTTTTATGTTTCTAGAAGTCATTTGAGATCTTATTCCTCATGGTAATATTGGCAGTATTACAGAATAAGTTCCTAATTCAGCAGGTGGCTTGCCTTACTTTCTTTTTCAGTATGATGTGTCTCAGTCTTTTCAGATCCCTTGGCCTACAGATTTGTATGAAGTTATGTGCTCTGTATGTGGATAATCTGAGTTGTTATTTCACAGTTGCCTTTTAGGAACCTATACAGATGCATCTGAAGCCAAAGTGCAATGCTCTGAATGCATTACACTCTCTTTTATAATAATATTAATCTGCATAAAGCAACTGCTAATAAATATTAATTAATAATATTAATTATACATGTATGTCATAATAGTAGAGGAGGATTTAGTTGAAAATATGTACATTAATTATTAAAGCATTTTACTCACTTATAGTGCATATTATAGACAATGTTGAATTGAATCTTATGTATATTTGCCCCCTCATTCAATTTAGATGATTGTTAAAAAATCTGCTACTCTGGGAATTTAACAAAAACTGCACAAAGTATTCTAACAAGAAATGGCTCAAAGGCATGAACTGATATTTTTACATGCTGACATTCTGGTTTATTCCTTTTATTTTTTCAACAGGTTCTCTAAACAGCTTGCTTTGAAATGGGCAGGTCAATTCATAAAAGTTTAGTATTCAAATTCAAATTTATTTTTCCCCAAAGTGAGAATTGTAAGTTTTAAAAGCAATTTAATATCATTTAAAACATAAAAAAGATGGACAGAATTCTTTGCATGAATGAGTGAATTATTTGTTCATTTAGTTTTTGTCATGATAGTCACAAAGTCGATGTAGAAACAAGAGAAAAAGGCAAACTTTCTACTTTTTCTAGAGCCTCATAGTCTGGTGGGGCAAAAGCCATGTAAAGGGTGGTTTATAACATGATTAGTTAAGTCTTATAGTAGATTATGACATGAACAATGTTCTGTAAGCCCAGTAGAGGAGGAAGTGAACCATTTTTAAAGAACTGTTGTGCTGAGAAAGTCATATTTAAACTAGGTTTTGAACATTGTGCAGAAATCTGCAAGTGCACTGGAGATAAGTGTAACAATATTTGAAAAGGCCCAGAGTCGTCCAACAGAATGATCTCTTCTAGAAATGGTGAGGTGAGAAGGAGATGGAAGGGGCAGGAATCTGGGTTGAGCCCTCATTACTATTTAGGATGAGATTGTGAAGATCACTGTAAACCATGGTCTTCATGATTGGATTTCATCATGTCATAGCAAGAAAACAATGGGGACAATTAAGGAATATCACATAGTTGAAAATGATCAGTGATAGCATAGAGAATTGAATGAGAGAACTAGAAAGGAAATTTGGATACTATCCACATCCCACCTCTTTATTTTAAAGATATGTAATCAGAAAAAAAGTTCAATGACTGCCAACACTCATATAGTTCACTGGTAGCAGGATTGGGATTAAACATCATGGCTCAGAATTAATCAAGTTTTATCTCCATTTACTAGGTTCATCTCTGATATGAGACTTACCATTGGTAAAAAAAAAATCAAATTCAATACAGAATTGATGGTGGAAATACGGTGGTGAACAAGTCAGATATTTCTATTCTGTACATAGAAAGGGTAAAGTCCTTCTTTTAGAGAAATTAACACAGGTAATTGGTAATAAAGGTGAGACTAGAATCCAAGTCTCAAATTGTCAATAATGTTCTCTTTTTATTTCACAATGGGTTCTCTTGCTCTGACTAAAAACAAATGAGAATTCAGCACATATTGTGAATGTGACCATAAGAAAAAAGCCTCAGTCTAAGTTATAGCTTTGGAGAAGAGGTTTCTAATTAGTAGATTGCATTATTGGTTAATGTGAAAGCTACTTAATGAAATATCTTTATTTAAATGTGAATTAAATTATCACTATAATAATGTATTATGATACCAAATGATAAATTGCTGATAATAAAATAAGGATATATTAACTACACATGCAGAGTATATTTTAAAAATTGATTAATAATATTTCTCACCACTTACAGTTATACAGATATAGTTCACATATCATAAAATTCACTCTTTTCAAATCTGGTTTAATGGGTTTTAGTATATTTACAGAGTTATGTGACCATCACCACTATCTAATGTTAGCACATTTTTATCACTCCAAATAGGAGCCCCACATCCATTAGCAGACATTCCCCATTCCCTTCTCCCCTTGGCCCTGGCAATGGCTAATCTACTTTCTATTTCTGTGGAATTGCCTCTCTTGGACATTTTACATTATTTGAATTATACTATATGTGATTGACTTCTTTTGTTTAGCATAGTGTTCTCAAGATTTTTCCATATAGCACTGTCATGTATTAGTTCATTCCTTTTTATTGCTAAAATAATATACCACTGCATGGGATACCACCTAAGCATCAGTGGATTGACATATAGGCTGTTTCACTTTTTGGCTATTATGAATAACGCTGCTGTGAACATTTATGTACAGGTTTTGGGTGGCCATGTTCTTTCAGTTTCCTTCAGTTTATGTCTAGGAGTGTAACTGCCGGGTTATGCAGTAATTCTATATTAAACATTTTAAGAAACTGCCAAACTATTTTCCAAAGTGGCTATACAATTTTTCAACCTACAAGAAATGTACGAGTGCTCCAATTTTTCTGCATCCTAGCCAACACTAATTATCATCTGTCTTTTTTATTGTAGCCATCCTAGTGGGTATAAAATGGTAATCACATCATGGTTTTGATTTGTATTTCCCTAATGACTAATCATGTTGAGCATCTTTTCATGTGCTTATTAGCCATTTGCATGTCTTCCTTGGAGAAATGCCTATTCAAATACTTTGCCCATTTTTAAATTGGGTTGTCTTTTTATTGATGAGCTGCTAAGAGCTTTTTTTATGTATAGTATGAATCCAAGTCTGTTATCAGAGATATGAGTTGCAAAAATGTTCTCCCAATCTATAGATTGTCCTTTTACTTTCTTAATTGCACAAACTTTAAAAGTTGTGAGGTACAATTTATCTATTATTTTCTTTTGTGGTCTGTGCTTTTGGTGCTATATGTAAGAATCCATTCCCTAACTCATGTTCACAAATATTTACTCTTACTTTTTCTTCTAACAGTTGTATAGTTTTAGATCTTACATTAAAGTCTATGCTGTATTTTGAATTGATTTTTTGTTTATAGTATGAGGTAGAAGTTAAAATTTATTCTTTTGCATGTGAATATTCAGTTTTCCCGGCACCATTTACTGAGAAACTATTATTACCCCCATTAAATTGTACTGGTACCTCTGTGGAAAATCAGTTGACATAAATATACAGTTTATTTCTGGACACTGAATTCTGTTTCATTGTCCTATATTTCAAGTCTCATTGCAGTCCCAAATAATCTTGATTACTGTGGTAGTAAGTTTTTAAATTGGAAAGTGTTAATTATCAAGATTTGTTTTCCTTTTTTGTTTTTGCTATTCTGAGACCCTTGAAATTCCATATGAAATTTAAGACCAGCTTGTCCATTTCTGGAAAGCAGCCATCCTTTGATAATGATAAAGATGCAGATTTTAATAAAGATTGTATTAAATCTGTAGATCATTTTGGAGAGTATTGCTATCTTAATATTAAGTTTTCGGATCCATCAATATTGCATGTCTTTTTTTTTTAATACCTTAAGTTTTGGGATATATGTGCAGAATGTGCAGGTTTGTTACATAGATATACATGTGTCATGGTGGTTTGCTGCACCCATCAACCCATCATCTATATTAGGTATTTCTCCTAATGTTATTCCTCCCCTCGACCCCCACTACCAACAGGCCCTGGTGTGTGATGTTCCCCTCCCTGTGTCCATGTGTTCTCATTGTTCAACTCCCATTTATGAGTGAGAACATGTGGTGTTTGGTTTTCGGTTCTTGTGTTAGCTTGATGAGAATGATGGTTTCCAGCTTCATCCATGTCCCTGAAAAGGACATGAACTCATCCTTTTTATGGCTGCATAGTATCCCATGGTGTATATGTGCCACATTTTCTTTATCCAGTCTATCATTGATGGGCATTTGGGTTGGTTCCAACTCTTTGCTATTGTGAATAGTGCTGCAATAAACGTATGTGTACATGTGTCTTTATAGTAGAATAATTTATAATCCTTTGGGTATATCCCCAGTAAGGGAATTGCTGGGTCAAATGGTATTTCTGGTTCTGATCCTTGAGGAATTACCACACTGTTTTCCATAATGGTTGAACTAATTTACACTCCCACCAACAGTGTAAAAGCATTCCTATTTCTCCACATCCTCTCCAGCATCTGTTGCTTCCTGACTTTTTAATGATCACTATTCTAACAGGTGTGAGATGGTATCTCATTGTGGTTTTGATTTGCATTTCTCTAATGACCAGTGATGATGGATGAGCTTGTTTTCATGTTTGTTTTCCACATAAATGTCTTATTTTGAGAAGTGTCTGTTTATATGCTTCACACACTTTTTGATGGTGTTGTTTGTTTTTGTCTTGTAAATTTGTTTAAGTTCCTTGTAGAGTCTGGATATTAGCCCTTTGTCAGATGGATAGATTGCAAACATTTTCTCTCATTCTGTAAGTTGCACATTCATTCTGATGATAGTTTCTCTTGCTGTGCAGAAGCTCTTTAATTTAATTAGATCCCATTTGTCAATTCTGGCTTTTGTTGCCATTGCTTTTGGTGTTTTAGTCATGAAGATTTTACTGAAGCTTATGTTGTGAATGGTACTGCCTAGGTTTTCTTCTAGGGCTTTTATGGTTTTAGGTTGTACATTCAAGTCTTCTTTTTTTTTACTTTTTTAAAATTATGCTTTAATTCTAGGGTACATGTGCACAACATGCAGGTTTGTTACGTATGTATACATGTGCCATATTGGTGTGCTGCACCCGTTAACTCGTCATTTACATTAGGTATGTTGCCTAATGCTATCCGTTCACCCTCTCCCCATCCCACGATAGGCCCCGGTGTATGATGTTCCCCACCCCGTGTCCAAGTGTTCTCATTGTTCAATTCCCACCTATAAGTGAGACATGCAGTGTTTGGTTTTCTGTGCTTGCAATAGTTTGCTGAGAATGATGGTTTCCAGTTTCATCCATGTCTCTACAAAGGACATGAACTCATCCTTTTGTATGGCTGCAATAGTATTCTATGGTGTATATGTGCCACATTTTCTTAATCCAGTTTATCATTGATGGACATTTGGGATGGTTCCAAGTTTTTGCTATTGTGAATAGTGCTGCAATAAACATACGTGTGCATGTGACTTTATAGCAGCATGATTTATAATCCTTTGGGTATATACCTAGTAATGGGATGGCAGGGTCAAATGGTATTTCTATTTCTAGATCCTTGAGGAATTGCCACACTGTCTTTCACAATGGTTGAACTTGGTTACAGTCCCACCAACAGTGTAAAAGTGTTCCTATTTCTCCACATCCTCTCCAGTATCTGTTTTTTCCTGACATTTTAAGGATCGCCATTCTAACTGGTGTGAGATGGTATCTCATTGTGGTTTTGATTTGCATTTCTCTGATGGCCAGTGATGATGAGCATTTTTTCATGTGTTTTTTGGCTGCGTAAATGTCTTCTTTTGAGAAGTATCTGTTCATATCCTTCACCCAATTTTTGACGGGGTTGTTTGATTTTTTCTTGTAAATTTGTTTAAGTTCTTTTTGGATTCTGGATCTTAGACCTTTGTCAGATGGGTAGATTGTAAAAATTTTCTCCCATTCTGTAGGTTGCCTGTTCACTCTGATGGTAGTTTCTTTTGCTGTGCAGAAGCTCCTTAGTTTAATTAGATCCCATTTGTCAATTTTGGCTTTTGTTGTCATTGCTTTTGGTGTTTTAGTCATGAAGTTTTTGCCCATGCCTATGTCTTGAATGGTATTGTCTAGGTTTTCTTCTAGGGTTTTTATGGTTTTAGGTCTAACATTTAAGTCTTTAATCCATCTTGAATTGATTTTTGTATAATGTGTAAGGAAGGGATCCAGTTTCAGCTTTCTACATATGGCTAGCCAGTTTGCCCAGCACCATTTATTAAATAGGGAATCCTTTCCGCATTTCTTGTTTTTGTCAGGTTTGTCAAAGATCAGATGGTTGTAGATATGTGGTATTATTTCTGAGGGCTCTGTTCTGTTCCATTGGTCTATATCTCTGTTTTGGTACCATGCTACTTTGGTTACTGTAGCCTTGTAGTATGGTTTGAAGTCAGGTAGTGTGATGCCTCCAGCTTTGTTCTTTTGGCTTCAGATTATCTTGGCAATGCGGGCTCATTTTGGTTCCACATGAACTTTAAAGTAGTTTTTTTCCAATTCTGTGAAGAAAGTCACCGGCAGCTTGATGGGGATGGCACTGAATCTATAAATTACCTTGGGCAGTATGGCCATTTTCATGATATTGATTCTTCCTTTCCATGAGCATGGTATGTTCTTCCATTTGTTTGTGTCCTTTCTTATTTCCTTGAGCAGTGGTTTGTAGTTCTCCCTGAAGAGGTACTTCACATCTCTTGTAAGTTGGATTCCTAGGTATTTTATTCTCTTTGAAGCAATTGTGAATGGGAGTTCACTCATGATTTGGCTCTCTGTTTGTCTGTTATTGGTGTATAGGAATGGTTATGATTTTTGCACATTGATTTTCTATCCTGAGACTTTGCTGAAGTTGCTTATCAGCTTAAGGAGATTTTAGGCTGAGATGACGGGGTTTTCTGAAGATACAATCATGTCATCTGCAAACAGGGACAATTTGACTTCCTCTTTTCCTAATCAAATACCTTTTGTTTTTTTCTCCCACCTGATTGCCCTGGGCAGAACTTCCAACACTATGTTGAATAGGAGTGGTGAGAGAGGGCATCCCTGTCTTGTGCCAGTTTTCAAAGGGAATGCTTCCAGTTTTTGCCCATTCAGTATGATATTGGCTGTGGGTGTGTCATAAATAGCTCTTATTATTTTGAGATATGTCCCATCAATACCTAGTTTATTGAGAGTTTTTAGCATGAAGAGGTGTTGAATTTTGTCAAAGGCCTTTTCTGCATCTATTGAGATAATCATGCGGTTTTTGTCTTTGGTTCTGTTTATATGCTGGATTACATTTATTGATTTGCATATATTGAACCAGCCTTGCATCCCAGGGATGAAACGAACTTGATTGTGGTGGATAAGCTTTTTGATGTTTTGCTGGATTCCGTTTGCCAGTATTTTATTGAGGATTTTTGCATCGATGTTCATCAGGGATATTGGTCTAAAATTCTCTTTTTTTGTTGTGTCTCTGCCAGGCATTGGTATCAGGAAGATGCTGGCATCAGAAAATGAGTTAGGGAGGATTCCCTCTTTTTCTATTGATTGGAATAATTTCAGAAGGAATAGTACCAGCTCCTCCTTGTACCTGTAGTAGAATTCGGCTGTGAGTCCGTCTGGTCCTGGATTTTTTTGGTTGGTAGGGTATTAATTATTGCCTCAATTTCAGAGCCTGTTATTGGTGCATTCAGGGATTCAATTTCTTCCTGGTTTAGTCTTTGGAGGGTGTATGTGTTCAGGAATTTATCCATTTCTTCTAGATTTTCCAGTTAATTTTTGTAGAGGTGATTATAGTATTCTCTGATGGTAGTTTGTATTTCTGTGGGATTGGTGGTGATAGTCCCTTTATCATTTTTCATTGCATCTATTTGATTCTTTTCTCTTTTCATGTTTATTAGTCTTGTCAGCAGTCTATCAATTTTATTGATGCTTTCAAAAAACCAGTACCTGCATTCATGGATTTTTTGAAGGGTTTTTTGTGTCTCTATCTCCTTCAGTTCTGTTCTGATCTTAGTTATTTCTTGCCTTCTGCTAGCTTTTGAATGTGTTTGCTCTTGCTTCTCTAGTTCTTTTAATTATGATGTTAGGGTGTCAATTTTAGATCTTTCCTGCTTTCTCTTATGGGCATTTAGTGCTATAAATTTCCCTCTACACACTGCTTTAAATGTTTCCGAGAGATTCTGGTATGTTGTGTCTTTTTTCTCATTGGTTTCAAAGAATATCTTTATTTCTGCCTTCATTTGGTTGTGTAACCAATAGTCATTTAGGGGCAGGTTGTTCAGTTTCCATGTAATTGAGTGGTTTTGAGTGAGTTTCTTAATCCTGAGTTCTAGTTTGATTGCACTGTGGTCTGAGAGACAGTTTGTTATTATTTCTGTTCTTTTGCACTTGCTGAGGAGTGCTTTACTTCCAACTATGTGGTCAATTTTGGAATAAGTGAGATGTGGTGCTGAGAAGAATGTACATTCTGTTGATTTGGGGTGGAGAGTTCTGTAGATGTCTATTAGGTTGGCTTGGTGCAGAGCTGAGTTCAATTCCTGGATATCCTTGTTAACTTTCTGTCTTGTTGATCTGTCTAATATTGACAGTGGGTTGTTAAAGTCTCCCATTATTATTGTGTGAAAATCTAAGTCTCTTTGTAACTCTCTAAGGACTTTCTTTATGGATATGAGTGCTCCTGTATTGGGTGCATATATATTTAGGATAGTTAGGTCTTCTTGTTGAATTGATCCCTTTACCATTATGTAATGGCCTTCTTTGTCTCTTTTGATCTTTGTTGGTTTAAAGTCTGTTTTATCAGAGACTAGGATTGCAACCCCTGCTTTTTTTTGTTTTCCATTTGCTTGGTAGATCTTCCTCCATCCCTTTATTTTGAGCCTATGTGTGTCTCTGCACATGAGATGGGTCTCCTGAATACAGCACACTGATGGGTCTTGACTCTTTATCCAATTTGCCAGTCTGTGTCTTTTAATTAGAGCATTTAGCCCATTTACATTTAAGGTTAATATTGTTATGTGTGAATTTGATCCTGTCATTATGATATTAGCTGCTTATTTTGCCCATTAGTTGATGCAGTTTCTTCCTAGCATCGATGGTCTTTACAATTTGGCATGTTTTTGCAATGCCTGGTACTGGTTGTTCCTTTCCGTATTTAGTGCTTCCTTCAGGAGCTCTTGTAAGGCAGGCCTGGTGGGGAGAAAATCTCTCCACATTTTCTTGTCTGTAAAGGATTTTATTTCTCCTTCACTTATAAGGCTTAGTTTGGCTGGATATGAAATTCTGGGTTGAAAATTCTTTTCTTTAAGAACGTTGAATATTGGCCCCCACTCTCTTCTGGCTTGTAGAGTTTCTGCCAAGAGATCTGCTGTTAGTCTGATGGGCTTCCCTTTGTGGGTAACCTGACCTTTCTCTCTGGCTGCCCTTAACATTTTTTCCTTCATTTCAACTTTGGTGAATCTGACAATTATGTGTCTTGGAGTTGCTCTTCTCAAGGAGTATCTTTTTGGTGTTCTCTGTATTTCCTGAATTTGAATGTTGGCCTGCCTTGCTAGGTTGGGGAAATTCTCCTGGATAATACCCTGAAGAGTGTTTCCCAACTTGGTTCCTTTCTCCCTATCACTTTCAGGTACACCAATCAGACATAGATTTGGTCTTTTCACATAGTCCCATATTTCTTGGGGGCTTTGTTCATTTCTTTTTACTCTAAACTTCTCTTGTTGCTTCATTTCATTCATTTGATCTTCAATCACTGATACCCTTTCTTCCACTTGATCAAATCATCTACCAAAGTTTGCTCATGCATCATGTAGTTCTCATGCCATGGCTTTCAGTTCCGTCAGGTCATTTAAGGTCTTCTCTATGCTGTTTGTTCTAGTTAGCCATTCGTCTAATCTTTTTTCAACGTTTTTAGCTTCTTTGTGATGGGTTCAAATGTCCTCCTTTAGCTTGGAGGAGTTTATTATTACCCATTGTCTGAAGCCTTCTTCTCTCAACTCGTCAAAGTCATTCCCCACCCAGCTTTGTTCCATTGCTGGCAAGGAGCTGTGTCCCTTTGGAGGAGAAGAGGCGCTCTGATTTTTAGAATTTTCAGCTTTTCTGCTCTGGTTTTCCCCCATCTTTGTGGTTTTATCTACCTTTGGTCTTTGATGATGGTGATGTACAGATAGGGCTTTGGTGTGGATGTCCTTTCTGTTTGTTAGTTTTCCTTCTAACAGTCAGGACACTCAGCTGCAGGTCTGTTGGAGTTTGCTGGAGGTCCGCTCCAGACCTGTTTGCCTGGGTATCACCAGCGGAGGCTGCAGAACAGCAAATATTGCAGAATGGCAAATGTTGCTGCCTGATCCTTCCTCTGGAAGCTTTGTCCCAGAGGGGCATCTGGCTGTATGAGGTGTCATTCAGCCCCTACTGGGAAGTGCCTCCCAATTAGGCTACTCAGGGGTCAGGGACCCACTTGAGGAAGCAGTCTGTCCATTCTCAGATCTCAAACTCCATGCTGGGAGAACACTACTCTCTTCAAAGCTGTCAGATAGGGACGTTTAAGTCTGCAGAAGTTTCTGCTGCCTTTTGTTCTGCTATGCCCTACCCCCAGAGGTGGAGTTTACAGAGGCAGGCAGGCCTCCTTGAGCTGCGGTGGGCTCCATCCAGTTTGAGCTTCCTGGCCACTTTGTTTACCTACTCAAGCCTCAGCAATGGTGGACACCCCTACCCCAGCCTCACTGCTGCCTTGCAGTTCAATCTCAGAGTGCTGTGCTAGCAGTGATCGGGGCTCCATGGGAGTAGGACTCCCCGAGACAGGTATGGGTTACAATCTCCTGGTGTGCCATTTGCTACGACCATTGGAAAAGCACAGTATTAGGGTGGGAGTGTCTCAATTTTCCAGGTACCGTCTGTCACAGATTCCCTTGGCTAGGAAAGGGAATTCCCTGACTCCTTGCACTTCCCAGGTAAAGCAATGCCCTGCCCTGCTTCAGCTCATGCCTTGTGGGCTGCACCCACTGTTCAACAAGCCCCAGTGAGATGAACCTGGTACCTCAGTTGGAAAGGCAGAAATCACCTGTCTTCTGTGTCACTTACACTGGGAGCTGTGGACTGGAGCTGTTTCTATTCAGCCATCTTGGCAAAGTCAAGTCTTTAATCTATCATGAGTTAATTTTTGTATAAGGTGTAAGAAGGGGTCCAGTTTCAGTTTTCTGCATATAGTGAGCCAGTTTTCCCAATACCATTTATTAAATAGGGAATCTTTCCTCATTGCTTGTTTTTGTCAGGTTTGTCAAAGATCAGATGGTTGTAGATGTGTGACATTATTTCTGAGGCCTCTGTTCTGTCCCATTGGTCTATATATCTGTGTTGGTACCAATATCATGCTGTTTTGGTTACTGTAGACTTGTAGTATAGTTTGAAGTCAGGTAGCGTGATGCCTCCAACTTTGTTCTTTTTGCTTAGGATTGTCTTTGCTGTGCAGTCTCTATTTTGATTCTATATGAAATTTAAAGTAGTTTTTTCTAATTCTGTGAAGAAAGTCAGTTTTAGCTTGATGGGGATAGCATTGAATCTATAAATTACTTTGGGCAGTATGGTCATTTTCATGATATTGATTCTTCCTATCCATGAGCATGGAATGTTTTTCCATTTGTTTGTATCCTTTCCTATTACTTGAACAGTAGTTTGTAGTTTTTCAAGAGGTCCTTCACTTCCCATGTAAGTTGTATTCTTAGGTATTTTATTCTCTTTGTAGCAATTGTGAATGGGAGTTTACTCATTATTTGGCTCTCTCTATGTGTATTGTTGGTGTATAGGAATGCTTGTGATTTTTGCACATCGATTTTGTATCCTGAGACTTTGCTGAAGTTGCTTATCAGCTTAAGGAGATTTTGGACTTTGAGGATGGGATTTTTGAAATATACAGTCATGTCATCTGCAAACAGAGATAATTTGACTTTCTCTTTTCCTAATTGAATATCCCTTAATTCCTTCTCTTGCCTGATTGCCTTGGCCAGAACTTCCAATACTATGTTAAATTGGAGTGGTGAGAGGGAGCATCCTTGTCTTGTGCTGGTTTTCAAAGGGAATGCTTCCAGCTTTTGCCCATTCACTATGATATTGGCTGTGGGTGTGTCATAAATATCTTATTATTTTGAGATACATCCCATCAATACCTAGTTTATTGAGAGTTTTCAGCATGAAGGGGTGTTAAGTTTTATCAAAGGCTAGGGGAGGGAGTTCCCCACCCCCTTGTGCTTCCTGGGTGAGACATTGCCTCACCCTGCTTTGAGTTACCCTCAGTGGGCTGCATCCACTGTCTAACCAGTCCCAATGAGATGAGCCAGGTACCTCAGTTGGAAATGGAGAAATCACCCACCTTCTGCATTCATCTTGCTGGGAGCTGCAGACCGGGGCTGTTCTTATTTGGCCATCTTGCAAGTTATGCCAACATTGGATATCTTTCAATTTATTTGGATCTTTAATTTTTTTTAACCATGCTTTGCAATTACAGTGTACAAGTCTTTACTTTATTGGTTAAATTTATTCCTAAGTATTTTATTGTTTTTGTGCTATTGTATCTTAGACAACTAGAAACCAATAATTAAAAGAGCTCATGATTATCATCATAAAATAGATTAATGAATTATTTCATTAATATATTTACAGATTGTTTATTGCTTGTGCATAGAAATATAATTTATTTCTATGTGTTGATCTTGCAAACTTGCTGAATTTGTTTAGTAGTTTTTAGAAGTTTTCTTTTTCATAGATTCCTTAGTATTATCCATATATTTGATTAGGCTATCTGTGACTAGAGATTATTTTACCTCCTCCTTTCCAGTCTTTATGCATTTTATTTCTTTATTCTATCTAATTGTTCTTGCTATCACCTCTAGCACAGTGTTGAATGGAAGTGATGAGAGTGGACTTCTTCACCCTATATTTAAATTATAATAAAGAAATACAGAATATTTATTTACTTGCTCCGTAGTTTATAAAGATATTTACAATTAATCTTAAGGCACTTAAGCTTCTATTTTTTGATGGTGATAATCATAAACTCTTTTAATTCTTAGTTTCTAGTTGTCTAAGATTCATACTCTTCAGGTTCCTAAGTTTCTAGTTGTCTAAGATTCATACTCTTCAGGTTCCTAACAGTGGTTTTCAATAGTTTGTTTATCCTAATGCTGTAATATATGAAATATCTGTACTCTGAAGCAGATGCACATAGTCTATATCTCACCCCCTTTATTCATTCATTCAATGCTTTATTAACAGTCCCTGTATGCCAGGCTCTGTAGATACTATAGATGCAGAGGTAAACAAGACAAATATACTGACTGCTCTCATAGTAATCACTGTTTATTATGTGTATTCTTATACTGTGTTTAGGAAGCACAACATACCATATTAGTGTAAGTAGTTATCCAATTGTGTGTGTATATGTCTGTGTGTGTGTATGTGTGTATGTGTAATTGTGGTCTGTATATTTACATTTTTATGGTGATATATTTCTAAGTAACTTATGTTGACAAATTACAATGACAAAAGTCATTTTCTTTGAATATAAAGCTAATGTATACAGACTACTCCCACGGTTTTTAGTCCCTAACACAATTGTTCTGAAACTTTGGCATGAATCAGAATCACCTTGAGAGCTTGGTAAAACACAGATTGCCAGATTCCACCATTGGGGGTTCTAATTCAGTACCTCTAAGCTGGAGCTGAGAATTTTGCATTTCTAACATGTTTCGGATGATGCTGATGTTGCTGAATCGGAAATATACCTTGAGAAACAGGGCCATTATAAAATAGTTTTTGTGTCACTATGTTTAAGGCACTTTGGGACACTTCTAGCATAGGGATTATGCGTGTTTTCTAATTCTTCCACATCCTTTTTCTGGATGTTCATTTACCTGGAGTGGTAGAGGGCTCACTTTGCTAACTGAGATAATAAATCCTGCCACTACAGCATAGCACCTTTCCTGTTTCAGCTGAAAATTGCTCTTCTCTAGAGATTGCTTAGCCCAGTAGATTAGAAAATCCTTCACACAATGTCATGATCTAATGAGATTACTCTTTAACCTTCAATTTCCAGTAACATTCCAAATGCTAGTGGACTATTATAACCACAGCATAATAATAAAATATGTACTAATGATCTTTCAGTGACAAATGTATTTCAAGTAGGAACCATTAGATAGAATAAGAATTTAGATACATCATTTTGATTAATTCTAAGCATTTGTGGTTTATCTTTCACATGCATTTCTGCATTTGTGTTTTTATATATCTTTTTTTAAATGAAAAAATCAATATGACAGCATTGTGTTTTCCAAAGAGTATACAATTACAACCAGTAGTTACATAATAATATCTGTAATGTTTGAGAATGGTAGATGTCAGCCAAAGGGAAAAGGCAATAACTGCCATATTAGCCAAATAGGAGCCTCACCTGAATTACCCACATCATCGTTTCTATTCTTGTCTCTGCTTTGAGATAAGGTCTAGCTCTGGAAAAGCATTAAGTTATTTTGTGGCTGTATTGTAGCAATGTAAATAGGCACATCTTAGCATTTATTAGAACTTCTGTATCTTCTCCTCCTGTCACCCACATTATTCTCCTTTGTGTTTAATAAAGGCCTATGGCTAAGGGAAAAGTTATTCATGCAATCTGCTTGGTCACATACTTCCCTGCTGCCTGGCTAGTCTAGAAAAGAGTTTAATTTGCTGATGATTACAATTAGAGGGGAATGATCCATTACATTAACTTTAATGAGCTGCAGCAGGTCACTTGGTTATGAATGGTACCATGCAAAGGTTGCAGTTCAGGGTGATATGGAATCCCTGACAGAATCTTTATGACATTTGTGTGGTGTCCATAACAAAGGAAGGCTTACTAGTTCGTAGTCATAGAAATGGCTGAACTTCACTGCATCTTTCCATTTGGACAGGCTTTAGTGTTACTATCTAAAATGCTTAATAATTTATAAACAAAGCTTATGTAACTGGCAGTTATGATGCACAGCATTAACTTAGAAGTGGTCTTTTAGTTGAAGGGATGATAAAGGGTTTCTACATTTATTATATTCCTCTTGCTTGATTTTAAGGGTACATTTAAACTTCAGCCAGTAAATTCAGGAGCTCTAAAAACCAATTAATGATTTAGTTAAAAAGTCTGCAGCAGCATGTAATAGACCGACTTGTCTCTTTGAGCATGAGCAAGACATTTCTATGTGGAAATTTTCATGTTAAGATGTATTAATATTTTAAACAATAGATAGAGGAAATATAAGCCCTTCAAGAAGATGAAATGTTAGAAGGACAAAGTAAGAATATTTACTTTATCTTCCATAGAAAAGGGTACTTCTCTGTAATAGTAAGAATTTGGTCCAGTTACATTTTTTTTCAGTTGAGCAATAAGTAAACAGAATATTAAGCTTTATATAGCATTTAGTAAAATGTAAAAGAACACACTTAAAAGACTTGTTATTTTTCAAGGAGAAGTCTTTTATCTGAAAGAATAAAATAAAAACAAAACCTCAAAAGCAGGTCTTTTTTTCTCAAAACTAACCTATGATTTAAGAAAGACTTTGGGATTAACTGTAGACATTTTTGAACTGGGGAATGAAAAAACTATTTTCTTTTGCCTAAGTAGAAAATCTCTATATTTTCAAAACATGAATGGGGAAGGCACATCCCAAGGGGAAAAGAAGGAGTTAAAAAAGGAAGATCAGAGTCTAGAAAGGGAGTCCATTTGGATGTCACTTCAGTGTAGGCACAAATCCCTAACAACCTCCCCATTCAAAAGGATAAACATATCACAGGTGAAGAACGCTCACCTAATAATTTCAAGCTCACAGCCATCTTCCCCACCCCATTATCATAAATTGCTAGCTTGGCAAGGGAGACATAAGTAAAGAATTCATTGTTTGAAGCAAGTCTTTTGACAGAGTTTCTTTCCTGGTTTATATTTATATGTGTGCTCCTGCCCTTATTTGTATTTTTGTCAACAGTTTCATTTTCACTCAGTGTGGTATTTTACCACCACATGCCCAATTATTTTTCCTCATTCCTGTCTGTCCTTAAAGGAAGAACAGATAACATGGAAGTGCATGGTAAGAAAGTTTGACTAGTTTGAGCAGAACAGTCAGAGGTGTTCAAACCAGAGTGACTCCATCTTGAATAGGGGCTGGGTAAAATAAGGCTGGGACCTGCTGGGCTGTCTTCCCAGAGGGTTAGGCATTCTTAGTCACAGGATGAGATAGGAGGTTGGCAGGACTGGTATCACAAGATATAGGTCATAAAGACCCTGTTGATAAAACAGGATGCAGTAAAGAAGCTGGCTTAAACCTACCAAAGCCAAGATAGTGATGAAAGTGACCTCTAGTCTTCCTCACTGCTCATTATATGCTAATTATAATTAATTAGCATGCTAACAGACACTCCCACTGAGCACTTTGACAGTTTACAAATCCCATGACAACATCAGCAAGTTACCCTATGTAGTCTAAAAGGGGGAGAGACTCTGAGTTCCAGGAATTTCCTGCCCCATTCCTGGAAAACTCATAAATAATCCAAGTTTTGTTCAGCATATAATTAGAAGTAACCATAAGTATACTCAATTGAGCAGGCCATGTGGCCTCTCTGCCTATAGAGTAGCCATTTTTTTGTTTCTTTACTTCTCTAATAAACTTGATTTCACTTTACTCTATGGACTTGATCTGAATTCTTTCTTTCACGAGGTCCAATAACCCTTTCTTGGGGTCTGGATTGGGATCTCTTTTTGGTAACAGGACTAGTTTGACTGTACCCTTTAAGATGGCTACAACACTTTAGCCAGGGCTACTCTTGGGCCAACACTCACATCCTCAAAATTAAGTGTCTAATTGTTCCCACAGTGGTCTAACCTGGGCTGCAATTAACTGCAGGTGCAATCTTTGCACGTGTAGCTAATAGAAGGACTAAACCACCCCAAACAAGCTGCCTCGGGAGAGTCTCAGGCTATATCCTTAAAGTTCCACAATTATTTGAAGTTGTCTGCTTTTAAATTAAATACACTATTTAATACTAAATTAGCTTGTCCTTTTTTTTTTTTCATTTGATGTTAGAGTGTATCCACACACTAGAATAGAGTGAACCTGGACAGGTACATTTTTTCAAAACTCGAATGAAATTTTTGTTAAATAGTTCCTATAAAGAGTAGATGCCACTCTGGTTGTACATCTCAAAGCCTCTCATTATCTCTTGGATAGAAAGCCTCATTTCTACAAAGAAGTGGTAAAGAAATAAGGAAAAGATTTTCTCTTGTGGCAAACAGCCATGATTTGGAGACCAGCTATCTCAGTCAGGTACCTCTTCCTTGTTGCTATGTAGTTACATAAAGTTTCACAAGTGAAAACAAGGAATCATATAGGTATCTAGCTAACAACTACAGTGTTTTTGCCCATATGTTTATTTTTCAGAGCCCAATCATATTTTCTAATTTGCATTTAGTAATTTTAGTACTTAGCACAGTGATTTGCACATATTACATACTTAACAAGCACCCTTTTAAAAAATGAAATGGAGGATATTGAAATGACGTGGTCACTTGTGAAAGACTACGGGTCATTTATATAGTTAAAACCAAGGATTTTACTTTTTTCTCATTTATCTCATCCTCCCCACTCCCACGCTCAGTTTCATTTGCGTGGAAAAGGACTGATCTGCAATTTCCATCTCTCTCTGTCATGCATTTCTCCTAGGAGTGGTAGAATACCTGGGTTGGGTTGGAGTTTATATTGACATGGTGGCCTTTCTGATGAATCTAGCTGGTCAGTGCCATCATATGGCACTATTTTGAAAGAGTGTAGCATGGAGACAAAGGGAGAGACACAGTGATCCCTCAAGTGCTGGGCTATGGGGGAGGTGTCTGTACAGAGTGCGAGATCAAGACATGGCCTAATTATTAGCTGGCATTGGCTTTTCTGCTCATGGATCTATTTCATTTCCACTGAAGCTTGTATCAACGGACTTTCAAAGGATTAAGACATGGATATTTCCCAATTGTTTGACTTTTGACCTTCCTGGATGACCTGTATTTCACTAGGAGGCCACAGGCTAACAGGTCACAGCACAGCATGGATAGGGCAATACAGGTTAAAACCTAGCTGGGGTCTTATAGCTTCTTAGTGGATCACAAAGTAATGAATAAGGAAACTTGATACAGATCCTGAGGTTAGAGGTCAACAGTCAGGATTCTCACTTACAACTTTATTAGGTAATCATCTATTAAAGGCTTTATTAAGTAGGCACCCATTATTCCTACAACTCACAGAAACTAGAGAAAGAACAGTCTTTGACTTTGGAACTGTTGCCATTGATGGTTTCAACAGGACTGTCACAATATTCAAGAGGAGTAACACAGACTTTTTTTTTTACAGTTCCCAAATCTCTGAAAAGCATTTAAGTAGTTGTGATTACTTTTAAGTCTTCTTGAGAAAATGAATATCTTTAAAAATATAATGTCAAGTTAGGATAATAACATGGACATAGCTAACGCCATATTTTTTATAAGAATCCTCTTTTCTCATTTATTTCAAGGAGAAAATCAGTATCCTTTTTATGGTGAGTGTCTTACTTCTCCTTGAAAAATCACATTACATACGTAACAGAAAACTTTGTAGTATTAACAGACATTCCCAAGAAATTCAGTGCCTTCACAGATGCATTATTGTGCATTCCGTGCATACGTTTCAAATCTGACACCAGCTTAACCTAATAAAAACCCAGATGTTAAAATGTCTTATTCCTACAAATTTTATGAGCTCTGGGTTCCAATTCTGGCTTGCTATGATTGGACAAGTAATTTTATTAGAAGGATTTTTTATGTTTATTGATAGAAGAACCTCTAAGGAATTTTGCTTCTGTATCTATGAGATGCACGTTCATAGGCTGATAGTTCCTAAAGGGCTAACTGGAATTGTTTAAACCATTATGTCCTATTGTAGTTTATTTACACATACTTTTCTCAGTTTGAATATACCTTTGGAAACTAGAGATGATCATTATTAGTATCTGAACAATGATTAAAATTGCTTTCTTTCTCCAGTGATAGATTGGTAGCTCATATAGTTTGGGATTATTTACTTATATGAAGACTTTAGGCTGGGTACAGTGGCTCACACTTGTAATCCCAGCATTTTGGGAAGCCAAAATGGGAGGATCACTTGAGCCCAGGAGTTTGAGACCAGCCTGGGCAATGTAGCGAGATCCTGTTTCTAAAAAAAAAATAAAAAATAAAAAAAGTTTAATATGGGTGTGACATCTTCAGTTATGCCAGTTTTATTTTAGTAATATTATCCTTATGTCATATTTTGGAAAAAAATTATGATATTTAAAACAAGGTTATACTTTTCAACTGGCTATTGTGTGCCCATATTTCAAACTTTAGCTCTGGCGATGTAGTGGAGGCTGAGATACGCTGCCTGTATTCCCCTTCAGGAACAAGACACTCATTCCTTCAGCTGCAGGGAATGTTGACTGCTGAGGGCTCATAGCTGAGTCCCTTCCCAGTGAGAGGTGACAGCGTGCTGGCAGCCCTCACAGCCCTCGCTTTCAGCACCTCCTCAGCCTCAGCGCCCATTCTGGCTGTGCTTGAGGAGCCCTTCATCCTGCCACTGCACTGTGGGAGCCCCTTTCTGGGCTGGCCGAGGCCAGAGCCAGCTCCCTCAGCTTGCAGGGGGGTGTGGAGGGAGAGGGGCGGGCAGGAACCGGGGCTGCACCCGGCGCGAGTTCCAGGTGGGTGTGGACTCAGTGGGCCCTGCACTTGTAGGGGCCGGCCGGTGCTGCCAGACCCGGGCAGTGAGGGGCTTAGCACCCGGGCCAGCATCTGCGGAGGGTGCACGGGGTCCCCCAGCAGTGCTGGCCCACCAGCACTGTGCTTGAATTCTCGCCAGGCCTCAGCTCCCTATCAGGGCAGGGCTCAGGACCTACAGCCCACCATGCCCGAGCCTTTCCCCACCCACCGTGGGCTCCTGCGTGGCCGGAGCCTCCCTGATGAGTGCTGCCCCCTGCTTCGCAGTGCCTGGTCCCATCGACTGCCCAAGAGCTGAGGAGTGTGGGCGCAGGGCATGGGACTGGTGGGGAGCTCCCGGCCTGTGGCCCAAGTGCAGGATCGACTAGGTAAAGCCACCTGGGCTCCTGAGTCTGGTGGGCTGGGGACTTGGAGAATCTTTATGTCTAGCTAAGGGATTGTAGATACACCAATCAGCACTCAGTGTCTAGCTTGGGGTTTGTGAATGCACCAATCAGCACTCTGTATCCAGCTAATCTGGTGGGGATTTGGAGAACCTTTATGTCTAGCTAAAGGATTGTAAATGCACCAATCAGCACTCTGTGTCTAGCTCAAGGTTTGTAAACACACCAATCAGCACCCTGAGTCTAGCTCAAGGTTTGTAAATGCACCAATCAGCACTCTGTATCTAGCTAATCTGGTGGGGACTTGGAGAACATTTATGTCTAGCTAAGGGATTGTAAATGCATCAATCAGCACTCTGTGTCTAGCTTGAGGTTTGTGAACACACCAATCAGCACCCTGTGTCTAGCTCAAGGTTTGTGAATGCACCAATCAGTGCTCTGTGTCTAGCTAATCTAGTGGGGACTTGGAGAACTTTTGTGTTTAGCTCAGGGATTGTAAACGCACCAATCAGCACCCTGTCAAAATGGGCCAATCAGCTCTCTGTAAGACCAATCAGCTTGCTGTAAAATGGACCAATCAGCAGGATGTGGGTGGGGCCAGATAAGGGGATAAAAGCAGGCTGCCCCAGCCAGCAGTGGCAACCCGGTGGGGTCCCCTTCCACGTTGTGGAAGTTTTGTTCTTTTGCTCTTTGCAATAAATCTTGCTGCTGTTCACTCTTTGGGTCCACACTGCCTTTATGAGCTGTAAAACTCACCACGAAGGTTTGCAGCTTCACTCTTGAAGCCAGTGATACCAGGAACCCACCGGGAGGAATGAACAACTCCGCCTTAAGAGCTGTAACACTCACTGTGAAGATCTGCAGCTTCACTCCTGAAGCCAGCAAGACCAGGAACCCACCAGAAGGAAGAAACTCTGCACACCTCCAAACATCAGAAGGAACAAACTCCGGACATGCCACCTTTAAGAACTGTAACACTCACCGCGAGGGTCCACAGCTTCATTCTTGAAGTCAGTGAGACCGAGAACCCACCAATTCCGAACACACCAGCAGGCTATCTCTGCCAAAGGGAGCTGCCTTCCCCAAGGTTACAACCTCTCTCTAGGGGCAGCACACATTTAGTGAGTGGGTGATGCAGGGGTAAAATGGTATGACTCCTCTGGCTTAGTAGGGGACAAATTGGAAGGCCTATCCAGTTCTAGAGTTACTCAGAAGATTGGCTGAGATCTTGGCTACAAATGCTTTTCTATTCAACTTCTCCCTCGATTAAAATTCTGCTTTCTTCAGTTCCTTGGCAGTTCTGAGAGTACTCTCCAATAAAATACTGGCATTTCAATGATTAACTCAGGCTCTTTTCAAGGAACTCAGAAAAACATAGGAATATAAAGTCCAAGAGAGTACACTAGAAATAAGATGCTTCCTGAAACTTTCTTTTTTTGCAAACACTGCTCTTTTACACTCTGTGTGTGTGTGTGTGTGTGTGTGTGTGTGTGTTTTAAAGTCTGTACTTTAGATTCTGCAGATGGAGTACTTTAGTAGAATTTCTGTTAATACATTCCTAAATCTTTTAGTGTGAAGCCAAGCACCAAATACTAATTCTACTAGGCTATTGCTAGGCCATGAGATTATTGCCCAGAACAGACTCAGGAACAGCATGTGTTGAGAGTTGAGGAGTTAATAGGGAAGACCATCTTAGTGAGCACACCGTACACCATCTGCAAGACTTCATGTCTCAGAATGCAAGTGACCAGGTGACTGCACTCTCTAAACACAAAAGGAAATGTTTCAAAAGTCAGGCGCCAAGAATGATTTGTTTTGCACTTAGTAAATCCCTTACAAAGCAGCTAGATATATGGATTGATCTCCTGGAAGGTTTGCCTCTCTGTCATGCATACACGAATATATGACCCTGGGGGATTCTTCCATTTCATGGGAAGATAAATGGTATAGGGTATAATCAAAGCTTGGCATTTACATGGTCTTGGGAGATAATTTAGGGTCTTCTGTATGGCAGCTTCAGGGATGTTATAAAGAGGTTATGAGGCAGAAATATGAAAAAGAGGTAGACAGAGGACAGGGAGAGTAATATGAAGGAATCATGTTCTAGTTTTATTCCACATTGACTCTCTGATTACATCATTCGTTCATTCTTCCATCCATCCATCCATCCATCCAGTTATTCAATATATGCTTGGCTGGGCTAGAAATATTGGATGTTCAGACTGGCACTCGTTTATAGGAGCAGGTGCTGAAAGTGCCTAGTTTCAAAATCTGACTGGCTCAACTTAACAAAAGACAAGATGTCTGAGTCTCTTATTCCTACAAACTTCTATCATGCCTCAATAAGATATTGAAATGATAGAGATAAAATATTCATTTTGTGACAACTTGTGATGCCCTGGCAAGCTATTTTGAAGGGGATACTTGACTTAGAGTGGGCACTTAGTCAAGCAATATGGCACAGCAAGCAAGAGAACTCAAGGAGAGTAGTTTTCTAGATTCCGAACTGTGAGAGACTTACAGATTCAAGTATTGCTTGGGAATTTCCCACCTGTGAACAACTAAAGTGGTGTTCAAACAAAACAGGTATTACATTTACCCCAAATTAGGAGACATTATGACTTATTTTGTTGCCCAACCTTCACTGTCCTTTCATTGTTATCCTTCAGATTCATTTCCACAGTGGTAGTGGTGGTAGGAAAGCTCTAGAAGACCAAGAAACTTTGTCATTGATTATATCCAATGTCTGCACTGTTTTACACAATGTGCATAGAGTGGTGAACAAACAAATTAGATAAGGTTCCTCTCTCAAGTGGAGATGACATGTTACTTAAGAAAATTAGGTGGAACAAGACCACAAGCCAGTGTATAGCTATATACTCATTGTTCTGTAGCGTTTGTGTTAGATTTTGTGTGGGCAGGAATGTTTTGACTACCTAAGGTAGTGTTTGGTAGTGTCAGGGTATTGCATTTTTGTCAGGGTAATGTAGTAGCTTTATGTTACCTGTGAGGTGCATGACTGATGTTTGCATTTCTGTGTTCTAATTATAGAAAGAGTAATGTATATGGACTTCTTAAGTTTGAAGTTCAAAAGAGTAGTACATGCTCAAAATTTTTTTTTTTTTTTTGAGATGGAGTCTTGCTCAGTCGCCCAGGCTGGAGTGCAATGGTGCGATCTCAGCTCACTGCAACCTCCACCTCCCAGGTTCACGCCATTCTCCTGCCTCAGCCTCCCAAGTAGCTAGGACTACAGCACCCGTCACGATGCCCGGCTAATTTTTTTTGTATTTTTAGTAGAGACAGGGTTTCACCATGTTAGCCAGGATGGTCTCGATCTCCTGACCTCGTGATCCACCCACCCCGGCATCCCAAAGTGCTGGGATTACAGGCATGAGCCACTGCGCCTGGCCAGTATATGCTCAATTTCAAACCAGAGACTTGGAGGAGCAAAGGTCAAGAAATTATCTTTTTCTATGCGGTAGGTGTCTTATCCCTTTGTGTATCATGAACATCAGGTGGGAAGTCACCTGAAGACTATAAGGACATGGACTACAGGCCATGGGTAATTTAATTGTCAACAAATACTCATGGGAATAGACTTCTTGGCATATTCTGGAAGAAGCAGCATTTCTGTTGGTGTTTTAGGAACTGCCAACAAATCATATCTCTACAAGAAGCCTAGTTTCTACCAGTTAACTTTAACTGGAGGAGTCATCAACACCTGAGAAATTTATCAAATGACTTGGCCTTGCAGAATTCTGCAAGCTCCTTAACAGGCAAGGGTATTTCAAAGGGCAAGGCAAGTTCCATTTTTGGAAATTGCCCTTGGATTGGAGAGAGGTAATTGGAGTTTAAATGCCTACAGCAATCTTCCAAGACACAGGTGCTATTTTTGATAGCACTATGGAACTGTACAAAACTATACAAACAACATTATGACTCTGCACTTTAGGCACCAATATTTTAAACATATTTAAATTTCCTCTATGCAAGAGTTAATTTATTCTATTCACCACCTGCCTATCACTTATACCTGCACTTTAGGAGACTTGTATAAAGTGGTGTATAGGTTTATAAAGCCTTATTAAAATACTGTATATTATTGGTTTCAGAATACAATCTCTGGGGAACCTTGGTTTATCAGCTTTTGACTTACATGAGACAGTGCATGCTATTTAAGCAGTCAATTTGTATTCTTTGAAGAGGATGATTTTTGACTTTGATGGCCTGACATATAAATAGGAAGAGGTATTATTATTAATCCATAAGGATTCTTCTCTCTGATTGCGTTCAATAATGTTCCATGAAATTAACCCTAGTGCTCTGTGGAGAAAACTGAAAGAAGTAGACTGGTAAGATCATATGATACGAAGCTAATCACTGATCTTCTTTGGTAACCAGTTAGACTCAAAAGAGATGATATCATAAGAAATGGAAGGACATCTGGTAACCAAAAATCTAACATTAGCCACTCTTTAGGAGAGTGACTCAATTTAACTGATAAACCAAGGAGTCAGCTTGGATTTATCCACTTAGTTTTTTCTTTGGATCAATGTTACTTTTAGGAAACGAATGACAGCTAGCACACATAAAAATCCTAAGAAAAACCTAAATAATCTTCTTGCAAAGATGTGTGATATTTTTATATTGTAATTCAGTTCTTTAGATTTTAATTGTTTTTAGAAACTACTCAAAGAATGATCAATAAAGGGATACCTTAAAAGGAATACTAAATTGGATTGGGAACCAAATAGGCATTTTTTTGAGAGACCCTTACAAAATCTCAGTTATTATTGGAATTTTATCTTCCCCAAGGTGACCCCTTAAGTTAGTTTATTTGTTTGTTTATTTATTTATTTTGAGACTGGGTCTTGCTCTGTCACCCAGGCTGGAGTGCAATCACGGCTTATTGCAGCCTCAACTTCCTGGGCTCAAGTGATCCTCCCATCTCAGCTTTTGTATTAGATTGTTTTCATGCTGCTGATAAAGGCACACCTGAGACTGGGAAGAAACTGAGGTTTAATTGGACTTACAGTTCCACATGGCTGGGGAGTCCTTAGAATCATGGCAGGAAGCAAAATGCACTTCTTACATGGCGGCAGCAAGAGAAAATAAGGAAGATGCAAAAGTGGAAATCCCTGATAAAATCATCAGATCTTGTGAGATTTATTCACTACCATGAGAACAGTATGGGAGAAACCACCCCCATGATTCAAATTATCCCCTCCAGGTCCCTCCTACAACAAGTGGGAATTATGGGAATTTTGGGAGTATAATTCAAGATGAGATTTGCGTGGGGACACAGCCTGTTGGGAACAAGCCCCCCAAAATCTGGCCATAAACTGTCCCCAAAACTGGCCATAAACAAAATCTCTGCAGCACTGTGACGTGTTTATGATGGCCATAAAGCCCACGCTGGAAGGTTGTGGGTTTATGGGAATGAGGGCAAGGAACATCTGGCCTGCCCAGGGTGGAAAACTGCTTAAAGGCATTCTTAAGCCACAGTCAATAGCATGAGTGATCTGTGCCTTAAGGACATGTCCCTACTGCAGTTAACTAGCCCAAGCTATTCATTTAATTTGGCCCATTCCTTCATTTCCCATAAGGGATACTTTTAGTTAATTTAATATCTATAGAAAAAATGCTAATGACTAGCTTGCTGTTAATAAATACGTGGGTAAATCTCTGTTTGGGGCTGTCAGCTCTGAAGGCTGTGAGGCCCCTGATTTCCCACTTTACACCTCTATATTTCTGTGTGTGTGTCTTTAATTCCTCCAGCACCACTGGGTTAGGATCTCTCCAACCGAGCTGGTCTTGGCAAGTGGCGTCCATCGTGGGGGCTCAAATCCAGGTCGAAGGGTCACCGGATTGATGGTTGGAGAATGTGGAACTAGCTGGAAGACACACGAGTACTCTTAAAGCAATCCCCATGGTGAGTAAGAAGGGGAGCTCGGAAGCATCAGGGTAACAATGGGTCAAGTGTGGGGTGTGGTTCGTTCCATCTTGGAACTTTTTCACACTGATGATGAGGAAGAAGGAGAGTACAGTGAAGTAACAGAAGAGGTTACAGAGCATGTTTATTTGCCAGCTAAAGCTAAAGCGGCAAAGGAGGGAGAGGTTCATCCCTACCCTTCTTCACCCCCTCATTATTATTTTGAAGAAAAAGACCCTCCAGATCTTTCTTTTCTGGAGGACACTGGGCCAAAAGTAGTTGCCCCAGTGACTGTTCCAGCAGCACCTCGAGCAACCGCTCTTAGTTCTATTCAGGCGGGAATTCAGCAAGCTAGACGAGGGGTGATTTAGAGGCTTGGCAGTTCCCTGTTAAAATACACCCCCCAGATCAACAGGGAAATATTATAGCTACATTTGAGCCTTTTCCTTTTAAATTACTCAAAGAATTTAAACAAGCTATAAATCAGTATGGACCAGGTTCTTCTTTTGTAATGGGACTGTTAAAGAATGTTGCTGTGTCCAGTTGGATGGTTCCTACTGACTGGGATGCTCTTACTCGAACTTGTCTAACTCCTGCTCAGTTCTTACAATTTAAAACTTGGCGTGCAGATGAAGCTTCCATTCAGGCTGCTTACAACACCCAGGCCCAAACTCAAATTAATATAACTGCAGACCAACTTTTGGGGGTTGGCAGCTGGGCCGGTTTAGATGCACGACTGGTCATGCAGGATGATGCCATAGAACAGCTTAGAGGAGTGTGCATTAGAGCTTGGGAAAAAATCACTTCAGGTGGGGAACAATACCCTTCCTTTAGTGCTATGAAACAGGGACCAAGAGAACCACATGTTGATTTTATAGCTCTTAAAAAGGTGATTGCAGGAGTCTCTTAAAAAGTTGATTGCAGATTTGGCTGCTCAGGATATAGTGTTGCAGTTATTAGCTTTCGACAATGCTAATCCTGATTGCCAGGCTGCTCTGCAACCTGTCACAGGGAAAGCACATTTAGTTGATTATATCAAGGCCTGTGATGGTATCGGAAGTAATCTGCATAAAGCTACTCTCCTAGCACAGGCCATGGCAGGACTGAGAGTGGATAAAGGAAATACTCCATTTCCTGGAGCTTGTTTTAACTGTGGAAAGCATGGTCATACTAAAAGAGAATGTAGAAAAAATCAGCGAGTCAGGCTGCCAGATAGGGGAAAAAAGAAAATTGCTGAGCTTGAAATATGTCCAAAATGTAAAAAAGGAAAACATTGGGCTAATCAGTGTCACTCTAAGTTTGATAAAGAAGGAAACCCAATTTTGGGAAAAGCCATGAGGGGCCCATCCGGGGCCCCGTTCTAAACCGGAGCATTTCTGGCTCAGGCCATTCCCTCACCCCTGTAAAATGTCTGTCCCCTGCCACAGCCCTAGTGCTGCACTAGATTTAGGCTGCACAAAAGCTGTGAGCCTTCTGCCTGGGGAACCCCTGCAAAAGGTCCCAATAGGACTCTGTGGACCCTTGCCAGCAGGGACAATAGGATTACTTCTAGGAAGATCTAGTTTAAGTTTAAAAGGGGTACAAATACATACAGGAGTCGTTGATTCAGATTACAATGGGGAAATTCAAATTGTTATATCTACTTCTGTTCCCTGGAAAGCAGAGCCAGGAGAGTGCATAACACAGCTCCTGATTGTGCCGTATGTGAGAATGGGAAAAAGTGAAATTAAATGAACAGGAGGATTTGGAAGCACAAATAAACAAGGCAAAGCAGCTTATTGGGTAAATCAAATTATTGACAAATGTGCTACCTGTGGAATAACTATTCAGGGAAAGAAATTTAAAGGTTTGGTAGATAAAGGAGCAGACATTTCAATCATTTCTCTACAGCACTGGCTGTCCACGTGGCCAGTTCAACCCACTCAATTTAACATAGTTGGAGTTGGTAAAGCCCCTGAAGTATATCAAAGTAGTTATATTTTGCATTGTGAAGGGCCTGATGTACAACCTGGGACTATTCAACCTATTGTAACTTCTGTTATAATACATATAAATATAATATAAATTTATGGGGAATATAATTTTATGGGGAAGATATTTATTACAATAATGGGGAGCACAAGTTCTAATTCCAGAACAATTATATAGTCCTCAGAATCAACATACAATCAACATACAAGTGACATTTCATACAATGCATGAAATGGGGCATGTGCCTGGTATGGGACTAGAAAAAAAATTGCAAGGTTTGAAAGAACCACTTCAAGAGGAAAGACAAAATTCCCGCCAAAGATTAGGATATCATCTTTGATGGTGGCCATTGTTAAGCCTTCAGAACCTTTACCTTTAAAATGGTTAACAGATAAGCCAATTTGGATAGAACAATGGCCACTAAGTAAAGAGAAACTGGAGGCTTTAGAGAAATTAGTTACTGAACAATTAGAAAATGGGCACATAGCCCCAACATTTTCCCCTTGGAATTCTCCAGTTTTCATAATTAAGAAAAAATCAGGTAAATGGAAAATGTTAACTGACTTAAGAGCTATCAATTCAGTCATACAACCTATGGGAGCATTGCAGCCAGGATTGCCTTCTCCTGCTATAATTCCAAAAAAATTGGCCTTTAATAGTCATAGATTTAAAAGACTGTTTCTTTACTATTCCTTTAGCTGAGCAAGACTGTGAATGTCTTGCATTTACAATTCCTGCGGTAAACAACCTGCAGCCTGCTAAGCGCTTTCATTGTTTTACAGATGGGTCTAGTGATGGTAAAGCTTCTTATTCTGGATCAAAAAGTAAAGTTTTCCAGACGCCCTATACTTCAGCTCAAAAAGCGGAGCTTGTAGCTGTAATTGAGGTATTGACTGCTTTTGATATGCCTATAAATGTCACTTCTGATTCTTCATACGTGGTTCATTCAACACAGTTAATTGAAAATGCTCAGTTATGATTTCATACAGATGAACAACTGATGATTTTATTTAGCCAATTGCAAACAGCAGTTAGAAGTAGAACGCACCCTTTTGACATCACTCACATTAGGGCTCATACACCTCTTCCAGGACCTTTGACTGAAGGGAATCAAATGGCTGATTGCCTAGTTGCTAATGCAATATCTAATGCTAGACACTTTCACAGTTTAACCCATGTTAATGCCTCTGGTCTCAAATGCAGATACAGCATCACCTGGAGAGAAGCTAAAAATATTATCCAGTGATGCCCAACTTGCCAAATGGTACATTCCTCATCTTTTACAGGAGGAGTTAATCCTCAAGGATTAGAACCTAACTCTTCTTTGGCAAATGGATGTCACACATGTTCCCTCATTTGGGAGACTAGCTTATGTACATGTGTGTGTGGACACCTTTTCTCACGTTCTCTAGGCTACATGCCAAACAAGAGTCTTCTGCCTGTGTTAAACATCACCTTTTGCAGTGTTTTGCGGTGATGGGCATTCCAGCCTCTATTAAAACAGATAGTGCCCCAGTCTATACTAGTCGAGCTCCAGCTACATTTTTCTCCATGTGGAATATTAAACACATTACTGATATCCCATACAATTCTCAAGGACAAGCCATAGTGGAAAGAATGAATCTCTCCCTAAAACAGCAGTTGTAAAAGCAGAAAGGGGGAGACAGAGAATATGGAACCCCACAGATGCAACTGAATCTAACATTATTAACTTTAAATTTTTTGAGCCTGCCCAAAGGCCAGATGTTATCAGCAGCTGAACAGCATCTATAGAAACCAGCTGCAAAGACAGAAACAGAACAACTGATTTGGTGGAGAGATCCAATAACAAAAATTTGGGAAATGGGTAAAATAATAACTTGGGGTAGAGGTTATGCTTGTGTTTCTCCAGGCCAAAATCAACAGCCGATTTGGATACCATCAAGACACCTGAAACCTTATCATGGGCCGGGTGCCAAGGAAGAGATTCCAGGAGGACCCCGAGGACCCCCCAGTTGCAGCCATGTCAAGACTGACACTGAGGAGGACCCCAACTGTCACAAGCAACACCCATTGAACACGGCCACCCACCTGGGGACAGATCAAGAAGCTGTCACAGATGGCAGAAGAAAACCTGAAGAAAGTGGGACAACCAGTCACAACGAGTAATTTAATGGTAGCTATGATAGCAGTTATCACCACTGCCGTGAGTATTCCTTCAACAAGAGCTGACACAGAACAATTATACTTATTGGGCATATTTATCAATCTTGGCTGGTAATAATGCCTGGATATAATCACTCTGACACAGTTACACATGCTTTCCGATCTCAGTGTTTACCATAATAAATCTGCTCCTATAATCGAGGCACACCGCCCTCAAAAACCTATTTGTAAACAAAATTCAACCTGGCTAGAAAAAATGAACATACTCATTTGGGAAGATTACATTGAAGAACAGGCAGAGGTGCTGCACAATGATTCCTATGGAATCACTATTGATTGGTCCCCTAAGGGGATGTTTAGCTTAAATTGCACCTCTCAGTCTGCGTCACAGCCACACTATGTTCAGCTGGTCTGAACAAAATGATCAGTTGGTAGAAATGATAAGAAGTATGGTGAAAGTTCCTATTATCTGGAACCATGGCGGTATAGTTGCACCTCAACCTCAAATGATATGGCTTGTTGTAGGAGCTTAACATAAGGATTTGTGGAAACTATTAAATGCTCTTAATAAGATAAAAATTTGGAAAAGAATAAAAAAGCATCTAGAAGGACACTCTACAAACTTGTTTTTGGATATAGCAAAATTAAAAGAACAAATACTTAAAGCATCCCAGGCCCACCTGACCTTAATGCCAGGAACTAGAGTGCTTAAAGGAGCTGTAGACAAATTAGCAGCTAGTAACCCATTAAAATACATAAAAACACTTGGAAGCTCTGTAATTTCAATGATGATTGTGCTTTTAATCTGTGTTGTTTGTCTTTGTATAGTCTGCAGATGTGGATCCTGACTCCTGAGAGAAGTAGCTCACCATGACAAAGCTGCCTTTGCTTTTATTGATTTGCAAGTCAAAGAAGGTGGGCATGTTGGGAACAAGCCCCCCAAAATCTGGCCATAAACTGGCCCCAAAACTGACCATAAACAAAATTTCTGCAGCACTGTGACATGTTCATGATGGCCATAAAGCCCATGCTGAAAGGTTGTGGGTTTATGGGAATGAAGGCAAGGAACACCTGACCTGCGCAGGGTGGAAAACCACTTAAAGGCATTCTTAAGCCACAATCAATAGCATGAGCAATCTGTGCCTTAAGGACATGCTCCTACTGCAGTTAACTTGCCCAACCTATTCCTTTAATTCGGCCCATCCCTTAGTTTCCCATAAGGGATACTTTTAGTTAATTTAATATCTATAGAAGCAATGCTAATGACTGGCTTGTTGTTAATAAATACATGGGTAAATCTCTGTTTGGGGCTCTCAGCTCTGAAGGCTGTGAGGCCCCTAATTTCCCACTTTACACCTCTATATTTCTGTATGTGTGTCTTTAATTCCTCTAGCCCCACTGGGTTAGGGTCTCCCTGACTGAGCTGGTCTCGGCAACAGCCAAACTATATCATTCCACCCCGGCCCCTCCAAATCTCATGTCTTCACATTTCAAAACCAATCACGCCTTCCCAATAGTCCCCCAAAGTCTTAACTCATTTCAGCATTAACCCAAAAGTCCACAGTCCAAAGTCTCACCTGAGACAAGGCAAGTCCCTCCCACCTATAAGCCTGTAAAATCAAAAGCAAGCTAGTTACACTCCAGATACAATGGGGGTACAGGTATTGGATAAATACAGTCATTCCAAATGGGAGAAATTGGCCAAAACAAAGGGGTTACAGGGCACATGCAAGTCTGAAATCCAGTGGGGCAGTCAAATTTTAAAGCCCCAAAATGATCTCCTTTGACTCCAGGTCTCGCATCCAGGTCACGCTGACACAAAAGGAGGGTTCCCATGGTTTTGGGCAGCTCCACTCCTGTGGCTTTGCAGGGTACAGCCTCCCTCCCAGCTGATTTCACAGGCTGGCATTGAGTGTCTGGCTTTTCCAGGTGAACAGTGCAAGTTTCCAGTGGATCTACCATTCTGGGGTCTGGAGGACCGTGGCCCTCTTCTCACAGCTCCACTGGGCAGTGCCCCAGTAGGGACTCTGTGTGGGGGCTCTGACCCCACATTTCCCTTCTGCACTGCCCTAGCAGAGGTTCTCCATGAACTCCCCACCCCTGCAGCAAACTTCTGCCTGGGCATCCAGGAGTTTCCATACATCTTCTGAAATCTAGGTGGAGGTTCTCGAACACCAATTCTTGACTTCTGTGTACTTGCAGGCTCAACACCACATGGAAGCTCCCAAGGCTTGGGGCTTGCACCCACTGAAGCCATATCCTGAGCTCTATAATGGCCACTTTCAGCCACAGCTGGGGCGGCTGGGACACAGGGCACCAAGTCCCCAGGCTGCACACAGATTGGGACGACCCTGGGCCCAGCCCATGAAACCATTTTCTCCTAGGCCTCTGGGCCTGTGATGGGAGGGGCTGCTGTGAAGGCCTCTGAAATGCCCTGGAGATATTTTCCCCATTGTCTTGGGGATAAACATTCGGCTCCTCATTACTTATGCAAATTTCTGCAGCTGGCTTGATTTTTCTCCTCAGAAAATAGGTTCTTCTTTTCTATCACATTGTCAGGCTGCAAGTTTTACAAACTTTTATGCTGTTTCCCTTTTGAAACTGAATACCTTTAACTGCACTCAAGTCACCTCTTGAATGTTTTGCGGCTTAGAAATTTCTTCTGCCAGATACCCTAAATCGTCTCTTTCAAATTCAAAGTCCCACAAATCTCTAGGGCAAGGTAAAAATGCTGCCAGTCTCTTTGCTAAAACATAACAAGAGTCACCTTTGTTCCAGTTCCCAACAAGTTCTTCATTTCCATCTGAGACCACTTCAGCCTGGACCTTATTGTCCATATTACTATCAGACTTTTGGTCAAAGCCATTCAACAAGTCTCTAGGAAGTTCCAAACTTTCCCACATTTTCCTTTCTTCTTCTGAGCCCTCCAAACTGTTCCAACCTCTGCCTATTACCCAGTACCAAAGTCACTTCCACATTTTCAGGTATCTTTACAGCAATGTCCCACTCTGCTGGTACCAATTTACTGTATTAGTTCGTTTTTGTGCTGCTGATAAAGACATATCCAAGACTGAGAAGAAAAAGAGGTTTAATTGGATTTACAGTTCCACATGGCTTGGGAGGCCACAGAATCATGATGAGAGGCAAACTGCACTTTTCACATGGCGGTGGCAAGAGAAAATGAGGAAGATGCAAAAGTGGAAACCCCTGATAATACCATCAGATCTCATGAAACTTATTCACTACCATGAGGACAGTATGGGAGAAACCGCCCCCATGATTCAAATTATCTCCCACCGGTCCCTTCGACAATACATGGAAATTATGGGAGTACAAGGTGAGATTTTGGTGGGGACACAGCCAAACCATATCAGCTTCCTAAGTAACTGGGACCACAGGTGTGCACCACAATGCCCAACTAATTTTTAAATATTTTTTGTAGAGACAGGGTCTTGCTATGTTGCCCAGGCTAGTCTTAAACTCCTGGGATCAAGAGATCCTCCTGTTTTGGCCTCCCAAAGTGCTGGGATTATAGGCATGAGCCACTGCATCCCACCTACCCCTTCAGTTTTTAATGTGTATGAGTATGATTTAGATCAATTTACTTGCCTGAATCAGGATTCTCAGCCAAGACGTTGGTGAAAACAAAATGAATTCTCTGTCTTGTTTGGCCAGAAGACAACTTTTGCCACTTATTCCATTGGTTTAGAATGCTGAGCCAGATAACATTGCTCTTGAGTCACTACAGATTCTGTGTTTATGTTCAGTATACATCAGGCCTGACCCACATAAATATTTATGCCACTTAGTAGGGCATGCTTACCTGACTTACCTAAATATTTTAGCTAAATAGTGACCCAAATGTCAGTTTTGGCAGATCATATAATTTGATGATTAAGAGCATGAAATTTAGATCAGACACACTTAGACTTGAATCATGGCTCTACCCCTTACCAACTGGATGACTAAGGAGAAAATATTTGACATCTACTTAATAGCTATACTTCTATCAGCATTGTCAGTGGGATTGACTGAGATGTCTACATATAGCCTGACATAGTAGTTGGCACACAAAAAGGTTATCTACTGAATATACTTGGTTTGAATAATTCTTGTGCAAAAATAGGATGGGTGCAGTGGCTCATGCCTGTAATCCCAGCAAATTCGGTGGTTGAGGTGGATGGATCTCTAAGGCCAGGAGTTTGAGACCAGCCTGGACAATATAGCGAGGCCCATCTCTACCAAAAATCAATAAATAAAATAAAAATAAAAGAAAGAGATCCTGATTGGGGTGGTGGCTCACGCTTATAATCTCAGCACTTTGGGAGGTCAAGGTGGGAGGATCTGTTGAGCCCAGGAGTTTGAGACCAGCCTGTGCAACATGGAGAAACCCCATATCTACAAAAAATACAAAAATTAACTGGACATGGTGGCATGCATCTGGGGTCCCAGCTACTCGGAGGGCTGAGGTAGGAGCATTGCTTGAGCCTGGTGAGGTGGAGGCTGCAGTGAGCTGTGACTGCTCCATTTCACTCCAGCCTGGGAGATAGAGTGAGACTCTGTTTCCAAAAAAAAAAAAAAGGGGGGGATCCTTTTCAATTGCACCTTATAAGGACCACAAACTTATTATGATTATTTTTTTTGAGACATAGTTTTACTCTTGTTGCACAGCCTGGAGTGTAATGGCATGATCTCGGCTCACTGCAACCTCTGCCTCCCGAGTTCAAGCAATTCTCCTGCCTCAGCCTCCCAAGTAGCTGGGATTATAGGCATGGGCCACCATGCCCGGCTAATTTTTTGTATTTTTATTAGAGACAGGCTTCACCATGTTGACCAGGCTGGTCTTGGACTCCTGACCTCAGGTGATTCGACCACCTCGGCCTCCCAAAGTGGTGAGATTACAGGCATGAGCCACCTTTTTTTTTTGGTAATGGAATGAAATTTAAATTTATTTCAGTTATTATCTGTTAATTTAAGAATAAATGTAGATGATATACATACTATTACAAAGTAGCTATAACAGTATGTATCTGTTGATAAAATTCTGAGTCCAAAGTTGCTTTTATTTTAGTTTGAATCTGTTTCTTTCTTTGTAAACCTAGTTCTATTTCTCCCATTTGCATTTCCAGTTTGGCTTCTCACTGCGGTTTACCCCTGACTGATTGCTTCCTGGTGTCAGTGCTGATCTTCTAACTGCATGGAGGTCTCAGACTTACTACTGTAAGTTTAGACTTCAAGAGATAGATCGACCTCTCCTTCAACCACATGGAGCTCACCAACTGATTTCTCTTTTTATTTGCTTTAGCAAAAGTCTTGGTGTCCCAAGAAAGAATGATGTATACTATAATCTATTAAGTTTTCTCTTTTATTTTGTTTATTTGTCCTTTCAGTATTTGTTGAATTACTACTATGTTCTAGATACTGTTTTAAGCTCTGAGGAGATAATGGTAAACCTGATGGAATCTTTCAAATTAGAGACAAACAGATAATTAGAATATAAGTGAATAAAAATAGAGAATGTAAGTAATTTTCTCCCTCTAATGTTGGGGTGGGGTTAATTTGGTCCTGAAAGGTTTTCTGAATAATCTCAAAGATAAGACCTATAGGATGAGTTAGTCTGACTCAGGGATATAGAGAGGTGTGGAAAAGGGTATTTCAGATAGAGATCAGAGAGCAAAGAGAGGTGGGTTTGCTCTAGGAATTACAAGTAGAAGAGGCTGGAGTGTAGTATGCAAGGGTAGGGCATGTAACCAGGAGCTACCACTGTGGTCTCCTGTGCAAATAATTTCATAAAAGACCCTTCATGAGTGATTCTAAAACAAGATCTGACTCCCTGGAAGTAAAAGGTCTATCTCCTTGCTCTTTGATGCCCTATCCTAACTGCTTAGTCACAAAGGTGTTGTCTTTTGAGACAACATGCCTTCTTTTGTCATGCATTTAGTGCCCACAAGGCAGATTCCACAAGTCTCATTGCAGCCCATGGAGGCCTGGATCAACTACACATTTCTGTTTCTGTCACAAGGATCTCTGTAGTGGGCTTGGCACTGTCTACCCCAGAGTGACTGTCTTCTTGCCCACACTCATGGGAAATAGACACCAAGAGTATTTGCTAAAATGGTATCTGTTGATCATAATACAATTGCCTATCTGCATAGATGCACACATGAGAGACAAGAACCAAGCGATGCACTGGTTCAGTGCCCTGTGCTTTGGTAGATGAATTCAGCTGCTGCGAGATTTTTTGCCTATTTTGCACCCCTTTTGTGGTAGGGTCTGACATAATTACAGAAGTATTTACATTCTTAGGTCTTTCTCCAGCCTTGATTTAATATTTAGGGTAAAATGAACTCTTGCCAATATTCTCTTTCTAAAAGGTAAATCCTAGGGTTGTGATTATTAGAATGATCCCCAATTCCACCAGTTTCAGCCCCCAATCTATGAAAAATCAGGCACACCCTTCCTTCCTTCCTTCCTTCCCTCCTTCCTTCCTTCCCTCCTTCCCTCCTTCCCTCCTTCCTTCCTTCTTTTTTCTCTTTCTTTTCTTCTTTCTTTCTTTCTTTCTTTCTTTCTTTCTTTCTTTCTTTCTTTCTTTCTTTCTTCTTTCTTTCTTTCTTTCTCCCTTCCCTTTCCTTTCCTTTCCTTTTCTTTCTCTCTTTCTTTCTTCTTTTTGACAGGGTCTCACTCTGTTGCCCAGGCTGGAATGTACTATGGCGCCATCACAGCTCACTGCAGCCTTGCACTGTGGGGCTCAGGTGATCTTCCTGCCTCAGCCTCCTGAGTAGCTAGGACCACAGGCACACACCACCATGCCCAGCTAATTTATATATATATATATATATATATATATATATATATATATATATATATATATATATACACACACACACACACCTATATGTATATATTTTGTAGAAATGAGGTTTCACCATGTTATCTAGTTTGGACTTAAACTCCTGAAATCAAGTGATCTGCCCACCTTAGCCTCCCAAAGTGCTGAAATTATAGGTGTGAGCTACTGTGCTCAGTCAAAAATCGGGCATTTTCCACATCAAAAACATTTTCACAGTACTTTCCAAGTTAAAACAATAGGTATGAGGGTACTTGTAAAAAATACTAGCTAAAAAGTCTTAAGACAAAGGTGACTTTTTTTTATCAGCAGTTGGCGTAGCCCAGATCTAACCTAGTATAATGCAACAGAAAATTTCCTAATTAAATTATAATTTATCTAGTAGTTGGGAAATGAGTTGGACAGCAATGATTGTGTAACGGCGAAAAAGCAGAGAGAAAATAAAGAGACTGGAGAAGTTTTCCAGTTGCTCCAGAAGAGTCTCTAGCCACTGTCAGTCTAGACTGAAGGAAGAAAATGGTAGCCATCACTTCAACTGCATTTTCTGTTTGTCCTATGAAAATCTGTGTCTGATGCTTCCTGCAGAATCATTTTTTAGGCACTTTAGTCTCGGGCTCAAGATAATGACTGCAGAAATTGTTCAAATGGGATGGGATAATAGGTGAGAGATAGTTTTGTACATTTTAAAGTGCTCTACAAATGTATGTTGTATATTTTTTTTCCCAGCATCTGTATGAGGAGACATCAGGAAGCAGTGTAGTGAAATGACTGAAAGTGTGGGTTTTGAGTCTCAGCTCCTCCAGCCCCACAGTTTACTGTGTTGTACTGGGAAAGTCATTTGAGCTTCACAGTGCTTGGCTTCCCTCTGCAAAATGGAAAGAAAAACAGACCTTAGCACTTGGGAACTGTAAGTAGTTGGGACTGATGTATTGAATGAGAGGGGAGGAGCAATGAGAGATGAGGTATGGTTTAATTTTCAGCTCCAATCAGCCTCTCTAAACATTGGTTTCCTCAGAGTGTTGGCAGAATTCAGTGAGACAGTATACATATGATACTTAGCACAGAGACTGGCACTTATTAAGTATAGATGCTTGCTATAATAATTATATTAGTTACTCAGACTCACTGGAGGACCAAACCCCTTCCCATATTTGTTACCTTTGGGTCAGGGACACATAAGATTTAAAAAATAAATTTGATAAAGTTATTTTCACATACACACACAAAATCTCTGTTAAATGCAAATAGTAAAATGTAGTCAGTCTGGGTCACAAAGCCAGAAAAGGGCTTTCCTCTGCTTCATTCAGCAGAGTGAGAAGCTCCAGTTCACCTCAGTTTGCTTGGGGGCCAGCCTCATCTTCAGTTAGTGGTGATGGTGCCTTCACCTGGTACATTTTCATGATCTCAGCAACTTGAGCAGGTGGTGGTGGCAGCATGCTGACAGGTAGGCATAATGACATCAGACAGCCTCAGTGTCTTTTGAAGCCAGTCATGGCCTAAGCAACTTTAAGTAGTAGTGCCTTTAGCTGGGTGCATGGTCTGAATGTTTGTTTCCCTCCAAAATTCATATACTGAAACCTAACTTTCTAGGTGTTGGTATTAAGTGGTGGGGCCTTTGGGAAGTGATTAGGTCATGAGAGCTTCACCCTCATGAATTGAATTATTGTCATTAAAAAAAGCTTGGGAGAGTCTTTTTTTTTTCTCTTCCACCATGTTAGGACACATAAAAGGTGCTATCTATGAGAGTGGGCCCTCACTAGACACCAAATCTGCTGGTGCCTTGATCTTGGACTTCCCAACCTGCAGATCTGTGAGCAATACATTCTATTGTTTATAAGTGACCCCATCTAAGGTATTTTGTTATAGCAACCCAAATGGAGTCAGACATTTGGAGAACAGTATGAGAAGAACTTTGGAATGGACACCAGTCCTTCATGCCTGGCATTGAAAGTGGTGGCAGTGGGGAGCCAAGGTACCATCATGAGCCTTCAGTGTTGGGTGTGGACTTACAAGCCCTTATTGAGATTTATTTGCTTTCCCCATAGTCTATTATTTTATTCTAAGACCAACTGAAATGGGATCAAGAGTAAGCAGATACTTACAGCTTCTGGAGAAATATTTACCTTCTCCTACCTCCTTTTCTCAATACTCCTTGACAGAGATTTAGGGAGGTAGAATGGGGAAGAGTTCCTCATCAGTTCCCCAGCTACGCAGGTTGTAACTTTGGTGAAAGCCCTTTGGTGATATCTGTGATGTCACTGTAGCCCAAGTAACTCTCTGGGTGCACAGGCAGAGAAGTGGACAGACAGGAGGAGCACTTGTTTATTCACTTGACTAATATTTATTCAGCACCTACTATGTGCTGGGTCTGGTTCTGGGTGCCAGATATGTGGTCATATGTGCAAATACAAAGATCCCTGTACCCTAAAACTTACATTTTACAGGAGGAGATGAACTATGAACAAAGAAAAAACTAAGTAAGATAGTTGGTACAGCTGACGGTATTAAGTGCTGTTGAGAAAAATAAAGCAAGGAAGGTGGTGGGGAATGGGGAGTGGTACTTACTCCTCATAGAACTCCAAGACAGAAATGTGTGGCGTACTTGTTCTATGTCCACTTTTTTTGGGCATAGTTTTGATGAGAGAAGCAAAGGACTGCAGCTGGTGCTGCTGGTCCTGGTAGCTGGATCTTCTACTCAGTGTGGCAATTCTGTATTCCACATCTGAGATGGAGACCAAGCCTCCTTCCTGGATTCTGTCCTTGTAGTATGTGTAATATGTTTCTTATTCAGTGTTAGAGACAATATTCCTCTAGTTCCTGTCCTAACATCTTTATCTGATGTCTCCCAGCCTATGCCACCTTCTTAAGTGATTTTGGAGACAAGCACACATGTATAATGTGAGTAATAGAAAGCTTTTTCCTCTATAATTGTATCACATAATAACTAACTGACAAAGCTTAATTTCTATTATTTGAGACAATAGGAACTGAGTCATTGCAAATAATGAAATCAACCTCAAATCTGTTTAGCACAATATTTCAATGTCTGTTCTTACCCGGCTGTTAATGAGAACTGCCAGTAGATACTTTTACTGATATGAATTTTCCTTCCTTTACTTTTCTTTCCTGATCTGTCCATTAGGTACTCATAAGCAATAAAGTAGCCAAGTTTGGGCTTTTAAATAAAAGAGGAGGTCAAGAAAGGCAGGAATGTTCCACTAAGGAACTCTCAATTTTAAATCATAAAGAGTTAACTGCTCTTTCTAGCTTATGACTGACTCTTTCAGTCATGTGGCTCATTGTATATTGCACTTTTCTTTAGCTGTCTGAATGTTATGAAGCTGATGTAATCTTTGGTACTAATTGCCAGTACTTCAAGAAAAGGTTGTTGATGTAAGAGAATGTCATCTTTTCATTTTTCCTGACTGTACTTCATGCCCTATAATATATACACACATAACCCAGAATAAAAACACACACTGGAAACATTATGAAAAGTTTCCCACTAGAGGAAAGTTGCTACGTGTAGGATAAAAAAATACCTACACTCAAAATGGAAATGATTTATGACCACGCCACACTGGATTTTGGGTGGGCCACAAAGGATTTGGTAACCCAAATAATGTCTAGAAAGTGTACACATTTGGGAAGTATTATTGAGGTTTTTATCATGCCCTTTTATTAGTGGGTTGAATAAATACTTCCTCCACTGAAGAAAACAAAAATTAGAGTTTGTTTAGACAGAATGAGTTCTTCACAAACTGCCTTTGGAAATAAGAAAACATTCATTGTGTTGTCAAAATTCTGTACTTTAATTGCTCAGTTTTAAAACCCATTTCATTTTCTGTGCCAGTTATTTTTTATTTATTCAAAAATAACATTCTTTATATCATTATATTTTACAAGTTAAGGATTTAGTAGTAAAAACTTACAGTCTTGGAGATTTTGAAGAAAAGAAAATCTATCTAGTATCTTTTTAGTTTTTGTTAATGTGAAATAACAAGGGGTTAAATATCTTTATAGTCTTTGTTTTTTATAGTATGGAAAATTAAAAGTAATCAATTGTGGTCTGGCAATCCAATTCAAATCCACCCGTATATCTTTCTTTAAAAATGTTCTTCTTTTTTTTTTTATTACTTGTATTTTACTTTTTTAATAGAGACAGGGGTCTCACTACGCTGCGCAGGCTGGTCTTAAACTTCTGACCTCAAGCAATCCTCGCACCTCAGCCTCCCAAAGTGCTGGGATTACAGGCATGAGCCACTGTGCTAGCAGAAAAATTTCTTTTGCTGTGCAGAAGCTCTTTAGTTTAATTAGATCCCATTTGTCAATTTTGGCTTTTGTTGCCATTGCTTTTGGTGTTTTAGTCATGAAGTCCTTGCCCATGCCTATGTCATGAATGGTATTGCCTAGGTTTTCTTCTAGGGTTTTTTACGGTTTTAGGTCTAACGTTTAAGTCTTTAATCCATCTTGAATTAATTTTTGTATAAGGTGTAAGGAAGGGATCCAGTTTCAGCTTTCTACATATGGCTAGCCAGTTTTCCCAGCACCATTTATTAAATAGGGAATCCTTTCCCCGTTTCTTCTTTTTGTCAGGTTTGTCAAAAAGAAACTACCATCAGAGTGAACAGGCAACCTACAGAATGGGAGAAAGTTTTTGCAATCTATTCATCTGACAAAGGGCTAATATCCAGAATCTACGAAGAACTCAAATAAATTCACAAGAAAAAAACAAACAATCCCATCAAAAAGTGGGCAAAGGATATGAACAGACACTTCTCAAAAGAAGATATTTATGCAGCCAACAGACACATGAAAAAATGCTCATCATCACTGGTCATCAGAGAAATGCAAATCAAAACCACAATGAGATACCATCTCACACCAGTTAGAATGGTGATCATTAAAAAGTCAGGAAACAACAGGTGCTGGAGAGGATGTGGAGAAATAGGAACACTTTCACACTGTTGGTGGGACGGTAAACTAGTTCAACCATTGTGGAAGTCAGTGTGGCAATTCCCCAAGAATCTAGAACTAGAAATACCATTTGACCCAGCCATCCCATTACTGGGTATATACCCAAAGGATTATAAATCATGCTGCTATAAAGGCAAATGAACATGTATGTTTATTGTGGCACTATTCACAATAGCAAAGAGTTGGAACCAACCCGAATGTCCATCAATGATAAACTGGATTAAGAAAATGTGGCACATATACACCATGGAATACTATGCAGCCATAAAAAATGATGCATTCATGTCCTTTGTAGAGACATGGATGAAGCTGGAAACCATCATCCTCAGCAAACTATCGCAAGAACAAAAAACCAAACACCGTATGTTCTCACTCACAGATGGGAATTGAACAAGAGAACACTTGGACACAGGAAGGGGAATATCATGCACCAAGGCCTGTTGTGGGGTGGGCGGGGGGAGGGAAAGCATTAGGAGATATATCCAATGCAAATGACGAGTTAATGGGTGCAGCACACCAACATGGCACATGTATATATATGTAACAAACCTGCACATTGTGCACATGTACCCTAGAACTTAAAGTATAATTAAAAAAAAAATTAAAAAAAGAAAAATTTCTTAATAAAATAATGCTGACACTGGGGCTTTTCTGAGGGTGGAGGGTGGGAGGAGGGAGAGGATCAGGAAAAACAATTAATGGGTACTGGGCTTAATACCTGGGTAAAGAAATAATCTGTACAACAAACCCCCAAGACACAAATTTACCTATGCAACAAACCTGTACTTGTACCCCTGAACTTCAAATAAAAGTTAAAAAAAAGTGTAAATTTTTAATGTTTAAAAATTACCTTAATTATATTTTTCCTGTTAATAAAAACCTGACCATCTGTACATGGACCTTAAAAATTTTTACTCATATTTAATATCTGTCAGTATAACTATGCTCTTTGTAGGGTTCAATGGATATGAGTTGGATTTGCTAAAGGACTTATACAACCTCACAGAACAACTGAATGACAAAGGTAAATAAGTACCATTTAAGTCCAAATCCAAAGAGCACTGGAATGAGTAGGGGTATAGTTTGAAGATCTAGGTTCTAGTAAACACAGTTCTACTCTTAATCAACTATGTGATCATGGAATTATTTTGAGAATCAAATGAAATGAAGTCTATTAAAATGCCAATAAATTGTAAACATTATTTAAGAACAACTTATCCATCATCTTCCCTGTGTTCTAATTCTGGCTCTGATACTAAATTGCTTCAGGAATTTCACAAGCCACTTTACTTTTGTGAACCGTAGACTCATTTGGAAGATGAATTTGATAACTTTCAAGGTCTTTCTAGGTAAGAACATTCAAATCACATAATTATCAGGAGCAAGTCAGAAAACAGAATCTTCTCTCTTTCAAAAAATTCAATAGGAATCAATTAATTGGAGAAATGAAATATTCAATTGGCTTTAAGAATTATCTCCCTCTTAACTATAATATTCCACCAGTTACACCCTTACGTGGTTTATACAGGTTAATTAATTAATATAATAGCTCTTTACAGAACATTAAAACACAGTTTTTGTTATGTTTTCTAGAGTCATAGTATCTAAATTTTTATCCTGTATCCTGAAGTGTTAAGAAATTTAAGCATACATTCCCAATAATAAATATTGATACATACTATATGTGTAATTATAACCATTTATTTACATGTGTATGTAATTATGTGTATTTCAAAATATGATTTATAAATTAGAAAAGAATAGGAGCAGACATAATGGGCTCACACCTGTAATCCTAGCACTTTGGGAGGCCGAGGTGGCAGGATCACTTGAGCTCAAGAGTTCAAGACTTGCCAGGGCAACAGAGTGAGATCTTGTCTCTGCTTTAAAAAAAGTTTTTTTTCCAAATAGACAAGAATACAATGATGATGAAAGGATAGATAATATCTAGGGTACAATATAAACTTAGGACACAGTTCCTCATTAGTAATATGAGTTTATGACATATATTAAATAGTTCTATCAATAATTGTGAATACCCAGCTTTTTCCTTGTCATAACTGGTCTGACAGCCATTATCTATACCTTGCTGTGAAGCAGACAGTGAAATAATGCCAGGGGTAAAAGACGTATTAACTCTGTCAGTTTCTTGTTTTTGCTTATTCTTGGCAAAATATCAAGTGTGCCAATATCTTGTGGTTTTTTTTTTTTTTTTGTACTTTTAGGGAAAAGCCACTTGTTCACATATGTGAAGATTTGTTTAGTTAATACTAAATAATATGATCTGTAAACCACCCTTTCTGTGCATGCCAAGGCTGTCCTGTGTTGTAGCATGTTTTAGAGACAACTGCAGGCTCTCCCACACTTCCTGAAGAAATCTTGTATAGCAGATGGAATGCTTGGCCTTCTGAGTCAAAGGACTAAAGATGGGTATCAAGGGACAGCTCTGGCAATAATTACATGTGGGATACATTAAAACTTAATAGACTATTGTTTATGGATTGAAAACAAACATAAACAAAAGCCCTATTGTATTTTATCCAGACCCAAATGGTTGACACTGTGTGCTCTTTTCAAAATATTCTATAATAACTTACCCCAATACGTGTTTAGAAAAAATACTCATATTATTGTGATAAAATATACACATTTATTACAAGGATATGAAAATACAACATTTGAATTAAAGGGGTTGAGATAAAATACACATAGAAAACTGCTTAACAATTTTTGTCTCTATCATTGCAGGTGGTTTTGTGTACTCTATTCTGGAAAGCACTTTTTTAGGGACTGAAAATCTGTTGCTAGAAATTTATGCTTTGTTACTAAGCAAAGGATGAGAAATATGAATGATTCAGTAAAAAGGACTGACCACAATAGCTGACCATGTTTAGGGTGTTCTTCTTTTCCCACCTTTCCAGAAACAACCAGTAGGAGATGTGAACTGGACTCACCACTCTTTTGGTTCTGCCCTTATCTTCTGAATTCTCAAGCCCCGCAATGGACTGTTATCATTATTCAGAACCTTAAATTTGATTGACAAATGCTCTAAGAGAAACTATTTTATCTTCAAATCTGTCACTTGAGATGGAAAGCAGGCCCCTGAATCCATGAGCTATGGAATAGGGTCATTCTGTCAGGGTTGGATGGTGACATGCTGAGATATGATGCTCTGTCTCTTGAAGCATAAATTGTGGTCATAACTTAATAGGTGGTACTTTTGTGCTGCTTCTGAACTTAAATAATACTTCTGGTATAAATAGCATCTGTAGATTCATGTGTCCATTTAATATCGAGCTTATTTTATGTTTAGGCTGCTAAATGATACACCTATTTCTTTTCTTTCATAAATTTAATTTGTTACAGTAATACCTATATTTGCTAGAAGTGATTATACTAATGTGAAAACTGAAAATTATTCTTTATTCTGTTGCATAAATAAACTATTGAATACTTATGGCTTTGGATAAGCATGGTCAAATGATAATTGCATTCACATTTTTTGGTACCAATTTTCTATTACTCTAATTGGTTCAAACACTTTTGTATGTGTAATAATCTCTCATTAAATCAGGCATTCCTTAAATAGTATTAATTAGCATGTGTAAAATCTACCTTGAAAACTTGTTTAATTTTACAAATTATACTACTCCGTGACAGTATCCCTGGAGCTTCATCAATCTCTGACTTCTAAATAATTTTGAAGTAAAAAGATTTTTAATAAAAAATACTCTAAAATCCTCTTCGTAATCATATTTAGCAGGAAAACATTGTGTCACAGACTCTCAAGTATCTCTTGGATGGTTTCACAGAAATAGTTTTATCTATCCCATCTGTATTGTGCCTATTAAATGCCAAGTACTATGTGAGGCTTGGTTAGTAGGACAAGGTCCCATTTTTAAGGAGGAGATACTTCAGCAAGAGATACTGAGGTCCAAGTAAATTTAATTTTGCCAACATAAAAAAGATTCAAGTTGGCAGGGTGCGGTGGCTCACACCTGTAATCCTAGCACTTTGGGAGGCCAAGGTAGGTGGATCACCTGAGGTCAGGAGTTTGAGACCAGCCTGGCCATCATGGTGAAAACCTGTCTCTGTTAGAAACACAAAAATTAGTTGGATGTGGTGGCATGTGCCTGTAATCCCAGCTACTTGGGAGGCTGAGGCAGGAGAATCACTTGAACCCAGGAGGCAGAGGTTGCAGTGAGCTGAGATTGCACCACTGCACTCCAGCCTTGGTGACAGAGCGAGACTCTGTCTCAAAAAATAAATAAATAAATAAATAAATAAATAAATAAATCCAGAGGAGTGGAACCTTGGGACAGAAGTGGAGGAAGATGTTAAAGAGATCTTCATAGAGGATGAAATATTTTAGCTTGATGTTAAGGTCAATAGGGCATGCCTGATAGAGAACATTTCATGAGCATTACCATGAAGAGCAACAGCCTGTTTGAGAAATTCATTAGTTTAGTGTGGCTAATATATGGGATTCAATGGGGGTACAGAAAGAATGATAGAAGGGAAGTCTGGGCAGACAGTTTGGGGTGGTAGTCTGCATCTGATGGCAGAGTAAGTTTGGATGATTTTAAATCATCTACCACAAAGGTAGGAAAGAGTTTGTATTGATGGGGAGTAACTGTTAAGAACACTCATTATTAAGGCCGTTTTTGGACTCAGTAGAAAAACTTGCATCTATGATCGATTAGGAGAAAGATGAGGAAATTGTGGGTGTGATTTTGTAGATACTAATTTAAGGTTTCCAAGCAAAGAATACACATGACCAAGTTTATAATTTGGAGGACAAAACAAACAAAACATCAGACTCATGTCAGTGAAAAAGATGAATTAGAGGGGAAGGAAATTAAAGGCTAGTTTGAAGGTTATTGTAACAACTCAGATATGCTATAATATGGCATGAATTAGAGTAGTAACAATTCAGATATGCTATAATATATATATTATTTAATATACATAATATACATAATAAATTATTGTAACAATTCAGATATGCTATAATATGGCATGAATTAGAGTAGTGAAAGAGCAAATGGAAAGGAAGAAGCACTGCAGAAACATCGTGGGGATCCAATGAACATTTGATGGCTGGTTGGATTTGGAGGGTGAAAGAGAAAGAAAAGTCCAAGACTCTAAACCATTTTCTAGTTTGGGGATTTGAGTGATTGGTTGAGTCAGTCATTTGCTGCTGTGTAACAAACAACTCCAAAATCCAGAGACTGAAATAACAATCATATAATAACCTTGTGAATCTGTGGGTCAAGTGGAGCTCTCCTGATGTAGTTTGGGCTTCTCCATGTGACTCTGCTTCAGGCTGGGGCAGCTAAGGGAGCTTATCCCATCACTGAAGATCTCTGGGGTGGCTGGGGCAATTCCCCTCTCTGTCTCTCATCCTCCTCATACCAGTGTGTAAGGCTAGGCATATGCTTCTCATGGCAATGGCAGAGCTACATGATTGCAAAAGGGACAACAAGAGGCTTTTTAAGTTGTAAGTTCAGAAATGGTATTTTGCCATTTCTTGCCACAGGCTGTTGATTAAGGGGGGTCACATGGCCACGCCCAAAGTCAAGGGATAAGAAAGTTCACTCTATCCGCAATGAGGTCATGGCTAGAATGTGAATGGGAGAATGGTCAAAAATTGAAGGCAACAATGTAATCTTTCACATTGTGGTATCAAAATATTTTTAAATTTAAAAATAGTTTGGGAAATAAATCTTTAAGAAGTATAAAATGCTTTATTTTTTTACACTATATCTATGGGTACTGATAAATGAGTTTGCAGCCTGGAGGATCAGCCAAAGGATAATTAAACTTAAATAGCCTGTTTTAAATGAAGAACTATAGCTCTCTAGGTTGTTTGCACTGGACTGCTTCCAGGAAGCCCCTCTGCAAATTATTCTCAGCCACTAAAATCAGGAGAGGAGGCATGGGAATTTAGTCTGGAGTGAAAAAGCCATCAAGAGGTAATTATCAAGTTCTCCAATTAAAAATTGTATGCATTTGGTGACAATAAAAGTAAAGCTATGGATAACTTGGTCAGAGTTGCAAATTTGTTCTATTTTAAGGCAAAATCCAAATATCTTTATTTTTTAAAAACATATTCAGAACATCTAGGTTTTCTAAAATAAAATGGGCTGGGCTTGGTGGCTCACCTCTGTAATCCCAGCATTTTGGGAAGCCAAGGCAGGTGGATTGTTTGAGCCCAGGAGTTCAAGACCAGCCTGGGCAACATAGCAAAACCCAATCTGTATAAAAAAATACAAAAAATAGCCAGGCATGGTGGCACATACCTGTAAGTCCCAGCTACTCAGGAGGCTGAGGTTGGAGGATCACCTGACCTGGGGCAGTGGAGGCTGCAGTGAGCTATGATCGCATCACTGCACCCTAGCCTGGGCAACAGATTCTGTCTCTCTCTCTGTCTTTCTCCTTTTTTCTCTCTCTCTCTCTATATATATAATATATTACATATATAATATACATATTACATATATAATATATATAATGTTTTTCTTTTCCTAATTCTTTGTCATTGTCCCTGTTTTTTATTTACTCAAATTATCATTATATATATGTAATGATATATAGTGATAATTTGAGTAAATAAAAACAGGGACAATGACAATAAAGTACATATAGTTTATGTTGTATCTCATCGTATTATAAATATACATCTTGACACCTTCTCTAAGAAGAACCAGAGAAAGTACGGAACTTTAAGAACTTTTGTCACTTTGTTGCTGAACCATTTACTTTCTACAAGGGTTGTTTTTGTGGTTGGTTAATATGCTCCTGAAAGAGTGAGAGATATAAAAAGTACTGTAAGACAGCAGGTTTTTAAAAAGAAATGAGGGCACATAAACATGTACTGCATGTGAAAACACCAATAAATTCTTTAACATTTCATTATCTATGTATCTATTATCTATTTATCATAATGATAAAGTAGAATACTTAACAAGCAATGTTCAAAACGTACATGAAGAAAACTATAAAACACAAAAGTAGGTTTCAAATAACAACAACAACAACAAAATGTCTATGGTTTTGGACTGAAAGAATCATCATCAATAAATGTCATTTCTCTCAAGTTTAATTAATTCAATGCAACTTTTATAAAAACACCATCTTGTTTTTCTATGGACCCAAACAATTTGATTACAAAATTTATTTGGAGCATAAAAAGCAAGAATAACGAAGAAAATCCTGAAAAATAGGAGCGATGAGAGGGAACCAAACCTATCAGATTAAAATATATTTTAAAGTCTCTATGATTAAAATAGTACATATTGTCTCATACATAGAAACAGATAAATTAATATAACTTGTACAATTTAGAAATAGACTCCTCATTGCATTTGGAAAGTTAATATAGAGTAAACTACTATCTCAACTCAAGAAAAGATAAAATTTTTATCAGTTGATGTTAAGATAATTATATAGTCATACAAGAAAATAAGATTGGATATAATTACCATACCATAAGTCCTGCTAAATTCTATATGGATTAAGAAATGTAGATGTAAACAATTAATTCATATAATTATGAAAAGGAAACATGAGGATTTTTTCTGTAATCTGAGACTAGGGTAAACTTTCCTAACCATGTTTTAAAATCTAAATTCAATAAGAAAAAGATTGATACATATTATTGTGCAAAATTAATGAAACAAAACTTTTGCATGGCATAGAAAATAAAACGTAAGTAATTTATAAAGACAAATGACAAACTGGAAAAAAAATTGAAATTCACTTCACAGTAAGAAGGTTAATATTCCTAATATAATAAAATCTTCTGAAAAAAGAAGAAAAGATTGAAACTTTTGGAAAAATGGGCCAGAATCAGGAAAAACAGTTCACAGAAGAGAAGTATGACTAATTCTTAACAAGAAGTATGAAAACATGTTCATCTTTACTCATAATGAGAGAAGTGCAAATTAGATCTTCACTGAGATCCAGTTCTAACCTGCCACTTAGAAAAAATCCAAAAATCGACAATGTTAACCTATTTGTAAGACTGTGGGGGAAAAAGCACTTCCTATATTATTGATGGGAATTTGACAACAGCTAGAAAACTGCTATATGCATTCATCATCTGAACCAGATATGTTACTTCTAGAAGTATATTCCAAAGATACAGTGACAAAAACATAAAGGATATATACATAAGACTATCTATTACAGCACGATTTGCAATATCAGTGGAAATATTCTCAATGTCTATCACAATTGAGACCAGTTGAATGATGCATCATATATACACAGTCATGTACCATGCATCTATTTTAAGAAAGGGATATCTCTATAAACTGTTAGTGATTTTCAAGATACATTAAGTTAAAAAAGCAAGGTAGAGAAAAGTGTACGTAGTATTCTGCTCTTTATCTTAGAAAATTTATAAATATATAAATATTAAAAAAATTAAAGTTGTAGGGATCAACCATAAAGAGAAGACAAAGATAGAAGCTAGGCTTTCCTGAATATAACTTATTCAGTTGATTTAATATTGGAAGTATGTTTTATATGAATATGACAAAGTTAAATGAAAATGAGAACATAAAGGAGTCTTTAAAATTTAAAAGCAAGGTTAAATGAATGCACTAAACCATATGCTGAGCTAGCGGCTTCATCCAAAACTGAGAAATTGTTTCAAGTAACTTTAAAATTTAGTAATTTGCCTAAACACACTTATCTCTGGTGGGATATATCCCAAAACTATCCTCAGCGAGAAAAAAGAAAGAAAAAAGAAAGTTTCAGTAAACTTACAGTTATTATTCTGAAACTATTATATGTATAAAATATATGACACATACACAAGCACATATATGTGTATATATATAAAATGCCTGACATATAAATCAGCTAAGCCATTACAAATTTTTTTAAACTTTTTTTTTTAACTTCTGCTCACTAAAAAGACCTAGAAACAATTTGCAATTGTTTCTAGAAAAAATGTATATTCTTAGTCCTCAGACTATGGCCAATATATACGGCTCCCACTTCTAAATAGATTTCTTGAACAAATAGCTGACTCCATGTCTGAGTACTGGAAGCTATAAGATGAGCCTGAAATATCTTGTACCAGAAAACAAGGAAGCAACCAAAGACAACTGGGGGTATGTCACAAGACTCCAGGAGCCTTGAAGAGATTCGCGCTGGACAAAGAAGAGACAAATTATGACACCTAGAAGAATAATAAAGGCAATGAAATATTCTTTTCTTATGAAATATAAAACAAAATATTACTACCCTTGAAGAAATACCTAACAATCAGATCAAGTCCCTAGATATATTTGCCAATTAACAGGAAACACAAAGAACAGAGGAATATATTAAATGGCACTAAGGGGAAGCAATGATTGAATTCTAGAATAGGGAAAACCCCACAGGACAAACGACCAAGATTTTTCAAAACATAATTTGCAAAAAATAAAAAAAAAGAGCAACATGTAGATTAAAAGAGATTTAGGAGTACATATCATGGCTGCGCTCAGTGGCTCATGCCTGTAATCCAAGCACTTTGGAAGGCTGAGGTAGGTAGATTGCTTGAGCCTAGGACTTCAAGACCAACCTGGGCAACCTGGTGAAACCTTGTCTCTATTAAAACATAGAAAACTTAGCCAGGTGTATTGGCTCATGCCTGTGGTCCCAGGTATTCGGGAGGCTGAGGTGGGAGGATCGCTTGAGCCAAGGAGGTAGAGGCTGCAGAGAGCCATCATTATGCCATTGCACTCCAGCCTGGTCAGCAACAGAGTGAGACCTTGTCTTAAAATAAATAAATAAAAATAAACATAAGAAAACACAAAAAGAAGTATATATCAAGTGAGTAAAAATTGTGGACTTTGAACTCCAATTAGAACAAAGCAGGTGTTAAAGAAATACCTATGAGGCAAACTTTGAAGAAATTTGAGCACTGCTTGGGTATTTAATGTCCATAAGGAATTAGTGTTAATTTTTAAGTTGTAGATAAAGGTATTTAAAAAATAATAATAATAAATTCTGAAATATGGACCTATGGCATATCTCAGATTTTCTTCAATGTAGTCAAGTAGGGGAGCAAAATGGAAAGTCACAGTGAAACAAGAGCTGATGATTATTATAGCTGGGGATGGGAACACGGGTTATTTACTGAGCTCTTTACTGGTGTGTGTTTGAAGTCATTCATAATAAAAAGTTAAAAAAGAAAGAAAGTGCCATTAAAATGTCCTTCTTCTTGCTACCAGGTCAAATAAAATAATCATCATATTTTACTTTTCCACCCAATATAATCAGTAGACAACAAGGTGACAAAAAACTTTACACTCAAACTTACTTAAATGGTATAAAATAGTGAAATGGTTCAAATGGCTGTGAAGCTCCAAGTAATACTGCCTGGCTTTTGTAGAAACATCTTAATTGTCTTATATGCACCCTGTTTAACATTAGAAGTCAGTGTAAAAATGATTTACAAGTTCTCAGAGTGTCATTAGGTCTCTGTCATGAAGACAAAGGTGACAAGAGGTATTCACCCAGAGAGATGAATAACAATAGAGCTGCTAGTTAATTTTTGATTCAGGGAAGCAGCATTACAGTATGGTTAGGAGCAAAGGCCTTGGAGTTAGTCAGACTATTCACTATGAGTCATTCACTCTTTGGTATTCACTATGTGAGTGTTGCTATCAGTTTCCTCATCTGAAAATTAGAGCTACAATGTTTATCGAATAGGTTTCTTGTGATGATTATAGAACTTATGCCTGGTTCACATGAAGCTACTTAATTGTCGTAATAATTATTATTGCTACTATTGATTGGTCTGAGAAGTTGAAGCAGAGTCCCAAGCTTAAAAGACAAAAGCAGAAGAAAATCTAAAATTCTTTATGGAGGACATGACTTTTGGGTCATTGATAACAAGACACTCTGTATTTTGTGCCCTGCTGGAGAAACCCCAAATGTCTTCTCTTCCAGGGAGCTTATACTTCCCAGGTGGGACACCTTGGAACCTGAGCAGATGACTGTCTGAGGAAGACTTAATTCTTTTATTTTTTATTTATCTATTTTTTTAGAGATGAGGTCTTGCTATGTTGCCCAGGCTGGTCTCGAACTCCTGAGTTCAAGTGATCTTCCCACCTCGGCCTCCCAAAATGCTAAGATTACAGGTGTGAGCCACTGCACCCAACCGAGGAAGACTTAATTCTGATGAAAATAGACAACTTGCAGTGCATTGGTTCTCAAATATTGGCTGAGAAAGACCTATCCTATTGCCAAAACTTTTACCATGTATTCGTTGACTTAAATGACACTGGTAAGAAAGTCTGGCAACCTTGTATTTGTGTCGCTCCATTTACCTTAGAAATACCGAGACATAAAAAGAACCAGGCACCGTGGCTCATGCCTGTAATCTCAATGCTTTAGAAGGCTGAGGCAGAAGGATTGCTTGAGGACAGGAGTTCAAGATGAGCTTGGGCAACATAGTGAGACCCCCTTCTCTACAAAAAAGTAAAAAATTAGCCAGGCACAGTGGCACACCTGTAGTCCCAGCTACTTGGGAGGGAGGCTAAGGTGGGAAGATCCCTTGAACACAAGAGGTTGAGGCTGCAGTCAGCTTTGATCGCGCCACTGTGCTCCAGCCTGGTTGACAGAGTGAGACCGTGTGTCAAAACGAAAAAAAAAAAAAAAAAAAGGAAAGAAAAAAAGGATGATAAGTGTATATAAAGGAGGGAAAGCTATAATACTATCAGATGTGATCGGGGATATTTCACAAAGTTGATGATATTTGAACATAATCTAAAAGGACATGGGAGTTTGTTAGGAAGACAAAGTGGGAGGACAATCCAGGCAGAGACAACAGAATGATGAACAGGTATGCAGCCATAATCATTTGGGTATCATGTAGAGAAAACTCTGTGTTTTTTCTCTACTCTCACACTGCAGCAATCATCAACACAGAAAAAGACTTCTGTGACCAAATGTGTGTGGGATTTTTCCTCACACGCAACGCAGCGGACACCAGCTGGGTGTCTTCTAATTCAGTTTGGACGCTATCTACAGGGACATAGTGTCAGATCCCAAAGGCTGAGGCTTAGTCCCCAGGACTTCCCCCACACACACCAGTTGCAAGTCTGGGCCTCCCAAAATTCTGACCCACCAGCTTCAAGTTGGGGTTCCCACTACCCTCTCTTTGAGTTTGATTAATTTGCTGGAGCAGCTCACAGAACTCGGGGAACGTGTTTGTAGGCTTATTATAAAGGATATTGCGAAGGATACAGAAGAAGAGACACGTAGGGTGAGGCATGGGGGACGGGGTATGGAGCTTCCATTCCCTCCCTGGGCATGCCACCCTCCAGGAACCTCCATGTGTTCGGACCTTCTCTGAGCCCTGTCCTCCTGGGTTTTTACAGGAGCATTCCTTCCCTTAGAGTATAAGGGCAGGACCCTCTCTGGGAAGAGTCTTAAGAACCACAATCAGAAAGGCAGAAAAAAAGGAGAGTCCTGCCTTGAGACAGGTGAGAGGAGGGCAGGAGAAGATCAGAGACCTTCCTCTGAGGCCTAACACATCCAAATTATAGCAAAAAACTGTAACAAGGGCTTTGGGAGTTATGAACCAGGAACCTTGGCCCAAATCCAATCTATTTCATAACACCACAGGTATGCTCCTAAATTCTTCAGGCACACAGAGTAGCAAAGAACGAGGCTAGGAAGATGGGTGGGTGTAGCTTTTACAGGACTTTTTCTGCCTTAGAATGTTCCCTTTATTTTTTAGGCAACAGTGAATCTATTTTCAAGGTGGGGGTCAGTCCTGATTATAGCAGTGATTCCGAGAGAGACTTGGTAGATGTCTGAGGTAAAGGATAGAGATGAATCCCAGGAGAATAAAATCAGGGACGCAAGTTAGAAGATGTTTACAATATTCTAGAAGATATTTTATGTACATCTGGTGAGCTAATAGTAGAGGTGCTGATAAATTTGAATTCAAGGGATACCTGGGAAAGAGAATTGATAGAAGCTAATAATTCAGAGAAGTGAGTGAAAATTATTTTCTTTATCAAGATAGAGCAGGATTGAGTAAACAGATACTTTGATAGTGGACATGTTGAGTTTGGGGTACACAGGCTTCCTTGATACCTGTGTCATGATCTCACTCACTAGTGAGTCCGTTGGACATGGAGGACAGTGGGGATGGGTTAGGTGGGAGACTGGCCTGTAGTTTTTGAATGGGGTGATGAAAAACAAATCAGGGAAGAGCAAGGGGTGGCACAGAACAGTGGGATATGAAGTGCAGAGAGCCACAGCCAAGAGGACAGATCTTAATTCTATGAATCAAATTTATACCTAATCCAGGCTGCAATATTAAGTGTTCTGGGAAAAGCAGGTTCTCCATTATCAGGTACAATCTGAATTCATAGAGAGGATCTATGTGAAGAAATTTAAGAGATTCTTAGAAGAAAATCAAAGTCAAGCTAGAAGGAATGATGTTCCTACTAGTATTACCTCCCCTAGGGATGCTGATGGAAGCACTGAATTCAAGATACTGGAAGATGGGCTAGTTTGTCACCTGGTCTCAACAAAAGGGAGCCTGTAGGGGCACTGCAGAGCATGTACTCACCAGTTCCCAGGGCTTGCTCTACCCACAGGCTATCAGGCATAGGTATTAATTATTTCTCAACCTTATTAGCTAGTATAAGTGAGCCACTGGTATACCATGCTAGGCTCAGTTCTGACTCATTTTTACTTTACTATTTTTACTTACCAGGAGTAAGTAATTCAGAATGATTAAAGGAGAGATTTGGAGACAGGAATATTTGGAACCACAGCTGGGAAGAGAAGTGGTTTTGCTAGATCCTGGAGAATCTTGAATGCTAGGCTAAAGAGTACTGATGATGTATTTTACTCAATGATCATTTTTGAAGGATTTTGATCATGAATTGTTTTGGTATTACTTAGAGCACATGCTTGGAAAATTATTGATTGTGGGAGAAATATAAGATTGCATATAGGGTGAACAGAAACTCTCCAAAGAATTTTTAGCAAAGTAGCACACTTGTAGACTGTTGAAAGATCGATAGCTGTGAATCACACCGGCAACAAAAGATCTGAACAAAGCTGTTTGTGGAGGATTCAAGGGCAAAGTTGCAATCAATGACAAACCCCATGAGCAGAGGCCAAGGGGTGGAAAGAGCTACTGGTTGTAGACTGAGATCTTCAACCCTTTGAAAGAAATTGCCTGGAGCCTCTACATACAACTCGATCTTGGGGCATGCACCATGAGACCATCTTTGGTGCAGCTCTATTATCTCTTGGTATTTAATCACATAACCCTCTTGGAACTTCTCCAAATTTTCAGGGGAATTGTTAGATACAGTGAACAGTATTATAGCGAGGTTCTAGAAATGTGTCTATTCAAAAAGACAACAGTGCTAAATATACCTTTTGCATGTTGTAATGTTGGGGAGACCTTGGTAACAGAGCATGCAGCATGTCATTGGCTCAGCTTATAAACAACAGGGCAAATGAAGGTGTAGATATTCTTTAGACCTTATTTTCTATTAACATTTTGAGAATTGTAAGACTGCTAGACCTTTAATACTTGGATATTTGGTGCAATTCTCATACCAATCTTCTCTTGGGATACTAAGAATCATAGAAAATGAGCAGTTAGGAGCCAAAACAGAGAATCCAAGCAGCTTATAAACTGCAGCATAAACCAAGTGACCAGTACATTGCTCTGTACTGACAACATTGGAAGAAAGGACGTTCATCTGAAACTCACTACACTCTGATCATTTATTCTTCTGTAGACTTGGTGTCTGTCTATCCAATAGTCAAGTCCAGTTGTAAAAATGAGACAGTAAGGAGTGAGGAGGTGGTTGCCAGCAAATTCTAGACTGATATTAGAGTCACTCTTTTGACTTAGATGGCTGAATCTCTACATAAGAGTCTAATCAACTATTGATATCTAAATACATTTTTAGGCCACTTGGAGACAAATGACCCAATAATGAAAATCTGTAACCAAAAAGGTGAGAAGAGCATACTCTAAGAAACCATTACTGAGAAAATGCAAGGGAGCAACACAGCATTCATCCAATCCAATCCTAGTAAAGAAAACGATTACAAGATATTTATAGTTTTAAAAATTAGGGAATTACTGTTCATGAAGGAACATTATGCAGCCAATAAATAATTGAAACTGCCATTCCTTTCTGCTTCTACTGGCCTTCAGTCAGGAAAATAAAAGTTTTAATTAAGCTTAAGATCTTCATCAGTTTGTTTAATTCTTTTGAAAGACCCACTTGGGATTAATGTGTCTAGAACCTTTATCATCATTGGTGGGAGATGTGCCAGTTTCAGGACAGAAAGAATAGGATATGTAATAAGAGATAACCCATCCTGTTGGAAATTATTCCAAACGGTACAATCATCTTCTTAAGACTTCCTCTACCATGATAGGCTTCTAAAGTCAGACTGCACAGGGCTGTAATGCATATCTACCAGTCTCTTAAATAGGACAAGTTGCTTGATTTTTCAGTGGTTTGGATTATCTATAAAAGGGGGGTGACGTTGCCTCATAGTATAGTTGTGAAGATTAAATGAGATAATATGTGTGACATGCTTTATAGTGACATGTCTTATTGTGAGCTCTCAATATATGTTAAGTATGATTATTATTGTATGATAATAATATTAATTCTAGGTTATAGTGCACATGGGTTAGTGAGTAAGTGAGAAGGACATACTACAAGATGTATCTGCCATGATCTCCACTATGGGTGGCCAATAAGCCATTTTTCTCTTATAGATGATTAGCCAAACAGTGACATTTGATTTCACCAGGTTCATTAAGCAGAGATTTTCCAATGCAGTGAAGATAAATAAATATTTGATTCTGAAAGAAATTTAAGAGAAAGGAGAGATGACTTGGCAGGATTAGATACTCCTTAAAAAGATTACTGTGGTGTGACTGAAGAAACACCCAACAGGAGCCAGAAAACTTTCCTCTACCCCCCACCAAGTAGACAGCAAGCCTCTGGTATTGGGTACCATGTCTTACCCTAAGTGGAATACACCATGCCTACTGCACAGTCCAGTTTACAGTAGGCATTTAGTAACTGCTGAAGAAATAAATGAATGAACCAGATACTTAATCTCATACACACCACAATTTATATGAATCTCAGTTTGAATTTGATTTCTGTTACTCTTAAAATGATGGTGTTGTGTTAGTTATCTTTAAAATATAATGGATCTTAATATATTAAATATCTTGATTGCAAAAGAAACAATTTCCTGAGAATCAAAATTATTATATGGATTAGCAAGCTTGTCCAACCCACAGCCCACAGGCAGTATGTGGCTCAGGACAGCTTTGAATGCAGCCCAACACAAATTCATAAATTTTCTTAGAATATTATGAGATTTGTGATTTTTTGTGTTTTTTTGTTTGTTTGTTTTTTGTTTTGCTCATCAGCTATTGTTAGAGTTAGTGTATTTTATGTGTGGCCCAAGAAATTCTTTTTCTAATGTGGCACAGTGTATTAGTCTGTTCTTACACTGCTATGAAGAAATACCCAAAACTGGGTACTTAGAAAGGAAAGATATTTAATTGACTCACAGTTCCCTGTTGTTGGGGAGGCCTCAGGAAACTTACAATCGTGGCAGAAGGCAAAGGAGAAGCCGGCACCTTCTTCACAGGGTGGCAGGACAGAGTGAGTGCAAGCAGGGGAAATGCCAGATGCTTATAAAACCATCAGCTCTCAGGAGACTCACTGACTATCCCAAGAACAGCTTGGGGGAACTGCCCTTATGATACAATTACCTCCAACTGGTGGAACCCTTGGAGGATAATGGGGATTACAATTCAAGATGAGATTTTGGATGGGGACATAGCCAAACCATATCACCTAGAGAAGCCAAAAGATTGGGCACCCCTGGTTGTGCATCTCAAACTTTATTGTTTATACAAATCACCTGACAATCTTGTTAAATACAGAGTCTGGATCAGTAGGCCTGGGAGGGACTTAAAATTCTGAATTTCTAAACAGCTCCCACATGACACTGATACTTCAGTTCCATGAACCACCACACTTTGAATAGCAAAGGTTCAGGGGGTTGTGGAAATCCTTTCTTAGATTATAAAACATAAGAAAGAATGTCTTTTTTTTTGACAGTCTTGCTGTGTTGCCCAGGCTGGAGTACAGTGGCTCAATCTTGGCTCATTGCAACCTCTGCCTCATTGCAACCTCTGCCTCCTGGATTCAAACAATTCTCCTGCCTCAGCCTCCCTAGTAGAGTGGTTGGGATTACAGGCATGTGGCACCATGCCCGGCTAATTTTTGTCTTTTTAGTAGAGATGGAGTCTCACCATGTTGGTTAGGCTGGTCTCAAACTCCTGACCTCAAGTGATCTGCCAGCCTCAGCCTCCCAAAGTGCCAGAATTACAGGCGTGAGCCACCGTGCCCAGACTAAGAATGTCTTAAGACAGATACAAATACATTACTATTTAAGTTCAGAGGAGGTATGGAGGATTATTTGTGAAAGACATGACGTTTTACCTTCAATTGAAGGGTGAGTGGGCTTTGTGACAGCACATTACAATTTGCAAACTGTTTTTCACCTCATATTCCAATGGTTATTTACAGATTTTATAGACTCTTTTAAATCTCACACTGAACCAAAGAAGTGGACATAGACTTTAAGTACTATTATACAGAGCAGCAAAAAGGATTCAAAGAGACTGCTGATGTTCCCAGGCAGTGAACAGCAGTTCTGAGACTAGCATATAGGTCTTCTGAATCACAGTCAGTGTTTTTGTTCAGATACATTACACTTCCTCTAACTAGATGAAGATTAAGCCTATAGTGCTATGAACTTATCACTCATGATGTTTGACGTTGCTCACCAGGACACAAATAGTGAGGGATCCCTAATGAAATACATTACCATATGATGTAAACAAGCCACTATAGCTATTTTTCTTCATACTTGCCAGCTATTTTTGAGATTCAATGCCTTTGCTTGGAAATTCTCAAGTAAGGATTAAATGGGACAGAATCAACAGGCTCTGAAATATCCATTTCCCATGGAAAAAGGTATTCATGGAAATATCAAACAGTTTATCAAAGATTTATAAAACCAAGAGTTTGGCAACAGATTTGGTCTCCAGTCCTTCCTCTGTTAGTACACACTAATACCCAAGCAGTTGTTTTAAAATGTTCAAGTGGTTTTGAATGCACTATGATATGTTTTTCACTCTCAGCGTTCATGAAGGTCAAAGGTACAGAGATAAATATGACTGAGAAAACATCAAACATTAACAACATATTAGTAAACCAGCAGAGCTCAAGTATTTAGGCATTACTTAAATTTTAATAAATGCTGTCTTCAAAACCCTTTGTTCAGCTGATTGATCTTAAACAGCTTTGTCTCCCTAGAGACTTACCAGTAGAGTCAAATGTAAATTTATATTTTAATGTTTCCCTGTGGTCCAGGTAAAATTTTCCCAGAAAATGAGGACAATTGCATTAATTCTCACAGATGCAAAACAATTCCCTTGTCCTTTGCTAAGTTCTAATTTTGGTTTGTTGGGTTGCCCCTCTGAAAAATAGCATATTCAGCAAGATCTATATATTAAAAATAGCTAGGGCAGAAGTTACAAGACTTTGAACACATGGTTCAGTGGCCTATAACACTCAAAAACACATTCAATTCAAACTTCTAATTGTCTGGTATTTTTTATTTGTACCAATTCTACTTTTGTGGGCTTTCATGTAAAAAATAATCCGAGCAGCTTCTTCAGAAGTTGAGAAAAATCTTCTATCCTTACAAATGCTCTCTCAAGCAACAGGGATGGTACCACAGGCTTTGAGACAGATGGTAGCCAATCCAAATTCAGTATGGTAAGCAGGCACCACTCAATAAAACTTTAATTGCTGCATATGGTATCTGCTAACTTGTTTAGAAAATGGATATGCAGCATTAGCTCAAAGCATTTAAATGGCCTGATAGCACTGGACAGCATGTTGGGCTGCCACCTGGAAGACCCAAATTTCATAGCAGATGTAACACTAGAAGAATAAAGCTGGTGGTTGATAGTCCTGGAATGGAGATGACATAGTAAGCACCCAGCTGTTCCCCCCACCCACACTGACTCCTATTGCTTTGGTGTCACTTCCACCAACTCCTGAAATCACTCATGTATTGTTTTCTCCTCCCAAGGAGAGAAAAAAAAATAACTAAGCTATACCATAAGGTTGAAATGGGAAGGGGTTCATGTCCCTACTATAGCCTGGGAAATGTGGAAGATGCTTTTGAATGCAGTTCAGGGAGAAAAAAAAGGATAAAGATCTGGATGGAGAATGCCCGACATATGTGCAAATTTGTGCCAAAAGATGAGAGCCAAGACAGAAGAGAAGGTTCCTTCTGAGAGTGCTGAAGAGATCCTTGCAATTTATCATTTGCATTTGTCTTGCCCTGGCAAACAATAAATAACACTCTACACATGCTGAGGAGGTCAGCTTATCAGCCCCCTGATTTCAGAGACTGATGAAGAGTGAAACTTGCCATTTCTTAAAACACGGACTCTTTAACCCCTTCCTGCCGAGTTAGGTAGCATAATGAGTAAAAAGAGAAAGAGAATTTCAAGATCTCAGTCTATTTAAAGACAGAGGAACAAAACTAATTGTTTTTCAGAAAGATTGCAGAGGAATACTCACTTTTGCACATCAGTGCTATGCTCCACCCCACCCCAATCTAAATTAAGAAAACCCACAAACGCACTTTCCAGGCACACTATTGATTTCTGACCTGTAAATTACTCTCCATCAAAAAGGTTCTGGTGCAGACTAGGGGTTTAGAGTAGCCTGGGTACTTCTCAGCTGCAATCTGCATAATGTTTAGTATTCAGTGAGTTAAAGCAGGCAATGAAAGGGAACTGTCAACGCAATCTAGAAGATATAAAGAAATGAAGGGGGGGGGGAGCCGTATGTTAATAATCCACTCAGTAATTAAGTGAAGATCGCTGCCAAGCGCCACTGCCACTTTCAAAGGGTAATTTGTACAGGAAATCATAGAGTCATTGTCAAATCATTTCAGGATAAAAGGAAAGTCATCAACTGAGATAAGATAAATGCTGGGTGTCTGGCAGCATGTGCCCTAGGAAATGCCTTTGCTTTTAGTTTTTTTTTTTCTTTAAAAAAAAAAACCTTGCAAAAGTGGGGCTAGAAAAACTTGACAGGTTGAAATGTACATTTACTATTAATAATAGGGGCAGTCTATGCATGGATGCGTTTTTAAATAGGTTACTTGAACAAAAAAAATGGTAAAATAGATCAGTTAAGAGGACTTAACTTGTAACTAGTATACTGTATGTGATTTTTCTGTTTCTGCCCTCCACCCTTCGTTTGGAGCCATAAAGAAGTTTTCAATCATTTCCCTTTTGCTTCTCAATTTTAGCTAAATTATAGTATTTTAAAAGTATTACTAAACATCCTGTTCTCTTAGGAAGACAATAATTCCACCCCTGAAATATTTTTTTAAGAAAATCAAAGGGGGAAGAAAATCATCTTTTTCATTTACTTTTCCCTTTTATGCTCTTGAATTAATACTTTAATGTTGAGTTTGCTTTATCTCACAGGGAATACTGCAAAATTAATGAGTGAAGTTTGTGAGGTAGCTATAGTATTTTTCTGGAAAAGTAGAGGATAGTGGCTTAAAAAGCGTTATTCTTATGGAAAATTTTCAGCATAGATATATATTCTGTTTGTTATTCAAATTTACATACTCCTTCATTGACTTATTCCAACTTAACCTGTGTTAGACAAATGGCTCCAAAAAGAATACATTGGTTTATGCATTTGTGGGTAGCTATTTTGACACAGTTAAATTGATTCCTTGGATGAAATGTTTCACCCAAATATTTTCTTAAAGCTGATGTCTTCTGTCATACTGAAAGAAAAGTTTGTTTGCTCTAGGGGGCAAAATGTCGTGATTTTTGAGACTCACTGTTAAAGGACTTTCCCTATCATGTCACTGCTCCGTCCAATAATGCGTGGATAGTGGCTCATGGCTGTAATCCCAACACTTTGGGAGGCCAAGGTGGGTGCATCACTTGAGGTCAGGAGATCCAGACCAGCCTGGCCAACATGGCGAAATCCCATCTCTACTAAAAATACAAAAATTAGCTGAGCATGGTGGTGCATGCCTGTAATCCCAGCTACTCAGGAGGTTGAGGCATGAGAATCCCTTGAACCCAGAAGGTGGAGGTTGCAGTGAGCCGAAATGGTGCTGCTGCACTCCAACCTAAGTGACAGAGTGAGATTTTGTCTCAAAAAGCAAACAAACAAACAAAACAACCAACCAACCATGGATAGTGAAATCAAGATAATGGGTCTTCATGGGATGCCTAAACATAGGAAATATGTAATCATTGTTTGCTTGAGGTGTTTTCTATTTTTTTTTATTGCTTGGCAAAGTCATTTTGGTATGAAACCATAGATTTTGTAATATGTGACTAATGATGTTATTCATTTAACCAACATATAAAGAGTACCTGCCTTCTGGCCAGGTATTGTGTTAAGACACTGACCCTACTAAACTCTTTGCTAAAGAGTTTCTTTCTAATGTTAGAAGCAAATGAACAAATAAATAATTGATATATTTGAACATTTTCATTCTCTAGATATTGTCATTATGCATATCAGTTTGCATCTCAGGGCTTATTATTTGGTTCTTAAAAGGACATTTGGATAATTTAGTGTTGACTTCCAATGAATCCTTCACAACAGTTGTGAATCTGTAAGTTTGTCATTTGTCTCATCCTTCTTTCTCTTTCTCTCCTCTTCCTTCCTTTCTTTTTTTTCTTTGTCCCTCCCTCACTTCCTTCCTTTGTTTACCCTCCAGTGAGCTACTGATTTATCCATCTTCCCATTCAATTCTACAGAGCAACTTATGTAATGAATATTGTGATGTCAGAATACAGACCATTTGTGCCTTGGAAGTTACAACTTGAATGATGGGAAAGAGGATATAAAATTGAGGAAAAAAGAATACAACTGTCATAAAGCATAGTATTTTATTCTAAGCAGCAAGGCAACTACTTTCTGGGCAGAGTTAACAGAATTCATTTAGAGTATATAATTCAGGTTATTGACTTAACAAGATTGGTTGTCTGATTCTCCTGGAAATCTTTTCTCTTTCATTAAATTTTAGTAACATCAGCAGGCAGTTGAGGTGGGAAATAGTAAAGCAGACATACTAGGAAGGCTGAGGTGACCATAAGAGATATTAAAAAATCAACTATTAAAGCATCGTTGTCTGGAAGCTTTTAGTCTAAGGGGACACAATCTTGTGCAATGTGTTCACATTTATTAGGAGAATATAAAAACTGGTGTTCTTAATAATGGCCCTGAATTTTTATCAACCTTTTAAAATATATAAAGTTATTGGTTATTCTGTGTAAGATAAAGTTTACTGGGAGCTCTCATATTTAAATTTAACTGTCTCTTCTCTGAAGTTAAAAAAATAAAAACAATAAAAAAGGCCTCATACATATGGATTACATAGTGGGTTGATTATTTTTGGTCTCATGTTCAGTTTGTTATAAACATTTAGATTTTATTAAAGTTTATGAAATGTTAAATTAATTAACTTAATCATATTTAAAAATTGTATACATAATATTTTAGAGCCTTTAATATACATCATAGTTTTCTGTGAGTATATAACAGTATATAATATTTTCCAAATATACTTCACCATAATATTCCCTTTTCAAGGAAGAGTTTGGGAAACTAGTCATCTGTGAGTACACCTCTTCTAATGAAACAGAAAATAAAAGTTTCTATTTTATTGATATTTAATAAAATTGAAACAATTACTGTTTAACGTTACATATTTGGCAAGCAAAAAATTAAAAATAGGCCATTTATTCAAAACTCTTGTCTTAAAGCTTAATATTAGAAGCCACCATTCATTGATGGTTATGTCCCATTCAACATTTATTTAATTATTCCAACAACCATATATGCGGATGAGCTTATTCGCATTCTACAAATGAGTACACTATGACTTACTCTTAATTATCTTGGTAAAGGCCATATACCTTATAACTTATAAGCAGAATTTTAAACCCAGGGGGCTCTGTCTGGTGCCAGAGAAATATTCTGTTATATGGCTTCCTTCTTTTGGGGAAACATTAAAAATTGTTTCAGAGATGAACATGAAAACAAACTGTATATTTATTTAGACATGATTTTGAGCGTAACCTGTATAAAAGGCTCTGAGATTCCAATGGAAAGACCTCAATCTAGAATAATAATTTTAAATCCTTGTATTGTTGAGAATAATGAGAGCAGAGTAAGGTCAAATATGTTTTTATAAAACAAATGAATTCTGGTTTTATCAACCCACACAATGAACAGTCTTAAAGAATAATGTGTTTCACAATATGATAAAATTGCTTTGAATGCTGATCTTGAAAAAGGCCTAAAGGGAAAGACTCCAGTATTAGCTCTTTAGCTTCTTAGAGGTATAGACTAACCTTTCTAAAACCCAAAGTTCCACTAATTTTTCAGAACATTAAAATCAATATTCTTGCTTCCAATTAGCTCCTTTGGAAAACACTGTTAGAAATCATTCTTCAGAGATGAGTTTTACTTTACATTTTAAAAAGTATAAACATCTTGTAAGGTTGAGAGTAAAAATTAAGAAATATAGATTGATGAAATTAGTGACTAATTTAAAAATGGGCCAAAAGTTTACTATACAAAACAAAATAGTTGCATAATTCACCATTTTCCATTATGATAACTAATGAAATTAAGGAAGTTAATGTCATTTTGTCTGGCTGAAATGTTTGCTCATCTTGGGCAAGGAGGCAAATAATTTCTTAGAAGGTGTGGAGATAGTTTCTAAACTTGGCTGCCATCAAGTCCTCCCCTCCTGATACATATAGGTCCTCCTTCCATCAGCGGTAGACTCTATTTTCTCTCCTCTTGAATCAGAAATGGTCTTCAAACTTACTTCAATCAACAGAATGCAGCACAAGTAACACTGCACCAGTTCCAGGCCTAATTTTTAAGAGGACTGACAATTTTCTCTTTCTGGGGAATTCAGCCACCATGCTATAAAGAAACTTTGGCAAGTCTACTGCATGAGGGAAAATCACATGGCCAGGGCGGGGGGGTGCGGATGAGGTGGGAGAGAGAGAAAGAGAGAGAAGACTCCATTTGCAGGAGTTACTGAAATGCCAGACACATGCACAATGCTTTCTTTGATATTTCAGCTTGGCCCAGTGGCAGCTCAAGCCAGCTGAGTGAGTGACCTCAGTCAAACCAGATGGGGCAGAAGAATCATCCATCTGAGCCCTGCACAAATTCTGGATCCATGGAATCATAGGAAATAATACAATGTTGTTGTTTAAAGCCACTAGGTTTTGGTATGAATTATAATGTAATAAGTGATGAAGGCAGAGTTAAACAAAGAATAGAGAATAAATTCTCTACTACACTCTGTAAATTTGTATATATGTTCAATGTTCTCAAAACAGACTAAAATATATTAATAAAAATTCAGGAGGTTACCAAAGGTGCTGTAAGTTTCCCCAAATTAGTTTTTTCCCCATATTCAAAAAATGGGAAGTTTAAATAAAAGACATTTATTAGAAAAGAAAATGAGCATTAATAATCCAAGTATTTCAAATCCAAATGCCTACACCGACTAGACAATTACACACTTACCAATTTGTCCAGGTGTAAGAAAATAGTGAAGAGAGAATTCTGATAAGATATTGGCAACATTTTTCAAAATGTTAACACTTTTTGTACCATTTAAAAAATAAACTATGAAATTGGACTCTCTCAATCGGCTTTAATGTCCAGGACAAAATCTCAGGTTTTACAATTAGCAAATTTATAAAGTGTTCTTATCCTTAGTATGAATATATTTAGTTCATAATTTATTTAGTGAAATTTCACTTGGTTAAAAAAATCTCAGTACTATAGTATGCTAAACAAATTTCAGAGTCAGAAAGGAAGACATTTAATTTAAATTAATTATGAACAATTTGCTTATTCAACTAAATATGTAAGCAGTCAGCTCTTTGAAGCATTGATATGTTTAGAGGATAACAAGCATATCTGGGAACAGTAATTTTTAGAAACCCCAAATCCTAAGTAACTGTACTATTTAGAACCAATTGCCATAGTGTTCCTGAATAACTGCCAGTTTTTTTCCAGTAGAGAATTTTATTTAGTGTGAATGATTTGTAATAGCTGGAAGGTCAATTGACAATGTGACTTGCATTTCTTTATCACCAGGTCATGACCCAAATCACTGAGGAAAAAGGCCTTCTATTTTTCTAAACTTCCCTGGTCTCACAGACTGCTTAGTACATGGAAATATTTTCTAAAGCCTGCTGGTGTAAGAAGCCCAATCACAGTCCTTCTTATTTACTCATTTGAAAATGAAGGTGATATGCAGAACCCTACTGGAAATTCTAGGACACTAGGTTCAAACATATTAAAAAATATTAGCTAGTCCAGCACTTTCCATTGCTTAAACAAAAATTGGTGAACATTATTTTGCTTAACACTAATTAATATTAAATAGGAGTATGTTTTAAATAGCACCTTTTATTCTCAAGGTATCGCAAAAGAGGTTTACAAAGTAATGAGTTAAAATAATGGGAACAGCTCGACTATGCTGGCAAATGGATCAGCCATTATGTGCCCAACAATAGCTCACACACGTATAAGTAATTAATGTCCTTCAGATGTACTTTATCATACTTACTTTTCACAGTGTTAAATTATTACCCTAATTTTTATTCCAAAGACTTTCCTATTTATCTGCTATTGAATTATTTTATTGAGCATATTACCATTTATTTTAAAAAATCACTATCATTTCAATTATTCTTGAAGGAGCTTTCTAGTTCATTGCCCTGCATATAATCTCATGGGCCACTTCTTGAGTATTAGAAAAAATTAAAAATAAGAATGGCATAAAAATTAAAAACTCAACTAGAATGAAACCTATTAGTTACTTTGTTTCTCTACACATTGCTACCAAGCTAAAGTAAATAGATCTTTTCAAGTTTGTTTAAGGCAAATGGGGTGTGTATATATGTCTGTGTGTGTGAAATATATTTGGGATTATTTTTATTATTCTTTCCTTAAGCAATGATAGACAAATATCTATATTATTATGTTAAATATTAGACATCTGATATTTTATGAAAGATACATACATTGAATAAATTGTTTTGTTAAAGTATTTTTCATGAATGAAACATCAGACTACTTGGAAGGTAAGCCAACAAATGTTAATGATTCATCTTGCAAAATGAATGCAATAGTTTTAGACAATCAGTGAATAGCCAATGTTTCACAAAGGTGATCACTGAACACACAAAATTGAAAAAAAAACTTAATGTATAGAACAATAAATGCTGTGGCAATGGATAATTATCAGTCTTACAAATCCTAATCATTTTATGGTTTATCTTAATACAGTTAAATATGTTCTTTGAATTACTTTATCTGTAACAATATTTAGATTTTTTTCCCCCAGGCTTCTGTTGGTGATATTTTCCAAATCAAGTGAAGGAAAAGAAAACTCAGTCATTATAAAACATAAAGCAATCTGTAAAATTATAAAGCTTTTCCCTTCTTCTCCCCCCACTCTCCTTCCCACATCAAATGTAGACCATATGCCAAGGCTACTCCTTAACCATAACTGACTGTTGTTACTGTAGTAATCAGTCTCTGTCAGAGCAATTACTTAAAATCATCCGTCCTGGTTGTTTTTCACAATCCACAGCACACTGAGCAGAACAATGCAGCTGACAATCCGAATGGCGCAGATGGAATTATCATACCTCACACTCTGCCTGACTGACAGTTACCTGCAGGAAGCGGGGAAGGACCCTATCATCTGGAGGGGCAGCTTTCTTATTGCCAAAGAGGGGGAGAGAAAGCCCTTGCTGCACTTTTGTCATCTAGGGAATCAGCAGAGACTTCCTCCTGGCATGTGCAAAACAAACAATGACATTATTCTTCTGGATAGGCAGCTGGGTGGGCATCATCCATAAAGAGGCATTGGTTTTAAGATATTAAACAGGTTAATCAATAGGTGTTCCAGCTTTTGCAAGACCCTCATTAGCAGGCCATATGGACTGAAATTCATTAGCTTCTCTTGCCTCTAACCAGATCAATATTCTAGGAACTGTCCCAAAGTACCTTGTTTAGACAAATGTTTGTTTCTCACATTTCCTAACCAATAGTTGTTAGAGTGTGTGTGATATGTGTGTATGTGTGTGTGTGTGTGTGAGAGAGAGAGTGTGACAGAGACAGTTTTGGGGTGAGGGCTTAAGAGGTTGATAGCCTGACCCAATTGCATCAATTGATACAATCACCATTATATATAAAGGGTCAAGTTTTTAAATAGGAGTCCTTTTAACTAAGCAAATATTATCTTTCCTTATCCTCTTATTAAAAAAACAAAACAACACAGACAAATAAAAAGATAAGGAATGTCTTTGGGGAAGGCAAAATTTTACTAGGGTGGAAAACGGAATCAAACAAAACAGTATTTTTCCTGAACTGCTGATGTTCCCAAAAAGACCTGCCTCTCTCCAAGTGGTGCCGGCTTCAATCATTCTGCCGGGAACCTGCAGAGTCAAGCCGCTCCGGCGAGAGCATCTGCTTTAATGAAAGTCACTGCAGGCTTTAGGCGCCTCCATAATCCTAAAAGCTGGAAATGTATTCATATTCATTTTCAGTGAATTCAGCTCAAAATAATTAGAGAAAGAAAGGGGGGGGATAACTTCTGGGTTCCATCTTTTGCTCTTGAACTATCTATGCCAAACGAAGCACGGGGCACATGAACTTAATGGGGATGAGTTTATAGCATACAGACATTTTGAAATACAGCACCTCTACACATGTATATTCTTTTTATAAATTTCTTTGACTGGCAAGATTCAAAACACTAAGAGAGAAGGAATTCATTTGTTTCAGTAGGGAAAAAAAGCAAATTAGAAGAGCTGAATTCTTACGACATGCTGATGATTAAACCTACATTAATCATAAACATTGATGGGCCACCAACAGGGCATGTTTAATCATTTTCAACCAATTGTGTAACTATGACTACCCTTCTGCTAGACTTCTTAAAAGTATTTTCTTAGTGGGAGCTGAGATATTAAAGTTGCAGGATACTCTTGGGTAATCAAATTTATTGCATCGCTATTCAGAAAATTGCCCAACATAGAGGTTGTTAAAGAGGCACCACAAAATATAGGCCTTCTGGCTGTATTTGTTTCTTGAACACATTAGGAGATTTTAATATGGAGAATGTACAGTTATTTTAATTTCACATTCAGTTAAATTTGGGGAGTGCAGCCTAAGAAGTGCTTCATAACGAAAACCTGGAAGGTGCTAGAAGACCCGTTCTGCAAGGGTTGGGGGTCATTCTCCATTTTGAGTCTTGAGAAAAGGGTATGACAAGGTGTGATGCCCCACATTCACTAGGAGTTAGTGACCTGTTGTGAACTGAAGGAATGAGAAGAACATAATCTTAGCTTATATCTACACCTGTGCTACTAGCTACATGTGGCTATTGAGTGTCTAAAATGTGGCTCATTCAAATTGGGATGTGCTGTCAGGATGAAATACACATCAGATTTTGGAAACTTAGAAAAAAGAATGCAAAATATATTAATAATAAATTTCTGATATTTTTTAATGTTGAAGTGATAGTATTTTTGATATATCCAGGTTAGGTACAATATTAAACTAATTTTACCTGTTTGTTTCTTTTTAATTTTTTTGGTTTGTGTGGCTAGTAGATATTTAAAATTATACATGTGACTCACATTATATTTCTTTCGGACAGCATGGGCCTACACAATCTATGCGCCATGCTAGTCATTTCACATATACCTTCTCCTTAAATCTTTATAGCAACTTGGTGAAGAAGTTATGATTATTCCCTATTTATTGATAGGAGATAGGCTCAGAAACATCAAGGACATTGCTTAATACACACAGCTACTTGGTAGGAAAACTTTATTCATAGAAGATTGTTGTCATTTCAAAAGGCCCTTTTCTTTCCAGAAAGTCTTCCTTCTTTTCACGTCCTATTACTGATTGTTGTTAGTTGCAAATGAGAATAAACGTTTTGATTTTTAATGCATATGTTGTCTAGTTTGCCTTATTCAGTGTTTCCCACTGGGGATGCTATCTCCATTTAAGGTGGGGAAATTCTAGCTTACATGAGACTGTCCCAGGATTTTTGCAGGATTTTCAGCATTCCTGGCCAGAATCCATTAAAGATGTTTCCTTAACTCCCATGAGGGTAATCATCAAAAAAGCTCCCCCTTCATTTCCAAACAACCCCTGAGGTGATGTTATCACATTGTGTTTGGAGACATTGATCTAGACTATGGAGCCTGCAAACTATGGCCCAAAAAACTGGACCCATGTGTGTAAGTAAAATTTTCTTGGAACATAGCTATGCCCTTTTGTTGACATATATAGCTGCTTTTACACTGTGAGGCCAGAGTTGAATAGTTTAGAAAAAGACTGTATAGGCTGCAAAACTAAAAATATTCACTCTCTGGCTCTTTAAAGAGACAGAAAAAATCTTTGGGTCTACCTAGATCTATTTCTATGTTATTCTGTCTATCAATTAACAATCTTGCTTCAGGACTTGCATTTTGAGGCTTGTTTCTCTTTGATTCTGATTCTTATATTCTATACCTCTGAGTACACTATTCCCACTCCCTTATACACCTTAATCTATAAAATTTTATTACTTCTAGCTCTTTCTGTAGTGGTATTGTGGTCAGAAAGCCTGAATTCCGGTCTGGGCATTGTCACTTACTACTTGTGTGTCCTTGAGCAGATCCTTATTTACTGTCTCTGAGACTGTCTTTGCCTATCTGATATGGAAGGCAAGTAATTTTTACCTCTCAATAATTGGCATGATGATGAAATAATCCAATGATACTAAAGCACCTAGGATAATACCTGGGACATTATAGGTTTCTCTTCTTTCCCTAAGATGGATCTAAAACACAAACTAACAGACTATCTCTTTGGATTCATGAATAAACACACCTCCATAAACGTTTTTCATCTGTTCCCCTCATTCATTTTTGTGTTACTTCCAGTATTAATTCTGTGGCCTTCAAGAGTGTCATAATGAGAGTATTTGTCTCATCAGAAGCATTATTTTTTTCCTCTCAGTTAGACCAATGACCACTAATACCAGTGATCAAGTGAGAAGGGTCACTGAAATAGACTGCTCAGCCAAAGAAGAGGGCATTGAATTCAATTTGTAGTTGACCAGATGCTTAGAAATCAAAGAGGTGCCATGTTGTCTTATTGCTTAAAGCAAGTAAATAACCTCGCAAAGAAGTTCAGAATTAATTGGAGTTGAAATAATTATAGACGATGATAAGCCAGCCACCAGAGAAATGCAATAGTCAAGCTGTGTGGTAACAAATGCACTGATTAACATATGTCAGGACAGCACAGAATGTAGCTGAGAAACAGAGAATTATGAAGGTGAAAAAAATTACCGGCTTCAATAACAGTTTTTAGTTATAGCTCAGTTCTCTATTTCTGAAATTGGAGATAATTCATTCTTAAAAAAAAAAAAATCTGTTTTAGTGAGAGAGAATATAAGCCTGAAAGGCCAGTGTGCCACCTGACGAGCCGAGCCACTGATTTAGAATAAACAAATATATTTTAACATCCAAAGAGATACTTTCGTCTTGTGACCAGCTGATTAGTGAGCCATCCTCAGCTCCTGCAGTTGAACAAGGGTAATCTCCCTGCAAATGAGGGTCTCTCTACCACTCAAAGCGTAAACGGACCTATTGAAGCTGAAACTTTCGCTTTAGAACTTCAAGAAAACCACTTCACCTAAAATGAGCCCGGTGAGTATGAAAGGACTGACATGTGACCCAACTGTAGCCCACAGCTGAATAGGAATCCTGGAATAATCCATATTTGTATGACACTAAAGTTCTTAAGCACTTTCACCTGTATTAACTCGCATGTGAAATGGCCAGGTTGATTAACTTATTGAGAGAAAACAAGATCGTTCTTTCAAGATCGCTCTTTGCAGATCTAAACCTCCTCCCACCCTCCTGAGTTTTTCCACAGAATTTAGGACATGACTCAGTTTCTTAACACATTGGGGGAAAATTTCTTCAAAGAAAGGAGTGATGTGTGAAATTAAGAAACAGAAGGAGCATAAGGAAGACAATATGGTAACACACAGTTAAGTTTCCAAGACTTGAGAATATATCTCTCGCAAAATATCCCTGTATGCTAAAGTGCATTCTGTTTATTCTAGCTCGGTGGCTCAGCTGGTCATGTAATATGCTAGCAAATGGCAGACTGAAAATGTAGAGCAAGGTTGGACTATCAGGGCTTTCATCAAAAGGAAACTCTGGGGCTTGGTGTTAGTTTGTACAGTCTAGGGGGCTTCAGAGAATGACTAAAAATGCAAGATGGGAGAAAGAGAAAGGAAAATGAAGAGTCCTTCAGACTTAATCAATGGTTAGCATCCAGAGCCCCTCTCAGAATTGTCCATACTAGTAAAACATAAATAAATCCACAGAGAATTTCAGCTTAATTGGGACTCTTATTATCGTAGCCTGTATGGGCTCACCTTAGAAGAGAAGTGTCATCGTAATTGAACACTCATTTGGTTTCAGACTCTGCTAGTTGAAGGGAGGATGCTGTTCAGCACACAATTCAGGTAAAAGAATGCTACTTGGCCTGAGCAGTTTCCAAAGAACTGAGCAAGCCAGATAATTTTATGGCAAGTGAACTCTTGCTAGAGAAGTGATTATCAACATTTTATGTTTTGCAAAAAGCCTTATAAGCATTTAATGGAATATGCCCTCATCACTTTCCTGCTGTTTTTACCTTTTTTTTATAGATTAGGAAACTGAGGTTCAGTGACTTGCAGAGAATTTCCAGGGTCAATAGTAATTCAGCAGCAAAGTTTCATAATATCACACAATCACAATAACAGAAGGATTTAAAAATAGCCTTCCAATGCATTTGCAGAATGAATTATACCCACAAGGTTTCTTTTTGGCCTGAAAAAATAGACACATCTCTCTACCTCCTTTATGTTGATCTTATTACACTCTTAAGGTAATAGACTTTTCAGTGAAAAAATATTTCACTTCACTTACAAAGAGAAAATTCCATTAAACCAAAGCCTATAAAAACAAGCAGAGCATATTGCATATTGCATATATTTTCATTTCCTCATGTCCATAATTATCCTGATTTTTTTTTATATTTAGGTACATTGGCTAGTGTTTATTTTTCAGAGGTGTTTTAAAAGATCACATCTAACTAGCAAATCTTCGATGTTAGAAAAAAGACAGTTGATTGCTAGTTGTTTCCCCAAAATTTACAAAGATAAATGTTCTATAGTCTCTCCTAGAAGTATCCCTCAATTGATTGTGTTTTAACATCATAAGCCATTTTTCAAATTTCCCAAGGACATCTGAAAACTCATAATCCACCTCCAAGATCTTAGCACTGTGGGTTTTCTGCTAACCCAATAGTCAGCTCTCTGTTTATCCAAAAAACCCCACTAATTTGTACAAGCCTAAGAATCACTCCTACGAGTCTCATGATGTTTGTGCTGATAGCTGCTGAACTATGAATAAGACTTTATTAAATATCTGAGTCTTCAAATTGTGTGTATGAAATCCCTTACGTTATTATTCTCTTTTTGTTGGGTAAGGGCTACAGGTTTGAGAAAGAAGCTAACATGCTTGTTAGAGCTCTATTCTCAAAAAAGAACATGAAGTGTAAAGCCAAACTCAACTGAGGCTGGGCAAAGCTTTTTTCCTAAGTGATAGTTCACAAAGAGTAAATAATTACTAGGGAGGAAGACTATGAATTATTAGGTTGGCACAAATATAAGTGCAGTTTTTGCCATTACTTTTAATACCAGCTCTTTATGATGTCGGCTCATGACTAGTTTTTAATTTTTTGTCTGTAATATCTCCCAATGTAACTCACCTTTTAAAATTAACAATATGTTAATCTCCTTCACATTTTACTCTCATTTGTCCTTGATCTCAGAACATTCAGTGGCTTCCAGATACTTACAGGCAATCAATTCCTGGGTGGTTTACCACATAAGGTCCTTCACTTTCTGATTGCTTTCTAGATGAACCATTTTTTTGTGATAGCACAGCTGGCTTATTCATTGCTCCCAGAGTACATCAAACGTTTATCAACATTTTCTTTGCCTAGAATGCTCTTCCACTTTTGTTCCAAGTCTCTTTTCTTCAAAGTTCTGCTAAATCCCACCCTTTCTGTGAGGGGACTACCCAGGGAGTGTTATCCTTTAGTAAGTGTTTCCTCCTTGGCAGTCTTGTAATTTCTTTTACCCATAACATTCACTTAGTACCTAATACATGCTAGACCATATTATCATATATCTTACTCTCTGTCCATTCAGGTTCTGTATACAAGTGTTGTGTTCCTAGGATCCTGCAGTTAATAATGGCCAGTGGCACTGATGGTCATTAACGTTCAATACCACGTGCCAGGTAAGTCAGGTGGTTCAAGCACTTTGCAAGCGTAACTCACTTAGTTCTAACAGCAGTCCTAAGAGGTAGATACCATTATGATCTCCATTTTAAAAATTACAAAGCTGAGGCACAGAACAAATGACTTTTCTTGTGCCACCCAGCTGGTAAATGGTGGGGTTAAGATTGGAACCTAGGTGGTTCAACTTCAGATTCCCATCCACTTAAGTAATATGCAATACTGATGATTATTGAAGAAAAAAGTATATAATTTTATAGTTTTAGGCTAAAACTTTTCATAGTATGAGAAGAGAAAATCTAAAATATGCCATATTTAAGTTTAAAAGGGTCAAAAGTCTAAAGCTTTAAGGACTTGGATTTTTTAATGGATAAAGATGTATATGTTCATGCAAAATTGTGTTAGCCCATGAATTGAGATCCAGGTAAATCAGGCTCCCAAACACCACTGCTTCCCTTAGCTGCCTACTTTCTCATGAAGGTGCACTCTTCCTTTATTTTTCCTTTGTATTTATGTTACTGCTGGAGGAGAAACACAGAAAAACTCATTTTTTAAAAAGAGCTTGAAATGATTGTTTTAATATTAAGTATGTCTGATATGTCTTTTTCAAAATGATGAGCATATCTACATAAAAATAAAATAGTTTGAAGATGAGAAATAAGCAAGATTTGGCTTTGTATTTCTTCTCTTTTTTCAAGGAAGTCATATATTGACTGTGTTATTTCAACCTGTCTTAACAAGTGTATGTAAACTAATGGTCAAATGAAAGCTGTCACTCATGAGACGTTTTATTGCGGTGAGAACCAAATTTGCATTATCTTGGGATTCCTTATCATATAAACTAATAAAAGACATCTATTAATGTTTGATATTTTTATTTTTATTATAGATTTAATAATCATTATTTTCATTAAAACTTAATAACATAAATTGGTGGATACTACAGTTTGATTGAAAAGCCTAAAAACATTTATACCTTGTGGACATTAATTCCACTTATAGAAATCTATCATTAGGGAATAATAAGAAATGCCAAAAAAATTGTAAGCAGGTATGTTTACTACAGTACTACTTATGCAGTCAAAAACAAAACCTTGTCAAATATTCTGAATTAGAGGAAGTAAATCATGGTACAGTTGCACAATAGAATATTTATGTAGTAATTAAAAATGAAGAGCACTTTAATGACATAAAAATGCTTTTAATAATCAGTAATGTTGAGAAAAATGCAACACACAAATTATATATACAGTGTGAGTACAAATATTAAGAGAAGAATAGATAAGAAAGGAGTCAGAAGAAGGTATCCTGACATATGAATTACAAATGAAAAAACTTACAGAAAAAAGACAGGAAGTAATTATGGAACCATGTTTATAAGGGTATTTCTGCACAGTGTGATGATAGGTGGTCCATTACTTTCTTCTCTATAAATTTCTTTATTTTACAACATTTTAAAAATGGATTTATTCCTTTTATTATCAGGAAAAAATCTTTGGTTTAAGAAAGTTAATGGCAATTTCAATAGAAATGGATAGGATTCAGGAAAAGAAGATAACCAAATATGAGTTCTGACATTTTATATTTTGAATTGATTGTTTATGTTATTAAAGGTCACACATCTGCAGAGATTAATTAAACTATAAGTTCATAGCCTCTGGATCCTTTGTATGTCTGGCTTATGGTACCATTCTTCATATAGAATTCCAGTACATGTTTATTAACAATTAGTAATTTTGTGTTGCTATAATAGAATATCTGAGATTAGGTAATGTATAAATAAAAAAATGTTTATTTGGCTCACAATCCTGATGGCTGGAAAGTTCAAGATTGAGCATCTGCCTCTGGTGAGGGCCTTAGGCCACTTCCACTCAGGGTGGAGGCCACATGGCAAGAAAGGAAGCTGGAAGGGGTGGCTGGGAGGTGCCAGGTTTTTTTTTTTTTTTTTTAAACAACGGACTCTCTCTGGAATTAGTAGAGTGAGAACTGCTTCTCCCAAAAGGAAGGACATTAATCTATGCATGAGGGATCTGTCTCCATGACCCAAACACCTCCTATTAGGTCCCACTTTCTTCCAACACTGGGGATCAAATTTTGACATGCGCTTTGGAGGGGACAAATATCTGAACCGTAGCAGGGATTATGTGAACACCCTTTCTCAACATATAGATTCTTTCAGAATATTAAGTGTGAAGCAGAGACATACATATTTACCTACTTAGAAAAGGTATACAACTACCTCTGTATTATTTGCTTTAAGCCTTTATTTTTAGATAAACTATTATATCCCCAAAGTATTTTCACATAGCTGTGGAATCCCAATACACTTTTTGTCAACAACTCTGTCAGAACAGAATTCATTCAAAAACATTATTTTTTGAACCAAGACTTATTTTGTCATCTCCAGAAATATTGAGGAGAGTAGAACTGACAAGATAATAGCCTTGATTATGCCTTCTGAGCGTCTGAGTGAGGCACAAAGCTGAATCACAAACATGTCTTACATAAGATGGATCCACCTCTAAATACATTTTTATACTAGAGAAATTTACTTGCAATCCATGCCATCATTTTTTATTTCTAGTATGTTACTAATGCTTTTAGTTCCACAGCAAACCAGTGGAAATATATATTTATGTGGGGCTCTGAAACGGCTTCTCAATCATGTCTTCCAATGGAAATATATGGGAATGCAAATAAAACTTTGTGGGCAAGATGTTCTTTTCAGTGTTGTTTACGTAGTTAAAAAAGGAGAATTATTCTGAATTCACAGATTTGGAAGAAGTAAACGTCATTAAGATTTTAAATCATAATTTAAAAGTACTTATGATGGAGTTTTATTGAAATAGAAAGATAACTTTAATAAGGTAAAAGCCTCAAACCAGCATATAATATTATTGGTAATGGTTTATTAATACGTAAATTCTCAAATCTCTCAGTCTCTATTTCTTAACAACATAGCAGGGTTAACGTTGTTTAAAGAAAACACTCTTAACACTTTGGTAGCGCTCTGAAATATTTTAATGGCCTGAATGTATCAAACAACATTTCTCAATAATAGAATGACTCAAAGTAACAATTGCTTAGAAGAAGTGTTGCAGATCAAAATTACACTTCAAATTGAAGCTAATTTTAAAAATCCTTATATAGCCTCATAATATGTAGGCAGTAGAAGAAATTTCGTGATTGTCGAAATAACTAATTTTACAGATGAGGAAACAATTTCAGCTACTTAGAAGCCAAAAAGACAAGCTGATTTTCTCTTATCTCACTGTTCAGGGCTCATTCTCTGAGATAAAGTCAAACTCTTCCTGAGAAAAATCTGTATAACATTTCTCAAACTGAGAAGTGGTTTCTTTAAATTCATTATTGTTCTAAGCCTCACTTAACAAAACAAAACCAAACCGAAACCCAAACACCATGTAAAGTGAAATTTAAAATGTAGTATTTGATTGTTTTGATTTATTTTAAATTATCCTTTCTACCTTTTGTCTTGATTGGATAAAGGCAGTATAAACTGGTTCTATGCAATTAAGAGTAGTTCTGTGCAATGAAAATGAAGTCTTATTTTAACTCTTATTTGAACTGACTCATAGTTCAGTGTGTTAGATGAAAATTAGAATAAGCATAATATATAAAAGGCTAATGAGTTTTAGTAAAAATTGAAGTGATGGAAATTTTTATATATTGAATTGGGAGTCTGTTAAGATTTTTTTCCCCTTCATACAAAGCTGAGTTTGGGAAAAGATTAGAGTATTTTGAATTCAATACCCTTTGAACTGTCATCACAAAGATTTACTTAAAAAAAAATCTATGGCAGAATTGTGAGGAGCTTTTCTTGGAAGGAAGTAAAACCACATTAGAAGTACTATGACAATAGCACTTTTCCAGGAAGTAAAAGAAATCAGGTCATGCTTAATGAAATCAGGCAGCAATCCTAGTCAACTGGAATGGTCTGGCCTCTTTTTCTCGTGTGGGTTTTGTGGAAATCAGTTTATGAAATTCCTCTGGGTGCTTTGTCTTATACACTTCTGTTCTCTTTCTTTTTCTTTTCTTCAAATTTTATTTTAAATTCAGTGGTACATGTGCAGGATGTGCAGGTTTGTTACACAGGTAAATGTGTGCCATGGTGGTTTGCTGAATAGATCATCCCATCACCTAAGTGTTAAGCCCTGCATCCATTAGTTATTCTTCCTGATGCTCTCCCTCTTCCTGCCCCCCACCAAAAGGCCCCAGTGTGTGTTGTTCCCCTCTATGTGTCCGTGTGTTCTCATCATTCAGCTCCTACTTATAAGTGAGAGCATGTGGTGTTTGGTTTTCTATTCCTGTGTTAGTTTGTTGAGGATAATGGCTTCCAACTCCATCCATGTCTCTGCAAAGGATGTAATCTCTTTTGTTTTTATGGCTGCATAGTATTCAATGGTGTATATGTACCATATTTTCTTTATCCAGTCTCTCATTGATGGGCATTTAGGTTGATTCCATGTCTTTGCTATTGTGAATAGTGCTGCAGTGAACATATGCATGCATGTATCTTTATAATAGAATGATTTACATTCCTTTGGGTATATACCCAGTAATGGGTAAAATGGTATTTCTGCCTCTAGGTCTTTGAGGAATCTCCACACTATCTTCCACAATGGTTGAACTAATAATTTACTCTCCCACAAATAGTGTGAAAGCATTCCTTTTTCTCCACAACCTCATCAGCATCTGTTGTTTTTTGACTTTTTAATAATAGCCATTTTGACTGATATGAGATGATATCTCACTGTGCTTTTGATTTGCATTTCTCTAATGATCAGCAATGTTAAGCTGTTTTTCATGTTTGCTGGCCACATATATGTCTTCTTTTGAGAAGTGTCTGTTCATGCCCTTTGTCCACATTTTAATGGGGTTGTTTGTTTTTTCTTGTAAATTTGTTTAAGTACCTTGTAGATGCTGGATATTAGACCTTTGTCAGATGGGTAGATTGCAAAAATTTTCTCCCATTTTGTAGGATGTCTGTTCACTTTGATGATAGTTTCTTTAATTAGGAATGGGCAAAGATTGTCTAATGAAAACACCAAATGCAATGGAGACAAAAGCAAAATTGGACAAATTCAATCTTTAATTATAATAGAATAATTTATATTCCTTTGGGTATATACCCAGTAATGGGTCAAATGGTATTTCTGATCTTTAATTAGACCCAATTTGTCCTGAATGGTATTTCCTAAATTTTCTTCTAGGGTTTTTATAGTTTCACGTTTTTCATTTAAGTCTTTAATCCATCTTGAGGTAATTTTTGTATATGGCATAAGAAAGAGGTCCAGTTTCAATTTTCCTGCATATGGCTAGCCAGTTCTCCCAACACAATTTATTAAATAAGGAATACTTTCCCCATTGCTTGTTTTTGTCAGGTTTGCTGACAGGTCAGATGGTTGTATGTTTGTGGTCTTATTTCTGAGCTCTCTATTCTGTTCCATTTTTCTATGTGTCTGTTCTTGTACTAGTACCATGCAGGTTTTCTGTTTTGGTTACTGTATCATTGTAGTATAGTTTGAAGTCAAGTAGCATGATATCCCCAACTTTGTTCTTTTTGCTTAGGATTGTCTTGGATATTTAGGCTCTTTCGTTGTTCCATATAAATTCTAAAATAGTTTTTTTCTAATACAGTGAAGAATGTCAATGGTAGTTTAATGGGAATAGCATAGAGCCTATAATTTACTTTAAGCAGTATGGCCATTTTCATGATATCGATTCTTCTTATCCATGAGCATGGAATGGTTTTCCATTTGTTTACATCCTCTCTGACTTATTTGAGAAGTGGTTTGTAGTTCTTCTTGAAGAGATCTTTCACTTCCTCTGTTAGCTGTATTCCTAGGTATTTTATTCCTTTTGTGGCAATTGTGAATAGGAGTTCATTCATGATTTAAATCTCAGTTTGTTTGTTGTTGCTGTATAGGAATGCTAGTGATTTTTGCATATTAGTTTTGTATCCTGAGACTTTGCCGAAGTTGCTTATCAGCTTAGGAAACTTTTGGGCTGAGACGATGGCGTTTTCTGGGTACGGGATCATGTCATCTGCAAACAAAGATAGTTTGATGTCCTCTCTTCCTGTTTGAATATGCTTTATTTCTTTCCTTTGCCTGACTGCCCTGGGCAGAACTTCCAAAATTATATTGAATGGGAGTGGTGAGAGTGGGCATCCTTGTCATGTGCCTGTTTTCAAGGGGAATGCTTGCAGCCTTTGTGCTTTTGGTATGATATTGGCTGTGGGTTTGTCATATATGGCTCTTATTATGTTAAGGTATGTTCCTTCAGTACATAGTTTATTGAGAGCTTTTAACTTGAAGGGATGTTGAATTCTATTGAAGGCCTTTTGTGCATCTATTGAGATAATTATGTGGGTTTTACCTTTTTTTTTTTTTTTTTGGTGATGGAGTCTTACTCTGCTGTCCAGGCTGAAGTTCAGTCTCATAATCTTGGCTCACTGTAACCTCTGCCTCCTGGGTTCAAGTGATCCTCCTGCCTCAGCCCCCAAGTAGCTAGGATTACAGGGGACTGCCACCACTCCAAGCTAATTTTTGTATTTCTGGTAGAGATGGGGTTTCATCATGTTGGCCAGGCTAGTCTCAAACTCCTGACCTCAGGTGATCCACCCGCTTTGGCCTCCCAAAGTGCTGGGATTACAGGAGTGAGCCACAATGCCTAGCCAGGTTTTGTCTTTAGTTCTGTTTCTGTGATGAATTACATTTATTGATTTGCATATGTTGAAGCAACCTTGCATCCTAGGAATGAACCTACTTGATTGTGGTGGATAAGCTTTTTGATGTGCTACTGGATTCGGCTTGCCAATATTTTTTTGAGGATTTTTCCATTGATTTTCATCCAGAATATCAGCCTGAAGTTTTCTTTTTTTGTTGTTGTTGTATCTCTGCCAGGTTTTGGTATTAGGGTGATGCTGGCCTCATAGAATGAATTAGAGAGGAGTCCTCCTTTACATTTTTTGGGGATACTTACAGTAGAAATAGTAGGAGCTCTTATTTGTCCCTGTGGTAGAATTCAGCTGTCAGTCCATCTGGTCCTTGGATTTTTTTGGTTTCTAGGCTATTTATTACTGCCTCAATTTCAGAACTTGTTACTGGTCTATTCAGGAATTCAGTTTCTTCCTGGTTCAGTCTTCGGAGGGTGTATGTGTCCAGGAATGTATCAATTTCTTCCAGATTTTCTAGTTTATGTACACAGAGGTACTTGCATTCTCTGATGGTTGTTTGTATTTCTGTGGGGTCAGTGATGCTATCCCACTTATCATTTCTAATTGTGTTTATTTGATTCCTCTTTTTTTCTTCTTTATTACTCTAGCTAGTGGTTTTTTAAATTAATTTTTTCAAAAAACCAGCTCTTGGATTCATTGATTTTTTGAAGGGTTTTTTCATGTCTCCATCTCTTTTAGTTCAGCTCTGATTTTGGTTATTTCTTGTCTTCTTCTAGCTTTGGGGTTTGTTTGCTCTTGATTCTCTAGGTTTTTTTTTTTTTTGTCATGATGTTAGGTTGTGAATTTGAGATCTTTCTAGCTCTTCGATGTGGGCATTTAGTACTATAAATTTTCCTCCTGACACTGCTTTAGTTGTGTCCCAGAGATTCTGGTATGTTGTCTTTATGTTCTCATTAGTTTAAAAGAACTTCTTGATTTTTGCCTTTATTCTATTATTTACCCTAGAGTCATTCAGGAGCAGATTGTTCAGTTTTTATGTAGTTGTGTGGTTTTGAGTGGATTTCTTAATCTTGAGTTCTAATCTGATTGCATTGTGGCTGAGAGACTGTTATGACTTCAGTTCTTTTGCATTTGCTGAAGAGTATTCTACTTCTGGTTATATGATCAATTTTAGATCATGTGACATGTGGCAATGAGAAGAATGTATACTCTATTGTTTTTAGGTGGAGAGTTCTGAAGGTGTCTATCAGGTCCACTTCATCCGGAGCTGAGTTCAGAATCTTGAATGTGTTTGTTAATTTTCTGTCTCAATGACCTAGTATTGTCAGTGGGATGTTAAATTCTCCCAGTATTATTGTGTAGGGGTCTAAGTCTTTTTGTACGTCTCTAAGAACTTGCGTTATGAGTTTGGATGCTGCTGTATTGGGTGCATATATATTTGGGATAGTTAGCTCTTCTTGTTGAACTGAACCCTTTGCCATTATATAATGCCCTTCTTTGTCTTTTTTGATCTCTGCTCATTTAAAGTCTGTTTTTTCAGAGACTAGGATTGCAACCTCTTTTTTTTTCTGTTTTCCATTTACTTGGTAAATTTTCCTCCATTCCCTTATGTTGAGCCTATGTGTATCTGCATGTGAGATGGGTTGCTTGAAGACAGCATACCAATGGATCTTGGCTCTTTATCCATCTTGCCACTCTGTGACTTTTAATTAGGATATTTAGTCTATTTACATTTAAAGTTAGTATTCTTATGTGTGGATTCGATCCTGTCATCATTATGCTAGCAAGTTATTTTGCAGACTTGTTTATGTGTTGCTTCACAGTGTCACTGGTCTGTGTACTTCAGTGTGTTTCTATAGTGACTGGTAATAGTTTTTACTTTCCATATTTAGTGCTTCCACCAGGAGCTCTTGCAAGGCAGGCCTGGTGGTGACAAATTCCCTCAGCATTTACTTGTATGGAAAGGATCTGATTTCTCCTTCACTTATGAAGTTTAGTTTGGCCGGATATAAAATTCTGGTTTGGAAATTCTTTTTAAGAATGTTGAATATCGGGCCCCAAATTTCTTCTGGCTTGTAGAGTTTCCACTGATCAGTCTACTGTTAGCCCGAGGATTTCCCTTTGTACCTGACATGGCCTTTCTCTAAGGCTGCCCTTAACATTTTTTTCTTCATTTTAACCTTGGAGAATATGAGGATTTTGTGTCCTGGGGCTGATCTTCTCATGGAGTATCTTACTGGGATTTTTTGCATTTCCTGAATTTGAATGTTGCCCTGTCTTGCTAGGTTAAGGATGTTCTCCTGGGTAATATCCTGAAGCATGTTTTCCAGCTTGGTTTCATTCTCCCCATCTCTTTCAGGTACCCCAGTCAATCATAGGTTCAGTCTCTTTACATAATCCTATAATTCTCAGAGGTTTTGTTCATTCTTTTTTCTCTATTCTTGTCTGCCTGTCTTATTTTCAAAAGACAGTCTTCAAGCTTGAGATCCTTTCCTCCCCTTGGTCTATTCTGTTAGTAATACTTGTAATAGCATTGTGAAGTTCTTATAGTGTATTTTTCAACTTTATCAGGTCAGTTATGCTCCTTTCTAAGTTGGCTGTTCTGACTGTTGGCTCCTGTATTGTTTTATCATGATTCTTAGCTTTTTTGCATTTGGTTACAGCATGTTCCTTTAGCTCTGCCAAGTTCATTATTATCCACCTTCTGAAGCCTACTTCTGTCAATTCAGCCATCTCAGCCTTAGCCCAGTTCATAGCCCTTGCTGGAGAGGTGTTGCAGTCATTTGGAGGAGAAGAGGCACTCTGGCTTTTTGAGTTTTCAGCATTTTTTCATTGATTTGTTCTCATCTTTATGGGCTTATCTACCTTTGATCTTTGAGGTTGCTGACTATTAAATGGGGCTTTTGTGGGGTCTTTTTGGATGATGTTCTTGTTGTTCTCTTTCTTTTCTCTTTCTTCTTTCTTTCTTTCTTTTTTCTTCTTTTTTTTTTTAAACAGTCTGGTCATTCTATTGTAGTAGGCCTGCTGTGGTTTGCTGGGACTCTAGTTGCCTCAGTTTTTCTCATACCTGGTGGTATCACCAGTGAAAGCTGTGAAACAGCAAAGATAGCAAGTTGTTCCTTCTTCTGGAAACTCTGTCCCAGGGGTTTACAGATTTGTTGCCAGTCCAAACGCACCTGTAGGAGGTGGCTGAAGACCCCTGTTGAGAGGTCTCACCCAGTCAAGAGGAATGGAATCAGGGACCTGCTTAAAGAACCAGTCTGGCTGCTTTTTGTAGAGCAGGTATGTTGCATTGGAGGGGACCCTTCCTCATCCAGACCATTTGGACTATCCAAAGCTGGAAGACTGGAATGGCTTGGTTGACAAAACTACAGAGTTGGTGGCTGCCTGTCCCCCTAGAAGCTTTATTCCAGGGAGGGAGCAGAGGTCTCTACATATAACCCTGGCTGGAGTGGCTGAAGCCCCCACAGGGAGGTCCTGCCCAGTGAGGAAGAATGAATCAGGGTCTCACTTAAAGAAGCAGTCTGGCCACAAGCTGGCAAGGCAGCTGTGCTGTGTGGTGGGGGATGCTTCCTCATCCAGACCATTAGGGCTCTCCAAAGCTGGAAGTCTGTAATAGCTGAATGAACTGCACTGCAGAGATGGTGGCCACTCCTCTTCCCTGGGACTCGGTCCCACCTCAGGCAGACTCCAGCCTGCTGCTGTTGGCTGGCTGGGATTCCAAGACAGTGGGTCTTAGCTTGTGAGGTGGTGTGGAAGTGGGGCCCACAGAATGATGCTGCTTGGCTCCTTGGATTCAGCCCCTTTCCTAGGGGAATGCATGAACAGATCTCCTGTTTTGTCAGGGGTCCCAGGGCCAGAATATATAAAACTCCTGGGTCTCTGTGTGTGCCTGAGCAACTGCTCTGCCAAGACTCCACACACCTCTGTGTGTGGCCTTAGTGGTGTGCAGGTTGCAAAGATCTTTGAGAGAAGCATGATTTCCTAGGTGGGATTGCACAATCACTTACCACTTCTCTTGGATGGGGGTGAGGGTTCCTTTGGCTCTCTGCCTCTCCTGGGTGGGCCATTGCCCCACCCTGCTTTTCTTCATTCTCAGTGAATTGAGTGGTTTGCCTTGCCAGTCCCAATGTGAGAACCTGTATGCTTCAGTTGAAGGCACTGAATTCACTTGTCCCTGTCATTCCTCTCTGTGAGTGCTGTGGACTACAGCTGCTTCTAATCAGCCATCTTGACCCCTCAATCCATTTCCGTTTTCTAATCCAAAATATATTATGAACAGAAGTACATACAATAGAAGGGAAAGGAAATTAACATGGTTAAGCACCGATTCTATTGGCCAACATCATGCTAGGAGTATCTATTATCTCATTTCATACAAAGGGAAGAGAAGTTGCTATAACAACTGTAACCATGTACAATGTAATGGTAATATCTAGATATATAAAATATATATTTGCCTTGTGAGTTTGGAATGGAGTAAAAAGAAGAGAACTAGCATTAAATAAGCAACCCATTTTTATTTCTTCGATGGATATCTACTGAGTACTTACTATGTGCCAGACTGTTATATGTACTAGGGATAGAGTAGTGAATGAGACAGTCATTGTTCTCTTGGAGTTTACATTCTGCTCTAGTGAGACAGATATTAAATACATAAGTCAGCAAACACATATTAGATTGTTATAAATGCTAAGCAAAGACTTGGACAAGCGTGATTGACATGTAGTGGCTGGCTGTCTAAATTGGACGGGTAGGGATGGTTTTCCTGTGCAGATGAGAATATGATGAGAATATACAACATTTTACTTCGTCTTTGCCAGAACCCTGGATTTAATGACCCTGAGTTACTAAGCCTTCTTATTTTACAAAGCTAAGGAGATAAAGTTTATGTCATAAGTCACATAGTTATTACATTTTCTTCCCAAATTCATGCTGAGATCTCAACTTTTTTTTTTTTTTTTTTGAGATAGCATCTCGCTCTGTCACCTAGGCTGGAGTACAGTGGTGCGATCTTAGCTCACTGCAGCCTCCACTTCCTGGGTTTAAGTGATTCTCATGTCTCAGCCTCCCAAGTAGCTGGGACTACAGGTGTGCGCCACCACACTGGGTTTATTTTTGTATTTTTGATAGAAATGGGGTTTTGCCATGTTGGCCAGGTTGGTCTTGAACTCTTGACCTCAAGTGATTCACCCACTTCAGCCTCCCAAAGTGCTGGGATTATAGGTGTGAGCCACCACGCCCAGCCAACTCTCAATATTTTTTAATACACTTTGATGAATAATGGAGATTTCTTTTTTCTTTTCAAGATTCTGCACTTCTGAAGAAATTATAGCTCATGAGGAGCAAGGTGGGCCTCCCACAATAATTACAAGAAAATGCCAGGACAATGTGTTCATTTTTTTCTCCTTTAACCCAACAAAGTAATTAATAGAGGAAATGATGCTTATCACTACTCTTAAACTTTTCAGCAGATATCTTCCCTGTGGTAAACACTGAAAGATCCATTTTCTGGCTGGCTGATTTGTTTGTTTGTTTTGAAAATCTTTGCCTCTCTGGAAAGCATGTTTGTCCTAGAATGTAGTATGATTGCCAAAGTCCCACACTGAGGACTGCTCCTCAGGATGGCCTCATACAGAATGTGTGAATTTCCATCATCAGCTAAAATGTGAACTTGAACAATAGACAGTTGGCTTCCCTCCAGTCCTAAATAAAGCTGTGTAAGAACGATGTAAAATTCTCCCTGTATCCATGTGGGAGGTGGGGCTGAAAGCTTGCAATTCATCTGATGCTGTTTGGAGACTTTCTCCTTAAGAAACTCACCCCTTTCACCTGTTCCAGGGAACTAGGAGGGCTCCTCTTTTCCCAAAGTGACCTCCACTTACATTGCACTTGCGGCACCTAAGAAATAATGAGTGGCACCTTTTCCCTGTGGGCTCAGCAGTAGCCTCTGTGCTTCTAAGCCTTGAATTTCTGTTGAGGATTCCTAGCCACATGATTCTCTTCTAACATGAACTTAGCATAATTTTGTAAAATTTCTAGACTACTTTGTGATTGATTCTTTGGTTTTCTTTTACTTTTTCCTTTTGCCAAATACTATCACATTCCAAAGTTCAATACTTCACTCACTGCTTTCCTCTATTAAAGCAAGTCCCAGCACATGGTGTACTTTCTTTTCATTCTTGTAGTAATCATTTATTTTAGAGTTTCAGTTACTGTGTTTGGCATAAGAGTTATTCAAAGTGAACCAGGCCAAGATTTTGCTCTAGAGGCACTTACGATCTCTAATTTCCCCTGAATTTCTATCCTGTATCTTCCACTCTCTATAGGGCATCTTCCTCTTGATATCCTATCATTTTCTTCTACTTATTAACCGCTCTCCTCCTCCACTCCCTAAACCAATTATTCTCCTGCAATTTTTCTGTTTTTTGTCAATGGTGCCATCACCCCTTCAACAGTCTTTCCCTGTTATCAAGTCTTTAAATCTTGCCACGTTTTCCTTTCATGTTTGTTGCTGTCTTTCCACTCCAGTGGAAAGAACCTTTGTCACGGACCTTATCAGCTCATCAACAGAGCTACTGCAATACTCTCTTAATTTTCTTTCTGCCTCTGAATATCGTCTCTTTCAGTCATTCCTAGACACCTGTCACTGCCATCTTCAATTTTCCAAGGCACCTTGTAATCTAACACGGGACTATTGAGAACCCTCTGAGGCTGCCATTATCTTGGCTTTCATGATCTCCCACATTGAGACTATTTGACCTCTAAAGTTTTCCCCAGTCACCCTGGTATAGATGTTCCATGCCAGCCAGATTGGCTCCCTGTGCATTGTTACTTTTGCTTTTAACTTCTTGATATCTTCCCCACACACCCCTACCCACACACAAATAGTTTACCCTTCCACTCCTATGCACGTAGCTTAATCCTGTCTTATAAATCTTGCCCAAGTCTGACTTATTTTTCAAAACCTTCATAAGTCCAACAGCAGTCAGAGATTCTTCTCTCCTCTAATGACCTGCAGCACTCACCCTGCCCTCCTTTGGACTGCTGTATTATAGTCACTTGACTGTCTCTGCTACCACTTTCCTCTTTGCTTGCTTTTTCCAGCCCCTCTGGGGTCTTGGCTCTTTCTGGAACACACCAAGCAACCTCCTTCGGGAAGGAGGGATTTTGTACTCTTAGTTTCCCTTGCCTGGAACACTTCTCCTTGAGATAAGCATATGATCTGCTCCCATACTTCCATTAGGCTTCTGCCCAACTTTCATCACTGACCATCAACTAAATTAGAAACGCCCGTCAATATCTCTCCCCTTATATTGCTCTATAATTCTCACAGCACTTTTAGCATTTGACATTTTCGTTATCATTTGTGTATCTATTGAACAACTCCTGCAGTAGAATGGGAGCTCCATATGGGCAGGAATTTTGCCTACTGTGTATATTACTCTGTTCCCAGTGATTAAATAAAATCTGACACCTAGTGATACTCGATGTTTATTAAAAATACATGAATAACTCTTTATGCCTGCCTAGTTCCTTCAGAGTCAGAAAGTCTCCTAAAATGTATAAGATCTTAACTAGCACCTAGGAGGGATCCAGTTACCTCTGTTGCCATTGTTCCATGACTGAAACCACTCCCTGTTAAGGTGACCATGGTAGATAGACACATCAAAACCCCGTTTTCTGGCCTTATTGTTCATTTTGTAACATTGTAAACTATTAAACGCAGTCTCCTTCTCAAATCCTCCCCTTTCCTTGGCCTCTAAGAATCTGGTCTCTTCTCCATCTCTGCCTGTTCCTGCTTACTTTCCAGATGTTTTTTAGGTGTTCCTGTCCTCTGGGTGTTCACTCTGTGGACATCTCCAGCTCTCTTATCCTCTTGAATGATTTAATGTTTGGTCAATTCTCATTATCATTGTTATCATATTTGCACATTTACTTAATTGCTAAAATGTATTTTTAACCCCCAAATCAATACTCCTTACACTTTGATGGTAAAAGCTGAGAAAAATTTGAGTCACCTGACTTGGATGTTCTCAACTGAGGTCAAGGAGGCTACACTGCCTTCTCATTTCAGCTCTCACATTTTATGCAAGCCTCCTTGTTACAGTGTTTTTAGTGCCACATTTTTCACATGATTGTGTTTTTGTTGGTGATTTCACTGTTTAAAATGGCTTCCAGGCAAGGTGCTATCTACTGCTGCTAAGCACGAAATGGCTGTGATGTCTTACAGAGAAAATATATACATTTGACAAGCTTCGTTTAGGCATCAGTTAGGGTGCTGTTGGCTTTTCAATTTCAAGGAATCAAATATAAATAAATAAATATATACACACACACATATATATATAATAAGGTGTTTTTAAGCAGAAACACACATAAAACAATGTTATGTATTGATCAGTGGATGAAAATGTGTGAAGAGAGGCTCACAGGAACCTAACCATGTATTTCCCCAAGGAGCAACATCTTAGTATTTGCTAATTTAGTGCACTCAGTGAATTTATAAAGCATAATCATAGCAGACAATGAGAATCAACTATACCTTTGTTTTTATTTGACCATGACTCCTAAAGCTGTATCTCCAGGCAGAGCAGTTTCCCAAGCCCCTCTGCAGTCTTCTTTGCCTTCATTTTGGTGAAATGGGAGAGTTCCCTTATCCCCCTCACAGGACATGTGACAGGGGTGTGGCTCATTCCTTCGGTGCTCAAATCCCTAGGGGGAGCATGCAGATGGGCAAGTGCAGAGGCCATGGGGAGCGCTTTTGGGCTCTGGCCCTGTGGCAGCATCTAGGGGTGGGTGTCTGCAACTCCCAAAGCCCAAGTGGGCATGTGTATTACAGTGTGCTCTTTCAGCTTTGCTGTCAGCAGATGTTTTGTGTTAATTAGCTCAGTAGACCCAGTGTGACAGCTTTTTGTGTCCTGAGCTCTTGTCCAGTGTACCGGAAAAATTGGATCATGTGTGGGGCCAAAGGATGAGGGCAAGCTTTTATTGAGTGTTGGAGATGACTCTCGGCCAGATGGATGGAGAGCCGGAGTCGGGGATGGAGTGGGAAGGTGATCTTCCCCTGGAGTTGGGCTGCCCAGTGGCCGGAGTCTTCCCTGACCGCCCCTGGCCAAACAGACGCCCAGAACTCCATGCCGTCTCTTCTCTCTTTCTCTGCCGCATCTTTCAGCCATCACTGGTCTGTGGTCTGCTAGTGTCTACTGGTCTGTTCCTCTGTTCCTCTTGACATTCAGCCACTTGTGTCTGTGCCCACTAATGTCTGGAGTTTATACGGGCACAGGATGGGGGACGTGGTGGGCCAGAGTGGACTTGGAGAAACGCAACATTTTGGTGTGAAAACAGGAGTGTCTGTTTTCACTTAGGTCCGTGGGCACAGGCCCAAGAGTGGAGCCCTCTCCAGGGACTCTGCTCTTCTCTACTCAGCACTTCCCTGCCCTGCCGTATCACTGTCACCAGGTTACAGTTCTGAAATGATGCATCTGATCATGTCACTTTTGTGTTTGAATCCTCCTGTTGCTCTCTCTTTTGCCCAGGGTCACCCAAGCCACATTGTAGAACATAGCTTCTATGTGATCTGTTTAGCCTTATCACCCACAATCCTCCCAACACCTTTGCTCCAACCAGACTTCTCACCCTAGCTCAAATAGCAGACTCTTTTTTGTCCCTGCACCTTTATGCATTCTCTTTGCTCTCCTTGAAGGCCCTTCCTACCTTTATTAGTGTGTAAAACTCTTAATCACCCATTAGGAGGCAATTCAGGTGTCACCCACTCTGTGAAGGTTTCCCTATTGCTTAGGCACTCAATTGCTTCCACATCTGGCCTTTGACACCTTATTGTATGATTTGCGTTGTGTGAGTCTTAGTTTTCTCGAATGTCTGTCTTTTGCACTAGACTCCAACAAATTCCTCATAACCAAGGGCCAGATTATTCTTCTCACATGGGCATCTAGTACCAGCATCAAACATCTGGTAAGTGCTTAAAAGCTTATTGAATGAACTGAAGGAAAGAATATTTGTGAGAGATGCTGAGATGTATACCTACTCTAATAAGACTTTTCCTTGGATCTGGATCATAAAATTTAATTTCCACATTATCATTAAATGAGATAATTACTATTGTCTATTTTTGCCCTCAAAATAGGTCATACATAAAATATTCCAAGAATTTATCTGATGCAATAACAACCATCAGAAAGCCTTGCTATAAAGTTTGATTCTACTAAGATCTTTCATGTTACAGAGCTTTTGTTGAATAAATGCATGAATGAATATAAAAATATGATTGAAAGAATGTTGTGTAGCTTTAATTTAAGAATACTGAAAGTGGAGCTAGGCATAGTGGCTCACACCTGTAATCTAAGCGCTTTGGGGGTCCAAGGCAGGAGGATCACTTGAGCTCAGGAGATCTGGCAATAATGCTCAAAGTCAGGTAGCCCTAGTCAGGAGACTGAGACCAGCCTGGGCAACACAGTGAGACCCGTCTCTTAAAAAAAATAAAAAATATTTTATATAATTAAATAATTTAAACTTATTAAAATAAAAACAAAGAATACTGAAAGTGAATTTGTACATAGAATATTTTAATTATAGAACCTACATTAACCTCTCTGGGGCTCAATTTCTTCAACAATAAAATGAGCTAATAATGCCCAGATCTGAGGGTGAAGATGAGCATGTAATCATACTGTACTTAAGAGTTATTTTGGTATACAACAACAAAAACAAAAAGACCATGAAGTGGAAATAATTATTTCAGAATTTAAGTTTATTTGAAAGCGACATTTCTACGTTTAATGTGATCAAGACACTGATCTCTATCTTAAAATTGTAGTTGCTTCATAACTTGGCTCAGAGAAAACAATTTCACCAAAAAGACATAGCCTGTGTTTTGTTTTGCAGAAATCTCTATAAGCAGAACATTTCATAGATGTTTTACACAATGATAAATAGTTATTCACAGACAGATGCTGGCCATGTGTTTTCCAAGATCAATGAAAAATGCCAGCAAATGGGAAATTGGAGGGAAGTCAGAACAGATATTTCCTGAAGCAGCACACCTCCCAGTTGGAAACCTCGGAGTCTTTGTAAGTTTCTGCAGCAGAGCTGTGGAGCACAGCAGGGCTCTGGGTGTGGTTCTGTGTTCAGCTGACTGCGGCATAACTCAATTAGGGAATTCTCAATGGCTGGGCATCTGGGTTCTAAAATGGTTGTTTATGTTCTCCAGATGGTCATGGACAGCAGAAAGGATACATATAAAAGGAAAGAATACAGAAGGGAAAAAAAGAGTTAGAAAAGTAGCTAAGCTGCTTTTGTCTTTTCCTTATTATAATCTGACTTCGTGGATAGGGTAATAAAGCAACTGCTCCAGAGAGCAATGCTTTCCACTCATTTAAAGGTTCTGAAACATCTCGAATGATTTCCTTTTGGTAAAGGAAGTTCTTTGCCTAGACATGTGCAACCTAAAGAGGACATAAAGTTAACAATTTTATTTAGGGTGACAAAAATGCTTGAACTACACAAAAATGCTTAGTTTGCATAAGTCAATGTATCTCTTGCTATCGGTGATAAAAAATTTTTTTTCTAATGAGAAAGACTAATGATTAAAGTTTGTGGAGACATCTTCTTTGACCAAGTAAAACAAAACTAAACAACACAATGTGATAATATATTGGTATGTTGGGATGAGATTTTTTTAGCTTTTCATTACAGTCTCAGCACCTATGATGCAGAAAGTTGTAGGTCCTCAAAGTTAGTGGAATGTTTGAGGTTAGGCACCTGAATGAATGGGTGTTTCTCTGCAGATAACTAGCGGCATTGTTTGAGGAAATTGATTCCCAAAAAACAGTGCTTATCTAAGATGCTGTAGTAAATGGTTTCAAAGCTGAGCTATGTATACCGAAGAGGCCAAATAAATGCTTTTCTTTTTGAAATGATCATTCATTCATTCATCAAATATTCATTGCCTACCTACTGTGTGTCCGGCACTGTTTTAGGACCTGGCAACAAAACACTCAAGGTTCCCAATCTCAGGAAACTTTTATTCTAGTCTAACTATAGTAATAACAGCTTCTTATATTGAATGTCTACTCCATACTAAAGTGTTTTAATACATTTTCTGGTATTCTTTAAGAACTCCTGCAAGGTTGGTGATATTGTTATCATTCTAAAGTTGAAAAAACAAGCAGAAAGAGGTTAAACGATTTTCTGAAAGCAATGAAGTAACTGTAAAAACTGGTATTTGCCCACAGGTATGTCTTCCTTCAAAGTTGTACTTTTTCCTGTCTACTATACCGCCCTACAGTGATCTAGAGTATTTCTGCAGATATTGTGCTTTTTTTTTTTTCTTTTTTAAATGGAGTTTCACTCTTGTTGCTCAGGCTGGAGTGCAGTGGCCCAATCTCAGTTCACTGAAGCCTCCGCCTCCTGGGTTCATGTGATTTTCCTGCCTCAGGCTCCTGAGTAGCTGAGTAGCTGGGATTACAGGCACCCACCACCATGCCTGGCTAATTTTTGTATTTTTAGTAGAGACAGGGTTTCACCATGTTGGTCAGGCTGGTCTCGAGCTCCTGACCTCAGGTGATCCTCCCAACCTTGGCCTCCCAAAGTGCTGGGATTACAAGCATGAGCCACTGCACCCAGCCGAGATATTATGGTTTTTAAGATTATGATTATGAACAAGGTGTATGATGCTGCTTTTTACAATGATGACGTATACTGCTGCTGCCACCACCACCACAAATATTACTACTTCTTACTCCTTTATGCTGCTGAAAATGGCCTTTGAACCTCAGAGAGGGTGAAGAAGGGCCTCTGTTTTATTCAGCAGTTCTAGTTGTTTTGCAAGGAGATAGACATAACCAACTGTGCCTTATCCAGTGAATCTTTTCTATATTCTCCATTTATTCTGCTGAAGGCTCCTCTATAATAGAATCATGATTTTGTTCTTTTATTCAGTTTCAGTAAATACTTACTAAAGACCTACTACGTGCTAGGCACTGTGCTGGGTGCTGGAGAAAAATGATGATGAAGCTAGAAATTTTGATAATTAAACATTTTATCAATCTATTATACATACATGGTTCAAAATGTCAAGTAATAGTACAAAGCTACTAATAAAGTATAGTGGCTCCCCACCCATTGCCCTTCATTGCCAACAATACATCTTCCAACTGGCAACTGTTTTTGACTTTTTAAGCTATTTCTTTTGGCATTTACACACTCATATTTCTACATAGTGTGTGTATGCTACTATCTTTGTTTTATATATTATCTAATGACTTCCTATCACTCTGTTTCCTCCATCCTTCCAATATAGTTGTATTATAATTTTAGTTAAATCATTATTGTTTATTATTCATTATTATGCCTATGCAAATATTACTTACTAATGAACATTGTCATAAGATTATGTTCCTTTTTTATTGTCACTAAAGTTGGTAGTTTTTTCCAATTGCAGTTATTCTTTTCATACATTTTATTGGCCTCTCAGCATCATTTTTCCTAATATTAGGGATTTTTAGTTACTTTTATTACTTAGAGAAATTTTTCTTTGAAGTTTCATTTGAGCTTCCCAGATACCTTGAGTTTCTCCTTTTCTTTCATACTTGGAATTCCCTTTACCATTCTGAGTTTTATTACATGTTTCCTGCATTTTATGACTTCCTCCTTTTTGGTTTTACTCCTTTGATAGACCACATATTCCACTAGTTTGATGAGGTTGAAAAGATAGTACAATTAAAAAAAAATATGATGACAGCTACCAAAATGTCCGTCTCCTGAATCACGCTGCTGCTCTCTGAATGAGCCATCTCCATAGCATCTTCTTTCACTAACAACCTGCAGATACTCTTTCTCTCCCTTCAGTTTTGGATTCTCTCTTTTTCTTTTTCTTCTGATTTCTTGGCGTATTCCCATATTTTGGTGGTAAACTTTCTCCACTCTCTTCTTAAGAAAAACAGGCTATTTTGAATTAATTAATTGATTGCTATTGCATGATGGGTGTCTAAAAATGTCTTTATTCTTCCCTGATGAGATTAATTGTTTGGTTAGATGTGGAATTCTAGTTTAGTAATGATTTTGTTTCAGAATTTTGAAGGCATTGCTCTACTGTTTTCTTGCTTTCAGTATGTCAGTCAGATAACTGACCTCTTAAGTGAGCCCTGAATTTTCATTTGATAAGCTTGTAAAACCTTCTTTTTGTTTCCACAGTCCTGAAATTTCACAATGATGTCCCTTGGTGTGGATCTATTTTTACCTATTTTGCTGGCTACTCCATGGGCTTTTTCAATCTAAAAATTTATAACTTGGAGTTGCTGGAAATTTTCTTGCATTTTTTCTTTGATGATTTTTTTCTCTCTGTTTTCTTTGTACTTTTGTTCTGAACACCTATTATTTGAATGTTGTGCCTCTTAAAATAATGCTAATATGTTTCTTCCCCTATTCTCCATCTCTTTGGTTTTTAATGAACTTTTGGCACAATTACTCCAACATTATCTTTGAGCTTTCTATTGAGACTTTTATTTTTATTTTTGCTATAATATTGCTAAATTCCAAAAGTCTTTTTTTTCTTCTCAGTAAGTTCTTTTTTTATAGCTTCTACTTCTTGTTTCATGGATGAAATATATCCTCTTATTTCACAACAGATAATGAGATTTCTTTTATTGTTGATATTATTGTTGAAGTTTTTCTCCCTGAATAGTTTCTGTTTTGTCCGGGTTGCTTTTTCTGTTTGTCTGTTTGCTTGTTTTGTTTTGGTCTCTTGTGTCCATATTAGAATTTTTTCTTAGATGTCTGATTATTCTTGATTGTCTTAATCATGTTATTCATGATTAGGATTGGACCATTAAAAAGCAATTTAGGAGCCCTGAGATAATGAGTAGGGCTACCTGGCTTTGAGCATTATTGCCAGATGACCTAAATGAGAAGCATTTCTTGGAGAATTCCTGGTGTCAACATCTTTAGATCTTTTTTTTTTTCCACTATTATTATGCTTTCAGTTTTAGGGTACATGTGCACAATGTGCAGGTTTGTTACATATGTATACATGTGCTATGTTGGTGTGCTGCACCCATTAACGCATCATTTACATTAGATAGTTCTCCTAATGCTATCCCTCCCCCATCCCCCACACACCAAGACAGGCCCCAGTGTGTGATGTTCCCCGTCCTGTGTCCAAGTGTTCTCATTGTTCAATTCCCACCTATGAGTGAGAACATGCAGTGTTTGGTTTTCTGTCCGTGCAATAGTTTGGTCAGAATAATGGTTTCCATCTTCATCCATGTCCCTACAAAGGACATGAACACATCCATTTTTATGGCTGCATAGTATTTCATGGTATATATGTGTCACATTTTCTTAATCCAGTCTATCATTGATGGACATTTGGGTTGGTTCCAAGTCTTTGCTATTGTGAATAGTGCCGCAACAAACATACGTGTGCATGTGTCTTTATAGTAGCATGATTTATAATCCTTTGGGTATATACCCAGTAATTGGATCACTGGGTCAAATGGTATTTCTAGTTCTAGATCCTTGAGGAATTGCCACCCTGTGTTTCACAATGGTTGAACTAGCTTACACTCCCACCAACAGTGTAAAAACGTTCCTTTTTCCCACATCCTCTCCAACACCTGTTTTTTCCTGACTTTTTAATGATCAGCATTCTAACTGGTGTGAGACTGTATCTCACTGTGGTTTTGATTTGCATTTCTCTGATGGCCAGTGATGATGAGCATTTTTTCATGTGTCTGTTGGCTGCATAAAAGTCTTCTTTTGAGAAGTGTCCATATCCTTCACCCACTTTTTAATGAGGTTGTTTTTTTCTTGCAAGTTTGTTTAAGATCTTTGTAGATTCTGGATATTAGCCCTTTGTCAGATAGGTAGATTGCAAAAATTTTCCCCCATTCTGTAGGTTGCCTGTTCACTCTGATGGTAGTTTCTTTTGCTGTGCAGAAGCTCTTTAGTTTAATTAGACCCCACTTGTCTACTTTGGCTTTTGTTGCCATTGCTTTTGGTGTGTTAGTCATGAAGTCCTTGCCCATGCCTATATCCTGAATGGTATTGTCTAGGTTTTCTTCTAGGGTTTTTATAATTTTAGGTCTAAAATTTAAGTCTTTAATGCATCTTGAATTAATTTTTGTATAATGTGTAAGGAAGGGATGTAGTTTCAGCTTTCTACATATAGCTAGCCAGTTTGCCCAGCACCATTTATTAAATAGGGAATCCTTTCCCCATTTCTTGTTTTTGTCAGGTTTGTCAAAGATCAGATGGTTGTAGATGTGTGGTGTTATTTCTGAGGCATCTGTTCTGTTCCATTGGTCTATATTTTTGTTTTGGTACCAGTACCATGCTGTTTTGGTTACTGTAGCCTTGTAGTATAGTTTGAAGTCAGGTAGCATGATGCCTCCAACTTTGTTCTTTTTGCTTAGGATTGTCTTGGCAATGCAGGCTCTTTTTTGGTTCCATATGAACTTCAAAGTAGTTTTTTCCAATTCTGTGAAGAAAGTCATTGGTAGCTTGATGGGGATGGCACTGAATCTATAAATTACCTTGGGCAGTATGGCCATTTTCACAATATTGATTCTTCCTATCCATAAGCATGGAACGTTTTTCCATTTGTTTGTGTCCTCTTTTATTTCATTGTGCAGTGGTTTGTAGTTCTCCTTGAAGAGGTCCTTCACATCCCTTGTAAGTTGGATTCCTAGGTATTTTATCCTTTTTGAAGCAATTGTAAATGGGAGTTCACTCACGATTTGGCTCTCTGTTTGTCTGTTATTGGTGTAGAGGAATGCTTAAGATTTTTGCACATTGATTTTTTTTCCTGAGACTTTGCTGAAATTGCTTATCAACTTAAGGAGATTTTAGGCTGAGACAATGGGGTTTTCTAAATATACAATCATGTCATCTGCAAACAGGGACAATTTGACTTCCTCTTTTCCTAACTGAACACCCTTTATTTCTTTCTTCTGCCTGCTTGCCCTGGCCAGAACTTCCAACACTATGTTGAACAGGAGTGGTGAGAGAGGGCATCCCTGTCTTGTGCCAGTTTTCAAAGGGAATGCTTCCAGTTTTTGCCCATTCAGTATGATATTGGCTGTGGGTTTGTCATAAATAGCTGTTATTATTTTGAGATACATCCCATCAACACAAGTTTATCAAGAGTTTTTAGCATGAAGGGCTGTTGAATTTTGTTGAAGGCCTTTTCTGCATCTATTGAGATAATCATGTGGTTTTTGTCTTTGGTTCTGTTTATGTGATGGATTATGTTTATTCATTTGTGTATGTTGAACTAGCCTTGCATCCCAGGGATAAAGCCAACTTGATCATGGTGGAAAAGGTTTTTGATGTGCTGCTGGATTCGGTTTGCCAGTATGTTATTGAGGATTTTTGCATCAATGTTCATTATGGATGTTGATCTAAAATTCTCTTTTTCTGTTGTGTCTCTGCCAGGCTTTGTTATCAGGATGATGTTGACTTCATAAAATGAGTTAGGGAGGATTCCCTCTTTTTCTATTGATTGGAATAGTTTCAGAAGGAATGGTACCAGCTCCTCTTTGTACCTCTGGTAGAATTCGGCTGTGAATCCATGTGGTCCAACCATTTTTTTGGATGGTAGGCTATTGATTAGTGCCTCAATTTCAGAGCCTGTTATTGGTCTAATTAGGGATTCAACTTCTTTCTGGTTTAGTCTTGGGAGGGTGTGTGTGTCCAGGAGTTTATCCATTTCTTCTAGATTTTCTAGTTTATTTGTGTAGAGGTGTTTATAGTATTCTCTGATGGGAGTTTGTATTTTTGTGGGATTGGTGGTGATATCCCCTTCATCATTTTTTATTGCATCTATTTGATTCTTCTCTCTTTTCTTCTTTATTAGTCTTGCTAGTGGTCCATCAATTTTATTGATCTTTTCAAAATCGGCTCCTGGATTCATTGATTTTTTGAAGGGTTTTTTTGTGTCTCTATCTCTGTTTCCCAGAGATTCTGAGATGTTGTATCTTTGCTCTCATTGATTTCAAGGAACATCTTTATTTCTGCCTTCATTTCGTTATGTACCCAGTAGTAATTCAGGAGCAGGTTGTTCAGTTTCCATGTAGTTTTGTGGTTTTACGTGAGTTTCTTAATCCTAAGTTCTAATTTGATTGCACTGTGGTCTGAGAGACAGTTTGTTATTATTTCTGTCTTTTACATTTGCTGAGGAGTGCTTTACTTCCAAATATGTGGTAAATTTTGGAATAAGTGTGATGTGGTGCTGAGAAGAATGTATATTCTGTTGATTTGGGGTGGAGAGTTCTGTAGGTGTTTATTAGGTCGGCTTGGTGCAGAGCTGAGTTTGAGTCCTGGATATCCTTGTTAACCTTCTGTCTTATTGATCTGTCTAATATTGACAGTGGGGTGTTAAAGTCTCCCACTATTATTGTGTGGGAGTCTAAGTCTCTTTGTAGGTCTCTAAGGACTTGCCTTCTGAATCTGGGTACTCTTGTATTGGGTGTATATATATTTAGGATAGTTAGCTCTTCTTCTTGAATTGATCCCTTTACCATGATGTAATGGCCTTCTTTGTCTCTTTTGATCTCTGTTGGTTTAAAGTCTGTTTTATCAGAGACTAGGATTGCCACCCCTGCTTTTTTATTTTTATTTTTTTCCACTAGCTTGGTAGATCTTCTTCCATCCCTTTATTTTGAGCTTATGTGTGCCTCTGCAAGTGAGATGGGTCTCCTGAATACAGCACACTGATTGTTCTTGACTCTTTATCCAATTTGCCAGTCTGTGTCTTTTAATTGGTGCACTTAGCCCATTTACATTTAAGGTTAATATTTTTATGTGTGAATTTGATACTATCATTATGATGCTAGCTGGTTAGTTTGCCTGTTAGTTACGCAGTTTCTTCATATTGTCAGTGGCCTTTACAAGTTGGTATATTTTTGCAGTGGCTGGTACTGATTTTTCCTTTCCATATTTAGTGCTTTCTTCAGGAGCTCTTGTAAGGCAGGCCTGAAGGTGACAAAATCTCAGCATTTGCTTGTCTGTAAAGGATTTTATTTGTCCTTCACTTATGAAGGTTAGTTTGTCTGGATATGAAATTCTGGGTTGAAAATTCTTTAAGAATGTTGAATATTGGCCCTCACTCTCTTCTGGCTTGTAGAGTTTCTGCCAAGAGATCTGCTGTTAGTCTGATGGGCTTCCCTTTGTGGGTAACCCGACCTTTCTCTCTAGCTGCCCTTAACATTTTTTCTTTCATTTCAACCTTGGTGAATCGGACAACTATGTGTCTTGGGGTTGCTCTACTTGAGGAGTATCTTTGTAGTATTCTCTGTATTTCCTGAATTTGAATGTTGGTCTGCCTGAAGAGTGTTTTCCAACTTGGTTCCATTCTTCCTGTCACTTTCAGGTACACCAATCAAACATAGATTTGGTCAGTTCACATAGTCCCATATTTCTTGGAGGCTTTGTTCATTTCTTTTCACTCTTTTTTCTGTAAACTTCTCTTGTTGCTTCATTTCATGCATTTGCTCTTCAATCACTGATACCCTTTCTTCCAGTTGATCGAATCGGCTACTGAAACTTGTGCATTCATCACGTAGTTCTCATGCCATGGTTTTCAGCTCCATCAGGTCATTTAAGTTATTCTCTACACTGTTTATTCTAGTTAGTCATTCATCCAATCTTTTTTCAAGGTTTTTAGCTTCCTAGTGATGGGTTTCAACATCCTCCTTTAGCTCAGAGAAGTTTGTTATTACCGACCTTCTGAAGCCTACTTCTGTCAATCCGTCAAAGTCATTCTCCATCCAGCTTTGTTCTGTTGCTGGTGAGGAGCTGTGATCATTTGGAGGAGAATAGGCACTCTGGTTTTTAGAATTTTCAGCTTTTTTGCTCTGGTTTCTCCCCATCTTTGTGGTTTTATCTACCTTTCGTTTTTGATGATGGTGACATACAGATGGGGTTTTGGTGTGGATGTCCTTTTCGTTGATGTTGATGCTATTCATTTCTGTTTGTTAGTTTTCCTCCTAACAGTCAGGATCCTCAACTGCAGGTCTGTTGAAATTCGCTGGAGGCCCACTCCAGATCCCGTTTGCCTGGGTATCACTAGTGGAGGCTGCAGAACAGCAAATTTTGCTGCCTGATCCTTCCCCTGGAAGCTTTGTCTCAGAAAGGCACCTGCCTGTATGAGGTGTCAGTCAGCCCCTACTGGGAGGTGTCTCCCAGTTAGGTTACATGGAGGTCAGGGACCCACTTGAGGAGACAGTCTGTCCATTCTCAGAGCTCAAACTCCATGCTGGGAGAACCACTGCTCTCTTCAGAGCTGTCAGACTGGGACGTTTAATTCTGCAGAAGTTTCTGCTGCCTTTTGTTCAGCTATGCCCTGCCCTGCCCCAAGAGGTGGAGTCTATAGAGGCAGGAAGGCTTTGTTGAGCTGTAGAGGGCTCCACCCAGTTTGAGCTTCCCTTGGCCACTTTGTTTACCTACTCAAGCCTCAGCAATGGCGGACACCCCTTCCCCACCCCAGGCTGCTGCCTCACAGTTCTATCTTGGACTGCTGAGCTAGCAGTGAGCAAGCCTTCTTGGGCATTGGACCCACCAAGCCATGTGTGGGATATAATCTCCTGGTGTGCCATTTGCTAAGACCATGGGAAAAATGCAGTATTATGGTGGAAGTGTCCTAATTTTCCAGGTACCATCTGTCACAGCTTCCCTTGGCTAGGAAAGGGAAGGCCCCCAACCCCTTATGCTTCCTGGGTGAGGTGATGCCTCATCTGGCTTTGGCTCACCCTCCATGGGCTTCACCCACTGTCCAACCAGTCCCAGTGAGGTGAACCAGATACCTCAGTTGGAAATGCAGAAATCACCTGTCTTCTGTGTTGATCACACTGGGAGCTGCAGACTGGAGCTGTTCCTATTTGGCCATCTTGGAACCCCTCCATCTTTAGATCTTTTTGTGGGGTCAAAACTGAGTCAGTTAGAACCTTCAGAGTAGTCACCTCTCTCCTGCCTAGAAGTGCAAGTTTAGTTGCAATGACTCTAAGAGCCAACTGGAAGAAGAGGACTGAGGGTTTCTTCACTTAGCATTCAGCACATATATGAACATTTAACTTCCCTCTTTTAAACAGAATACCCATTTGTCCTACTTTGTCAGAGACCCTCTACTCTCTGCAAAGAATGAGCTTCCAGGATCTCTGTAGAGGTGGTGATGGTGGTGATGATAGGAGGGTAGGAGTGAAAAAGAATCTAACTACTTTTCCAATGCTTTCAACATTTTTCCTGAAAAGACAGATTTTTAGGCTTCCTGGCTCCCTTGTCTCCGCTTTCCAAAGTTGGGCAGGGAGCTGATTCTATGGTACTGATTCAGCTCAGTAAAGCACAGTGAGATCTCAAGCTGCTTTAGAGAACAGAGTATGGAAACTTCTATGTTATACTCCAAGGCCAGTATACCTCTTAGTTATATAGAAAAAGAGTGATCTTCTCTTTCTACCCAGCCTATAAATATGCACGTTCAGGCCCCAGGAACATCAATGGCAGCTTGGAGAATATTATATATAGGGGTTTGTTTTCAATATCTTCTCATTTCAGCACTTAGCCTTGTTTTGTCTTGTAGGTCACTTACTTCTGGACTATATTCTTTCTGGCTTCCAAACATTTATTGCTCATATTTTCTCTCTTGGTCTCCTCATTTTTGTGGCTTATGTCTGTTTTTAGAAAAAAATACTTTGCTATAGTTTTAGTGGTATTTTGGCTCTGTGTATTTCTGAATTGCCCTCTTAACCCAGAACTGAACATTTTTTCCCCCTCACCAGTGCATCTTCAATACCTGGTGTAGTGCCTGGCACATAAGTAGGTGCTCAATTAAGACTTTGTTGACCTCAACCCACATTACCTATAATATTTATACTGTCACTGGCTATCCTCATGATCTCCAGAGAATTACTGTTAGCCTCAAATAAAGTGACACAATGTATATTAAGGCACCTTGTAATTTGGTTGTATGATTAGGATAAAGATGAAGGTTGTGACAATGCTTTCTCTCTTTCTTTGTGTGTCTGGTTTCTCGTTATTTCCTTTAGATATATAATTTCTAATCTTCATTAAAAACTTGCAAAATTGTGATTAATCCCATTTCATAGGAACAGCTTATTTTATTGCACTTTATGGTCCTTTGCAAATATTGCATTTCTTTTTAACAAATTAAAGATTTGTGACAACTCTGTGTTTGCGGCAAGTGTATGCATGCCATTTTTCCAATAGCATGTGCTCACTTCCTTTCTCTGTATCACATTTTGATAATTCCTGCAATATTTCAAACTCTTTCATTATTATTATATTTGTTATGATTATCTTTGATCAGTGATCTTTGATGTTACTATTGTAATTTTGGAGGGGCACCACAAACTGCATTTATATAGGATGGTGAACTTACTTGATAAATGTTGTGTGTGTTCTGACTGCTTCATTAACTGGCCATTTCCTCAGTTCTTTCCTTTTTTTCTCTCTAGTCCCTGAGAAACAATGATATAAAAATTAGGCAAGTTAATAACTCTACAGTGAGTGGCCTCTAAGTATTCAAGTGAAAGGAAGTGTTGCATGTCTCTCATTTTAAATCAAAAGCTAGAAATGTTTGAGCTTAGTGAGGAAGGCATGTAGAAAGCCAAGAGACGCCAAAAGCTAGGCTTCTTGTGCCAAACAGTTAGCTAAATTGTAAATGCAAAGAACATTTAAAATGTTACTTCAGTGAATACAAATGATAAGACTTATTGCTAATATAAAGAAAGTTTGAGTGGTCTGGATACATCAAATTAGCCACAACATTTCCTTAAGCCAAAGCCTAATCCGAAGCAAGGCCCTCACTCTCTTCAATGCTGTGAAGGCTTAGAGGGATGAAGAAGCTGCAGATACATAGTTGGGAAGCTAGCAGAGGTTGGTTCATGAGGTTTAAGGAAAGAAGCCATCTCCATAACATAAAAGTGCAAGGTGAAGCAAGAAGTGCTAATATAAGGCTGCAGAAAGTTATTTAGAAGATCTGGCTAAGATAATTGATGAAGATGGCAATACCAAACCTTTTGGTAGATGAAAAGGTGCCATCTAGAAGAATAAGAAGAGGAAATAGAAGAAGAAGAAGAAGAAGAAGAAGAAGAAGAAGAAGAAGAAGGAGAAGGAGAAGGAGAAGGAGAAGGAGAAGGAGAAGTAGAAGTAGAAGTAGAAGGAGAAGGAGAAGGAGAAGGAGAAGAAGAAGAAGAAGAAGAAGAAGAAGAAGAAGAAGAAGAAGAAGAAGAAGAAACGGTGTAGATGAAAAGGTGCCATCTAGAAGAAGTAGATGTAAATGATAAGGTGCCATCTAGAAGAAGAGGAAATTGAAGAAGAAGAAGACGAAGAAGAAGACGAAGACGAAGAAGAAGAAGAAGAAGAAGAACAAGAAGAAGAAGTAGAAGAAGCTGCTATCTAGAACTTCAAAAGAAAGAGAGAAGCCAATGCCTAACTTCAGAGCTTTGACGGAAGGCTGACTGTGTTGTTAAGAACTAATGCAGCTGGTGACTTTATGTTGAAACCAATGCTCATCTACCATTCTGAAAATCCCCGGGCCATTAAGAATTATGCTAAGTCTGTTCTGCCTGTGTTCTAGAAATGGAACAACAAAGTCTGGATTACAGCATATCAGTTCATGACATGGTTTACTGAATATCTGAAACTCACTGTTGAGACCTACTGCTCAGAAAAAAATATTTCTTTCAAAATATTACTGTTCATTGTCAATATACCTAGGTACCCAATAACTCTGATAGAGATGTACAGGGAGAATAATTTTGTTTTTATGCCTGCTAACATAGCATCTATTCTGCAGCCCATGGATCAAGGATTAATTTTGACTTTCAAGTTTTATTATTTAAGAAATACATTTTCTAAGGCTATAGCTGACATGATTCCTTTGATGGATCTGGGCAAAGTAAATTGAGAACCTTCTGGAAAGGATTCACCATTCTAGATTTCATTAAGAACATTCATCATTCATGGGAGAAAGTGAAAATATCCACATTAACAGGAGTTTGGAAGATGTTGATTCTAACCCTCCTGGATGACTTCAAAGGATCCAAGATTTCAGTAGAGGAAGTCACTGCAGATGTGGTGGAAATAGCAAGAGAACTAGGATTAGAAATGGAGCCTGGAGATGGGGCTAAATTGCTGCAATATCATGATAACACTTGAGCGAATGCGGAGTTCTTTCTTATAGATGAATAAAGGCAGTGGTTTCTTGAGATGGAATCTACTGCTGGTGAAGATGCTGTGAACATTGTTGAAATGACAACAAAAGATTTAGAATATTTTGTAAACTTAGTTGATAAAACAGCGGCAGGATTTGAGAGGATGGACTCCAAGTTTGAAAGAAGTTCTGCTATAGGTAAAATACAGTCAAACGGCATCGCATGCTGCAGAGAAATCTTTCATGAAAGACAGAATAATTTGATGTGGCAACCTTCACTGTAGTTTGAATGACTTTAATGTGGGGTGGCACATTTTAATGTTTTTGAATGGCTTGAATGTAGGGTGGCTTAAGAAATTTCCACAGCCACTTAACCTTCAGCAACTGCCACTCTGATAGGTCAGCAATCATCAACATGGAGACAAGACTCTCCAGCAGTAAGATGAGGTTTTGCTCAAGGCTCTGATGGTCATTAGCATGTTTTAATTATAAAGCACTTTTAAATTAAGGCTTGTTTTTTTAGACATAACACTATTGCACACTTAATAGACTATGGTGTAAACGTAAGTTTTATATGCACTGGAAAGCCAAAAAATATGTGTGACTCACTTATTTCAATATTTGCTTTATTGCAGTGGTCTGGAACCAAACCTGCAACTCTCTGAGCTATGCTTGTATTTTCTTTTTCTTCTCATTTTCTATTCTCATTGTCATTCTTGCCAATTTCAAGTAAAAAGTTTTTTATATTTTAGTTTTTGTTCATTTATAAAGAGCAAGCCACATAAAGATCTTGATTTTTTACTAAGACACATTTTCTTGGGTTTAGTTTTGGCTATTGAGATGACAAGTTACTAAACAACCAGGATTCCACTTATATTAATTTTACCTCATCACTAAAAAACACACAAAAAACCCAAAACACATGTCTGAAACTTTATCCTACTTCCAAAGAATGCTAGAGGCATGGTAAACCAGTTTTGAGATATTAATCAAAAAGTTTAAGTTATTTAGGCCCCAAACCCACATTACTTGATTCAACTTCTATTTTAAAATAAAGTTAGTCCTAAATTAAATTTTAATTGCAGAGAATACATGGGTATTCACAAGGCTGCTAGGCAGACTAAATAGGAAAAAAGGGGAAATGAGAACATTTAGTCCATGAACCCCAACACTAAAACATAAACACACATGTGTTCCCATATGGAGAAACTGTGGGATTCTAAAGCAGTGCAGAGGCACAGTGCTTTCCTATGCTGCCTGGATTGATTATAACTGAGAAAACCAGGCAAATTCTGGTCAGGGGAAAAGTGTCTTCACCATACAAGAAGCTTCCCTCCCCCAGTAAGGCTGCATTAGCATTCGTTTCTTAGGTTCCCAGGTGAACAGTGTCGATGTAATTACATTTTGTGTAATCTTAGCAAAACCAAAAGAGCAATATACTCAATTCAAATGCAATGGGAAAATGCTATGCTTTACAATAGCACAGATCTTTGTTCCTCTTCAGAGGCACTTTCATCCCCTGCATCAGAAGAGGGAGGTGAGATTTCAGTAGAGTACATCTCTGCTCTGAGAGGTATTTGAGAAGGGTCATGCTCTTGCTGTAATGGGTCCTTCTTCAAACCCCAAGCAATAGCATCTCGAAGCTTACTCCTTAAACCATCCCTAAATTACCCTGCTCAGGTTGTGCAGATGGATATTGTTGTGTGGCTCCTGAAAGATCAAAAGGAAGCTGAGACAAACCCAAGCTGGTTGCCTCTGCCCTTTAATATGTAAAAAGCAAAACCCAACAAAACAGTTGCCTGTGTTAATTGCTACTCTCAAAGGAGTGAGCTGGGGGCAAGAAAATGAGTGAGCTCTAAAACTGTAGTCAGAGCAAAGACCTTGAGCGACAAGGTTAGCCAAGAAAGATTAAAAAAAAATCATCTAGTTAAAAACCTCACTAGTTGAATGGGATGACAGATGAATGATGGATGCAGGTGGGAAAATGGGATTCCCTTCAAAGAAAAGAGTGTGATGTGCAAGGCAATGAGAAAACTCGAGGTCCTGGTGCGTGGCGCAGGGAGCAGATAATGCCTGTCTCTTGTGCTCATTGTATTGTTAGAAGCTGCTGAAATAAATCCTCTGGGGAGCTGCTATAAAAGAAGGCAAACCTGAGAGCAGTTTCCCATTTTGGTATACATTTAGAGGAATTGTAATTGTCATTGTGCTGCTCTTTAAGGTCAAGTTTTTATGAAAAGTAAAACTGAGGAGTGTGGGCTTTTGAGCCAAACACATTGAGACCCTATTTCACTGTTAACTAGTTATGACGCTATTTTTAACCTCAAGGAGCCTTGGTTTTTCAACGTGTAAAATGGGAATAACAATAATCTCCTTTCTCTTCTGTTATAAGGAGTGGTGATAATGAGGTTAAAGTAAGTAGAATCGTGCCAGGCACGGAAGAGGTGCTACAGGGATGGTAGATATTATTTGGGTGCTAGAAATAACAATGAAGAAATAAAACCTTGGATATAGTTTTTAAAATATGTCATATCACGGACAGCAATGAATCCTATTGATCTTCAGGATGAAAGGGTGAAACTGTGTGTGTGGATGAGTGAATATTATTGATGATATCTGAACGACAAATAAACAAAGAAGTGAAAACAGAGAAACAACAAAGGTTAAACCCTAAAACCCAAAACTAAAACCAATACCAAAAGAAACACAAACCCTTTCTGGTTTAAACAAATTTGTAAGAATTAGGAAGATATTAGAGCCACTATTCTGGTTCAAATTTTCATTCTTTCAAACTAAATTGCTCAAATAGTCTCGCAATCTAATATTTAATAGAGTGCTTGGTACTCTGTATTTATGAATGAGTGAAGGGATGAAATGAATATGCAAATGAATGAGCAGACTTCAATAAATTCTCAGTGTAACTAGTTTAACTTTCCTGAGTCCTTATTATCACACCGTCAGGCTCTTGCTTTAGAACCAAGTGCCATCTCACTCCAGGGATGTTCAAGGGTCTCCTATAGTCACAGGGAGCAGTGACGTGACACTCGGGTCAGAGTGAAAGAAAATTCCCACATCTAGCAAGTTTCAGCTACCTTCTTTTTCACCAGTGGAAAATACTCTAAAAACATCTCCCAGAAAAGATGTCAAACTGTGTCATTAGCATCATTTTAATATTTGTTATCATCCTCCTAAAATCAAGTTATTTCTCAATGCTCAGCTATGCAATTCCCAACCACGAAGCTGCTGGCACTGTTTCCTCCTCTCCAGTGGGTGCTTTGTCCTCCCACTCCTGACTGTCAGTAAAACTGGCTGAATAAGAAGGTGTCAGGAATTTCCACAAATAATTAAAGCATAAAGATAAATAATAAATGACTAGTGCAAGAGAATGCTCCTTTTCTCTCCATATGCACCCGGTGAAGAAAGAACACTGGAGATCCAAGAGAATCCAAAGCCTGCCACTGGTTTCCTCAAACACATTTACATCACTTCTTCATTTTTCTGCTGAAATATTTATTGTCTTAAGAACAGTAACATTTTTATTTCTACAGAGTATCTGTAGAGACTGTAGTTTGACTTCCTTTCCTTTAAAGGAAGAATGAAGTAGACATGTTAAAATAATTAAAATTCAGGTTCAGAATAAAAAATATCTATTTTACAAACGTTCTGATGCAACTCTGGACTGGCTGTCTCTGTCTTTCTGCCTTCTCTTTCTGTCTCAGAAACATCTTCATTCCCTAGTTCTCTCTTGTTTTACATGTATTTGTTGTTCACAACAATAGAGAGAAAATAAATGGAATGAAAAAAGGAAATCGGCAGGTACGATGGAGTAACATTAACTTAGCTTCCAAAGAGAACTTTGAAGATATTTGCAGCTTTTCATTGTCATTTGCAACTTAGGACTCCAGACAGGGGAACATAGTATCATCTGGGGGTCCCTAAGAGGTGTACAGGGAAGGAAGTCGCATAACTTCCAGAAAAACTGAACAACTTCCCAGTTAAAAACAAAAACATAGTAATTTACTCAGAAATAGGTTTTGTTTGTGTATTTGCCAGGTCCTTTTGTATTGAAAATTTCAGAAAGGCAGTGAACATATTTGTTTAACTCATTAATGCATTTCTAATGCCTATCAAGTAGGAACTGTATAATATATATTTGCTGAATGAGTAGCAACAGCTAATATTGATTGATCAATTTCTTTGTGTCAGATACTCTGGTAAGAACTTTGCAACCCAGTCTGTTCAATCCTAGTGCTGCTATCATTGCAACTCCTAATGATTTCAGTGAGGCTGAGGATGCAGAGATGAAGATAAGTGGAAAACTTACCATGGTCACTGGCTGGCAAGGGGTGGAACCAGGCTTCAGACTCAGGCAGGCCAGCTCCAGAGCCTGTTAATAAATATCTGTTGGCTTATTAGAATATATGTGGATATAGGAAAAACCAAAATGTTTTCTTACCCTCTATTCTTAAACAGTCATTCAACACTTCAGACACAAGATGAGTGGAGGTTTTGCTCCACACGCCAGGCAATTCTGTGGCAGACTAATCAAATTCAGTTCTGACACTATCTACGTAGAGAGTGTCCAATTCCACGGGTTGAAGACTCGGCCCTACAAGACTGCCCCCACTTCAGACACCAATTGGAAGCACAGACTGTGACCTGTGATTCTGACACACAGGTTATAAATTGGGGTTCCTATGGTCACCTCCTCAGGTTCAATTAATTTGCTAGAGTAGCTCACAAAACTCAGGGAAATACTTAACTTACATTTACCAGTTTATTATAAAGGATGTTACAAAGGATATGTATAAAAAGCCAGATGAAAGCAAGGTATGTGGCAAGAGACATGGAATTTACATACCCTCTGTGGACACCACACTCCAGGAATCTCCATGTGTTCAACTCGCTGAAAGACCCTCCAGATCTTGTCCTTTTGGGTTTTTATGGAGACTTTATTGTGCAGGCATGATTGATTACATCATTGGCCATTGGTCATCAATTAAACTTTTAGCTCCTTTCCCCTCCTTAGAGGTTGGTGGGGGAGGGTGGGCCTGAAAGTCCTAACACTGGAATCATGTCTTTGGACTTTCTGGTGACCAGTCCCCATCCTAAAGCCATCAAGAGGCCCCTAGCTATCAGTCGTCTCATCAGCACACAAGAGACACTCTTATTACTTCAGAGATTACAAAGGTTTTAAGAACTGTTGTCAACAACCTGGGATGAAGACCAAATATGTATTTCACAATATCACAGAATATTAAGACAATATTTAAGTGAAGAGTTATTTCACATATTGTGGGTAGTTCAGCAGAGGGGGAAAGATTTCAAGACTTCTGTGTTCTCTTGACAGCATTAATAACCTAGACCAATCCATAGTTCAGATCGTAAGGGTAATATTTGGTCCCAAAATTACTTAGACTATTCCATAATACCTGTATGGGTATTAGGTTAATCAAATCTTGGGAATTCTTGTGCAAGTATTGGAGCTGTGTTCTGAACTATGTCCTTGCAGAACCGTTAGATTGTAAATTTCTTGAGAATATACTAGTGAATGAATTCATTCACTTAACTTTTATTTCGTACCTACTGTATTTCAAGTACATTGCTAGGCCAAGGGAAATGTGTGTTATATACATCTTTATATGCTTGCAGTCCAGCAAAGTACTTTCAGAGTTTACTTCAAATATATTACTCATTAGAAGTTTATTAACAAACAAATTTAATAAGGCAGGGTGCAGAGGCAGAGGAAAAAAGTTTGAGGTGGGAGCTAATGAGTTCAGTTTGGACTGTTGTTTTTGATGTACCTCTGGTACCTGAGCAGATTCAAGCAGTGTGAAGTTTCCTTTGAGAGTGTATAGAGTTAGAAAAGAGGCAGAAAGATAAAACCCTCGGGCTCAATAAAATTTGAGAGGTGGAAGAGACTGAGGGGAAAAAAAAGTCTAGAAAAGCAGGAAAAACATCAAGGAAGTCTGGTAGTTTATAAGCATAGCTTTTTATTTGCATTTTCTTGATTACCAGTGATGAACAGCCTCTTTACAAATACTGTATTTATTAGCCATATTGATACCCTCTTTTGTTAAGACAGTTTAATAAACAAAGAAGTAGTTAGTGGTCAATAGTGTCAATTTTGGTAGGAGATCTTCGTAAGTAATACTTTTTTTGTTTTATTTTATCATATATTTTAAAAATTATACTGGAATATAACAGGCACACAGTAAATTACAGAATACATAATGTAGAACTAGTATAGTATTATAGTGAACAGCCATGCAGCCACCAACTAGAGCAAGATATAGTACACTGATAGCAACCCAGAAGTCCCCTCTATGGCTCTTCTGAGTTACAATGCACACTTTCTACTCTTGATGTTTATGATAATTGTTTCCATACTTTTCTTCACTTTTTATTCCAAAATGTGCATGCCTAAACACTATAGTTTTGCTTGTTTTTAAACCCTATAGAAATGAAGTAATGTGTTCTTTTGTGTCTGGCTTCTCTTGCTCGATAACATGTCTATGAGATTTACCCATGCTGTTACATGTTGCTGTAGTTAATGTTCTGTGTGGGGTAGTATTCCACAATATGAATATATAGCACCATGCTGTTGTATGAATATAGCACCATTGTGTTGCTGATGAATATTTAGCTGTATGAAAAATCCTACTATAAACATTTTTGTAAATGCCTCTTGGTGCAAATATTCACACAATATTTTTTGTAAATACCTAGGGTAAAATTTTTTTCATGATGCCTGTGTGTATTCAAATTTAGTATATAATGTTAAACTCTTCCAAACCAGTTGTAGCAAATTATACTTCTACCAGTAATATATGAAGTTTCCTGTGGCTTCAAGTATTCTCCAACATTTGTTACTGTCAGTCTTTTTAGTTTTAGCATCTTTTTTTTTTTTTTCTGGTGGATATATCATGGTGTCTTATGGTGCTTTTATTTATATTTCCTTGATTGCTAATGAAGTTCAGCAACATCACTTATTCTGTCAGCCATATGGATATCTGATCTTTTTCCTGTTTGTTTTCAAATAATACTACCTTTCTCTTAAAAATGATTTATAAAAAAACCTTTATTTTTTGGATCAAGTTCTTTGTGAAATGTATATATTGTATATACCTTCTTCTGCTCCACAGCTGCTTGCTTTTCTATTCTCTCAATGGCACCTTAGATGAGCAGACACTTAATTTTAGTGCAGTCAAATTTATCATTTTTAATAGTTATGTACATTTATTTTTTTTAAAAAAAACCTTACACTGAAGTCATAAAATTTTCTTTTATACCAATTTGTAAAAGTTTGTTATTTTTCTTTTTCACATTTAGATCTAATCCTCTTGAAATTAAGCTTTGAGTCTGGCCAATTTTATTTTAGCCATATAAAGATAAAATTATCTTAGCACTATTTATTGGGAGAAAAAAAAATAACCATCTTTTCTTTATGGCTCTGCAGGGACATTTCACCAAAAATCAACAGCCTATTTTTTGGATATCTATTTGATTTCATTGGTAAATATGTATATTTATTAAGAATTTTACCTATCTGTCTATATCTATCTATCTATTTTTCTATCTATCTATCTAATTTTGTGCCAAGATCACACTGTCTTAACTATTGTAGTTTTATAATATGTCTTGATTATTTTTAGAGGAAGTCCTCTCATCTTTTTGTTTTTGTTGTAGAGTATCTTGGTTATTCTTGACCCATTGCATTTTCTTGTTCATTTTTTCCAGCTTTATTAAGGTATGACTGACAAGTAAAAATTGTATATATTTAAAGTGTTCAATGTGATGATTTGATTTATGTATATATTATGAAATTGTTATAACCAGTAAGCTAATTAAAATATCCATCAATTCACATAGTTATCTTTTTATTGTGATGAGATCCACTCTCCTAGCAAGTTTCAAATATATAATACATTATTAATTATTGTCACCATGTTGTACTTTAGGTCTCCACAACTTATTTGTCTCATAACTAAAAGTTTTTACCGTTTGACCAACATTTTTTTGAAGAACCTCCATACTGTTTTCCACAATGTCTGTACCAATTTATATTCCTACCAACAGTGTATAAGAGCTCCCTTTTCTCCACATCCTTGTCAACATTTGTTATCTTTTGACATTTTGATAGTGGCCATCCTAACAAGTGTGAGGTGATAGCTCATTGTGATTTTGATTTGCATTTCCTTCATGGTTCATGATGCTGAGCACCTTTTCATTTACTTAGAGCGTATCTATTCAAATTCTTTGCTCATTTAAAAATCATGTTATTTATTTTCTTGCTAATGAGTCGCATGAACTTCTTATACATTTGGGATATCAACCCCCTATTGGATATATGGTTGACAAATATTTTCTCCCATTCCATGGGTTATCTTTTCATTTTGTTCATTTCATTTGATATGCAGAAACTTTTAAATGTGATGTAGTCTCATTTTATTTTTGCTTTTGCTCCCCATGCTTTTAGTGTCTTATCCAAAAAGTTCTTGAGAAGACCAAGATTAAGGAGATTTTTCTTTATGTTCTCTTCTAGTTTTACAGTTTCAGATCTTATGTTTAAGGCTTTAATCCATTTTGAGTTCCTTTTCATGCATGGTATAAGATAAAGGTCCACTTTTATGATTATTTTTTTGCATACCAATATCCTGTTCTTCCAACAACATTGAAGAGATCATCCTTTCCCCATTCTGTATTCCTGGTCCTCTATTGAAAATGAGTTTACCGTGTATGTGTGAGCTTATTTGGGGGCTCCCTCTCTTTTGTTTCATTGGTTTATGTTGTCTGTTTTCATGGCAGTACCAGCTGTTTGATTACCGTAGCTTTACAGTATAATTCAAAATCAGGAAGGCTGATCCTTTTAGCTTTGTTGCTATTTCTCAAGATTGTTTTAACTATTCAGGGTCTATTGGGGTTTCATATGAATTCAAGAGTTGTTTTTTCTACAGAAAAATGCCACTGGAATTTTGAATCTATAAATTGGTTTGGGTAGTATAGATATTTTTTTTTTCTTTTTCTTTTTTTCAGACAGGCTCTCACTCTGTCACCTAGGCTGGAGTGCAGTGGCACGATCTCAGCTCACTGCAGCCTTGACTTCCAGCAATCCTCCTACCTTAGCCTCTCAAGCGATCCTCCCACGTTAGCCTCCCAAGTAGCTGGGACTACAGGCATGTGTCAACATGCCCAAATTATTTTTGTATTTGTTTGTAGAGACAGGGTTTTTTCATGTTGCCCAAGCTTGTCTCAAACTCCTGAGCTCAAATGACCCACCCACCTTGGCCTCCTAAAGTGCTGGGATTATAGGCATGAGCCACTGTACCCTGACCTGAACATTTTAACAATATTAATTATTCAAATCCATGAATATAAAATATCTTTCCATTTATTTGTTTCTTATTTGATTTCTTTCATCACTGTTTTATAGTTTTTAGTGTACAGATCTTTCACCTCCTTGGTTAAATATATTCCTAAGTATTTTATTCTTTTTAAATATTGTAAGTGGGATTGCTTTCTTAAGTTCTCTTTTGGATAATTCATTCTTAGTGTGTAGAAATGCTACTGATTTTTATATGTTAATTTTGTATTTTGCAACTTTACTGAAGTTGTCAACTATTTCTGAGTTTTTTAGTGAAGTCTTTACAGTTTTCTTTATATAAGATCATGTTATCTGCAAACAGAGACAGTTTTACTTCTTCCTTTCTGATGTGGATGACTTTTATTCCTTTTTCTTGCCTAATTGCTCTGGGTAGGACTACCAGTGCTGTATTGAGTAAATGTGGTGAGAGTGGGCAACTTTGTCTTATTTCTTGATCTTAAAAGAACAGCTTTCAGCTTTCATTGTTGAGTATTATGTTAGCTGTGCGCTTGAGATATATGGCTTTTATTATGTTGAGGTACATTCCTTCTATATCTAATTTGTTATTATGGAAGGATACCAAATTGTGTGAATTTTTTTTGTATCTATCGACATGACCATATAATTTGTATCCTTCATTCTGTTAATGTGGTGTATCACATTGATTAATTTGCTTATGATGAACCATCCTTGTATCTTAGGGATACATACCACTTGGTCATGGTGTATGGTTCTTTTAATGTGCTGTTAGATTTGGTTTGCTAGTATTTTGTTGGAGATTTTTGTGTCTATGCTTATCAGAGATATTATCCTGTAATTTTTTTTTCTTGTAGTATTCTTGCCTAGTTTTGGTATCAGGGTAACACTGAACTATAAAATTAGTTTAGAACTTTTCCCTTCTCTTCAATATTCAAGAGTTTGAAAAAGATTGGCAATAGTTCTTCTCTAAATGTTTGGTAGAATTCACCAATGAAGACATCCAGTCTTAGGCTTTTCTTTGTTGGGAGATTTTTTATTACTGAGTGATATAGTTTGCTTGTGTCCCCACCCAAATGTCATTTTGAATTCCCACGTGTTCTGGGAGGACCCCAGTGGGTGGTAATTGAATCATGGGGGCATATGTTTTCCATGCTGTTCTTGTGATAATAAGTCTCATGAGACTGATGGTTATTATAAGGGGGAGTTTTCCTGCACAAGCTCTCTCTTTGCCTGCTGCCATCTATGTAAGATGTGACTTGCTCTTCCTTGCCTTCTGCCATGATTTGAGGCTTCCCCAGCCACTGTGGAACTGTAAGTCCAATTAAATCTCTTTCTTTCAAAAATTGCTCAGTCTCAGGTATGCCTTTATCAACAGCATGAAAACTGACTAATACATTGAGTCAATCTCCTTACTCATTATTGGTCTTTTTATAGTTTCTATTTTTTGGTGATTCAGTTTTGGTAGGTTGTAGGTTTCTAGGAACTTATCCATCTTCTATTTTATCTGATTTGTTCATGTATAATAGTTCATAGTAGTCTCTTATGATCTTCTGAAATTCTATAGTATCAGTTGTAATATTTCTTCTCTTATTTCTGATTTCAATTGTTTCATTTCTATAACTTTTTCTGCTTATTTCAGTTCCATAATTTTTTGTGCTTATTTCAGTTCCATAACTTTTTGTGCTTTTTGTTATCTTAGTAAAACCTCTTAATCTCATTGATCTTTTCTATAGTTCTTCTCATTTTGTTATTTATTTCTGTTCTGAACTTTGTTGTTTCTTTCCTCTGCTAACTGTGGGCTTAGTTTTTTTTTTTCTTTTTAAGTCCCTTGAGGTATAATGTTAGGTTGTTTATTGGATAATTTTCTTTGTTGATGTAGACACTTATTGCTATAAACTTTGGTATGGTTTGGCTCTGTGTCCCGACCCAAATCTCATTTTAAATTGTAATCCCCACATGTTGAGGGAGGGACCTGGAGGGAGGTGATTGGGTTATGGCAGTGGTTTCCTCTATTCTGTTCTAAAGATAGTGAGTAAGTTCTCATGAGATCTGATGGTTTAAAAGTGTTTGGCACTTCCTGCTTCTCTCTCTTTCTCTCTTGCAGCCATGTAAGATGTGCCCCACTTCCCCTTTGCCTTCTGCCATGATTGTAAGTTTCCTGAAGCCTCCCTAGCCATGTGGAACTGTGAATCAATAAAACCTCTTTTCTTTATAAATTACCCAGTCTCAGGTATCCTTTATAGCAGTGTGAAAATGGACGAATACAACTTTTGTCTTTTATTATTTTTAAGTTCATTAGTACACGTGCAAGATGTGCAGGTTTGTTACATAGGTAAACATGTGCCATAGTGGTCTGCTGTACACATCATCCCATCACCTAGGTATTAAGCCCAGCATCAATTAGCTATTCTTCCTGATGCCATCTGTCCTCCTTACCACCATTCTCCAACAGGCCCCTATGTGTGTTATGCCCCCCTATGTGTCCATGTGTTCTCATCATTCAGCTCCCATTTATAAGTGAGAACATACAGTATTTGGTTTTCTGTTCCTGAATTAGTTTTCTGAGGATAATGACCTCCAGCTCCATCCATGTCCTTGCAAAGGACATGATCTCATTTCTTTTCATGGCTGCATAGCATTCCATGATGTATATGTTCCACATTTTTAAAAATCCAGTCTATAGTTGATGGGCATTTAGGTTAATGTCATGTATTTGCTATTGTAAATAGTGCTTCGATGAACATATGCATGCATGTGTCATTATAATAGAATGATTTATATTCCCTTGGGTATATACCCAGTAATAGGTCAAATGGTATTTCTCCCTCTAGGTCTTTGAGGAATCTCCACACTCTTTTCCACAATAGTTGAACTGATAATTTACACTTCCACCAATAGCGTAAAAGCATTCCTTTTTCTCCACAACCTCTCCAGCATCTATTGTTTTTTGACCTTAATAATAGCCATTCTGACTGGTGTGAGATGGTATCTCATTGTGTTTTTGATTTGCATTTCTCTCATGATCAGTGATGCTGAGCTATTTTTCATATGTTTGTTGGCCACATGTATGTCTTCTTTTGAGAAGTGTCTGTTCATGTCCTTTGCCCATGTTTTAATGGGGTTATTTATTTTTTCTTGTAAATTGTTTAAGTTCCTTGTAGATGCTGGATATTGGATCTTTGTCAGATGAATAGATTGCAAAAATTTTCTCCCATTCTGTAGGTTGTCTGTTCACTTTGATGATAGTTTCTTTTCCTGGGCAGAAGCTCTTTAGTTTAATTAGATCCCATTGGCCAATTTTTGTTTTTGTTGCTGTTGTTTTTGGTCTTTTCATCATTAAATACTTGCCTGTGCCTATCTCTTGAATGGTATTGCCTAGATTTTCTTCTAGAGGTTTTTTTTTCTTTTTTCTTCCCCAAGATGATGTCTCGCTGTTGTTGGCCTGGGCTGCAGTGCAATGGCTCGACCTCAGCTCACTGCAACCTCTGCCTCCCCTCCAATTCTCTTGCCTCAGACTCCCAAGTAGCTGGGATTACAGGGGCCTGCCACCATGCCCGACTAATTTTTGTAATTTTTAGTAGAGACAGGGTTTCACCATGTTGGCAGGCTGGTCTCAAACTCCTGACCTCAGGTGGTCCACCCACCTCGGCCTCCCAAAGTGCTGGGATTACAGGCATGAGCCACCATACGCAGCCCTCTTCTACAGTTTTAATAGTTTTGTATTTTCCATTTAAATCTTTAATCAATCTTGAGTTGATTTTTGTATACCATATAAGAAATGGGCCAAGTTTCAATTTTCTGCATATGGCTAGCCAGTTCTCCCAACACAATTTATTAAATAGGGAATCCTTTCCTCATGCTGGTTTTTGTCAGGTTTGTTGAATATCAGAAGGTTGTAAGTGTGTAGTCTTATTTCTGCGTTCTCTATTCTGTTCCATTGATCTACGTTTCTGTTCTTGTACCAGTACTAAGCTGTTTTGGTTACTGTAGCATTGTAGTATAGTTTGAAATTGTGTAGCATGATACTTCCAGCTTTTTGTTATTGTTGTTTAGGATTGTCTTGGCTATTCAGGTTCTTTTTCATTCCATGTGAATTTTAAAATAGTTTTCTTTTTCTAATTCTGTGAAGAATGTCAATGGTAGTTTAATGGGAATAGCACAGAATCTATACAATGCTTTGCGCAGTATGGTCATTTTCACAATATTGATCTTTCTGTCCATGAGCATGGAATGTTCTTCCATTTGTTTGTGTCCTCTCTGGTTTATTTGAGCAGAGGTTTGTAGTTCTCCTTGAAGAGATCCCTTACTTCCCTTGTTAGCTGTATTCCCAGGTATTTTATTCTTTTTGTGAAAATTGTGAGTGGGAGTTCATTCAGGATTTGGGTCTCAGCTTGTTTTTTGTTGCTGTGTAGGAATGCTAGTGATTTTTGCTTATTGATTTTGTATCCTGAGACTTTGCTGAAGTTGCTTATCAGCTTAGGAAGCTTTTGGGCTGAGATGAAGGGGTTTTCTAGATATGGGATCATGTCATCTGCAAACAAAGATAGTTTGACTTCCACCCTTCCTGTTTGAATATGCTGTATTTCTTTTTTTTTTTTTTTTTTTTTGCCTGATTGCCCTGGCCAGAACTTCCAATATTATATTGAATGGTAGTGGCAAGAGATGGCATCCTTGTCTTTTCCAGTTTTCAAGGGGAATGTTTCCAGCTTTTCCCCATTCAGTATGAAACTGGTTGTGGGTTTGTAATATATGGCTATTATTATGCTGATGTATGTTCCTTCAATATCTAGTTTATTGAGAGTTTTTAACATGAAGGATGCTGAATTTTATTGAGAGCTTTTTTTGCATCTATTGAGATAATCATGTGGGTTCTGTCTTTAGATCTGTTTGTGTGATGAATCACATTTATTGATTTGCATATGCTGAACCAACCTTGCAACCTGGGGATAAAGCCTACTTGATCATGGTGGATAAGCTTTTTGGTATGCTGCTGGATTCAGGTTGCTAGTAGTTTATTGAGGATTTTTTCATAAATGTTTATTAAGAATATTGGCCTAAAGTTTTCTTTTTTTGTTGTATCTCTGTCAGATTTTGGTAGTAGGAAAATGCTGGCCTCATAGAATCAGTTAGGGAGGAATCTCTTGTTTTCAATTTTTTGTAAGAGTTTCATTAGAGATGGTAGGGGCTCTTCTTTGTACCTCTGGTAGAATTCAGCTGTGAATCCATGTGGTCCTCAGCTTTTTTTCGGTTGTGAGGCTATTTATTACTGCCTCAATTTCAGAACTCATTATTGGTCTGTTCAGGAATCCAATTTCTTCCTGGTTCAGACTTGGGAGGGTATATTTGTCAAGGAATGTATCAATTTCTTCTAGATTTTCTAGTTTATGTACATAGAGGTACTTATAGTATCCTCTGATTGTTGTTTGTGTTTCCGTGGGGTCAGTGGAGATATCCGCCTTATCATTTCTGATTGTGTTTATTTGATTCTTCTCTCTTTTCTTCATTATTCTAGCTAGCAGTCTATCTATTTTATTAATTTTTCCAAAAAACCAGCTCCTGGATTTACTGATTATTTGAAGGGATTTTTTGAGTCTCTGTCTCCTTTAGTTCAGCTCTGATCTTGGTTATTTCTTATCTTCTTCTGGCTTTGGGGTTTGTTTACTCTTGATTCTCTAGTTCTTTTAGTTGTGATGTTTGGATGTTCTCTTAAGATCTTTCTAGCTTTTTGATATGGGCATTTTGTGCTATAAATTTCCCTCTGAAAACTGCTTTAGCTGCATCCCAAAGATTCTGGTACACTGTCTCTTCATTCTCATTAGTTTAAAAGAACTTCTTGATTTTTGCCTTAATTTCATTAATTACCCAAGAGTCATTCAGGATCAGGTTGTTCTGTTTCCAGGTAGTTGTGTGGTTTTGAGAGAATTTTTAGAACTTAAGTTCTAATTATATTACACTGAGGTCTGAGGGACTGTTTGTTATGATTTCCTTTCTTTTGCATTTGCTTAGGAGTGTTTTACTTCGGATTATGTGATCAATTTTAGAGTAAGTGCCATGAGGTGATGAGAAGAATTTATACCCTCTTGTTTTTGGGTGGAGTGTTCTCTAGATGTCTATCATGTTCACTTGATCCAGAGCAGAGATCAGAGCCCAAATATCTTTGTTAATTTTCTGTCTCGATGATCTGTCTAATATTGTCAGTGGGATGTTAAAGTCTCCCACTATTATTTTATGAGAGTCTAAGTCTCTCTGAAGGTCTCTAAGAATTTGCTTTATGAATCTGGGTGCTCCTGTATTGGGTGCATATATATTTAGTATAGTTAGCTTTTCTTGTTGAATTGAACCCCTTACCATTATGTAATGCCCTTTTTGTCTTTTTTGATTGTTGTTGGTTTAAAGTCTGTCTTGTCAGAATCTAGGTTTGTACCCGTTGCTTTTCTTCTTTTTGTCCACTTGCTTGGTAAATTTACCTCCTCCCTTTATTTTGACCCTATGTACATCTTTGCATGTGAGATGATTCTCTTGATGACAGCATACCAATGGATCTTGGCTGCTTATCCAGCTCACCACTCTGTTTTTTAATAAGGGCATTTACCCTATTTACATTGAAGGTTAGTATTGTTATGTGTGGATTTAATCCTGTCATCATGATGCTAGCTGGTTATTTTACAGACTTGTGTATGTAGTTGCTTCATAGTATCACTGGTCTATGTACTTCACTTCTTTTTTGTAGTGGCTGGTAACAGTTTTTCCTTTCCATATTTAGTGCTTCCTTCAGGAGCTCTTGAAGGCCTGCTGGTAATGAATTCCTCAACATTTGTTTGTCTGAAAAGGATGTTATTTCTTCTTGCTTATTGATATTGTTTGGCTCTGTGTCCCCACCCAAATCTCACCTTGAATTGTAATAATCCCCACATGTCAAGGGTGGGACCAGATGAAGGTTATTGTATCATGGGGGCAGTTTCCCCCATGCTGTTCTCATGATAGTGAGTGAGATCTTATGAGATCTGATGGTTCTATAAGCATCTGGCATTTCACATGCTGGCACTCCATTCTTTCTCCTGCTCCCCTGTGAACAGATGCCTTCTGCCATGATTGTAAGTTTCCTGAGGCAACTCCAGCCATGTGGATCTGTGAGTAAATTAATCCTCTTTTCTTTATAAATTATTCAGTCTCAGTATTTCTTCATAGCAGCATGATAGTGGGCTAATACACTTATGAAGCTTAGTTTAGCTGGATATAAAATCCTGGGTTGGAAATTCTTTTCTTTAAGAATGTTGAATATTTGTCCCCAGTCTCTTCTGGCTTGTAGGGTGTCCACAGAGTGGTCTGCTCTTAGTCTGATGGGCTTCCATTTGTAGGTGGCCTGGCCTTTCTTTCTGGCTGCCTTTAACATTTCTTCTTTCATTTCAACTTTGGAGAATCTGATGATTATGTGTCTTGGGGTTGATTTTCTTGTGGAATATCTTAGTGGGGTTCTCAGCATTTCCTGAATTTGAATGTTGGCCTGTCTTGCTAGGTTAAGGAAGTTCTCCTGGATGATATCCTGAAGTACATTTTCCAACCTGGTTCCATTCATTCCCTCTCTTTCAGGTACTCCAATCAGTCATAGATTTGGTTTCTTTACATAATCCCATATTTCTTGGAGGTTTCATTAATTTCTTTTCATTCTTTTTTCCTGTATTATTGTTGGCCTGTCTGATTTAAGAAAGATTGTCTTCAAGCTCTGAGATTCTTTCCTCCTTGGTCTATTCTGCTATTAATATTTGTGATTGTATTGTGAAGTTCTTGGAATGTGTTTTTCAGCTCTAACAGGTTGGTTATGTTCTCTAAACTGGCTATTTTGGCTGTCAGGTCTTGTATTGTTTTATCATAATTCTTAGCTTCTTTGCATAATTCTTAGCTTCTTTGTAACATGCTTTTCTTTTTTTAGCTCAGCGAAGTTTGTTATTACTCACCTTCTGAAGTCTACGTCTGTCAATTCAGCCATCTTAGCCTCAGCCCAATTCTGAGCCCTTACTGTAGAGGTGTTGTGGCCATTCAGTGGAAAAAGTGCACACTGGCTTTTTGAGTTTTCAGCATTTTGGGGTTGATTCTCTCTCATATTTGTGGGCTTATCTACCTTTGATCTTCTAGGTTGCTGACCTTCTGATGGGGTTTTTGTGGGTTGTTGTTGTTTTCTATTTGTTTTACTTTTAACAGTCTGACCACTCTTCTAAAGGGCTGCTTCAGTGTCCTGGGTGTCTGCTTCAGACCCTAGTTGCCTCAGTTTTTCCTGTAGCTGGAGGTACTACCGTTGAAGGCTGTGAGACAGCAAAGAAGCAGCCTGCCCCTTCCTCTGGAAGCTCCATCCCTGTGGGGTACTGACCTATTGCCAGCCTAGATGTGCCTGTAGTAGGTGGCTGGAGACCCTGGCTGAGAGGTCTCACCCAGTCAGGAGGAACAGGATCAGGGACCCACTTAAAGAAACAGTCTGGCTGCTTTTTGGTAGAGGAGCTCTGCTGTGTTGGAGATCCATTCATTCCCTGATCAGTTTGGGTTCTCTAAGGCCCATAGGCTGGACCAGCTGAGAAGTGTGAATTGCCAAGGTGGAGGCCTCCCTTGCCCCTCAGGCACTTTGTCCCAGGGAGAATATGTACAAGGGTGGCTGGAGGCTGCAGCTGGGAGGACCTGGCTGGAAGAACCTGCCCTGCAAGGAGGAGTGGATCAGGGCCCCACTTAAAGCAACAGTTTGTCCTCACTTTGAAAAAACAGCTATCTTGTGGAGGGGAATTTCCTCTGCCCCTGTTGGCTTGGACTCTCCAAAACCTGCAGGCTGGAACAGCTGAGTTTTCCAACTAACCCAGGTGGCAGCCCTCCTTTCCCTTGGACACTCTATACCAGGGAGAGATCAGAGCTCTGTCTCTATTACGTACAACTGGGCATGGCTAAAGGGTCTGGCTGAGAGATCCTGCCAAGTGAGGAGGATCTGGGTCCCACTTAAAGAAGCAGTCCAGCCACAATCAGGAAAAGCTGCTGTGTTGTGCTGTTGGGGGGACCCTCCCTTGTCCAGACCATTTCAACTCTCCAAAGCCCACAAGCTGGAACTGCTGAGCTGTCCAACCATCCTTGGTGGTGGGCCTCCCCTTCCCTGGGTACTTCGTGCCAGGGAGAGATCAGATCTCTATCTCTAATACATGGAAGCAGCATGGCTGGAGGGTCCATCTGGGATGTCCTACTCAGTGAGAAGGAATGGATGGAGGCCCTGCTTAAAGAGGCATTATGGCCACAATCTGGCAAAGCCACTGTGTTGCACTGCTGGGGGGAGCCTCCTCATCTGTTTGGACTCTCCAAAGCCCACAGGCTGGAATGGCTGAGTGAACCAAACAGCAGAGATGGTGCCTGCCCCTCTCCACAGGGCTCCATCCAGTCTCAGACAGGCTTTACCCTGTTGCTGGTGGCTGGCTCAAATTCCAAGCTGGTGGGTCTTATGAGGTGCTAAGGAAGCCCACAAAATGACACTGCTTGGCTCCCTGGATTCTGCCACTTCCTAGGGGTATGTGTGTAATTCTTGCCATGCCTGAATTGCAGACTCATTTGTTGCAGATCCCAGGTCTAGAGTATTTAAAGCTCCTGGGTCTCTGTGTGTGCCTGAGCAGCTGCCCTGAGAAGACTCCATAGAGACATCCAACTCTATGTGTCGGATCCAAGGCTCTGGTGGCAGGGGCTCACAAGGGGATCTCCTGATCTGCAAGCTGTAAAGATCTGTGGGAGAAGTGTGGTTTCCCAGGGTCACACAATCACTCACCACTTCCTTTAGCTGGGGATGGGGGTTCCCTTGGCTCCATGTTGCTCCTAGGTGAGCTGTTGCCCCACCATGCTTTTCTTTGTTCTCCATGTGTTGAGTTCTTTCCCTAATCAGTTCCAATGTGGGAACCTGGATATTTCAGTTGAAGATGCTGTATTCACTTGCCCTTTTTGTTCCTCTCCTTGAGTGTCATGGATCACAGCTGCTTCTAATCATCCAACTTGGCCCCTCCCCCTAAACTTTCATCTTAAAACTGCTTTTGCTGCCTTCCATAAGTTTTAGTGTGTTATGTCTCCATTTTAGTCTCAAAATATTTTTTGATTTCTCCTTTAATGTTTTTCTAGACTAATAGGTTGTTCAAGAGTGTGATGTTTAATTTCTACATATATGTGAACTTTTTAGTTTTTCTCCTGTTATTGATTTCTAGTTTCATAGCATTGTGTTTGGAAAAGATACTTGACATTTTTACTGAATGGGGAAATGTTGAAAGCATTTCCCCTGAGAACTGGAACAAGACAAGGATGCCCACTTTTACTACTTATGTTCAACATAGTACTGGAAGTCCTAGTCAGAGCAATCAGACAAGAGAAAGAAATAAAGGGCATCCAAATTGGAAAAGAGAAAGTCAAACTCACTCTTTGCTGAAGATATAACTATATACTTAGAAAACCCTAAAGATTCACCTAAAAATCTCCTAGATCTGATAAACAAATTCAGTAAAGTCTCAGGATACAAAATCAATGTACATAAATCAGTAGTGCTGCTACACACCAAAAGGAACTGAGCTGAGAATCAAATTAAGAACTCAATATCTTTTAGAACAGCTGCAAAAATAAAAATAAAATAAAAAACCTTCTGAATATACTTAACCAAGGAGGTGAATGATCTCTACAATGAAACTACAAAACACTGCTGAAATAAATTATAAATGACAAAAACAAATGGAAACAGAGTCCATGCTCATGGACGGGAAGAATCAATATTGTGAAAATAACCGTACTGACGAAAGCAATCTACAGATTTAATGCCATTTCCATCAGAATACCATCATCATTCTTCAGAGAACTAGAAAAAAAAATCCTAAAACTCATGTGGAACTAAAAAAAGAGTCCACATAGCCACAGCAATACAAAGCAAAAGGAACAAATCTGGAAGCATCACATTACCTGACTTCAAATTATGCTACAAGACTATAGTTATCAAAACAGCATAGTACTGATATAAAAATAGGCACATAGACCAATGGAATACAATAGAGAATCCAGAAATAAAGCCAAATACTTATAGCCAATTGATCTTTGACAAAGCATAAAAAACACAAATTGGGGAAAGGATACTCTATTCAGTAAATGATACTGGGAAAACTGGCAAGCCACATATCGAAGAATGAAACTGGTTCCCCATTTCTCACCTTACACAAAAATCAACTCAAGATTGATCAAAGGTCTGAATCTAAAGCCTGAAACTATAAAAGTTCTAGAAGATAACATCCAAAAAACTCTTCTGGACATGGGCTTAGGCAAAGAATCCATGACTAAGACCCCAAAAACAAATGCAACAAAAACAAAAATAAATAAAAGGAATCTAATTAAACTAAAAAGCTTCTGCACAGATAAAGAAATAATCATCAGAGTAAACAGACAACCCACAGAGGAGAAAATATTCACAAATTATCCATCCAACAAAGAACTAGTATCCAGAATCTACAAAGAACTCAAACAAATCAGCAAGAAAAAATAAATAATCCCATCAAAAAGTAGACAAAGGACATGAATAGACTTCTCTCAAAAGTAGATATATGAACAGCCAACAATCATATAAGAAAATGCAGCCAGGCTCGTTGGCTCACGCCTTTAGTCCCAGCACTTTGGGAGGCCGAGGTGGGTGGATCACCTGAGGTCAGGAGTTTGAGACCAGCCTGGCCAACATGGTGAAACTCCATCTGTACTAAAAAAAACACAAAAATTAGCTGGACGTGGTGCTTGCCTATAATCCCAGCTACTTGGGAGGTTGAGGCAGGAGAATTGCTTGAACCCAGAAGGCAGAGGTTGCAGTGAGCCGAGACTGCACCATTGCACTCCAGCCTGGGTGACAAGAACGAGAAACTCTGTCTCAAAAAAAAAAAAAAAAAGAAAAAGAAAAAGAAAGAAAGAAAGAAAGAAAAAAGAAAACGCATAACCTCTCTAATTATCAGGAAGTGCGAATTAAGACCACAATGAAATATCACCTTACTCCTGCAAGAATGACCATAATTACAGTCAAAAAACAAAAGATGTTGGAGTGGATGTGGTGAAATGGGAACACTTTTACACTGTTGGTAGGAATGTAAATTAGTACAACCACTATAGAAAACAATATGGAGATTCCTTAAAGAACTAAAAGTAGAACTAAGATTTGATCTAGCAATTCCACTACCGGGTATCTACCCAAAGGAAAAGAAGTCATTATACAAAAAAGACACATGCACAAACATGTTTATAGCAGTACAATTTGCAATTACAAGATATGAAACCAACCTAAGTGCCCATCAACCAATGGGCAGATAAAGAAAATATGGTATATCTACACCATGAAACACTACCCAGCCATAAAAAGGAATAAATTATGTCTCTTGCAGCAACTTGGATGGAGCTGGAGGCCATGATTCTAAATGAAGTAACTAAGGAATGGAAAACCAAATATCGTATGTTCTCATTTATAAGTGAGAGCTAAGATATGAGGACACAAAGGCATATGAATTACATAATGGACTTTGAGGATATGTGGGGAAGGATGGGAGTGGGGTAAGGAATAAAAGACTACATATTGAGTACTGTGATAAGTGATGGATCCACTAAAATCTCAGAAATCACCACTAAAGAACTTATCCATGCAACCAAAAACCACCTGTACCCCCAAAACTATTGAAATTAAAAAAAGACATGATACAACTTTAATGTCCTCAAATATTTTTTAGAGATGGGGTCTCAGTCAATTTATCCTTCCACCTCAGCATCTTGAATAGCTGGGATTACAGGTGTAAGCCACTCCACCCAGCTTAAATTTGTTAAGTTGTCTTGAGGCCTAACGTATTAACTACCCTGGAGAATGTTTTGTATACACTTGAGCAGAGTAAAGGGAAGTTTTTCTGAATAAATTGAGGTTCACTTCCAAAGTTTTCTTGTTGGTTTTCTTTCTGGATAACCTATTCATTGTGTGATATCCATACCATGGGATACAGGTATTGACATCCCCTAATAATATCATATGGCTGTCTATTTCTTCCTTCAGATCTGCCAATAGTTACTTCATTTAGAATCATGGCCTCCAGCTCCATCCAAGTTGCTGCAAGAGACATAATTTATTCCTTTTTATGGCTGGGTAGTGTTTCATGGTGTAGATACAGGTATTGACATCCCCTAATAATATCATATGGCTGTCTATTTCTTCCTTCAGATCTGCCAATAGTTGCTTTATATATTTAGGTGCTTAATTGTAGAGTGCATATACATTGACAATTATATCCTCTTGATGAATTGATCCCTTTGTCATTACATAGTGAACTTCTTTGTCTCTTGTTACAGTTTTTGACTTAAGTCTATTTTGTCTGATATACATATAGCTACTCCTCCTTTTTTTTTTTTTGAGACGGAGTCTCCTTGTTGCGCAGGTTGGAGTGCAGTGGCACGATCTCGGCTCACTGCAGGCTCCACCCCAGGGTTCACGTCATTCTCCTGCCTCAGCCTCTGGAGTAGCTGGGACTACAGGCACCCGCCACCTCGCTCGGCTAATTTTTTGCATTTTTAGTAGAGACGGGGTTTCACCGTGTTAGCCAGGATGGTCTCGATCTCCTGACCTCGTGATCCACCTGCCTCGGCCTCCCAAAGTGCTGGGATTACAGGCATGAACCACCGTGCCCGGCCTATCTTTTGGTTTTTATTTGCATGGAATATCTTTTCCATCCCTTCACTTTCAGCCTATGCATGTCCTTAAAGCTAAAATGAGTTTCTTACACGCAGTATATGGTTGTATCTTGTGTATGTGTTTTTTAAAATTCAGCCACTCTGTGTCCTTCTGATTGGTGAATTCAGTTTATTTAAATCTGAAGTAATTATTAATAGATTAGGACTTGCTATTTCCATTTCAAATTATTTTCTGTTTTATAGTTCCTTTTTCATCTCTTGCTCTCTTCTGTTGTTATTTGATTTTATATAGCAGTGTGCTTGATTTTTTTCTTTTCATCTTTTAAATATCTACTCTAGGTTTTTGCTCTGTGATTATCATGGGATTACAAAAAACATTTAACAGGTATAAAAGTCTAAGTTTATTTTAACTTCAATAGCATACAGCAACTTTACCATTTACCCTTTACTGCCCACATTTTAATTTTTGATTTCACAATTTGTTATATTGTTTATTCGTTAACAAATTATTATAGGTACAGCTATTTTAATATGCTTGTCTTTTCACCTTTATAGTGGAGTTTAAAATGATTTATACACCACAATTACAGTATTATTCCGAATTTGATTATTTACTTACCTTTACCAGTGAGTTTTATACTTTTATATGCTTTCATTTTACTAATTAGTGTCCCTTCTGTTAGCTTGAAGAACTCCCTTTAATATTTCATGTAAGGCAGGTATAGTAGTGATGAATTCCTTCTGCTTCTGTTTATCTGGGAAAGTCTTTATCTTTCCCTCATTACTGAAGGACAATTTTGCTACATAAAGTTTTCTTAGTTGACTTTTCCCCTCCCCAGAACTTTGAATATTATCATTCTGCTCTATACTGGCCTTCAAGGTTTGTGCTAAGAAATTCACTGAGTCTAAGGTAGCTTTTTTGTTTCTTTGTTTGTAACAAGTCTCTTATTTATTTCTGCTTTCAAAATTTTTGCCTTATCTTTGATTTTTGATAGTATTGTTAGAATGTGTCTCTGTGAAGTCCTCTTTGCATTGAAACTATTTGGGAACTTTTGAGAATCATGTACATGAATTGTTCATATTTTTCTCAATATTTGTAAAATTTTCAGGCATTATCTATTTAAATAACTTTTCTGATTCCTTCTGTCTATTTTTTTTTCTCCTTCTGGGGACTCCATATTTCTTATATCATTTCTCTTGATGGTGTCCTATAAATATCATAAGGCTTCTTTATTTTTTATATTGTGTTTTCTTTTTTTCACTCTGACTGGATAATTTCAAATTACCTAACTTCAAGTTCACATATTTTCTTCTGTTTGACTGAAGTGTGCTATTTAAGGCCTATTTTGCATTTTTCGTTTCCTTCACTGTATTCATCACCTCCAGAATTTCATTTTAAAAATAATTTGTATCTCTTTGTTGATCTTCTCATTTTGCTTATGTATTTTTCCTAATTTCATTTTTATCTATTTGTGTTCTTTTTTAGCTTACTGACATTCCTTGAAACAATAATTTTGGATTCCTTGTTAGGCAATTTATAGAACTCCATTTTTTTGAGGACAGTTATTAGAAAATGTGCATATTCTTTTGCTGGTGTCATATTTCCTTGTTTTTTTAATGTTCTTTGAAGTCTTGCATTGCTACCCTCACATTTAAAGAAGAAATCACCGTTTGGTGATTGGCCCTGGGAAAGAAATACCTTCATCAGTGAGCCAGGCTAGGGATTCTGAGGCTCTCTCAGACCTTTTCTATGGATTTACTCACTCCATCCTTCATGTTCCCTTTTGGGAGAAAATTCTTACAAATTCAAGAGTTTCCCAAAACCAGGTCTGGTGTTGACAGTCTTCTGTTTGTTTTCCCTATGGCAGTGCCTTGAAATGCTTAAGTTTGTCTGCCTTTCTCCAATCCTGCAGAATCAAGCTGGCTGACTGCATGTGCTCATGAGCTTGTGTGCAAAGGCTCCCACTCGTTGTTGAGGGAGTGCACATGGGAAGTAAGCTACCAGGAATATGGGTGAAGTATGTGGAACAGTGAAGGTGCCTGTGGGCCAGTTGAGAGGAGGGAGTCTGTGGGTTAGGCACTCCAAGTCACTTGTGGGTGGTCCTCCTGATGGAGTTCATGTGGTTGTTAGTTGGACAAATGGCCCTTTTTTGAGTTTCTAGCCTTGCCTCTGTTTCCTGCTCCCAGCTTCCCCCAGCCACTTAGCCACGCTGATCCCTTCAGCATGGGGAGATGAGAAAGAGATGGGCCTCTGAGTCAGTGTCCTGCATAGCTGGCATAGCCAGGCTCAGTCTGTTTTCACTTTCCCCTATGAGAGGCATCATGGGCTGAGGGGCTTTCTCTTGTCACTAAGCTGTGCCACCTTGGGTGAGTGGTGAAGAGGGTAAAGGGAAACTGATTTTCTTCCCTTTTAATGTATTATTAGAATATATTTTTTGAACTTCTCTGCTGGGCTCCCAGACACCCACAAGGGTACTCTTTGTGGTTCCTTTGTGCACTATGGGTGCACTATGGGGAGGTGGTGGTAAAGAACTTCTATTTAGACATCTTGCTGATGTCACTCCTCTAGGAAGATGACACATTCCTACCAGTTGCTATGTAACTGACAGAACTTCATTGTGAAAGGAAAATATTTTCTTGCCCCATTGACTTGAGGCTTGGATATATGACTTGCTTTATGCTACGGAATGTGTTCATAAGTAGTAGAGGCACAGTTGGAGGAAAAGTGTTAAGCCCCTTTTCATGAATTGTCCATGCTCTGTTTCCCTCTGCCAGGAGGAGGTGTTACATTTAGTTTAATGGTTATCTGATCACAGTTGTAACCAAGACAGCAGAGGAGAAAATGATTCGTCTTGAAAATGCTTTGGACATTCTTGTATATTTTCTGAGTAGCTTGTCAAGTTTCAAACAAAGCAAAACAAAATAAAAATACAAATTTTGACATTTTGGGGGACTATATGTATTATATTTCTTATCAAACTGGTGACAACTGACATTTTCCCAGCATTGCATCTTCCAGTCACTGAATATGTTTTTTTTTTTCTAACCTCAATAATGATTTATAGTTTTTCCCCATATCTTTTGGTGATTTTATTTATTGGTATTTTTGGTGCTTTTAAAATTAACTTTTAAAAATCTCATATTCTAACTCATAACTAACAAATAGAAATATTGATTTTTAAAAATACCAAGCTTGTCCAGTAATTTTGCTAAATTAACTTGTTTTAATAACTTATCTATAAATTATTTTATATTTTCATGTACACAATCTGCCTTTTCCTCCCTTGCCACACACACAGAATGCAGCAACAGTTTTCTTTATACCAGGTGTTCAACACCTACTATTAAATGGAACAAAATTCTAAGTGTTTCTTAATCAAGGCTGGGAGTCTTTTTCAAAATAACCATTTCTACATCTCATCTGCTCTCATAGGTTTGGGCTAGGGCCTGACCACATTTATTCTAAAAAATTTCCCAAATTATTCTAATGTAAAAACCTTGTTGTGAAACACTGTTCTATATCAATAAAATACTAATAAATTTTCTGTATAATTCAAGTCCTGAATATATTTTGCTCTCAAATGTCTGAGAAGCTGAGACAAAAACATTCATTGTTTTGGACATATTTGTTTAAATTTCCTTTTATCCTTGATTTGATAAGGTACACTATAATAATCAACCAATCAAAATTTAAATGTTAGATTTGTTTGTAAGAAGAAAAAGGGATTTAAATGTGAGACTCTTTAAATCATTTAAAAGAATTGTGGCAGACCTAGCTAAGAAATGGATGTGTAGAGAAGAGGTGGCTGAATGTTTTCTCTCTTGGCTGAAACCTCCACAAACAACAAGCTACAATGAGTAAATCATTTTTTAAATGGATAAGACTAGGAATCCAGATGTTTGGAAGCAAGATACTAGCTGGTAATGTGCTATAGCCCATCATCCAGGCCCTTCCTGAGGGAAATGATAGCAAAGCCAGACTCTCTGCTTTCTAAATATCCTCTAGAAACCAATCTTGTTGTCACCAACATCACGACTTTGTTTCAGCTGGCAATTTACCAACATCTGCTTGGCAAGGACTCTTTTCCCTTGACTCTCAGATATATGTGTTTTCCCATTTTGAAGCACTGAACCCAACACACAGCAAGAAGAGAGTATTGAAGTCACAACGACTATATGCCAATTTATTTGCAGAAAAACCTCCGATCTTCTTATTTATAGTATTATTCCTACCTTCACAATCTTGGCAGTATAAATTATCAGTGTGTACTTCACTGCTTGGAGTAATCTAAAGGAAAGAAAACATATGCATTTACATCTATTCAGGTAGCCCTTCACAGTTATTTTGAGTTTTGCAAAGAAAATGGGACAGGTGCTGTAGTTTTATATTACAGAATATCAATTATTGTGCTTTACTAGCATTTCAACCCCAAGGCTTTATAAATTTTAAAAACGAGATTAAATGGTTGGCAGAGGGAAAGTTTATTAAATGTACAAAAATCATCAATCACATCCATTACATTTAGATTGGAACATGGTCAAGCACATCTTTTTACTTCTTTGACCACTTTTATGATTGTCAAACTTATTCAATCATTTGTAGAGTGCAAAATTTGTATTTATTAGGAAGGAGACAGAGTGTTTCTTTGGCTGCTTATAGTCCAAGTTGGACAGAAAAATCACTTCAGCATTGCACAAGCCAGCTGAGAGATAATTAAGTCATTTGAATGTGAGGTTTCTTGGCTTCCCTCTCTCATTTTTTCCCTTGTCTCTTCTTGGAAGCAAAAACCATGGATCTTGTCCCATGTCCTTCCCCTGACTGTTCTTAACATTCCCTTTTCCTCCCTGAAGTAAGGGCATAATATTTCCTCTTACTGAAGAAAAAATATTGAGAAAAATTACTAGCAAAGATTCATAAAGTGAACCTTAGATACCTGTAGAGCTCTGTAAATATGTCTCTCTTAACCTTGTATGATCTCAAAATAATCTATTTAGGCATCATTTCTTTTTTAGAATGTAAATTCCTTCAGGACACAGATATAGCTTATTCATCTTTGCATCCTTAAAACCTAATATAACAGGTGATAAGGAAGTGCTCCTCGAACAAAACTCAACTGAAGATCAAATAGTAAACTTTTTAATTTTATGGATAAAGAAACAGACCCAGAAGTTGAAGTGATTTTCCCACTTCTAAGATAGTCAGTGGTAATGTCCTTCTACTTTGCTGAAGAGTTTTAAAAGCCAGCTTTTTTTTTTTTTTTTTCCTACCTGGGCTGTGCAGACTCATCCAGAGAGGAACACATAAAGCATATGAGGCCACTTGGAGACATCATAAAAGATTTTGGGCAGTGGAACAATCATTTGGCTGGTGATCCTTGGAGCTCCACATTTTGTTCTCATAGTCCCAGATGGTAGCATGATTTCACATGCCCAGTGTCTGGCTAAATGATTTTGTCCAAACTCAATATCAAGCATATAAAATGATGTGATCTGGAAGGGACAAATAATTGGAACTGACAACATAAATAATATATGCTCTTTTAATTAACGAAATAGAATTGTATCTAGCTGTACAAAGCCTAAGTGCAGATAAATTTTATAATTTTATATCGTCAAATCTAAGTAACTTTAAACATTTAAAACTTTAGGTGTTTAAAGGTATTTAAAATATTTTTTCTTTACCCAATTAAGTTCTCTCACTTCCCCTTTTATATGTAATATACATATCTATATACATTAAGAAGTATTGTGCTAACAATGTTAAACATCTTAAAATTAATGGGGCTATTTAGTTGTTTCTCACACATGTATTCGAATGTCAGTATTTCATTACTCTTAGCCTCATAGGTGACACTGTCTTCTAAGAAAATACTTTGGGGTGTTTTATTACAAGTTAATTTCTGTTGAGTATTTGAAATGGTTTTTCTGTGTAAGTAAAGGTTTGACTTACTTTCTATAAAAATAGAGTGTATTATTTGAATACAAGATATTGGTTGTTTTCCAAAAAATCAATGTCAACTAGTTAGTTCATATCTGGGCTATAATATAGTATTGTTCCTGTTTTGACTGCTGTTTTGACTTAAACAGAATCATTCCCCATTTTATTGCCAATAAATGTTGAATTTGGAGATAGAATTACATACATTGGATTAAATGCAGTACACAAATAAATACAGTATGCTGCTGTTTAAGGACTGCTGGTGCAATCTGCTGTCAATTCTTGAAACATTAAATTCTACTACTCCTCTACTAAATATAGGCTTGAGGTGCACTGGAGAACAGGAGCTGGTACAGCTATTGAAATCAACAGACTCAGGCATCCAGTCACCAATTTGGGCTGGAAACTTGCCAAGGTTGATTTTATTTTATTTTTAAACTACTGTTAAAGCTGGCAGAATTAAATATACACACGCACTCTCTCTCTACAAATAGGGACAAAAATGAATATGAGTTAGGGGTGTTGGGGACTTTGAGATTCCAGTTTCTTCTCATATAATCCATCCTTAAACTCTTTCTGGACAATTTTCTTGTCCTTGCCATTGAGATACTTAGTTACATGCAGTGGAACTACCTTGATATGTTTTATGTAAGTTTTTTTTTTTCTAGCTAAGGCCAGTATATTTGTTCAGGTCTATATGATAGTTTCCAAGTTGGTACAACTCCACTTCAAATTTAGACAATTAAAGATCAACAGAAACTTTATAGAAATAAAATAGTTGCAAAAATATGTCAGTGGTTTTTTTTTTTTCCTTAATAAGCAAGGTAAAATAGATTTGGAATGTTTATCACCTTGGTGCTTTATGGTATTTGAGTAGAATTTAGCAAGAGCAGAAATTCTTGGCATTTCCATGAGCTTTTATTTCTATTATCTCCAATAGTTTCAGATTTCAAAGAACAGTTTTGGTGCTAATTACCAGATTTTGACTTTTACGAAAACCCCACACCACATGTCCTGATTTTATACCCAGTTGCATGTGGAATCTGAAATGTAGTTTTATCAAAATAAACTCACACTTTAGTGTGTGGAATTTCACTTGTAAAGTAGAGATCATAATTTCAAAAACAAACACAATTTGCACTTGGTTTTGCTTGAAAAAATAAAACGCTTGGCTGTGATCAGATGAAAAATGTTTTACTCAAGTACTGGCTTTTCTCTGAAAAGCACCCGTGGTTGGAGCCAAGTGGTCGTGAACAGCATCATCTTCTATGCAAGCACCTTGGCATCTCCTTATTTTATTGGTATATTTTAGAAGTTTTTTTTCTTAAAATTATTTTATTCTTTTTTAGAAGTCCAAACGTTTATTCTAACATTTCCTACTTATTTGGGTCAAGAGCAGCACTTGTAAGGACCAATTATGGGAAGAAAAAAAAATTCTTAAATTACTAATTGAGTCGAAAGAATTGAATACACTGTTTTCCGATGCAGAAATATCCAGTTATGTCCCCGAGGGGCAACTGATATCACAGAAGACAGAATTTGAATTCTAGCCCTGCCACCCAGTTTCTCTTTTACCTTGAGCAAGTTATATAATCTCTCAAATTCCAAGCTTCCTCGTCTTATAAATGGCAATAACTAACAATAATTTTGAAGATGGGATGAGAAATGAGACATGGAGAGACCCTAGTTATGTGCTTAGAACATAGCAGATACTCAGAGAAGCTGCTGGTGCTTGGGATGGCATTTCAAGTCCACAGCGGAAAAATAAAAATAAAATAGAATCAGAACACTTCAGTTACTTAGATTTTAAAGTTTTTTTAATTTAAAAATTATTTAATTTTTTAAAGATACAGTTCTCACTATGTTTCTCAGGCGTGTCTCAAACTCTTGGTGATCCCCCCACCTCAGCCTCCAGATTAGCTGGGATTACAGGTGTGAGTCACTTCGCCAGGGAGATTTTAAAATTTTTATATGTAAAACTGAAAAAACAGTTTGTGCCATTATTACCTATCATCAACTCTATCAATATTTTTGTTTGTGTTAAGTATTAAAGCTATTCCAAAAGAATTAGCCCTCATGATCCAACAGGCTCATAACACAGTAAGAGAAGAATGCAAGAAAGGGCCATGCATTTTATCATTTACAAGACATCCCTGGATGCCTGTGAGGAGAGTAGAGAGAGTAGAAAAATGTAGAGTGCGGTCTTGTTGTCAGCACGGTTGCGTGGAGAGCCACCTCTAGTACTTATCGCTGTAAATCTTTCAGTAGGTCAATTAACCTCCCAAAGATGAATAGTAGCATTTATCTTGATGAGCTATTTTGAGAATCAAATGAGAAAATCCATACAAAGTCTTAGCAAGGTCCCTGGCACATGATAAACATACCAGAGATGGTTTAGCCCTCAACATGATTATTAGTCTGTCTTTCCTTTAGGGGGTTCTTTCTTAGAAGCATCTATCTACCTTTCTGGGAAGAACACAAAATGGAATAGAATATACAATTTTGCTTTTAAAGTTCCTCTTTCTATCCAAGATCTTTATCATTTTACATTAGCATTGTTCTGAACAGCCCATGGCTATATAAAGAGCTACCTTTCATTTTGAGAGGAATTATTGGGTCTCAATTCATTGAATTATTTGAACATAATAACAAACTTCCAGTTTCTTTATTTCTTCATCTTGGACATCATGTAGCAACGTGTACACAAGTAGCCTTAGGTCTTTGGACGTCATCATGAACAACCTTTTTATGAGTCCGTTGTTAAACTCTTTATGAGATTCATCAAAGTGAGTAACACTGCTAGTCCTCCAAGAGTCTCTTACCCCATGAATGATTTATAACAAAGAGAGCTACTTTATTAAAAGGTTCTTGTGCTTCAGAGTCTCTTGTGAGCTCAAAGAGCTAAGAGTTTCCATTATTATATTAGAAGAAATACATGTTAATTCAAGAGAAATTTAAAAAGCCATGGGAAGTTTATCAATTTGTTGTGTAGTCCCATCTTTTAAAAATATTCCCTTCCCTTTGTTTCTTTAATCATTTTCATCTGTTCATTTAATTAATACTTCCTGCATGTTACAATGTTCTTGACCTTGCTAGAGAATAAGACTGGCAGAACATCTGCCCTTGAAGAGTTGCTAATGGTTCTCAAAGGGAGCTGCACATCAGCATCAGTGGCGATTTGTTTTAAGAGAACCAACACGTAACCATTGTATCAGAATCTTTAAGGTATGGGTGAAGACCCAGAGGCAGAAGGAGCCTACTACTTTGATGGATCTAAAAAGAAAGCCATTTGCATTGGACTACAGTGATCAAGAGGTAGAGGGTAGGAGATGGCTGTATTAGAGATGCAGAGCCTGACCTCAGGCCAACCTCCCCAATTTCAGAAACTGTTACTTAACTAACACTGGATTTAACGAAGCATTTATTCAGATTATCAAGTGCAATCCTTTTCAATGTTATAGTGAGTGGGATATTAAAAAGATTTTTGAAGAACTCATGCTTCATTTCAAATACATGTTGCAATTTGAAATCTGCTAAATGTGGTCTTAACATCAATTTTTCAAAAGAGGGAAAAGGAGCCCTCAAATGTCTATAGTAAAATTTTCTTAATCACTTGAACTACAGATGCCCATTCTTTTATGTCCCTTCCCTTGCAACATTTTCCTAGTAGAATATTTCATACATTCAAATGTCATCAATTACTAACTCTAGGTTATGAACATGCATGTTCCTTTTACTTGGCTCTTTATATAAAATTTTCCAAATCCATTGGATCATTTATTATTCAGCTTCAATGTCTTCACCTAGTTACTACAAAGGTGGGATGAAGGAGTAGAGTAACCTGACAGTAGTCTAAGTGTGGGATTTTGGGAATTAATATCATTTTGGTATGGACATTTCTTGAGCCTTATTTAAAATTATATCTGGGTCTTTAAGATCTCAGTTTATCCATCTTATTATTTGTCTTTTTATTGTCTAGTAGTCACAAATATCTTCAGTGTTTCTCTATTGTCATTTTAAGTAGTTTAGTGATAAAGTACAAAATATTTTTTTCAAAATTTCATAGTTTTCATTTCCTTCCAAACTTAGTTATAAACTAGCTAAAAATAAAATCAAAAGGGAATAAATATGTAACCCTTCTTTTAATCCAATATCATTTAGACCATCTTACTATTTGGAGATGTGTTTTTTACTCTCAATAATTTTTTACAGTAGTCAACAACTTAAAATTTTTTGAGCACCTCTATTTAGAAAATAATTACTTTTATTATGAAAATCTCCTCCACTCATACTATTATTCCTTTTTACGTGAGTTGGAATATTATTAATATTTTAAATTAATGTGATATTTAATAAATGACTTAGAAAAAGATTTTGATCAGAAAAACTGTACATGACAATTCCATTCTTGCAGACCAAATGTATAATTTATAAATCTTCATTACACAAAATATTCAGGATGATCAAGGCCCATTAATTCATGTAAAAATATTTAGCTTTCTGGAATAAATCTCTGAAACATCCAAAAAAAAAATCTGGGCAAATTTATGAGTTGTGATGCTTTTAATCTGCAGTCATAATGTGGATCTGTCTTCATTTGATTGCATAATTAGAAGAAAAGAAGGACACATGAAAGGTTATCTAATGGCCTATTAGAACATTGCTTTGTTTGATTCATTAATATGCAATGAAATGTATATTGTAAGAAACTACTGAAACATAATTCCTTGGCTAAAATTCAAGAATGTTTATATGATTGGAGAGTTATTTTTCCAGGAAAGTAAAGTTTAATTGTAATCAGATGTTCAACTGGAAGCACAAGGATAGTAATAATATTGTTGGAAATGATATTTAAATGTTTGCCTTATATTCATCCTCATGTAGAACCATATTCATGTTCAGAATGTATAGATGAACAAATCTTGCTTTTTCATGTCTTTTTAATCAAATTTCTTCCTGGGGTCTGAGTGCCAGCTCTAGAAGCTGGAATGAAGTTCCATAGAGACGTCCAAGAAATCACGGTAGTACCTGCTTACTGTTTCTGAACCTCAGTGTAAGGGCTGCTGAGTCATACAACTCCATTGAACTGTATTTGAATGATGCTCCCAGTTGTGCAATATAGCAGCATAACTTTAAAGAGCACTTGGCTTTTGTGGCACACTCAAATCTCTGATTTTTCACACTGCTGAAAAGACTTTTTTTCCAAGTTTCAGTTATTTATTAATCAGTGTAATTTCCAGTAGATTACTTCAGCATGATTTCATGCATTTATAGGAGAAATATTTCCTGGTTAAGTGGAAAATTGTGCGGATGGCTTCTGGAAGACCTTCATTTTAAAGCAGCTTTATAGTGAAACACTTCGTTTAGAAATCTAGACCATCTTTCTTCATTTGCTGTAATCCACATTCACTGATTAGAACCTGTATCAATCACTGGGACCCAGTTTCTTCCACAGCTCTGGGTTATTCTTTCTGTCCCAACTAACATCTCCATCGAACAATGCTGGACTCGAGATACAGTGCTGCTCCAGTACATCCAGCTCCAATAAATACAGAGGTAGATCAAACTCATATGTTTCTTGGCCTGACTGATGATCTGGCGGAACATGTTTGTGATAGAGGCCTCTAATTGGAAAGGAGAGAACCAGCCTAGCCACCAGGCCCTGGGCTAAGTAGTATCTGCACTTAAAAAGACTGGTTTTAATGTATTTTTAAATGTTATAGTATAGTTAATGGGCTATCAAGTAAATCTATGAGCCATATTTCCTCTACTTAACTGGAGGAAGTGTAAAGAAAGAGATATACCTGATTATAGAGAGACTGCTAGATTTTAGAAAACAAAATGGAAAGAAAGTTAAGTGAACAGAATGTTCATGTTGGAAACTGAAGGAAGAATGAATTAAGTTTTATCAATTCGACCTTCTTAAATCTCTTGATTTGGTCTGTATCCTTCCATACCTCCTTGCTGCCACACCACCTTTATTTTTTCTTATGTTTATTATTTCTGTAATTGTTCTCACAGCCTCTAGTCTTGATCCAATCTTACTTACTGCACTCTGCTTCCAGACTGATTTTTCAGGATAAAAATCCAAATATATTAGTGGTGCCTTCAGGTTCCTTTATGACCCAACTCTGCTTACCTTTCCAGCTTAAATTGCTCTAGGCATTCTAGGATTCAAAGCATCCTTACTTGGACTTTCCCTAGCACTGATGCTCTTCCTTCCCCTGAGTCCTTTGAAAACTCCTTACCATTAGTTAATAGGACTAGAATCTTAGGACTTGGCTTTGATATAATCTCCTCCAAGAAGTGTTCCCTGGTAGCTCCCATACTGTTGTTAAAAGTTCTGTATAAACCTTAATGGAGCTCTTACTAAAAGGTATTTAAACCATCTGTTCACTGGTATGTCTCACCTCACTACATTTAATCTCTTGAAGACTGAGGCTGCATTTTTTAATCTTATATTACCAGGACCTTACACAGTGCTTGAAATCTATTAATTGCTTAAAACTCATTTGTAGAATGCTTAAGTAGGTGAGTTAATAAATATATAGCTAAAGAATGATTGAAAGGGACAGACAGGAATAGGGAGATTCTGGAAAGCAAAAGAGAAAAAAATAAACTTCTAGTTTATTTTTTAAGCTATAAATTTTTGCAGTTTCTTTTTTTAAAAATTTTATTTTACCTTAAGTTCTGGGATACATGTGTGGAACATGTAGGTTTGTTACATAGGTTTACATGTGCCATGGTGGTTTGCTGCACCTATCAACCCATCTTCTAGGTTTTAAGCCCCGCATGTGTTAGCTACTTGTCCTAATGCTCTCCCTTTCCTCACAATCCCCCGACCCCCTGACTGGCCCCAGTGTGTGTTGTTCCCCTCCCTGAATTCATGTGTTCCATTGTTCAACTCCCACTTATGAGTGAGAACATGTGGTGTTTGGTTTTCTGTTCCTGTGTGAGTTTGCTGAGGATGATGGCTTCCAGCTGCATCCATGTCCCTGTAAAAGACATGATCTCATTCCTTTTTATGGCTGCATAGTATTCCATGGTGTGTATGTACCACATTTTCTTTATCTAGTCTATCATTGATGGGCATTTGGATTGGTTCCATGTCTTTGTTAGTGTAAATAGTGCTGCATTAAACATACATGTGCATGTGTCTTTATAGTAGAATGATTTATATTCATTTGGGCATATTCCCAGTAATGGCATTGCTGGGGCAAATGGTATTTCTGGTTCTAGATCCTCGAGGACTTGCCGCACTGTCTTCCACAATGGTTGAACTAACTTACATTCCCAACAACAGTATAAAAGCATTCCTATTTCTCCACAGCCTTGCCAGCATCCATTGTATCTTGACTTTTTAATAATCGCAATTCTGACTGATGTGAGATGGTGTCTCATTGTGGTTTTGATCTGCATTTCTCTAATGATCAGTGATGATGAGTTTTTTTTCATATGTTTATTGGCCACATAAATGTCTTTTTTTGAGAAGTGTCTGTTCATATCCTTCACCCACTTTTTCGTGGGGTTGTTTTTATCTTGTAAATTTGTTTAAATTCTTTGTAGATTCTGGATATTAGCCCTTTGTCAGATGGGTAGATTGAAAAAATTTTCTCCCATTCTGTAGGTTACCTATTCACTCTGATGACTGTTTCTTCTGCTGTGCAGAAGCTCTTTACTTCAACTAGATCCAATTTGTCAATTTTGGCTTTTGTTGTAATTGCTTTTGGCATTTTCGTCATGAAGTCTTTGCCCATGCCTATGTCCTGAATGGTATTACCTAGGTTTTCATCTAGAGTTTTTATGGGTTTGGGTTTTACATTTAAGTCTTTAATCCAGCTTGAGTTAATTTTTGTATAAGGTGTAAGGAAGGGGTCCAGTTTCAGTTTTCTGAATATGGCTAGCCAGTTTTCCCAGCATTGTTTATTAAATAGGGAATCCTTTCCCCATTGCTTGTTTTTGTTTGGTTTGCCAAAGATCAGATGGTTGTAGATGTGTGGGGTTGTTTCTGAGGTCTCTGTTCTGTTCCATTGGTCTACATGTCTGTTTTGGTAATAGTACCATGCTGTTTTGGTTACTATAGCCTTGTAGTATAGTTTGAAATCAGGTAGCTTGATTCTTTCAGCTTTGTTCTTTTTGCTTAGGATTGTCTTTGCTATACAGACTCTTTTTGGTTCCACATGAAATTTAAAGTAGTTTTTTCTAATTCTGTGAAGAATGTCAATGGTAGTTCAATGTGAATAGCATTGAATCTATAAATTACCTTGGACAATATGGCCATTTTCATGATATTGATTCTTCCTATCCATGAACATGGAATGTTTTTGCATTTGTTTGTGTCCTCTCTTATTTCCTTGAGCAGTGGTTTGTAGTTCTTCAAGAGGTCCTTTGCATCCCTTGTTAGCTGTATTCCTAGGTATTTTATTCTATTTGTAGCAATTGTGAATGGGAGTTCATTGATGATGATATGGCTCTCTGCTCATCTGTTGCTGGCATAATTTTTACATATTGATTTTCTATCCTGAGACTTTGATGAAGTTGCTTATCAGCTTAAGGAGTTTTGGGGCTGAGATGATGAGGTTTTCTAAATATAGAATCAAACTGTCTGCAAATAGAGGCAATTTGACTTCCTTTCTTCCTATTCAAATATTCTTTATTTCTTTCTCTTGCCTGATTGCCCTGGTCAGAACTTCCAATACTATGTTGAATAGGAGTGGGGAGAGAGGGCATCTTTGTCTTGTGCCAGTTTTCAAAGGGAATGCTTCCAGCTTTTGCCCAGTTAGTATAACATTGGCTGTGAGTTTCTCATAAATAGCTCTTATTATTTTGAGATATGTTCCATCAATACCTAGTTTATTGAGAGTTTTTAACATAAAGGGATGTTGGATTTTATTGAAGGCCTTTTCTGCATCTACTGAGATGATCATGCAGTTTTTGTCATTGGTTCTGTTTATGTGATGGATTACTTTTATTGATTTTCATATGTTGAACCAACCTTGCATTTCAGGGATGAAGCCAACTTCATTGTGGTGCATAAGTTTTTGATGTTCTGCTGGATTCAGTTTGCCAGTATTTTATTGGTGATTTTCACGTCGATATTCATCAGGGATACTGGACTGAAGTTTTTTTTTTTGGTCGTGTTTTTCCCAGGTTTTTGTATCAGGGTGATGCTGGCCTCATAAAATGAGTTAGGGAGGAGTTCCTGCTTTTCAATTATTTGGAATAGTTTCAGAAGAAATGGTACCAGCTCCTCTTTGAATCTCTGGTAGAAGTTGGCTGTATATTTGTCTAGCCCTGGGCTTTATTTGATTGGTAGGCTATTCATTACTGCCTCAATTTCAGAAGTCGTTATTGGTCTATTCAGGGATTTGACTTCTTTCTGGTTTAGTCTAGGGAGGTGTATGTGTCGAGGAATTTATTCATTTCTTCTAGATTTCCTAGTTTATTTGCATAGAAGTGTTTATGGTATTCTCTGATGGTAGTTTGTATTTCTGTGGGGTCAGTGGTGATATCCCCTTTATCATTTTTTATTGTGTCTATTTGATTCTTCTCTCTTTTCTTCTTTGCTCATCTAACTAGTGGTCTATTTTGTTAATTTTTTCAAAAAACCAGCTCCTTGATTCATTGATTTTTTTAAAGATTTTTTTGTGCACAGTTTCTTAATTTAGAATTTTTAAATATTTTTTATTTTCTCATGCCAATTTCAAAATCTTTACACTTGTCTCAAGTTAGTAGTAATAAATATCTAGGTTATCTATAAATATAAAACACATACACACATATATATACACATACATAAATTTAACATGAATCAAAAAACATACAAACATATAAACAAACAGTTACATACACATATATTTATGTAGATATTGTATACATATATTTATCAGAGACTTATTCTATGAGCACAATAATAATTAAATTGATTTTATTAATGTTTTCTGAAATAATTAGTTTCTTTTATTCATGTTAATATTGCAAGACTTCTGCTGTTTCTTAGCTCAAGGGGAACTATAATACTCAAGATTCTAGACAGCAAATTATGTCCAAATAGAATATACATGACCTTACGGTAATCCAGTATGCTACTATGCTGAGTTAGGGATTGGGGTGATCCAGACAAAAGTCTAATTAAAACTATCACTGAGGGAATGGAACAGGGGGAAATCAGCATTTCTTACTTTCATCTTGTCCTGTCAGAATTTTACAATATCTAAATATCAATTTTTTTGTCTGCATGAACTTTAGTAGAGAATTGTTTATTAAGAAGAAGATTATTAACTCTTTATTGGTAAAATTTTACTGTGAGGCTAGCACCCTGTGAAAATGAGGGAGCTAAACATGGTGGAAGACATTCCTGGGATGTAAGTAAGAGTCCTATCTACCTGGTCATCAAAAATCCTTTTTTAAAACTAGAACTCTTAAAAGGATGGGATCAGAAAAGATCCTGCTAATAAGAACATGCAGCAGATCTATTTATTGGAGACAGTACAATTTGAATATGATGATGTCATGCTATGAAAATGCCACAATTGGTGGATTAGTGTGGTTGGATAGACTGGTGATCATGGATTCTATCCTGTTGAGGAGGGTCAACTGGCTTAGCACTGTTGTGATATTTTGCATGTGCTAAGCTAGACAAACCATATAGGACAGACCTAATATAAAGGGGGACAGAGATGGATGCAGACTCACATGAACTTTGTTTTTTACCTAAATTTACTCTAAACTAGGAAGCAAGCAGTATAAAATACACACATACACACACAAGGATACATGACAGTGGACATAGCTTTTCAATGGCTATTTCTTGCCAGAGGAGCATCTAAAACTCAGTGATTAGTGCATATAATACAAGCAGACAAATTCACTATGGAGCCCAGGATCAACAATGGCTGACTTTACTTCCTATAGGCTGGGGGTACAGCTGCATCGGTACTGGACACTCAACTTATTATTCTATAAGACAATTCTCACTACAGTCATATACTTCCAGAGTCTAGTTTTTGCTGTGTCATAAGGGCTGGGGTAAGTTTGACCATGGCTACACACCTACCCATGTCTTTCATTAATATATTTTGTTGTTCAAAAAACTATTCCCAGGCTGATGACTAGGACAGATGTGGAGAAATTAACCTCGGATCCTAAAATAAAACAAGCTAAGGGAAACTGTACTCATTATGTTTTTGTTTTTATTAGTTTTTTTTTTTTCTTTCTTTTTTTTTTTTTTTTTTGACACCTAGTATCTTTACCTCCCAATTTTTATTTAGGTATCTTGTACTCTCTAAATTTCAACCCCAGCTTTGTAGTGATTGCCTTAGGAAGGAGCCTGTGACCCTGTTGGTCGGTAGAATATCAGGATTCAATCTCAGAACTTTCATTAGTGTCATCTCATTCACTCTTTCCTAATGGCCTTGAAAGGGAGAAGGTGATGAGAAGCTGGAGCTGTGACCCCTTTGTCACCAAGATGATGATAAGCGTTTTGAGAATGAAGACAGAACATTGGGAGAAAAGTCCAATGGTGGAGGCAGAAAAAAGTGTCCTGGTAATGTCATTCAAATATTTATCCAGCCGTTTCTACGCTTGCACTTGCACTTATCTGAGCTGATAAATACTGTTGGCTTAAGGAATTTGGATCAAGTTTCTGTTCCTTGAACCTTGTACAGTCCTAAATGGTACAGAATACCCAGTTGAAAGAGAAATAATGGATCTGGTTCATTTACAAAAGAGTTATACATGTACATTAAGTATTTGCCATATTACCCATGATCTTCACGTCCTTTTACATGACACAGTAATTGTACATTCTCATCAAATATATGTATACATATATATGTGTGTATATATAAATATATATATATATATAACCATATATATTTGATTTCCCAAATGAACGTGTTTCATAGTCTTCGTGACTCATGAGTCTTTCTGATTTGCTGCTTGCAACCATTCAGAGTTTTGGGTGGCTCTATATCGTATTAGTCCTGCTGTGTCCAGCAATCAAGTCCTCAAATACCCCCACTGTAGAGGCAACGTAAGTGCTGGTGTGGGAAAACTCCAGCAATCATATTCTGTGAGAGTCAGAGATGATCCGAGTCATCTGAACAGTCCTCCAGTGCATCTGTCTCATATGCTGCATATGATTTGTGAGAAGTATCCCTCCAGTTTTCCTATAAAACTAACATCAGTGTTTACCTATAAACAGACACAGAAGTCACTGCTGACTGTACTCTGCTTTGTATACAATCCTATTATATAAAGAGCTCAAGCAGCATGTCTGTCTGCCTAGATGTGTGTGTTCTCCTTCTCCAGCTGCCAACCACCTAAATTATTCAGCAAGCCCTGATCATGCCAAGTTTTTAGTCAACAATGGAGATCCTGCCAAAGAGCTAATAATGTTAAAAAAAAAAAAAAAAAGCAATGTTTGTGACAATTAACAGAGCCTGCAGCCTGCAACACGCGTTGGACTCATTTGTAAAGGAAATTTAAATGATATGCTTCATTATAAATGGTCCCATGCAGCACATTGCTAATCAACCAAAGCAGCTTCTTCTTCTCCCTCACCACCCACCCTCCCACTTCTTCCTATCTGACAAACCCAAATGGCAGCACTGTGTCAAGGCTCTTGGCCACTGCTTGCTGTGGCTATAAATGTAGTGTGGTTATCTATCAGTATTATAATCAGCTTAGATCAAACTGAATAATTAGTTCTAACATGGATGAATAGAGCACCAGCCTCTTATCTTGTCTATTAATAATCACAAGTATAACTTCACAGCCAAATCAAGAGGTATGTTACTGTTCCCCTGAGAGCCTGTTTGGGTAAAACCCCCTGTGACTGCACCAATCTAAGTAGTGCAGATGGGACAGTCAGCCCATAATGATGGGCTGACAGCTGCCAAACCCAGCAATCCCTCCCGGATTCTTGGCAGACAGAGAGAGAAAGAGAGAAAGAGATTGATTGGGGAAGTGGGACTGATTCTCCATGCTAAATAACTATTATTTCTCCAATAATGGTGTGAGGAGAAAAGAAGACAGAAGACTGTTGCTGGGTCTCCAGATCCCACACTCAGGGAAATGGAATTCCACAGCCTGGCCCAGCCTAAGGATACTTAGCTTGTGGACAGCACATGACTGCCATTTGCCTTCATTTTTAAGGCATCTGGCTGTTCCCTCCTGAAAAACATCTCACATAACTGAATTCTTTAGGCCAGAAAAATATTTTATTTATAGAAGTGATCCACCTTTAAGTTTGTCTTTTTTATCATAAAAGGCCAAAAATAGTTTATCAGAAAGAACACAACTGGGCCGAGTGCGGTGGCTGATGCCTGTAATCCCAGCACTTTGGGAGGCCAAGGTTGTTGGATCACCTGAAGGCAGGAGTTCAAGACCAGCCTGGCCAACATGGCAAAACCCCATGTCTACTAAAAATACAAAAATAAGCCTGGCGTGGTGGCATGCACCTGTAAGCCCAGCTACTTGGGAGGCTGAAGCAGGAGAATTGCTTGAACCTGGGAGGTGGAGGTTGCAGTGAGCGCCACTGCTCTCCAGACTGGATGACAGAATGAGAGTCTGAGAAAGAAAGAAAGAAAGCAAGAAAGAAAGAAAGAAGGAAGGAAGGAAGGAAGGAAGGAGGAAGGAAGGAAAGAAAGGAAGGAAGGGAAAGAGAGAAAGAGAGAAAGAAAAGGAAGGAAGGAAGGAAGGAAGGAAAGAAAGAAACAAACAAAGAAAGAAACAAAGAGAGAAAGAAAGAAGGAAGGAAAGAGCACAACAATTTTTTTAAGTTGTTTTTAAGCTTTCATAAACAAGTTCTCATGTATCTCGTAGTGCCTCCCAGCTTTGCTTTATTCATACATGCCACTTTGTTGAAAGCTGTGGGCCTTCTCCTCCCAAAAAAACTTTGCTATATGTAAATTATACAACAATTTGAATAAGATTTGGGGAAATTCACAGTCTCTCTAAAGACCATCTGTGAATTTCTAAGAGGTCAATAGGCCCCAGTTTAAGAACATCTGGCTTAAGCACAGAAAGTAAACAACAAAGACATCAAGAATAGAAGTAAAGTTCTTAATTGTGTAACAAACTGTTTTAAATGTTCATCTGTAGTTTGATTTTTGGAAATTGGGAAAATACTTTTCCATTGGAACACTATTGATGGAAGTTCATTTATTCATTCATCACTTTTTATTTTACTGTCCCTCTCTGCACACGATCCCTCTCCAAATTCCTACTGCATGTCAATCACTGGGCTGTGTGCTGGGAATACAATGCTGAAAATCTTGGTCCTCAAGAGACTCACAGTCCACTGGAGTTCAGCAACATGTTAAAAAATGTCTATAATATACCATAAAAAGTGCAATCATAATGGTAGTATCCACTTATTGCCATACAGAGAAGGAAATAATTCATTCTGCTTGGTGGTGAGCAGAGAGAGAGAGAGAGAGAGAGAGAGAGAGAGAAATAGATATTTTTATTTAGGGATTTCCAAAAAGGACTAATGTATAAATTGTCCTTTAAAGGATGAGCAAGAGTTTTCAAGGCAGACCGAGGGTATTCCACACAGAGGAGGCTTAAAGACACACAAAGACATGGGAATGTGACACAGCACGATGTTCTTAAGAAACTGTAGAGAACTCAATGTTGTCATGGTATATAGCGTGGTGCAAAGTGCTGAATGATGAAGTGATTGGGCAGCAAAGCTTAGACTGCAAAAGAGCTCATATGCCTGGTTATCATATGTTAGGGTCCATAGACTTTATATCCTATCTTGGATTTACTGAGATTAAACAGACTTATATAAGGGTAACCTGGAACAATACTTTCTTAAGAGGCCCATAGTTCCAAAATATTATCCACAAAGCCTCAAACTAATCTTCAGCCAACGGGTTGGACATTGAAGGGTACTGAAAGTTGAAGCACAGGAGAGACAAAGCTAGGTTTAACTTAAAAAGATTGGTTTGAAGTTTCGCGGAGATTATTTTAGAGCTATGAGCCTCTTAAAAGGGTACTGTTCCAGGTTACCTCTACCTAAGTCTATTTAATTCCAATAAATCCAAGATAGGGTATAGAATCTATGGGCCCTAAAATCTTTTCTGTTAAGCAAAAGGATGTAATGTGAAATGCAGACAGATGATTGGATTTGTTAAAGTGGAGGTATTTGAAGATCTTAACAGAGAGTTTTCAGTGGCTTTGTGAGAGCAAAATCTGACTTAAGTGGGTTGAAGAGAGAAAGGAACTCAAGAAAGCAATCACAGATGAAAAACTTGACAATGTATTCTAATGATGATGAGATAAACCAGTAGAAAGGGAAAAATGATGATGCAGGAAAGAAAAAACATATATGCAGGAGCAAAAACCCTGAGTATAAGGGGGCAGGGCTAGAATTCAGTGTAGAAATAGAGGAACTGGTCTTAGATAGGAACAGATACATTTTGTCCATTCCTTTTAAGTAACAGGCATACAAAAAAATAAAAATAAAAATCCTGTCTGGAATTGCAGTTGATGGAAATAGGAGGGAAGCAGGCAAGTTCTTAAGAAAAGTAGATTATTCCAAGAAGACAAGCCAGAAACCAGAAGTGACTCTGATCAACATAGTGCTTTGCTAAGCACTCAAACTACTATGGTATCTGCTCACACCCTGAGGCCTTCCCCAGGACAGGAGAATCACCATCAATTTCTGGGATTGCATTTTCTCTGAAAACCTAAAAAACATCACACTACTGTCTCCCAGATTGAAGTTTATTGTGGAGAATTTGAAGCTAACCTGAATTTCCCTTCCTATAGATTATTTGATCATTTTGCCTAGATACTTGAAAGATCTTTTTTTTTCCCTTAATATTTGAAGTCCAACAACTTTACCAGGCTATTATCATTTGTGTTTTTTCCCCTCCTAGAGTATAATGTGCTTTTGGTATCCGAAAATTCAAACCTTTTTTTTTTTCCTGGAAAATTGTCTTTTATTAAACCTTTGAAAATTTTCTATTTCATTAGATCAGATTTGATTTTTAAAAATACCAAATATACATATGTTGAATCTCCTTTGTCATATTTCATACCTATGATCTCAATAATTTTAAAATCTTCATTCGTTTCCATTTACTTTTGTTCAATTTTCCCATTCCTAACTTCCACATATCTAACTGTGTCATCAGCTGTGTTTATTTTCTTTCGTATTGCCTATAATGTGACTTTTGGTGTTAGTTCTATCATCCATTTCTTACCTTAGCTTTTGCTGCATTGTGTATAGCCTTCTTGTATCATTTTACACTATCTTTCTTAAGCTCTCCTATTGAGTGTATGGCAATGTATTTGGTGAGCTTTTTTTTTTTTTGAGACGGAGTCTTGCTCTGTTGCCCAGGCTGGAGTGCAGTGGCACAATCCTGGCTCACTGCAACCTCTGCCTCCTGTGTTCAAGCGATTCTCCTGCCTCAGCCTCCTAAGTAGCTGGGATTATAGGCACATGCCACCACGCCCAGCTAATTAGATCAGGTTTTTATCTGTTTAATAGTAATGACCCTACCCCCTAGAGATTATTTGTCTGCCATTTGTTAAACCTTTTACTTGAATTATTTTTATATAGATTCTGTTCTGGTAATTTTAGATAATCAGTCATTTTTTAATTTCAGAAATTTTTCCTGGATCTTTTGTTTATCAGAGCTTCATGTAGGAGAGGGGTTAATGGATTGTTTTGTGCTAGTTTTCTTGGCCTGCAAGAGATTCTTTTTCTTTTTTTTTTTTTTTTTTTGAGACAGGGCCTTGCTCTGTCACCGAGGCTGGAGTACAGTGGTGCCATCTTGGCTCACTGCAACCTCCGCCTCCTGGATTCAAGTGATTCTCCCACCTCAGCCTCCCGAATAGCTGGGATTATAGGCATGAGTCACTGCGCCCGGCTTTTTTTTTTTTTTTTTTTGTATTTTTAGTAGAGATGGGGTATTGCGGTGTTGGCCAGGCTGGTCTCGAACTCCTGGCCTCAGGTGATCCACCTGCCTTGGCTTCCCAAAATGCACTGGATTCTTGAGTGTGTGTGTTGGAGTTAGGAGATTGTCTGATGCTTCCTTTATTCTTAGCCAGCAAACATATGCAGCTCTAAGACGACTTGAAAATTGAAATCACTCTCCTGTATGATGTTTCCTATACAGACTACTTTCTGAAAGAAATAGCCTGACTATGCATTTCTTTACTCTTCCCAGCATTTCCTGCTACCTTTCATGTCAGCAGGGTTATAGCAAGTTACTAATTGCAATCCATGCAATCACTATCATTGTTTCAATAAGCATTTTTGCTTCCTTGTTGTAATCTTTAGGCTACACTAAGTATTTTGGATAACTGAACTCCTCTCTCTCTTTGAGATCTGTAACAGCAAGTGTCTTTCTGTACCTCTACTTGATTTTTACCTTTCTCATATATTATATTTTGGGGCAACAGATAACACTTAATTATGTTCAAGGTAGAGTTTTTGTTTCCACTCTACTTCCAAAGAAACTTAACCTGATAGAAATAAAAATTTCTTTGCATATACAAAAAAGCAACTTCTAATTTCCAAGAGAATACAAAATCATATTTACTCAGACATCCTCAAATCAGAAATCAGAAATCATTTTTTATTTTATTTTTATTTTTTATTTTTTTATTTTTTATTTATTTATTTTATTTATTTTATTTTTAATTATACTTTAAGTTTTAGGGTACATGTGCACATTGTGCAGGTTAGTTACATATGTATACATGTGCCATGCTGGTGCGCTGCTCCCACTAACTCGTCATCTAGCATTAGGTATACCTCCCAATGCTATCCCTCGCCCCTCCCCCGACCCCACCACAGTCCCCAGAGTGTGATATTCCCCTTCCTGTGTCCATGTGATCTCATTGTTCAATTCCCACATATAAGTGAGAATATACGGTGTTTGGTTTTTTTGTTCTTGCGATGGTTTACTGAGAATGATGATTTCCAATTTCATCCATGTCCCTACAAAGGACATGAGCTCATCATTTTTTATGGCTGCATAGTATTCCAGGGTGTATATGTGCCACATTTTCTTAATCCAGTCTATCATTGTTGGACATTTGGGTTGGTTCCAAGTCTTTGCTATTGTGAATAGTGCCGCAATAAACATACGGGTGCATGTATCTTTATAGCAGCATGATTTATAGTCCTTTGCGTATATATCCAGTAATGGGATGGCTGGGTCAAATGGTATTTCTAGTTCTAGATCCCTGAGGAATCGCCACACTGACTTCCACAATGGTTGAACTAGTTTACAGTCCCACCAACAGTGTAAAAGTGTTCCTATTTCTCCACATCCTCTCCAGCACCTGTTGTTTCCTGACTTTTTAATGATTGCCATTCTAACTGGTGTGAGATGGTATCTCATTGTGGTTTTGATTTGCATTTCTCTGATGGCCAGTGATGATGAGCATCTTTTCATGTGTTTTTTGGCTGCATAAATGTCTTCTTTTGAGAAGTGTCTGTTCATGTCCTTCGCCCACTTTTTGATGGGGTTGTTTGTTTTTTTCTTGTCAATTTGTTTGAGTTCATTGTAGATTCTGGATATTAGTCCTTTGTCAGATGAATAGGTTGCGAAAATTTTCTCCCATTTTGTAGGTTGCCTGTTCACTCTGATGGTAGTTTCTTTTGCTGTGCAGAAGCTCTTTAGTTTAATTAGATCCTATTTGTCAATTTTGTCTTTTGTTGCCATTGCTTTTGGTGTTTTAGACATGAAGTCCTTGCCCATGCCTATGTCCTGAATGGTAATGCCTAGGTTTTCTTCTGGGATTTTTATTGTTTTAGGTCTAACATTTAAGTCTTTAATCCATCTTGAATTGATTTTTGTATAAGGCGTAAGGAAGGGATCCAGTTTCAGCTTTCTACATATGGCTAGCCAGTTTTCCCAGCACCATTTATTAAATAGGGAATCCTTTCCCATTGCTTCTTTTTCTCAGGTTTGTCAAAGATCAGATAGTTGTAGATATGCGGCGTTATTTCTGAGGGCTCTGTTCTGTTCCATTGATCTATATTTCTGTTTTGGTACCAGTACCATGCTGTTTTGGTTACTGTAAGCCTTGTAGTATAGTTTGAAGTCAGGTAGTGTGATGCCTCCAGCTTTGTTCTTTTGGCTTAGGATTGACTTGGCAATGCGGGCTCTTTTTTGGTTCCATATGAACTTTAAAGTAGTTTTTTCCAATTCTGTGAATAAAGGCATTGGTAGCTTGATGGGGATGGCATTGAATCTATAAATTACCTTGGGCAGTATGGCCATTTTCGCGATATTGATTCTTCCTACCCATGAGCATGGAATGTTCTTCCATTTGTTTGTATCCTCTTTTATTTCCTTGAGCACTGGTTTGTAGTTCTCCTTGAAGAGGTCCTTCACATCCCTTGTAAGTTGGATTCCTAGGTATTTTATTCTCTTTGAAGCAATTGTGAATGGGAGTTCACTCATGATTTGGCTCTCTGTCTGTTGTTGGTGTATAAGAATGCTTGTGATTTTTGTACATTGATTTTGTATCCTGAGACTTTGCTGAAGTTGCTTATCAGCTGAAGGAGATTTTGGGCTGAGACAATGGGGTTTTCTAGATATACAATCATGTCGTCTGCAAACAGGGACAATTTGACTTCCTCTTTTCCTAATTGAATACCCTTTATTTCCTTCTCTTGCCTAATTGCCCTGGCCAGAACTTCCAACACTGTGTTGAATAGGAGTGGTGAGAGAGGGCATCCTTGTCTTGTGCCAGTTTTCCAAGGCAATGCTTCCAGCTTTTGCCCATTCAGTATGATATTGGCTGTGGGTTTGTCATAGATAGCTCTTATTATTTTGAAATACGTCCCATTAATACCTAATTTATTGAGAGTTTTTAGCATGAAGGGTTGTTGAATTTTGTCAAGGGCTTTTCCTGCATCTATTGAGATAATCATCTGGTTTTTGTCTTTGGTTCTGTTTATATGCTGGATTACATTTATTGATTTGCATATATTGAACCAGCCTTGCATCCCAGGGATGAAGCCCACTTGATCATGGTGGATAAGCTTTTTGATGTGCTGCTCGATTCGTTTTGCCAGTATTTTATTGAGGATTTTTGCATCAATGTTCATCAAGGATATTGGTCTAAAATTCTCTTTTTTGGTTGTGTCTCTGCCCGGCTTTGGTATCAGAATGATGCTGGCCTCATAAAATGAGTTAGGGAGGATTCCCTCTTTTTCTATTGATTGGAATAGTTTCAGAAGGAATGGTACCAGTTCCTCCTTGCACCTCTGGTAGAATTTGGCTGTGAATCCATCTGGTCCTGGACTCTTTTTGATTGGTAAACTATTAGTTATTGCCACAATTTCAGATCCTGTTATTGGTCTATTCAGAGATTCAACTTCTTCCTGGTTTAGTCTTGGGAGAGTGTATGTGTTGAGGAATTTATCCATTTCTTCTAGATTTTCTAGTTTATTTGCGTAGAGGTGTTTGTAGTATTCTCTGATGGTAGTTTGTATTTCTGTGGGATCGGTGATGATATCCCCTTTATCATTTTTTATTGTGTCTATTTGATTCTTCTCTCTTTTTTTCTTTATTAGTCTTGCTAGCGGTCTATCAATTTTGTTGATCCTTTCAAAAAACCAGCTCCTGGATTCATTAATTTTTTGAAGGGTTTTTGTGTCTCTATTTCCTTCAGTTCTGCTCTGATTTTAGTTATTTCTTGCCTTCTGCTAGCTTTTGAATGTGTTTGCTCTTGCTTTTCTAGTTCTTTTAATTGTGATGTTAGGGTGTCAATTTTGGATCTTTCCTGCTTTCTCTTGTGGGCATTTAGTGCTATAAATTTCCCTCTACACACTGCTTTGAATGCATCCCAGAGATTCTGGTATGTTGTGTCTTTGTTCTCATTGGTTTCAAAGAACATCTTTATTTCTGCCTTCATTTCGTTATGTACCCAGTAGTCATTCAGGAGCAGGTTGTTCAGTTTCCATGTAGTTGAGCGGTTTTGAGTGAGATTCTTAATCCTGAGTCCTAGTTTGATTGCACTGTGGTCTGAGAGGTAGTTTGTTATAATTTCTGTTCTTTTACATTTGCTAAGGAGAGCTTTACTTCCAAGTATGTGGTCAATTTTGGAATAGGTGTGGTGTGGTGCTGAAAAAAATGTATATTCTGTTGATTTGGGGTGGAGAGTTCTGTAGATGTCTAGTAGGTCCGCTTGGTGCAGAGCTGAGTTCAATTCCTGGGTATCCTTGTTGACTTTCTGTCTCGTTGATCTGTCTAATGTTGACAGTGGGGTGTTAAAGTCTCCCATTATTAATGTGTGGGAGTCTAAGTCTCTTTGTAGGTCACTCAGGACTTGCTTTATGAATCTGGGTGCTCCTGTATTGGGCGCATATATATTTAGGATAGTTAGCTCTTCTTGTTGAATTGATCCCTTTACCATTACGTAATGGCCTTCTTTGCCTCTTTTGATCTTTGTTGGTTTAAAGTCTGTTTTATCAGAAACTAGGATTGCAACCCCTGCCTTTTTTTGTTTTCCATTTGCTTGGTAGATCTTCCTCCATCCTTTTATTTTGAGCCTATGTGTGTCTCTGCATGTGAGATGGGTTTCCTGAATACAGCACACTGATGGGTCTTGACTCTTTATCCAATTTGTCAGTCTGTGTCTTTTAATTGGAGCATTTGGTTCATTTACTTTTAAAGTTAATATTGTTATGTGTGAATTTGATCCTGTCATTATGATGTTAGCTGGTTATTTTGCTCGTTAGTTGATGCAGTTTCTTCCTAGTCTTAATGGTCTTTACATTTTGGCATGATTTTGCAGCGGCTGGTACTGGTTGTTCCTTTCCATGTTTAGCGCTTCCTTCAGGAGCTCTTTTAGGGCAGGCCTGGTGGTGACAAAATCTGTCAGCATTTGCTTGTCTGTAAAGTATTTTATTTCTCCTTCACTTATGAAGCTTAGTTTGGCTAGATATGAAATTCTGGGTGGAAAATTCTTTTCTTTAAGAATGTTGAATATTGGCCCCCACTCTCTTCTGGCTTGTAGGGTTTCTGCCGAGAGATCCGCTGTTAGTCTGATGGGCTTCCCTTTGAGGGTAACCTGACCTTTCTCTCTGGCTGCCCTTAACATTTTTTCCTTCATTTCAACGTTGGTGAATCTGACAATTATGTGTCTTGGAGTTGCTCTTCTCAAGGAGTATCTTTGTGGCGTTCTCTGTATTTCCTGAATCTGAACGTTGGCCTGCCTTGCTAGATTGGGGAAGTTCTCCTGGATAATATCCTGCAGAGTGTTTTCCAACTTGGTTCCATTCTCCCCATCACTTTCAGGTACACCAATCAGACATAGATATGGTCTTTTCACACAGTCCCATATTTCTTGGAGGCTTTGCTCATTTCTTTTTATTCTTTTTTCTCTAAACTTCCCTTCTCGCTTCATTTCATTCATTTCATCTTCCATCGCTGATACCCTTTCTTCCAGTTGATCGCATCAGCTCCTGAGGCTTCTGCATTCTTCACGTAGTTCTCGAGCCTTGGTTTTCAGCTCCATCAGCTCCTTTAAGCACTTCTCTGTATTGGTTATTCTAGTTATACATTCTTCTAAATTTTTTTCAAAGTTTTCAACTTCTTTGCCTTTGGTTTGAATGTCCTCCCGTAGCTCAGAGTAATTTGATCGTCTGAAGCCTTCATCTCTCAGCTCGTCAAAGTCATTCTCCATCCAGCTTTGTTCCGTTGCCGGTGAGGAACTGCGTTCCTTTGGAGGAGGAGAGGCGCTCTGCTTTTTAGAGTTTCCAGTTTTTCTGTTCTGTTTTTTCCCCATCTTTGTGGTTTTATCTACTTTTGGTCTTTGATGATGGTGATGTACAGATGGGTTTTTGGTGTGGATGCCCTTTCTGTTTGTTAGTTTTCCTTCTAACAGAGAGGACCCTCAGCTGCAGGTCTGTTGGAATACCCTGCCGTGTGAGGTGTCAGTGTGCCCCTGCTTGGGGGTGCCTCCCAGTTAGGCTGCTCAGGGGTCAGGGACCCACTTGAGGAGGCAGTCTGCCCATTCTCAGATCTCCAGCTGCGTGCTGGGAGAATCACTGCTCTCTTCAAAGCTGTCAGACAGGGACATTTAAGTCTGCAGAGGTTACTGCTGTCTTTTTGTTTGTCTGTGCCCTGCCCCCAGAGGTGGAGCCTACAGAGGCAGGCAGGCCTCCTTGAGCTGTGGTGGTCTCCACCCAGTTCGAGCTTCCCTGCTTTGTTTACCTAAGCAAGCCTGGGCAATGGCGGCCGCCCCTCCCCCAGCCTCGCTGCCGCCTTGCAGTTTGATCTCAGACTGCTGTGCTAGCAATCAGTGAGACTCCGTGGGCGTAGGACCCTCCGAGCCAGGTGCGGGATTTAATCTCGTGGTGCGCCGTTTTTTAAGCCCTTCGGAAAAGCGCAGTATTCGGGTGGGAGTGACCCGATTTTCCAGGTGCGTTTGTCACCCCATTCTTTGACTCGGAAAGGGAACTCCCTGACCCCTTGCGCTTCCCGAGTGAGGCAATGCCTCGCCCGGCTTCGGCTCGCGCATGGTGCGCGCACCCACTAACCTGCGCCCACTGTCTGGCACTCCCTAGTGAGATGAACCCGGTACCTCAGATGGAAATGCAGAAATCACCCGTCTTCTGCGTCGCTCACGCTGGGAGCTGTAGACCGGAGCTGTTCCTATTCGGCCATCTTGGCTCCTCCCTCAGAAATCATTTTTTAATACTTACTTCTTATAGGAGACATTTATACTTGAACTAAAATCTCAGAATTCACCTAGTATCATAACAAACTGATGGGAGAGAGATTTGGCCAAAAGCACTTTCAATCTTTCTAAATTGACATAGGGCAGAGACTACTACTAATAATATTCATTCATCCATCAGCTGTCTAGGTCAGGATTCTTTTTTCTGAAAGAGAAAGAAACCCAAAGTCAAAATACTTAAGCAAAAATGAAGGATTTGTTGCTACATATGACCAGATTATAGGAAGGTCAGGAGTAGAGCTAGCTTTGTAGAAAAATAGAACTGGGGACTTAATTGCCTTCAGGCTTTTTTTCTTTTCTTTTCTTTTCTTTTTCTTTATCTCTCATCTTTCTTTCTCTCCATTTCAGTTGCTCAGGGGATGAAACCACTGTAGGGGATTCAGTGATTGGTAGCTCCAAACTTACATCTTTACGGTGTCCTGAACATCAAAGAAAAGACTATTTTTCTCTGTCAGCACCAGCGTAAAAAATCCCAGGGGAACAATTCTAATCAAGCAGGATTGATACCGAGGCCTGTCCCTTAGAGCTTGAACTGTGACCAGGCTTTGCTTCATCTGTGTGTCCAGCCCATGTCCAAGAGAAGTGGAGTCTATTTTGGGAAGAAAGTAATGGAGAGGAAGGACTGGGAAGGCCACAAACAATAACCACTACACCAATCTAATTGTGGTTGTAAGGTATTATAGTGATGTTTTCATGCTGCCTTTCCAAGAGCCATGTGGTATCACTTGTAAAATATTATAGCTAAGCTTCTTCTACATATATAAACAAACAAACACAATAAGCATACTTTATGGTTATCTCACACAAATGTGACACAGCTATTTTATTTTGAGCTTTTAGAAAAAGCATAAACGCATAAATGTGTAGTCATTCTACTACTGCTCTATTTCTTTTTAAAATCATGTAGTCAGAGTTACTTCTGGCTGGACTGACCACTAAGTGAGACAAATGTTAAAGAGATCCCTCTGTGAAAAGGCTACTTGTTCCCTGGAAACTTCGAGAAGTCCTTTATTAAGTATGTAAACTTTAGTTTATCTCAGTTGACAGGAATTCAACGGGAATAAATGATTAGTATAAAGTATGCCAAAATCCACACTGTTTACTTAGGATAGTTGCATTTCACCAAGAATTTAGAATATATCTTAACTTTTTATACTATTAATATAAAGGCAAAAGGTGTAAATTCTGTGGAATTTACAAACCATCTTACCCTTTAAAAATATTTAAAAATACATTTCCAAATTATAGATACTTTTATGAAATACTCTAATTTCAATTATGTGAGACATCAGGTGCTAAAAGAAGGTGAGATGCTTGCTAGCTCTTAGAAGAAAGAAATGTTCAAATTTTATTTTATTTTATTTTGCTCCTTTGAATAGCAGTGTAACTTCTAATCAGTCATGGAGTAGTTTCATTCTATTTATCAGGATAATGAAAGTCTCAAAATTTCTTCTTTCAGGGAAAAGCAGCTGGAAAGAAGTAAAGAGAGCAATGTTTTCTTATTCTTTTGTGAATTTTATAGAGTTAGTAACTTGGCACAGACTCATGCTTCCAATATCTTACCCCTAAGGAGCTAGTTAGTGTAAAAAAAGAGAGAAAGGAAAAAGAAAAAAACCCACTTGGGCAAATGCAAGCACCAATTCCCTCTTTCAAAAACAAGAGAAGGGAAAAATAATCCATTTTTTATGGTATATTACCTACAAGTGCAGACATGACTTTGGTAATCATGCTTTTGTTGCACACAGACTGTAAAATATTTATGGAGACAATGTGATTTGGGTCAAGACATTAAATAAAGTAAAAGTTGCTTTATTCAATATGTGATGAACAGTATCCATATTAAAAACCATTGGGAAAAGTGTTCAAATGAAAAAATATGCTTAAAACAAATTCATCTGTTCAATGTTCATAAATGTTTTAAGAAATGCAGACAAACAAGTCTTGAAATCCATATTTACTGTACACAGTTGAAAAACTAATAGTATTTATTCAATCCAGAGGGGGAAGTGACTCAAAATTTGGCTTTTAATGATCAACAGGAAATACTTTTCCTGAGAAATTACTAACGTGTTTGTTGTCAGCCAAGCTACAATAGGGTTATCACTCTTCTCTTGGCAAATTGCTAATGCTATTAGACTAACATTGATTTATAAAGGAAAGATTTCTTTCAGACTACAGAAAATCTTAAGTTTTGACTCAATAATACTGTCTAGATTGAAGGAATATGTGTGTGAAGAATGCAAAGCTGAGTGTTTACTTGAGAATTCGGTATTGCTCAATGGCAATTATATAGCAAATTAAGTAACACATTGACTCAGGGATGTTATTTAGTGCTGATTAGGGTCAAACTGTGCGGTCTTGTTCTGCCAGGTCATTCTCTAATGTGTGTGCAGGATGAAAAAAGAAAGCTTCATAATTTAAACAGAGAAGTAACATGCAGCTACCTAGTGTTACTATCTGTATGAAATCTGCCCTCTGGAACCTACATTCTGGTTTAGCCAGTAAAATTCAAGGTCAAGTTGATTGTGAAAGTTTTACTCATTCACTCACTCATTCAATGTTTTGTGAATTACAAATTCCTTCCTTTGAGAAGGAACAGTTACCTATTCCCACCAAAGCAAACTTCACATAAATATCAATCCAAATTCAGCCTTAAGCATTATGCAAATTGGTGCATACTTTGCTTTCTTGTTTATATAAATAATGGAAGATGTGGAAAAGCCTGTATGACTTGGTTCAGGTGAATTTGGGTCAAACTCCAAGAAAAGATAATATTGATAATAATAACTGACATTTATTTATTAGGTCTACACTACCTGCCAGGCACTGTTCTACGTGCTTCCTTTAAGTTTTCAAGTGGTTCAAATGATCTTTGGCTCCTTAGTGAATTATAAAATTTAACATAATATGTATGGCAAAAATAAACCTCAGTTTAAAAAATTCTGCTCTTTGGGGCACAAAGCTTTGAGGGTATTAGGAACTAGTCATAGGCATGATGCCTATCTGTGAGGGGGTTTCACAGAACACTAAGGTAAAAAGAGGGCTAAGAACTATATGTAAAAATAATACAGAAATAATTAAAGTCACTACTGCTTAAGTGAAATCTAAATGTTAAGTACTAGTAAGTGTCCCTTTAGTATTACATTTCCTTGGCATTCACGTAGCACACACCAGACAATAAATTAACAACAGGTAAGCTGAGTACCAAGGAATCTGGGGTTGGAAACTGAAGGGTCAAGAAACAGAAACTTTTTATATTGTGCTTACAAAAATATTTCTGGTCTCAATTCTTCCACTTGCCTTTGGTCTTTCCAGATCAATTGGAACAGAAAAACAAAACAAAACAAAACAGAAAAACAAAAAATAAACTCATAGGCTTATTTCATTTTTTATTTTTGACAATTTTTTTCTAATCTAGTGGTTGGCAGAATTATGGTTCATGGGCTGAATCCAGCCTGACACCTGCTTTTGTACAGCCTGTGAGCTAGTTGTGGTTTTTAAATTTTTAAATGGTTGGAAAAAATTTAAAAAGATAATATTTCATGATGTGTGAAATTTATATAAAATTCAAATTTCAGTGTGCATAAATGACATTTTATAGGAACACAGACATGTTTATTCATTTGTGTATTGCCAATAGCTAATTTTACACTGCAACAGAATTTTATAGTTAAAACAGATAATGTCTAGCCTGCAGAGTCTAAACTATTTACTATCTGACTTTTTAAGAAAAAGTTTACTGGCTCGTATTCTAACCCAATAACGTGATAGGTTCATTACTAAGTCCAACTAGTTGTTTGAGACCCATCCTCAGTGTGATACATCAGATTTCCAAGAAATCTGAAGAGTCTGAGATTTTACCCTACTTGTAAGTCAACAACTTTGTCTGATAAATTTTATGAAGGCTGGTAGAAAACACACAATTCCAGAACCAGGGACAAAGGGCTGTTTATTACTCACAGCATTAGTGGTATCCAGAGTGTCAGCATTTCCGAGCTAAGTTTTCTAGGCCTTAGAGGGTCAGATAATCTCTGCATACACAATGGGTTGCATTTCAGGAAAGAAACTGAGTTTAAGGAACCTTTAAGTTTATAATTGGCAGTAAGCATACCTGTGTTTTGCTCTAGAGGAAGATACTATCTCTATTTTCTAAGGCTGCTCACACTATAACTCTCACTGAAAACAAAGCAACAAAGGGAAGTAGAAGTAGAAGGAAAGTAGAAGACATGGAGAAACACAGGAGATTTACTCTGAATCATTTTCCAACAATGATTTTTTTGTTACTTTATTGATAAACCTACATGGTAAGACCAAATAAATATTGCAAAACTGTTCAGAAAAATAGCTAAAAAATCAGAATTATACTTGACAAATTTCAATAATACAATTTTTAAAAATTTTTTCTATGAATGTTTCAAAGTTATTTAGATAGGTAAGCAAAGTGGGAAGTGGATGTTTTTACCTATGTAATTTGGGGATACAGTCAGGCCTGCAGAGCTCAAAATCAAATGCCTCACTCTTTCCAATAGGTAGTGAGTTTTACTGTTTACATGATAGTGGAATTGTCTCCACTCTCTTTGGTTTGATTTTCAGAGTGAAATTTTATTATTTGAGGCCGGGTGGGAGGCCGAGGTGGGCGGATCACGAGGTCAGGAGATCGAGACCATCCTGGCTAACACAGTGAAACCCCGTCTCTACCAAAACATACAAAAAATTAGCCGGGCGTATTGGCGGGCCCCTGTAGTCCCAGCTACTCGGGAGGCCGAGGCGGGAGAGTGGCGTGAACCCGGGAGGTGGAGCTTGCAGTGAGCCGAGATAGCGCCACTGCACTCCAGCACTCCAGCACTCCAGCCTCGGCGACAGAGCGAGACTCCGTCTCAAAAAAAAAGAAGAAGAAATTTTATTATTTGATAGAATGTAGTAGTCTTTCGAAAAATGCAGATGATTATTGTGTCTCCCTGTGGCTATCAAAATTCTCATGGTTATGTTTCATTCCCTTATCTCCAAAGTAGAAATTCATGGTTGGCTCATTCTACACCAGCTGTCTGTGAGAAGACTCAGCTACAACCACAGACTGGAGCCCATGAGTAGCGAACTCAGGCTTGCAAGGAGGCTGCACCAGAATCATAAGCTTACAGGAGAAACATTTGAAAAGGTACAAATGCATTCCGTCACACACACATGCTGACTTCTACCAGTTTCTGTTTTAGAAGGTAAACAATCTTGAACCAAGAGGGGTAGAGGGTATTAAGGGTTTGGCAAATAAAATACCTCTGGAGATCCAAGGGAAATAATTAGTATTGTAATTATTATAAGGGAATAATAATTATTGCTAAACAAGTGAGTGTTCTCTACTTTTTTAGTAGAGAGCAGTCTTTCTTAGTTTGGCCATTTGGCCAATGTATTTTGTGCTTTCTTCCATTGGGCCGTCCGATGACTCTACCTTGGAATTTGCTTTTCTGGAAATAAAAGAAAAGGATATGACTCAAAACTATTTGAAAATAAATATATGTGTGTATATATACATATGCATATATACGTATGCATTTCCTTTTTTGGCCAGCATTTCCTTTGTAGTTAACTGCTGCTAAAAGTAAATAAAATGATTTATTAAACCAGGTTAGTCTCAATCACAAATAATGATACCAAACTGTCCTTTTAAAATGGTTGTTTTACTTCATTTTTCCTGTTATCTTTTCCTTTTAATAAAATTAAATGTTAAGAACTGAAAATGCCTGGAGGCCAAAATTGGTGATGCAAATACATTTTTGTCTTATCACTCTGGAGGGAAAGCAAGTTTTGAAATGCTTTAAATCACAAAGCATTTTAAGATACAACAAATTAAATTTTTGGATCACTTTGGTGACTGTTCTGAAAGGAGTTTTATATCATCAGTGTCAAGAAATGTGGTGGTAGCAATGGTGTCTGATCACCTCGTTGGAACACTGGCAGGTTGGGGAGAAGTGAGATGTCTAAGACCCCATAGAATCTAACGGGGTAGTTTTTGAAATCTTGAAGTTGTAGAATGTCATTTGTCAAATAAACATACATATCATCTTTTGTCATAGTGAGAATTTGTGGTAGCATTTTCCAGTTAAATGTTCACATTCTCCAACTCCTAGCAATCCTGCGCCTGTCTGACTGGTAGATAGTGGAAGTTGGGTGACTATAGCTTCACGTAGTTCACCTTCCAAAAGATAGAGGCTATTCTACCTGGGGCTTGCTGTCAGTATTTATAATTCCTTTTTCACTCATATTTTATTGTAAAGGATGTCATCTGGAAGTGGTGACTTGGAGAGAGTCTCAGCAACTTTACTAATTTAGAGTTGTTTTGTTTTGTTTTGATATTCATTCGGTTTGGCTTTTAAGTAGTGCACATTATTTCTACCCGGAGAATACTAAACTAGCAGATTGTAATGTATGAGAGGTTAACCAATCCAAATGAATTCCATTATAGTCTTAAAAAATCATACCATTAATTGCAGATTAAAAATGACCTATAGTTTTAGTTTTCAACTTTGCTTTGAGAACTGTAAGACAAACAATGATTGAAAAATATTTAGAGCCTACAGAGAGATAGAGAGCATTTTGTTATTAAAACATGTGTTGGTGGATTTCCCTTCCATTCCTAGCTAACTTCAAGAGAAATCAGCCTCCTCTCCAAAAAGCAACTAGAACTGTTATCTTCTAAAACTATCTTTAGTTGCTAGCAACTAAAACTGGCTGAATACTCCAGTGTCAGAGGCTTGACATGGAGATGTTTGAGAATGGAGACAAGAAAAAGAAATGAAATAGTCAACAGGTACATTAAAGAATTATGCTCCTTATAAATCTTTGGCCTCTTCTGATTTCATATTGCTGGTTTTACTATTAAACACTGTTGATATGAATTTCAAAACATTGTGTTTTAACTATTTATCCCTACTGAGTGGTTAGTTTCTGGAACAAAAAGATTAATCAGGAAATGACCCTTGCCATTGATGGACAGGCTTATAGTCTACTTGAGTAGACAAATACACAAATGAATAATTACAATATAAGTTGTGTTTTTTAGCTGATGAATTCTCCTTCCTATTTTTTAAAAATATTATAGAGGCGCTTTAGCAGGTATTCAAAAATACTTGTTGAGGTACTCTTTAGGAACACTATAAAAAAATTGTCCAAGTTGGTACAGGACAGGAGAGTGCAGTCCAAGCAGGTTTCATAGAGTTGAGCCGAGTCTTGAAGGCTGACTACAAGCTGGCAAGTAGATAAAGAGTAAAATGGAGTGTGTGGGAGAACATTGTAGGCAGAGGGAAAAGCACAGAAAAGACATCAAACTAGGAAATAGTGGGGCATATTCATCCAAGGAGTTCAGTACTGTTAGAGCAAACAGTCTGTGTATGCGAGAGAAAGAAAGCTTGAAAACTAGTAGTCAGGAACAATAGTTTGGATAGCTTAGTATACCATCTATATTTTTAGACTTAATCTTGAATGAAAAAAGAAAACTATTGAAGCATTTTAGGTGGGGAAGGGATATGATCAGCTTTAGGTTTTAGGAAGCTTAATCGTACTGTTGTTTTGTGAAGGACAGATTGGAAGGGTGGCATTCTGAAGAACTTGAAACTACCTGGGATAGATTTGTAATAACTATGGCATGAATCAGGGTACACCAGTGTGTAAAGTGGAGTTTGGAGGTCATAGGAAGGAAGGTATTTAGGAGCTAGAATAAAAGGATTCTGTAATTGATTAGAGGTGGATGTGATAAAGAGAAACTAACATGAGTCCTAGGATAACTAATTGGACAGCAGTGCCATTAACAAAGGTGGAGAACATCAGAGGATGATGAGATATGGGGGTAAAATTATATTTTGTCTGTGGAGCATGGAAGTGCAGATGTCCAGGCTAAAACAAAATTAGAATAGAGGTAGTGTCAGTCAGTCTAGGCTATGCATCAGTGACAAACGTCCCCAAATATCAGTGACTTAAAAACAATAGCTTTATTTCCTGCTCATGTTATATATACATTTAGTCCTCACTCGCAGACATCAGATGAAGGGGGCTTCAATGACTGGAGTGTTGCTGGTCTTTGAGGGGGACAGAAGTTGGTAAAATTGCACACTATCTTTTAGACACTTCTGCCTGGAAGTCACACATGTCTTTCTGGCTAATGTTTTACTGGCCAAACCAAGTTATATGGCCAGGTGCAACTTCAGAGAATTGGTGGAACACAATCTCATCATATCTACCAGAGCACAGGCAGTCAGTGACTAGAATTGGGAGCCGTCATTAATAATAAGTGATGTCTGAGGATATTACAATAGATAAAATCAGCTTATCAGAATTATATACAACATGAAAATAAACAAAGGCCAAGAACAGAATCCTGGGGTAAACTAACATTTATGTACAAAAAGAGTCCTAAATAAAGGTGAAGAAGAGACTTTAGAGACTTGGGTGAAGAATTAACCACAAAAACTTTAGTAAAACCATCAACTAGAATTTAGAAAGCAATTTCATGTACAATATTATTTTAAAATCCTCATTAAGTAGTTTGAAGCTATAAGAGGTTAAGTAATTAAGTTTTGTTCTGTGGAACTGAACTTATTATGCATTCCAATATTATCCAAGTGACTTGTTCTTTAGGAAACTGTGGGAAGTGGGTAATCATTGGCAGGACTGTTCACCTTTTTCCCCCCTACAAAATACAAAGAGGAGACATAAGAGAGGTAGAATGCATAGTACAACTTGGTTCTTGAAAGTAAGAATTTTCAGTCTATAGAGAAATACACACAAAAAAGAGTGGATTCTGCCATCTTGTTCCTCATGCATCATCTGCTGGGCTGCTCAGTGCAGCTAGTGCAGGAGGAGGACAGACTCTTGGATGTCACTCCACTGGCCTATGGATAGGCATTTACAATGGTAGTATCCTTTCAGTACTATTTCCTTACGACAACCTCCCAGGGTGGAATTGCAGGGTCAAAGAATTGAACATTTTTAATATATTTGGTATATAAGTCCATAAAGCCTCTAGAACGCTTATATTCATTTATGCTTGTGTCTTAAATTGTTATAACACTAGTTTCAATTTTTTTCAAAGTATAATTAAGGGTATATCATGCTTTAACTTTAGATTTCTAATGAATTAGTGCATTTGTTTATATATTTTTAGTCGTATTTTTTATTCCGTGAATGAAATTATACATGTTCGTTTCTAATTTTGGGGGGCTTTCATCTTTTTTCTTATTAATTTTTAAAAGTTTTGATAAATATGTAGCATACATAGCAAATGTACATATAGAAACTGCCTATATGTCCAAAATAGGGAATCTTTTTGATGAATTATGGTATAAACTTTCATACATTAAATCCAAATCTGTTGAGTCTACAGGTTTCAGATATTGAGATAGAATTGGCAGTATTATGATGGACAAAACCAACATGGCTCTCTTCTTCTTGATTTTGTGACCAAGAAGGGCATATAGCAAGAAATGAGTAAACAATCAAATGGATGAAGTGATTATTACTGTGACATGTGCTAACAGAGAAATAATAAAGTATCTGAAGATGAGAATAACTGGAGGTATGGAGAACTCTTCTTTAGATACTGTTGTCAAAGTTTCTTTTTTTTTGGTAGGAGTAGATATTTAGAATCAGGGATGTAGGATGAGCAGTAGCATACAGAGAATGTTCAAGGCTGAGAGAAGACCCTATACAAAGGCTCTGAAGAGGGGAAGAGCTGTCTTAAAAAGGTCAGCATGACGGGAGTTTGGTACATTATGGAGAAGAGCCAAGAAATGAGGTGTAACAGGTGGCAGGAGCAGTGTCATCAGAGTGTATGCTGAATTTGAATCTTATTCAAATTAAACAATGAGGAGGCCCTTGAAGTGTTTTAAGTAGGGAAATAACATGATATAATTTACATTTTAAGAAGACTTGATATGTATAGAACAACAGGGGGTCAAGAGTGAATTTAGCATGCATTTATGTGTGTGTGTGTTGTCTATCTGTTATGAAATGTTGTATTAGTTAATTATTGCTACATAACAGGCAACTTCAAAACCTAGATGCTTGAAATAACAACAACCTCTCAAACTCTACACATAGATCTGCTGGGGAATTCTGTTGACTTGGTCTTAATTTTGTTATTCTTCTGGTCTTCGTTGGGCTCATTTCCGCATATGGTGGGCTTTTGGCTATTGGCTGAGTTGAAGGGTGTCTGGCCATGTACTATCGTCATCCAGGAAGCTAGCTCAGGCACATTCTCATGAATGTGTCAGAGGTCCAGGAGGGAGAAAGAAAAAATGTGCTTTTTCAGGCACCTCTCTGCTGGCTGCAAATTTCCTACAGTGCCACTGGCCTATGCAAGTCACATGACCAAGCTCAGAATCAGTGTGTCAGGGCATTAACAAAGTCGACCAAAGAGTATGACTATAGGAAGGTATGAACAATTTGGGCTATGTATTCAATCAATTAAACACAAATGTCTATAAGTAAAAAGGTACTCAATACTAAGTGAAAACAACTGTATATAATGCAACATGCATCATGTAATAGCATTTTAAAAGAAAAAACTACTGGAAGGATACAAATCAACATGTTCACTGTGATTATCTTTGGGTAGAGGGATGTAAGGTGGTTTATATTCTTTGTGTTTATTTTTCTGTGTTTGATTTTTTTGTATTGAGTTTGTACTAATTTTATAATAAAATGCTATTTCAAAAATCTAAAAAATATTTCTTTTGTCATGAAGAGTAGATATTAGGGAATAAAGAAGAAGAAAAGAAAGGAATTGAGTTCATTTCTCACAATAGTTTCATAGGTCAGTCTGTATTGTGATCACAGCCCAGCTTCCTTATCTGTCAAACAAAGCTACCTGAGAATAGGTACTGCTTTGGTATGTCAGCTTCTTTTTTCTTCCAGCTATACCTAGAATCTGTTCAACCAGTACCTTCCCTGTGGAGCAAAAGAAGCCTCCAACCTGCATGCTATCTTTTTCCTTTTACCTACCTCTGGCAGAATTATCTGGTTCTCAAATCTTGGTACTTTCAGATTTGAGTGTAATGAAGTTACTCTTGGATGTATATACCATGGATGATATTAACACACAATTTTCCTCTGTGTGTGAATCAATTTGTTCATCATCTAGTCTCAAACTTTCCTGCGTCTCACCCATTAGTGTCTGGAAGTGAGTAGGGTTCATGGAAGGGTCAGTAGAAAATGTGCAGGTTAGTTACATATGTATACATGTGCCATGCTGGTGTGGTGCACTCATTAACTCGTCATTTAGCATTAGGTATATCTCCTAATGCTATCCCTCCCTCCTCCCCCCACCCCACATCAGGCCCCAGAGTGTGATGTTCCCCTTCCTGGGTCCATGTGTTCTCATTGTTCAATTCCCACATATAAGTGAGAATATACGGTGTTTGGTTTTTTTGTTCTTGCGATAGTTTACTGAGAATGATGATTTCCAATTTCATCCATGTCCCTACAAAGGACATGAACTCATCATTTTTTATGGCTGCATAGTATTCCAGGGTGTATATGTGCCACATTTTCTTAATCCAGTCTATCATTGTTGGACATTTGGGTTGGTTCCAAGTCTTTGCTATTGTGAATAGTGCCGCAATAAACATACGTGTGCATGTGTCTTTATAGCAGCATGATTTATAGTCCTTTGCGTATATATCCAGTAATGGGATGGCTGGGTCAAATGGTATTTCTAGTTCTAGATCCCTGAGGAATCGCCACACTGACTTCCACAATGGTTGAACTAGTTTACAGTCCCACCAACAGTGTAAAAGTGTTCCTATTTCTCCACATCCTCTCCAGCACCTGTTGTTTCCTGACTTTTTAATGATTGCCATTCTAACTGGTGTGAGATGGTATCTCATTGTGGTTTTGATTTGCATTTCTCTGATGACCAGTGATAATGAGCATTTTTTCATGTGTTTTTTGGCTGCATAAATGTCCTCTTTTGAGAAGCGTCTGTTCATGTCCTTCACCCACTTTTTGATGGGGTTGTTTGTTTTTTCTTGTCAATTTGTTTGAGTTCATTGTAGATTCTGGATATTAGTCCTTTGTCAGATGAGTAGGTTGCGAAAATTTTCTCCCATTTTGTAGGTTGCCTGTTCACTCTGATGGTAGTTTCTTTTGCTGTGCAGAAGCTCTTTAGTTTAATTAGATCCCATTTGTCAATTTTGTCTTTTGTTGCCATTGCTTTTGGTGTTTTAGACATGAAGTCCTTGCCCATGCCTATGTCCTAAATGGTAATGCCTAGGTTTTTTTCTAGGGTTTTTATGGTTTTAGGTCTAACGTTTAAGTCTTTAATCCATCCTGAATTAATTTTTGTATAAGGCGTAAGGAAGGGATCCAGTTTCAGCTTTCTACATATGGCTAGCCAGTTTTCCCAGCACCGTTTATTAAATAGGGATCCTTTCCCCATTGCTTGTTTTTATCAGGTTTGTCAAAGATCAGATAGTTGTAGATATGTGGTGTTATTTCTGAGGGCTCTGTTCTGTTCCATTGATCTATATCTCTGTTTTGGTACCAGTACCATGCTGTTTTGGTTACTGTAAGCCTTGTAGTATAGTTTGAAGTCAGGTAGTGTGATGCCTCCAGCTTTGTTCTTTTGGCTTAGGATTGACTTGGCGATGCGGGCTCTTTTTTGGTTCCATATGAACTTTAAAGTAGTTTTTTCCAATTCTGTGAAGAAAGTCATTGGTAGCTTGATGGGGATGGCATTGAATCTATAAATTACCTTGGGCAGTATGGCCATTTTCACGATATTGATTCTTCCTACCCATGAGCATGGAATGTTCTTCCATTTGTTTGTATCCTCTTTTATTTAATTGAGCAGTGGTTTGTAGTTCTCCTTGAAGAGGTCCTTCACATCCCTTGTAAGTTGGATTCCTAGGTATTTTATTCTCTTTGAAGCAATTGTGAATGGGAGTTCACTCATGATTTGGCTCTCTGTTTGTCTGTTGTTGGTGTATAAGAATGCTTGTGATTTTTGTGCATTGATTTTGTACCCTGAGACTTTGCTGAAGTTGCCTATCAGCTGAAGGAGATTTTGGGCTGAGACAATGGGGTTTTCTAGATATACAATCATGTCATCTGCAAACAGGGACAATTTGACTTCCTCTTTTCCTAATTGAATACCCTTTATTTCCTTCTCCTGCCTAATTGCCCTGGCCAGAACATCCGACACTGTGTTGAATAGGAGTGGTGAGAGAGGGCATCCCTGTCTTGTGCCAGTTTTCCAAGGCAATGCTTCCAGTTTTTGCCCATTCAGTATGATATTGGCTGTGGGTTTGTCATAGATAGCTCTTATTATTTTGAGATACATCCCATCAATACCTAATTTATTGAGAGTTTTTAGCATGAAGCATTGTTGAATTTTGTCAAAGGCCTTTTCTGCATCTATTGAGATAATCATGTGGTTTTTGTCTTTGGTTCTGTTTATATGCTGGATTATATTTATTGATTTGCATATATTGAACCAGCCTTGCATCCCAGGGATGAAGCCCACTTGATCATGGTGGATAAGCTTTTTGATGTGCTGCTGGATTCAGTTTGCCAGTATTTTATTGAGGATTTTTGCATCAATGTTCATCAAGGATATTGGTCTAAAATTCTCTTTTTTGGTTGTGTCTCTGCCCAGCTTTGGTATCAGAATGATGCTGGCCTCATAAAATGAGTTAGGGAGGATTCCCTCTTTTTCTATTGATTGGAATAGTTTCAGAAAGAATGGTACCAGTTCCTCCTTGCACCTCTGGTAGAATTCGGCTGTGAATCCATCTGGTCCTGGACTCTTTTTGGTTGGTAAGCTATTGATTATTGCCACAATTTCAGATCCTGTTATTGGTCTATTCAGAGATTCAACTTCTTCCTGGTTTAGTCTTGGGAGAGTGTATGTGTCCAGGAATTTATCCATTTCTTCTAGATTTTCTAGTTTATTTGCGTAGAGGTGTTTGCAGTATTCTCTGATGGTAGTTTGTATTTCTGTGGGATCGGTGGTGATATCCCCTTTATCACTTTTTATTGCATCTATTTGATTCTTCTCTCTTTTTTTCTTTATTAGTCTTGCTAGTGGTCTAGCAAGAATCTGGGTGCTCCTGTATTGGTGCATATATATTTAGGATAGTTAGCTCTTCTTGTTGAATTGATCCCTTTACCATTATGTAATGGCCTTCTTTGTCTCTTTTGATCTTTGTTGGTTTAAAGTCTATTTTATCAGAGACTAGGATTGCAACCCCTGCCTTTTTTTGTTTTCCATTTGCTTGGTAGATCTTCCTCCATCCTTTTATTTTGAGCCTATGTGTGTGTCTGCATGTGAGATGAGTTTCCTGAATACAGCACACTGATGGGTCTTGACTCTTTATCCAATTTGCCAGTCTGTGTCTTTTAATTGGAGCATTTAGTCCATTTACATTTAAAGTTAATATTGTTATGTGTGAATTTGATCCGTCATTATGATGTTAGGTGGTTATTTTCCTCGTTAGTTGATGCAGTTTCTTCCTAGCCTCGATGGTCTTTACAATTTGGCATGATTTTGCAGTGGCTGGTACCGGTTGTTCCTTTTCATGTTTAGTGCTTCCTTCAGGAGCTCTTGTAGGGCAGGCCTGGTGGTGACAAAATCTCTCAGCATTTGCTTGCCTGTAAAGTATTTTATTTCTCCTTCACCTATGAAGCTTAGTTTGGCTGGATATGAAATTCTAGGTTGAAAATTCTTTTCTTTAAGAATGTTGAATATTGGCCCCCACTCTCCTCTGGCTTGTAGAGTTTCTTTCTAGAGATCCGCTGTTAGTCTGATGGGCTTCCCTTTGTGGGTAACCTGACCTTTCTCTCTGGCTGCCCTTAACATTTTTTCCTTCATTTCAACTTTGGTGAATCTGACAATTATGTGTCTTGGAGTTGCTCTTCTCGAGGAGTATCTTTGTGGTGTTCTCTGTATTTCCTGAATCTGAATGTTGGCCTGCCTTGCTAGATTGGGGAAGTTCTCCTGGATAATATCCTGCAGAGTGTTTTCCAACTTGGTTCCATTCTCCCCGTCACTTTCAGGTACACCAATCAGATGTAGATTTGGTCTTTTCACATAGTCCCATATTTCTTGGAGGCTTTGTTCGTTTCTTTTTATTCTTTTTTCTCTAAACTTCCCTTCTCGCTTCATTTCATTCATTTCATCTTCCATTGCTGATACCCTTTCTTCCAGTTGATCGCATCGGCTCCTGAGGCTTCTGCATTCCTCATGCAGTTCTCGAGCCTTGGCTTTCAGCTCCATCACCTCCTTTAAGCACTTCTCTGTATTGGTTATTCTAGCTATACGTTCGTCTAAATTTTTTTCAAAGTTTTCAACTTCTTTGCCTTTGGTTTGAATTTCCTCCCGTAGCTTGGAGTAGTTTGATCATCTGAAGCCTTCTTCTCTCAACTCGTCAAAGTCATTCTCTGTCCAGCTTTGTTCCATTGCTGGTGAGGAGCTGCTTTCCTTTGGAGGAGGAGAGGCGCTCTGCTTTTTAGAGTTTCCAGTTTTTCTGCTCTGCTTTTTCCCCATCTTTGTGGTTTTATCTACTTTTGATCTTTGATGATGGTGATGTACAGATGGGTTTTTGGTGTGGATGTCCTTTCTGTTTGTTAGTTTTCCTTCTAACAGACAGGACCCTCAGCTGCAGGTCTGTTGGAGTTTGCTAGAGGTCCACTCCAGATGCTGTTTGCCTGGGTACCAGCAGCGGTGGCTGCAGAACAGCAGATTTTTTTGAACCGCGAATGCTGCGGTCTGATCGTTCCTCTGGAAGTTTTGTCTCAGAGGAGTACCCAGCCGTGTGAGGTGTCAGTCTGCCCCTACTGGGGGGTGCCTCCCAGTTAGGCTACTCAGGGCTCAGGGGTCAGGGACCCAGTTGAGGAGGCAGTCTGCCCATTCTTAGATCTCCAGCTGCGTGCTGGGAGAACCACTGTTCTCTTCAAAGTTGTCAGACAGGGACATTTAAGTCTGCAGAGGTTACTGCTGTCTTTTTGTTTGTCTGTGCCCTGCCCCCAGAGGTGGAGCCTACAGAGGCAGGCAGGCCTCCTTGAGCTGTGGTGGGCTCCACCCAGTTCCAGCTTCTCACCTGCTTTGTTTACCTAAGCGAGCCTGGGCAATGGCGGGCACCCCTCCCCCAGCCTCGCTGCCACCTTGCAGTTTGATCTCAGAGTGCTGTGCTAGCAATCAGCAAGACTCCATGGGCGTAGGACCCTCCGAGCCATGTTCGGGATATAATCTCCTGGTGAGCCATTTTTTAAGCCTATCGGAAAAGCGCAGTATTAGCGTGGGAGTGACCCGATTTTCCAGGTGCCATCTGTCACCCCTTTCTTTGACTAGGAAAGGGAACTCCCTGACCCCTTGCACTTCCCGTGTGAGGCAATGCCTCGCCCTGCTTCGGCCCGTGTATGGTGTGCTGCACCCACTGTCCTGCGCCCACTGTCTGGCACTCCCTAGTGAGATGAACCCGGTACCTCAGATGGAAATGCAGAAATCACCCATCTTCTGCATCGCTCATGCTGGGAGTTGTAGACTGGAGCTGTTCCTATTCAGTCATCTTGGCTTCACTGACCGAATAATTTCTTTTTTAAGAAATTACATATGTTATTCCTTTAATAAAGGAATAGTACCATCTACATATGGTTACTCAGAGAAATAAATATGGTATCGTATTTTAAAGTCCTTTTAAAACTGTAATGCTTTCAATGTTTTTAGTGTTTTTTGGTACCACCTATTATTTGGATTAAATGTAGACTTTCTTGCCCTCATTTCAGTCAAATAGCCCAGAAAGGAGTGTGATCTTATGATGAATGTCCCCACACAATGATAAAGTCTTGCTGTCAGAGAAGGAAATATGTGCCATCACACATTGAGTTCAGAAGTGAAGGAGAGGCTTATATTCAAATCTGGAAGAAACAAGACTTGAGACCCATATGATTTTTCCAGAGGTAGGGAGTTGAAGATGCTGATGCCAAATATTAACTACTTTGAAGTTTGCCTAAGCTGACCTCCATTTTCTTGATGAAAAACTTGCAGTGTTGATGGGAATACATTCAATAGAAGAGGTCAATGAATTTTAAATTGCTTCAGAAAACCTTGTTCTTGGTCAAGGTTGTCTTGCTTTGTGGTTATAGAAAATGTGAATGTCAATGAGTTGAGCAACAAATAATCTTTATGAAATCATTGCCATTTGGATTCTGATAAGAACATACAATACATTTTGAGGCTTGATTCATACAAGTAGAAATGGTATGAGGTACAGTATACACAATACCAATAAAAATATTTGAAGGCATTTAAGTCAAACATAAACATTTTATATTTTGACCTTGTTTTAGGTTTAAAGGGAACTGTAAGAGCTCTGCTGTTCTCCATCAGTTCAGCTAGAATGATTGATTTATTTGCAGTTGAAATGAAAGCTTGTTTTAATTATTTTTAAAAATTGTCCAGACAATCATAACTTTCAAGCTAGCAGAGAAAGCTGAAATGTGACAAGGAAAATAATATTTAATTCAGTTGTTCTATCATATGTCAGTGTGTGTGCTTTGCTGTCATGGGGCAGAAGGGAGAACAGAATAATATCGATGATCAAACATGTGAACTGCTGATCTAAACCCAAATTAAAACATCTCAATGAAGTTGCTGGAGGGTAGACCTTTGACAAAAATTAAATTCCCATTTGAGAATTTCACTTTTGAAGACCCACTGCACCAAATGTACATGTTAACACATTTTTCCTGGCCACTTGTTGTAGACTGAGGTCTTCTTTTGGTATTCATTACTTATTAGTTTTGTGACCTGGGTCAAGTATTTAATCTCTGAAAACTTCAGTTTCCTTTTTTGGCAATATCTGCTTTATGCTACTACAAAAATATACTTCCTTGAGTACTTACATACCGGGCACATAACATACATCAATTCATTTAATTCTCATAACAGTCCTGTGAGTACTGAAACAGGCAGAACAACATGCCCAAGAACACACAGCCAGTAGACGGCTAAATTGTATCAATCTTTATTTAAATGCTGTAGTATTCTTGCTCTAGCAGACTCTCCATCAGAGCATGACATAAAATAATCACTCCTCAAATGTTAACTATCCTCTCTTTGTTCTCTTCTGCAAACTTCTACTGTTATTAAGGTGGAATTCTCAACAAGATTTTCTCAGTAAAAGTGAGAAAAGAACAATATTTCCCAGTGGGTTTCCGTGGGCTTCCTTCCAAAATAAGCAATGTGAAGGTAGTGGTTGGAGGAGTGGTCATATACTCCAAGTATCCTAGAGTGGTGCACTGGGGCAGGTTGGTGAGTGAAAAAATCTTTAGCCATGGTAAGAAATGACAGGAGAGGAGAAAAAAGTGAAGGGGCAAAAAGAAAGGCAATGAAAAGACAACATGGAGAATTTGGGGTGGGGAGAGATAATTAAGAATGGAAGAAAGTTTTAGCAGGAGCCTTGAATTTAAAACTCTGGAGGAAGGGAGCAGTGTCTAAGGAGAAATTCTAAGAAGCTTTTCTTTATGAAGAACAGTGTAAAATCCCTACCTCCTTTTCCTTTAAGGAAACTCAATACAAAATCTACCTTTTAGTCAGAGAGTGTGAATTTGAGTTGTTTTTTTGAATGAAATGTTATGCTGACACTGGGCCAGGCTTTTTAATGCAATCTTCATGCTTCAGGAGTGGGTCACTGGATAACATAACCATTGTTTGCAATACCCCAAAAGGTGTAATCCTGAAAGAACCATGGAGTAGTAGAAGAGCAGTGAGTGGGAATAGCAGGGGTCAACTCCCATGACTTAATTGCTATAGCTAAGTATGTACTGTTTTGTAAATGGACACAGTAATACCTGCCTCAAAGAGATGGGAAGCTCAGGTGACAGTGCTTCATGAACTAAAACTGCTCCCTGAATGTAAATTATGATTATTATGCAGCACCTAGATTTGCTAGTTCCAAGGCAGTTCTATGATGGGCAAGGACCATCTTACTTAGAGATACATTTGGATTTTCCTGTTTCTTTCAACTTAGTGGCTTTCTGTAAATTGGCAGGTGTTACATACTTCTGTTTTATATGAGGCTTGTAGAGGCAGGGGTTGTGGGGAATTATAATTTAGGGATATGATCTGATGATAAGTGAGATGGTAATGACCATGTTTTCTGAACCAAAATTAAACACACATGGTCATACACTAGGGCAGAATATTTGAATGAGATGTAACTGGAAAAATCTAGGAACTGTGGTCACCCGAACTATAAAATGACATTGCCAGAAAACAACTCTATAACCTCTCCATTTTCAAGGTCTTTGCTGGAGGGCAAACTTCCAAGATTATGAAGGAGTGCACTACAAGGCTTTCAATTTTCCCTTTTGCACCCAGGGAGACAAATAATTAGTGCTTTCCTAGGTCTAAAGTGGAGACCAGAGCCCAGAAATTCTACTATCAGTGCTTGCTTACAAGAAAAAGACATGGTTGTGCAATGCATCACTAAGGATTATAACAGATTAGCAACTAAATTTGAGTTAATTAAAATAATCAACTATAATAAGAAGAGAGTTTCCAGAAAATTACCATATAGATCAAGTTGCTGTCTCAACAACTTGGAAAATACAGAACAAATTTTGGAGGCCCAATGCCAAATATCTGAAGAGGCTCATTAAACTTTACTTAAAAAATGTGATTCTGTTTAATTAATTTTGTTAATAATGATCATAAAAATAGTTAAACATTTTTTAGTTGGTGGGGGGGGCAGTTTAACCTTAAAAGTCTAAATAATTATGAAAACTTAAAACAAGATAGATTGAATATCAAAAGAAGTGTTTTTAAAACTGGAAGGAACAATGTTCGACAATAAATGCGACTATTAAAGTGCGTGAAATGCTTGGATACTGACGTACATTTTGAAATACTGACCTACATTTTGAAATAGGCAATATTCTGGAAAATAGATTCTCTTGAATTAAGGAGACCACAAATCTTACCATTAATTTGTTAGGAGAAAACCTATAAAATGCATCTTAGTGCAGTTGTATACTGCAGTTGTACACATCTTGTGTAGTTGTATACGTCACCTGAGAAACTCCTCCTAACTTATAATAATGAATGCCTCCTTGGCAAGAGAAAGTGTTTATTATATGAGGCTTTTAGGGTCTTCAATTGAATAAGAAGTAGTTTTGGTGAAATAGATTACCTGATCTAGCGTCCAAAATTGTTATAAAATATACTGGATGGCACAAATTAGCCAAATTTAAAATTTTGACATTGGTGTGAAATTTATAAATCTATGTTTCACTTATTGTATTTATTTATAACCACCTAGTTCTCAAAAGGATTAATGGTGACTGTTTCCTTTACAGATTGATCGTGTTCTGAACATTGTTGTGTGTTCTCTCCTGTTTCATTTTTGTGACTCTGATCCTCTTGTTCAATAAAAATATATATGGGAAAGGCTGATTGAGAAAAGCTGTCTAGGAAGGAAAGGCAAAATCCAGACTCAGAAGATCACCTCTGCCAAAAGTCATAAGCAAACTTTTCCTTTGCCCCAGTGGCACTGAGTGCACTCATAACCCATAAAGTGAAGATATCCATCATTCAGCCAGGCAGTACCTACACCAGCAGGAGGATAAGAGCCAGTGATTGCTATGCTGGCTGCTGAGCTCTGACAATAAACTCATAACTATAATGGGAGTTAGGTGCCCAAAGGAGAAAAAGACAAATACAGGCCCAAGGCTCCTTAGTAAGTTATTTCAGAAACAGGATGAAGAGTGATACAGAAATTAGAACACAATATCATGAACATATAAACAGTCAATTCTCATTGCTTCCAAGTTGTCTAGGTGATTTGCAGAAGACTAGGGAATTACTTGATTCCCCTTTACTTTCAGAAATAGATGAAGTAATTAAAAATCTTCCCCAAGAGAAAGTTCTTGGCCCTGGCAGAGCTACAGGAGATTTCTATAAAACCTTTGGCTTAGCTCTGTCTGTACAGTTACTTGATGAGCTCAATCACTTGAGGGACTCAGGTGGATTCATCCCTGCCAGCCCCTGCATCCAGACTATCTTAATTGCTGAAAAGGATAAAGATACAGCAAACTGTACCACATCTAGGTTCAGACCTCTTATTAAAGTGGATATCAACTTTTGGAATGTATCCTGACAATTCTGATCATTATTTGGAATCAGGAGCACTGTAATCAGGTCATTTTTTGGAGATGGGTAATTCCTTGTATAAGATTTTTTTTTTAAACCTGGACTCCAGTCCTGTTAGGCTTACAAGGCACTTGCAGCCTCATCTATTGGTTTTCTTTAATAAAGGAAAGTCTTTATTTTTTAGCAGAGCAGTGAGTATCAGGAATGTACTATGAGCTCAGCAATCCAAGATCTTTATTATTTAATTATATCTCTTTGGTTGTATTCTAAATAAGCAGGATAACAAAATTTCTCTAGTTCTCAGTGTTCTCAGTGTAAATCTAAATTTCTTCTTTCCTCAGTGTCCCCAAGGTTAAAGGGGTAGGCTGATTTTACCTTACAACACTAGCCTGTTGCTTGACAAAAGAAAAAGATGGGGGGAAGAGGATTATTAAGAAACACCTCACAGAGGAAAAATCATTCTTAAAAGTGAAACAGAAGTTCACTCATTATTTGGCTGTCTATTATAGGTGTATAGGAATGCTTGTGATTTTTGAACATTGATTTTGTATCCTGATACTTCGCTGAAGTTACTTATCAGCTTAAGAAGATTTTGGGCTGAGACCATGGGGTTTTCTAAATATACAATCATGTCATCTGCAAACAGACACAATTTGACTTCCTCTCTTCCTATTTGAATGCCATTTATTTCTTTCTCTTGCCTGATTGCCCTGGCCAGAACTTCCAACACTGTGTTGAATAGGAATGGTGAGAGAGGGCATCCTTACCTTTCGCCAGTTTTCAAAGGGAATACTTCCAGCATTTGCCCACTAAGTATGATACTGGCTGTGGGTTTGTCATAAATAGCTCTTATTATTTTGAGATATGTTCCATCAATACCTAGTTTATTGAGAGTTTTTAGCATGAAGGGGTGTTGAATTTCATCAAAGGCCTTTTTGGCATCTATTGAGATAATCATGTGGTTTTTGTTATTGGTTCTGTTTATGTGATGATTTACATTTATTGATTTGCTTATTTTGAACCAGCCTTGCATCCCAGGGATGAAGCAAACTTGATCATGGTGGACAAGGTTTTTGATGCGCTGCAGGATTCAGTTTGCCAGCATTTTATTGAGGATTTTCCAATCGATGTTTATCAGGGACATTGGGCTGAAATTTTCTTTTTTCGTTGTGTCTTTGTCAGGTTTTGGTATCAGGATGATGCTGGCCTCATAAAATGAGTTAGGGAGAATTGCCTCTTTTTCTGTTGTTTGGAATTGCTACAAAGAGAATAAAACACCTAGCAGATATATAGACCAATGGAACAGGACAGAGGCCTCAGAAATAATGCCACACATCTACACCCCTCTGATCTTTGACAAACCAAACAAAAACAAGCAATGGGGAAAGGATTCCCCATTTAATAAATGGTGTTGGGAAAACTGGCTAGCCATATTCAGAAAACTGAAATGGGACCCCTTCCTTACACCTCATATAAAAATTAACTCAAGATGGATTAAAGACTTTAAGGCCTAAAACCATAAAAACCCTGGAACAAAACCTAGGCAATACCATTCAGGACATAGGCATGGGCAAAGACTTCATGACTAAAACACCAAAGAAATGGCAACAAAAGCCAAAATTGAGAAATGGGATCTAATTGAGCTAAAGAGCTTCTGCACAGCAAAGGAAACTGTCATCAGAGTGAACAGGCAACCTACAGAATGGGAGAAATTTTTTTCAATCTACCTATCTGACAAAGGGCTGATATCCAGAATCTACAAAGAACTTAAACAAATGTACAAGAAATAAACAAACAACCCCATCAAAAAGTGGGTGAAGGATATGAACAGACACTTCAAAAGAAGACATTTATGCTGCCAAAAAACATATGAAAAAGAGCTAATCATCACTGATCATTAGAGAAATGCAAATCAAAACTACAATGTTATACCATCTCATGCCAGTTACAATGGCGATCATTAAAAAGTCAGGAAACAACAGATGCTGGAGAGGATGTGGATAAATAGGAACACTTTCATGCTGTTGGTGGGAGTGTCAATTAGTGTCAATTCCAAGCTTCCACAGCATGGAAGGGGACCCAAGTGGGTTGCCGGTGCTGGCTCGGGTGGCTGTTTTTATTGCCTTATCTGGCCCCACCCACATCCTGCTGATTGGTCCATTTTACAGAGAGCTGATTGGTCCATTTTACAAAGAGCTGATTGGTCCATTTTGACAGAGTACTGATTGGTGAGTTTACAAACCTTTAGCTAGACACAGAGTGCTGATTGGTTTATTTACAATCCTTTAGCTAGCCACAAAAGTTCTCCAAGTCCCCGCCCCACCCAGAAGCCCAGCCGGCTACACCTCTCAATGGCACTCGCCATGGGACTTTGCGGCACCTAGCCTGTGCAGCCCAGAGGGAGCTCGTCCCCTCGATCAAGTCTAGCAGGCGCCAGCCAGCCATGCTGAGTGTGGGGCCTGCTGAGCCCACACCCACCTGGAACCTGCGCCAACCTGCGAGTGCCACATACAGCCCCAGCACCTCTCCCTCCACACCTCCCCGTGAGCAGAGGGAGCTGCTCCAGCCTCGGCCAGCCCCAGAGAGGGGCCCTCACAGTGCAGCAGTAGGCTGAAGTGCTCCTCAAGTGCGGCCAGAGAGGACGCCAAGGCCAAGGAGGTGCCAAGAGCAAGTGAGGGCTTCTAGCACGTTGTCACCTCTCAATCTCCCCTGTAAACAGGACACCCCAACTGCTGTTGGGAATTTGGCCGATGACCATGCTAGCTACTTCCTGCTGGATAGGGGCAAAGAAGGGGCCCTGCAGTTGTAGTGTCCTCCAGAGGGGAACTCTTTAGGCCAGTGGAAGCCAAGCAGGTCAGTCCAGGGGTCCTTGGTAGAAGTTGTTAGTTGAGCTCATTTGGGGTTCCATTTGTAAGACCATCTGTAGCTTGATGGCCTCAATTCTAGAGGAAATTTGACAAGAAGGTTAAAAATACAGGGCCCAAAGGCGAGTAATGCAAGACGGCTGCCATGGGACCTAGAAAGGGGAGGAGCCATGTTGCTCAACTCCAGAGGTTGGTATAAGAGTTTGAAAGGCATTGTCTGATTTCAGAATCCTTTTCCTGTAAGTACCAGGTGGCATCTCATACTATCCCTGACTGGTTAGTGTAAAAACAATGCTCTTCCCCTAAGAAGGTGCAGAGTCCTCCTTTCTCAGCAGTGAGGGGGTCTAGGCCTTGGCAGTTTTGGAGAGTCACTGCTGCCAAAGAGTCTATTTGGGATTGTAGAGTAAGGATAGATTTCGTTATTTCTTGCAAACTGTCTGAGAAATCCTTTGAGAGTGTGTGGTAGTAGGATAATGAAGTATCCTACTGGCTATTCCGGTTCCTGTAGCAGTAGCCATTCCTAGCCCTATAAGTAGGGGTATTAGTTGTATTTCTCTGCACTGACAGACTTGAGCTTTGAGGGGTACTGATAGAGTCTGATTTCCACAAGATTAGAAGTTAGGATAATATATGTTTACACTGTTAACTTTTAGCAAACTTTACTTTTGTTGAAAACCTTGTAAGTTTGGGATTTCAATTATTCTTTGCTATTAATAAGACCTCTTTCTAGCCATTTAACTTAGAATTAATATAGATGGCTCCTTCCTGATTCTGTAAGTACTTTAAGGTTTGGCTGAGTGCAAACAGCTTGCACGTTTGAGCAGACCAATTATTAGGCAATTTTCCTAACTCTGCTTCTATAAGAGTTTCCTTATCACTTACTGAATACCCATTGTGTCTTTTTCCTTAATCATGGGGTGGAACCATCTATCGTCCTGTCCTGAAGGGAGTTCCTCCTATGTCTGGTGGACCTTCAGATTTAGATCCTTTGTTAGGACACCTGCTGGGTTAAGGATTTTTGATAGGAAGGCTATGGGTTTTTCAGTGGCCTCAGTGCTTTTGGGCTATGCCCTTGTTTACACTGACAACAAGGTGGTATAGGGTTATAGAGAAGACCTTCAATTATCAATTATAGGTTTCAAATCTACCCTGGCTTTTAAAGGAATAGGATACACTGTTTTTTCTTTACTACTTCTATCTCTTTCTCTCTCTTCGACTTCTCCTTTTTCTGTCTCTTTCTCTCTTTCTGACTCCCTCTTTGTCTCTCTGTCTCTTCCTCTCTCTCTCTCTCTCTGACTTTGTCTCTTTCTCTCTTTCCTTTCTGCTTGTGGTATTTAATGGGGGTTCCCCCTGAGGTTAGGAATTCCCTTTCTTTCCATATTGCAGCATGGACATGTAAGATTAGATAAGCATACTTGCTATCTGTATACACATTTATTATTTTCCCCTTTCCCAGTTCTAAGGCTTGGGTAAGTGCCACTAGTTCTGCTAACTGGGCCCTTGTCCCTGAGGGAAGAGGCTTACTTTCAAGTATGGTTACATCACTAACTATGGCATAACCTGCCCTTTGTATCCCATTCTCCACAAATGAACTTCCGTCGGTATATAGGTTAAGGTAAGGATTAGCTAAGGGGACTTCTAAGCGATCATCTTGGGCAGCATAAGCCTAGACTATAATTTTTTGGCAGTCATGCTCGATTGATTCCCCATCCTCTGGGAGAAAAGTGGCAGGGTTGAGGGCAACACACGTACGTATTTGAAGCACCAGTCTGTCAAGGAGTAGTGCCTGTATCTAAGTAGGCAGTTGTCTGATAGCCACAAACTTCCTTTGGCACCTAGTATGCCATTTACATCATGAGTAGTCCAGACAGTGAGATCTTTTCCTTGTATTATTTTGATAGCTTCTGACACTAAGATGGCCACTGCCACAACTACCCATAAACAGTGAGGCCAGCCTTTTGCTACTACATCAATTTCCTTACTTAGGTATGCCACTGGTTGTGGGGTTGTTCCACGAGTCTGAGTAAGGACTCCGAGAGCTATCCCTGTTCTCTCTGTGATGTATAAAGAGAATTTTTGTCCTGTGAGAAGGCTTAAAGCTGGACCTTGTACTAGGGCCTGCTTTAAGGTTTTGAAGGCTGTTTTTGCCTCTGGTTCCCATTCTACTAGATGAATATTTGCTTTCTGGGTCTCATTGATTAGAGTATAGAGGGGCCTGGCTATCTCGCTGTATCTGGGGATCCATAGTCAGCAAAAGCTGGTGATTCCAAGGAACCCCTGAAACTGTTTTAATGTCTTAGGGTGAGGATAAGCCAGTATATGCTGTATTCGTTCCTTGCTGAGGGCCCTGGTCCCTCTGGCTAAGATTAGGCCTAGATATTTGAACTGCTGTAGGCAAAGCTGGGCCTTCGACCTAGATACCTTGTACCCTTGATTAGCTAGAAAGTTCAAGAGATCTAGAGTAGCCTGCTGGCACGAGGCTTCCAAACTGGTAGCCAAAAGTAAATAATCCACATACGGAAGGACCAGAGTGCCTGGACTTGAAAAATGGCCTAGATCTTGGGCCAGTGCCTGACCAAACAGGTGAGGGCTATCCCTAAACCCTTGGGGCAAGACCATCCATGTAAGTTGGGATGTGTGGTCGGTGGGATCCTCAAAGGCAAAGAGAAACTGGGAGTCAGAGGGCAGGGGAATATAGAATAAGGCATCCTTGTGGTCCAGAACCATGAACCATTCTGCTTCTTCTGGTATTTGACAGAGCAGGGTATAGGGGTTGGGTACAACTGGATATAGAGGAATTACTTCCTCATTGATGAGTCTAAGATCTTGCACTAGTTTCCACTGACTGTTTGGTTTTTATACTCCTAGAATTGGGGTGTTGCAGGGACTGCTGCATTTCCTTACTAAGCCTTGAGCTTTTAAATGTTTAACAATATCCTGTAATCCTTTATGAGTTTCAGGCCTTAAGGGATATTGCCTTTGATAAGGAAAAGTGGTGGGAACTTTTAGCCTGATTTGGATTGGGGGGGCATTTTTTGCCCTTCCAAATTGTCCTTCCAATGCCCAGACTTCAGGGTCAATTCCCTCCTCAAGTAGGGGACAACAGATGGGTAAGTTGTTCCCCATATTCATGTAGATAATAGTTCCAGCTTTGGCCAATACATCCCTCCCTAATAAGGGTGTGGGACTTTCAGGCATAACAAGAAAGGCATGTGAAAAGAGCAAAGTCTCCCAATTACAACTGAGGAGGTGGGAGAAATACCTGGTTACAGGCTATCCCAGAATTCCTCAGATGGTAACGGACCTTGAGGACAGTCATCCAGGACAGGAGATTAACACTGAGAAGGCCATGCTAGTGTCCAGGAGGAAGTCAATTTCCTGGCCCTCAAAGGTTAAACGTACCCGGGGCTCAGTGAGGGTGATGACATGAGCTGGCTCTTGCCCCAGGCACTCTCAGTCCTGTTGTTGGATCATCTGGTTGGGGGCTTCTGACCCAGAGAACATTTGTCCTCTGGGGCAGTGCACCTTCCAGTGATTGCCTTGGCATAGCAGACATGGACGAGGGGGTGCCTTGTTTCTCATTGGACAATCTTTATTAAAGTGTCCTTGTAAACCACACTGATAACAAGCCCTACCGGGTGATTGGCCTGCTCTATTTTCTGTCCTCTCTGAACCACCAAGGTTTGTCTATCTGAAAGCCATGACTAAAGCTGCAGCCTTTCTCTGATCTTGCTTTTCCTTTCTGGCCTTTTCCTCTTGGTCACTATTATAGAACACTGAGTTTGTGAGGTTTAATAATGCCTCCAGATTTTGTTCAGGGCCCAGGGCTTGCTTTTGGAGCTTTCTCCTGATATCTGCGGCTGATTGGGTAATAAACTTATCTTTTAGAATCAATTGATGCGCGAGTTATTCGGGTGACAGGGCAGTATATTTTCTTAAGGCCTCCCGTATCCGCTCGAGGAAGGCAGAAGGATTTTCTTCCTTTCCCTGAGTTATGGTGGACATCATTGAATAATTCATGGGGTTTTTCATAATTCTCCTTAATCCTTCTAGAACACAGGTCAACAGATGTTTATGACTCCAGTCCCCATGATCTGAGTCAAGGTCCCAGTGGGGATCCATACTGGAGATGGCTTGCTGACCAGTAGTGAATTTATCCCTTTCTTTGGCTGTCATTCTATCTTTTACTTGATTAAGATATCAGGTATATCCAAACTCTCAGGCTGCAGCTAAAGCAGCATTCTTTTCATTAAAGGCTAGGATTTGATCTATCAACAGCATGACATCTCTCCAAGAGAGATCGAAGGTTTGCCCTAGACCCTGTAGGATATCTATGTACCTATCAGGATCATCTGAAAACTTCCCCAGGTCTGCCTTGATCTGCTTTAAATCAGAGAGGGAGACAGGGACATGTACCTGGGTTGGGCCAAATTCCCCTCCCCCTACAGTTTGAAGGGGACATAACCGATAGCCCAGGGGGTTTTGTGGTCTTTTGGAGATTTCTTTGATTATTTCCTTCTGGGCGGGGGAGATTAGAGCAGGATTATCATTAATAGGAAGGGCAGCTATAGGGAGGCTAGGATATGGGGGTAAGCTGAGAGGTCCTCCTGTGGGATGTAAATTGCAAGCTTTGCATAGTTGTGTATTCTCCTTCAATGAAAAGAAAGTTTGGACATGAAGTATTTCACTCCATTTGCTTTCCTTCTTACAGAAAAGATCAAGCTGCAGGATAGTATTGTAATTTATACTTCCCTCAGGTGGCCATTTTTCCCCATCAGAGAGAGAATATTGGGGCCAAGCCATAGTGCAGAAAAAAAATGAGCTGCCTCTATTTCAGGGTTTGCGGGTCAAATTGGTCCCAATGGCTTAGGATGCATTAAAGGGTGAGGCTGTTGATGCCTGTTTCCCATCTGAAAGACAAAACTGCCCGAGGTTTTGGTTTGTTTTGTTTCTCCCCCTGCCCAAGAACCCACCATGGTCCCTAGACTCTGCTGATCAGAATAGTTGTGCTCACTGACACAGCAGCAGAAGCAACCCCTGCCCAAGAGCCTGCAATGGTCCCTGGACCCTGCTGATCAGAATAGTTGCGCTCATCAACACAGCAGCAGAAACACTACTTTTCCTCCCAGACCACAAAGAGGACCAAGGAAGTTCGGATTTAGTGGCCCTTACTGATGTATTCTCGAAAACCTGCACCCCTGCCTGTCCTCCTAGACCACAAAGAGGACCAAGAAAAATTGGATTTAGTGGCCCTTACCAACGCATTCTCGAAAACCTGTTAGAGTCCTAAGCATTCTCCTGTTAGCAATGGGACTTTACCCCTGTCCTATAAAGATGTTATGCCCCCAAAATGAAGTGGAGGGCCATACCCTGAGGGAGGGAAGGGATCTCCAGGGTTGGAAGACTGACATCTTTTGTCCTCACTTATATGAATAGGAAGGATACAATTTATCAGGTTCCCCATATCCTAGCTTCAAGAATAGCTTTTGTTAGGTCTGCTTGTCTGAGGTGGCATCCTAAAATTCCAGATAGTCCCCCCTAGGTGGGGCTTTGGGCAAAAATTATGTCTTTCTGATTGGCGAGATCAGGTGCCAAAAGAAGGTAACAGAGTCCTGGAGTTTGTACTAGAAATCATTCTTATAGGAGAAACTAGAAAAGCACCAGAGACAGGGAGTGGTTTTTAGAAGCGGAACTAGCCTCGGAGAAGAGAGGCGAGAGGAAGTTTATCTGGCAGGCATTAGGACCCAGGAGACAAGGGTCAGGGTAGATAGGATAGATGGGCGAGTCTTGCTTGGGTGACATGACTTTCAGAGTTCTGCTCATGGCCGCAGGGTCAACCAACTTGTTGTTGGGACCCTGTAGCTGAATGGCTTTCCTATTTGTCGACCCTTGGCTCAGCCCAGAAGTACAGGAAAAGTGGAAGCTAGTTCCAGGCAAACCAACGCTCCCAAATCCGAAGAGTTGGGGGTTGTTAGAGAGCCCTTTCCCAGAAAGCCTCACCCCGTGTCTTTAGTCTGGTGGCAGCGCTAGTCGCTTTTCACTGGCCGACAGGTGCCCAATATTTAGCCCCTGAATTCTAAGGAAAAATAGGACAGAATAGCAAGCAAAAGGTGTCTGATGGTACTCACCACTTGGTGATAGGCAATAGTCTCACCACTTGGCGATAGTCTCACCTCTTGGTGATAGGCAATAGTCCCTTCATGGTTGCCAAAATGTGTCCAGAATTGGTGGGTTCTTAGTCTCACTGACTTCAAGAATGAGGCCGTGGACCCTCGCGGTGAGTGTTACAGTTCTTAAAGATGGTATGTCCGGAGTTTCTTCCTTCAGATGTTCAGATGTGTCTGGTGTTTCTTCCTTCTGGTGGGTTCGTGATCTCGCTGACTTCAGGAGTGAAGCTGGAGACCTTCACGGTGAGTGTTACAGCTCTTAAAGGCAGCACGTCTGGAGTTGTTGGTTCCTTCTGGTGGGTTTGTGGTCTCACTGGCCTCAGGAGTGAAGGTGCAGACCTTCGCGGTGAGTGTTACAGCCCATAAAGTTAGCATGTCTGGAGTTGTTCATTCCTTCTGGTGGGTTCATGGTCTCACTGGCCTCAGGAGTGAAGCTGCAGACCTTCACGGTGAGTGTTATAGCTCTTAAATGCAGTGCAGACCCAAAGAGTGAGCAGCAGCAAGATTATTGCGAACAGTGAAAGAACAAAGCTTCCACAGTGTGGAAGGGGACCCAAGGGATTGCTGTGCTGGCTCGGTGGCCTGCTTTTATTCCCTTATCTGGCCCCACCCACATCCTGCTGATTGGTCCATTTTACAGAGAGCTGATTGGTCCACTTTACAGAGAGCTGGTTGGTCAGTTTTACAGAGAGCTGATCTGTCCATTTTGGCAGAGTGTTGATTGGTGCGTTTACAAACTTTTAGCTAGACACAGAGTGCTGATTGGTGCGTTTCCTATCCTTTAGCTAGACACAAAAGTTCTCCAAGTCTCCACCCGACCCAGAAGCCCAGCCGGCTTCACCTTTCAATGGCACTTGCTGCAGGACTTTGCGGCACATAGCCCGGGCACTCTGGCAGCCCAGAGGGAGCTCATCCCCTGATCAAGCCCAGCAGCTGGCAGCCCAGAGGGAGCTCGTCCCCTGATCAAGCCCAGCAGGCCCCGGCCAGCCCGAGTGCGTGGCCCACCTGCACCCACCCGGAACCCGTGCCAGGCCACGAGAACCACATGCAGCCCCGGCTCCTGCCTGCTCCTCTCCCTCCCCACCTCTCCACGAGCAGAGGGAGCCGGCTCCAGCCTCGGCCAGCCCCAGAGAGGGTCCCCCACAGTGCAGCGGTGAGCTGAAGGGCTCCTTGAGCATGGCCAGAGTGGACGCCAAGGCCGAGGAGGCACCGAGAGTGAGCAAGGGCTGCTAGCACGTTGTCACCTCTCACAAGTACTTGTTTATTCCATTGTAATCTCTGCAAACTGTAAGATGTGGTCAGGACCATGTCTTTCTTGTTTACCTAGTAACTGGCACATAGTATGTTCATTTGGTCCTTTGCATTTTCATTCATTTGACAGACACTTGTAGGGTACCCTCTATAGACCAAGATACTAGAGTTAATATAGGTAAAACTTTAGGCAGAAACTGAGAGGACCTGAAGATGAATAAAAGTAGATGGGAAAATTGTATTCACTAGATAAGCTGTATGCACGACAGCAATATGTCTCTCTTTAAGCCAAGAAGAAATATATCTGGCAGGCACAAAACCTTATTTATCTTTATAGCCTCTATGGTGGAATGGAATAGTAAGAGCCAGTGCTGGTTAGTGGAGGTTGGATGAAAGAACTAATAAATGGGACTAGGTTCTCAGCCTTCAGAATTCCTGTGTCTAATGTGGTATTCCGAGCCTGGCCTTTTAAAGCTACTCTGGAACAGCTGACACCTAGTAGAATTCTATCTCCGTATTTGAGATTTTAACATTTATTTCTGGTCTGGGATGTTTAATCAAGGGGATGGGGAGAGGCTATTGCTACTCTGTTCTGTGTACCAAGTGGTCAAATGTTCTTAACTCTGTTTTCAAAAGTTTTGCTGTCTTGTTTTGAAACTGGAATTGAAGAGATGGCATACAAATGTGAGTGGGAAAGTGAATAAGCTAAGAAAAAAAGCAAAAGCCTACTGACACCAAAAAAATTATTAAAAATTCATGACTCTCCTGAAAATTTGTGCTTATGGCCATACCACCTGGGGTTAAGGCTTGAGGGATTTCAATATCTGAAAAGTAGCTGGCCTTATAAACTGTACTTGGTCTTATAAGTGTTTGAGAAAATTCTCCAAGGAAAAGCATGAAGTGCTAGAGGAATGTCTTGCGCAAAGAATCTTTCCTTAGAAATTTGGACTTAAAGAAACTGTCTTTCAGAGTAACACAGAATGGAGTATTAAGGAAGTGGCTATGGAGATAATTTCAGTCTTTCATGTGTTTAGTAAACTCTCCAAATCTTAACTTGCAAAGGAACTGTCGCAGGCACTAGTCTGAATTGCAAAAGCCAAGGGCTTTGCCAAAGGCTTTGTGGTCTAATACATTTGGCTCCGGAAGGAGTATAAGACTTCTCTAGTTTGAGTACATAGGACGTTAGAGTGATTCCTGAACTACATATACTTTAAAAAGTAGATTTAGTAGCAGAGACCATTCAAATTCTGATTTTAATTATTCACGTGAATTCAAATGAATAGAAGATATAATTGGACACAAAATAGACGAGGATGTGAATCTCAAGGGTGCATGGCACTTAGGACTTGAGGCTAGATTCCAACTAGGAGAAAGGCTTTGAGGTAGGAATTGGGATGGTAAGATCAAAATTAAAACATTAATCCACAGAGCCAGTTAGAATGAGAGCTAACATAAAAACTAAAAATGGTTGTGGCATGTGGGATAGTCACACAAATTGGAGAGATGATGTGGGGGAACCAGCAAAAGAGTGGTAATGTCAATAGGATGGCATATGAGCCTACATGAATTTTGGAGTTTCAGGACTTAACTGGGATACTGGGCTCATTTAGGTATCTACAGCAGGATAAAAAGCAGACTTGTCCTAAATTGCTGAGCAAATGTTGTGAGGGTTCTCCAGGTTAGGGAGGGGCCTGTTAACCCTTCCTGTGATCATCCTACTTTATCCTCTGCTCACTTGGTATATAGTTCACTCTGTGGGTTGCTCTGTGAATGTATGGGAATGGTGAGATCTCACCCATGCAATCAATGGCAATTACTGATCATCTTGTCCTCATGCCTCCTCGACTTAGACTCTTTCTACTGGGCTCCAGTATTTACATTGCTGCCAGGAGCTCTTCCATCGCGGTGCTGCTTTGCCAATTTATCTTCCTGAGTCTGCAGTTCATGGCCTGTAACCTTCTTCTGGTGACTGGAATTACACAAGAAAATCAGGAACATTCATTTTTTACCTTTGTTGGAACCGACTGGGGTAGTGGTGGAAAGCCTCCAGTGTAGTCCTTCGACAAGCTGAGATTGAATCACTGACTGACTGCGAAAGAGCCCCCTTCTCCCCTCCTCTCCTGGGCCCTGATTGCAGGCAGGTCCCCCTTCACTCAGATCCCCCAGTGTCGAAGGTCAGGGTTGGGGAGAGGGATAGAAATGAGGCAGTGATGAGTGATCAAGAATTAGGATGCCCTGGAGGTCACTCACAGGTTCTCACGGAGGCTCCACTGTGACCTCCCACGTGCGAGCACTTTCCTATCTCTGGTTTCTCCCCATCTGACCGGTGCTGGGTTTGGCTAGAGGGCGGCTGTAGAGTGCTCAGAAGCAGCGTGCCACGGGAATCACGTGTGGTCCAGCCCTCAGGTGGGAGAGAAGACCTTGTTGGCAGACGGATGGGGGCACGGGAATGAGGAAAGGGGAGGAGACAATCTTGGCAAAAAGTTTTTCTTTTCCATAATTACAGGGAACTAGGATTTTAAAAAAATTATTGTTATTATAATTATTATTATTGAGAAGAGGAAACCCAGGGCTGGCAGAGGGGAACTTCTCTGCTTTTATCTTTCAGGTTTGACTCCTGGCACTGACTTTGATACTTGGAATTTTGAGGTTCAGGGACTTCAGAGAATTTGGCAGCACAGCGTATTGGGAGAAACGGAAATTTCAGGAGATGGATTGATCACCCTGGTTGACATGTTTCTGGAAGTGGGTGAGTGGGTTTGATTGAGAACATTTTGGGCTCTTGCACTGATGGTGGGAAAGAAAAATTCATGGCGGCACTTCTCATAATAATTCTCTCCCCTGAAAAGAAAGATTATGATAAAGAATAATTTGGAATAATAAGTAACAAGATAGAATTAGAAAAATGTTGACTTTCCAGATGACCAGTCAGAAGTGTGGCTTTTTTCACATCTTTTTCTCCTGCAATGATCTGCTCCCAAGTGCTGCACTGCAATACCAGTCTAACTAACACTTTGTGAAACAAATTGTTAAGTGTGTATGTATGCATATCAAGCTATGCTCTGAGGATAAAGCAAGTTCTAATTTGTGGAAAAAGGATTAAGTATTTCTGTTTTCTGAAAAAGAAAAATGTAGAGTATCTTCCTATTGCTTCAAACCCTATACTTCAATATCCAATGTTCGATATCTCCATTAGCCCCATTGTATCTTTCACAATTCATCCCTCACTGCTTTCTCATGGGGCCTTCTATTCTAGCAAGGAAACATTTTCTTCTCCCCTCCCCCCTGTCATTTCTCCTTCTTTGGTAATGTTTTTCCATTTCTTCCCCTCCAATCCAAAGCCTCCGTTTCTTTCAAACTCATATATTAAGTTTTACCTGGTACAAGAAACATTTTTTGATTAAATTTACTTTACAGTGGTTTTAAGATTTTTCCAGAATAATCTTATAAACATACCTGTAGCCTAAGAATTATTTACAAGTTGACTCATGTGTGTGTAGCTTTTTGCCCTAATTACAGTCTGAATTCCTGAGCAACATCCTTTACTTATTTTGTGTTTTGTTAAGCCTCAAATAGAAATGTGAATCCATAGGAGGCACTCAAGTAATGCTTACTCAACAGATGAAGACATCCTCCTGTACTACTATGGTCCCCTAACAGAGTGATAAGAATTGATTTTGTAAGAGAACAAATGTTTAGTTTTTATGATTCTTTGTTAACAAGGTATATATAATTTACATTGCTTGAAGTTATAGTGTACTGTCTTAGTGTGGGAATATTAGGGTAAATAATTTTACTTTTACCAACATTTTTGTTCTTAACATCTAACTACTTGTCCCATTTATTTGGGGTAAGAAGGTCTTGGGTTGCTGTTTTGGTGGTTCTGTAGTATCACAGAGACTAATGAAATTGGACTGCATGTCAGCACAGGTGCATTTCAGGTTTATTCAATGTACCATCATCTTCCAAAACTAGATCTGTGGGTGGAGGAGCAGTGATTAATCTATGGAATGTTATTATAGGTGTATAGATAAACAGACCTGGAATGTAAACTACTGCAGATGCCCAGGATTGGAACCACTTTTTTGTACACAGATGTCTTTTTTTATTATTGAGTCTTTGGTTTGGCAAAAAGTTGTTAAGTGGTCTTTTATCAATGTCACTGGGGCTCTAATAACTTTTTAAGGGTGACCTGCTTCTGTGCCACAGATCTTATTTCCTTGTGTTTCAACTCAACAGTGAGTGTTCAATTAATGACTGTTCTGCATAGTGAATGGAAAGTGTTTTGTTGAGAAGGACTTATTTTTCTTTCAAACCTGTAAGGATATAATGTGCCAGATGGTTAATTCCCATGGGTTAATGAGTGTACCTACACACTTCATGATTGAAAATATCCTTCCGACGTTTTTCCTGTGGTGAAAGAATGGCTATAATTTTAATTTACATTTGTATGAAGTATACGTTTGCAGTTTTCTACTGATACCTGAAAAAATAGATTTCTATCATAATGTGTGAAATATATGCCACTTTAGTTATATAGTCTTCTGGTGTATGGGGCGTAAATACTTTACAGAAATATAAGTTTTGATAAACTTTTAATATTACATTTTAATTATCACTCACATTTAACTTGGAGAGTAAGGACATAGCTTTCAATGTGTGTGTGGAAGGGGCAATTGTTAGCAGTATTCAAATGAATCATTCTTGTGTCTGTGTTTCAATAAGATTTATATTTTTAACTAAAGAAATTTCTTTACTTTGTAATGTCCAATTAATAGGCTAATAATTTATAGCCAGTTAAGAGGAAGGAAGTTCTTATAAGGCAGCAATGCTAAAATGCCCAAAGATTGGCATAGGAAAAAAATTACATTTGAATCTCCTTTGAGAAAAGACCAAAATGAAAGCCATCACAATTTAAAATATTTTCAAGTAGTTGAGTAATGATAGTTTATACATAGAGCTAAGTTTATATAATATTGTATGTTTTAGGGATTCCAGGCTATAAAGTGTGAACATAAAAACCTAAGAAACCCATAATACAAATTATACCAACACCCAACACATTTAGAGTTTTTTTTAAAAAAAGAAAAACATAAGTGGCTGGGCACGGTGGCTCACGCCTGTAATCCCAGCACTTTGGGAGGCCGAGGAGGGCAGATCATGAGGTCAGGAAATCGAGACCATCCTGGCTAACACGGTGAAACCCCGCCTCTACTAAAAATACAAAAAAATTAGCTGGGCATGATGGCAGGTGCCTGTAGTCCCAGCTACTTGGGAGGCTGAGGCAGGAGAATGGTGTGAACCCGGGAGGTGGAGCTTGCAGTGAGCCGAGATTGCGCCACTGCACTCCAGCCTGGGTGACAGAGCGAGACTCTGTCTCAAAAAAAGCCAAAAAACAAAACAAAAAAAACCCATAAAAAACAAAAATGTTTTTGGTATTTTTTTTACAGTTCCCTATAAATGACAATAATTTGTATATACACCAAAATTATATAGGCTATTAGCCACCTGTAGTTCATGCCTGCCGTGATCTCCGTAGCTGAGTAATTTACTCAAAAGTTGCATGTCTTCAAGGTCAGAGATAGCTTATCTCTATGTTCCAGAATCACTTCAAGTTTTACATCCAGACTCAACTCATGACAACCTGGACTGACATCACTCCTTCTTTTGTAAGATGAGAATCATATGTCATCTTCTCATGCGTTGGAGACTGGGTAGGCAAATACATCTAACTTCATTCAGGGCACCCCTGACCAAGCAATCTGTCTGTAGGGATGCTTGTTGGAGGGTTTCAGGTAACCAAGAAATGGGTAGGGTAAACTGAGGCAATTGCTGAAGATAGACAAACAACTCAAATAAATCTTGAGTATTTAAGGCAGTATGGGATGTCAAGTTCCCACATCATTTTGCATATGTAGAACAGGACTAACTTAAAATGATTAAAAAAATTATAGCCAGTGTCTTACATATCAGAGAGTAAAAGATAATGAAGGAATAATTTGAGACAAAGTCTGAGTGGGAAAATAAATAAAATGTATTAAGGCTTTTTTAAAACAGAAAATAGATTAACGAAGAAATTAAGTGATTCTTCTAAACATTTTAACATACATACATTAAGGGGTGTACTAAGATAATTTAATAAGATAAAGTAAAATCAAATAATGTTTAGACTAAAGCATAAGAAAAATACTTGAAGCTAGAGAACTTTAAACTTATAAAATGTCATTCAGAGCAAAATAAATGAAACTAGGTTTTTGGTATCCATTTAATGTTGGACTTTCAAAAAATGAGTGGTTAATAACTGGCTGAGGAGATAAAATTGGAAGTTCTGCAGTCTTTTGACTCACCTATATCTCTCATATTATGTAAGAATCAATTCGCGTATCTGCAAAGAGAACACATTATGATATCAATGCTTTTTTCATAGTTTTACTTTGCATTTAAGACCAAAATCAGATTATGGATATATCACATTAAAGAATCCATTTCCCTCTGGAGTCTGGCTATTTCACTCCAATTTTTTCAACTACTTTATTCCTCCTGTATTACATTTTACTTTTCCTTCACCTTTTTTTTTTCATCTGTACATTTCTTTGCTTCATCCAGTTCAATTTACTTTGCTAATGTTTGGAAAGAATATTATAACTCAATCTTCATGTAATGGTTTATAACCTCCTGATTTTGTGATCTTTTTAAAGGCTGTTATATTGACAAGTAAATTATACTTACTTTAGCCAACTGTATGTACTTATGTCACTTTAAATTTAACTTATCACTAGTTGTCAAAATCTCCCCTGTGGCCTTTTTAATGTTCCAATGTATTTGGCAGTATATTTTTTTATTGACATTTCAATTTTATTTTGCCGTGTGCTAAAGTTACAAAAAAAAATGACTAAAAGTTAAACCCGGGCCAACCCAGACTAAAGTTAAGTTTTAGGAGTATTTGGGAATGCATTATTTTTGTTGAATGCTTAAGCTTCTGAATCCACTAGGACTCAGAATGTATTCAGTCGAGATCTGGATGCTGAACTCTGGTGTTAGGCAGAAGAAAAGTAACAAGAGATCATCACCAAACAAGTCTGAGATTAAGATTTCCTTACCAGCTTTATGTTTTCTTGTTTGTTTTGTTGTCAGTAAAAGAAAACCCAACTCATTTAAACATTTTGGCTTGTGAATACTTAACATTCTCCTTTAGTGCATTAATTACTATTTTGCCTAATTGTTTGTTTTGTTTCTTATTCCATGATCAATTTATCCCAGATACTATAAATTGCTTTTCACAACCTTGTCTAGTGTGATTTCTGCTATCTTCTCCTGCACCTAGTACCAGGCATGGTGCCTCCTAGAGACTCAATATGTTTAATGGCCTACATTGCTATGTCTCTTACATGACTAACTCACACATAAACATTACCATAAATAGAAACATAGATGGCAGACTACAGATTATGATTTGTGTGTTTTTCACTTAATTTCGGAAAACACAAGCAAAGATCCTTTTGATTTGATACTTCTGTTGGCTAACTATACAGCAAGCTTCTTAGAGCTGCACAGCTCAGTACAGTAGCCACTAGACAAATGTAGCTATTTAAATTTAAACTGAATGAAAATTAAATGAAATTTAAAATTCAGCTCTTTCACCACACTAGCCAAATTTTAAATGCTTAATAGCTACATGTGGCTGTTGGCTACCATATTGGACAGTGCAGATTACAGAACATTTCCATCATTTCAGAAACTTCTTTTGGGCAATGCTGTCTTAGAATGTTATTTTAGAAGAATACCTCAAGTGGTTAATACAAATAATAATAATAATACAAATTTTTTCTTTTGCGATTTTGTATTCCTTTAGGAAATGTCAGCTAGCTCAGATCTACATATAGGCAGTACCATTCTCAGTGCTAAATAAATCAAAATAGTGTGAAATTGACTACCACCAGAATCACAGAGTAAGATTAAAATGCCAGGAGCTATTTTTGTTAAATGACTTTGTAATGGTTCTCCTGGATTTTTGTTCTGGCAGTCTCTATCAAGCACCAGTGTCTTTAGATATTGGTTTGACCTGTATCTATGAGCTTGCTGTTGGACAATGAAGAACTTCATACATATAACATGTTTTCCCAGATATTCTGTTCTTAAGTGCAGAAGAAAATCATTAGGAGTATTGGGAATAGATCTCTCATCTCCTTACCCCATGTCTCTTAGCTTCTGCAGCCAAGTGTTCAAAAGGAAGTGTCCTGGTATCTGCGTCTTTGCCTGAGGAGAGATTGATTTCCCAGTTTAGATTCATATCAGAAAGTTATGCTTCCTGCCAAAAGGATATTTAAAAACTCCACCCTCCCTGCTTCACAAAGAGAGAAAACAGATCAGCCAGGACCCAGACAGTAGATAACAAACAGATCACTCTAATTAGAAAAAAAGAGGCAGCATACAACAAACAGAGCCCAGCTACCTCTGGGCAGTAAGAAGAGTGAGACTTTAAGAGGCCTCTCGTTCATGCCCTTAAAATAACCTTTTAATAAGTTATACAGAAACATAAGATTAAGGGCCTCCATAGGAAAACGTGACTTTCAATTACAGACCAGCAAAAGCCTGGAAAAGTGTGAGATATTAAAAAGAACATCCAGAAGGAACCAGAACATAACCTGTTTGTTTTGCCAGATGAGCTGAAGAGTTTTCACGAAGTCTTGGTGAGGAGGAACTGGAAGTTGGTATCAGAATCTCACTGTTTTGTTGTTTATACTTATGTTACCATTTCTAAAATGTTCTGCAGAACTGTTAACTACTACAGGAGAAAGTTTCCAAAGTTAATAATGTTAGGAAATATTGGATTAAATAAGATTAAATAAGTTTCAAAAATAATTATAAACTTATCAAGATTTGCTATGCTAATGTGTGTTGCAATTCTCTACAAAGCTGTGGAAGAGATAAAATATTTCTTAAGCTTCTGTAATAAGTATTTGGAAATTTGGATAAAGCCCCAAGGCAGGAAAAAATTGGTGTTAAGTTGTTTCATATTATCGAGAGTAGTGACTAAACATATCGCCACAGGACTTAAGGGGTAACAACAAGATGATGATGATGATAATGTGACCATTTAATGAATGCTTACAAAATTCTTATAACAGTAACTTGTGCGTAGTAAGTGCTCAAAAAGTAATTGCTACTATTATTTTGGGGTCTGATGGGGCTGTAGGGATAAAAGACACACTGAGACACTCTTGGCCAAGCAGAAGTAAGAATGCTGCATAAACCCAAATGACATGAAGTCAAAGGTCACAGAGGGGCCTCACAGAGCCTGGAAGATTTGCTCATGCCTCAGCCAGTAATAATGGGAATGTCCCTTCCCACAGGTGAGGCTGAATGAAGTCCATGGATCCCTCAAAGGATTAATTATGAAATGGTGATCAGTCGTAGTGTACCTGACTGGTGAGGAAACAAGCCAGAGGCTGCATCAAGAGGTGAGCTAGAGGACTATGGAAGTGTTAAATCTTGAAATCAAAATTAAACTCAGCTCTTGGCAGTAGTGAACAAGCTCTCACATTGTGATTTCAATATTGGAGCAAAATAAGTACTTCAGTATTTTCGTATTTATTTATCCAATACTAAAATAGCACAAGAAAAAAATCAAATAGAATCGCCATCATTTTCAACTGCGATTTCTCATTTACTATTGCACTTGATAAGGAGTCTGTCCAGGGCACAGTCTTTGAGGCCTGAGTCCCCTGAGTGAGCAGAGCTTCGTCGGGGAGGATGACCAAGGAAGCTTGTTTTGGTTAAGATAAATATTATTAAAGGAGGAATGAGCGAGGCCCTAAAAACCAGAACCAGTCTCTAACAGGAAAAACCAAGTGAAAGGACATGATTTTGCTCTTTTTAATGGCTGTGTAGTATTCTATGGCGTATATGTACCACACTTTCTTTTTTCTTTTTCTTTTGCTCTGTTGCCCAGACTGGAGTGCAGTGGCACTATCTCCGCTCACTGCAAGCTCCGCCTCCCAGGTTCACACCATTCTCCTGCCTCAGCCTCCTGAGTAGCTGGGACTACAGGTGCCCACCACCACGCCCGGCTAATTTTTACCACACTTTCTTTAACCATTCACTGTTGATGGGCATGTAGTTTGATTCCATCTTTGGTTTGTGAATAGTGCTGTGATGAACATACAAGTACATGTGTCTTTTTGGTAGAACAATTAGTTTTCCTTTGGGTAATCCTAAGCAAATTAACAGAGGAACAGAAAATCAAATACCGCATGTTCTCACTTACATCTGAGGGCTAGACATTGGGTACACATGGACATAAAGATGGGAACAATAGACATGGGGACTACTAGAGAAGGAAGGGAAGGAGGAGGGTGTGAGTTGAAAAACTACCTATTGGGTACTATGCTTATCACCTGGGTAACAGGATCGGTATTCCAAACAACATACCCATGTAACAAACCTATACATGTAACTTCTGAATCTAAAATAGAAGTTGAAGTTATACAAAGAAAAAAAAGCAAGTGAAGCAGAAGGGCCCTGAGGGAATTCAGCTCTGGAATAAAGGAAGATTTTGGGCCTCATGAGAAGGTTGAGAATTGGGCCCAAGAAACTTCATCTCCATGTTCCTCCTCTCCTAACACCTCAAACATATTTTCCCTCCTGCTTTCAGTATTCTCTCCCACCTCCATGCTAAAACCACTCCATCAGAGACCTTGGAATTGATTGTGGCCCAAATTAACTCTGGGGAAATAAAAATGAATTATAAACATGAAAGATTCCCAATTAACCTAAGAAATGGAAATTAAAATAGTAAGCTAACCCAAAAAGACTTTAAACACATGAAGGATCCATGGATCTATTTATTTGATATGTTCAGAATACTTTCAAAATGAGGGCAAATTTCTTGGAATCAAAACATTACTGTAGGTAATGATTCTGTAGGTAAGGCTCATGGCATACATAATTTGGGTTTTAGATTTCTCAATATACAGAAAATATAACATGGTACCAATAAGAATAATGATATTTTGGGACTTAAAAATAACGTGAATATAGAACAGTAAAAATGAGTGTTGCAGTTGCTTCCACAACTGTCACTGGATAATCATTGAGTAAATGGTAAAGTCCTTCTCTGTATTTTCTGTAATATTCTTGTGCTTTGTAACAGTTATCTCTTGCTGCATAACAAACCAACCCAAGCCATGGTATCTGAAAATGTCAACAAATTATTGCTTATATTGATTGGGTAGTTCTTTTGCTGTAATTGCCTAGTTCATACATGAGCTACAGTTGAGACAGACGAGCTGGCTGGTTTTCTGTTTTGATATTGTCTGGAGAAAAAGAACAAAGACCCCTTAACTCAACCTGTATCTTACTTCATCTACAGCCAATCAGCATCAAAGGCCCAAGAAACTATTAACCACAAGTTCCTGGTTTTGGGGCTAGGGACTTCACCGAGGACCTGAATGCACAGCTAGGCTTAAGCTTCAACTCACAGTGATCTTTTTTCTCATTTTAATGCTAAAAATCATACTCAGAGGTGGAGGTTTAAAATGTTAATGTTACATGAATTGTATGAAGAAGCATGTAAAGCCACTGTGCAAGTGCTAGAGAAATCCCTCCTATCCATGCCCCAGTGAAATCGTTTTCTGTAGAATAGGACCTATAAAACTAACACATAGTCTACGCTCAGGACACAGCCCTCTGTTTACCTTCCATGGTGCTGCCTTTCCCTGTGCACCAGCTAAATGAAGCTTTCTCTTTTTCTTTGCTGCTGTGGCTGGTGATCTCTCTTGATTTCTATCCTGGGAGATTACAAGAACACCAATAACAGACTCAGTGTGGGGGATCAGGCTAAATGGCTGGGATGGTTGTAATGGTTGGGACTCTCTCCACATGGCCTCATGTCCCTGGAGTCTTCACAGCATGGTGGTCCCAGGTTCCAAGGCAGCAAGGGTAGAAGGTAGAAGATCTTTTCAGGTAAAGGTTTGGAAGTCATACAGCATCACTTCCACCACATTCCATTAATCAGAGAGGTCACAAACCCAGCCCAGATTCAAGACGGGGGAAATAGACTCTACTCAATGAGAGAGAGGTGGCAAAGCTAGAGTCACATGTTTAATAAGAAAGGGACTTTGTGGTCATCTTTGCAAATAATCTACCACAGTCCCTAAGTCATTACTAAGGAGTCAGAAGAGGACTCAGTGTAGTCATGAGCCTTTTTTTTCTGAGGAATAATTTTGCCTCTGTTTATCCTCAAAACTTGGAGCTTTAAACATTGGGACCTCCATGGATCCATTTACTTGACAATGTTGACTATAATCTTTATAATCTCTATCTTGATGTATAAGTGGTAGAACAGTATTATACATCTGTATCTAGGAGGTAGGTGATTTTCTGCAGAGATTGAGCTGGGTTTTTATTAATAAATTGACTTTCAATTTTGTGATTTATGAACTTAAAAGGAATAGTTTCCATCTATCTTGTTTGTGCAAAATATAATCTTTGCAATCAACAAAGAAGCCAGCATATTTTAATTCTAAAATTGTTTTAATTATTATCTAATTATGTCAACATTATTGGCATTGTGAGCTTGGAGATTTTAGTTCCATAGAGCAAAATACAGTTGATGTTTATTTTTTAATTCCTTTTATTGTTTGTGTTCCAAACGGACAAACAAGCAGTAAAATACTGACAAGTTCCTATGCCTGTGTCTGCATTTCTTCAGAAGTCAGGACACTAAATAGAAAAATGTGTTGATAAATAGAAGGCTTTATTAGTTTAGATGACACTTCTGGATTTCTGTAGGAAAAAAAAACAAACCCATAAATCTGATCATGAAATCTACTACAGTAGTCTATCATTTAGAAAGTGTTTTGCTAATGGTGGTATCACATGATCCTCTCTTAAAATTCTCCCTCTCCTCTTTTATTCTCTTGAGGATAAACAGGTAGAAATCAAGTTGTAGTGTGTATAATTATTAATTCCTGAGTGAAAAAAAGATGGGGGCCTGAGAAAGAATGAAAATGCCCTATTCATTCTGCATGTACTGACCCCATCTCTTATGTTGTTTACATTCTTCTTGCTTTCTGGAGACCATCAGGCCTAACTCCGTTACTTAATATTCAGTCTTCAAAGTTTCCAACAAAACTAATTCAGTGAGTTAGACTTCCCTTCCTGGAAACATCTTTGATTATCTTAAAACATTAAAAAAAATTACAGCAATCTATAACTGCATGTACAATGTGATGAGAAGGCTAATGATAGTAGTGTAATTGTATGTCTCACTCATCCATACAACAAATATTTATTGAGTATATCCCTTATTCCAGGTGCTTTGCTAAGTATTGAGGATACAGAAAAAGAATATGTCCTGTTTATTTCTTCTAAAGAACCCTCTATATCAGGAGTCAGCAAGCATTTTCTGTAAAGGACTGGATTGTAAATATTTTACAATATTTACAATATTCTCTGTTACAAGCACTCAACTTCATCTGTTTAGCACAAAAAGCAGCCTTAGAAAATACATAAATGAACTGATGCGACTGTCTTCCCACAAAATTGTATTTACAGAAACAGGTGGTGGACTGCGTTTTGCCCCTGGGCTGTAGTTTGCTGACCCCTGTTTTATATAACGGAGGGACATATAATTTAAGAGTAGTAAAGTGTTATAATTAATATGCTAGTAATAAGTATAGAGGCATGAAGGAGAAACTGCCAGTTCTCAGGGTAAAATGTGATCTAGAAAAACTTGGTAAGAAAGATGAGTAGGTTTCTGTGAAGTATACTGGGAAAAGACCAGACAGCCTAATGTTTCCGTTTGGGATGACTGGGCCACAGGATGTAACCACAGTGTTACTATGCCAATCATGGAATTTTTAAGCTCCAAGGAACCCTAAAGTTCTTCTAACCTAATTACTCATAAATTCAGTGATCCTTTTATAACATTCCGGAAAGAATTTGTGAAAATAAGGTAAAGATCAGTAGCACTGCGTGCTTTGACTTTGTGTATATCAAGTATTCATTAGAACAAAAGCTTTTATAGCAAATAGTTAAATTGCCTATGTTAGCTCATTTATGTCAAGCAACCACCAGCACCATAACTGTCAGGCCTCTGAGCCCAAGCTAAGCCATCATGTCCCCTGTGACCTGCACGTATACCTCCAGATGGCTTGAAGCAAGTGAAGAATCACGAAAGAAGTGAAAAAGGCCGGTTCCTGCCTTAACTGATGACATTCCACCATTGTGATTTGTTTCTGCCCCACCTTAACTGAGCGATTAACCTTGTGAAATTCCTTCTCCTTGCTCAGAAGCTCCCCCACTGAGCACCTTGTGACCCCCGCCCCTGCCCGAATGAGAACAACCCCGTTTGACTATAATTTTCCACTACCCACCCAAATCCTATGAAACAGCCCCACCCCTATCTCCCTTCACTGACTCTCTTTTCAGACTCAGCCCACCGGCACCCAGGTGATTAAAAAGCTTTATTGCTCACACAAAGCCTGTTTGGTGGTCTCTTCAAACGGACGAGCGTGAAAATAACATTCCCACCAATCTTTCTTTTCACTCTCTACATGCTGTTGTATACCCCGATCTCTCTTCATAGGCTTAGACTTACATGGTCACTCACTTCATAGGAGGTGAAAATTCAGGTTTGTGGAGCCTAAGGCTTATACCTATGGGGATTTCTTTAAAAAAGTAAAAGTATGAGTACAAATTTGTTAGCTTAGCTTTGGAGACCTTGGAAGGAACCTGTACAGTGAGGAACCCAGAAGCTTAAAGCTTATCAGCTTTGTGGCAAATTTGCATCTGCCTAACAGATAGTGTGACGGTTAATATTAAGTGTCAATTTGATTGGATTGAAGGATGCAAAGTATTGTTTCTTGGTGTGTCTGTGAAGGTGTTGCCGAAGAAGATTAACATTTTAGTCAGTGGACTGGGAGAGGCAGACCCACCCTACATCTGGTTAGGCACCATCTAGTCAGCTGCCAGCACAGCCAGAATAAAAGCAGGCAGAGGAACATGGAAGGACTAGACTGGCTAAGTCCTCTGATCTCCATCTTTCTCCATGCTGGATGCTTCCTGCCATCGGACATCATACTCCAAGTTCTTCAGCTATTGGACTATTGGACCTACACCAGTGGTTTGCCAGCAGCTCTCGGGCCTTTGGCCACAGTCTGAAGGCTGCACTGTTGGCTTCCCTACTTCTGAGGTTTGGAACTAGGACTGACTTCCCTGCTCTTCAGCTTGAAGACGGCCTATTGTGGGACTTCACCTTGTGATCGTGTGAGTCAATACTCCTTAATAAACTCCCTTTCATACATACATCTATCCTGTTAGTCTTGTCCCTCTAGAGAACCCTGACTAATCAGATAGCAATCTAATTTTCCAAGTTGGATTGAACCACACATATCTAAAAAGAAACCCATACTCTTTCACCTCAAAATTGGAGCCTATGTTTTCTATATAGCATTTGAAAAATCTAGGGGATGCTAAGAGTCATCCAACACATCGATCTTTCACTTACACTGACATACCACTAACACCAAGTCCTATAGATTTTATCTCCCAAATAGTTCAGGTATCTGTCCCCAGCATCTTCACCACTGCCACTTCAAGTCTCTTTATTCATTCCCTGCTCCGGTTTTGCCACTTTCAGCACATCCTTCTGATCATCGCCAGAATAATCTTTTTAAAATGCAAATCTAATTAGATTACTCCTCTCCCTCAAACATTTCAGTAGCTCTCTGTGGTCTCGTGAAAAATAATTAAGGATGTACTAATTCTTCCATGATCCATCTTTTCTGTGCATCCTAATTCTATCTTTCTTCAAGGACTCAAAAGAAGTATTTTTTCTAGCCTCAAAATACAATGTCATTCTGGGCTTAAAATTTGTTCAGAATCTCTTCATTCCCTTAGGAAGAAAAAAACCCACAAAAATTTCTTTGCATAGTGTTCAAGAACTTCCATGAGCTGGCCTCCCCTGATTTGTTCACCCTCATCTCTCTCCAAGCCTCCAAACATATCATTTCTCTCAGGCTTCCATGACCCACACATACTATTTATGCTTCCTGACACACCTTCTTCCACTTGTCCACCTGGTTCATGATTACATTCTTCAGGTCTTATCTCATTATTACTCCACATCCCCTGAGTTCTTTGAGGCAAAGTAAGGTGTGATTCTCTTCTACATTCTGTCTAGGTCTCCAGTAAAACTGTTATTTCATAATACTTACTTACTTTAAAATCTCTCTCTTTTGTTTAATCTAGATATAAACTCCTTTAGGAGAAATCATAACTTTTAATTTTTAAATTCCCCCTTTCCCTGAACAACATTTCACCCAGAGTAGCAAACAAGACACATTCCTTAAATGAACGAATGAATGCATAGATTTGAATACCAAAAAAAGCATACACATATCAACCACTCATAACAGTACAAATTTCTATGCAACAAAAAAAATCCTGGTTTCTGTACGTTAAAATAATTTTTAAAAATTCTATTTCCATGCCTATTGTAATTCACAAGAGCCAAGATATGGAATAGCATAAGTGTGCATTGATGGATAAATAAATAAATAATATATGTATATATATACCACATACACACACACACACACACACACACACACACACACACTGGAATATTATTCTGCCTTAAAAAAGAAGGAAATCCTATTTGTGATAGCCTGGATAAAACTGAAGGGCATTATACTAGATGAAATAAGCCAGGTACAGAAAGACAAATAATGTGTGATCTCAATTATGTGAAATCTACGAGTTGAATCATAGAAGCAGAGAGTAGACTTGTGGTTGCCAGGGATCTGGGGGCTGGGGAAACTGGAAGATGGTCAAAGTATACAAAGTTTCACTTACACAGAATGAATTAAATTCTGGAGCTCTAATGAACATCATGGTGGCTATAGTTAATATTACTATACTGTACACCTGAAATTTGCTAAAAGAGAAGATCTTACATGTTCTCCCCATAAAAGAAAAGGTTATTAGGTGAGGTGATAGATATGTTAATTAGCTTGATCATGGTAATCAATTTCACTATGTATAGGTATATTAAAATAGTATATGGCTTAAATATATACAATTTTTATTTTTCAATTATACCTTGATAAACCTGGGTGTGCGGTGAGGAGAGCTCCTTGTCATTTCAGTGTGAGATTTGGCATATATACAGTCCTTCTAAGTCATTTGCAATCTTCCATAATTTGTTCCAGAAGAAGCCAGTGTCACTTGAATGCTGAAGCCTTCATCAAGGACGTTCCTTCATTATGTTAGTATTAGTTCAACAGTTAACAGTCTGAAATCAGTGTAACTGGAAAACATTTCACCATCCACTGACATGCAATTTATTTTCTTTTTATTCTAAGAATGGAGAAGAAAGAAAGGGAAGGATCCAAATACAACTGGCTTGATTAGTCAGGACTTGGGCAGACTTCCTTGTTGATCTTAGTTTCAAATGTTAAGGTATATTTGGTCTGTCTTATTACTGGAGTAGCCATTGACCCTCACCAGTCCTGTCTCATTGACTTATGAAGATTTGCTTCTTCCAATTTAGATGTGTTTCTACATTCTATTATTGTCTTCATCTTTTTACTATAGCCTTTCTTCTTAAAATAAAAATCTTCCCTCACTTTACACTATAATTGGTGCATCCTTGGCATTTTGTGTGACTGCTGGAATAAGCAGCTGACATTCTGGTTACCTGCATTTCATCAGAAACAATGCAGTGGCATGGCGAGCTCATAAGAAGGAGGGGAGATAAAGGTCGTGCTTCTCAAAGTGGGATCCTCATCTCAGACATTGGAACCTCTTGGGATGTTCATGGAACATTCAAATTCTTGGACACAACTAAATCACAATCTTAATTTACCCACCAATCCAAAAGATTCTTTTCTAAAACATTTTATTTTTTAAAAAAGTTTTATTTTTTTTTAAACTTTTAGGTTCAGGGGTATATGTGGTTTGTTATTTAGTTAAATTGTGTGTCACAGCAGTCTTGTGTACAGATTATTTCATCACCCAGGTGATAACTGCAGTATCCAATAGGTAGTTTTTTGATCCTCACCCTCCCTCCATGCTGAAATAGGTCCCAGTGTCTGTTATTCTCTTCTTTCTGTCCACATGTACTCAATGTTTAGCTCCCACTTATAAGTGAGAACCTGCAGTATTTGGTTTTCTGTTCCTGCATTAGTTTGCTAAGGGCAATGGCCTCCAGCTCCATCTATGTTGCTGCAAAGGACATGAACTCCTTCTTTTTTGTGGCTTTGTAGTATTCCATGGTGTACATGTGCCTCATTTTCTTTCTTTCTTTCTTTTTTTTTTTTTTTTTTGAGGCACAGTCTCATTCTGTCACCCATGCTGGAGTGCAGTGGTGCATTCTCGGCTCACTGCAAGCTCCGCCTCCCAGGTTCATGCCATTCTCCTGCCTCAGCCTCCCTAGTAGCTGGGACTACAGGTGCCTGCCACCACGCCCGGCTAATTTCTTTTTTTCTTGTATTTTTAGTAGAGACGGAGTTTCACCATGTTAGCCAGGATGGTCTCGATCTCCTGACCTTGTGATCCACCCCGCTCAGCCTCCCAAAGTGCTGGGATTACTGGCATAAGCCAACACGCCTGGCCATGTGCCTCATTTTTTTTATCCAGTCTACCATTAATGGGCATTTATGTTGATTCCTTGTCTTTGCTATTGTGACTAGTGCTAAGATGAACATATGCATGTATTTGTTTTAATGGTAGAATGATTTATATTCTTTTGGGTATATACTCAATAATAGGAGTGCTGTGTCAATGGTAATTCTGCTTTAAGCTCTTTAAGAAATCACCACATTGCTTTCCACAATGACTGAACTAATCTTAAGCAGACAGAAATTTGAGAACATGTGCATCATGATGTCTTTTTAAAGTATAATATTGAGAGTTTTAACATAACTTTTGGCTAAGAAGAATTAAGCAATGAACATCATGAAGATGCTTATAAACCTGCAAGCTAGTGAATTTCATTAGATTGTACATGTCTTGAAGGAAAAAAAAAACCTTACATCATCTATACTCAATAACATCTAGAAAAATATCTTCAATATCATAGTGCCTCCAAAAATAGACATTGAATTAAATCATATTTTGATTCAGTAATGGCGAAAAGCAGAAAATTCAGGCAAGGCTCTTACCATTTAGACATTAGATTCTTGTTCTGGTCCTAAAGGCAGTTCCTATAATCAATTAGCATTGTCTAAGAACATAGATATTCCATCAAGTTCTAGCCCCAAGATTAATTTGCATGTGTAATTTAGACAATTTTATGGTATTTCTGTGCCTCGAGGTTTTCATCTCTCAAATGGGAAGCATATCCTCAGAAATTCCTATTTCAGGATGTTGCTGTAAATATAAAATATGACATGATACGGAAAAACAGTTTGACAAAATAGCCTTTCTTCACATACATTTTATAATAAAATTGGTACAAAAGTATCATTAACTTGTTTTTCTTTTACTCAGTAATATTTAGTTAATTGGATGCTTGTTTAAAATCTATAAATCTTTTTTCCTCATTTAGGCGCTCAATAATTATCTCCTTAATGAGTAAATCATGTGATGTTCAACCCATTTCCTGTAAAATGTGCAGCCTTTCTAAACTGTTATTTTGAGAATTATTTCAATTTTAGAAAACACGCTTTTACTTTGTCAGTATGTAGCTAATTTGTTTTATCACGACAGTAGCAACATTTAAAAAAATTATTCACCCCCATTAGGATTAAATATCAAACTTATGATTTTGTAGTTACTCTATTATGAGTGAATATAGACACTCACCATGTGATAGTTCTTACATTTCAGTTTTTATCTTACATTTTATTTTTCTATGGGTGTTTACTTATTTTCCTGTTTCCCTTCAGTCTCCTATATTTTTCCCAGGATGAAGCTGCAGATAATCCAATATTATGTCTTGTGTCTGCTGAGGATCACAGTTTTTTCTGTTTGGAGTCTGGACATTTCCTAACCGCCTTCACATTTCTGATCTATGGGGGATGGAAAAGAGAAGGGAGGAAAGGGATTCATGAGAAGGAGGAGGAAGCACAGTATGGCTTTCATGTAGCCCCTAGTCAGGTTCGTTTGTTCATTCAAGGCCCCTGCCTTCTGACCTCATCTCTCACAATGAGGAAGGGAGAAAGTTGTTAGAAAATTTCTATTCTTGCCTTTTCCTGGGGAACCTCAGCATTGGAAGGGATGCAATTTGTGCATTGAGCTCTACCCTCAATCAGGTCACTGTGGGTAACCTAATAAATAAGAAATGTCACTGGCAATGGAGCTAAGCATCTTACTTGTCACCTGCACTGCACTGAGAGAAAGAAGAAAAGTTAAGTTTTATATTTGGTGTTATCCAATATATACCCTGCTAAGGAGTTTACGTATTGTTGCCACTCTGTGAAGAGCTGTTGTTACTTCTTCATGGTTAAAGAGATAACCTGAGCTCAAACTTTAATCAACTTGCCTAAGCTACACAGCTACTAAGAAACACAATTGAAATTAAACTACATCTAAGAACTGAAATTAAACTCAGTGTTAAATGATTCAAAATTCATAAATGTATATAAACTTTCCAAAATGGCCCAAGTAAGCCAACTTAGTGAATAAATTGTTAATAGGCACTGACCAAGAGTCTAGGGGTCTCTCTTACATTTAAAGCTCACATGTGCTGTACAACAGAGCTTGTCAATGTCAGTGGTCTTTGGATTATTGAATATGTTTTCCATTTTAGGGGAGGTCATGATATTACATCCTGATGCTGTTTTTATATTATATTTAATACTCAAATATTATTAAGCTGTATGTTACTATGCCTAGTGAATACTGCAGTGTATGTTTATCTAATACCACTGCCCCCAAATCATATTCAATTCACTATACTTCTAGGGGTGAATTCAATTTTAAAACCCTGTGCCAGTGTAGACACTTCTTTTGTTTCCAGTCTCCTGATCCTCATGCTCGTTGGTCCTAGAGTTAGCAATATATACTTAATGACTAATGGAAAACAAGAATAGGACTGATGACATGGAAGGGAATATTTTTTCCTATGCATGTTTAAGTCCTACAGAAAGCAATGCAGTACATAGTGTTATATCATTTAGACTGTGTTTAAGGCTGGCCCTTGGAAAAATAACAAGAGGATGAAACTTGCCTTTCAGTACCCTAAGCTCCCACTTTCTGAATTCTTTGTACCGTTCTATACCACACATTGTTATTCTTAATGACCATGCATGTTAACAGCCAAATGAATTAATCTCTAATGGTTGAAGTTCATCGATAAGAGAATGGTGAAGGACACATTAGGGGGCAGGTTCCAAAATCATAGCATGCTGCTAGGTTTCTATACTATTTATGAGAAAGAGTGGCCCCTGGAATGTGCCTCACACAGCCCTAGAGGTATCATCTCACACTTAATAGAAAGTATATGCTGAGATACCAGGCAGAAACAGTGAAACAATTCTTTGAAACATGAAACCAGGCTAATAGGATGACTGGTGTTCACATCCAGCAAAGCTAAAGAGACAAAGGCTCCTCTCATGTTGGTTCTGATTGTTGAGACACTCAGAGTTATCAGTTTATAGTATAAGCTAGCCATGCTATCAAAGATGCAGGAGGAGAAACTCCTACATTTTTTTCAAAATTTTCCTCTTCTTACCAAGATAAGAACAGAAATTCTATTAGTTCAAGGTCTTCTATTAATATTCTGGAATAAGCAGGCAGAATTGTGAAAGGTTCTATAAACCTTTAAATTGCCATTAGCTAATCAGAATCATTGTTCAGTGATTATTATCTTTTATTAAATGACCACTGAATCAGAATGTTCATACTGCTTTTCAATTAAAATGTAGAATAGCCAGAAATGACTCAATAGCGTACAGTGCAGCAGCAATATGACCCAGTGAAGCAGCCATTACCCAGAGGTAATTGACCACTTAAGAACTTAAGTTAACTTCTTGATGCAGCCAGTTATTTCCCCTAATGTCATTTCTACATCAGGAGAGGCTTTTCCTACAGAAAGAGCACTCATAAACAATATACCCTGCAATAGGGCGTTCAAGATAAAAACTGCTCATGATTTTTAAAATTCCATCAAAGCATGATGCTATTTTTTCCCCCTATCATTTGTCAGGAATTCATACAATATCCTAGAGGAATAGGATAATGAAGGGGACAGCAAAATAAAGCCAACATGGATAGCTCAGAATATGATTGGTAAAGGATTTTCTTTTAAATTACAACGTATTTATGCACATGCTCAGATACACACAAACCCAACTGTCTCAAAGATCAAAGCAATTGGTGGCAAAATAAATTGTGCATCAATTAGTTCATGCATAACAGTATGTACTATTTGGCTATTTCTCTCTCCCACTCTCTCTCTCTCACAGAATTGACAGAATTATCCTTTAAATTCATTGTTGTTGTTCTGTGAAAAGTGGAAAGAGACTAAATATACCAAGAGAGAATGGACTAGCTAGCTACTAAAGAGTTAAGTTTTCCATAAGAAAGAGAAACACAGTTAAATACTACATCACAAATTACCATTTTTATGTCACCACCCCACCATGACTTTAGCACTAAGCCTGCTACATCTTCACACTCTCATTAGGATATAATGCATATTCATGGTCCTGATTATATAGCCACTTTCTTGACTTGTTTTAATTGTGCATAAAGACACTGTGACAGGAGACCTGACCTTTTCAAGATCATTTTCTCTCTATTCCTTTTCACAAAGCTATTAACTTGTCTCCTTCCCAAAGATTGCAATAATTTATTTCCCATTAATAAAAAAATTCCTGGTGCCATGCAAATTAAAATTTATTCAGCAAATAGAATTCTTTGGATTATTTTCTAATGGCTTTAAATACTTCTAGCTTAGGAAGAAAAATAATATTAATGGGTACGGGCTGAGTGGATAATTGCATACATTGGAGAAAAATGAATATACAACCGATGCTGTAGCTTACCTCACATCAATTACCCAGAAGAGTTTCTTTACTTCTTTTTTCAAAAAATATATTAAATAATTTATTTCAGGGGGTATCATTATGGTCTTGAAATTATCCCTATTGTATGAAAAGCTCAGCAACTTATATATATAAACAACACATGTTGGTATAAGTAGACCAGACCAAGTTAAAAAAATGTGTGTAGGTGTAAATGAGATTATTTAAGGGGGTCACTTAGCTAAAGTGGCAACTGAATTGCAATATAACGTGAGTAAGGGCATAAATGAGAGGCAGGGAATTGGATTTCTTTTCTTGCTAAGTGGCACCTGCCTTTCTCTTTGTAATCAAGAGTACCCCATGAGAGAACCAAATTTCCAGGGGATGTTGCTTTTGGACCTCATTATCCTGAGAGAAGTTAAGCATATCTTCTTTATGCTGTGCATGTTTTTTCTTTTCTTTGCATCTTATGGGAATGTGATAAAACTCAGGCATTAAAATATTTATACACAAAATGTTTTAGACCTAAGGTGCTGTGGGTAGTACATAATAATTACTGTCAACCTATTTGCTCCATATAAAAATAATATCAGTGCTTAAAAGATGACATTTCAACTTCGAGCCATCATAAACATAACTCTTTCTGGTTCTTGCCATACTAATTGTGTTGGACAAGAGGGATTAGAAAGCCCAAGGGAACACTGGGAGTTCGACATTTTCCAATGGAAATAAAGCTCTTTTAGTGTTTTTTTTTTTTTTTTTTTTTTTCACGGTCTGAGAAATTAGAAAAGGAAGGAATGGGTGGGCAGTCTACTTAACCTGCCAACTGGGGCAGTTTCCCCCCCTAAATAGAAGACTTCAATGTCTGATCCAAGTTAATTTTAACGACTTTTCTTTCATATTCTCTCTCATAATACAAAAGGAAAAAGAAAGGTAGAGGAAGAACTGATCTTTTGAGGCTGCACAGTTTACAGTGAGATTTTACCCTGATTATTTTGTAGGATCCTCAGGATAATTCTTTGAGCAAGGTAGGATAATTTTTAATGCCCCATTTTGCAGATTAAGAAACTGAAAACGCAGGGAAATGAAACTACATGTTTTAAACCAAAATTCTGTGGCCCTCCTAAGTCCCTAACAAATCAGGTCCAATAAGCTAGACTTACTAGCCCCTGTAGCAATGGCTTTTGCCTGGGGCAATATTGCCCTCCAGGGAACATTTTCCAAAGCCTGAAGATATTTTTAGTTGCCACAATTTGCGTATGTTTTGTAGGGGGAAGGAGTGCAACTAGTATCTAAAGGGTAGAGACCGAGGATGCTGCTAAACAACCTTTGGTGCACAGGACAGCCCTCCCTAACAAAGAATCATTTGGTCCAACGTGTCAACAGTGCCATTGTTGAATAATTCCTCTCTATAAACGTGGATTTTTTTTTTAAAGTAGGTGGAAACAACAGTCTAAACAATATACTTTATGGCCATCTGCATTTTTATTTCGATTGGAAAGTGTTGACAATGGCTCTGCAAAGCAATAAAAAGTGGGAGAAAACCAAAGGCAATCAAACAGAACCAGAAAATAAATGCAAAAACAGCCCTAAAGAGGAAATAAATTCTGGCAGAGAAAAATAAAAATAAAAAAGTGAAAAAGGTAAATGTTTTAAGAATCAAGAAAAGTCCTAGAACACACAATGTATGAAAAAAAATTTTTTAAATTCATTCCGAAATAAAGACCAAAGATAATGTGAATCACTGACAGCCACAAGAATGGAGATACCTGATGAATTTCCTGAGTAGTCCAGTAACTGGAAGTACTATTAGGTGAATTCATTTGAGAAATGAATAGAAGGATAGGAAAGAAACTCTAGTAAATGCTCTTTAATGCAAGATACAGTGTCAGCGTTACAGGTGACCAAAGCTTGAGAAATAGAGAGAGAAAAAAAGAGGAACTAACTGGCTTACTAAGAAAGGGAAAAGTGGAAAGTTAGCTAAAATAGGAGTTTAAACTCAGCACAGAGAGTTCTTGCGGTGGGAGTTGATCTTCCTCAATCTGAAGTATTTATACACTATATATTGTAGTCAGTTTAGCTAGAGGAGTATAGTTTACCCTGGTCAGTCATTTTAATAAAACAAAGAGCTGCAGAATATTCTGCTGTTTTGAGAAACTCAAAGCAGTCCCGTGATTTCCAATCTTACTAGGAAATTAAAGTGAACAGAGCTTAATACAACTAAGGTGTGTGTATGTTAAGCAGGACAGACCTAGTTTTGTTGTTAAGAAAAGCATTCTCAACAAATGGCAGCCTCAGCTATACTTTCATTGCTTCCTAGCCATCTTGTTGAATACCATGAGAAAATGTGAGGAATGGCTAATGAAAGACCAGAAGCGGAGGAGTCAGAAAACCTGAGAAGAGGCTGAGCACCTGTAATCCCAGCACTCTGGGAGGCCGAGGTGGGCAGATCAGTCAAGGTCAGGAGTTCGAGACCAGCCTGGCCAACATGGTGAAACTGTGTCTACTAAAAATACAAAAATTAGCCTGACGTGGTGGCAGGTGCCTATAGTCCCAGCTACTTGGGAGGCTGAGGCAGGAGAATCTCTTGAACCCAGAGGCAGAGGTTGCAGTGAGGTGATATCGTGCCATTGCACTCCAGCCTGGGTAACAGAGTGAGACTCCATCTCATAAAAGAAAAGTAAAGAAAAGAAAAGAAAACCTGAGAAGAGAATAGAATATGAAGTGTGATATAGTTAGGATATTTTACCTCTTCAAAGCTCGTGTTGAAATTTGATCCCCAGTGTTGGAAGTGACGCCTAGCAGCGGGTGTTTGGGTCACGGGTGTGGATCCCTCAAGAATAACTTAGTGCCATTCTTCTGGGATTGTGTGAATTCCTGCTCTTAGTTCCCAGGGAATATGGCTATTAGAGAGAGTCTGGCACTCTCTTCTCTCTCTTTTCCTTCTTTCTCACCACATGATCTTGCCTGTTCCCCTTCCCCTTCTGCCGGGAGTGGAAGCAGCTTGTAGCCCTCACCAGAAGCAGGTGTCAGTTACCTGCTTGTTGTACAACCTGCAGAACTGTGAGCCAAATAAATATTTCTTTTATAAATCACCCAGCCTCAGGTATTCCTTTATAGCAATGTGAAAAGACAAAGCCTACCCCTGGCTTTACTGGCTTACGCATTGCAAAAAAATCCCAAACTTTTCAAAGATCACTTTCTTATTTGCCAAACTGGGATTTATAACACTATATAGTGTTAAAAATATTTCATAACCAATATAGTATGGGTTCTAACCAAACAGAATGGACACAGCTGAAAACAACACAACCAGACCAGCCACCAATTATCAGCCCTGCCTTGCTCACAGAATTCTAAAAATAATTAGGTACTTTTATTTGTTCATTTATTCACCTGTGTTATGTTAGGCTCTTGATGCCATACTGTACACTGGGGACAATTTTGAAGATATAGTCCTGCGTTTTGAGCACCAGCTGAATATCTGGCTAGCTGCAGGTACCTAAAAAAAAACTAAATTTACCACTTTCTCTGAGAAATCAGTTCCTCTTGCTTTGCTTTTCAGAATGACACTGTGAACATCTCTCTGTTGCCCAATACTAAAATGGTGAGATCACCCTTACATCTTTCCTCTCAGATCCCATATCTAATTCTTAGCCAATTCCTTTATTCCCATTCCTTTCTAGGGCCTACAGTGATTTAAACCATTTTGTCTTCTCCCTGGCTTTCTCCAGTAAAGGCCTACTAGCTCTCCCTATAATATTGTATACAGAATTGGTGGGTTCTTGGTCTCGCTGACTTCAAGAATGAAGCCGCGGACCCTCGCCGTGAGTATTACAGTTCTTAAGGACGGTGTGTCCTGCGTTTGTTCCTTCAAATCTTCAGACATGTTCAGAGTTTCTGCCTTCTGGTGGGTTCGTGGTCTCACTGGCTTCATTCCCTTTGCGGTGAGTGTTACAGCTCAAAAAGGCAGCACAGACCCAAAGGGTTACCAGCCCCTAGATTTATTGTGAAGAGTGAAAGAACACAGCTTCCACAGCTTGGAATGGGACACCACCCCAGTTGCTGCTCCTGGCTCGGGCAGCCTGCTTTTATTCCCTTATCCGACCCCACCCACATCCTGCTGATTGGTCCATTTTACAGAGAGCTGATTGGCCCATTTTACAGAGAGCTGATTGGTCCATTTTACAGAGAGCTGATTGGTCTGTTTTTACAGGGTGCTGATTGGTACGTTTACAAACCTTGAGCTAGACACAGAGTGCTGATTGGTACATTTACAATCCTTTAGGTAGACACAAAAGTTCTCCAAGTCCCCACTAGATTAGCTAGACACAGAGCACTGATTGATGCATTTACAAACCTTGAGCTAGACACAGGGTGCTGATTGGTGCGTTTACAAACCTTCAGCTAGACACAGAGTGTTGATTGGTGCATTCAAAATCCTCTAGCTAGACATAAAAGTTCTCCAAGTCCCCACCCAATTCAGGAGCCAAGCTGGCTTCGCCTAGTGGATCCTGTGCTGGGGACATTGGGCAGAACTGCCCGCCAGTCCCGCACCGTGCACACACACTCCTCGGCCCTTGGGCGGTCGATGGGACCGGGAGCCACAGAGCAGGAGGCTGCGCCTGTCGGGGAGGCTCAGGCTGCGTGGGAGCCCACGGGGTGGCAGGGGGAAGGCTTGGGCATGGCAGGCTTCAGGTCCCAAGCCCTGCCCTGCGGGGAGGCAGCTGAGGCCCGGCGAGAATTCAAGCATGGTGCAGGCTGGCTGGCAGTGCTGGGGGACCTGGTGCACCCTCTGCAGCTGCTGGCCTGGGTGCTAAGCCCATCACTGACCGGGCTGGTGGCACCGGCCGGCCACTCCGAGCGTGGGGCCCCTGAGCCCGCGTCCACCCGGAACTCGTGCTGGCCCACATGCGCCACGTGCAGCCTCGGTTCCTGCCTGCGCCTCTCCTTCCGTGCCTCCCCACAAGCAGAGGGAGCTGGCTCTGGCCTTGGCCAGCCCAGAGAGGGGCTCCCACAGTGCAGCAGCAGGCTGAAGGGCTCCTCAAGCATGGCCAGAGTGGGCGCTGAGGCCGAGGAGGCACTGAGAGTGAGCGAGGGTTGCCAGCACGCTGTCACCTCTCAGTATCTTCCCACTCAATTCTTCCTCAGCTGGCTTCCAGATTAATTGTTTTGAAGCACAGCTCTTTGGTCAACCATTTTCTCTAAACTCCTACTGAATGAAATCTAAACTCATCACTTTGACATTGAAGGCACTTCATCCCTGATGCTAAGCCTGCATTTGTAATCATATTTCTGACTGTCCCTCACATGCCAAGCACCCATGAAACGTTGCTCATTGTATGCTATACCCCATTTCTAGAATCTCTGCTTTTGGTCCTGTTACCTATTTTCCTGATTCCTAGCTTTATTCAACTGTCAATGTCTAAGTTTTTCTACCCTTCAAGACACATCATATCACCTTTTTTGTTTTGTTTTGTTTTGTTTTCTAATAGGGATTATTACCTTCTGAAATTAACTTGTTGCTTTAGTTTGGATGTTTGCTCCTCAAGCCTTATGTTGAAATTTGATCCCCAGTGTTAGAGGGTGGGGTCTAATGGGAGGTGTTTGAGTCATGGAGGAGGTCCCTCATAAATAGATTAATGCCATGTGGGGGATTCCAGGGGAGCTCTCACTCTTAGTTCCTTTGAAAGCTGGTTGTTATTAAGAACCTGGAACCACTGGGCGTGGCAGTTCACTCCTGTAATCCCAGCACTTTGGGAGACCGAGGTGTGAGGATCACAAGGTCAGGAAATCGAGACCATCCTGGCTAACATGGTGAAACCCCGTCTCTACTAAAAATACAAAAAATTAGCTGGGCGTTGTGGTGGGTGCCTGTAATCCCAGCTACTTGGGAGGCTGAGGCAGGAGAATGGCGTGAACCCGGGAGGCGGAGCTTGCAGTGAGCTGAGATCCTGCCACTGCACTGCAGCCTGGGTGACAGAGCAAGACTCCATCTCAAAAAAAGAAAAAAAGAAAAAAGAAAAAGAACCTGGCACCTCCTCCCCCTTCCCGTCTCTTTTGCGTTCTCTCTTGCCAAGTGATCTTGCCTACTCCCCTTCCCCGTCTGCCATGAGTGGAAGCAGCCTGACACCCTCACCAGAAGCAGATGCTGGTTCTGTGCTTCTTGTACAGCCTGAAGAACTGTGAACCAAATAAATATCTTTTCTTTATAAATTACCCAGCCTCAGATATTCCTTTATAGTAACACAAAAATGAACTAAGACACTTGTTCACCTATTATCCTGCATGGTTATAAGACCCTTTGTCTTTCCTCCTCTCCTGCCTTACCTAGACTATAAACTACAGAGGAACAAAAACTTAGCACATAATAGACATTCAGTAAATATGTGTTGAAATAATGAATGACTGAGTGATTTGCTACAACCTTCAAAAGGCTTTCTTAACCCATCAGACACAATTGCCTGAATTCCCACTCAATTTAATCTGTGCCTGCCTTTTGGGACCTAGCTCTAGATTCTCACAGTGTAGCGCTATTATCATCTCACCAGTCATTATTTCTAAGAGCGATCAAAAACCACACCCAAAAGTCAATAAAATAAATAGTTCTCCCCGTAACTAAAAATTAAAATGAACATAATTTTGATTGACCATGATGTTTTTCTACCTATATTATCTCAATATTGCTGCTTACATAAAACTCTGTGACTTTAAAAAATATATAGCTTTGACATTAAAAAGAAACCGTAGCATTAGCCCATTAGCACAAAAACTCATTTTCTTCTGCACCTCCATGAAAGTAAATTAAAAAACAAAGATTAAAACTGAAAGTATGCAAACCCTGCTATGTCTCATTTGCTGTGTTAATCAAGGCTGCAGGAAGATGTTTCTGCTGTTATTAGCCTATGTTTTCATTTTCTGTTTCTGTCTATCTTGCTCTCTCATTCCTTGTATTCTATGCCACCCATCCGAGCCTTTGATAATTTTTCAGGGTAAAAATTAATCTTATTCAAACATAAAACACTTCTGTGAATTGTAGTACAGTAACGGAATCATTGTAAAGCTACATAGAATAACTTGTTTTATTTTTACTTTTTATGAATTAAAAAATACATGTTACTATTTAGCAAATTTGCAGACTATATGCAAGTAACTACACTAGACAGTACATACTAAGTGCCAAATCAGTAGCACTGGCAATGAATAGTTTAGTAGTGCTCTAATGATTGATTTCCAAATGAATCAGGCGTGAACTGATGCTGTAAAGTTCAGCAGAAAGAGAACTCTGACCTGTATTATTCTGAAAGAGACACCTCTGCCCTCACAAATCTTTTTAATTTACCTACATTTTTATCACATTTCAAAATAATTCCCTGTTCATTTCCCTTTCTTCTCTTTATTTTGTCACAACTTTTGACTCATTGCTAAATTTTGTATTAGTATTAAATAAAATGTTTGTTATTGAAACTGATATAAGAAATCCTGCAATGACTTAGCAGATCTGCTTGGGAAATTTCTTGCAGCAAAGGCAAGGCTACTACAAGCCATTTTTGCAGAGAGTGATTTTAGCAATCACTATTTAGAAGATAGCCATGGGATTTTTTTTTTTTCCAGAAAGGCTCGTATTGGTGCTCTAATTTATGTGACCATTTAAAAATATTGATTATTGCCTAGTGGTGCTAGAGATACAAATGCAGAAATCAAGATTGAATTATGGATTAGTTCGTTGAATTTTTAGGCTGTGGATGCATATCTGCTTAATTAAATAGAAGTCAAATATTCCTAAGTGAGACACTCTTTCAGCTTTGCCTATCAAAAAAATAAAAAGCAAAGATTTTTTTTTTTTTTTTATGAGGAGGAAAAGTAGTATATAGTATACAGCCTTCAGATACTGGTCAGCCTCAGGCACAGAAACACCTCATGTAATTTGATGTACCCAGCTGAGTTACTATTGCTTGAGTTCCACTTTTAGCTCTGCTGGGAATTGTCTTAGCACTTCCTGACGTACCTGAATAATGAGGTTGTTGCACCTGTGAAGTAATCATCACACAACTCACCACCACCCATGGGATGCTCGGTGCAGCAGATGTGCCTGCTCATCATCGACTGGTGGGCTGTCCTCCTCCTTAGACCTCCAGCTTCTTCTCTTAAATGCAAACATGTTATTTAATCAAATGAAGACTAACTTGGCAAACAGCATAAAATTCATCTGCACTTTCTTCAAATGAACACTGCATACAAATTTCCCCTCCTCCACTTTTCTGTTTAAAATGTGGAATGAGTATAAGAAGGTTATATCCATGGGCACTGGAGCTGCTCTGCTAAAGAGGAAAGGCATGGGAAAAAAGAAACTGACAGAAACACTTGTGTGTCAAAATCTTATCTGAAATGAGAATTCACAAATAATAAAGTCATTTTTCTTTTTCACCCTGAGAAAATGGCAACTTAGTTTAACATAGAGTGATATAAAAATTTTCCTCTGGGTGCCAGGAAAACTTTCCACATATAAAATATATGTGTATATTGGAATGTTTTTGGACTCCAGGACATGAACAACTTCATTGTAAACTTAATTTTCACATGAGCACACATAGAAAATAGCGATAGCTCATGTTCACAACGATGACTTCAGTAGTTTTACAATAATTTCAATTTGTGTAATAGATTTTGATTGTGGTGACTGTTAACCCATTCTGAATATCAGAAAATTGACTCATAATAATGCGTGGATGGTTTACGTAGTAGTTCTGAGTATTAAATATCTGAATTCGCCTCCCCCATCCATTAAAATCTTCTTCTAATTGGAGAGGTTGGAAAGTTAAAAACTACATTTATTATGCTGCCTCACAACCATGGTTGTGGTTGCAAGTCAATTTCTACTTATTACACTCAATAGGATATTTGGAAGGTAAATTTGAGGGGAGGTCCCCTTCCCTTATCTCTAGGCTAGAGGTTATCCAAGTGTGGCCCTTGGACCATCTACAAACCATCACCTGGGAACATCTTAGAAGTACAAATTCTTGACCCCACTCCCAACCTACTAAATCAGAAATTGTCCAGCAATTGCTGGGTGGGTCCAACAATCTGTGTCTTAACAAACAAATAACAAGATGGAGGACACTGGAGGTGTTCCTGCACAACATTCCATTCTCCATCTTCTGGGGTGATGAGAAGCAGTCGCAGCAGTCACATCTTCTTGATCTGACTTTCTAATAGAAAAGGTAGGTACTCGTTTTCCTCTTGTTTTGAGTGTAAGAAACAACTGTACCCCCCAACATTAGTATCTTTCATTCATCAGAGTCCTAGAAGCAGCCTCAAAGGAAAGAGATGCCCTAGTAAGTCACCAGAATTGTTCTGGAAGTCATTTGAGAAGGACCAACCTAGAACTTGCTTCTTCAATAGTCCTGTAATCTCATGCCTATATTAAGTACTTTCCACTTAACATATCTAGAATGGGATCTGTTTCCTATACCTGACCATGATTGAGACATTTGCTGTGACAATTTTAAAACATCGCCTCCAAATTCTTTGAAGCTTTCCCATTGTGTCCTGCCCTTGAATTTGGGCTCCATGATTGCTTGACTAATAAAATACAATAGAAGTGACACTGTGCTCAGGTTTTAAGAAATTGGCAGCTTCTGATTTTTGTCTCTTGGGAAACTAGCTCTTGTAACCTAGATTTCAGTCTGTGAGGAAGGGAAGACAGACAACAGCCAGTACTAACTCACCAATCATGTAAGTGAGCCATCTTGAAAGTACGTCCTCTAGCCTCAGTCACGCTGCCCCAGATGATGACACATCAAATAGAGATGAACCTTCCCTGCTTAGCTCTGCCCAAGTAGTAGACTCATAAGCATACATTTCCAAAAAAAAAAAAAATTGTTCAGTTAATAGCAAATGCCATCTTGCAGCTTAAGACATCTAATATTCCTTGATTTGCTTTTCTATTACCCTTAATGCCAGGATTTTGTAATGAACATCACACTTGAATAAGCTGCAACTATTTGAATGTGAAAATCGGTCTCTCTTAGTTGGGCAAAGACATCATAAGACCTTGCTGTTGTGTTAAGCCAGTAGGTTTTGGCATGGTCTGTTATGGAGCAACAGATACCTGGAACATTTTCTAAACCTAAATATGTGTAGAATAAGAACGAAGATGTGAAATCTGGGCTAAAGCATTGTCTTAGTTTGGGCTCCCCTAAAGTGGACCAACATGTGAGCTGGTAGGGGTATGTAGTTAGGAACATGGTAGAAGGGGATTTTAAAGACAAGAGACCCTTCCATAAGCTTTTGCACCACATCGCAGAACCAGTTCTAATATTTTCCCGAAGCCTGGTTACTTAGTAATGCCATGTTTTCTGCCACAAAGGCAACTGTGTAATAGAGGGAGTGTTTGATTTTCTTTCCCCCACTTTTAGTTTATTTAAGTGTGAATGTCCATAACAAAACCCTGGAATTAGGGATAATAGCAAGCAAAACAAGGAATATCAAGCTTCTTAAGCCAGAAAAATGGCTTTTGCTATAACCTGAACCACTTCACAGCACACGTCCTACAATGTCACATCTTCCCCTGGCAAGGATCTGGCTTCCTACTAGATTCTTCTTTATAGACCACCATCTTACACATTTTCAAGAAGGTATGTTCATCCTCTTTTACAGGTAAAGGAATAACAGTGCAGGGAGGTTTGTTGATTCTCATACATTGAATATTTAATGAGTGAATAAAAGTATTAGGTACCCTGCCCTGGTTTCTCTGCCTCCTAAGCAATAACCAATTAAACAGAACACAGTGAAGTAGAGACTTGGCCATTCTTACAGATTTTTTTCTATTTTTTCTTACAGTTTTTCTTAGTATACTCAAGCAATTTAGACAATTCAAGATTATAATAATTAAAGTATAAAATATTACTTTAAAAAATAGTTCTCACATATTTGATCTTCATAAAAACTCTGTGAAATGGAAAGGGCAAGGATTGAGCTTCATTTTTTTTTTTTTGTAATTTAGAATAATAAGTCTCAGAATGTATAAGTGATTTGTCCAAATCAATCTTTGACCTGAATTATCTATTTCGATTATGAACAGGGAGTAAATTTTCTGAGTAATTTCTAATTTTCCACCATGAAGGCATAACAAATAGGTCATTTTAATACCCTTTATTAACAATTCATTGTTCTATATTTTAATGACCTTTTCCTTTGAATTTTTTATTTAATTCTGTTATCTACATCTTTATTCACTAAAGTCAAGGATTAAGCATAATAATCATTTTGAACTCCTCATTTTTTAAATTAAAAAATTATAAAACCATAGAATTTAAGACTTGGAAAAGACCTTTGAAAAAACCCATCCCAGTGTTCCTTTTTACAATTAAAGAAACTAAGGTTTGGAAGAGTGAAGTGACTTTTCATAGGTCATGGCTAATTTATGCAGACTGGGATCTAGGACTCATGTTTTCTGGCTTTTTATCTCACCCCCATGTGCACACTGTTTTCTTAACTATTGTCTGTCACAGTGTAGGGCCTCTAATGTTTATTGAATAAATAAACAGTATCAGCGCTGACTTTGTTTCCATGATAAGCCACTTGCAGGCAGGGATTATGCTTTATTAACTTTGTATTTTCTACAATGCCTAGGACAGATTTTAAGCTCAAATCAAATACCCTAAAAGATTGGTTGAATTTGGTTTGAAAACAAGAATGACAGCAGCATACATGTGGTGTACAGTAGTAAGCCATTTTCTCTCTTCCTTCCCTCGAGAAATTTGCATTTTAATGGATGCTCTCCCCATAAGTACTTTCAGTTGTTACAAAATAGTAACAACTAAGGTTTGTATGTCTTCTTCGAAAGTGCTTTCCTGTACATGCTTTTATTTGATTCTGTCACAACCACATGTGTTCCCTTTATATGTGAAGGGAGTACATTTTAGAGAAGTTAATGGATTTGTTCAAAGCTATACAGGGAAGACATGTAAAGCCAGAAATTTGAACTTAGGCTTTATGCTCCAGAAGTCATGTTCTTTTTAGGTCCTGTCTGAACCAAGGGATCACCTAGAAGATCACCCATTAGGACAATGAACGAAGAAACAAGAAGTCATGTGCAAAAAATTGCTTATCAAACATATTCTATAACCTTAGATAACCTTCGATGTTCCTAATTTGTTCTCAAAAAAATCCCGTTTAAGACAATCCCGGGAGGAAGAAAAAGGGTATAGAATAAACAGACACTTTTGTTGTTCTTTTTCTGTGTAATATATACCGCTCTTTGTTCCTAAACACTCCAGTACAATATGGGAATCCTAAGTCTCCTTAAGCACCCAGACATCGCAAACTATGTCGTTATTGAATATAGATATTCAATTCAATTTTAAACGGGAGATAATATATTATGTAGGTATTAGATTCCAGCCAGATACTTTTTTTTTAACAAAATAAAAATATGGGAATACTAGTTCGCAGTTTATATGTTGCAGGAATATTCCTTTCATTTCTTCCAGAGAATAAATAGGTGTACATCCGTGTTCCATCTACTATGTCATTATCACTTTATTTGCAGTATATAATAAAACCCAAGGAGACATCTCTTTTGTTCACAGTGTGACTCTCTGCAAAAGAGAGAAAGTATCTGTTGGCCAGTCAGATATTCCAGTGGAGAAGGGCTGTCATTAAAATCTTGCATACTATCAAGTGGGAAAGCAGACTTATATTGCAATTACTTTCCTATTAGCTGCTGCCCATTGCTCCTGACAGGTATAAATTAGATCTCGCTAGGTTGCCTACAGATTAATGAGTTCCAAAATTGGCATTCAATTGTTTGGGAGTGAAAGGGAGAGAAGGGAGGTAGATGCAAAATCTTTATACACCTGTGATTAGAAGATATTTTCTTTCATTTCATATTTTTCTTCCTTCCTCAGTATCGCTTGGGTGATAACTGACACTACTATCTGAGGATTCCTTTCCACACAGCAGAAACTTGCAGCTGAGGCGAGGCCAGAATTAATAATTTGCGTGAGCAAACACACAGCTGCTGTTTGTGGAGAGAGATTCTATTAACGAACAGTGAATTCTCATAATTAGCCAAGCGGTTTCTGCAGCTGCCCGCCTGACCCCCAGACTACACAAATTGTGGGTGGTGTTCGGCCTCGAAATCAATCTTACCTAATTACTATAAGCATGTTCCTCCATTCCTAATGACTGCAAAAAATTAGACATTTCTTACTCATTCAAATGCTCTTCTTATTAGATTTTCCTTTGTACCTAAATTTATATTTGTCTATTAGCATTTCTAAGAGTGTACAGGTGTAGTTACAAATCAGACACAGAGGAGTATAATTCATGTTCCTGCAAGCATGCACCCGCAAATGTCTGCTCTGCAAGCAGGAGCAAGATCTGTGCTCCCTGAAAGCATCATTTCCCAAATAGCATTAGAGAACACACTGTGGGTCAGCCGTTATTCAAAGCCCAGCTTCTCTTGTAGCCTTAGGTCCCTTTTCACTCATCTGCCATCCTTTTTCTCTTCCCCCATCTAACTCCCCAAAACTCCATTTAATTAAAAAAGAAGACATTGTGTATGCCACAGTAAGCCCTGACCTCATGGGAGCCAGGTTTCTGTTAGTCGTTCTGTCACCTTGAAATCAAACCAACTTGTTTGGCATTGATTTGCCTGTCGAGGGTGTGGCCAAGTATCCCAATCTCAATCTTGTCCACCCACATTGCACCAATTTGTAAGACATGCCTAACATTAGTTTGTACAGGCAACTCACTACATTTTCCCTGCAGAGGCAATTTTTTGAACAAAGTCTCCTTGCTGCCTGGAACATACTGCTAGCTTATAGTCCACAATAAGTAGGCACTGGGATTTGTGTTTGCTGCTACAATATGAGCATGTGCCCATATCCTAGATATACTTCAGCTATAGTCAGTACTTTTTTTATTGAACATTACAGGATATGAGTGCTTATGGTGAAGTAAGATTATTACATTCAAGCGGTGTGGTCTACAGTTTGGGGCATGAACTCAAGTTTACATTTCGAAAATGAGGCTTGGGTTTTTCCTCCATGAACATTATCATTAAGGTCTGAGATGAAGTCAGAGTGAGCACCACTGAAACTATAGCATCCCTTTGATCAAGCATCAGCCCATTCAGTATTGACTTAGTTGTCTTTCTCATCCATTCCTTTCCCTTCTCTCCTTCTTTCCTTCCTTGCTGTCTTCTTTTACTCAGTGCCTATTATCTGCCAAATGCTATGCTGGGTCCTAGGTAGATAGTAATGAACAGAATCAATGTGCTTTCTCACCTCAGGGTGCTTCCACTTGGGAGGGAGACACAGACAATAAATATGTAAATAAATACATATGTATATAATTTCTAATTGCAAGGCAGCACAGTGTTGTCTAAAGAGTGTCATTTCTGGAATCAGATTTTGTGGGTTCAGATCCTAGCTCTGAAATTTATATGCTGTTTGTGGACAAATTATTAAAACTTTTCATGCCTCAGTTTCTTCATTTTCATCACAGGGATAATAAAGGTGTGTATACTCATATGGTTATAATGAGAATTAAATAAACTGATCTCTCCTAAAAACCTGGAACATGGTCTGGCATGCAGTAAAAACAAAATACCTTTTAACTAGTATTATAATTGTCATGAAGCAAAAAGCAAAACTTCTGTATGAAATCACAGATGCTTGCACCTATATGTCTATAGCAGCACTATTCACAATAGCAAGATATGAAATCAACCAAAGTGCCCATCAAAGGTTGACTGGATAAAGAAAATGTGGTACATATACACAATGGGTTACTATTCAGCCATACATAAGAATGAAATAGGCCGGGCGCGGTGGCTCACGCCTGTAATCCCAGCACTTTGGGAGGCCGAGGCGGGTGGATCATGAGGTCAGGAGATCGAGACCATCCTGGCTAACAAGGAGAAACCCCGTCTCTACTAAAAATACAAAAAATTAGCCGGGCGCGGTGGCGGGCGCCTGTAGTCCCAGCTACTGGGGAGGCTGAGGCAGGAGAATGGCGTGAACCCGGGAAGCGGAGCTTGCAGTGAGCCGAGATTGCACCACTGCAGTCCGCAGTCGGGCCTGGGCGACAGAGCGAGACTCCGTCTCAAAAAAAAAAAAAAAAAAAGAATGAAATAATGTTTTTCATAGCAACGTGAATGGAATTGGAGGCCATTATCTTAAGTGAAATAAGTCAGAAACAGAAACTCAGATATGGCATGTTCTCACTTACAAGTGGGAGTTAAATAATGCACACACATGGACACAGATTATGAAATAATAATCAGTGGAGATTCAGAAGAGTGAGGAGTGGAGGGGGGATCATGAGAAATTATTTAATTGGTACAATGTTTGTTATTTGGGTGATGGACACCCTAAAAGCCCTGACTTCACCACCACACAATCTATGTATGTAACAAAATTACACTTGTACTCCATAAATGTACACAAATTAAAAAAAAAAGGAAAATTAAAAAAAAAAAATAAACTAGGGAAAGCTGTTTTAAACTGCATTGGAAGAGAAATCCTTTTCCTGGAGCCAACATTAAGCAGAGACTTGAAGGTCCTCTCTTGAAGGTGGTCGAGCTGACCACACAGAGCGTGACACATTCTTCTCAGCAGTAGGAGCAGCCTATCAAAGGCCCTGGGGTAAGATCAATTTGGTGTGTTCCAGGAACTGAACGAAGTCCAGTATGGTGAGGAACCCAACGCAAAGTAGATTAGAATAGTTGAAAGATTAAATGCTCCAAAGGGTAAGAATCTGGAGTGCTTTTAAATATTCTTTTGAGAAGCCAAAGTCACAATTCCCCGGTTATTATAAACTCTATTAGAATTTCTTGGTCTAAAGATGAGAGAAAACAGAATCCTGTAGCATGGTGCTCTGAGAAAAATAGATGTACTCTGATGAAGCAGGCAGTCAAGTTTGTTTCTTCATCAATCCCCAGGCCCATTTGCCTTAACAGCAGCTCCATTTAAAAAAATAAAACTGTTTGTGTAATGAAGTCAAGAGTTGAAAACCTCATCAGAATTCAAAGGGAAAGAAGAAAAAGAATTTTGCAATTCAGACTTAGTGAACTCTGGGGGGCAGAAAATAGAACACATCCACCCCCACTGCAAGTCTTACGTTAGTGCTGACATTTGAGTTTGACTCTTCAAAGTGACCTTGACTTACCTAGGCAAAAAGGAATATAGGAAGGGCTACCTTACACATCTCAGGTAAGGAAAAAGAGTTTCATATTGCAATCAGAAGGACAAGAAATGAAGGAGCACAGGCTTCCAATTGCTTAGGTCAGAAACAATCAGGCACTAACAACTGCTGATATATAATTGTTCTGCAAGGGAAAGACCATAGCATTATAACTACTCAATGCATCTCTCCCAGCCTTGGTGGCTTGGGGGACCAGGTGAGGTTATTTCCTGTGGCTGTATGAGCAGAATAATGCAATATATTATAAAAGAGACTGAAGCTATTCATCCAAAGTAATTAATTTAGCATTAAATATATAGGCAGTATTATGTAATGTTTTAAAGTATATGAACATTCCAAAATTGCCAATTCATATTTGGTCAGACGCCAAGACTAGCTCTTTAAAGCATAATTTAATTAACTTTTCAGTAAATAGTAGTAAGATAAGGGAAATTAGTACTAACACTTCCTCTGTTGGAGGTAATCTGGGATCCAAGTTGCATCACGATCTGGCTCCCTTCTACCCACAGGGCCGGATATGAATGAGGGTGGATGGCAATCAGGGCCATGACTGGATCCTGGGACATACGTTTGAGTAGGAGACATTTAAAATGTATTTTTGGCCGGGCGTGGTGGCTCATGCCTGTAATCCCAGTGCTTTGGGAGGCTGAAGTGGGAGGATCACCTGAGGCCAGGAGTTTGAGACTAGTCTGGACTACATAGCGAGACCTCATCTTTACAAAACATAAAACATAAAAATTTCACTGGGCATGGTGGCACGTGCCTATAGTCCAGCTGCTCAGGAGGCTGAGAAGGGAGGATCACTTGAACGCCGGAGTTCAAGGCTGCAGTGAGCTATGATAACACTACCGCACTTTGGACTGCGCAACAGAGCAAGACACTGTTCAAAAAAAAATTCTATTGCTGGCTGCTATATCTGGAATTCAAAGCTAGTACCCACTGTTCCAGGGATGATCTTAAAGTGCAATTTCTGCATTTCCATTGGGATCACTTGAAAAGCACTCAGTTAAAATGCAGATTTATAGTCCCACCATTCACTGTCTGAACCATAACCTGAGGGGGGTGGAGCAGAAGGCTGGCCCAGGAATTCTCCATGATTTATAATTTTCCAAATTCAAATTTTAAACTCAAATTTTGTGTGAGTATTCCTATAGTAACTGCTATTCTGGGTAAAAATCATTGAGCCATTCAGAAACAGTTATTGGGACTTTGCCACTTCAGCCGGTGTGTTCTGTGCCAATTATGCCCGTGCCTCTAGCACCATGGACTCTCCGATGCCAGCCCCTAATACAATGCCTTGCACCAAGCAGTTCTCAGCAATTATTAGTTAAATTGAAATTGAATGCTCAAATCTGTGATTATTTGATACCCAAATTAGAAACTCGATATTTCACTGCTTCATTCATTTTATAACTTAGAAAAGAGCTGTGTAAGCCACAATGCTTTCCCACAAACTATGTGATTTGTCAACTCATTCATCCAATCCCGAGCCTGTCTTTATTTTAATTAAAGCTGATGATAACCTCAACATGTGCTGAGAGCAGGAAATAAGTAATTGTCGTAAATGTGTTTGGCTGAACACATATAAATACATCTAAATATATAGTTAATAAATGTTATCCATATTTGGTGGTTGACTCCCTTTGGATAACTGCTAGCTTGATGATTAGGAGCAGAAACATTTATGTGTTAATACTTTCCCCAATATATTAACTGCCTGTAATGAATTTTGGGAAGACAGTTCAGGGTTCCCATGTCTAAAATTGAGGCATATTGTGAACCCCTTAAGGTTTCTTCCACATAGTATTTCTTAACTATTAAGGGGAAAGAAAGAAAAACATACTGAAAGCGACGAGCTCTCTTCTCAGGAAATGCACATGTGAAATTCAGGTGACTCACATGTAGATTCTCCCTGAAGTCCATCCAGGGGGCTCAGGTTAAGACGCTTGCATTAAAATGTAACTATTCTTGGGTGCTTTTATTCATTAGCACATTATTGATCCAGTCAATCAATATTTATTAATACCTCCTTAGTACTGGGAATGCTAAACTCTGAATAGACAATAAGACATGGCCTCACGTTCCAGAAGTTTACAGTTTAGTGGTAAGGAAAGGTTATAATGTCTCAGTGAATGGAAAAGAGCTGTGGCACATAAAAGGGTAGGAGTTTGTGGGTCATTATGAATCCAGGGAGGCTTCTAGAGAAGCTAATCCATGAGGGGTATTTTGATGGATAAATAGAAGTCTTCCAGAAGGGTGGGGGAAAAGTTAGGATGAGGCAAGAAGAAAACTCCAGAGAGAGAATGGCTTTAGAGGCACAGAGCATGGTTAAGGTTATAATGAGAAAGGCAGGGGTAGCGGGGTGAGGTGTGGTAGGAGGAAGAGACCGCATTGGAGAAATTGGTGGACAAATCATTAAGAGCCTATCCACCAGGCCAAAAATTCTGGACTCTTACCTGGAAGAGTTGAGAATGCATTGGGGAAGATTTTAAGCACTAAGCAACAAATTCAGTGTTGTATTTTAAAATCTTTGTGAATTCTAGATTGAAATGAGCAAGATGAGGATTAAGGCAATTGGTTTAAGGATATTACAAACAACCCCCAGAAATGAAGACTGGAATTAAATTAGTGGGAGTGAGGCTGGAGAGATGGTGATAGATTCTAGGTAGCCTAACAATGATGAATTCATCAATCTGGATTAGTAATTAGATGTGGACTCAGAGAGTGGTATTTTAGAAGGACTCAGGTTTAAGACTTGAGTTGGGGGCAACTTGGTGGATGGGTTGATAGTGTTCACTGAGATTGGAAATGAAGAAGGAGGAGCAGGTTGGAGATGGGATGGAGAGCAATAATGGGTCTAAGATATTGGCAAGTAAGAGAAGATAGAAATAACAAGAGGGGCTAAGATAACATGCAACTTAAAAGATATGAGGACAGAAGAGGATCATAGGTGAAAACCTGGGTAATGGCTTCATTTATGGAGTGGCCTGGGGAGGAAGAACTCACAAAGAAGGAGATAAAGCCAGAGATATAAAAAGAACATCAGGTTTCATGGAAGACAATGGAGAAGTTTCAAAAGGACGGGGTGGTTAATAGTACAAATGCTTCAGCATAATGTAAGATATGGGCAAATGGGAGTCCACCCATTTTCAAAGGAGAGAGGTCATTGATAATCTTGAATAAAATGGAGAAAAGTATTCTGCCAGCTCTTCAGACACTGAGAATCAATGCAAGATGTACATCAGTGTCTGACACATAGTAAGTGCCTTTATACCTGTGTATTTCTCTAAGATATTTTAGGTCTTTGACAGTTCTTGAAGCAATTTAGTTTAATTATTTCTGAAGATTCATTATTTTATTTTGTAATATATCAAATTCATTTGATTTGATAAGCAGATGTTTTATTTTGTTATTTATTTATTTATTTATTCATTTTGAGACAAAATCTTGCTCTGTTGCCCAGGCTGGAGTTCAGTGGCGGGAACACAGCTCACTGCAGCCTCAATCTCCCAGGCTCCAGTGATCCTCCCACCTCCGCCTCCCGAGTAGGTGTGCACCACCATGTGTGGCTACTTTTTAAATTTTTTGTAGAGATGAGGTCTCTGTATGTTGCTCAGGCCTGGTTTCAAACTTCTGAGCTCAAGCGATCCTCCCACCTTGGCCTCCCGAAGTGTTGGGATTGCAGGTATGAGCCATTACTCCTGGCCAGCAGATATTTTAGAACCTAGTGTTTGGGAAAAGATTACACACTTTTTAATACACTTAAAATTCTTACTGACAGGTAAGGTGACAGTTAAAAGTTTTCTCCTGTGTGATTATTAAATTCTTATGGGAGATATGTTTTTGAAATTCTATAACTATAGTATTTTAGTTAGGGAGTATAAGAAATTATGTGGCAAATGACTTGTGAAACACCAGTTTTTTTGGTTATTAAAGAATAAGTATTTAAGATGTCTTTGGTAGAGATTAAATAAAGGATAACAGCATTTGCTTCATACATTTGATGTTTTGAACATCAAAAATTGGAGCTTCCGTCTAACTCCAAATTGGCATACAGAATGGTATCCAAGTTTGAGTTAGTTTCAAGGTTAGACAGATTTATGCCAGGGCACCAAGACCTAAGTGAACCACTACTTCAGATATAACAAAATATCCGAAGAAACAAAAACTAGAAAGCTGAATTTTAAAGTCATATTTATTTGGTTTCCCATCTATTATTATAGCATGTGTATGTGGATATGGACATCATTATTTACATATGGTAGCTGCAGCTGTTCTGGGAACTTTCCCTCTTTTCTCTCTTCTCCAGTACCTAACTTCTCACTCTCTGGAGCTGATATACCAAGGAAATACGAAGTTCTCAGAGAGAAAACTCTTAAGCTGAGGTGTGTATTACAAATAACTGGGAGAGCTTTTATTAGGTTGGTGCAAAAGTAATTGCAATTTTTGCCATAAAATAATGGCAAAATCACAATTATTTTTGCACCAACCTATTAAAAATACTGATACCTGTGCACCAATCCTAGAAATTCTGATACATTTTGTCTAGGGTAGGACTTGGGCACTGAATTTTTTTAAAAGCTTCCCAGATGGTTTTAATGTGCAATGGGATGAAGAGCCACTGTGCTAGAGGTTTCTTTCACTTGCTCCTCAAAGGGAAGAATTTACCTCCTGGTGATATCAGTTGAATTGCGATATGGGTAATGCTGCTGTTCTGTCTTCAGTTTTCATCATAGTGACAAACATACTCACTTCAGAGTTATGCAATCCTTTTCACTTTAATCTTAAAATTCTTTCAATTATAATATACAAAAGATTCAAAGATACACTATCTAGATAAATTTTACTCTTAAGAAATTAGTGCCAATTTGTCTAAAAATCTTAAGGTGATAGTTCTTGTTCAATACTGAAATCCTAGTTTATATGTATGTTTATATGTGTGTGTATGTGTATGCGGTATATATACTTATAAAAGCTATTATGGTGCAAGTTTTGTCAACATTATTTCTGCAAGAACATTGTGCTGTTTCTGCAAGAGGACTTTGGTTAGTGAATTGAACACTGATGGCCAGCATTAAGCTACTGTTTTATAGTTAAAATGAAATGTCAAGGTTTTTAAATAGTTCACTCTTGAGATAATGCTATTACAAAGGACTCAATAAGAAAAAAATGAATGACCAATGGAGATTGGCTTATGACCATTCGAAAGAAGGCTCTGGGGAACAACTACAGGCACGCCTTGTTTTATTGCACTTCTCTTTATTGAACTTCACAGATATTACATTTTTTACAAATTGAAGTTTTGTAGGAACCCTGTGTTGAACAAGTCTATCGATGCCGTTTTTCCGATAGCCGGCGCTCACCTCCTATCTCTGTCACAGTTTGGTAATTATCATAATATTTCAAAATTTTCATTATTATTATATCTGCTATGCTGATATCTGATTAGTGATTTTTGATGTTATTACTGTTTTGGGGCACCACAAACCACACCCATATAAGATGACACTTCACTGATGAATGTTGTGTGTATCCTGACTGCTCCTCTGCCCAGCCGTTTCCCTACCTTTCTCCCTTTTCTTAGCCTCCCTATTCTTTGAGGCACAACAGTATTGAAATTAGGCCAATGTGTAACTCTACGATGGCCTCTAAGTATTTGAATGAAAAAGTCACGTATCTCTCATTTTAAGTCAGGAGCTAGAAATATGTAACCTTAATGTGAGGAAGGCATGTCAAAAGCTGAGACAGGCCAAAAGGTAGGCCTCTTGCACTGAATAGCTTGCCAAGTTGAGAATACAAAGGAAAAGTTGTCGAAGGAAATTAAAAGTGCTACTCCAGTGAACACATGAATGATAAGAAGGTGAAACAGCCTGAATAGAGAAAACGTTATTGATCTAGATAGAAAATCAAACCAGCCACAGCATTCCTTTAAGCAAAAGCATAATCCAGAACATGGCCCTAACTCTCTTCAATTCTTTGAAGGCTCAGAGAGGTGAGGAAGCTTCAGAAGAAAATTCTGAAGCTAGCAGAGGTTGGTTACTGAGGATTAAGAAAATAAGTTGCCCCCTTAACGTGAAAGTGCAAGGTGATGCAGTAAGTGCTGATGGAGGGAGTTACCCAGATCTAGCTAAGATCACAGATGGAGGTAGTTACACGAATAGCCTTCTTCTAGAAGATGACATCTAGGACTTTCATAGCTACAGAAGAAAAGAAGTCAATGACTGGCTTCAAAACCTCAAAGAACAGGTTGACACTCTTGTTAGGGGCTAACGCAGCTGATGACTTGAAGTTGAAGTCAATGCTCATTTACCATTCTCAAAATTCCAGGCCCCTTAATAATTATGCTAAACTTACTCTGCCTGTGCTCTACAAATGGAGCAACTAGGCTTGGAAGACAGCATATCTGTTTACATCATAGTTTACTGAATATTTGAAACCTCCTATTGAGACCTACTGCTCAGGAAAAAAATGATTTCTTTCAAAATGTTACTGCTCATTGACAATGCACCTGGTCACCCAATAGCTCTGATGGAGATGTACAAGGAGATTAATGTTTTCATGCTTATTAACACAGCATCCATTCTGCAATTCATGGATAAAAGAGTAACTTTAATTTTCAAATTTTATTATTTAAGAAATATGCTTTGTGGCAGGGCACGGTGGCTCATGCCTGTAATCCCAGCACATTGAGAGGCTGAGGCGGGCGGATCACGAGGTCAGGAGATCGAGATCATCCTGGCTAACATGGTGAAACCCCGTCTCTACTAAAAATACAAAAAATTAGCTGGGCGTGGTGGCAGCGCCTGTAGTCTCAACTACTCGGGGATTGAGGCAGGAGAATGGCATGAACCTGGGAGGTGGAGCTGGCAGTGAGCCAACATTGTGCCACTGCACTCTAGCCTGGGCGACAGAGGGAGACTCCATCTCAAAAAAAAAAAAAAAAAAAAAAAAAGGGAAATATGTTTTGTAAGGCTATAGCTGCCATAGATAGTGATTCCTCTGATGGATCTGGGCAAAGTACATTGAAAACCTTCCGGAAAGAATTCATCATTCCAGATGCCTTAACATTGTCATTCATGGGAGGAGGCCAAAATATTAACAATAACAGGCATTTGGAAGAAGTTGATTCCAACCGTCATGGATGACTTTGAGGAGCTCAAGATGTCAGTGCAGAAAATAACTGCAGATGTGGTGGAAATGACAAGAGAATTAACAATTAGAAGCGGAGCCTGAAGATGTGACTGAATTGCTGCAAGCTCATGATAACACTTGAACAGATGAGGAGTTGCTTCTTAAAGTTGGGCAAAGAAAGTGTTATTTTTTTTTTTTTTTGAGTTGGAATCTATTCCTGATGAAGATGCTGTGAACATTGTTGAAATGACAACAAAGAATTTAGAATATTTTATAAGCTTAGTTGATAAAGCAGGGGCAAGGTTTGAGAAGACTGATTTCAACTAAGAAAGAAGTTCTGCGGGTAAAGTGCTATCAAATATCAATGCATGCTAAAGAGAAGTTTTTTTTTTTTGTTTTGTTTTTTTGTTTTTTGTAAAAGGAAGAGTCATTTGATGCAGCAAACTTCATTGTTGTCTCATTTTAAGAAATTGCCACAGCCACCCCAGCCTTCAGCAACCACCACCTTGATCAGTCAGCAGCCATCAACATCAAAGTAAGACTCTCCATCAGTGAAAAAGATTATGACTCTCTGAAGACTTAGATGATCATTACCATTTTTTAAAGAAATTTTTTTTTTGTATTTTAAAATTAAGGTATGTATATATTTTAAGACAGGGGTGTACAATCTTTTGGCTTCCCTGGGCCACGTTGGAAGAAAAGGAATTGTCTTGGGCCACACATAAAATACACTAAAACTAACTAGCTGATGAGCTAAAAAAATTACAAAATAATTTCATAATGTTTAAAGAAAGTTTATGAATTTGTGTTGGGCTGCATTCAAAGCCTTCCTGGGCCGCATGTGGCCTATGGGCCATGGGTCGGACAAGCTTGTTTTAAGACATAATGCTGTTACACATTAATAGGCTATAATATAGTGTAAACATAGCTTTTACATGGCTTTTATACATACTGGGAAACCAAAGAATTATATGACTCACTTTATTGTGATATTCACTTTATAGTTGTGGTCTGAAAATGTACCCACAGTGTCTTCAAGGTATGCTTGATTGGCTTTTGTTTGTCTGCTTGCTTATGTTTTTCCTCATCTGAGCAGAAAGAATTTTAATTATCATTCTCTTTTCCAGAGTTTTCTCATACAGTGGAACGAGCATCATCTACTTCTGGGCTGGCAAGGACAGCTTCTCCAGGCATATCAGCCATGACTTCTCTAGAAGTTAGGGGAGGAAACATTTCCTTTATCTTTATTTTTTCAGTGTTACTCAAAGCACCATACCTTTCCTGCTTCTCATACTGGAGGCTGAGTTCAACATGTTTTGGGAACCCTTTAGGGGCTGCAGTGTGAGAATGTATTGTTCACACTAAAAACATCTGTAATGCAAACAACCACTGATTAACCTAAGAGTAATTTGTTGCGTTAGATGTGGATGTTTGCTTCACAGATTTGTACACTAGGCAGACATTTGTGCATGAAAATTAGTTTTCCGTGATGTTTCATGGCCAAAAAAAAAAAAAAATTCTTCCCTGACCATGAGAAATGGATGCTGTGTTATGTGTACACAGCTTTGGGCTTCAGGGCACTGTAGGATTTCATAAGATCCGTGAAATCTTTTTTTCTTCACTCTCTCTCTCTTTATTCATGGGAAATATTATAACTTATTGGGACCTCATCTGATAGCATTTCTTTTAGTAGGGAGGGATGTTAAAATCAATGGTATTTAATGATGGAAGACATCGCCTTGGGCTAAAGCATTTTAATTATGTGGGCAGACCAACATGTATCCTTCATTTTCTTCCATCCGGATTCAAAAAAAAAAAAAAAATGAAGCAAAGCAAGATAGGGAACTTCCGCTACACATATTCCAATCTCTAAAACTTCTGGTTTCCTTTTTTCTAAATTATATAACAAGAATTCTAAAGACCTGTTTAAGCTTCCCCAAACGAGTTATGATTTGATCTCATTTTGGGGACCATTAGATGAGCAACAGGATTTTTATTAGTATAGTGACAATTTTCTTTTTTCTCTCCTTTTGTCTTCAGTATGGACATGCCTTCCTATCAACAGCATGTTTCAAGAAAAGTTTTGTGGATTTTATCTCCTGCTTATATTAAATAAGACATAATTGAAAAATATATTTTTAGATTTTATAAAATGTATCCATAATGTGATTCCAGTTGGGTTTGAAGAGAAAGCCATATAAAGAAAAACAAAGCTGAGCAATTTGAGCTATTATAGATGTCATAACTCCCCCTGGGTGAGTGAAGTGGGTTTGAATGAGCTAGCACCCATTTAAGTTCTTGGTACATGGAGCATGAATCTTTGAGACCCATGTTTGTTTACACATGAAAAAACAAAATACTATTTCAGAGGGAAAAATCACAACCATCAGAAAGCTTTTGGACATCAAATGGATCTTAAAAATCAACAATTTGATGAGTTAACTCAAAATGAATCAGAAACATATGGATTAAATCTCTCTTACCAAACACATGGGTTTAAAAGGAAAAGAGAACTTAGAAAATGTGTTTTGAGTTTCCTCAAACCCAAAATGTTTGAAAAATAATATAATTTGAAGCAATCGGTGGACTCAAAATGTGCTTGACTTCTCCCAATCTTGAGTACGCCCACTTACTGAGTCTATAGTGATAACGTTTTATTTTTCAAATGAACAACAAATACAAAGGGAAACTGAGCTACTCCTGGGTCTTCCTGCACATCTGAACAATGGGGTTGAAATTGAACAGCAAGTACTCTTTATAATTACTAGGAATTATTTTGAAAGGTCTATAGAATATAACTCAGTTTTTTCTTTAGAACACATTTTATTTTCAAACCGGAATTAGCATAAAAGGGGGAATTAAATTTTTCTAATGGTTTCACATGTTTCTTACTGTTCTGTGGACTGGAATCAACTAACTTTTAAAAGGAACCTGTGCTCAGATTGTTTGCATAAGTACTCAAGGTGATACACATACTTTTAAACATGAGGAAATGCCATACATCACGTTAAACATGAAGTTCTTGGCTTATAGCCACCTTTTTATGCCATTTTGAAAAGTATTTGGTTTCTGAATTAGTACTAAAATAACAAAATTGAAATTACATTTTGTGCTTGCTCACAGCTGATGTCTGGATTTTTATCTGTATTGAACTAAGACAGAGATTGATTTTTTTTGTCATCTTACACACTACTGAACTCATTGACCCACTGAATACTTCACACTGTTTACTTTATAATAATCACAACTACTATTGCTAGCTTTATAAGAGTCAAAGGGGAATTTTTTATTCAGATTATGTGTCTTGTTAAAAGAACCATGGGATCATCTTTACTCAAAACAAAGACAAATACTCTCATGCTTCTTTTAACAACCTTCCATTAGCTGTGGCAGAATCTATGTACTAGAATGCACTGTGAAGACACAAAGGAGACCTCAAGGTGATGTGGGCTGGGGTGTAGTGGAGAAGAGCATGGATCAAGCTCCCTTCATTCAAATCTTGGTTCCATCACTTACTAGTCTGTGATCTGCAGTGACATCCTTAACTTTTTGAAGCTTTTTTTATTCATTCGCAAAATGAGGATAATAATAATATTTATCTCATGGAGATTGTTGTATGAAATGAGATAATACATGAAGAATTCTTGGAATAGAATAGTAAATAGCTATGAAATTAAGAGATTAGCTTTTAGTATTATCAATAATGGAAAGAACCTGGGTTATAGGAATTAAATGAGCTAACACATGAGAAAACAGGTTTAAGTTCTAAATTACTATACAAAAAATAAATATTTTCCTAGAATTAACTGGAAGCATGGTCCCATGCTTGGGAGACAGAGGAGAATGAATATAAGAAAGAACAAATAACAGAGATTTCTGGTGTTATTGAACCAGTTTATGCATTCCTTCTAGACCACTTAATACAAGACATTTATCTGTAGAAAGGGTAATAGAATTCTGGTGTAAATTTTAATTGCAGCAGTGATTACCTTTAGATCCTGTGAGTTCATTATTGGCTGAACAATTCCGAAGACTCTCGTTAAATGGTCCATGGAATGAATCAGGCATAGAATTAACCTATCTTTAGTTCCCTAAAGCTTATGTCCCATGAAGGAGTACTTACATTGCTTTATGCCTATACCTTCTATACCCTTGATTCTTAAAAAAAAAAAATAGTTAAAGAGGTCAAACCCAGAATTCCAGGTGAATTGACCCTTAAGTAATTGAAAATTAAAAAAATTCCAGTGGCAGAAATTATTTTAAATGACTACCATCTTTGTCTTGCAGCTACTTTAACTGCAAGTTATTATTGGCTATGCCGTGTGGTTTGGATGCCAATTGCAAGGCAGCTGCCCTGCCCCAGCCTGGGAATTCTCTGCAGGGGATTCTTCAGGAAAAGAGGCATTTTGTGCAATGGAAGAATAAGTACTAGGTTAATAACCACTAAATATATCTTTTTCCAAAGCTCTGGTGAAATTCAAATAGTATTTTCATTGCTTAAAGTGTTGTTTTCAAAACGGAGAACTGAATTGGATTTGCTGAATTTGTGAGAATATTCCTTTGCCATATCAATTTTTTCACCATGGAAAAAGTGGGCATTACTACTTTGAAAGTGTTGTCTTGAAAACTTCTTTGTATAAATTTCTCTTTCAGAGACTTGCCATTTATGTATTCTGGAATATCTTTTATATTAATCCTTCATTGGGGTCTTCGAAAGATCATAGATTCATTGACTCTGAGGGTTTACAGGCCATCTTATCCAGCCTCTTCTCCCATGCGTGAATCTTTCACCAAACCAAATGATTTTATAATCTGCACCTCTAATATCAGAAACTTGCTATATCGCAAGGCAGCTTAGTTAATCTTCAGACAGCTTTACTTGTTAGAAAGCGCTTCTTTATGTTCAGGTGAAATTGATTCCTTTATAACACCCACCAACTAGCCTAATTATATTAATAAGTACCATACAGTTCAGACCTAATCCCCTTTCCACATTTCCAGTACCTATTCCTAACCTAGTTTGATTCACTTACTGAGCCTAATTGTGTGCTGATAGTCATTGATCATTTCAGCTCTCTTTCCATCTGGTTTGATCCTGGGATGCCCCAGTTAAGCTCTATTTTTCCTAAAGGACAATGATATTCCAGAAGTAGTGTGACCACTGCATTATATAGGACTGCATTATATTGTCAGCTTTGGACTAGCTTCTACGTGGACCATTGAAAAATAAGATTATATTAGCCTTTATTGCTAGTCTTTATTGAATTGACTCATAAAGCCAACTAAAATTACTGTTAATTTTTCTCACAGTAAAGTTACATTTCATCTCTTGCACATAATTAGGGTTGTTTACTGGATTACCTATTGACTCTTCACTTTTTGGTTTAACTGTGGTCTCAAAATACAGAAGTACTTAGTAGCTAGAGGTAAAAAATGATTTGTATCATGTATGTCTATCCCACATAGACTGACATAGTTAAGAGAGAAAGTTGTACATGTAGCCAGGTGGCTTCTCTTAATTCTCTCTACTACTTGCTAGATTAGAGAGTCCTTCCTCTATCCATGTTAATTTCATTCCAGCACAAAGCAGAGAAGCAAAGGACAGACGTGCTGCCACTAACCTCCATCTCACACATGCTCAGCATTAACCCCTCTCACAGACAGAAGAATGTGCAAAGGCTAGTGGATTCATTGATTCCAGAACTTCACTGGAACACACTGTCTTATGCCATTTACCTCATTTGTCTTTTCCCAGCCATATTTTCCCATTTTTCTATAGAATTTTCCCCCAAAGAATGAAATATAGGTCAGGTGTAGTGGTTCACGCCTGTAATCCCAACATGTTGGGAGGCCGGGACAGGAGAATCACTTGAGTCCAGGAGTTTAAAACCAGCCTGGGCGACATGGTGAAACTCCATCTCTACCAAAAAAATTAGCTGGTCATGGTGGTGTGTGCATGTAGTCCCAATTACTCAGGAGGCTGGATTGGGAGAATCACCTGAGCCCAGGAGGCAAAGATTGTAGTGAGCCAAGATTGTGTCACTGCATTCCAGCCTAAGCTACAGAGGCAACCCCATCTCAAAAAAAAAAAGAAAGAAAGAAAAAGAAAAAAAAAGAGAATGAAATGTAAAATTATGCACTTATTGCCATTAAGTTATTGTATTAGATTTCGGCCGTTATCCTACTTGTCAGATCTTTTGAAATCTTCCTTCTGTCCTTTAGTGTGTTCACTATACTTCCCAGATTTTTGTCTTTCACTAGTTTGATCTGTCTATTCAATTAGCATTGATGGTTGTACGTATCCAACATTGAGCGACACTAAAGGATTGGTTTATATTTCAAGTGCCAAGTCTGCCACCTGTTTGATGGCTTCAGAAAGAATAACAAGTTTTTTTTTTTTTAAGATAATGAGTTCAACTCATCCAATTCATATTCTTGAAACCGAAAACTTCAGGAGATGTCAACACGTGACTTTATCAGTATTTCTCGTAAGTTATTTAAGGATTTTCATGTTAAGTTAAATTGATGTAAAACAAACACACTTAAAATATCACGGATAACCTACCAGAAGTGAACAACAGTATCTCTTTCCTTCATGTGGAAGACTTGGCGAGACATCCTTTATCATATTTGTCATGGTTGTTTTCTCATAAGCATGAAGCAGGTAAAAATGAGACAACAAATTAGCACACAGTTTGAAGGACCTCATGCATGATCTCATATTAGATTGATTATATGGAGAATAAGTAAGGACCACAGTATCAACATAATTTATCTCCTTTGAGAAACAGGATCAAATAAACAGTAATGGAATTTAAAAAACTTAAAAGCTTCAGAGAATTAATTAAATTTCCCCAATATATGATGGGAGAGCTATTGAACCCAAAAAGACTCATACACCCCCTAATTGCTAATCTTCTCAAGGAATTGACTTATTGGATTCTTTCTACCAGCTGTTTAGAGGTTACAGAAAACGCACCAGGCTTTGCTGATGACCCAAGTGCCTTAATTCCTATGCATGCATATTTTAACATTATTACAGAAAGGTTTCATTTGCAATTTACAGGCTGAGTAGCAATGAGTCCGTTTCAAAGAGGTCAGTGCTTTCACCATGCCTCCTAGTGATGGAATTATGGTTTAAACAGCTGGAGCACTGTCCCAGGAGGGACACTGGGGTATGGCTCCTTAACGGCAGAATAAATCCATCAGACATATTTCATGTGTCTGATAACATTAATAGATACCAGGGCTGTTTAAATATTTAATGAACTCACTCAGAGACTGTTTACCAAGGGGAGAAAAAAAGCTATCAGAAAGGATGATCACATCCTTTTGATCTACAATGACAACAACAAAACCGAAATCTCAGCCAATGATTTCTCTTTCTTGCTGCAAACTCCATCACGGGAAACCGTTTGCTGCATGACATGTTTCATTTCCACAGTCTGCAAGAGAGTGTTTTCAGTTTTGCAGTTCAAAAGTTAATCATTTCCATGCGACTCACTACTTAATAGAGATGCCAGAAATCATAGAATAGCTTTCAGTTGGGATGGAGAAAACAGCAGAGGAAAGACAGAGACACTAGAGCAAGCTAATGGTTTGCAGTGCACACGGAGCCACAGAAGCCCTGGGTGTGTTAATGAGGAGGGCATCTGCTAGAAAGAGAGAGTAAGCAGAATGTCAGTTGTGGCTGCTGGCTACCTTTGCTGATGGTCTTTAGGAGGATTCCTTGCTACAGAATCCTTCTTTCTGGAGATGGACAGTAGTCATTAAAAGAAAAAAAATCACGTCCTGATATTTGGCATACTTTTATTCTAGTCTGAGGGCAAGATTGTTTGGATTTATGAAATTTCACTGAAAATGGTTTGGCTAGGCAGAATAAAATGGTTTTATTCTGTGGTTTCAGATGCCTGTTTGGTCATGCAAAACTGAAACAATAGTTAAGTTTCAAATGATGGGAAATAGCTGGCACTAGGTCCTTCCTGTCTGTTGGCACCAACAAACAGTCATGTTGAAAAATGGTCTATCACACACTGTCCAGAGCATGTCTTTTTCTCAATTATGTTTATTATAACTCTAATCCGGTTCTTTTCATGGGATTAAGGTGACACAGAGGCCTGGTGTCCACCATCTTGGTCTGTTCTAATACCTGATAAATTCAGCCTAGATTAGAATGAATTAAGAATGCCTCCTAGACCAGGTTGAAAATGTCTGGCCATTTGGCGATTTAACTCTAAAGCAGTTTTCTTTGGGGACCAAGAGAGTATCTTGGCTTAATTAAAAGTGGATACATTTTTGAACATCTCAAATGAATGCCATTAGCATTATTTATACTCTGTTTTCTCTCAATTCTGTTTTGCTATAGGTTTGTAATTTGTTATAAAAGCATAAGAAAGCAGATGGTGGATTTCCTGAGAGCATTGTGTTGCTCTACTTTTGGAAGGGCTGTCATTCTCAGAAATGAAAGACTTACACTAGACCATACCTTTCCAAACAAATCATTTTCAAGTATATAAATAGCATAATTAATCACAATGGAAATATAAAATGTTTAATCAGTAGCAGATGGACTGAAACAAAGAAATTTTATGTACAAGGCTATTTGAAACGTTCAGCATTGCATACTTTTTTATATGTTTGTAAAAACTGATTTTAGGGGCCAAGATTTTATTTGAACTTAATTGTTAATATTTTGTTCTGTATTTTTCTGGCAAGAAGATTAAGCAGTCCATCTAGCTGCTGTTTTAGGAAAGCAAGTGAGTCACTGCCTGGCATAATAGAAAAGTTAACTAAAATATACATTTACAAGAGGACAGTTTAAATTCTCCAGATTCCCCTGTTTATGGTAATCAATGGTAAAATTTCTTTATGTCTTTGAAAGAGAGCAACCTGGGAGAAACACTGCATGGGAAAATGTATCTGGTGTGGGAAAAAAAGTCACAGATCTTTGATGTTGATTATCATTTTAAATCTTTTAAGTGAGTGTGCTTTAGAAGAGAAAAAATTTTAACAGTAAAGAAGCAGGGAACTCCTTTTGGATATAGGGTCTGGTTTGACTAAATTCTACAGCAATAAAAGCTGAAACTAATTTCCAGATGGAATAAATTGGTTCCAGGGTTTCTGAAATTTTGGCCAGCATGTTGCACAGCTGAAGCTGATCCTTGCTCAGAACTATTACCAAAGCGGGTGGGAAGGGAGGGGAAAAGGCTCGATGGGGATACATTTCCCAAGAGATCATAGGGTTGGGCATTTAATGGGGTTCTGCTTGCTTCAGCTTTCCGTTTCTCTGTGTTTCAAAGTTTGGCAGTTCAAATCATGTCTCAGAACCATTTGTGGACTCTACCCCTGTCCTGGCAGTGGAACACAATCTGTGAAGGCAATTATCCTAGTAATGAAAATTCTAACACTTTAGTTAGATACATGCACCCACCATGCATTTTGGTACATTCTGAACTGACTGAAGTGGGATGATGATGCATGGGGGCCTGAGTACTGACAGGTCTTTTCTTTCTAGACAAAGGGCATAAGACTATTCCTAGCCACCTTAAAAATAATTTTGAAACATCCTCAAGTAGATATAGGCTATACTCATGGAACTGTGGCCTTCTCACTGTATCATCATGATGTGAAAGCCTAGAAGGGTGTCCAGTGTTCTATGTCACAAACAGGCCAGGAACAGACCAGGAAGAGGGAGCCATAAACCTCCTATGGTCAGTGTCACAGACTTCAGGGAATGACCCCAGTGCATGTTCTTTTACTCACCACCCAAATGAGGCCCCAAAGTGAAATGCTGATTTCACTAAGCATATTTCTATTTGGAAAATTCTTGTAGTCCAGGTGATCTGAGGACTTTTTTTTTTTGGACATTTTGGATGTTCATTCATGGTTGTCTACGGTTTTAATTCTCTACTTTTTCTGCTAATCTTCTTGAATAGTTTTGAGTGGTCAATATTTCTGCCTCTCTTTTCCTCTTTACCCATTGTGAAAACTTCTGAAATCTGATTTTTTTCCTATAATTCTGTACAATCACCTCATCTGAAATATTGCAACATTTTCTCTATTGTGGTACTTACTGAATTTAATTCTCTTGTACTACTGCTTAGGAGATGGTTTTGAGTGGGAGTGGGGGTAGGACAAAGTGACTATATAAAGTCCTCTGTTAAAAATTGGCATCATCATTCCAGTCTGGGTGACTGAATGAGACCCCATCTCAAAAAAAAAAAAAAAAAAAAAAAAAAAAAGTATCACCAGTTACTCCTTGGCCCAAGTCAGGAATCTGGGACTCATTCCAAGCAGTGTCCTCTCCTTTAGCTCTGATGCCACGTTGGCCTTCAGGTTGAGTATTTCTCTCCATAGCATCTCTTGAATGATCTCCTTCCTTTCTCTTCCCATTGACTTGGCCTTATTTCCAGCCTCCATCACTCAACACATCAGCTTCTTTACTGGCCTCCTTGTCTCTGTGCTTGCTCTTCTATCTTTACTCCACAGAGCTGCTAAGTTAATATTAAGGACTGAAGGTTTATGTTTTCCCCAAATTGCATATTTCGAAGCCCTAACCCCCAGTGTAATGGTATTTGGAGGTAGAGCCTTTGGGAGGTAGCTAGGGTTAGACGAGGTCATGAAGACCGGGCCCCTTGATGAGATTAATGTTCTTAGAAAAAGAGATCAGGATGCTCTCTCTCTGCCACGTGAGACACAGTGAGAAAGAGGGCCTTTACCCAGAATGGAATTGGCTGCACCCTGACCTTGGCCACCAGAACTGTGATCAATAAATGTCTGTTGTTAAAACACATAGAAGAGAACAACACACCCGCCTTTCAGAGGGTAAAAGGTGGGTGGATGGAGAGGATCAAGAAAAATAGCTAACGGATACTAGGCTTAATAACTGGATGATGAAATAATCTGTACAACAAAGCCCCATGACACATTTACTTATGTAACAAACCTGCACTTGTGCCCCTGAATTTAAAATAAAAGTTAAAAATAATCTAATTTAAAAAACAAAATACAACACCAGTCTATGGTATTTTGTTGTAGCAGCCTGAGCTGGCTAACACAGTTAATAGTTCTAAAACACAAATCTAAAACCTGTTAGTCACTGGGCCCTGGAATCTATAGTGTAAGCCCAAATGCCTAGTTAGTAAAGCATACAAATCATTGCTCACTGCTCCAATCTCAATTTCAGCTGTGTCCACCCTAGTACATGGTCTCTCCTAAAACTTTCATAGAGTGCCAGCAGTAAGCACCCTTCATCCTTGGGCCTCTTCATGTATTATCTCACCTATCTGAACATATTGCCCTTTTGCCAATCACGTTTCTTCTTCAAAAACTCCAAGTGGATCATGATCATTCCTGCTACATTTGAACAATCTAGCGAAGTTGTTACAAACATTGATTTAGAACTCTCTAAGCTTCAGTTTCTTTATCTAGAAGTTAGGAAGAGTAGTGAGGCCTAAATGAGATAAGTAAACTCCTTAGCACAATGCCTAAAGTATAGTAAGGGCTAGAAACATTTAAGTTGCTAGTAACTTGTGCATTGTTTTGTTTATATGGTTCATTGTATGCTTTGGGGGGTGGGGAGAGGACTGTTTGTCTAACCTCTCTGTCTATCCTGTTAGGGTATGAGCCCTAGTGGCTGCCACATAGTAAACACTAAATACATTTGGTTGACTGTAGAAATATTGGCTTCTCAGAGGAATCTGCCACTACTAAACAGTCTGCTCTTCCTTGGCCTACTCAATTATGTGCTCTCCAGATGTAACCTTCATCAATCAAATGCTTTTCAGTTTAATTTAGTAGTCTATCCTCTATCTTCTAAATGTAGGCACTTCCAAAATCTTCATTTCTAGTTCCGTACTTCCTCCAAAGCTGACGTATTATTTGTCCTTTCTCCCTGCTTTTTGTCTCTCTCACCCAAAACAATACTTCAATCACCCAAAAATTAATATCTTTTTAATATTGGCTCTGTGGTGCTGTTTACTTGATCCAAAGTTCGTAACTGACTTCATGCCTTCACTGCTGTCTACTGACCAAGCCCCATTTGGTTTACACAACATTCAAGCTCTTGTCTCTCTCAGTCCCTGCATCCAATCATTAGCCACGTATATTTGACTGTGGCTCAGGTTTCCATCATCTCTTGTGTGCTGCTTCCATTTTTGCCCTTTGAATTTATTCTCCATTAACAGAGAGAGTTTTGTTTCTAATCACTCAACTTAAAAGTTTTCCATGGCTCCCTACTGCCTTCCGGATGCAATTCAAACTCTCTGGTATGGCCCTCAAGGCCGGCCATGATCTGACTACTGTTCCACCTTCATCTCTAGTTTCTCCAACCATATTGGAAAAAAAAAAAATGGCAGACTTTGTGATTCAGTCCACTGTCATTGTGTCTTGACCTTATATTAGTTTGGACTTGTTTCCTCCTTTCTCCCACCACCCCTTTACCCGGCAAACTCCTTCATAGCCTTCTAGTGTTAGGCTTCTCACAAAAAGCCTTCTCTAACCCAGGAATCAAGAGTTAGGTGTTGCTCTAGTGTTTTTCATATTTTCTCTTTTCTTGTCTCTCTCTTCCTGAAAAAAAGGACAAACTTCATGAGGTTGGTGGGACAAACATTTTTAAACTTGTTTGTTTCTTAAGAGTTGTGTCTATTGCTCCTAGCTAAGTGCTTTATATATAGTAGGTATTCAAGTAAATATTTATTGAATGAATAAATTTCAAGCCATCCAGGATCTGTCTTGATCAGGCCATATCCCCTGCATGACCTCTGGACTTACTACTCTTCTTATTCCCCAATCATTTCTTGCTCATTCTGGCTTCTCTGACTTATACTTTTCCTAAATGAAGAATCTTTATCTTTTCCCCATCCTTGCCCAGCAAGACACCTCCATGGACACTAACCATAAGTCAGGATCTGCTGAATTCTTCTTCACCATGGAGCCCTCTCTGACCAAGACGCTTGTGACTATGACTGCGTCCTTTTATAAACTTCCCATGTAATGTTTATTATGACTCCGTGCCACTTAAGTCAGGCTTTGCTGTGTGTTTTAACTTTTTTGTGGGGGAGCGGGTGGAGGAAGAACCTCAGGTGAAGAAGGTTGAATTAATAATACTCTGTTTTAACTTTGTATGAATTTACAATATATGTCTCAAGAAGACTGAAAGATTTTTAAAGGTAATAATCATATACTTGCTTCTAATATTCATAGTCCACAGAACAATATTAGGCACATAAAAAATAATCAATGTTTTTATATGAATAAAGTAATTTTGATTATGACTCCATTACAGAATTGTACTAGACAATAGGAAAGGAACCACAGTAGTTGCTACATAAAATAAACAAAGGTAATTAAACTTTTATCAGTTGATAACAAAATTCTGGATTTAGGTTTAAACTAATGGTCAAGATGTGGTTGAGGCCAAATGACCTATAAGTCTAGATCCTGAAGTGAAAAATATTCTTCCCACTTAAAGAGGGCATTAAACTCTTTGAAACCACTGAGGTACCAGGGCCAAGATCTTGCTACATAAGGTTATTAAGTTGTGTACAAGTAACCTTAAATGATTGATATTCCTCAATGTGGTTTATTTAAACCAAACAAATAAATTATTTACCTGAAAGACACAGAATAATCTATTCTTCCTTTCCTCCCTCCTCTCTCTATTCTTCCACAGACATTTATAAATAATTGCACTGGGCAGAGAGGTAAATGCATGTCCATATAGGTGTCCAATAGCTTCTTGATGACAGAGTTTCATTTCTGTGCCATGAATAAAAATAGTAAGACTAATTTGAAGAAGTGAGTTTTTTGACAATGAATTAAGAATGATGAATTAATAATGTTTTCCAGCGATCCATGATTTCTTCCATTTACAACAGTCATTAATAAAGGAACATGTTCTATGTTTAGTTAGCATGATTCTATAGGAAATCTAATAGTTCAAAGACAGTCTATAACTGTTCACTCTACATCTTCCAATTGTGTTCAAATAAGATGGCAATTTTTAACTTGAAATTAGGATTTATGCATACCATTTGAAGTCTGTAAGCAAATACATACAAATATGAAACAATTTATTTATAATATTGAACAAACATGACATATTGTACCTGTTTTGCCTTCATTAGGAACCTTGTGTGTCTCTCTGCTCAGACATCGCTTCTTTTTTTTTTGAGACAGAGTCTCACTCTGTAGCCCAGGCTGGAGTGCAGTGGTGCAATCTCGGCTCACTGCAAGCTCCATCTCCCAGGTTCACGCCATTCTCCTGCCTCAGCCTCCCAAGTAGCTGGGACTACAGGCGTGTGCCACCACGCCCGGCTGATTTTTTGTAGTTTTAGTAGATGGGGTTTCACCGTGTTAGCCAGGATGGTCTCGATTTCCTGACCTCATGATCTGCCTGCCTCGGCCTCCCAATGTGCTGGGATTACCGGCGTGAGCCACCGCACCCATCCCAGACATTGCTTCTTAGCATATGCACCTCACGTGGTGTCTCAAATTAGTGAGAACATTCACCTTAACTCATTAGCTGCATTATTGGACAGAGACATACTACTTGCTTGAGACTGTCATGTTGATTATCTAAACAATTATGGTAAACTTGTCATGCTATTTGTTGTAATGAAGTAATGATATCATTGTACATGAGGCTGAGTTAGTAGAATTACATCTGTTTATTCTGTTTACATGGATAGTTTTGTTTTTGATAGTGAAAGCGAGAGTGATTTAATATGAACACATGCTTATTTTACTTTTAAATTGTTATTCTATTTGGGAGCTAGTTTTATTATTATCTCTTCTTACCCACCCATAAAGCTATCAGATTCAATACCTTATCTGCCTTAAACATATAAAAAAACTTTGTGTTTGAATTAGTTATTGAATGTTCTGAATAGATAAACCTCATGACTTCAGTTTTCACCACAGTTGTTTCTCTCTCAATTCATAATTCAAACTCACCATAGGTTCAATTTGTGAAATCAATACACTACAACCATAGATTGTGTCAAGTCAAACTGACGCTGGTATTGAACTTCTGAATTTGAGACCAGGTCTTAAAGACAAGGAACAAAAACACCAAGAAGACAGCAGGTGGGGTTTCCATTGCAGATACAGAAGGCAAACACTTTGCAGCTTCCATTAACTTTCAACTTAACCTGCGATAGAGAAAGAAACGTATAAGGGCGTATTTTTAAATTCTGGGTGATAAAACACACACAATACCATGCAGGCAGGAAGTTGAAAGACTCATCCAAGAGATTCTTTGTCCATTAAGAAGTAGCAAAGCATTGAGATTAATGGCACAGGCTCTGGAATCACTTTGCCTGGCTTTGAATCCTACCTCTATAAACTAATAATTTTTAATCTTGAACAAGATAGTTAATTGCATTGGTATTTCAGTTGCATTTACACAATGAATATAATATAATACTTAACTCACAAAGTTGCTGTGGTCTTTGAACAAATTAATACTTTATCTCATAGAATATGACTCATTATATTTTATAAACCAATAAACAATGCCAAGTAAACAATAATTTCCTATAGGTTGTCAAACATAGCCCAATTCCAGAGCCATGAATATGTGAAAGAAAATATTCATTTTAGGATTGATAAAATATGGTCCATATGAACACTTAGATCAGTGTCTGACAGATTTTTACATGCATATTAAATGTTGGCTGTTGTTATTTATGATGTCCAGGTAATAATCATACTAATAATTATCAATAAGCTGTATTTATGTTCCCATTTTCCTACTTCTGGAGAAGGGAGAATTGTGTTCTTCTACAAAATGGTGCCATTAGGAAGATAAATATTTAGCTGGTAATGATAGCTGGTATTTCATTGATATTTAAGGATGACTCTAGGGAACTGCTGATTAGGTAAGATCACACACCTTTCAGTGTTCTACATTTACCCCTCCTAAAGTCACACACAGCTGGGGGACAGGGTCTTCCCTCATGGGTGGAGGAACTGTCCCTGAGTCAAAGTTAGAATATATGAGGCCTCGTGCTTCTTAATAGACAATATAAAGACTATTGTAATCTTTAGAACAATAACAGTTTGGAACTTCAAAAATTACAGAAAATAAGATCAACTTACTGATGCAAGCAACTCACTCTTATTCATGAAATAATGGCATTTGCAGCAACCTGGATGGAACTGGAAACCATTATTCTAAGTGAAGTAACTCAGGAATGGAAAACCAAACATCGTATGTTCTCACTTGTAAGTGGGAGCTAAGCTATGAGGATGCAAAGGCATAAGAAAGATACGATGGACTTTGGGTCTCGAGGGAAAAGGTGGGAAGGTGGCGAGGGATAAAAGACTAGACATTGGGTACAGTGTACACTGCTCAGCTGATGGGTGCACCAAAATCTCAGAGTCACCCCTGAAGAACTTATCCATGTAACTGTGAGCTAGAGTGTGTGTGTGTGTGTGTGTGTGTGTGTGTGGTCTTTACCCATATATTCATAGACTAAAACTTGGGTGACTTTAGTAAAGAATAAATAAGCATCGGAATACGGTAGGTTCCTAAATTCTTCTCTTAAGTAGGAAGCAGTAAATATTGTTTATTGAAGGAATGAAGAATGAAACCATCATAATAAATGAAAAAATTAGGAATAAAATAAAAAAATGAGACAGTAAGGTCTGGTAGAATGGCTGAAAGAGGGATGTCACCTTTTAGCCAAAGTGCTCGCCTTGTCATCTAACCCAGAACCAGGGTCACAACACTTTTGGACAAGAAAGCATATTGCCTAACAGATTAACACAGAAATAAAGGGATCTGCTAAGTCACTGAAATGCAAAGCAAAGCGCATACACTAAAATGGAGAGATTTGTTTCCCTGACTCCTGGCAGCAAGGTCAGGCATTTCTTTTGCTAATAGCCAGTGAACCAATGAATGACATACCATTAATGGATGTCTTAAGTTATGGGAAGGAATCGGGTTACCCAAATGAGTGTTCTTTCAATGCACTGAAAGGAAATGATCGGCAACCTAGAACTAGAAGAGCTTTTACATTAAAGAGTTTCCTTTACATCTTGAAATGTGCACCACTAGGTTAGTTAAAAGGAAATGAAGGATGACTAAACTCCTAAAGGAAAAGGAAGTAGTGTGTTCTTGGTGACAAGTTGGGGCAAATCTTCATTCATGACTGGTGGCCAGGTTCCCCACTCTGGAAACAAATAGAATTCTAAAATAAAAGTGTTAATTGCTGTTAAGATAGAGAATGGTGAGTGAAGAGTGATGGAGTTCTAGTGTCAGTTCAGTTATATATGTTCTTATATATGTCAATGAAAACGTACCACAATTTGCCTAAAGAAAAGGCAAGAATTTGGTTTCTTGGGTTTCTGCATGCTTGGTATTATCATAACACAGCTAGACTAGAAGGGTAAAGCTATACAAACTCCCAGGGGTTGGAAAGGGATTTCTGACCTTCACATAGGATTTCTCGGTTCACTGGATATGTGATATTATTGTGGGATTTTCTCTTAACCCTTAAGTACCTATCTCTTTTGTAGGCACAATAAAACTCGTAAGAGCTATAACTGGGTACACAAAGGCCAATTTGTCATACCATTTAATCACAACAGGGTTCTCATTGTGAAGCATCAGGTCACAATCCCTTTGTCAATTCCTTTAGCTGAAAAAAAGTGAAAAATACCTTTGAGGTGGCTATTTATTGCACTATAGGCTAATAGTACTTGTCCTTCTTTGATAAAGTAACAACTCGCTTCTGGGGTCATTGTTTCATCTTTCTCCATGTCCTGTACTGCTGATTCAAGTATAGTAATACTGACTTCAAAGGGAGCTTACTAGTGCATGGAGAAAGACAGGAAACATGGCGGGAATATTTAAGAGAGGACTTTACAAGGTCAGTTTTCCTTTTTGCAATGTCCTTATGAGCATCTCAAACCATTTTTTTTCCTTTCTATTTTCAGGAACCAATGGATATTTGGCCCATTTCTTATCCACAACCCCCATTAAAGTCATTAAAATGTTTCATTTAAATTCTACAGACAATACAATTAATACATGGATTCTTCTGGTCTGTGTATGCAATTCATACTACCTTGCTTAGAAGCACTCTCACCAGTGCCCTGTGGATGAAATCAGAATTTTGATTCCAACTTACATCACCTTCCTTGGGCATAAATACATTTGAGAAGACGATGAAAACCAGAAATCAAAATGTTGCTTTTCTTGATACAGCACCAAATTCCGTACCCTCTCTGAGGCTTCTTGTAGTCATCCCCTCTCCTCCAAATTTGCTAATGTGATCATGTTGATAAAGAGTGAATAGATTTAAGTCCTTATTTTCCTTTGAGCTTTAGCATAAAGTGCTCCTAAGAACATATCTTATTTATATAAAATAGGCATGCATGCATACACAATCTCTACCTATACCAAAGCATTTTCTTTATTATAATGAGATGTATCTTTCTGGATTTTCTGCACAATCAGACTGTAATTAAGCATAGGAGGCTGCAGGTAAGGGCATGAGATGCATGTTTAATTAAAAGAGAAAATTCTGGTTAAGTATCAATTTGTATGACATTCAATTTACAAGAATTCAGAAAGCTACTCTTTCTTATATATTTCCTTTTATATATGTGTATGTATTTACACACATGTATGTTTCACACTGAAATCATATTCTCATTTCATATGCTAGAGTTGCTGCCACATTTACTGCCCCCATCCAAGAAAATGTTGATATATATTGAAAATCTCCATGAAAAATAAAATGCCTGCATAAATTCATGTAGGGCAAATAAAAAAAGCAGCCAGGACCCAGCAGGCTGAGTCAATGTATAGCTTGCATATGGAAACAATGACATGATTGTTTACTCACTGGTTTAATGATATTCACTTTCTCCTAATGGCAACGTGGAAAATGTGAGTACCAGATGCTGCGCCCAGAGCACAGAAGAGAGAACAGGGAAGGTCTAGAGTAAGGAATTTATCCTGACACCATAATGTAGTGTAACTCTTCAGTTTATTAACGTGGTGTTTTTTTTAGGAAAAAATGCTTTGATGTCTGCGGCTTAAATTTCCATATTTTTATAACAGTTCAGCAACAAATTTACATATTTCCTGGAATCTGCAGATATAAAAGCGGTAAAACACTCCAGGCATTATTAGACAGTAGATTATAACCCATTACTATTGTTTCAATTAGCAATGTAAAAGTGACCTGCAGTGTTCCGATGACCCACTAATGGATTTAAACGCTTTCAAATATTAATGCAGGTTTTCTAAAGATGAATCCCAAACCCATTATTCCTGGAACAACTATGAGCTGAAAAGCTGGCAATGATTGTGCATTATGTGGAAAGGCTCATGGTTAATTAAATGAATACCTAGCATTACACTATTCACTTTAGTGCTACAAAATTATTTCTCATTGATTTTTACATTCTGAGTCTGTGATTCAATTTACTTCTGCAATTTGTGTTGTCGTGTCAATAAAAGAGAACTGCTTGAAGATGGAAGCATTAGAGACTGATAAATACATTAAGATCCAATGAAAACTGCAGTTTTCCTATTGTTTTCCTCTATTGAAATATCATTTTTAGCAGCACTTTGTTATGTATTATTAATACAATTTTTGTTTGCTTCCATCTGCTCTCCTCTCCCCTTTTCTATTCAGGAACTGGAATGTTAGTGATTGCTTGAGGGTGAGTAGCTAATTTTTCAGTAACAGTTCTCTCACTATCAAGAACAAAAGCACCATCAACACAAATCTGTTATTTCGTGTTAAATGAACTAGAAGGCCAGATTCTTCATCAAAGACAGCGTGGGGAGTTACTGTGTGTGGGTGTGTTTTAATTTCAAGGAGCAAATGACACTCCTGTCTGTTAAGCCATGAAAGCCAAAAAATATTAAATAGTTCTAACCCCATTATACAATTTATACACTATAAATATAATCTGATATATTTATAACGTGCATATTTTATTCAAAAATTATATTACACATTTTACAATTGAATCCACATGTGCATTTTCTCTTTGCAACCTACTTTGACTCAGTTCTATAAAAGTCCAAAATTGTAAGTTGAGATTTGCTGTTAACATTTTTTTTCAAAATTTTGCAAACTTCAGCTTCATAGTTTTTGGTGTCTAAAGAAATCTTACGTGCTATTTTCATGTGATTTAGACTCATAATGCAGGAGTTGTTTGGTATATATTGTAAATTTAATATTTCCTGAGAAAAGTTGGTTTACCAGTCAAATACAGCAATCAATATTGTCTACCTAGTTCATTGGAGTTTATGGTGCCCAAACTGTCTCCATGAAGATGCTCATTAGATCTCAACTTATCCCATGTTTAAATTTGTCTGTACTCTCTTTAGAGAACATGGGTAATCAAATCTTAACTAAGCTGTTACATTCATCTCTGAAGGAGTCCCCTTCCATTGTCTACAATCTTCTCACAAAACCCATCTTCAAGACATTAGTTTTTATATTGATCTGAGTTGCTGATTAGAGTTTGACCATTGATAGGCTATAGAGCCTACAACATAGAAAAATTTACAATGAAGGTCATTTCACAAATAGTTTTAAGCAAAGAGCATCCTATAGACATGAAATAATCAAAATAATACAAATGACCGATAAATGTAAGTTTAACTTCCCTATAAATTAATGAATGCTGATTTAAAGAAATTAGCTGCATTTTGCATATAAAATTGTCAAAGTGGAGAAGAGAGCATAGTATAATATTTAATATTGGTGACAGAATATATATATATATATATATATATATATATATATATATACACACATATACATCCATACATATATATATCACTGGTGGGATGTACAGAGATGCAACTTTTCTAAAGGTAGTTTGGACATAAAGTATTTTTAAATTTTGTAAATTTTTTATACCTTCCACTCTAAAATTCTACTTTTTGGAATTTAAGCTCAAGAAAAAATTATAAATATGTAAAAACATTTAGTTTTATAAGCTGTTCATCTAGACCTTACTTCAAGTGTCATTTATGAGAATAAAAAATTTGAAAGCATCCTAAATGTTTAAAATGAGGAATATGTTAATAAATTATGGTACTTAGTATAATTAAGTATTATTAAAGGATGTAAAATAATGTACAACAATATTTAATGACATGGAAATATACTTAGATTATATTGTTGTTTGAATAAGATACATTTCACACACACACACACACACACATACACACACACACACACCTGTTCACTCACAAGTAACCAAACATTGTAGGATGTGTACTATGGAGTCTTATTTGGTATTTAATGTTAGGATAATTTTGAAGGTATCCCAAAGGATTTAAATTATAGTTTTAAATCATTTTTATATAAAAAGGTAACTCCTCTTTATTCTAGAGCAATTCGAAATGATTTTAAACAAAACAAAGAAAACCTACTTATTTGAAAATCCATATGAAGATATATAGAAAAAGAAGGTAGACTGGAAGGATATATAAGAAAATGTTAACAGAGATTTATAACTGGTATGTTGTAAGTTATTATTTTCTTGTATTTTTAAATATTTATACGAATAATATGGATAATCTATTTTTAGTACTTAAAAATATGATTGAGAAATCTTATTTAGTTATCCTACACAAAAACCAAGAGGAAAGAAATCCTTGTAACTCTTATGGATGGAAAGATGGGACAATTAGAAACAGCCATGTACCTGTCAACTAGGAACAACTGGTGTAGCTGTCAAAAAAAGTGAATTAGAATCCTAACTCTGAGTTACTAGCTGGGGGACCCTAGGCAACTCACTTAACTTCTCTGGGCTTCAGTTTCTTCTAAATATACCTATATCTCTTAAAAGGGAAATGGTCAAATGCGAAAAGAAAATTCCTGGCTTTGTTACATCGGAATGTTGAGATGTAATGAGTTCTGAGAGGGCTGCACATGCTCTTAAATACTGCCCGTTTCTCACCCCTGTTCCAGTTCAATGCTTAACTAACTATCCCAAGTTGTATATGCTTAAAAACCAATATGACTTTTACCTTGTGACATTTGCTTCAAAGGATTTTCTGTTATTCAAATGAAATATATCTTTTCAGAAGAGAGCAGAGCAATTAGTAATCAAGCCATGTTCATAACACTTTGTCTCCAGTAATTAGTAAAACGTCATCATTGGAGTTGTGGCCTTTGCCTGAGCTCCAAGAGAGCCGGGCCCACCCAAGACGTGTTCTACTTGCGGCTGTAACCCCTACGTCTGCACATAGTAGGTTCATATCACCAAACACATTGATGTGACACATCCAAATGACAGTTCCAAGATTTATGCTCTGCATTTTGATAACAATTTTTCATCTCTTGGTAGCAAAATTGAAATAAGTCACTAATACATGATTATATAATGCTTTGCTTATTATTTAGCTACTAAATAAAAATTGTATAATATGAGAAGAACAAGAACAGTTTATGCTTTTAGGAACCTGGGGCTCGCGTTCAGTACCCAAGAACTAGCTCTTTCCTTTGTCAAAGGCCCTAACACATGCTCTCATCCCCCTCCTCCATCTCATAAGTCAAAGTTGCACAGCTTGGAACTGGGTCCTGGCTTGCACCCCTCAGGCAGTGCCTGAAGTGTGGCTGGCTGGTGAAGATGGCCAAGAGTAGGCCGTTGGGCACAGAGCACTCTTTATTAGGTCACTGGGGAAGGAGATTTTTTTAAAAAAGATTTCTTTATAATAGAACTGTTCAGTATCCAGACAGTAATTCAGTAATCACTGTGGCTGAAGGTAGACTCTAAGGATGAACACACTTTCTAGAATCTGGCTTGGGTTCATCAGATTTGCACCGAGAACCAGATTGGCTGGTTCTCAGTGCAACACATTTACAGGAGAAACAATTTTAGGCTTTTAGTACCTCAGTATGCGCATCCTCAAAATGGGACTACTTACAATATATAAATGTATATAAATCCTGCGACTGTTATGAAGATGAAATTAGTTAATATAGAGAGAGCACATTAAGCAGTGAAAGTACAGGGCAGGTTCTTAAATGTTAGTTCCTACCAATTACAATGATTGCTACTTGACTGCTCCCGCTGAAGGTCTGACCAACATTTCAAGAGGCTTTGTCTGAGGTGAGACAGAGCAAACTGGAGTCTCTCTAAGCTGAGTAGTAAAGTGAGTGAGAAAATGGCTCAGATTATTAAAGCCATGAAGATATTGGACTAAAATTCCTTTACAAATTCCTTCATTCTTTACTTGGTAGGTACAAATCTGGCTATTAATATTCAGAAGGCATAGTTTTATAGCTGAAAGAAAACAGAGTACGTTCAGCTTAGTTTAGTCTTCCATTGAAGGGTAGAATGAATTGCTAAGTGTTAGCCAGCCCGCTGCAGGGTTAAAACTAGTTCTCTTGCCTCACAGCCCTGGACTCGCTCACTGTATCTATTTCTCTTAATGGCTTAGAAGAGACTATTTTTAAATTAGACCAAACAACAACAGCAAAAAAACAAAACAAAACAAAACAAAAGACTGCAGCTCTCTTAAGTCTTAGGGCATTAAAAGAGACTTTTTTTGGCAGTATTGTATTTTATAAATCACCTTATGTATTGGATCACCCACATACACACATGCACACACACACACATACACACACACCCTCTTAATTATTAACCAATAGGCCTCTAGATCTCTAGATCCAGGGCTTACAAATACATTTTTTACAGGAAAATTCAAGATCCCATGCGTAACTGCTTTTTCAGTAGTGTTTTGCAGAGGAATGACCAGAATGATACTGGAGCCTGCGAAACTTGCATCCAGGGCATGGATTGGCTGCATAACAACTGTGTTGTCCCCAGGTTCTAGGAAGCACTGGTGGAGGACCTCATTGTCTGCTGCAATATAAAAGGAACATTTGTTCAGAGCATGTCACTCTCATTCATTTTGAAAACAACATGCAGAGTTAAATGAATCCAGTGCTGAAGTATGCAGCTGTCCATGCTGTAGAAGGGAGCATTGTCAGTTGATGAAAATTCTAAACTGATAGTTTAGGATGGTGTCAGAAATTGTACTTTCCACAAGTTAACTTACCAGAGAATATGGCACTCTTCACATTTGACCAAAATTGTGTGTTTATCTACACTATCTTTACTTGCACCATTACCTTGATTGATACACAAACAGATAATAAGATAGAAACATTGGAATAACTACAACATAAGTAACGAGGGGAAAATAGTTTGATGAAAATAGGGTGAAATAATAAAAAAGGAGCATTTCATAATGAAATAGACAAAAAGCACATTTTGAACATGCATTTTCTTTTAAACATTTTCTCAAATTTGATGATATTCATTTTATTTGAAGTTATCTAAGATTAACTTAATACCAAGAGAAAAAAATTATCTGTGTTATATCATAAAAGCTACAAAATCTAATTAGATAGTAGAAATCTGATAGAAATTATTATAGCCATAAAGAATTAGAACATAATAAATAGTACAGATTTTAGGAACTTACTATCTAAGGTAGGTAGTGCATACATTATTAAGCTATGTGAAAGTCATCTAGAGAAATATTTATTCAGTAGTGAACTAAATTAGGTTACTGAAGATTATTAAGGTCACCATAAAGACATTAAACCACGGAGAGAAAGGGGAAAAATTCTGAAAATACATCAATGGAATGTAAAGTGTCTGAAATCCACAAAGAACAGAATATGTGTTTGTCAGACATGTTGGATATACTTTTGAATTGTTATATAAATCGCTTTGTTTTTCAAAAGCATTAGGAAATACATTTTACATAATATGATTAGAAAAGGAAAACTGCATTTTGTGCAAAGCTTCATTTGAATTCATTTTCTTTGTTATGGCTTAACTAGCCCCAGCTTCTCACCTCTAATCATAACAGACTCCTTCTGGTTTAATTATGTTTCAAGTTCTGAAGATGAGTTAACCACTTACACAGGGAATTTGACTTCATTGATCAGTAAAAGAAAAAGAAGTCTATGTTTTGATTGGCCATTTAACTGACCTATTGGTCAGTTGGCTTCTTAAGATGGTTCTTTTTCAGTCATCCTACTGAACTACCCAACATACAGATAGGATGCAAGAGGATCCCCTCAGACACTACAAAACAGATAGAATTATAAGTCAGTTTTTCATTAAATGCATAGCAGAGAGGCTGAGAACTGAAACAGAGAGGACTTCCACTCCACTGAAGGAAATTGTACCTTTAGAGACTAAATGGTGAAGAAAATTGCTAGAAAGAGCAGGACAATTTAACCTGAAGCTTGACTGCACATCCTATCCTTTTGTCCGGCTAAAAAAATCAATTTCTCAGTTTACCCTGACAATTTTAATTGTAGGGCTGACTATATCACAGAAGAGCAAACACGAGATTAGATCTGAAAATATGTAATTTACTTTGGCAATCAAATAACAATGAAACTATTAAAATATAACACCCCTTCCACTTATCTATTGAACATGTGTTCTTAACAGATTCTGAAATACATGTTCACCATACACACACATAATATAGTTTCTTACAAAAAGTAATTATATGTATACCTTAATGAGATTCCACTAAAATTCTGTGAGCTGAAATTCACTGTAGGTAAGAAAAACTAAAAGTGTTATTCTACTGGACCTTACCTTCCTTGGAGCTCAGTGTATCTGATGTAATAAATTCACACTTTGCTGTGTTAAATTTGTTCATGCAATAGAAGCTCATAAAAAAGAATATAGACTAAAGAGTAAGTTGCATAATGAGATTTAATCTATGTAAAATATGTCCCAGAAGAAATGTCCTTTACTTTGATTATATCCCTTGAAACAAGATCCCCTGCTGGAAACCACAATAAATGAGAGCTTGGGAAAAAACTCGTCTGGCAGGCAAGCTTGCCTTTTAAAACAAAAGTTCACCAAGCCCACCAAGTCCATGATCCTGGGGTGGGCTTAATTAATGTCAATGAAATCTCCGAGGTTTCCTGAGGATTAAAGAGAAAATAAATCTCTCTGGATTCTCCATGCCTTCCTCTCTGAGATACTCAAGATTGAAGACACACACACACACACACACACACACCACCTGTGTGTGTGCACATATTACACCCATATGCACACATGTGCACACACATTCAGGTGCACATATACAGAGAGTAGGTGTCTATTTCATTATGCAATGCTCTTTTTAAAAATTTAATTTTTTCAGGGTAGGTTCACATGTCACTTTACTATAATTCTCAACATGGCTCTAGAATGTCAACAGCTATATTGTCTCTTGTCATCAGAATGATTTAGCATATTTCTCGGAGTGGACATGATAACATTTCTGTATTGCCTTTCTGTTCTGTCATTGACTCATATTTTTATTAAATGCACAGTGATGCTCTGTCAAGCTCAACTGAAAAGACATACCTGAGTAGAATCTTCAGTTATTTTTCATTAAAATTTTATTTCATGTGAAATAATTCCTCATTGAATTAAAAGGGCTTTTTTTTTTCCCACCAACTGTGCACTCTATTTTATTTCACTCAGAGTCAATGAGATTCTGGGCCTGATTACACATCCTTTTATCAGAAACAAATTAATACCAATGCCAATAAAATATTTAATTTTATTTTATATTGGTTATGTATAAAGAGACTTACCAAGAGCATGTTCACAGATCATAGCAACCATGTTGTCCCCCAAAAATGAAAGAGGAGGCTAGAGATCAGCTTTCATTAATACCTAAATATAATATATAGCTAATGCTGATTCCCTGGCCTGGAAGTAGCAATTCCACCCTGTAAATAACACATGTGACTTTCAGCATGAAACACACACATGCAATACATATAAAATACACAATTTTCAGAACCGTTAAGCTGCTGTACCATACCCAAGGAAACAATCATATTCACTCCCCATCCACATCCTGAACAATGATTATTTTTATGAAAATTCTCTTTCAGTTGTTCTTCTCCTACCTTTCCAATTATGCCAGCCACATCATTTTGAGCCTCTGAGTCTCTTTAAAAGTTTTGTTATGCAGACTTCAATTTTCTAAACATCTCAGAAATACACAAGTGGTCTTAACAAATATAGTGCGACTGCCGTGTGGTTTCGTGTTGCTTTTGTAGTTTCTAAGACACTCTAGCATTATTTAATTAGCTAAAATTTCTTCTCTCTTGAGAAATGGAAACTCAATGAAATGTCAACAATGCTGTCAGTCTGCTTCAGGCTAAACTCATTACACAAAAACTAAAGGTAAAAATAGTACAAGGCAGAATTCTTTGTCATAATTTTGAGGCCCACACCTTATGTCAATGAAATCCATATGTGATTCAATGAAAATGCTAAATTGGGAAGAGTAGCTAATAAATTATCTCAACCGAGGCAATAATTGATCAGTCCTTGCATAGAAATTTATCTAATTAGCCAAACAACATATCAAGTTCTGCTGAGGTTTATCTCAGTGCTACATTTATTTCATGATGAACCCTTGCTTTTCAGTTCTGATAAGGCCGAAAAATGCTCTGTGCTGCTCTTTATTCCTAAAATAAATCCTTTTCCCCTGAGAAAGAAAAAAAAAATCATTGTCTTTTTAAGCGAAGTACAGCCAAGAACTGAACAAAAATGCCTCATTTTATCTGAATTATCATGAAGGGTTCGGGATCCATGGGCTCATTACTAAGGATAATAAAATTTGGCATTTTCTATTGTCTGAGGGTTTATAAAGGCTAAATTTCTTGATTTATTTAAATAGATGATAGGAAAGAGCAAACTACAAAAACAAGTGCTATATACTGAAGGCATGTGAATTACCTCCTTCCCAAGGATAATGCAAATTAGAAGTACGTAAAGCTTTGTCTGCACCTGGGATCTTTAATGAGGATAAAGAAAAATCAGACAGAGATTCTCCTGGGGAAAGAGAGGATCGTTATTTGAATAACCTGCAGTGAATTCTAATCAATGCGACGTGACTTTGAAAATGAATGTGGTCTTTCAACCTGCTATACTTGAGCTGTAATATTAATCATAACTCCATGGTACAGTAAAGCTTATGACAAATGCTTATCCAGTGGACTCAGAAAAAGACTGGCTTGGGTGTGCCAAGGAGAAATGGATCCATGAAAATACAAAGGCTCTTCTCTTTTCCTCCCTATGAAATGGAACCATGAAAATACAAAGGCTCTTCTCTTTTCCTCCCTGCTAGCCCATTCATTGGCTAGTGTATTCTGTTATCTTTCTTTGATTATCTCTAAAGAGGCTGATACAAATTGCATGTCATAACTGTAATTGTTTTCTTTTCGTCAAAGGTGACATTTTACATGTAGCTTATTTCCTGACACAGTCTTGGGAGTGTTATTTAACATTAAATTATATCAGGAAACTGGTGTGCCAATCTGCTAAGGATGCATTAAATAGCACAGCAAACCACTGCAACACAGGAGGGAATTTCAGCTCTGCCCTATTAGAGCACTGCATTCTTTATAAGTGCATCCTGGACCTAAAGAAGGATGAGTATACACATGGCAGATTTCCTGGAATGTTAGATAGAAAAGTGATACTGACTTAAATAATATTTTTTTTAAAAAATCAGCTATCAAGTGTTTTCTGACTTAAAAAATGTAATTAGTTTTTGACAGGTTGACATTAAAAGGCTTACAGCAGAGGCACATAATGCATTAAAGCTAAACTCTCAAAAATCACATGAGGAAGGAAGAAGATGATAAAATAAACATCTTAAAATAATTTAAATAATCTTTTGTCAGGAAGTGATTCCAGGGAAAGAAGAGGAGTGGCATATTTGTATCGGCCTAATGGAAATAGTGTTTAGTAATCAGAGCTGCTTGCCTGATCATTGTTGTTGCTGTAATTTTCCGAGGTGAACTACAAATGGTGCAACACAGACAGGTCGTCCAGCATGTCCCATTATTTTGTGATGACTCTTATTCATAAGGCAAAACAGAAGTTCATTCTTCAAGTGTATATTCCCATAGGAGAGTGGTTTCTAGATTTCAGGTGTGAAGTAAAAGGGAATGCTAGATGCTACTCACAAATCTGAAGGCAGCCAAAGTAGACAGATGCATTTCAAAATTACTCTTGTTTTGTAGAATTTAAGAACAAGAGGCTACGTAAGATATCCTGTATTTCATCTCCTGCTTCAATGCTGCCATCAAATCATCATGGACACACAGATGGAATATATGTTGCAGATAAATGGAATGTGTGCATATGTGTATATATATATGTGCACACACATGTATATGTAAATATATATGAGACAGATATAAAATATATATGGAAAGTATACTTGAAATATAAATAGTCAAGTATTTGGTCTGAGTCCACAGCCTGAGAAACAGGAGAGCCAATAAGTACCCCCGTAAGTCTCTCCTATAAAAACAGAGTGTAAATTCCAGTTCAATGGCAGGAGATCAACATATGATCAACATTTCAACATGTGTACATATATATATATATATGTACACATATATTCAGGTATATACATGAATTTGTACACATATATAGGTATGGAATGTACCAATTTAAAGACATATTTGTAGATATAATGTAGATAAATAGAATACTGAACTTGAAGTCACAATCAGTCATCATGGTCCTCATATATTGTCCTTAATGTATTTTTTAAGTGTCATTTTAATGATCTTTTACTGACAGTTTTATCCCTAACCAACATTATCATATGTGAATTATCATGACTTATTTTACATGTGATTGTAAACTTCCAGCCCTAATGCCGAGGATGTCCAACATTTTTTGTCTCTTCCAATGTGTTAAGAAGATAGAACACTGTATGTGGTACACACTAATTTTATCCCCATTTTAGAGATGAGAATTCAGAGTTGTGATGGTTAATTTTGTATGTTAACTTGACTGAGCCATGAGATGCCCAGATATTAGGTTAAATGTTATTTCTGGGTATGTCTGTAAGGATACTTCTGGACAAGATTAGCATTTGAATCATAGGCTAAGTAAAGCTGATTGCCCAGATTGTCTGCTCTAATATGGGTGCGCATCATCCTGTCTGTTGAGGCCTTGAATAGAAAATTCGGAGAAAGGGAAAATGTGCATGAGCACTCTCTCTCTCTTTCTCTCTCTCTCTACCTGACCTCTTGAGCTAGATGTTGATCACCTGCCATTGAACTGGAATGTACACTCTGTCCTTGTAGGAGAGACTTACAGTAGACTTACTGACTCTCCTGTTTCTCAGGCCTTTGGACTCAGACCAGAACTACATCACTGACTCTCCTGGGTCTCCAGATCTCAATCTCTCTCTCTCTCTCTCATCTGCCTATCTATCATCTATCTATCTATCTATCTATCTATCTATCTATCTATCTATCTATCTATTTATCATCTATCTCTATCTATCGATCTGTTTGTTTATCTATCTTATCTATCTAGCTAGCTAGCTAGCTAGCTATCATCTATCTATCGCCCTAACCTTCCATTTATTTATCTAATCTCCCGTTGGTTCTGTTTCTCTGAGGACTCTGACTAATAGAAGGATCTTAGGAAGGTTGTGTTAATTTCTCAATTTAATCCAAGTTGTAAGTGGCAGAACTGAAAATAAAATCTATACTTCTAATATTAACTCATGATTCTTTTAAAAAACAAATTTATTGAGTTATAATCTGCATCCTATCAAATTCATGCGTAAGTGTACAATTCAATGATTATTAGTAAACATACTGAGTTGTGCATCAATCATCATAATCCAGTTTTAGAAATTTATTCTCCCCAGTAAGATCCCTCATGCCTGTTTACAGTTAATCTCTGTTCCTACCCTTAGCCCTAGGCAACCACTAATCTATTTCTGTGTCTATAGGTTTTACTTTTCTAGATGTTTCATGTAAATGGAATGGTGTAATATAAAGTCTTTTGTGTCTGGCTTCTTCCACTTAGTATAATGTTTCTGAGACCCCTCTCTCTTGTTGCCTCATGCTTTTTATAATGCATTTGTCTACTCTTCACTCTGCTCACTGCTTCTGCTCTATTTTGAGCTGTTTCTATTTTGATCTCAACTTAGGATGGGAAACAAAGAGATGCACTGTAGCATGGTGAAAAAAAAAAAAACACTAGCATTGAAAGCAAGAAGATCTGGGTTTGGAGTCTATGAGCAAGGCAATTCTATCTCTCAACTACTTCACCTGCAAAATCTTGTTTACTGGAAAGACAAAATGAGATAAGGCCCAAAATTGTACTTACAAAACCACATAAATAGTATAGTAGTTTATTAATATTGTGTTTATTACAGCATGAAGAGGTAAATGAGTCAACTTTTCAAAATATAATAATCTCTTTATACTCAAGGAATCCTAGATCTAGTGTGAGAAAGTTTGATTAACATAGTCTTTATTTATTTATTTATTTTTTTGAGACTAAGTTTTGCTCCTGCTGCCCAGGCTGGAGTACAATGGCGCAATCTCAGCTCATTGCAACCTCCGTCTCCTGGGTTCAAGCAATTCTCCTGCCTCAGCCTCCCAAGTAGCTGGGATTATGGACATGGGCCACCACGCCCAGCTAATTTTGTATTTTTAGTAGAAACAGGGTTTCTCCATGTTGGTCAGGCTGGTCTCAAACTCCCAACCTCAGGTGGTCCGCCCACCTTAGCCTCCCAAAGTGCTGGGACTACAAGCGTGAGCCACCACGCCCAGCCAATTAACATAGTCTTAACAGTGATCTAAACTCCTTCAGTTCAGGTCACCATTCCCTAATGTAAACCCAAGTTCATGTTTATATGCCACAAGTGGTAGGTTTTTATTATGTACAACTTATAAACCAGGCCTGAATTCTATTCAAGGTAGCCCATAGTAGAGGCCACCAGTCCCAAACTGCGGAAACTGCAAAAGAATCACCTGTGACGTCTCTTGAAAATGCAGATTCCTCGACAGACAAGGATTGCAGCTTAAAAACCTTCATTTTAAATAATTCTGAAAATGATCCATTTCTATCCTAAAATTGAGAACCAAACTTGAGTGAAAATGGTTCTCAGATATATTACCTAAAGTCAATGTAATGATATTAGAGCATTCTAGAATCACACCACAAATTCCCATGGTGCAGAGGCTGCTGTTGGCCTCCAATATCCATTCTTCCCTTCTTTCTTTTAGCACTATTATCCCAGAATTTTAGCTGAGGTCATGATTACCCGGCATCCCTTGCTGCCGGGTATGATCATGTAACTAACTGCTGGCCAATGACATTTGAACAGAAGTGATGCATGCCATTTGTGGCTCATATTCGTAAAAGTAAGGGGTTTACTTTCCATTCATTTTTTTTTCCTTCTTCCCAGGAGCTAAACTATGAATAGGGCGAGCCATCCATGACTGTGTAGATAAAGACAACATTAGTGAATTGCAAAGCATCAAGATAGCAGTTTGGGTATTAAATAAACTCATGGATTGCCTCCCAGCTCATATTCTTAAGTGAGATAAGTAAACTTTTATTTTGTATAAATTATTGTTATTCTTTCCTCTGCTAAATAATTAAACTGATATCTTCACCAATATGCTAACTAAAAGGCATTCACTATTCAGAAAACTCAATTAAGTAGCTTTTGAATGTCTGAATTGCTAAGTTTGTTTCTTTTCTGGACATATTTACTTTACAATGGTTAAGACCTTGTCTTTCTGACATTCTGTTCAATTTGAGGAGCCTGAAGATTTGGTCAGAGGAGCACAGTAACAAAAGCTTGTAGATGAGGTAGAGAATTGAGAATTTAGAGATTTACATTTGGTCTTATATGTAAATCTGGACCAAATGTAGAGATTTACATTTGGTCTTATATGTTTTAGGTTTGATAAGTTTGACATCATTGGTATGAATGAGTGGAGGGCAGGTGACCGGTCTTAGTCATCTTGGATTTTTCCAGAGAACCTGGCACACATTAAGTGATCAAAAATATTTGCTGATTTACTCTGAGCAAAAGACTCCTGTGCAACACGAGTGCTAACATAATGAAATTTGTAGGCTTTCCCATAGATAAGGCACAGTGGGGCTATTTTCTTTAAAAGGGAATAGTAGGCAGGTGGAATAGGTAATTGCTGAGTCCCATTTAGCTTTAAAAGAAAGACAGCTCATGGCTCTCTCCCATTTCCAAAATCTGCTGCTGATTCTCTACTACCCTACATAAAGCACACAAAACATCAGTACTCTCCATAAATGCACCCAGTTCACTCTCTTTCCAGCTTAATTTGCTCTAAACGTACCTGAATTCTCCTTGTATTTTCCTGACTTTACATTCTGCTCTACCTGTTCCCTCTGCTTGGAGACATATCTTCCTATCAAATTCCCATCCACTCTGCATGAGTGAATGCCCTTCAGTGTTATGTGAATACACAGATCTCTTGAAAGCAGGGGAGGTAAACAGCCTTGACAGTTCCTAGAAGTCATTCTAATAGATTTTGAATGATGATCTCTCACTGAAGAGATCCCATACATTACAACTCCAGGTCAGAAACCAGAGCAGAAGATACTTGCTGATGAGAGAGTTATTTCCAAATTCCCGGTTCCTGACGACTGGCCAGAGGGTCAAGGTGGACGAAGATCAGAGGTGGCTCCTGGCATAGCCCTTTCCTGATGGCTGCTTCTATTTATAGGCACTATCACCAAAACACATCCTAAATGTTTCCCGTCATCTCCACCATATTTGGATACGACTTACTTCCCCCCAGTACTACTATGTTAGCCTGAGCCATCATCATCATTTACCTGAACTTATATGGAGTACTGCAACAGCCTCCCAACTAGACTCTCTTCTTCCATTCTAGTCTTCTCATCACAATTAATTTCACACAAAAGAGTCAGAATGATTTAAAATGCTCCAGTGGCTGTCTATCACACTGATCATAAATCCTAAGAATAACTCCACTGATTTAGCTTCTGCCAGCCCCTCTGACATTACCTGGTACCACTTTCCCCCTGTCAACTATATTCTAGCCACACTGGCCTATTCCTCAAACACACCAAGCTCTCCCTTTTTTCTTGGCTTTTACACTTGCAATATCTCCTGCTGGGAACATCTTGTCCTTTCAGCTTTGCCTTGCTGGTGCCTCCTCATCAAATAAATCTCAACATAAAAGTCACCTCTCAGAGAGACCTTCCCTGGCCCCTACTAATTAATGCTTCTCTCTCTCTCCATATCAGACTATTTTCTCAGAGCACTTAGCACTATTTGAAATTAATTTATTTCTGTTGAGCACATCATTAGATATCAATAAGCTGCTATTAAATGAATGCGTTTAGCAGAGTGGATAAGAACTCAAGCTCCAGAGCCAGTCTTGCTAAGTGAATCTAGGCTCTGGCATTTGCCATCTGTGTGTCTGTGGGCAAGTTAACTATCCTCATTGTGACTCAGTTTCCTAATCTGTAAAATGGGGATACTAAGAGCACCTACTTCATAGGGTTGTTGTCAAGATTAAATAAATTAACATATGCAATGGAAAGGTATAACATTTGCATGGAACATTGTGTGCAGTCAGAAAAATCAGATCACCATTTAAAGAATGGTATTTAAATTTCTAATCATAACTAAAACTGAACAGCATATTAGTAACTACATAAGTTGATCAAATGTTTAGGGTTTTAGGTGGAGTCAGAATACTATGATTATTATATGCCAAATTTTTAGGTCCCTGAATTATCAAGGCAAGCTGCTGTTCAGGGCTCTGATTGTTTTCTTTATGACTTCACGTATCAAGAACATTTTACAGAATTATTATATGCAATGGTCTGTGATCGGTTCTAAAACGGATCAATTGCCATAAAGTTGAGAACAGATGTAAACTAGCATTTACAGCACAATAGCATCAAAAGCTATGTATCCAGAACCATGGGGACACTGAGGGGGAGCAGGGAGGAGGACACACCTCACACAACCCTCCTGTGGGTGTGGGTGGTGGCCAGGAAGGCGCGTGGCCTTGCAAGGCAGGCTGTAGCCTTGGACTGCGAGGTATTTCGTGAGCACCTGTGGACTCCCCAGTGTGGTGAACGCCACTCACCACGCAAGGAATGTGTAGTCACTGCATGAGCACATACCCAGGAAAGAATGCAGAGTCGTTTGCTCTCCTCAGCAGCATGTGAACAAATGTGCCACACATATGTACTTACACAAATGCAGAAATATAGGATTGCTCAAGAAAGGGAAGGAGAAGTGTGTTGAAACTTAATGGCGTACCAAGCATTTCCTAAGGGATGTTGTCTGTCAGTTTGTTTTCACTGGCTGATTGAAAATCACATGTGGCTTTCAGATGTTGAAAAGGAAAAGTATTCATATATAACAATGGGAACTTTTTTAGTACAATTCTTGATGTGAGCCACTTGGACATCCATATGATATTCCTGGGCAAATCTTTGGGCACAAGTTTCTGGAAGGACATCTAAAGATCATTTTCATTTTCCCCTTTCTTCTTTAGCTCTGATATGCTTTCAGAGATGGGGCCTATTCTAGCTGAGGCTTTTCTTCCCCCTCCTTTCTCTATTGCAGGGAGATGATAAAAATGTAAGATTTATTTTCACCCTGTTTTTCTTTCAATTAATGTGAAATCTTACTACAAGAAAGATGATCAGAAAACAAAATTCTGATAAGATTTGTTTCATGATTAAGAAGTCTGTGAAAAGGCCACCCCAAAGACTGGTATTGCACTATTGGCCTTAGAAAAAATTGTGACATGCAGAAGTGTAAGGGGAGAAGCAGATTAGCTGTTTATCTAAATATGCCCTAATCAAAAAGTAAATAAAGCTTCAGAAAAGGAAATGATACAGCACATTAGCTGAGTGAATAGTCTTGGCACCAAATAGACCTATGTCTGAAGGAGTCCACTGCTACTGACTAATTATTCTACCTTGTGGGCGGAGCTTGTTAGAGCTCCAAAATCATCGCTTCCTAGACTCACAGCCAGACTGCATTTCCTAGCTTCCTTTGCACCTAGGTGTGGCCTCGTGAGGGAGTTCTGACCCATGACCACCTCCAGTAACCCACAGCCAACTACACTGGAATGTTCCACGAGACAAAAATTAAGTTTTGATGGGTTTGGCAGCAAGAATTTTGAGGTTCTTCTAGCAGCTAGCCTACCTTTACACATTTGAATAAGATTCTTTTTTTTTTTTTAAACTTCCAGTGAGCTCTTTATTTATTTTTTTTATTTTTTTTTTACAATTTATTTATTTATTTATTTTTATTATTATACTTTAAGTTTTAGGGTACATGTGCACATTGTGCAGGTTAGTTACATATGTATACATGTGCCATGCTGGTGCGCTGCACCCACTAACTCGTCATCTAGCATTAGGTATATATCCCAGTGCTATGCCTCCCCCCTCCCCCCACCCCACAAGAGTCCCCAGAGTGTGATGTTCCCCTTCCTGTGTCCATGTGATCTCATTGTTCAATTCCCACCTATGAGTGAGAATATGCGGTGTTTGGTTTTTGGTTCTTGTGATAGTTTACTGAGAATGATGATTTCCAATTTCATCCATGTCCCTACAAAGGACATGAACTCATCATTTTTTATGGCTGCATAGTATTCCATGGTGTATATGTGCCACATTTTCTTAATCCAGTCTATCATTGTTGGACATTTGGGTTGGTTCCAAGTCTTTGCTATTGTGAATAATGCCACAATAAACATACGTGTGCATATGTCTTCATAGCAGCATGATTTATAGTCCTTTGGGTATATACCCAGTAATGGGATGGCTGGGTCAAATGGTATTTCTAGTTCTAGATCCCTGAGGAATCGCCACACTGACTTCCACAATGGTTGAACTAGTTTACAGTCCCACCAACAGTGTAAAAGTGTTCCTATTTCTCCACATCCTCTCCATTGAATAAGATTCTTAAACTCCATGCTCTAATTTATTTGTTAATGGAGCTAACATACCTACCTCATAAGGTTGTTATGTGGACCTGAAATGGTTCTTCTTTCTTGTCCTCAAGCTATTTTTTCCTTCTTTTGTGTATTTATACTTTTTCTTATTACAGTAAAAAAGAATCCCTAGTCCTCATTCTCTGATACCCACTTTGGTTGTTAGTTGGAGAAAAATTGTAGGAAAAGCAAAGTAGCCCAACAATCGTGCCTGTGAATAAACCATTCCTTGGAAGGAATGATAAAGAGCTTTAAGTCCTTAATTCAGTGTAAAACATAGCTGGGGCCCTGTGGGGCCAGTCTGAACAGAGTCACATTAAATGAAAACACAAAGAGAAGTCTAGCAGCATTAAAGGTTAATATAGATCATTACTAATTTTCTCAAAGGGGATGCCACAGGGATTTAACACAAACATGTTGCACAGAGTTTCTCGGAAATACTTTCCAGACATCAAATTCTCTCCCCTGATTCTCATGACAACTGTTAAAATCCTTCTCATGCTCTTATCTACTTGGTTTTCTTTCCATCAGAGTCATCCTTGACCTCCCTCTCTTCTCCCCTTCATTGCTGTCTCCCTGCTGAAGAAAACCAATGGAATTTCTGACCCTACCCACTGGCCAAACCCAACCACACACTGCCATGAGCCTTACGTCCTGTCTACTACTTCATGGAAGAAGGTTTACTTCCTCTTGGAAGTGTGATTCTAATTTCTTCTAACAGCTTATCTTGTAAATCATTCTTATGGAACATTTCCAGTGAATAAAATTTTCTACCTTGTCATATGATTTGATCTAATAACTTAGGTGACCTGAGAAGGAAAAAATCAGAATATTCAAATCTTCATTCTGACAATAAGCAGTCATAAACAAGTCTTCACAATCAGAACAAAGTTAAGAATTCATTCCAAGGGAAGGAAATTGTCCTGAGAGTCATGAGTGAACAATGGTAAGAGAGGTGGGCAGAGCTGGCCAGATTGAAAAAAGTAGTGCAGTTCAGATATGCTCCAATTTAATTCCCACAGGGAGAAGCTTCTCTTGTTAATAACACATCTTCCTTCCAAATGCCCATCTTGTTGGAAACAGCCACATTTCTAATGATATCAGTTTAAGATGCATGAAAATGCAATTTTTTTTATCTGTAAGAGGTAAATATAATCATTATTAATATTACTTCAGACTTATCTCCAGGCATATTTATTTAGTCCCTGAGGGATTGGGACTCTATATAACTTGCCTTAGGTGAAGACAGGATGAACCAACAACTCGGAATCCCAGTGGAGTAGGCAGTCAGGAGCAGGAGCACCCCAGCCTCTTTCAATGTCTCATGCTGTGGAACTCGTGGTTGTTAAAAACTTTGAAGGGTATGAGATTTGACCCTACTTATAAGCTAACAAGAGACATGTGAATCTTGAGCAAAAGGCAAACGTGAGCTTCATGTTTGCATTGGTTGCCTTTGTCACCCAGGTCCCATGGAGACTGTGTGCATGCAGTAACACATCTGGGACACATCTGAGGAACCCTCAGATTGGAACATCCCAATCTTTTATTATGGGCTGCAAGCAAACCTGTCCAAGATTTGCCCCAGAGGGAGATAGTATCTTTAATATCTGGGACAACAAACAAATCTCTGCTCTTCTTTGGAGGGAGACACTGGCTCTACTCTTGAAGACTGTTTGCTGTACAGACATTCTTGAAAATATGGACTGGAACAAAATGTTGTCACTGTGTCTGTTCACAAGATGTGCGGAAATCTGAGACACCCATGGAGAATTATCTCCCAACAATGGTAGCAGTGTGTACTGCCAATAAGATATATTGAGAGCCAGGTGAATCTACCTGGTTTCAAACCCAGCTCCACAATTACTGTTTAGCAGCTTTCAAGGAAGTTACTTAAACTCTGAATTTCAGTTTCCCTATGTATAAAATAGGGAGGATATTACCTATTATATAGAATTACTATAAAAATTAAATAAAATGGGCTATAAAGTAACTATGATAACATATGTATATTACACAGGTAATATATGACATTACATTTTAAATATTCCAATATAATGCTATATATTATTTTATTTTGCACTTCTTGCTAACTTAGATTGTATTTTTGTTTTAGTTAACAAGTCTAGCTAGCTTTGAAATGCTATTTAACTTGTTTATACTGGGACATCATAAAGAGTCCTAGACAAGAGACAGGGACCTAGGTTCCAGGTCTACCACAGACCAGCTGTGTAATTTAGCAAGTCAAAGGAGGAGATTGCACAAAAATTCAGGGATAGCAAAAAAGATTCCATCCCAGTGCCAGGCCCAGGCAATGAGTAGTGACTGCCTAGAAAGTTGTGTTGAGAAAAAAATGTGAGCCTGTATCTAGGCTCAGCAGGAAAGTGTGCTCATGATGAGCTAGCTGTATCTTTGAGGTGCAGGCTTGATGAGGAATGGAACAGAGTGGTCTGGAGGGGGTGAATAGTGAAAATGTGGTAGTATCTTGACATTGCTTTGTATATAACAGTTGCTCAGTTAATGCATGTTAATTGATTGTTAATTGATTGACTAGTGGATTGATTAGTAAGGTTTCTGGAGTCCTGGGTCAAAGATGAAAAATGAGGAGGGCATGAAGTGATGAGGGGGAATGTGGAGGCAAATGAACTACTCTACAATTTTACTTTGGGAGAAAGGGAATCTTACTTTTACTTAGGCCATGACCTCTAAGCTAGGTTAAGTACTTCTGGAAATCTCAGCTGCTACCAGGCTGCATATGGAGCGCAGCCAGCCTCTTTTCAAATGACCTGGTGTACTGAAGCTGCCTCTGGTTTCTCCTGGGCTCCAAATTACTGCTATGAAGCAGCCGCTGAAACACTTTAATGGCCACAATTAAACAGTCCCAGAGGCTGACCTTTAGACGTGGCAGTGGTTAATCGAGCCAACTGCCCTGGTGGCTGCCATCTTTGGCAAAGACTTGCAAGTCCAGTGTGGCTTGGTCTTTTGTTTGGCTTCCCAGAACATGTTCTAAGGGAGAAATCATACTTTCAATCACACCAGTAGAAATTATGAAAACGTGGGGATGGGACTAGACAGATGAGGGAATTCCCATGTTCTTGTAAGAAAAAGGCCCTGTCAATGACAAGTGTGAAGGTATCTCAAAATTGTCTGTGCTTATTAAATTCCTTAAGCAGACAGAGCCAAGCTTTTACTAGGAAAAGGGAAAGAATTCATAACTAGAACTTAATGCTTTTATCTATTAGTCAATTAATAGTCATTTAACATTGAATGAATGACCAAAAATAATGGAGAGAGCTTCATGCACAGGGAGACAGCCATGGAAAATGAGCTAGAATGTAAATCCCTAAGAGCAGAGGCTGATTTTGTTTGGTTACTACATTTGCCAAATGTCTAAAATGCTACCTGGTATATAACAGATGCTCAATTAATAGCTGTTGAATAAATGGGTATACACGAACTTTACCTTCACTGAGCTCACAATCTAGGAAATATATAAACAAGACATTTGTCACTTTTGATGAGTGCTATAAAGTGTTGTGACATGATGTGGTAGACACTAACTGGGGAGTGGAGGGAGATGTACTTTGGTTAGTAAGGTTCAGGAAGGCCTGTGTTTGAGTTGAGAGAAGCATGACAAGAAGGAGCCATCTAGGCAAACATTGTGGGGAGGGGGAGATTTTTAAGCAGACAACAGCAATAGACAAAGGCCATTAGGAAGCAAATAACATGTGTGTTAAAGAAATCGAGGGGGGCCGGGAGTGGTGGCTCACGCCTGTAATCCCAGCAGTTTGGGAGGCTGAGGTGGGTGGATCACCTGAGGTCAGGAGTTCGAGACGAGCCTGGCCAACATGGTGAAACCCCATCTGTACTAAAAATACAAAATTAGCCAGGCATGGTGGTGGTCACCTACAATCTCAGCTACTCGGGAGGCTGAGGCAGGAGAATCACTTGAACCTGGGAGGCGGAGGTTGCAGTGAGCTGAGAGCGTGCCACTGGACTCTAGCTGGGTGACAAGAGCACAACTCCATCTCAAAACAAAACAAAACAAAACAAAACAAAAAAACAAAAACAAAACAGAAAGAGAAAAGAAACAGAGGGGATAAGGGGAAGGGAGACAACAAGTGAGACGAGGAGAAGTAAAACATTTAATCTGAGTAGTGGGTAGGGACCAAGTCATATAGGGTCTCCTAATCATGGTAAGGAAATTTGAGTTTTACTCTATGTATTCATCTCCTAGGGATGTTGTAACAAATTACTACAAACTGGGTGGCTTAAAGCAACAGAGATTTATTTGCTCACAGTTTTGGGAACCAGAAGTTCAAAATCAAGGTTTTGGCAGGGTTGGTTCCTTCTGGAGGCTCTGAGGGAAAATCTGTTCCATGCCTCTCTCCTAGCTCCTGATGGTGTTGATAACCCTCTTGATCCTTGGCTTGTACATGCATCACTCCAGTCCCTGCCTCTGTCTTCACATCTCCTCCTCCTCTCCTGTGTCTCTCTTCTTCTATGTCTTCTCTTCCTATAGAGCACTTGCCACTTGATTTTAGGCATACTTGAATAGTCTAGGATGATCTCATCTCAAGATTTATAACTTGGTTACCCCTGCAAAGGCCATGCTTTCAAATAAGTTCACATTCACAGGTTCCCCGTGGACATATATTAGGGGGAGGCATTTACCTCACTGCAATTAATTTACAATGAAAAAAACCATTATAGAATGACATGCAAAGGGGTGACAGAAGATTTATTCTTTTCTAGATTAGGACCTGATTCAGGAAGAACAAGGGTGGAAGTTTTTGGCAGTGAGGGATGAGGTGTTGGGAGGTTGCTGCATCCATGTGGAAGCAGGAGTAGCTAAAAAGTCTGAGTTGGGAGTGGGGCCGCTTGGTGGCAAAGGAGTATGAAAGTAGTGTCTGGGATGAAATTGGGACAGTGACACCCAAGCAGCATTGTGATCCTAGGCACAGCTGCTCTAACATGACACAGAAGTCAGGTCTTTGGTTGGAAATCAGTCAGGTCCCCTCCTTTTCATGCTTCTCATTGCCTCACTCCTGGCCCTCTGCAGGCCTCCTTTTCTTCTGAGTATAGTTGCGACTGAGCACTCAAAGTTGCTGCTTTTATGCCCTACTTCTTAGGACTCTGTCCCTTCCTTTGTAGAACTTACATAAATCTTAATGCTCAATTACAAAAGATTTTGAACCTCTAGTTTCTCTTTGTACCGTATTGCCCTTCTGGTGGGATCTGGGGTCTCCATTATGCGTTGCCTGTCTGTTATGTGGTGAGATTGCCATAGGCAGGAAAAAAGAAACTATTTTTCCCCTAACTGAAAATTAGATCTTAGCAAGTAGTTCTTGCTTTCCCTGTCTGAAAGCATTTCCAATAGTACTCATGGCAAGATTTCTTTAGAAAGGCAAATAGAAAAACTCAAATCCAATAAGCGAATAGTATGGACCAAAGCCTGCCCTCCATAATTTGCAATCCTTTCCCAGAGGCATGGAACCAAAGGTGAGATTTATAACTGGGTAGTAAACGTGTAATTGAATTGTTCATTTTCTTGTAAAAGTCTAAAGTACAGAATGTGTGATACAGGACTATTGAGGATCCTAACTACTTGTCATTCTATCTGTCTGATAAGTGGGAGAGAAAAAACAACTTTTTGTTGGGCAGCAAGAGGCTGAGTGCACTAGAGAAACATGGACCTTTCTTAAAATGGCAACTTTCCCTATTTGCAGATTCCCTGCAGTGAGTGTGCAGGGGATTCCTCAAAGGATGGGTGCAGCTGTTTGAAGTCTTTTTCAGTTGCAAGTGACAGTGCACCTACTTCAAATTGGCCTAGCCAAATAGGGAGTTTAATGGGCAACTTAAAACTGAGGTAGTACAAGGCCCCGGATGCTTCAACAATATCTCTGGGGTCCAATTCTTTTCTGTTAGTTTCAGTCTTTTTATACTGACATCATACTTAGACACTTCCCATCTAATGTTGGCAACAAAGACGCCAGACCTCCAATTTCGCAGTCAGCAATTGCATTGCTTCTGATTGACTCATCTTTGAACGATTAGCTGTATCAAGAAGAAGGCAGTGCTGATTGGCTAAGCTTGAGTCACATGCCCTCCCTTGGAGCTGTGAGTGAAGTCAGCACCACAGGAACAGCATAGGCTAAGAGTAGAAAAGGAGCGATTTCTCAAAAGGACATCAAGGTGCTGCTCTCAAAGCAGAAACAAAAACAAAAAAAATCAAGGAATAACAGCAGCCACTAGTGAATGATGTCCATGCATAGCTGTATGGTCTTGGGCAAATAATCCAGCCCTGTTCCTGTTTCCTCATATTTAAAGTGGGAATAATGATATTAGTATTATTCATTATGCCTCATAGAATTACAGGAAGATTGAGTTGTTATGTGTAAAGCACATTAGAACAGTGCCCAGTTACAGCTATGTTACCTTTAATATTTATTTACTTATTTACTGTAGGAGCACTGTCTCTGCTGAGTTTTATATAGACGGATGTCAAGCTGTTTTACTGAGCAGGTTGAGCCAGAAAGATATTGCAAATTTATACACATGCACCCAGAACTAGACAGAAAGCAAACATTTCAAAGGGGAAATGAAACATATCCTGATTCCTATTACTTATCACTGTCTTCACTACTGCCCCCTTCTTCAAATGACACAATCACTCCATGGACTTCTGAAGCATCCTCTTTTGTGATCTGACTCCACTCTCGACCTCTCACAGTCCAACCCCACACCATAGCCCAGTTAACCGCTACAAGGCATACATCTCTAGCTTAGTATTTTCAAGTGGTTTCCCATAGAAACCAGAATAAATGAACTTCAACTTCTAATTTACCTGGTGGAGCCATTGTCTGCCCCCACAGTGCCACTTCCCTTCACTGTTGCCATGATCCTCCACTTTGCAGCCTCCTGGTCTTCCTTCCATGTCTCAAAGAAGCTCATTCTCATCTCTTTTTAGAATTGTCTTCCCTTAGATCTTTAAAGGGTTGCCTCCTTCTCACTATCCTGGTCTCAATGTCAGCTCCAGCAAGAGACCTTTCCTGATCAACCCAGGGGAAGTATTTTTCCCTCCCCTACCTCAGTAATTCTTTATGGTATTCTACCTCTTCTATATCTCTTAATACCTGAATTTGTCTTTTTTATTTTCTGATTCCTTCTCTAGGGGCAAATATTTGAAGAAGCAACAAGGGATGAAGTATTACCCAGGGCAGAGGTGTAGGGAGAGAGCCTAGTGTATGAGGCTGCTTTTCCACTTGGGAAAATTGTTTATACATGAGAGGTCAGCTAAGACTTTGAGAGAGTGAACAACAACCCTGCTAGTCTATGAGTTACAAGAACAGATATTAGGGTTTAGGGGCTTCCCAGGAGATAAGCCCCTTGCATTGTGTTGGGTCCCTAAAAACTGCACAATAAAAGTAATGATGAAATGGAATAGACAGCAGTTTAACTTTGTCATTTTCATCACTGAAATTAAATTGAGGTAATTGCCAGTGCCCCAAATGCTCTATAGAGGAAAATGATATTATCCTAGGCCTCAAATTATATCTGTAAATAATTTTGTGTATGTTGTTTGTATTATCAATAAAAACAACCAGAAACATGAACAGACATAATAACAAGAATGATATGGTTTGGCTCTGCGTCCCCACCCAAATCTCATCTTGTAGCTCTCATAATTCCCACATTTTGTGGGAGGTACCCAGTGGAAGATCATTGAATCATGGGGGTGGTTTCTGCCGTACTGTTCTGGTAATAGCAAGTGGGTCTCATGCAATCTGATGGTTTTAAAAAGGAGAGTTTCCCTGCACAAGCTCTCTCTTTGCCTGCTGCCATCCACGTAAGACACAACTTACTCCTCCTTGCCTTCCGCCATGACTGTGAGGCCTCCCCAGCCATGTGGAACTGTAAGTCCATTAAACCTCTTTCTTTTGTAAATTGCCCAGTCTCAGGTATATCTATCAGCTGCATGAAAATAGACTAATATAAATAATAAAAACCATTTTTTTAAATGGGCAATAGACAAATATTCACAAGAGCTCCAGATAACTGAGTATCAAACACAAACTTTAAAATAACTTTTACTATGTTCAAAGACATAAGAAAAGATTAATAATTTAAGCAGAGAATGGGAAACTATTAAAAATAAAAACAAGGCCAGGCATGGTCTTAATCCCAGCACTTCAGGAGGCTGAGGCAGGAGGATCACCTGAGCCCAGGAGTTGGAGACCAGCCTGGGCAACATGATGAGACCTCGTCTTTGCAAAAAATTTAAAAAGTTAGCCAAACGTGGTGGCACATACCTATAGTCTCAGCTACTTGGGAGGCAGAGGTGGGAGGATCACTTGATCCTAAGAGGTTGAGGCTGCAGTGAGCCATGTTTGCAGCACTGCACTCCAACCTGGGCAACAGAACAAGGCCCTGTCTCAAAATCAATAAATAAAAATAAAAAAGAACAAAAAGGGCATTCTATCACTCAAAAATAAGGTAATCAAAAATCAAGAATTTAACAGATAGATTTAACAGCAGCTTAGACTCAGCTGTAGGGACAGTTAGTGGAATGGAAAATACATGAGAAGAAAATGAAGGGAAAAATGGATGGAAAGTACAGTGGTAAGGGTAAGAGATATAGAGGATTCATTGAATAGGCATAATACATTGCAGTGGGTGTTCCTGGAGGAGAAGAAAGACAATGGAGCAGAGGTAACCTTTGAGACAACTTTTAAGAACTGATGTTAAGGCATCAAGGTAAAAATTCAAGGATCTACAAAAAATTTAAGAATGATAAAGAAAAAGAAATCCACACCCAAGAAGCAAAAGAAAAAAAAAAAAGACAGATTGCTTTTGAAGGTGAAACAGACTAAGAGCTGAGATCTCAAAAGAAGCAGTGGAAACCAAGAAACAAAGGATTGCTATCTTAAAAGTATTAAAAGAAAATAAGTGTCAACCTATAACTCCAAATGCAACAAAAATATATTTCAAGAACAAAGTATTGATATTTTTAGACAAACAAAACATGAGAATTTGTTATCAGCAGATTTTTGCTCAAGGAAATACTAAAGGACTTCATTTTTCAGATAGAAGAAAAATGATGCCAGATGGAGTGTTGGAGATACAAGCAGAGATGTAAAGCAAAGATAATGATAAGTATGTGGTCATATCTAAAATAATATTGACTATATAAACTAACTATAATATTAATGCAATGTCTTATTTAGCTTCAAATATTTATATGATTCAAATGCATAACAGTGACATATAAATTGGAGTAGGAGAAAAAATGAAATTAAAATGTTTTAAGATTATTGCATTATCCAGAAAGAAAGAGAAAGAACCAGTTACTATTTTACTTTGATATGTCAATGATGCATGTTGTAATATCTAGAACAGTGAAAGAGTAATTTTCAAGTTAATGGAGGAATAGTTAGAATGAAATAAAATTAATCCATAATGGGCAAAAGGGGGAAAAAAAGAATATAAAGCATAAGTTGACAGAATGTCAAGGAGAAACAGACAACTCCGCAATCACCGTGTTAGATTTTGCCCTACCTTTCTCAGCATTTATAAGATAAGCAGAAAATATATCATAAGGAAATAGATATTGAAATAGATACGTAGTTAATCACTTGGTGTTAAATCATTGAGGTATGTACATTTAATCTTCTTTACTGTATATGTGTTCTATTTCCAATAAAAAGTTTAAAAATAAAGTAAAATAATTAGCTTAGGATCTTTTACTTTATTTGGTTTTCAACTTTATCACTAAACAAAAGTCTCACAGGTATGTCAAACTCAACATTTCTAAAACTAGAACCATCTACCTTAAATCTATTTTCCCCCATTAATGGTACCACCACCTACCCAATAATCCAAGCTAAAATTACAAGAACCAATTTAGTTCATTTATTTCACTCATTCCCAAGATCCAAGGAATGGGTAGTGTGAATTTCAGCTCCTGTTACTCCCCAACCCATTCTTTCCATTCACACCAACAAGGCTGTCACTACTTTTCACCTCAACTACTGGGTCTCTCTGCCTCCAGGCTGGTTCTTGTCTCCATCCCTAACATTGCCAGAGTAAGGCTCTTAAAGCATTAGCTTAATGCTGAAGAACACGGTGTTGGTTTTAAATTTTGTCTTTTCCATTAATTCAATTGTATGACTTTGATAATGCTATTTAATCTCTTTAAACTTCAATGTATTCTTCTATAAATGGTTATAATAACATCCAGCCCCTAGGATTGTTGTAAAAATTAAGTTTATATAATATATCAGTATCTATGTATTTGTGTAGGTATCCACACATCTAGATAAATAGAGAGGTATAGATAGGTTAGTGTTTAGCTTAACGTAACAGTTCAAGGAATGGTAGCTGTTTAAAGTTTGCCATCATTCATATCCAAACTCCTGCTTGCATTCAGTTGCTAGGCCATGGCAAGCTGTTTTATTTACATCCAGGACCTTTATATATATATATATCCGCTTTTCCTGAAAAATGTTTTATTGCTTTATGTCTACTTTTAAATGTTATGTTGGCCAGGGTTCTTGCCTCTACCATTTTCTCTTACTGGTGGTTCTCAACTGTGGCTGTATTTAGGCTCACCAGTGAAGTTTATAAAAATACAGATGTCACGGTTCTACCTAGAGATTTTGATTCAGAACTGGACATTTATTTGTACACTTTCTTGACATATGTCTGGACAAGTAACCAAGAATAAGAGGCTCTGCCATACTCTCAGTTTTTTCAGGCGATCTCAGCCGTGCTTGGTTCCTCCAGCCCCAGTAGACATCCAAGTTCACATTTACAGCCTTGATTTTAATCCAGGGTATGTCTCCTGCGTTCTATACTCATCCATGTAGTGCCTCTACTTGGGTGCTCAGTCTGTTAACACTTTACATGACATCTCACCTCCATCTAATCTCCTTTTCCTATAGTCTCAGCATCCATGAATGGCACTATAATCCACCCAGTAAGTTAACAACTTAGACTTGAACGTTATTCACAAGTAATATGTTTTGTATATAAAAACAAGCTCAAAAGAAATTTGTAAAAGGAAAACATGTACCTATAACCCCACCTCTTACATGCTTTTTCACATTGCCATACTTTTTTAAATTGAGGAATTAGAGCGTTTCTACACTCTTTTTCCTAAAATAAGTCAATTCATTGCTTTTGAAAATGCCAGATTGCTAGGCCAAGTATACATAAAAATTTATATATGATAAATGAGACACTAAAATTAATTTGAAAGTGATGGATTATTCAATAACTGATGTTAGGGTAAATGGTTAAGCATTTGGTAAAAGTTTAAAATCATACTCCTCTTTTATATCTATACTGGAATATATCTCAGATGAATTAAATACATAAAATTTATGAAAACTCTAAAAATTAAATGTAGTTGTTCTGGGATAGGAAACTTTTTAAAGAATGATACTAAATCCAGGAGGCTTAAGGTGAAGAACTGCTAGACTTGACCACACAAAAATTAAAACCTGTTTGACAAGAATTACTATATCTAACAGTAAAATGACTACAACAACAAAATGACAATAAGCTGATAAATAATCATAACATATATGACTACCCCCTTTAAGGTTTTTTTAAAAAAACCTATATAAGAAAAACATGTATATCATAATAGAAAAATATGAAGACTCAAATAGGCATACATATAAAATTAATCAAATAAATACAACACACAAAAAATATATCTTTGACTAATCAAATTGGCAAAGGTGAAAAAACTGTAGCAATAGACTGTGTATGAGCCAATATCCATGGTCATAATCTTTTGATGGATGTACAAATTGGTACAACCTCTCTTGAGGGCAATTTGGCATAATGCATCAAAATTTAAAACATATCCAGTTTCATTTCTAGGAATTCACCTAGAGATCACTGGTCAGGTGAACCAAAGCAGATGCACAAAATGTTCATCAAAGTTCAACTTTTAATATTTTAAAAACTATATATATATATATATATGAATAAGTGTATCTCAACAGAGAATTAGTAAACATATGCTTAAATTAGATAATATATAATAGTAATATTATATATAATTATATATATAAAAGCAGTAATATAATTTTATATACATGGAAAATATTAATAATAAGGAGAAAATTGTGGTGATTTGCTTCCTGTTTAGAAAATAAAAACTGTGACATACTTGTAATGTTCCTGGTACACTCTTTTGCACAGTGGTGTTAGTGAAGGTTTTATTGCACTCTATTGTTTGTCTAGATTTTCTTCGTTTAGTCAAATGAACATGTATTATTTTATTACTAGAAAATACGATAAATATATTTACCAGAAAAATAAAAGAAAATAAAGTGGAAGGTTGCTGGGTTTTGGGGTCTGTTATAATGTTGGTATTGGTAGCTAAAAGTTTGGAATACTACTCTGTCAGACTGCCTTAAAGGTGAGAACATTTGTAGTTAAATTTCAAAGATCTAATTGTCATGCTCACTTTCTAGAAAAAGATAAAGCAAAGCAAACGGAAAATGAACCGACATATATATCGATTGTCTAGTATGTGATAGATACTGCGTTAGGTATTTGATATGCTTAAATAGCCATTTAGTGTTTAGGTTACGGTCACAGTTAGGAAATGGGTATTATATGCTACCGAAGCAGGAGGAATTAACTCGTTGAGCATATTCTCCAGAAATACAGAAATGTTTTCAGTAACTACCAACTGAAGCAAAAAAAGAATCTCTGCAATAGATTGTTTTAAAAGGCTCATTATTACACCTTTCTAAAGGTGGCATGTGTTTTAATTGGCAATTAAGAAATACCTGATACACTATGGGGCCTGAGAATGACATCTGGGAACAAGGGCAGGTGGAATGCTTGAGAAAACCACTTGTTCTTTTAATCTAGACCCCAGGAATTACACAACGTATGTGTCAATTACCTTAGGAGAACCTAAGTCCTTTAGTAGTGTTTTAATCTAACCTGTTCACTTGACACGTTTGTTTTAATTGGTATTACTTTGCAAATTGCTAAAAATATGGAAATACTAGTGATCGCCTCATTAATATTCAGGGACCTCCTGTGAGGGAGGTAAAACTCAACAGCTGGCTTTTTCCCACCTAGGCTCACAGGATAATTGTCTAAGTTTGCCTCACAAGTTATTGGTAGTTGTTCAGAAGACCCAAATATAAAAGCTAGAATAATGCTTTTTTCACTTCAATTGTATTGCCCACAGCCAACTCCACAGTTCGGTGGAAAGCTGACAAGAAATATTTCTTGATTGAAACATGCCTCTTGGTCTGACCTACCCCATCAATTGGACATTGGCTACCTTAGCCTTTGAACACTAATAGCCACCAAACCATGACATTTTGGCCTGAACCAAAGCAAAAACGTCTTTGAATCTTGTCTCCAAATCTGTAAATTGGGATGATGATAATATGCACCTCGCATGGTTATAGTGAGGATTAGATAAGGAAAGATGATCAGGGGAATGTTAAATTTTAATTTCATTTTTCTCCCATAATACTGGCAAAAATTTAAAAGACTAGGGCAAGGCTTTTGAGACTATGGAAATAGGCACTGTCAAACACGATGGCTGGGACTATAAATTGGTACAAAATTTTCGAAAGCATTTTGGCAGTATTTTTCCAATCTGCACCTCTTTCAATCCAACATTTCATTTCTTGGAATTTATACTACAGAAATCCTCACGTGATTAGGTAAAGACAGATGTACAGCAGGTTTATTCATTTTTTTAAGTAAAAAAATTTGAGACCATTTAAATATCCATCACTAAAAAATGTTTAAATATATTAGAGTAAAATCAAGCTATTACATTCCATACAGCCTTAAAAATACATACACACACATGCATACACACATATATATGTATACATACGGATGTACTGACTTGGAAGATTGTTCAGGATGTATCATTGAAAGAAAAAGGCTAGTTACAAAATAACACAGAGGATGATACCATTTCTGGAGCGGGGGAGGGAGAGAGAAAGAAAGAGAGAGGCAGGGAGGGAGAAAGGGAGAAAATGAGAAAAGGAGGAAGGATCTTGAGAACATAATCTGAAAAACATCCCATAATATTATCAATAATTAACTTTATGGAGGGCTATTGGAAGACAGGTTTTAACATTTATTATATATAATTCTGTAAAGTTGTTTTTTTAATAAATGAATGCATACTACATTGGTAATAAAGGCAGAAAAAAGAGCAGGAAAGGAAGAAGAAGATAAATGGGAAAATACACTGGTCCCTCAATATCATTTCTAGTTTACTTTTTCCCTCCTACCAACCCTTTTATTTTGCTTTCTCCTTCCTTCTCTACTTCCCCCTCTCTCTTTCTTTTCCATAGTTTATTTTGCCATTTGTCAACAGTAATTCAGAGCCAGATTTACATTTTGACTCTCTTTAAAACCTTTCAAGTCCCTTTTGCCTACTGAGAAAGATCAAGGTCCTTAGCAAGGCATTCAAGGCCACCCGTACTCCAGATGATGTGATCAAGCTATACATGACAGGCATAGGAAAGATTTTAGAGAAGTAATGAATGAATAAAGAAGAATTACACACTTTTTTTGTAGCCATCCTGTTAACTACACTATGTTATGCATGCTCTTTTTATATTCCTAGTATTTTACCATTGGTGTAATTTGACAAAACGCCACGCCACTATGATGGAGACCCACCGAATTTTACACATAAGACAATTCCTCATACCATACGCTCTATGTGGAATTGCCATTCATATCACTCTCCCCTGCTTGTTCCATTATCGTAGCCCATATAATAAATTACTATAAAAATTATAAAGCACCCTCATTCAAATCTAGGTATTCCATATTTGTTATTTGAGTGAACAAAACTAATGTTCACTTCTGTCTGATTCATGTACTCACTGTGATGCACTATTTGCAATGGTAACGCACAAGTATCAGGAATCTGTTGTGTGCAATGCCTTACTCCAGTCTGAGGATACAGTAGTCAGTGAGATGTCTGCTGTTTCATAGGATTGCCATCCAACATTTTTTTTCTCTTCCTTTAGCAATCATATCCTGACTTGCCTTTGGGAAACAAACCTACTCTTAGACTGCATGTTAGGATAAATCGTCTTGCATACCTCAGTCTAGAAGAGGCACTGAGGTGGTCTTGGCCAATTGAGGTGTCACATGCCCCGTGCCATGGTGATAGTTAAAGATGGGCATGGGATCCAAACCAAGAAAATCACTACTAAACCAAGGATTTCTAAAGGAGAAATGGGAAGATTCTTTTTGCTTTTCCATTAAATTTGAATTCTAGGGTAGTTAAATCAGGAGCTGCTAGTGAGCCCTGGGTGAAATTCAAGGGAAACGCCTACACGCCAACATGAAGGGGAGTACAGTGGTGAGATGGAGAGAGCTGCACCTTGGTAACTATGTGAGCTCCTGGATCAAGTCATGCCTGAAGGCAATAATGTCTCAGCAGTTTTCAACTAGTGATCCACTAAATTTTCTTATTTGCTTAAGCAGGTTTGAGATTTCTGTGACTGTGTGATTTAAATCCCAAAGATTTTAATATAATGCATTATGTTGTTAAAAACTGTAGATTGTGTCATTACTTCAAGCATCTGGAAAGGGATTAAAATTTCCTGTAATTTTTTCAAATTCCTCTATTCACAAAAACCTTAGAAATGTCACAAATAATTAAGAAAACAGTGAAAAAAATTTAACTGTTAATTGAAAAGCATTTTTAAAATAAATGTAAATGTTTATTGTTTCCTGCATGCTAAAATGTATCAAATACCTTTCCAGCAGAGATGGGCTCAGAGGTCCAAAGAAACAGCTATTGGTCCTTATTGTGACCAAAATCTTTGGTTAAAAACTAGTAATGATTGTACATCACCTTCATATCTTTGTTCTAATGTCGTTAATAAGGCGGCTCCACAAACAGGACTAAGTAGGGAAGTGATCAGGTTGCAGAGTTGGGAGTGTTGTTTTCTTCTGACCACAGGCAGAACTCATCACTCACTCATCTTGAATGTTTGTTTCTATTTTGCACATGTTCAGTACCTTCATCAAAGTAATCACCATCATTATAATCAATATGAGATCATATTCATTCAAGGGGTTGCATATTATCATTGCTTTTTTAGTACTTATGTCTTGTACTTTAAAAGTGATAATATAGATACATCTATCTTCAAGATAATATCAGTAAGCTGCACTAATGTAGATGGCTAATACCTGCACAAGAATGTAGTCAAAAGGTACATCATATTACTAGAGAAATATTTAACTGTTCAATTATGAACATAATCAATTATGATTTATGAGGTGATTTGCAGAATTTAAGAGAGCAGACAATTGAATTTAAGAGGAAGAACAATGACAATATCATTGTCCTCTAAGGAGAGATGATGTGGAAAGTTATTTGGAGAAGGGAATGGAAGTTAAAAAGAACATCTCAATAATCTAAGCAGGCATTAAATGACTGGGGCCAAATCCAAGGTACCCACCTTTTGGTGGGACCTAAAGCCACTACTTGTTTAAGTGATTTGACAAAATCGAAAAACTTGATACAAATTATGTGCTCATTTAGGAGTCTACAATGAGTTGTTCAATGCCATGGTAGTATCTGATATTTCATAAAACCTTGCTGTTTTAAAAATCTCTTTTTTATGTTTCTAATTCCATAATTGTAAGAACTAAACTAGCAACATTATATTAACATATTTACATCATGTTATATGGAGATATATAATTTTTGTAGATTATAGAATTGGAGAATATTGATTAGACAGGAGGAAGGCCTGATATTTGAAACTTGACTCATAAAGTTAGTTTTGAAATAGACTTTCCTGATTATTCTTTATTAAAGAGTTGAAGTTCCTTTATGATAAGCACCTTATAGATTTTTATAGAGAGTATATTTATGTAGATTTCTAAAAATAAATCTAAAAAGGGAAGTGAGGTCAAAGACAATTTACGGTATAAGCAGCAAATATTTATGTACATATTTTATTTGTCAGACGCTTTACTAGCCATTTTGGTATTTTGTTCTCACAATGATGTAGGTATTAATATCCCTATTTTACAGATGAGACACTGAGGCTGAAGAAGATTTACTTGCCAAAGATGCATAGATAGTAATAGATGACAGAACCAGGAACACAACACAAGTCTGTCTGAGGCAAAGCTCACTTTCTAATCTTCTTTCTAATGCTTCTAATCTGATCTCTCTGCTTTCCAATCTCCTGCCGTATTATACTGTGCATTACAAATTTCTTTTGCCAATATTGTCCATTTCCTATTCTGCTAGCTTCTCCACCTTCTTAATTCTAATTCATATTCTTCAAGGAACTCTTGAAAGAATTGGGCCCTATATTTTTCATAATAACCCATTGCTTTACATGCAGTCCTGAATGTGAGTGTGTAATAGTAAAGTCAAAAGGAAATCAGTGCCAGGGTGACATGGAATTTCTACCACCGATGATGCCAGATGAAAGGACATGTGAGGAAACATACCTGGGAAATCTAGGTTCTTTGGAGAAATCTGGAGTCCTTTGAAACACTGCCAATTGCAAATGCCTTATCTTGCCTCTTGACAGCTGTGATAAAGGAAGTACAAATATTTCAGAAATAATCACAATAACAATACCTAACTAACCTAGCTAAATCTTATTATGTGTCAGTCATTAGACTAAGTGCTTTAGCTGTATTATCTCATCTAATCCTCATACAAATTGTACATATTAGGTGATATATTAAGCCACTTTTAAAGATGAAGAAACTGAGCTAAGGGAGATTAACTTTCTCAAGCTGACTCAGTAAATGGTAGAGCAATAAATATTATCCCACGTAGAGTAGGTATACAAAGGCAAGAATTCTTCTTCTATTTTGTCTCGTTGCAGAGCCCACCTTTTTGTATTAATCATTACCATTGTGATAAAGACATTTAAGAGGACCTAGGAGTTCCATTTATTTCCTGACTCAAACACAACTTAACCCAAATATTTTGCAACTGTTTAGTTCTTAATTTTCAGTGTCTGAAAGACATGACTAAAATAATTTTATTTTCAGTTTCTAAAAATACTGTATATTTGAAAGATGCTGAGTTCTTGAAGGTTAGTTTCCATTTATCATTGGAAAACAATTGTGTCACTCTAGAAATTATTTTTAAAAGATAGGCATTAAGATTATGTCTCAGTTTGATTTGTGAAAGATTGGCATTTTAAAATGTAATAGGAATTTTTTAAAGATGACTTGATTTTAAAATGCCTCATTGAGAAAGGAAAACATTTGAACTAGAAAGGGAAATTTGGCACATATGAGTTGTTAGCTGGTAAAAATAGGTGTCTAATTCTGGAAGAATCCATTATTAAGTGCTTCATAGTGAGAAGATAGAAATATGACATCCCATCACCCTTTGTGTCTGATATTTTATAGTTGCTCATAATGCTAATTTTAATGCAGAAAGTTAGTATTCAACAATAGGCAATATAAGTTACTTTTTCCTTCTTTTTTTTTTCTCTCAGGACTTAATTCTGCAAACTGCAATTCACATACACAGACACACATACACACACACACTCACACACACAGGTACGTAACAGAGACACTGGAAGCAATGCAATTCACGTTTGCAGGTCTAGATGGACCTTTCTGTCTGAAACAACTAAGGGCAATGCAGCTGAAGCAAATGGTCCTGCATTCATATGTATTCTTTTTGAGATAAAGGCAATTAAAAGTTTTAGAACTTTACATATGCTGTGTAAAAATTTTAAACCCCCTCCTTGCAAAGGGGAACACTGGAAGAGTCCCAAGATTTTCTTTCAAGAAACATCATATTAATATTCTCGCGTATTTGAGATTTAACATTTCATATTCTTTCGCCTGTACCTTTTATTGTTCCTATTTACAGTGCACCTGAAACACATTGTGTAACTGGCAGAGAGCCCAGATTTTCCATTTAGGAACAGTTTGATGATTTCACTTTTTCTTCTTTCTTTTTTTTTTTTTAAACAGCAGGTGCTCTACATTGTAAACAATGCCAGCCACCATAATATTATTAGCTTTTGAATTTTTATTACATTCTTGCCTTCCTACATATTTTAAACTTCAGTGCAAGGAGTTTTTGGCACAAGCTCAGCAAGCTTCTTAGTTCATAAGGAAGATAGATTCCAGCAAATAGAGTGCTTCATTGTCATTTATAATTAGAAAGTGTAAGATTTACCTAATCACAAAATCACCCAATATTTTCAGGTTTGTTTCTAATTTTCTAAGCAATACATTCACATCTGTCCCATGCAGAATGCTAATTCCCTTTTGGTTGCATGAGTTTCACAAATGTTTAACCCTTCCCTAGCCCATTATCTAAATATAACTCTCTTTTAGCTTATCTTTACTTTGAAGGCTATAGTAAAGCAAATATTTTGTTTCTTTAACACTTCTAAAATGGCCAAAGCTCATCATAATCGATGTATTCAATTGAGTTGTTTTAGCAATCAATGTATATCACTGCATGATCGATTTGGCTTCAGCAGTCAGCATGGAATAAGGAGATGGCTAAGGTAATACAATCAGCAATGCTTGCTGCCAAATGTAATGTATTACATTCCTAGCAATGGTGACCAAACACTCAGCGAGGAAAAAGTATTTTTTACTTAGCATGTGCTCAGTAGGTATTTGCTGAGAAAATAAATGAGTAGAAAATAATTTCTGATGTCCTCAGAAGTTCAAATCATGTTACCTATAATACATATATTCATGCAAATTTTGTCTAAAAAGTGACTTCAAAATCAGCTTAAAGTACTGCTGGAAATACTGAATTAAACAGTTGAAAATGAATAACCCAGCTATCTGATACATTGCAAGAACTGCTCTGTGGAGACTGATAAAAAATAAATAAATAAAAAATAAAAAAAAAAAACAAGAAAGTATTTACAGCCCCAAATCTGTATATTCATGTTATTTTCTGAGACTAATTTTAAGATCACACTTAAGATAAATAATGCTTAGTATTTTTCTTCACAGGTTGTGAGGAATTTTCCATTAGCTAACCAAAATGGGGGGTGGGGGAAATCAACCTATTTTATTTTTCAGCTATGATCTTTCCCACCAAACTGCATTTAGAGCTACATTTTTTCGAGATCACTTCAATAAGTGAAAGCCCAACAGAGAACAGATGCAATATAAGAGCAATAAAGGAAGAAAAAAATTAAAAATCCTTTGCTCTCCCTGCAGTACATCCGTAAATCTATTAGCATTATTTTCCTTTCTTCTCTCTCTTTCTCCTTTTTTTTTTTTTTGTTTTTGCATCCCAAGCCAGATCTCAAGTTCTCTGAAGCAACCCTTAATCAAGCTCCCCAAAGGCCTACGACTGCATGCAGCAATTTCTCCCGTGCTCTCAGCACAGATGTTTAGAGCACATTCCATTACACCTACATGCCATTACAGCTAATGGCTTATTCTGATGAAGAAAGCTGCTTTCTGCTCAGTGCAGCAAAGGGGAAAATTTCCTCCTGTACAGTTCGATCCCTGCAACAATGAAATGTGGGGGCAGGTGGTACAACAGAACTCTCTAATGTTAATTACATACTGTATTACCCCCAAATTTGGCTGGTCATTAATTATGCTAATTTACCTTCCTGAAAATTAGCACCATCAATGTGAACATTTGAGCAGATCATAGCAAAATGTAGTCTATCATAGATGCTTGCAAACCTGAACGTTTTGAGCCATCCAAAGAAAAGATGACTCTTATTGGATATATAAAACTTAAGAAGAAATGGTTTATGGCTATACTTGGTCCTTGTAATGGTAAATGTCTGGATTTTTCAGGAAGATAATATAAAAAGAAAGCAACTTTATCAAATCCCGACTAAAAACGTGTTTTATTAATTTTTTAAAAATTTCAAAGTTGTGAAATACAGAGAAAAAGCACAAAATTGAACACATCAAGGAAAATAAGGCTGGTGTACTTTGAACTGAGTAAAAATCCTAGGTATTATTTTGAAAGAAAAAGAGTGGAGGAAAAGTAAAGAATAAAACTTTGCTGGCAGTGTCTAGAGTTTTAATGCTATGGAGTATAGTGATTTTCGTCTATGCATTTTTCATAGAGCCTTGATAAAGAGACATGCACATTGTCTTCAACAGCTCCTACAGTTATAGATTGTATTTTTTTATTTATTACTCCATAAAAAATTAACATGTCTCCCCTTCCAACTAAAGCTCAGATTTTACCATATTGATTATAGGCTTAATAAAGTGTGCGAATCAGGTTAGGCTTGTTTTTCATATAAATTAAGTAAGTACAATTTCATTTTGGCCTGTTGAAATTGATTGGATTTTAGAAGTAAATAGAATATCTTCTCTGTGGAGTGAACAGTCTCTGTTTCCTCTTCAAGGCTGCTGTTTCCTTCTATCCATCTCCAAGAAGCCATCATCATATTAACATAGATGACAATCTGGCAAGGAGGTGCTGATCAAAGATAAATTTCACACTCGCACTTCGCATTTTCTAATTACACCATCTGTGTCAGACTCTTTCGTGGCAGTTCTGCCCAATCTGTCAAATGCTGCGTGCCTATGGGAATGCAGAGGAGCTGAGAAGATCGCCTTGTCTCCCCCCATCCTCCCAGCCGATTCATCACCCCCAATCGGAGCTGGGCAGAGATATTAGTCTAATTGGGGACTGGAATGAAGGTTCCAGGTTGCATGGGAGATGAGGTGTTTGGGGGATGCAAGACATGAGATTGCAATTTGAATCATATTACAGGGCCTGCCCTAGCTTATCTCAGAGCAGGCTGAGAACAAGCCATGCATGCGATATCAGGATGGGAGGGGTGAAGACAAGGGAACAGTTTTTAAAAGAATCATGAATGAGAAAGTGTCTTCTTTCATTTCTCTCTGTTTCTTTCAGACACATTAAGGATAAATGATTGTGAACAGGCACTGATGGGAAGTGCTCATCTTTTATTATAATATTATAAAATATAAGTATAAGAAGTTAAACAGAATGACCCAACTGATAAGGCCAGATCTAATCTAATCAAGGCCAAGCAAATAAATCCAACAGTTCTACCTAAATAACACAAATTAGTTCTTGTGGAATGTACATGATACTCACAATTGAACACAATAGACTAAAAACAAGAGACACTGAAGGCTGCTAGCTACTTTAGTAAATAATTTTCAAATAAATATTAAACTTTCAGATCCAGTTTGATCTCTTATTTTTTAATTTAAGGTGACAAAGTCCATGAAATACTAAAGAAAAATGAAATGATTACCCTTTCAAACTAGAGCCATGGCATATCTATTTCTAGTTATTGATTTCTTTCTGCCACATGTCACTGCCTTTAAGCCATGTTGCCACTGATGCCAAGGTAAGCAAATAAATGTAATAACTCATTTTTAAGTCCTCAAGGGTGTACACTTGTTTGTGTTTCATAGCATGGTATTGCTATAAAACCAAGGATAATCTGTTCCTTCTTTTTTTAAATATAAACAATTTTTATGATAATACTATTTCTGTTGCCCTCGAAAAATTTAGGATCACTTTTCACCCTAGTCACTCTCAAATGAAAAAGTCCAGGTTGAAATGGAAACAGGAAAATAATGGGAGTTGGAAAACTTGACTCCAGACCCAGCTCTGTTAATTACTTTTTTGATTCTCCATTTTCTATAAACTCCACTCTTCCCACTTCATATATTTGTGGCATATGCTTGTGAAAGTATGTTAAGGATTATGAAAATCCCTGAAAATTAGAAGGTCATATTATTTATACATTTGTGTATTTATATTCTGTCTCAAATTACAAGGTGTTTTCATTAGCTATTTAGATATAGTTGACTGGAGATATTTCATCCCCAATGCACCATCCCAATGTCCACATGCAGAAGTAGGACCTCTCATGTGCTTATTTTGCCCCATAAGAAATCAACTCTTAAAGGAAAAGGACTATATCTTATTATTCTTTGGCTTGCACATTATACATGATCACATGTTTATTATTAAACCTTATTAAATAGTATTTGTAAAGAGTATTGGTAAATTTAATATTCATTAAAGGAGAAAAATATTACTTGAGTCATCGAATAAATCCAGGCTGATTGCACTAATATGATTCCATTTGCAGGAAATGAAACCTCCTCAACCATTTGCCTCTTTAGTATTTCCCTGCTTCTGAAAGTCAGGATTTTGTGGTCTAATATTAATGCCAAAGTTTTCAGTTTTGCTTGAATGCTAAAATTTTTCTTTTTAAAGTAAGGGGCAAGGTGACTTTAATATGGACTATTCCAGAAGGACTTCGTTATGAGGACAAACATAGATAAAGTTAAGCCACTGCTTTAAGAGATTATCTTCTCCAGCCATAGTAACAAATTCATGGGAATAGTGACCTTATGGTTGTTTATAGTTTTCTGATTAAGATGCAACATCATTAGTTGCTGTTATATATCTATCTATACTTATTTAGATAGTCTATATTAAAGATATCTATCATAATATAACTGGAGATTTCAGAGAAAATGTAGAAGAGAGAATTACAAATGACCAAGTAAAAACTCAGAGACAGGACATATTAAGTATAGACTAAATAAATGTATCCTTTTGATGAAAGAGTAGAAAGATGAAGAGAAAGTTTAAAACAATATTCAATTTCATAAGGAGTCATTGTCCATGTTAAAACAAAAAGTGTCCTCCCTTTTAAACCTTCTGAATGCCCTACACTGGGCATCTTTGAGGGATCCACTTAGTAAATGCTGTCATTGAATCACTTAATTACACCACTTGCTTAATTCAATTATGAGGAGGCACTGGATATTAGCTGAGGCAGATGAATTTGTGTTCTCAATTGTTGCCATGCAATAGTGTCCAATATCTAAAACCTGTCTTGAGTCTTCTCTTTTCTCATGAATTCCTAGATAACTAGAAAAAAAAAGTTTATAAGTACTGTGCATTTTCAGAGAGAATAAATGAGTATTTCCAGCATTATTTGCAGAACTGCATTTCTGGAATATTAACATCTCTCTATTCTGGTTAAAGAATATTGGTTATAAAATAGGTAAATATATGAGACCTGTTGTAAAGGGTAATTTTTAAATTTAAAAGAACTATTGTACATGATGCTTTTATTTACTAAACTTATAAGAATAATTTTCCTTTCTCATATATATATTGGCTAGATCTTTAGCAGCTTGAAGATATTTACAATATAGTTTTAGATTGGGAAATACTCATGTGTTAAAAAAAAAGATCTTTGGAGAGCTCACTGTAGTATTTCATCACTAACAGCTTTCAAATATGCAATGATTTACATCTTTTCTAAATCCACAGGTAATGTTAAGAAAATAGTTGATAGTTTGAAGAATAAAAAGGATGCAGAGACTTGGGGGAGTCAACAGCTTCTTAACCATTCAGTCACTTCCACAACTTAGTTTCTGCCCCAGCACCCACTTCCATGTCATGTTTCCATTAAGCACTAAGAACTAAAAATAAAGTAATTATGTCACAACTATGTAATCCAATCCAAGGAATCATGCATTCTTATTTCAGTAATGCTTCTATGTATAAATATTTCAAGAATAAAGATTACTTTTGGGCTCTCTGGCTCACCAAAACTCAACAACTCAAAGTATAATATTTACAAAAAAGAAAAGTAACATTTTGGACCAGTATTCACAGAGCTGTCTTCTAGATAAGGCATTAAGGATGGGAAAACTCCAGCTTCACCTCCAGCATCCTGGAAACTAAACGGAGAAAAGACCTACTGCCAATTCTGTTGCGTCTTGATCCCTGTCCAATCCCACCTCAGCAAGCTATGTTTCACACCCCCATTTCCAGCACGCTTGGAGGAGCACCCAGAGATTTGGAAGTAGGCTCAAAGCTTATCTCGACTCTCCAGACATCAGCAGTGTGAAAAACGGGACTTTTTAAAATAACATTTCCTACTCTTCCTGCTTCTGGTCAAGCCAAAAATTCCACAGAGACCGTTGTTCTCATGGAATGCTGGCACTTCCTCTGCAAGGCACAGCGAGAATCTGGACGTGCAGAGGGATGTGCAGATTAAAACTGATAGAAAAGTTTCAAATTAGGAGCACAAAAAATGTTAGGGAAGCACATTTAACAGAACTAGAGTTCTCAGGAACAGTCCATGTATGAGCAGTTTCCCTAATGACAAAGTTGAAGTCTAGCCAGCACCCCCACGGTTCACTGACAACATGGGTTTTACCTCTAGAATGTATATGATATCCACAGAGATACACAATTAGTGACTTCTCATTCAGCCCAATCTATGAGAACAAAAGTTTAAAAATACTCTTTGCAATAAAAGATTTTGCTTACCATGAATGAAAACAATTAGTTGGTAAACCAAAAGAATACTTGATGTAAATAAAATGAATATATAATTTTATTTTTAAAGAGATAATAAGATAGAAAATAAAACAAAAACTTTTCTGTGGAGGCCGACTTTTTCAAAGAGCTTCTCATCAGTAAGTGGATTTAAGCATATAAGTATAGTTTTAAGCATTGATAAAATATAGCAAATTAAATGTATAGTTAACATATTAATAGTTACCCAAAGGATGCAAGTGCAGATCAATAAAATGTTTTCTTTTTATGTTTGGAGATATTGAACAAATTTCTCACAATCACAGATATTTCTTTGAAAATTCTATGATTTTGTTTTTTATTTTATTGTATCTATTTTATTGTTTTAAAATTCATTGGTCTATGAAACTATTGGTTAGGAATATCATATGGAACATTTTTAAATAGCCCCTTTTTGTGAAGATTATTTTTGGGTTTGAGTCAGGTTACTTTTCCATCACTGAGGTGAATATGTCACTTGGGTAAGTAACTGAAGGGCATGGTGTTTTAGCAAACCAAAACGTAAGCAAATATCCTCATTGCCAAGAGGAAGACAGTGTGGCTCTGTCTGCCCACAGGTTGCAGAAGACTGAAGCATTCAATCTTCAAGGCATTCAACCTAAATAAAAAACACATCATCCTATTTTTTTTTAAGTTTGAAGTCTTAGATTTGAGGGGAGAAGAAATTTTGTGGGAACCAAGGACAATAATTGGGGAAAGAGTTTCGAATCTTTAATTCACATTGAATATGTGTACTTAATATCAGTATGTCCTTTACACAGATAATAAAGCTTTTAAATTAAAACAAAATGCAGATGTAGCATTTGAATTAAGCTTTTCTCTGAATACTAGCTGTAAAAATCACTTACAGTTCTTCTATAAACAACTGTCTATATTTTTAAAGCTTTTTTATAAATGGGATTTTTTTTCCTGGAATATTCAAAGTCTAGAACATCCAAACTGGACCCTCTTCATGCCCACATAGGAGTTGCACATGAATATGTAGATAGGAGACCACAGAACCTAGCAGCTGAGGTTCACCCTTCCAGGATGGGTCCACAACCAACATGTCCAAGACTAAGCAAGCAGGACACAGTGTTCTATAACAAACATATGTACCACATTCAGGAATCAGACCCACAAATGAGTCCTCCAAGGATCTAGAGCTCAAGAAGCCAATTTTGAATTGTGCTTATTTGTAGTGTAAAGTACACCACTTACTCATAGTATAAAGCAACAAGAAGGAGGGTAAAAGGCATGGTTTCAGATTAAGTCACATTGGGTGTGAACCATGCATATACCTCTTACTATCTGTGTAACCTCAGGGAAGTTACTTAGACTCTCTCTGAGTTTCAGTTCCTCATTTACAAAGTGAATATAATAATGTTTATCTCACTTTAAGTAAATAGGCTTAAATGAAACTTAATGTCAGAGAATACACACACACACACACACAAATGTGCACACTTATATTTATGTAAAAGCATGTCTACTACTTAATACCTATACATGCTAAGTGATCAGTAAGTGCTGGTTTAGACAACCCCCCACACTGTTTTTTTCTTTCTGTTGGAATATGAGCCAGAGTATCTTACTACGGCCAAAATTAAAGTGGAAGAGAAAGGATCATGGCTTTTGTAGATTTCTCACTAAACAGTCCTCATAGTAGATGTGAAATATATTCACTATGACTCAGAATTGTGGGAAAAGTAATCTTCTCACTCTTAAGCCTGCCTCTTCCTGTTCTTAGGCCCTTATTCTTGTTAATTGTGGTGGAGATGGGCGGAAAGCAGGAGGAATGTTTGATGTTAGATGTGAGATGATGGCAAAGTAAGCAGTTAAAATCACACCCACTTCTAGTATATTTTTAGTCAAATTAAATTTTATCCTCCATTAGAGTTGTTTATCTCTCAAACTGTACCCCTCTCCTCATTTCCAGAATGACATCTGGTTAGGATCAGAGCTATTGTAGCCACAGCTTGGGCCTCCTGTCCCACCCTGCCCTTCGTATCACTGTGGGTGTCTCTCCTTTCCCGAAGCACCCTGAATGCCCACCCTGAATGCCCCTAACTCAATGGTGGAAACACCACAAACATTGTGATTCATAGAAAATGAATAAAACTTCAGTTTACTATTATACATTTCCATTTTAGCATTTATGTTATGATATTCACCAGTGGTTACAGAAAAACCTAGGAGAATGGGTGGGTATCTCTATGTACGAGAATAACACAAACATTGATGTTAGAGTATCCAAAGAGTTTAACCTTTAAAGGGATATTAGAGAACATTCTTCCCATTTCCCCCCAGCTTCTCTGTAGACAGATATATCCCCTCTGAGAAATACTGAGAGCTATAAACTTTCTTGGAAAACTGCTGTTATTGGCAGTAGGTTTGAAAACATGCAGCATGTACCAAGGTAGAAGACTTCATTTCTTAGACAACTTCTCTATCATGGTATCAGCCCTAAGCCCTTGAATTGTTGAGAGGTAAGAGAAGGGTCAGGTGTGACTGCTATCTCCAAGGACTTCTTTCTTTAACCTGCCAAGTAAACTAGGATCTAACCAATCAGGAGAACCACAGAGCTGTCTGCTACCTAGGCAGAGAGTCACATGCCATCTGGCTCAGAATTCAATATTCAGGATTCTTTGCCTCAACCCATTTTCTTTAAGACAACCTGACATACCCCCATACCAACAGGAAGCTGAGGGGCCAGGCCAGTTGTGTTCATGACAATCATATAAGTCTTTTGTTGCTTTTCTAGATATATTCCCATTTCTTTCCTGTTACCATGTAAACCAGAAAATTCGCATCCATCGCTCACATCTTAGACTTTGCTTTTGGTTACCCTGGCTTTAAATCTTTGGCTTCATTTGTAAACCTTAGTTAAAATTCACCTCTTTCACTTCAGGCTAAAGTACCTTGGCCAGGATAGCCTGCTTTCACTAGGTCCTGGCTTCTCAACTCCTGGCTCATTCTGCTGCCTGGTAGCCCAGGGAAGTTTCCACGTAGAGGAATTCAAGCAACAAATGGTATCAATTAAGTTTTGATCTTTTCTGAAATATATGCAGTGTAGGAGAACCAGTAATATTCCCCCAAACCTGATGATCTTTAGCTATTGCACATTGTGTTCGTTTTATTGTTCTAAACCATATTTTAGTTTGTGTCTTCAGGAAGCAATTGGTATGATTAGGCATGAAAAGCAAAGTTGGATTAAAACAAAGGCCAGAGGCGGGGGGAAAAAGATAGATCATACAAGTAGCACAGGTATTCGGGAGGAAAGAAAGAGCAAGAAAGTGAACCTTGTCCTCCTGTAAGCACAGCTGGGTGGAACATTTATGCAATACCGTCTATGTGGCAGACACTGAGCCAGGTGCTGCTTCATGACGCCCTGTTTAATCCTCGCAGTGACAACGGGCAATTTGTTTTAGTCTCTGTACTTCTCCTCAAAGGAAAGTGAAGTTCAGAGATAATAAATAATTTGCTCAAGATCACACAGCATTAAGGACAAGGGTAGGGTTTCAAATCTACTTCTGTTGGACAAAGCTACTCCTGTCCCTGATTTCCTTCTCACAACGTTGTACTCTGGGAGGAAGATAAGCAAAGAGAGAACCCTGTCATCCTTGTAAAAGTCTGTGTTGTCCACACACTTTCTCCATCTTTTCAGCTGTGTGATTAAACCCACTTGCACTTATTTTCCTCTGGCCATGTCTCCTTTTATGTAGGGGCAACAAAGCTCAGCACTGTAGTATTTATTACGTGTCCACATCTGCATAACACCTTGCTACCAAAAGGAAAAATAAAAGGCAAGCGAAAATGACAAAGGCACTGCCCTCTGGAACTTTATAATCAATAACAGATGGGTGAGAGGTGTGGAAAAAGGGACCTAGCCTCCCAAATAAGTGCTCAGCAAACCGAGAAATGAATGAATGGAGACCCAGAATCAAGCTAATCCCACCACAGGATCAACTAACTGCACACGGTCTCCCTCAGGAACTGACTTGCCAAGCTTTTGTCACTGTGAGGGAGCTGGGGGAGAGGGTGGGTGTGATCATCCTAACCTGAACAATGAAAATCTTCCCAGACCTTCTCCAAACACGCATCCCATATCACAAATTATCTTAAATCAGTTTGAAGCAAGGCTTTTCATCAGCTGTCATATTAGTGAGCCCTTCAGCTCCTTTGAGTATTTTGTTTAGCTCTCATGTCATTCTTTGCTGTGCCACCCATTGTATATGTGTGTGTGTGTGTGTGTTGTGGGGTGCAGGAGGATGGATCCAGGCTTTCAGTCATGCAGACAAGACCATCTTGATGCACACGCAATGATAACGTGACTCAGACATCTATTTCAAAATGACTGTCATTTTTATGACATTTCAAAGTAAAATGAAATTAGGAGTAGAGGAACAGAAAGATGCTTTACCCAGTCCTTGAGAAAAAGGCATTTCTTCATATTTCAAAAGCTTGGCTGGCAGTGAACTGGGATAAATTGCTGACTTGGCTTCTTTCTGTTCAACTTATTAAATAATAACATTCTGTATAAGGAAAGAAAGTTGTGTAATATATACGGCTATGCACAAAATGGATGAATTATATTTAGAATGTGTCTGAAGGCCAAGAAAGGAAAGGGTGAGAGGGGGAGTTTGCTGGAGAGCCTTCTATTGTAAATGCATTAAAATCTGAATTAACGGTGAAATGATCCTAGCAATGACATCACGCAATGACTGTAAAATCTAAAAACAAGAATGGTTATTTTCAGAAAATTTTAATATTTTTTTCTTGCGCATAGTCCAGCAGGTTATTAGTATTGCACACACATATATGGTATTCTTATATAGTTGCTTTCCCTAATGAAATTTCAGTTCCATGCAGACCTACGAATTTAAAGTATTATTTTCTGTCTTCTCAGTAGACTTTTCCTTTTCAGAGATGCATTATTCATTTATAGTTTATTACTCATAGAGAAAAGTATTAATAAAGAAACTGTACCTGTCCAGCTCCGATGTCAAACTCTGTTGAGAAAATCAACTCAGAGCCCAGCTGGTCTAAAAATCTATCACATTTTTACTTTTTTTGATAGATGTCATCCTGGGCATTGTAAATAGTGTATGTGTACTATATAATTATATTGTCCATGGATTTATGAAACTCCATTGCAGATTTCATTACTTTTTCTTGGTCCACTTATTAAAACTACATTTTACATGTCTAATAATGTAATTCAAGTTGTAGCAAATATGAAACACTGACATGCAGGCATAGGCAAATGATGCCTGAGCAATTTCACCCGATTCACTGAAGGACAGGAGAATTACCTTTTATTGTAATGAGCTGTGGAGGGTGGTTCAGGCTGCTTTTTCACATTTGTGATTCTACTATCCACCTTTCTCTCGAAATCCAAAGCCCCTGTCAGCTCATACGGAAAACTTGGATGCGTTTCATACTATCATGCTCTCATCCAAGGGAAGGCGGTGGTTAAAGGAAGGAGGGGCTGCTTGTTGGTTTACAGGAAATTTGAACACCCATGGGATGCTTTTCAGAATCCAAACAGAGTTCAAAACATAAACATTCCACGTAATTTGTTGTTTCCATACATCATTTGCCTCTTAAAAAAAAAAAGACTGAAAAAAATTTTTAATGTGTGACTACAGTGACAGAGAGTGGGTGCCAACAGCTCTCTGGATGGCTTTTTATCTCATTCCCTTAGTGAAAACAGTTAACTAGGCACTGGTGAGAGATTCTGTAGCTGCACAACACAAAGCTGGCGCCAGCGCCAAGTGTGGCATGCCAGATGTGTGAATACATTCTGGAGCGCAGCATCAGCAGCCCCGGCAGCTCGCCATAGCCATTAATCTAGAGACCTCTGGGAGTTCCGGGTAGCGCTGTAAAACCCGGCCCCTGCCAAGGCTGCATCAGATAAAGCCATCAATGCATTGTAAAAAAGACACAAAACCTATTTCATGGGCTGCACTGATCAAGCAATTACAATCATTGACTACATTAAGCAAAGAAACAGCGGGGTGCCCTATAAAATTGACTGCCAACTTGAATAATCAATAGACTCCATGTAGAGTAAATTAAATAACTGAAAAACTATTTGGAAAAGCTGAAGTTAAAAAGCCAATCAGTAATCCCTCATCCATGGCAAAACAATCTTGCTTCCAAAAGATCCTTTGGTTAGCTTTAATTTTTATCACTGGGAAATCCCGGGATGGTGAGCTTGGGAGGAGGAAAGTTCCTCTGCCTCTTTTATGCTTTTCTTTAGTAGCCGTACATTTAATTTGAATGTTTTGTATAGTCAATCGATGTGTTCTTCCTGTCAACTGTAGCTGAGTGCACACCCAAGGCAGGAAGGCTGTGACTGAAAGTCAACATTCTAAAGAGAGGTATTAAGGTTTGACATGGTTTGTGGTCTAACCTGAGGCTTACAATCACAGGAAGGTTTTTTTTTTTTTTTGCTTATATAGTTAGGATAATTCCAAATTTAGAGATTTTTAATTTTAAAATTTTGCATTAAATAATGCCTTAAATGCAGAGGATAGAGGTATGTAAATGCCCTTTTGAGGTTGTTGCTGATTTACCTTGCCACCGCATACCCCCACATGACTTTTTAGGCGATAGAGCAATCATGACCAGATTTCACAAGTTGCATCTTCTTAAACCAGTTTTATCCTTTTTGCTCCACTGGAAAGTGACAAAACATGTTCAGAGAATAAACATCATTATATATTTTATGTTATTGGTGCCATGAAAAGTTTGAATTATTTTGCCAGAAATTATTTATTCATTTATATACACTTGCATACTCGTTTGTTTTGTTTTAGGCAAGGGAAGACACTATTTCATAAATAATTTGCTCAACATATTATTAGAAGATCTAGAAAAAAATGATGGAAATGTGAAAGTCATTTTTCTTCTCAATCAAAAAAGAAAAAGCCATATTTTGATGAGATTCCTTTGTGATTAAAATGTAATGATAATAACTCCAGATCACAGAAGCTAGGTTACTTGGTAGCAGTATATCTGGATGTGAAAATGATAACATTAGAAGGATTATCAGTACTTCTGCCTGCTTGACAAAGATATTTTTTCACCAAAAGAGAAAAAAAGATTGAAACCTTTACTGCAGAGACAATACAATTTTCTTTGTAGTCAAGCCTGTTTCTGAAAACCATATATAACAGTAATAGTATGAAGACACCTACGGCACTGATGAATACATCATTAAGCAGGCATTATTGCTGTTCCCACTGAATGTAAGATCACCCTGATATTATGAATAATTTGCATATTAACGAAAATAATATTGAGGTGTATTTAATGTGGCATTTGAATTAACTCTTAATGGCATGCAAGTTCTCGGGGCTAGGCTAGGGAATAAACTGTAGGATGAATTTGGAAATAATTGTCAGGAGCTGGGCTTTCTGATTCTAGGTATCTAGAAAAATTCTTAGTGGCATTATTTTTAACACAATGATGTGTTTTACAGAGCCTCCTACAGTGGAACACAATAAATTAGTTGTCAATAAACAGCTTGTTTTAACAACACTCTGCTTCCTTTCCTATTAAATCTAATAGGGACAAAAACCCTCTGAAATGTTGTATTTAATGAGCAAACTTTATTTTTTAAAAAACTGCACAAGAAAAAGGAGAAATATGATGAACTAAAAATGATTATGTGTCACAATAAAATTCTCCAACTTGTCAGCTGATGAGATGATAATATTGCCCATAAAAGCAGGAGTGAAAGTGCTGCTGAGCTCCTGATAAAATGTCTTATTGAAACCTATTGTATTTACTTCTTATTAGATTCTGAACTCAAATAGATCTTGATTGTTGAGAGCTTGGGTATTTAAAAGCTTTAAGATTATCAATTACATTACTCATAATTTCCACATCTGCCTTTCCCGCTGCAATTCAGAGACAGAGAAAGACTATTATAACAGCCTTCCTGCAACTTGATTACTGGGGGACTCTGTTACAATGTGCACTTGAAATGCTGTTAAGATGTGAACCTAACTGCAATTTTCAGTTTTATGGAGCTACTCCTACATGGATAGCTTTTGGTAATAATTGAAATGAAATGGTAAGAGACCTGCCAAACCATGAGGGAGACATGGAGGGCCACCCTAAATGCAGACCTCTGCGCACTACAAGGAAAGCTTCTGTTTTGGAGTTACACTGTTTTACCTTCCTGCTAAAAATTAGCTTTGTGGGAACTAATATACATTTTGACTTAAACAAAATAATAATTAAAATGGCCATTATGTAATTGAACAGCAGTTTGGTTATGTTTATGCTGGGTAGAAGCAGGCTGCGGGGAGTAGAAACCAAGAGAATTCTCTCTGTCAAAATGTTGCCAAAGCAGCAAAATTTTTTTCAGAAATGCCTTGTTGTTTCTTAGCTCCTGATAGAGGGGACATCTTGGGGCTAGTTTTCACAGTCTCCTGAACATTTGCTGTGTTTTCAAGGTTCAAGTGCCCTGAGAGAAAAGGTTTAAAATAACCAGTTATCTTTCAATAAAGCAGTTCAAAACACAGCATCGTACACATATAAATATTTATTTTGTCACATAGGAGCTCACCATGTTCAAGAAACTGGACATGAAAGGGTCCACTTGTTCATGAAGTGGGAACTTCAGGTCTAGATTTGGTTTGCTTGTAGAGATGTTTCTTAAGTAACAGGTTTACACAAAAACACACACTTGCCACACACAGAGAAATATGGAGGCACTTTCTCAGAAGCAAAGAGACAACATATTTGAAAGGTACATTGCGGATCTTGGGGAAGAAGGAGGGGAAAAGGCTGAAGAGATATTTCTCCAGAAATGACTCCTCCTGGGGAAAAATGTAGTCTCTGCAATTTTGCTGCTTTAATAATGCTTTTTAATATGTAAATCTTTTTTTTTCTCTCTATCTGAAGAATAAGTCCTGAGACCACAACCTTACTAAATCTAAGGCCTCATCAACTAGTGCTAAATACAAACGAAGGATTTGTTAGTTTTCAACAATCTCTATAGAATCTAGAGCATTTTATTGTTCATTGGCTAAAGGTTTCATTCAGCATTTAATTTGTATGCATCTTAAAACAGTTAAACAAACATAGAAATCAGGCCAAAATATTTTGGGATTTCTATTAAATCCATTTACTGTTAAGAAAGAAAATGTTTAAGAAAGAAAATGTTTCATCCCGGGTGAGCTCAATTTCCTCCTCCCCCCAAGAAAAACATAATCAGAGAAAATAATTAACGTGCCTTCACCTAAAGGAACAACAGTTTACAGGTCCCATGACAGTATTTACATGTTCAGAAATATATGGAACACATGTTAGAATTAATCAGGATAAAGTTCAAAATGCTCTCAATAGCTTCTCTATAAAAACAGATATTGAAATGCATTTTTCTACACATAGTTACCAGGTTATTCAGAATTGTCATAGACAAAAGTAAAAATCACCCTGTTAGAAACTAGTTTAAAAAGTTTTTGTTCACAGAAAAGAAACTGCCTTTCCCGCTGCAATTCAGAGACAGAGAAAGACTATTATAACAGCCTTCCTGCAACTTGATTACTGGGGGACTCTGTTACAATGTGCACTTGAAACGCTGTTAAGATGTTAAATGCCTAGAAAGAATTTATGGTACAAGTGTTGATGTCTAGCAATGAATTCATTAAAAAAATAAATGCATGGTAGCTGTATCATTGTGATGCTAAAATAGAAGCATCTAGTTTAGGTAGATCCCAAAACTCTCTCAGTCCCCAACACTGGAAAAAAAAATGCACCTTCTGAATTTCTTTATTCTTTCATAAAATCGTGGGAATCCAGCCTGTCTGTGATTAACCTGACCTATTACAAAGTAGACCAGTTTTAGTTCATCCTGTTTTAAGTACTCTTGGGCCTTCATTCTCTCTCCTATTCTTTGCCCTTCTTCTTTCCTCAAGGATATAGAAAGGAACTGAACCCTCCATGGTTTGAAGTCTATGATGTATGCCGAGTTTGCTGCTTGTTTACAGGAGCTGGCCGTCACTCATGAGGAATATCAGACGATGCTGGTAGCAGACAAGCATTTGAGAGCTCACGACACTATCTGGCTCAAGGCCGTGTGCAGCAAAACAGAGATGCACATAAAGGATGCAAAAAAAAAAAAAAAAAGCTGAACAGAAGGCAGAAGGGTGTGTCCTGACCAGTGACCAGACCAGGTGTAGGGCTTATGTCCTGCCTTATTTTTAACACCCTGTCTAAATTTTCTATCCAGTCTGTCACTTTCCTCATCACTGATACAAATATAATATTAACTAATCAGCACAGGGGCTGTGTTAATTGAGCATTAATTAACCATTTTGGCCTAAAACCTGTGGCAGAATCCATAAAGCCAAAAATTAAAAAAAGAAAAAAAAGAGAGAAAGAAATACACAACGCTTTGATAATGTCATCCAATTTTATTATTAAGAAACTATTCGCACACCAATATGTGCTGGTTTAATTCTATCCAAAAGTGTTTGTGGCACATATTTGGCAAGTAGCATCAGGGTTGCCAATTTCCAACCAGGACTGAAAGGAACATTAAAGGAAATCTTTTTCAATCACCTCTCTGATTCCTAAATTCCCTGTATTGAATTCCCTTCAGCTGACAGGCTTGGTCTTCCCTAGCCACCTTTAGTAATTGGGAATTTACTACTTCTCTGGACTGCCTGTTTCATGTAAGAACCCTGAGTGTTCTTTAGAGGAACTTTAGAGACAGTTCCCCTTTATCCCTGAGCTAGATCTTCCGAGGTCCGCATTCTTCCACCTTATATGTGGAAGGTTAACTTTCTCTCCCATAGTTCTCCTTTCAAGTATTGATGAGCGAGATCAACTCTCTGCCTATCCACTCCTGATTTATTCACCAATTGCTTCTGCTTCTTGATTTTAGGGCCACTCAATGTTTTGGTTACCCTTCTCTCAGTTTGCTCCAGTTTTTCTACAGTTTTGCAAGTCCCTCTTACTAACTTTTACTCATTATTTTCTTCTTTTTTTAAAAAAAACAAAAGTTAAGTTTCTTTGGGGTCAGCTAGATTTCTTCATCTTTACTTGAACTGTGGATTTCTATTTTTTAAAAAAATACATGTTCTACCTTTACTAATTTTACTAAACGCTTCTGAAGAAATTCATGAAGCATCTGAGTGGTCATGGTCCCAAGGCCCCCAGGATCAAAATCATGGCATTTCACTGGAGTCATTACAGAAAGAAAGAATCTGTGAGTATCCAGGTTGAATTTATAAAGGGACTATGTGTTAAATTAGCAGAAAAACACAGGCTTCTGAGTCCCATGGACGTGAATCAAATCTATTTCTATCAATCACTTATTAGTTATATTGTTTAATTTTTTTGAACCCCAGTCTCCTCTTGGGTAAAATGGAGATAATGTCCATTTTGCCAGATTGTTTTAAGGATTAGAAATAATGTGAGCCAAGTATCAAAAACAGAGCTTGGCACATTATCGACAATCAATAACAAGAGCTGCTTTTATTGCTCAGGGAGTGAAAGAACTGTTCCTAGAAAATGTCGAATAATGATGCAAAAATGGGGAAAACCGATAGAGGAACTGTCATGAAGAACTACTCACACCAATCACACATGAAATGTGGCTCTTGCCCACTAACAATGGATTTAAGACCATCATAAATCATTTCACAGAGATCGCTCAACTGGCCTCACACAGCATCAGCAGTTTCTAACTTCCAAACCTGCTCTGCATTTAGCCACAACAATACAAAGGTGAAAAGACCATAATTGACTTTCCGTCCCCTGAGCATCCCCAGTCCTGTTACACTGAACTTTATATCAGCTTTCCTTATCAGCTTAATAACGTTTGGTGAAACAATGCCTTCAGTCAGAGCATTTATTTTATTTTGTTGCTTCACCCCCGACCCTCCACCTCTTGTTTCTGTGGGTGGGAAGGAATACATCCTAAATAAAATATTTCAATACAAAACATGTTGAACACTTGTTATATATATATATAATATATATTTTTTATATATATAATATATATATATTATATATATATAATGCAGCTGATAATTATATGGACATTTTAGTGCCAAAATACTTCCCACCCTATCAATATTCTGATTAAGAATAATAATAAAGCAGCGTGTCATGAGACTATGCTGTCATGGCTTCTTACTCTTGTATATTTTTATCCTCTCTACCCTGAATTCTTTACACATGGCATGCTGAGTGTAACATTATTTTGTCTCTGCTAAAAGACAGTGTCAAATAAAATTAGTCCTCTCAACTCTATGCCATAACAATGTCTATAGAAGTGTATTACAGTTTTTATTTAATATATTACATATATTTGTGCATGTGTGTCTTTATAAATCATAATGAAAGCTCTAATGCATTTTGGAAGCCAGCAGCATATTCATCGAAGATAAAAAAAAAAAAGGCTCTATTCTGAGTGAAGTCTTCCTTAAATAAAAGGGAAATGAGGACATACAGCCTTGCTCAGAAGGATTTTACTTGAAGAAAATGGAAGTGTTTTCATTAGGGAAAAGATTTAGTTTGCTACACATGAATTTGGGCATCTTGGGGTAACACATTTTGATTTGTTGTATGTGTGTGTCTATGTGTGTTCACATGTGTTAGGGATAAGGTAAGGAAGTGATATTGCAAGACACAGAAAAAGAAAAATGGCTGAGATAGGAATACATCACTGTGATAAGGATAAAGTCGTATGAGCTCTTCCTCACAGGGCCATTGAGTTATCACATCCAAAAGGATGGATGCTAGCCTCATCTGTGCATTCTTAAGGCAGCTGAGACTGAAGATGCTTGGAGGGGCCCAAGAGAAAAAAGCTTCATTCCGTAAGTGTGTGTGTCAAGTAACTGAGCCAGTGGATAAACAGAGCTGAACAAGTGACAAACATAAAACCTAGCACATTACACCCCTCACTACCTCGGGCAAAACCCAGCTAATGAAGAATATGATAAGTGAGTCCACCTCACATTTCCATTCCCAGCCCTGTCTCACCATACCCCCAGGCACTGGATGACATGATCTCAGTCCTCCTTTCATTTCCAGCTTGAGACCATGGTCCTCTGATTCTGGGATCAGAGCAAGCAAGTCTGTATTCCGTACGGTTAAAGCTTTGCTTTCATCTAAGGTTCTTGTTCCTCAGCTAGACCTCTAGGGGTGATAACATCTTGCTTTCCTGGCTTGCTAAGAATGCCTTATGATACAGCAACTCAATTGATATAAAAGAGTCAAACAACAAACTCAAGCTGTAAGCCCCAGCAAAAGTCATCAAGATAGATTGTCCCCTGCCCCCACTACCAAATCCTTCAGATAAGAGTCATTTCTAAAGGAATACAGGGCATAATTTAAAAAGTAAATATTTGATATAGTACTTAGCACAAAAATAGTCATTAATATCTGTGGAATGATCAGATGCTTATATTTGTCATCAATTGTCATCAATAGTGGTGTATACATTGACCTTCTGAGACATTTCCTTGCATTTGAGGGGAATTACTTTAGGGACAATCACTGATGCACTGAAAAGGACATAAGCATTAAATTGAAGTCTCAGTTCTTCTACTTGCTGGCTTCATAATCTTCATCAAATTACTTAATTTGTATAAGCTTCAATTCCTCATCTATAAAATGACTATCATAGAACAACATAGAGATTGTAAGGATCCAATAAGATTTTATGTCAGTAGCACCTAGCACTGTGGTTGTCATAAAGACAAGAATTGATGAATGTCATCTCCTTTTCACTGCTCTTTGGTTTTGTGAATTATTATTTTATGCATTTATTCAATGACAATTAGCAACAAAAATGTAAATAGCAAAAACAACAGACATAGTTTTGGGGGGCCTTTGGTTGAGTATGGTGACATGATCATGTGTATTTATATTTCTGAAGGCCCTTTAAAATTACTATAAAGAAATTGAAAAGGTATATACCTGCAAATACAAAGGGGATGAAAGAGAAGGCAAAAGTGAATGAGAGATGCTGACAAACATTTGGAAATAGAAATAAGATGGGTGAGAAGTGCATGACTTAGGAGATAAAAGAAAGCTGAACCCAAGTGCATCAGAAAGGTATATAAATGAGAAGCAAGTCTATTCAAGTAAAAGAATATTAGGAAAAACCAGGACTGAGATGCTTGCTTTCTTCCATAGAAAATGAGAGTGAAAAGTGGGGCTGAAGATAGGAAATTTAACTGAAAGTCTGTGTAAGAAGCAGGTAGGCTGTCAGATCTTGCCATTTCTCCACCCCTATACCATATGCCCAGCAAGGTGATGATGCTTCCTTCACCCTGCTAAGAAAATAGAGGCTTATTTCCTGAAGAAACTAAACCATGGAGTCACCAGACTATGGATCCCAGGCACAGTGGAGCATGGAGTTGAGGTACTAGTATGAAAAAGAAACAGTAAGAGAAAGTAAACTCAATGCACATTGAAACCTCAAGCATCATTTCCTCTGTTTTACTCCTAGAATATGGGCAGCCAAGCTAAAGACCCAAGAGAGGAAGTTAGGCAATTCATTTCCGGATAAACTGTTAGAAAGAAAAAAGAATCTGAGGTTCCAACATTTGAAGTCCCCATGAAAATGGTCAAAATCCCTGCCCGACCATCTTACAATAAAGCTCACTCATTGAAATCTCTGCTCCCACACACAGACCTTTCAATCAGCTTTTTAGTGTCTTGGTATTATGACCGAGTGAGTCACCAAAGATCACCGACATTTATGGAATGATTCTAACAAGAAAGATCCAAGTTTAAATAAATAGGTGAAGAAAATTTGTCTGAAAGGGAGGCAATGAAAGGAGCAGAGGAAAACTGGGAAAATAGAGGTGTCTTCGGAGTGGCTGACTAGAGGCACTTGGCACTTGCCTCCTCCACAAAGAACGAAGACAGTGGGTAATCACATATCGAATAGAGTGTCTAAGAGACAACACTAGAATTCAGAGGGGAAGTGACAGGAAACCTCTGTGGCATGGAAAGAGAGGGAAGTGAAGCAGCCAGCCTGGCTTGGATTGGCTCCAAGCCACAAGAAACGTCCCAGCGTAGGGAAATGAAAGTGAGAGATCCCCAGGATTCCACATTCCCACCATGGACTCCTGCAATCCTAGCTACAGGGAGAGCCCTTTGGTCCACACAGGCCCTGAGACTAGTACAAAAAGACTGTATGGAATCCACACAATGGCACTGTCCCAGAGAAAAAGTTTACACCAGGTCCCACATTACCCTGCACCCAAGGTACTGCTGTAGGGCATCATTTTGAGAGCTCAGACCCTACCAGACTATATACTCTGGGGTTCAAGAGCCCCTGCATCTCTATATCCTGGGAGCCCTGCTAACATACCCTACATCCACCCAGATGGCTGTAGCATTGCAACACCAGCTGGATCCAGTGGTGCAGCCAGGTCCCCAGCACTCTAGACCATGCAGTGTCCTGTACCCTAGGGAATGGATGGGACTGTGTACAGAGGAGGCTGCCAGCAAGACAAAGGAAGCTGAAGCTCATACTCTTCAGAGCCTGAGAGCTGCCCATCTGAGGTTGCTGCCACTGACAGCATCTCCATCAGTCCCCAGCAGCAGGGCTACTGTGCACTTACACATACCTTCAGGGAAACTGGGGACCCACCAACCTGGGCACCAACCCAGGGCCTGAGTACAGGCCTGACTGTCTTGCTGCCATAGGCACTTGCAAATGACATCCAGGGGCCTGAGAACAGTCCCATGCCACCTGCTATTACTATCACTGGTGCACACCATCTGGGGACTTGAAAAATGACCTTCCCTACCTGCCATGGAGGCACCCATGCACATTTCTGGGGGCCTAAACTCAGGCCTGTCCCACCTACCACAACCACAACTGGTACCCCAGTGTGCTGGGGGCCTGGGAATTGACCTACCCTGCCAACCACAGCCTGAAGCCATGTACACCATCTAGGGGTTCCTGAGAACAGACCTGCCCCACTCAATACCACCCCTGCCAGTGTCCACATGCATCACTTGGGAGCCTGCAGGTCATCATGCCCTGTTCACTGCCACTGGTACACACACACACACACACACACACACACACACCATTGAGGGGATGGGAAGAAAGGCCCACCCCGCTTACCTCTGCTGGCATTCACACTCACTATCTAGGGGCCTCAGGATCAGCCCACCCTGCCTCCTGCCACTGGCATCCATGTACAATTTCTGGGGATCTGAGGATGGGACCAACCTGCCTGCTACCACCACTGCTGCTGGCATATACTCACACATGCCACATGGAGACATGGGGACTAACCTTCTCAGCCCGCTGCCACCACCATTGGCACCCTCACTTGACTTTTGACAGCCTAAATACTGGCCTGCCACTGCTACTCTACCATTGTGGACCTCACATATGCTGCTTAGGGGCCTGAGAACTCCCTGCCCAGCCAGTCCTCTGCTGCCACTGCTGGCACCCAAGCAATTTGCCTGGAGGCCCAAAAATTGGCCTGACCTGCCCTGCTACCCCGGTTCAACTGTATGCCATCCAGTGGCTCAAGGACCAGCATCCCTGCTTGCCATTGCCACCACTGGTGCCTGAGGACCATCCCACCTGGCATCCCTGTGCCCAGCAAACCCTCATCACAGCATCTACTAAGAACTGCAGCCTGAGCCACTGCAGAAGTCACAGAAATTACTGATGCTGATTACATCCAAAAACCATTCATACAGAAACTACATTATAGGAAAAAGTCTCTATAGGAAAAAGTCTCCCTACAAAAGCCAATGCATAAAATTGGAAGAAGTAACTGTTATGCCAAATACACAGATATCAACATGAGGATACAAGAAACATGTAAAAGCAAGAAAACATGACACCTCAAAAAGAACACAATAATTCTCTAGCAACAGATTCCAACAAACACAAAATCTATATCATACCCGAAAAAAGAATTCAAAAGAATGATATTAAAGAAACTCAGTGAGATACAGAGAACATAGATATACAATACAAATAAGACAGAAACACAATTCATAATTTGAATAATTAACTCAACAGAGATAAATAATTACAAAAAAGAACCAAGCAGAAATCCTGAAACTGAAGAATTCAATAAATGAAATATACAATTTGGAGTTTCAAGAATCGACTAAACCAAACAGAGGAAATAATTTCTAAACTTGAAGACAGGTCCTTTAAAATTATTCAGTTGGATTTGCAAAAAATAATTAAAAAGAATGAAGAAAGCCTAGGTAACATATGGGACATCATAAAGCAACCAAATTTCTGAATTTTGGCAGTTCCAGAGGAAGAGATTGACAAAGGCAGAGAAAACCTATTTAACAAAATAATAACAGAAAATTTCCCAAGTATTCTAACAGATATAGACACCCAGAGTTTCTCAGGAAACTCAAAGATGTCCAAATAGATTCAACCCAAAAAATTATTTTCCAAGGCACGTTATAGTCAAACTTTCAAAAGTCAAAGACAAAGACAGAATACAAATAACATTGGATTTCTCAGCAGAAACCTCACAAATCAGAAGAGAATGGGATAATACATAGAAAGTGTTAAAAGAAAAAAAATACTATGTCACCAAGAACAATACACCCAACAAAGCTATTCTTCAGAAATAAAGGAGAAATAGTCCCAGGCAAGCAAAAACTAAGGAAATTTATCACCACTTGACCAGACTAATGAGAAATGCTTAAGAGAGTCATACTTCTGGAAGCAAAAGGAAAATATCTACCATCATGAAAACACACAAAAAAATGCAAAACTCACTGGTAAAGCAGATACTAAATGAGAAAGAGAAAGAAGTCAGAAGTTACCACTACAAAAAACCACCCAACTATAATTATAAACAATAAGAGAGAAAGAAAGGGGTGGAGGATATACAAAACAACCAGAAAACAATTAAGAAGATGAAAAGAATAAGACATCACCAATAAATAATAACCTTGAATATAAATGGATTAAATTCCCAAATTAAAAGACAGAGACTGGCTGAATGGATAAAAATATCATGACCCAACTATATGCTGCCTACAAGACAGTGACTTCACCTATAAAGGCACATATAGACTGAAAGTTCAGGGATGGAATACTACATAGCCATAAAAAGGATGACTTCATTTCCTTTGCAGGGACAGGGATGAAGCTGGGAACCATCATTCTCAGCAAACTAACACAGGAACAGGAAACCAAAGACCACATGTTCTCATTCATAAGTGGGAGTTGAACAATGAAACACATGGACACAGGGAGGGGAACATCACACACCAGGGCCTGTCAGGGAGTCCGGGGCTAGGGGAGGGATAGCATTAGGAGAAATACCTAATGTAGATGATGGGCTGATGGGTGCAGCAAACCACCATGGCACATGTATACCTATGTAACAAACCTTCACATTCTGCACATGTATCCCAGAACTTAAAGTATAATAATAAAAAAATTGATGTCTTATCAAGTGTCTCTTTGGACCACAATAGAATAAAACTAGTAATCAATAACAAGAAGAATTTTGGAAACTGTACATATACGTGGAAATTAAATAACATACTCCTGAACAAACACTGGGCCAATGAAGAAATTAAAAAGGACATAAAAAATTCTTGAAACAAAGGAAAATCAAAATACAACATACAAAAACCTATGGAATACAGCAAAAGCAATGCTAAGAGGGAAGTTTATAGCAATACATGCCTACATCAAATAAGTAGAAAGATTTCAAATAAACAACATAATGATGCACCTCAGGAACTAGAAAAGAACAAAGCAAACACCAAATTAGTACAAGGAATGAAATAATAAAGGCTGGAGGTGATCACAATCCTGAAAGACACAATCCTGAACATCTTAATTATGAATTTTGAAATTCCAAAAGATCGAAATCCCAAAAATATAATTCTGGAACAATAATTTAAATTTTTAAAAAAATATTTATTTACACTGTAAAAGGGGATTTCTTTGAGAATCATATAAGAACATGACAGACCACTTCAGAGGCCAATAAATTAAGCAATAATAGCAAATATTTTTGCAAGTGTAACCACTCAGTTATACCAATGATAATCATGTGGGCATAACAGTTATGAACAGATAAACCATATTTACAAAGAAATAGCTCAAAAAGTGAAATGTATAAATTCATATCAATATGGTCGGTAATTTTGTGCATTATAACTGAGTCATCTGAAATTTTGTGGCAAGTTAAGTCTTTTGATGAAATTGATGAAAAACTCTAGTGGGTCACCATTGCATCACCACCACACTAGTCACTCAAAGAGACAAGATCTCAAGATATTTTTATCTTTCACAACTACAGATTCATTCCATTCATTTACTGAGGAAATTGCAGTGTTTTTACTTAGACACAAAGTCAATGTTGTGTTAGTGCATTTTCATAGAGTCACAGTTGCAAAAAATGTATAAATGAATTAGAACTCTCTAAAAACCTACAGATTTGTACCTCCAATACTGGAAATAATGTGAAGATGAAATACATAGCATAATTGACCATTAAAAATAGTAAAAAAAAAACCCTGAAAAAATTAAAAATAAAATAAAAGGGACAAATAAACTAAAAATAAATTTAGACATATGAAAAAGTATATTACAGGGATAAATAGATCATAGGTAACGACACCCAGATGGTTCACAAGAACTGGCTGACTTTCATGTTAATTAACTATATTTTGAAGTCTTGCATTACAATGAATAGCTTCTTTTTATTTTAAAGGACATAGCTCTCCTTGGAGAATACATTCACTTCATTTTCTACATGGTGATGCTCTTTTGGAATTCTTCTGTGATTCAATATATACTGACATGAGTGTTCCCCATTAGATTTTTTCCATCTTCTATGCCAAGCTTCTATGTTGTTTCAGGTATGTGGAAAGATTCTATATGCACTCATCTGCAGACTACAAATATGGCAGAAAAAATTACTGGTTATTGAACAGCAACATCTTTGCCTAAGTGTCTTCTTATCCCATCATGCACATAAGTATTTTCAAACCAGTCAGTAACTTCATTGACTCCTTCAGGCAAATATGGCTTACTTCATTAAAAGCTCCTGAAATGTCATCTTCTGAAAAATATGCCAATTCAGAAAATGAAGCATTTTTTAAACTTAAGTTTTCATTGTTGTCATATTGCATGGCCAATCTACTCATCTGACTTTTCTGCCAAATGCATTGGACAGAGTGGAAAAAATAAACTTAATAACACCTTAAAATTCCATTTTAGAAGTCTTCATCACATCTAATTCCAAGTCTCTCAACATGGTTTGGGGATTGAATTGAAATTCATTTTCTTCTTCATAAAGAAAATAATAAAGCTCCACCTAACATGATACAATTATCATGTGATTGTAATATTGGAGATTGTAGACATTAAGGGTTGTAAACTTTAGGGATTTTTACTTCAGGAATTTGATCTTTAGAAATTTCAACATTTGGGATGATGACATTCAGGATTGTGTCTTTCAGGATTATGATTCTAAAGATCAGAGCAGAACTAAATGACACAGAAACAAAAAAAATGATACAAAGGATCAAGCAAACAAAAGTTGATTTTTTGAATTAATAAGAAAAACTGACAGACTAACAGCTAGATTAATAAAGAAAAAAGTGAGAAGACCCAAATACATATATTGAGAAATGTAAAAGGAGACATTACAACTGATACCACAAAAATACTAAGGATCAGTAGAAAAAATGATTAACTATATAATTTGTTAGTCTATAGTTGTTCACTAGAAAAAACACCTAGATCAAAACCTAGAAGAAATGAATAAATTCTAGGATCCAGTCCACCCAGATTGAAACAAAAAGACATAGAAAACATAAACAGACCAATAATGAGATTGAATTATTAATAAAATGTCTTTCCACAAATGAGTCAAGGACTGGATGGCTTTACTGTTGAATTCCACGAAACCTGTAAAGAACTACCACCAGTTTTTTTCAAACTATTCCAAAAAATTTAAAAGGAGGGAATTCTTTCTAATTCATTTGAGAGGTCAGCATTACCATAATATCATAATCAGAGAAAGGCACAACAAAAAATAAAGCTATATACCAATATTCCTGATGAGCATACATGCAAAAATCTTTCGTATATTATGAACAAACTAAATCCAACAACACATCAAAAAGACAATACAACATGGTCAAGTGGGATTTATACCAGGAATTCAACGATGGTTTAATATATATCAATCAAAAACATGATACATCACATTAACAAATTGAAGAACAAAAACCATGATTATCTCAACATGTGCAGAAAAAGGATTTGATAAAATTCAACATGTCTTCATGATAAAAACTCTCAATAAATTAGACATAGAAAGAATATATCTTAATATAATAAAGACAATATATGACAAATCCACAGCTAACATCATATTAAATGGGGAAGAGCTGAAAGGCTTTTATGGAAGAACTGGAGGAAAACAAGGATACCAGCTTTTACCATGCTTATTAAACATAGCATTAGAAGTCCTAGCCAGAGAGATAAAGAAAAAGCAACCAAATTGGAAAAAAGGAAGTCAAATTGTCCCTTTTTGCAGAGGATATGATCTTATATATAGAAAAACCTAAAGACTCTACCAAAAAACTGCTGGAACTGATAAACAAATTTGGTAAAGTTCCAGGATACAAAATCTATACACTTATAACAAACTAGCTGAAAAGGAAATCAAAAGTAATCTCATTTATAACAGCTACAAAAAATACCTAAGAATAAATTTAACCAAGGAAGTGAAAGAAAAAAATACCTAAGAATAAATTTAACTAAGGAAGTGTAGTTTTCACTACAAGGAAAACTACAAAACACTGATGAAAGAAAATGGAGGCACATACATGGAGAGACATCCCATGTTTGTGGATCAGAAAAGTTAATTTTGTTAAAACAACCATACTATCCAAAGCAATCTACAGATTTAATATAATCTCTACCAAAATATCAATGACATGCTTCACAGAAATAGAAAAAAATCCTAAAATTAATATGGAACCAAAAAAGATACCAAAAGCCAAAATATACTGAGGATAAAGAAGAAAGATAAAGTCATCACACTATCTGACTTCAGAATATACTACAAAGCTATAGTAACTAAAGCAGTAGTATTGGTATAAAAATAGACATACGGAACAATGGAACAGAATGGAGAGCCCAGAAATAAATTAATTTATAGCCAAGTGATTTTCAACAAAGGCAACAAGAACCTACATTGCGGAAAGGATACTTTCTTCAATAAATGGTGTAGTTTCTGGAAAACTGGACATCCATAGATAGAAGAATGAAACTACTCCCCTATGTCTCATCATATACAAAAGTAAACTCAAGACGGATTAAAGACTTAAATCTAAGACCAGAAACTATAAAACTATTAGAAGAAAACACAGGGAAAATGCTTCAGGATACTGGTTTAGGCAAAGATTTTTGGCTAAGACTTCAAAAGCACAGACAACAAAAACAAACCAATGGGACTATATTAAACTGAAAGCTTCTGCACAGTAAAGGAAATAATCAACAAAGCAAAGAGACAACCTGTAATCAACAAAGCAAAGGGACAACCTGTAGAATGGATGAAATTATTGCCAAACTATTCATCTGACAAAGGAATAATACACAGTATATAAAAAAACTCAAACTCAACAGCACAAAAACAAATAATTCCATTAAAAAGTGACCAAAGGATCTGAATAGACATTTTTCAAAAGAAGAGATATAAATGCTCAGCAGGTATATGAAAAAATGATCAACATCACTAATCATCAGGAAAATGCAAATCAAAACTACAGTGAGATATCATCTCACTCCAGTTAGAGTGGCTATCATAAAAAAGAAAAAAAAATAGTAAATGCTGGTGAGGATGTAGAGAAAAGGGAACTCTTATATACTGTTGGTGGGAATGTAAATCAATGCAGCCATTATGAAAAATAGTATGGAATTTTTTCAAAAAACTAAAAATAGAACTAACATACGTTCCAGCAATCCCATTACAGGGTATTTATTCAAAAGTCAGGAAACCAGTATATCAAACGGATACCTGTGCATCCATGCTTATTGCAGCACTATTCACAATAGCCAAGATATTTAATTAATCTAAGTATCCATCAATGAATGAATACATTTTTTAAAATTTTATACACACACACACACACGCACATAATGGAATACTATTTAGCTATAAAAGGAATAAAATCCTGTCCTTTGCAGCAACATGGGCAAAACTGGGGGTTATAATCTTAAGTAAAATAAGTCAGACACAGAAAGACAAATATTTTATGTTTTTCTTCATATGTAGGAGGTAAGGAAGTTAATCTTAGGGAGGTAGAGAGTAGAATGATAGTACCAGATGTTGGAAAATGTGTTAGGGGTATGATGGGAGGTTGGTATATAGGTATAAATGATACAGTTGGATAGAAGGAATACATTCTAATGTTTGCTAGCATACTAGAGTGACTATACTCTAGTATGCTAGCAAACATTAGAATGTATTCCTTCTATCCAACTGTATATTTATTGTGTATTTAAAAATAGCCTGAAGAGAGTATTTGAAATGTTTCCAACACAATGAAATAATAAATGTTTGAGATGACAGATTCCCTAAATACCCTGATTTTACCATTATACACTGTATGCATTTGTGAAAATACCATGTGTTCTCCCTAAATATGTGCAATTATTATATATATGTTTAAATTTGCAAAATATCTAAAATTGTATGCTTAGTGAATTTGTTTTTTGTATAGCAGGTCGGGAGGCATTAAAGACTTAACAATGAAGCACACAATATTAGCCTTAGGAGAAGGCAGTGTGATCAAGGGTAGGGTACTAAAAAGAGGAAGCAACAACAGAAACCCACAAGGGACAAATCAGAGACCAAGAAAGAGCTATAAGATGAAAAAAAAAATGGAGAAAAAACTATTCAGAAAATAGACCAAGATTACAATGAAACAATGAATTAGAAAAAAAAAAAAGGATAGAAAGTAAGCAAGGATGTTATTTGGCTCATTTGACTATTGTGAATATGCCTGCATCACATCAGCTCAATCCAGTTCTCATTTTGGTAATATCTTGGGAGGGCAGACACTCCTCGTGCTTACAGGGTCCTATCTCAAGCACTGGCTTTCTGCCACAGTGTCTTTTCCAAGGCTTTGGGGGCAAGTGGGATTCTTGCACAGTAGCATCCTTGAAGTCCAAGGGATGGGAAATAAAAGCCCCCAGGGTCATCCTCAACAGATGGGAAATGGAAGTCAGGGAATATATGTTCTAGCCTTCCAGCCTTCAAGGGAACAATTCTGGAAGATATTCTGGATGCTTTACAAGAGGTCCTGGAAGAACTTACCTTCTAGTCCAACTCCTCCTACCCACAGCAGCAACCTCTGTATCTTTTTCTCCAGGCCTCATATTTTCTCCTTTCCTCATTCACTCTCCCTGCTCTCTCACTCCTGCTTCCTAGAATCATCTGCATAATAAACAACCTCCATCCACATTCTCATCTCAGTTCTGATTTCAGCATCCAAAGAAACTCAAAACTACATACATAAGAATTTAAGTTATAAAATGTAAATTTAAAAAATTAAATTAATAACTGGCTATGCCTTATATATCCTTCAGGATAAAACACCTGTATTGACATAGAAAAAGATTTTTATGGCGTAATATTTTTAGTCATAACCCTATATCTAGTTTCAAAATTTGTTCTTGTCTAAGTTAAAAGCAGAAAAGAGCATCACATGCTTTGGAATATATTTTACAAGGCAAAAAGTTCTCTAATGATGCACTGATACTGAATATGTTGGTGAAAAGTTGCAATAAAATTTTTTCATAGAATGTTAGAAAAGAGATTAACATTATTTCCTAATTGCTTACTTAATATATTATTTAGCATAATTTATGATTTACATATCTATTACTACATTATTAAATTAAATAAAATATAATTTAAATATACCAAAATGTATGTTGTTGAAATCTTTATATTTTAGGCAAGTAGTTAAAGTCAGCACTTTGAACAGAAAGCAATTCTTAGATACAGCATTTTCTACCAGCTTAGATACGGCATTTTCTACCAGCCTATGGGAAACCTTGTCAGAATGGACCAATATGGGATGTAGAAGTGAACTAACTAGATTGAAGACAGAGTGAGGCAGAAACAGGATAACACTGTGGGGTCAGACTAGAAGCTCAACAGAAGCTGGGAGCTGGAAGATGATGACTAGCCATCAGGAACTTGCCTGGGCTTGACCATTCAGTGCTGAGTGTATGGCTAAAGAGCCTCAGACTGAAATTACATGGCCCTAATGAAAGGCAGAGACTGATGTTTTTGATTAGTCAAAGTGAAAGCACTGAAAAAAATGGACAGCAAACTGTAGAATGCGGCTCCATCCTCTCCTTGGTAATGAGAAGTCCCACTGGACAGCATCTGAAGCCTTTGTATTCCTTGTTGCTTTACTCTCACCATCTTGCACAGTGTCTATCATCACACAGGCACTCAAAACTATCCTTAAGTGGATGAATATATAAATAATGTAACCCCAAACTTTTTCATAGTTTGTTATAAAATAAAGTTGTAAGAGGACACAAGTGAAACTAGTAATGACTCAAGGGACAGGGGTGACATAGAAGGGAAAGAAAAGAAAGTTTGGGACAAGGAAACTGAAGGCTGTGCGCAGAAGGGTAAAAGAACTGTTGCTAGATCACAAAGAGAAAGGGGCTATTCCATGCAATAACAAAGCTATGAATAAAAGCAAGGTCTTATACGCCAAATCACACATTTTAGGATTTACTATAAATACAGCATAGAATCAGTCATTGGAGTGCAGTATGTGAGACTAAAATTGCACCCGGCTAGTTAAGAGTTTAATATGAACATGTTAAGATGTTTGTAGTTTATTTAGTGAACAACAGGAATCAATAAAAGTTTATAAAAGGAGGAACATATGATTGGATTTGACTTTTAGGGAAATAGATGTAACAGAGGATGAAATAGAGTGAGCAAAGACTGGTGAGAGGAAGATAATTTGAGAAGTTTTCAGTTAATCAGGTCACAAGTGATGGGGGCTTAAAGTAAGACAATAGTAGCAGGAAAAAGAGGAGCCAGAAAAGAGATAAATTACAGCGACAGAGTGAATGCAGTAACAGCCTATAGGAAGTGAGCTGTGAAGAAAGATAGAGAGGTGAATCCCTGCCTTTTAATTTACAGGACTTAGTAGATTGTGATTCAATCATCTAAACTCAAGAACAAAGAGAAAAGCAAGTTTGGTTAAAAAGTTCAATACTATTCTAATCAATCCTATTTTCTATTTTATAATCTGTTTTCTATTTATAATAACATTTCACCCAAACAAACAGTAAATGCTTAATTAAAAAATCTAAGAACATACACAAGAAATGCAATGAAAAAATATCAGCCAGATTCCCACCTCCTAACCACTATCATTGATACAGGTTTGCTATGTGACAGTATATTCAAGCAAAGAGATAGAGATTTTTGTTTGGTTGTTTTTGCTTCATGTAAATAAAAGTATACTTTATTTTTTCATCTGCAATATATCGCACACATTTTACAAGGTAAATACATGTTTTACTACACCATAATTTTCAGTCACCTCAGAACAGTGTATTATCATATGGAAACACCAAATTTTACTTTTTACCCATTTTACTCATTGTTTGCAGATGATATTATCTTATACTTGGAAAAAACCTGAAGATTTCATTAAAAAAACCATTAGAACTGATAAATTCAGTAAGTTGTAGGATACCAAATCAACATACAAAAATCAGTAGCATTTCTGTATACCAACAGAAAACAAACTAAAAAAGAAATCAAGAAAGTAATTCCATTTACAATAGTTACAAATAAAATAAAATACCTAGGAATAAACTTAACCAAATAATTGAAAGATCTCTATAATAAAAACTATAAAATATTGATGAAAGGAATTGAAGAGGACACACAAAAAATGGGAAGAAAGTCCATGTTCATAGATTGGAAGAATCAATGTTGTTAAAATGTTCATACTACCCAAAGCGATCTACAGATTAAATGCAATCCCTATGAAAATACTAATGACATTCTTCACAGAAACAGAAAAAAAAATCTTAAAATTTATGTGGAACCAGAAAAGACCCAGAATAACCAAGCCATCCTCAGTAAAAGAAACAAAACTGGAGGAATCACATTACCTGACTTCAAATTATACTACAGAACTATAGTAACCAAAATAGCACATTACCAGCATAAAAACAGACACATAGACCGATGGAACAGAATAGAGAACCCAGAAACAAATCCACGTGTCTACAGTAAACTGATTTTTTACAAAGGTGCTAAGGACATACATTGGGGAAAAGACAGTCTCTTCAATAAATGATGCTGGAAAAACTACATATCCGTATGCAGACTAGTGAAACCTTATACAAAAATAAAATCAAAATAGATTAAACTCTTAAATCTAAGAACTCAAGGTATGATGGTTGTACAAGAAAACATTGAGGAAACTCTCCAGGGCATTGGACTAGGTACAGCTTTCTTGAGTAATAACCCACAAGCATAGGCAACCAAAACGAAAATGGACAAATGGAATCACATCAAGTAACAGGCTACTGTGCAACAAAGAAAACAGTCAACAAAATGAAGAGAAAATCCACAGAATGGGGGAAAATATTTGCAAGCTATGCATCTCAGAAGTGATTAATAACCAGAATATATAAGGAGCTCAAACAACTCTATAGGAAAAAAAAATCTAATAATGTGATTAAAAAATGGGAAAATATCTGAATAGACATTTCTCAAAAGACAAACATACAAATGGCAAAGAGGAATATGAAAAGGTGCTCAACATCATTGATCATCAGACAAATGCAAATCAAAATGACAATGAGATATAATCTCACCCCAGTTAAAATGGCTTATATCCCAAAGACCGGCAGTAACAAATGCTACTGAGGAAGTGGAGAAAAGGCAACCCTTATATGCTGTTGTTGGGAATGTAAATTAGTACAAACACTATGGAGAACAGTTTGGAGGTTCCTCAAGAAACTAAAAGTAGAGCTGTCATATGATCCAGCAATCTCATCAGTAGGTATATACTCAAAAGAAAGGAAATCAGGATACCAAAGAGAAATCTGCACTCCCACGTTTATTGCAGCACTATAGCTATCACAATAGTTAAGATTTGGAAGCAACCAAAGTGTCCATCAGCAGAAGAATGGATAAAGAAAATGTGGTACATATACACAATGGGGTACTGTTCAGACATAAAAAAAGAATGAGGTCCTGTTACTTGCAACAACATGGATGGAACTGGAGGTCGTTTTGTTAAGTGAAATAAGCCAGGCACAGAAAGACAAACTTTCCCAGTTCTCACATATTTGTGGTGGAGCTAAACATTAAAACGACTGAACTCATGGACATAGAGGGTAGAATGATGGTTACCAGAGGCTGGGAAGAGTAGTAGGTGGTGGTGGGGTGGTGGAGATGGTTAATGGGTACAAAAATATAATTAGGTAGAATGAGTAAGATCTAGCATTTGATAGCACACAGGATGACTACAGTCAACAATAATTTATTATACATTTTAAAATAACTACATTAACTAAAAGAGTATAATTAGATTGTTTATAACACAAAGAAAGGATAAATGCTAGAGGGGATGGATACCCCATTTACCCCGAAGTGGTTATTATGTTCTATATGTCTGTATCATAATATCTCATGTGCCCCTAAATATATACACTTACTATATACCCATGAAAATTAAAAATAAAAGTTACAAAATAAAAGAAAATGAGGGTTACAGGTTTCCTCACCTAAGGAAAACATTACTTGTTTGGGTCACCTAGGAAAATACACTTCCATTCATTCTTTCTAATGTATTTTCTCACTTCCATACTTAATCAACCTAATGAAATAGGTAGGGCAAGTATTATTCCCCCGTGTTTGCATGAGTCCACTGAGAAGTAGAGAAGTCAAGTCGCTGGTCCAAAGGAACAAGACTGTTGGGTTGAAAAAACAGGTATGACTGAACCACTTTTGGAATTTGACCTTGTGTCTTTAACTGACTAGCTTTAAACTGATATACAATTGTCAGACTTTTTTTTTTTTTTTTTTTTTGGCTTAGGTCATCATTCTCTACTTAGAATAGCAAAATATTAAAAAGTCAAGTTTTAAATATCAAGTTAATCTTTCAATAGAAAGTAAGCCACTGGGTATGTTTCCAGAAAACTGATTTAAGAAACTGAACAGTTCACTTTATCCATTCTGGGTCCTGAATTTTTATACTTTTCTAGTCCTTCTGCTCCTTTTTCAGTAAATCCTTCAGCCACTGGTTCCATGAGAGTAACGGTGTTGAACTCTGACAAGTGATACTATATCACTGTAAAACTAACACACTTCTGTACATCCATAATCATTACCAGCCAGGTTTTCTTTTTTGTTCTTTTGAGTCACCAGTAAGTAGAGACAATTGTATGACAACACCAAAGAGGGAGAGAAATTACTTTAGTGCCCAAGTCTGCAGGGTAAACCCTTAGACAAGAGAGTTCATGCAGCTGGATTTATTTCGAATCCTTCCGACTGTTTTATAGGTCACAGATTTAGCACTCAGCCTTATTTCGCTTTATTTTCTTCATCTTAACTCCCATGGTACTATTTATTAAGGGAGATGTCAGGTATCGGCCTGTCTCCTTCAAAGAGAACAAGAGGCTTTCAGAAAGAACTACATGCAAAGAAATAGCCAAACAAAGCACATTTCTCCAATTTGGAATAATCATGCTATTCATTAGCAATCATAATAGTACTTTCTACAAGTCAGACTGTAAAGTACCAGTGTCAGAGGAGGTTTGTAACAGAGAATACAGGAAAGCATATTAATTTTAGATGAGTGAGTTTGAGGTCACATCCTTTTCCAATGAGAAATGAGGTAGAGATAAAATCAAGTTTTGATGAGTTTTTGCAGTGCAGATCATGACCTGATGCAATGTGAAGTCAATCTTTAAAATTCACTGTGGTCTGATTTTACTTGTCCTTAAGGATAGTCATTAGCCTGAGCTCACACTATTGGAATTTGGTTTTAAAGATAGGGCAAAGTTTTCCTGCCATAATTACTTCCATCTGCTACACTAACACATGTGTTTCTGCAATAAAAATTTCTAAAACTCTCCAAACTCCACATGCCCCCTTTTGACTAGGCTCTTGCTGTATTGATGTTTCACCTGCATTCCGTCTGGGTGGGAATCTGTCTCGCAGCTGGCTGCTGCTTCAAGGGTAGGATAAGCTGGGGGAAGTACGGTGTTTGCTGTAAGACTCCAGTGGCAAATTAACACAGACATTTGCCTTGAGCATCAGAAATCGTGGTCATGTGTGTTACATCATACACCCTGTCACGTCTCAGTTCATTCCAATGAATTCTTCTTTAATCTATTTTATTTATTCATTTTAAATGACACAAGTAATATACAAATATATTCTTATTGTAAAAAGCTTGTATTGGAATATAAAAAAGAAAAATTTCCTTGAGCACACTTTCCTCCCTTCATCCTATATAATAAATGAGATGTTTTCTATGGAGCTGGAATTTCCTCTCCTTAAAAAACAAGCATTTTATATATTGTACCTGGGCAGACATTCAAAGACCTCCAAAACTTTTCCAAAGGGAAGAAACCAAAGGAAAGTACTTCACAAAGTCCCCCTAAATCACAAAGTGAAAACATTCCATGAAAAGAAAGGCTGTATATTAATGAGTGTGTGCCTGTAAGGGGGGATTGAATTGGTCTGATTAGTCTAAAAAGTTTAGTATAAAGACCCATGTCAGAGAACCAGGTAGAAAGGAACCCTGAACCATGCAGAACATGTGTACTCATTTGCCGAACTTCAAACTACACACCTATATTAATTTTTAAATTATATCCTATTTTTTTCCAAACTTCAGAAAAGATTATGATGGTGGGGGTTACAAAACAAAACCTGGAAATGTAGTTAAAGGATTCTGTAGATTAGGACCAAACCTTTTGTATTTTCTAAAACAATGGAACCAAGAGTTGGGTTGAACCTGGAGTCAAAAAGAACTGCATTCAGTCCCTGATTGTACCACACAACTAGCTAACATGTGAGCTGGCAGGTCACCTGGGAGCCTCAGTTTTCTGGACTATTCCATGGGACTCATCCCTACCTCACAGGGCTGTTGTGAGGTGTCATGTGACTTTTTGTCTCGCAAACGCCTTGCTCAGTGCTTGGTCAGTGGTGGGCTCCCAATAAACACTAACACAGAAAAAAAAAAGACACTTGTGTGCTTAAACCTGAAATTTAGAGATATAAGCTAACAATCAAGTGTGGCAATGTAGTATATGTTCTTGTAGTTGTGACTAAATGTTATGAACACTTGGCTGGTCTCAGGTTCTGAAACAGATCCTCCCTCCATGTGACTGGGGTGAAACCTAGGCTACATCTGAAAGCATCACTGGAGCCTGAGCATGCTGAATTGTTGGTTTCCTTGATCAGGATACTGATGAAGATGCCATCAAGAGACTGGCAATGTGAATATTACCTCTTTGTTTAGTTCCTAAAACCATGGTTATTAGTAGCAGGATCTTCCTTAGAAATTATTTTTTCACATATATTTTTCACATATGTGTGCATATATATAATTGTGTGTGTGTATATATATATACACACACATATATTTGCAAAGATACATAGTTGTCTTAATTTTTTGTTAGTAAACACATGACACAAATTTTTTTTAGATAATAATGCAGAGTGTGGATATATTAGTATGCATGCCTTTCAGTCCCTATAGACACAGACATTCCTCGAAGAAGGTGAAGAGTTCGAAGTCCAGAGTTGATCATTAAGGTTGTTAGATTTATTTGCCTCTTCTGATGAATGTTTTGTCCGAGAGATACCATTTACTTGAAAATAAAATGTCTGTGTTTCCTGGCAGACTATTTAAAGTAGATGAGTAAGAGACAAAGAGAGGCAGAGAGTGAGGCCATGCAGTTGTCAAGGCCCAGAGGAGGACATGACTGAACGACCAAGGACCACATGCTGAAGAGGATCAAAGAGGTCATCTAATCCATCCCTGAGACATCAATCATTGCCTTGGATGAGACCACTCCTGAACCACTGAAAACATATGACTGTCAAGCCCACACTAAAGGGTCTCAGGAGACACACCCTCCCTCTGTAACTCATTCAGATTCCAATAAACCTGGCAGAAAGTTCTTGCATGTTTCTCCCCTGCCATCTATTACCTATTTCATGGAAATTAAGATGTGTGTGTTAGCATCCACCTCAATAGCATCTCAGGTTTCAAAACCTTGAACTATTAAAGAGTTATTTTTCAGATCTCTTTTCAGATATCACTATGCAATATTTGATATATACATAACATATTTGGGTGAAAGTAAAATAATAAAATACATGGACATAAACCCACAGTCTGAGCTAGGAATTAGTTCCACTGCAGCCACCTGCATATTTCTTTCTGAGCCCATTGCTTTGCCCCTAAGGGTAACAATTATTCTGAATTTTGGATTTAATATTCCTTTGCTTTGTAAAAGTTTTATTATATATGTACATAAAAATTAGATTTTTAGTTTTATAAAAATTATATTGTAAGCATTAATTCCTGCCTTGCTTTTTTCCTTCAAAGTACTATTTCTAAAATTAATTTATGTTGTAATAGTTCATTTATTTTCATTGTTATGTGGTTTTTTGTTTGAATATATCAAAACTAAATTATCTGTTTATTTCTGATGATGAACATTTCAATTCTTTCTTTTTTCACTGTTTCACTTTATCTTATTTTTGTTTTTATTTATTTATATTTTTTGAGACAGAGTGTCACTCTCTTGCCCAGGCTGGAGTGGGAGTACAGTGACTCAATCTCTGCTCACTGCAACCTCTGCCTCCTGGGTTCAAGCAATTCTCTTGCCTCAGCCTCCCGAGTAGCTGGAATTACAGGCGCCCACCACCGTCCCCAGCTAATTTTTGTATTTTTAGTAGAGATAGGGTTTCACCAGGTTGGCCCAACTGGTCTCAAACTCCTAGCCTCAAGTGATCTGCCCACCTCGGCCTCCCAAAGTGCTGGAATTACAGGCGTGAGCCACCATATGCCCAGCATTTTTTTTTTTTTTTTTTTTTTTGCTGTTTTAAATCAAGTTATAAAAAATTTTGAATTTTCATACCTATTTCCAGGGTAACACATGAGCTTCTCTATAGGAATATTTTTCAAACGATAGGTAAAAAGTCATTATTGGATTAGAAAATAAATTTAATAAGCCTCAACAATAAACTTTTTAAAATAAAATAATTAAATATAAAGAATCAGAGTAAAAGTATTTATCAAATGTTCACTTTTATATCTGCATGTTATAAATGCATTGGGTAGCAAAGCTGAGGATAAAGCCAAACTGCTTTCCAAATAGTTGTATCAATGTATTAGATCTATTAATAGATCTCTAATACTAATGGATGGTGTTTTACTTTGTTCCATATTCTTGTCAGTGCTTGATATTGCCAGATTTATAAGTTTTTGCCATTTTAGTATGAAATGTTATTAGGTTGTCAATTTTCATTTCCTTGATTACTGGAAATGTTGCTGGCAATATTGAGCATTTTTATATGTTTATTTGTCACTTATAGATATTCTGTACATTACTTTTTATGTGTTTTTCAATCTTCCATTAGATTGTTTACACTTTTTATTTCTTTGATTCATACATTATATGCTAACTTAAAAAATGTATTGTGTATATTCAAGGTATTCAACATGATGTTATGGGACAGTAAAGAGGTTACTATAGTGAAGCAACTTAGCATATCTATCAACTCACATAGTTTTTTTTGTTTTGTTTTGTTTATCATGGCAAGAGGAACTAAAATCTACTCATTTAGCCTGAATTCCAAACACTGTACAATTATCTTACCAATAGTTCTTGAAGATCCAGTACAAGGAAGGATGCCCACTCCCACCACTTCAATTCAACGTAGTACTGAGAGTACTCTCAAGAGAATTTAGATAAGGGGAAAATAAAAAGGCATCTAAATTGGAAAATAAGTAAAATTATCTGTATTTGCAGATGATGTGATTATATATGTTAAAAACAGCAAAGATTCCGTGAAAGATCTGTTACAACTAATAAATGAATTCTCTAAAATGGCAGGATACAAAAACAACATACAAAAATCAATAGCATTTTTATAAACAAATAAAGACCTAACTGAAAAAACAAACAAGAGGAAAAAAAAAGCTAGGAGAGAGACAAATAATCTGTGTTAAAGTGAGAAAAAAATAAATAAATGTAGACACAATAGTCAAGGAGGTAATGGTGATAAATTTCTGGAACAATAAGAAACATGAACCAGAGAAATCGAATTGTACAGCAAGCAAAACAAATGAAATTAAATTCACTCACATTGTTTGTGAGCATGGAGTACCTTCCCATTTATTTGTGTATTTAATTTCATCAATGTTTACAGTTTCTGTGTATAGTTCTTCCACCTCTGTGATTAAATTTATTTCTAAGTTTTGTTTTCTCATTTTGACACATATTGTTTATCATTTTTTTCATGTATTTTATACTTTTGTTTTCTCATCTCTTGTGTCACTGTGTAACATTCTACTAATATTGTTCTTAACTATATTTGTTTTATTTGTCCGTTGTGCTTTTTTTATTGCGATAGTCTCATTTTACTTTCTAAAAGTTTTATTTGGTTCCTTTTTCAAATAAGCTAGGTTATATTTCAGAATGTTACTCGTTTTTAAATTATATTTTTAAAACTCTTTATACATAGTTATACTATATCTGAAATTTTCAATATCTGAACTGTTTGAGAATCTAGTCTGACTTTCACTTATGGTAGCTTGCTTCGTTGTGTCAGTGTTTGTTTTGTTTTTATATTGTGAACACCTATAGCAGAGGACTTTGTTCTATCTTCTAGTAACTTGAATCTTCTATCACGTAACTTACTTGGCAAAAATTCTGAGGACCTAACTTGGGAATTCTTTTATCTAGAGAGAATTTGGGTATTCTTCAGTTGTGATATAAGGGCTGCTACCAGCCTAGGACCATCTCAGACTTCTTCCCCATCTCAGGTTCAGTTTCCCTTTCTTGTGTAGCCCAGGTTTCATTGATGATTCCAGCATACCAGCTCTGAATTTTTCCCTAGGAGCACATTGCTTTTGTATTACTATCCATTGCTTTCCTTAACACCTGTTTTCAGTTCACTGTTGATTTTAAAATATGTTTATTGTAAATTATTGTGACAGATACTTAAAGATTTAGTCTGCCATATGAAAGAAGCAAAGGTTTGAACTGTCTTTTCACTATTGCTATCTTTCTTCTTGGTATATTTAATGGACGTGGAAAGATGGATGATGTTTCACTTTACCTTCCACTTTATATAGCATAGCAATAGCTCAGAGTGAAATCTTATTTATTTCACTAAGCACCAGTTAGTAAAGCTGTTACAACTCATTTAAGATGTGGGTCTAAGATTTAGATGTGCATTCTAAATTTAGACATCTGTTATGTTTATTCATCATTAACTATGACTTCCTTTTTGACAGTAAAGATGTGGCTGCTTAGGACAGTTCTAAAGTCTTCTTGGAAGTCATATTGTTTTTAAAACAGATTTTGTGAAGCTAAGTTTAAGTTAATCAGAACATAAGTACACACATTCATTAAAACACCCACATGGGTTGAGAAATGATGGAAAATGTGTTTGGCAAAACCCATTTGGCAACTTTCCAAAACCAAAACATTCAAAAAATAGTATTTAATCATTTTTTAAAACTAAAACATGGTCAGATTTTTCAATGCCTAAAAATTTAGTTATTTGGCGTGTTTGTTATGGCAGAGTAACTTTTAGTAATTCTTAATCCTTATTTTATAAATATTAATAGTAAAATCTATATGTTAGGTATTCTTGCATTGACTCTTCCAACCAATTTAGAAACTCAAAATGAGCAGAATCAAAAATGATATGAGACTTGGCCAGGCACGGTGGCTCATGCCTGTAATCCCAGCACTTTGGGAGGCCGAGGAGGGCAGATCATGAAGTCAGGAGATCGAGACCATCCTGGCTAACATGGTGAAACCCCATCTCTACTAAAATACAAAAAATTATCCGGGTGTGGTGGCATACGCCTGTAGTCCCAGCTACTTGGGAGGCTGAGGCAGGGGAATTGCTTGAACCCGGGAGGCAGAGCTTGCAGTGAGCCGAAATGGCGCCACTGTACTCCAGCCCGGCAACAGAGCAAGACTCCGTCTCAAAAAGAAAAAAAAAAAAAAAGATACGAGACTTAACATTATCTGCTATTTTGTACATAGAGGAATGCTTGTGTACAAAGGGAAGCTACCACATGTGCAAACAAACAACTCAGCAATGACCAAATTCCAAATTCAGTTCATTTAAAAAAATTCTACAATTAATTGACCAAAAAGACCAGGAAATAGTCTGAAAAAGACCTTTGATTATCACTTTAACTTTAGTGAAGTAATCATTGTCTTCTTGGTTCTTGGATTTAAGCCGTTATTTTCACATTCATGTGAATCAACAGTATCAATTGCAAATTGGGCTACTCGACCATTTGAGATTAGTTTGCTTGAGAAAATTAGGTCTACTTATCGAGTGCTTAATGTGGCTGTGCTAAAACTTGTTCAGGTTCCCCAGGGTATTAACTTTACTTTGAATCTAACGTTGTGATCAAGATTGTTCACAACTAGCATATTGATGGAGAATATGTTTCCCAAAACATACTGTTTCCCAAAACAAGATAGAAGTTTTAGTCCTCCATTCATCCGATTCTTTGCAATGTGCACCCAGTCATCTGCAAATTATCCTTCGCTTCCTAAATTCAATAACTCTTGAGTTTAGGGCTCAGAGAGCACCTTCAATAGCTCTATTCTAAAAAATCCTAAGACTTGTGGAAGTAACCACTTCTTAAATTCTTTAATGGCACAACCAGAGAACACTTTCTTTAACACTAATAGCAGTCCTTGAATGAATATCTACTATGTGCAAAAAACTTTACACAATCTTCACAGCGATCCATAGACAGTATTATCTCTACAGATATCCATAGAACAAGTAAACTGAAGCTCCTATAGGTCTGTCAAAATAAGAATTCAATTTCTAGTTGAAGTGCCAAGACCTACTGCCCTTCCTCTCTCCCTCACTCAGGAGGCCTGTCTTCCTCTGGGTCTTCCCTCTGCCCAAAGGAGATTTTTTAGGTATCTGTCCTCTCCACTTCTGGGTCTCCAAAACCAAGGTAGCCCATTAGCTTGGCTGAGAGCTAGCATACTCATAGACAACCTGAAAGTAATTTTCCAGGAATACATCCTTAACTCTGATATTTCACAGCTCAGAATGAAATATGATTCACAGAGAACAACTTAGTTTGCCTTCCTGCCTTCTCTCCAATTCTACTCCAAACACCCCTCCTCCTTAGACCACACTCTGCTTAGCCTCCCAGGATTGGCCCAGCCTCCCCACTCCCTGCAGTTATTGATGCATACCCCAAAACAGACCAAAGACTGGATACCCTCCCAAGGTAAACCTCAACCTTCAGCCCTTCCAAAGGTAGTGAGTGCTACAGTTTCCAATCCTCCTGCCTTTCTTCTTCTTATCATTTAATGTCCCCAGAGTACCAAGGAGATGAATATAGTGCAATGTCCTTATGTTCTAATTCTCTCCTGGATTATGGAAATGATTCTGAAAAAAATATTTAAAGATAATTTCATTTTAGGATTGGGGTTTTGTTTCTTAGAAAATACTATAAACATGAAATTATTCTTTCCAAGCAGTGTCTGTTACTCTTCAATTACATTTCTGCTGTTATAACTAGGCAATAATGATTCATGTATTTTAATAAAAACTATCAAGCTTATTTGTAATTTGGATCCAGAGAGATGTGCTGTAACTGTCCTTGGTCCTTAAAATCTTAGCAGAAGAAAGACACTACTAGGCCCATGATGCATAGCAAAAGTGTTCATATCCTTGAAGGTAGGGACTTCCTAGAACACTAATTTTAGGGCCTTGTGCATACTAGACATTAAAAAGGGAACCTGAATAGGAAATATGTCCTTTTGTTTTATTTTAAGTTATATGTATAGACATATAAGCATGAGGCCACTGGATTAAGTACTTTGATAAAATGTGTTAGTGGTTTCACACAGCAGGATGTCAGACACATTTAGAGTAAGTGTTGTTTGTATTCATTAATAGTAGCATACAATCCCATACAGAGATGCTAGTTTTTTTTTCCCAAAGTTATTACAATTGGTTTATGGAAGTTTGTATAGGCATGAAGCTAAAAAAAAAAAGCTGGCTTCTCTGTCCTTTTAAACTCTTTCTAGTAAGAATTTGAGAGCTGTAAACTTACAGCAATAGAGAATAGGAGCTAGTGTTTAAAGCTAAACATATACCTACTATACTTGAGGTCAAACCACTTCCTCAGAGAGTTTTGTATGGAAAGCATCACATCTTTTAGATTTATAGAGACATTTCATTCTATTTACTAATTTTCAAATATCAGGTGCTGACATCAGGGAAATGATACTGATAAATTTTTATGGCATAATATAAATAGCTAAATTTATCATAAACTAAACAAAGAACAGAGCAAATAGTTTGGATAACTGTATTTTCACATAAAACATATTTTCTGTAAAAATGTAAAATCATTCTTTAAATGAACTGTGATGACAATTGCTAGTAACATTATTTTACATGTTTACATAATATTAAATCTCAAAACAAAGGCAAAATGTGTTACTTCTGCACCAAATTTCAAGTATTCATTTTTGAATGATCTAACCTTGATTTTCCATCTATGTTTTGGAGCAAAATGTCACAAACCCTTAAAGCTTGTCTTTTCCTCAGTCATACTTGCCCTCAACTTTAATTCTAGATCCTGTGGTGGCACACACTTTCTCACTCTGCTCTCTGGGGTTTACTGACTGTTTGCTAAGAAGAAAAATCACTATTTTTGTTTCATGCATCTTTCTGCTCCACATAGATTGGTATGAGTTATAAAATAGAAAGAATGCCAGCTCCTCACATATTCAGGTAGACACGAGTTTGTTCTCTGATCCAGGAGTGTGTAAAACCACACAATTGTCTAACGGTGATTGTTTTCTAGTCAGAAAAGAGTCATTTTCTTTCCCTTCACACTTGTTTTCCCTCAGCCCCCATTTCTTTCAAACCTTAAAGCTGGTATAAAAATTAATTTGCATTGAAATGTTTAAGATCAGTTTCCACCATTCTAGCAGAACTTTTTTCTTTTTTTGAAAATCTATGTTTCTTAAAAGACCTATGTAACTTTCCAGAGGGTTTAGAAATAGAATTCAAGCCAAATAATACTCAGTGTTTAGGTGGAGGTGAATAACTTTTTCTTCATAGCCTGATCAAAAAACAAACACTTTCTAGACTCCAGTTTCCAAACCTGACCTCTGAAAGTAAGAAATCGTTCACTGTAGAGATACATTAATTTGGCTATTTTCTGAGTCTTTGCCATTTTGATTTTAAATTGTAAGTACTTTCTGCCTGTTAATAGATCAGGAAGGTTAGACCGCACTCCTCGGGTTTTCCCTGGACGTCTTGGGGGTCTCTGGCAGTGCAAGTGGGCATGGGAGGCTTTCTTCGACACTGCTCTGCCTCACGGCTGTCCACAGGAAAATACAGCTTCTCAGAAAAACCCTCTTCTCTCACCACAGATCTCAACATTATTTCCTCTCTTCGGTCAAAGTGTCTTAGTTTATTGAGGAAAGAGAATCAATAGGGTGAACCTTCCTACCTTTTTCATGAAAGGCCAAATCCTCAACCCCTATTTTGAATTTCAGTTCCATCTTGCATTTCCTTAAAGATTTTGCTCATGCTACTATTCACCATATTCTCTTGGACTAATGATCCCCCATCTTTACTCAACCAATTGTATCACAAAACACTAGTCCACTGACCTGCTTTTTTCAAGGTCTTGAGTGTCTTCCATGCTGCCAGACCCAGGAAGCGCCGATTGTTGGCAATTCCATCTACCTCTCAGGAGCATTCTCCAGGGCTGACTCTCCCCCCTCTTTTCAAACACTCTTTTCTTGGATTCCATGACAATACACCTTCCTTGTACTCTTCCCAAATCCGTAGTTTCTTACTCCCTATTTACTTTGCAAGTCTTTTCTTCAAACAGATCTCTAACTATTGGTGTTCTTCGGGCCAAGTACTGAGCCCATTTCATTTCTCTAACCATATTATTTCCCTAGGTGACTTTATCCAGTTCTACAGCTTTAGATGCCATCTCTATGGTAATGACTCACAAATTTGTATTTCAAACCTAAAGTACTCCCCATCTATCTGATTGTTTCCTCAAAATCCCTGTCCAGATGTCTCACAGACATCTAAAGTTTAACTCATTCAAATAGAACTCTCAATTTTTCCAATAAGCCCCTTTGCCCAGCTTTATCTTAGTAAATGGCACCATTATCCACTCACTTTCTTAAGAGTTACTCCTGATTTCTTCTTTTCTCTTACCATGCCTTCCTCCCCACCCCACACAATCCACCAGCAGGTTCTACTCATTCTATCTTTCTTCTTTATCCTTTTTTTTTTTTTTTTTTTTTTTGAGACGGAGTTTTGCTCTCGTCTCCAAGGCTGGAATGCAGTGGTGCGATCTCAGCTCACTGCAACCTCTGCCTCCCAGGTTCAAGGGATTCTTCTACCTCAGCTTCCCAAGTAGCTGGGATTACAGTTGTGTGCCACCATGCCCAGCTAATTTTGTATTTTTAGTAGAAAGTGTTTCACCATGTTGGCCAGGGTGGTCTTGAACTCCTGACCTCAGGTGATCCACCAGCCTCAGCCTCCCAAAGTGCTGGGATTACAGGTGTGAGCCACCGTGCCTGGCTTATTCTACCTTTCAAATATAGATCACAGTCATCCATTCTATGCCTCCTTCTGCCCAGGTTTCAGACAATTGGTGGCCAGAATCATTGCGATTGCCACTTAGTACATCTTCTTTTTGCTGCTTTTGCCCACCAACAATCCTCCTGTTAAACTCATCCTTTAAAACTGAAAATAAGCTAATTGTAGTAATGCCCACCATCAAACCAATCAATGGTTTATAATTAGGTCCCAGCCCATGTCTGCAGAACTACCTCATGTTCTACCCTTCCCTGCACTGAGCTCAGGCTCACAGATCTTACTCAGGCACCTTGGACATACTGAGATGGGAGTCCTGGTATAAATGGGCTTCCTCAGAAAATACTGTCCAACCATGCCTAAAGAGCCTGCCTCATTAGTTTTTAGCTCAAGTAACAGTTTATATCTTTCATAGTATTGATCACAATTTCTAATGACTATTTTTATTTATGTTTAATCATTTACGTCTTTCACAGAACTGTAAGGTTTTTGTGACCATAGTCACCCTTGAACTCTTCTATCCTTTTAACCTGGTGCCTGGCATGAGTAGGTGCCTAGTAAATAATCATTGAAGAAATAGATGCAATGCAGAGTGCTCACAATAACAGGAATTTTTTCCACACTGCACATATGATATTGGGCTGCTAATTGCGCTTCTAAATATAGAGCAAATAAATTGTGTAAAATAAGCCATGTGAGAAAATGAATATTTCTTGGAGAATGTGAACTTTGCATTCATTTAGCTTCTAGGTCCCAATTTAGGATCTGAGGGCTGCATTAATGTAGGTTTTTGTGATTAATTATTTATGGGGCATTGAAATGATGTGCACCGAAAAGCAGATCCGGCTTTAAGTAGCTTCAATATATCTGAAGACATTACTAGACACAATTCAAAAAATCTACACACAGATTATTACAGGTTTGCTGAAATTATATTAATTATACTTGCTATAACACAACATAGGGAAAAACACTATTTGAAGGACTTTGTAAATGATTAAAGGGGCAGCTGTTTCAAGATCCAGGTGCTAAGGTGGAAATAGAAATTTACATCCAATTTTTTATTTCAAGGATTCTGTTAATCATGATACTATGGGCCTGATTTTCCTACTGACTACACAATCCAGATTTTATTTATCTCAAGGGTTGATGACATTTGTTCTAACATTCACATTATTTTCATAGACAGAGGACATTTTTGTACTCTCATGATAAAAAAAGAAATTAAAAGCAAAATACACAGAAACATTTGAATTTATCTCAGACAATAGGGAGAAATTTATATAGAGACAAAAAAAGAGAATAAATTTCAAAGAGTCTTCAAATGAATTCTGAATTGTAGCATGTATGTTGTGTATACAAATATGTAATATATATGCATGCACTCCCAACACCCCCCCCACACACACACACATGTACACACACATTTCCCTGTAACAGAGATCTGATTGATTTACAAATGGAAGACTGGAATCTTTCCCTCTTGGACCTTCCTTACAACTATAGCAGCCTTTGAGGCACTTATTGGACTTCAGTCTTTTTCAACGTGGAGATAATTAAGCTTTTATGCCCTAAGTTATACATTGTATGTTAGAATTAACTTCTCTCCTATGCATTTAGTATAGCAGCAATTATGTATCATTCTTAGAGAATTAAGAAAGTAGTCACTAAGTTCATTTTATGTGTTCCGCAGTTGAGATGAGAAAATCTATATGGCTACCAGTAATTTGAAAACCACTGATATAAGAGATGGTTATACCATTACACAGAATAGATTTGTCAAATAGACTACAAAATTTCTGCCCTTTCCCCTTTACGTTCCCATAACAGACATTGTTAATCAATCATGGGACTCTGCTCCTGTGTCTGGATGATACCTTTGAATTCTCCTGAACACTGTGCTCTAGGCAGCCATTACCAATCAATCAGAATCAAGAATGCAAGATGAAGTCAAATTGCCATTCTGATGTGGAAGATTAGGGTGATTGAAAAAAGTGGATGAAGAAAAAAGGTAATATAATCAAACCAATCTTCTGATGAATTGCCTACCTTTCCTATTGAAAGGTTTTAACTAGGAACAAATATATTTGCATACCATGAAAGATATTTTAAGCTATTACATATTATCTTTAAAAGCATTAATTCTTTAGGTTATTCAAGATATTATTATCCTGTATTTATTGAGAATAGTCATGTAATTTGACATATAGATGGGCAGAAAGGAAAAAAAGGAATCAAAGTTGTGTACCTATTAATAAGGAGAATGACTTCATGGCTATTAAGAGAAAATTAAACATTTATAAAGTATGAAAAGGATAACCCTTGAAAAAGAGAGACCAAATTGAAACATGCCCTATGAAGTGGCTGATTCTTTTATTGTTTGCAGACAGTATGGACCCCAAGGTCTCCTAAACAGGTACAGTAACAGCTCAATAAAGACCTTACAGATAGAAAAAAACAGTTGTGTCCTTTGCCCCAAAACCTCTTTCCATTGCAGATGGAGCCATATCTTACTGATACTCCTGCAGATTCATTCCCATCCAGACTCTGGGGATATATAGACCACTAGCTGGGATGCTTATCTCTCCAACACCAATGAACCCTGTCTGTCCTCTCTTATTCTACACATGCTTCCTATTGTAATGTCCAGACTTCTTCCCCTATTCCTTTCTTCTAAGCCAGTTCCAATTGTTCTTTCCCTATGTCTGAATTCCTGTTGAAATTCTTTTATTCTGAGCCCCAATTTGTTTTATTTGTTTGTTTTTAGGACTTGGGAGTAGTATCTTGACACTTGGATTCCACCCAAGCTCAAATCTCAGACCCTTATACAGTCCTTGTCACATATTGTCACACCTGAAACTAATGACTCTCTTGTTGGGACCAGTGATGACAACAGAGATGATTAGTAATATCTTCATGTATAATTATAATTATACATGAAGTTAATTATAATTCTCTTCATTTTATGGACAAAGAAACTGAGTCTCAGAAGGGTTAAATACACTGTCCAAGATTCACTGTGAGGAGGTCGTGCAGCTAGATTCAAACCCATGTCTGTTAATCTCTAAGTCTTCTTTTCTTTTCTTTTCTTTTTTTTTCTTTCGAGATGGAGTTTCACTCTTGTTGCCAAGGCTGAATTGCAATGGCGCGGTCTTGGCTCACTGCACCCTCAGCCTCCCAGATTCAAGCGATTTTCCTCCTTCAGCCTCCTGACTAGCTGGGATTACAGGCATGCACCACCACGCCCAGCAAATTTTTATATTTTTAGTAGAGACGAGGTTTCACCATGTTGGCCAGGCTAGTCTCGAATGCCTGACTTCAGGTGATCCACCCGCCTTGGCCTCCCAAAGTGCTGGGATTACAGATGTGAGCCACTGCATCTGGCCTAAGTCTTCTTACCTTTTCTAACGTAACACATAGAAAGTCTTTGCCTGCTCTTCCCCCCTCTAGTAGATCTATTATTATTCATTCATGTATCTATTCATTCAACAAATATTTATAAGCAACCATCAGGCAGGATGTTAGACACTGGGAATACAACAAAGACATATAAAATAGTTCTTGACCCTACAGACCCCCAGGAATGCCCCAAATCTCCAATAACAAGGGTCTGTAGACTTTCCACTTATTCCAAATAATGATAAACTTATTATAAAAGACTTCTTCAAAAGAAACTGTGAAGTCTCGTGTGTGTTTTAGGAATACTATTGTCAGTGAGGAGGATATATTAGATTGTGCATATGAAGGAGTAAAAGATAATTAATAAATTCATAAATAATCTAACAAGCAACAATGGACCCAATCTGGGTGATACTAGGAATAAACAAAGAGGAAGATGAGCCACATTTAGGTTGAATGGCCAGGATTTGCTGAGTGACTGAATGTAAGGACTGAAGGAGAGAGAAGCATCAAAAATGGTTCTAAGGTGGGTAAAAAATATAGAAAAAATGAATAATATCCACTATTTGATATCACAACAGGGTTACTACAGTCAATAATAACTTGTGTACGTTTAAAAATACCTAGAAGAGTATAATTGGATTGTTTATATCCTTTGTAACATAAAGGATAAATGCTTGAGGGGATGGATACCCCTTTCTCCATAATGAGATTATTACACATCGCATGCCTATATCAAAACATCTCATGTACCCTATAAATATATAACCTACTATATACCCACAAAAATTAAAAATAAAAAAACTTAAATGGTTCTGAAGTCTCTAGACTATGATTCTGGATGGCAAATAACACAAATGGCAGAGAATGGATATTTAAAAAAATAGAAACAAGTTTGTGGGAGAATATAGAGCTGAGTTTTGAACTTGTATTTGAGGCACACATAGGGAACCAGGTACATTTCTAGTAAGTACTTGGAAATTACAGTTGGGAGCTTATGAATAAGGTAAGAGTTCAATATAGATATTTGATAATCATCTGTTGAGTGATGTCTGAAGTCATGGGAATAAATGTGATGGTTGAAGGGGGAAAAGTTGAAAAAGAAGAAAAAAGTCCAAAAGTGAACATGAAAGTTAAACTTGCAATTAAAATGCAAGTGAGAGAAGTGGAACTCACAAAAGAGATTGTTGTACACTGCAAAAAATATCCACAATCCCTTCTTCACTCTTCCCTATAGCTTTGCCCATGCAGTGTGGCTTTTAAGTTTTCCTGTCAAGAGGTAGAGTCTATTTTCCCTCATCTTGAATTTTGGTTGCCTTTTAGACTGGCTTTGTCAACAGAATTCAGCAGAAGTGATTATTTGACTTGCATGATTCCACATTCTTATTTAGAACTTTGAGCAGTTGCCAAGTATACAAGCCCAGGCTGTCCTGTGCAAGTGCAAGCTAGAGGATACGAGGCCTTCTGGAGCAGAAGCAAGCCAGCCCAGTAGAGGACATTCTAGGCCAACCATCCCCCAGTTAAGCCAGCAGCTAACCACAGAGACATGAGTGAGCCCAGCTGGGACCAGAACTGCTGAGCCAAGCACAGCCCAAATTACTGACTTGTGGAATTGTAAACTAAATAAATGGTCGTTGTTTTCAGCTATTAACTTTTAGGAGAGCTTGTCATGCGGTAAAAAGTAAAGGTAATTGATACAGAAATTGAGATAGAGAAGGAGGAGAGCCAGCATAAGCTAGCATCAAGATGTAAGGAGGGAAAGAAATACAAAGAGAAGAGAGTGGTTGACAATGTGAACTATTCCAAACACACCAGACATAACTAACAATCTATTGCATTTGGCAATGAGCAGGACTCTGCTAACCTGAAAGTGCAGTTTCAAGTAATGAGGTGGGTGGGGAAGACCAATAGCAGAAGAAATAGAGATGGAGAGTAAAGGCTTCATGTTCAATGTAATTAAGAAAAAGTTCCCTTCCCTGGGAGAGGAGATTAGAGGCAAGAACACTATGATCCTTAGTGTCTTCAGCGATAAAATAAGGAGGTTGTTCTTGATGGTTGTGGAAAATTCTTCCTTTACTTGTACTCTATTGTTAGTGGGAGGCAGAAGAACTTGACACTCATACACACAGGTTTGAAATAAGACAGGTGTGGCTGTTATTACAAACTCCTTCCCCTAATTTGTGTGGTTTTTTATTTAAGGTTACATAGACAAAGTCTAAATTTTCTGATGTTAGATAATAACATTATTGATAACACTAATAATTATATCCACCCACTAGCATAACATATTACATTAAATTAAATGCTATAATGAGCTAGTGCAGTGCCTGGCATATTTTCATTGTTAATAGCATCATCATCATCATCATTGCTCCTAAAACTTGTATAAGTATTTTTTTATTTTTTATTTTATTTATTTATTTAATTTTATTATACTTTAAGTAGTAGGGCACATGTGCATAACGTGCATGTTTGTTACATGGGTATACATGTGCCATGTTGGTTCTCATTGTTCAATTCCCACCTATGAGTGAGAATATGCAGTGTTTGGTTTCCTGTCCTTGTAACAGTTTGCTCAGAATGATGGTTTCCAGCTTCATCCATATCCCTGCAAAGGACATGAACTCTTCCATTTTTATGGCTGCATAGTATTCCGTGGTGTATATGTGCTACATTTTCTTAATACAGTCTATCGTTGATGGACATTTGGGTTGGTTCCAAGTCTTTGCTATTGTGAATAGTGCCACAATAAATATATGTGTTCATGAGTCTTTATAGTAGCAGGATTTATAATCCTTTGGGTATATACCCAGTAAAGGCATTGCTGGGTCAAATGGTATTTCTAGTTCTAGATCCTTGAGGAATTGCCACACTGTCTTCCACAACAGTTGAATTAGTTTACACTCCCACCAACAGTGTAAAAGCGTTTCTATTTCTCCACATCCTCTCCAGCATCTGTTTTTTCCTGACTTTTTAATGATCGCCATTCTAACTGGTGTGAGATGGTATCTAATTGTGGTTTTGATTTGCATTTCTCTGATAACCAGTGGTGATGAGCAATTTTTCATGTGTCTGTTGGCTGCATAAATGTCTTCTTTTGAGAAGTGTCTGTTCATATCCTTTGCCCACTTTTTGATGTGGTTGTTTTTTTCTTGTAAATTTGTTTAAGTTCTTTGTAGATTCTGGATATTAGCCTTTTGTCAGATGGGTAGATGGCAAAAATTTTCCTCCATTCTGTAGGTTGCCTGTTCACTCTGATGGTAGTTTCTTTTGCTGTGCAGAAGCTCTTCAGTTTAATTAGATTCCATTTGTCTCTTTGGCTTTTGTTGCCGTTGCTTTCGGTGTTTTAGTCACGAAGTCCTTGCGCATGCCTATGTCCTGAAGGGTACTGCCTAGGTTTTCTTCTAGGGTTTTTATGGTTTTAGTCCTAACATTTAAGTCTTTAATCCAGCTTGAATTAATTTTTGTATAAGGTGTAAGAAAGAGATCCAGTTTCAGCTTTCTACGTATGGCTAACCAGTTTTCCCAGCACCATTTATTAAATAGGGAATCCTTTCCCCATTTCTTGTTTTTGTCAGGTTTGTCAAATATCAGATTGTTGTAGATGTGTGGTGTTATTTCTGAGGCCTCTGTTCTGTTCCATTGGTCTATATATCTGTTTTGGTAACAGTACCATGCTGTTTTGGTTACTGTAGCCTTGTAGTATAGTTTGAAGTCAGGTAGCATGATGCCTCCAACTTTGTTCTTTTTGCTTAGGATTGTCTTGGCAATGCAGGCTCTTTTTTGGTTCCATATGAACTTTAAAGTAGTTTTTCCAATTCTGTAAAGAAAGTCATTGGTAGCTTGATGGGGATGGCATTGAATCTATAAATTACCTTGGGCAGTATAGCCATTTTCACAATATTGATTCTTCCTATCCATGAGCATGGAATGTTCTTCCATTTGTTTGTGTCCTCTTTTATTTCGTTGTGCAGTGGTTTGTAGTTCTCCTAGAAGAGGTCCTTCACATCCCTCGTAAGTTGATTCCTAGGTATTTTATTCTCTTTGTAGCAATTGTGAATGGGAGGTCACTCATGATTTGGCTCTCTGTTTGTCTGTTATTGGTGTATAGGAATGCTTGTGATTTTTGCACATTGATTTTGTATCCTGAGACTTTGTTGAAGTTGCTTGTCAGCTTAAGGAGATTTTGGGCTGAGACAATGGGGTTTTCTAAATATACAATCATGTCATCTGCAAACAGGGACAATTTGACTTCCTCTTTTCCTAATTTAATACCCTCTATACCCTCTATTTCTTTCTCTTGCCTGCTTGCCCTGGCCAGAACTTCCAACACTATGTTGAATAGGAGTGGTGAGAGAGGGCATACCTGTCTTGTGCCAGTTTTCAAAGGGAATGTTTCCAGTTTTTGCCCATTCAGTATGATATTGGCTGTGGGTTTGTGATAAATGGCTCTTATTATTTTGAGATACATTCCATCAATACCTAGCTTATTGAGAGTTTTTAGCATGAAGGGCTGTTGAATTTTGTCAAAGGCCTTTTCCGCATCTATTGAGATAATCATGTGGTCTTTGGTTCTGTTTATGTGATGGATTACGTTAATTGGTTTGTGTATGTTGAACCAACCTTGCATCCCAGGGATGAAGCTGACTTGATCGTGGTGGATAAGCTTTTTGATGTGCTGCTGGATTCAGTTTGCCAGTATTTTATTGAGGATTTTCGCATAGATTTTCATCAGGGATATTGGTCTAAAATCCTCCTTTTTTGTGTGTCTTTGCCATGCTTTGGTATCAGGATGATGCTGGCCTCATAAAATGAGTTAGGGAGGATTCCCTCTTTTTCTATAGATTGGAATAGTTTCAGAAGGAATGGTACCAGGTCCTCTTTGTACCTCTGATAGAATTCGGCTATGAAACCATCTGGTCCTGGACTTTTTTTGCTTGGTAGGCTATTAATTATTGACTCAATCTCAGAGCCTGTTATTGGTCTATTCAGAAATTCAACTTCTTCCTGGTTTAGTCTTGGGAGGGTGTATGTGTCGAGGAATTTATCCATTTCTTCTAGATTTTCTAGTTTATTTGCATAGAGGTGTTTATAGTATTCTCTGATGGTAGTTTGTATTTCTGTGGGATCAGTGGTGATATCCCCTTTATCATTTTTTATTGCGTGTATTTGATTCTTCTCTCTTTTATTCCTTACTAGTTTTGCTAGTGGTCTATCAATTTTGTTGATCTTTTCAAAAAACTACCTCCTGGATTCATTGATTTTTTGAAGGGTTTTTTATGTCTCTATATCCTTCAGTTCTGCTCTGATCTTAGTTATTTCTTGCCTTCTGCTAGCTTTTGAATGTGTTTGCTCTTGCTTCTCTAGTTCTTTTAATTGTGATGTTAGCGTGTTGATTTTAGATCTTTCCTGCTTTCTATTGTGGTCATTTAGTGCTATAAATTTCCCTCTACATACTGCTTTAAATGTGTCCCAGACATTCTGGTAGGTTGTGTCTTTTTCCTCATTGGTTTCAAAGAACATCTTTATTTCTGCCTTCATTTCGTTATGTACCCAGTAGTCATTCAGGAGCAGGTTGTTCAGGTTCCATGTAGTTGTGTGGTTTTGAGTGAGTTTCTTAATCCTGAGTTCTAATTTGATTGCACTGTGGTCTGAGAGACAGTTTGTTGTGATTTCTATTCTTTTACATTTGCTGAGGAGTGCTTTACTTCCAACTAAGTGGTCAATTTTGGAATAAGTGTGATGTGGTGCTGAGAAGAATGTATATTCCATTGATTTGGGGTGGAGAGTTCTGTAGATGTCTATTAGATCTGCTTGGTGCAGAGCTGTGTTGAAGTCCTGAATATCCTTGTTAACCTTTTGTCTCATTGATCTGTCTTAGGTTGACAGTGGGGTGTTAAAGTCTCCCATTATTATTGTGTGGGAGTCTAAGTCTCTTTGTAGGTCTCTAAGGACTTGCTTTATGAATCTGGGTGCTCCTGTATTGGGTGCATATATATTTAGGACATTAAGTTCTTCTTGTTGAATTGATAACTTTACCATTATGTAATGGCCTTCTTTGTCTCTTTTGATCTTTGTTGGTTTAAAGTCTGTTTTATCCAAGACTAGGATTGCAGCCCCTGCTTTTCTTTGCTTTCCATTTTGCTTGGTAGATCTTCCTCCATCCCTTTATTTTGAGTCTGTGTGTGTCTCCGCACATGAGACCTGAATACAGCACACTGATGGGTCTTGACTGTCCAATTTGCCAGTCTGTGTCTTTTAATTGGGGCATTTAGCCCATTTACATTTAAGGTTAATATTATTATGTGTGAATTTGATCCTGTCACTTTGATGTTAGCTGGTTATTTTGCCTGTTAGTTGATGCAGTTTCTTCCTAGCATCGATGGTCTTTACAGTTTGGCATGTTTTTGCAGTGGCTGGTACCCGTTGTTTCTTTCCATGTTTAGTGCTTCCTCCAGGAGCTCTTGTAATGCAGGCTTGGTGGTGACAAAATCTCTCAGCATTTGCTTGTCTGTAAAGGATTTTATTTCTCCTTCACTTTTGAAGTTTAGTTTGTCTGGATATGAAATTCTAGGTTGAAAATTCTTTTCTTTAAGAATGTTGAATATTGGCCCCCACTCTCTTCTGGCTTGTAGAGTTTCTGCTGAGAAATCCACTGTTAGTCTGATGGGCTTCCCTTTGTGGGTAACCCAACCTTTCTCTCTGGCTGCCCTTAACATTTTTTCCTTCATTTCAACCTTGGTGAATCTGACAATTATGTGGTGTCTTGGGGTTGCTCTTCTTGAGGAATATCTTTGTGGTGTTCTCTGTATTTCCTAAATTTGAATGTTGACCTGCCTTGCTAGGTTGGGGAAGTTCTCCTGGATAATATCCTGAAGAGTGTTTTCCAACTTGGTTCCATTCTCCCCATCACTTTCAGGTACCTAAATCAAATGTAGATTTGGTCTTTTCACATAGTCCCATATTTCTTGGAGGCTTTGTTCATTTCTTTTTACTCTTTTTTCTCTAAACTTCTCTTCTTGTTTTGTTTCATTGATTTGATCTTCAATCACTGATACCCTTTCTTCCACTTGATCGAACCGGCTACTGAAGCTTGTGCATGCATCACGTTGTTCTCGTGCTATGGTTTTCAGCTCCATCAGGTCATTTAAGGTCTTCTCTGCACTGTTTATTCTAGCTAGCCATCCATCTAATCTTTTTTTCAAGGTTTTTAGCTTCCTTGCTATGGGTTTCAACATCCTCCTTTAGCTCGGAGAAGTTTGAAATTATCGACCTTCTAAGGCCTACTTGTGTCAACTTGTCAAGTCATTCTCCTTCCAGCTTTGTTTCGTTGCCAGCGAGGAGCTGCAATTCTTCAGAGGAGAAGAGGCACTCTGGTTTTTAGAATTTTCAGTTTTTCTGCTCTGGTTTCTCCCCATCTTTGTGGTTTTATCTACCTTTGGTCTTTGATGTTGGTGACCTAGAGATGGGGTTTTGGTGTGGATGTCTTTTTTCTTGATGTTGGTGCTATTCCTTTCTGTTTGTTAGTTTTCCTTCTAACCATTTGGTCCCTCAACTGCAGGTCTGTTGGAGTTTGCTGGAGGTCCATTCCAGACACTGTTTGCCTGGGTATTACCAGCGGAGGCTTCAGAACAGCAAATATTGCAGAACAGCAAACATTGCTGCCTGACCTTTCCTTTGGAAGCTTCGTCCCAGAGGGGCACCCACCTGTATGAGGTGTCAGTCAGCACCTACTGGGAGGTGTCTCCCAGATAGGCTACATGAGGGGTCAGGGACCCACTTGAGGAGGCAGTCTGACTGTTTTCAGAGCTCAAACACCATGCTGGGAGAACCACTCGTTTCTTCAGAGCTGTCAGACAGGGACATTTAAGTCTGCAGAAGTTTCTGTTGCCCTTTTTTCGGCTATGCCCTGCCCCCAGAGGTGGAGTCAACAGAGGCAGCAGGCCTTGGTGAGCTGCAGTGGGCTCCACCCAGTTCGAGCTTCCCAGGCTGCTTTGTTTACCTAATCAAGCCTCAGCAATGGTGGACAACCCGCCCCCTGCCAAGCTGCTGCCTTGCAGATTGATCTCAGACTGCTGCACTAGCAGTGAGCAAGGCTCTGTGGGTGTGGGACCTGCCGAGCTAGGTGCAGGATATAATCTCCTGGTGTGCCATTTGCTAAGATCATTGGAAAAGCCAGTATTCAGGTGAGAATGTCCCATTTTTCCAGGTCATGGCTTCCCTTGGCTAGGAAAGGGAAATCTCCAACCCCTTGTGCTTCCCAGGTGAGGTGATGCTCTGCCCTGCTTCAGCTCGCCCTCCGTGGGCTGCACCCGCTTTCCAACCAGTTCCAGTGAGATGAACCAGGTACCTCAGTTGGAATTGCAGAAATCACCCATCTTCTGGGTCTATCACGCTGGGAGCTGCAGACCGGAGCTGTTCCTATTCGGCCATCTTGGAGCAGACCTTGAATAAGTATTTCTTTACTTTGTGCTTAAGTCTACATTATTATATTCCCCACCTGTTGGTCCAGTTCTGTTTAATAGCAATGCTTTATGGTTTTAGAGTATTTGACAGTTTCATCATGTGCTTTTACATCATCACATTAGGATTTACTGAACTTTGTCATATGGTTTCCCTTGGCCACCTTCCGTTCTTCATTGGCCTTATAATAGATTAGAATTAGAAATAGAGATGACTTAAGGTGGTTACAGTAGGATTAAGTTGCAATTGTCAATCAAGGAGGAAACAAGGAATATTAAGCACAAAAGCACAGATATCTGAAGCCATTCAGTGTGGGGGAAAGGAGCAAGCATCTAAATGTTAATTACACTATTATACTTCTGTATAATATAATTGATGTGCATAATGATGACCCTACTTATTCAAAAAAGCCATTAAAGTATATAGATATTCTGTTTTCTAAAGCAGAAACTTTTTAAAAGCTAAGATTGAGCAACAAAATATGTTTTATGAGTAGACTTGGAGGTAAAAATCCAGTACAGTCCAGTACAGAAGGCAGAAAAGTAGAATTTTTCTTGGTGTGGTAGTGGAGATAAAGACTCTAACTACACCCATCTAACTTGATAAAGACCTAATTTGACATCCCTGTTGCACAGGAAGTGTCATCCGGAACCTTAGAAAATGATGCAGAGCAAAGCATAAGATTAATTTTATTTTCAGAAAATAAACATCAAAATATTTAAAATACAGTTTGGTGTATTAAGGGGTATATTATCTGGGGAAAAATCTCTCCTACAGAAAATTGTAGTCCTTCACAATTTTGGATAAATAAGGTTTAACTCCTTTTTTAAAAGTAGGAAATTTTCTCAAATGTCATTTTTAATTATTATAGAACAATTTTACTGACATTCACAGAAGCATAACTTTCATGGGAGAACCTCAAATAAAATTCCTTTATTCCCACCTCATAAAACATTCTTCCTGTGCAAAGTATATCCCTATCTAAGAAGTATGCATTACCGGTCTCTTGAAACACATTGTCAGCTAATATCAGAACATTTTGCCCTAGTTACTAGCTTTTAAATGTCTTCTTTGTTCATGAACTTAAAAGCAGGTCTAATAAATATGAGTTTTCAAGCAAAGAACAAAGAATTAAGTAGTAAACTAGGAATTACAAATTAAAATTAAGGGTGATATCGGTATAGACAAAAAGAAAAATTAATTGATTGATAAAGATCCTCAGGGCTTCCAAAGAAGTCCAGTCAGTCAGCATGACACACATACAAGTTTTACAAACATAATTTCTTTTTTTTATTACCTAGGAACATTAGGATTTACTTTCTTGACTGTAATAATTGTGTGCAGTTAATTATAAATGAAACAAAAGTGTTGGTAATATTAGAGGCTTGTACTCTGCATAAAACTGGAAATTACTGCTATTACTCTTGGTTGCTAGAGAATATTAGGTCATAGATGCTAATTAGCAGTTCATAGCCCTCCTACAGGGGGGAAATCTCATTACCATATGAAACTGTGTTGGTTGCCAAACCCAACACTCACAGCACTCTGACCATTTTTGTTTGAACAATTATAAGGTATGATAAAACTAAAGATCAGCTTTGCTGTGTGTGAGCAGGACCATGAAGGCTAATATACACAGTCTCATATTTGCTCACTAGTTTAAGAAAAACAGCCATATTACACTTTGAGCCACACAGTCGGTGTGTGGGAACTGATTAAAAACAAAAAGACAGAAGTTTTCATCATTACAAAGCACAAACAACAGCATCTCCCACTAAAAATATGCTCTCAAAACAACAAAAAAAGAAGAAACAAAAGTATTGTGGGATGGGAGAGAAATTGAAATGGTTCTAGGACCTCTCTAATAGTTAATTTATTATATAGGTTCATATATATGCATACACACACTCACACACATGACCAGCCCTGACTCTATCTATATTTGTATTTATACAAATACATATAGCTTATGTATCTATATCAGGTAGATAGATAGATGATAGATAGATGATAGAGTCTTTTTAACATAGTCCAATACTTTAAAAAGATGATATTTCTTTGGCTTATTTTGGTACTTTGTTTTTTTTAAAGAGAATTTAGAAGCTATAATTTATTACAGTATTTCCATTTATTCCAATGTACATGTACTTTTATTGACACACAATCATTTGAAGAAAGGTATTGTAAGAAGGAGGAACATATTAAAACTACAACCTGAATTTAGTTATTTCTACTATAGCAAGAGAAATTAGATAATGCATAAATCCTGGCTTCTTAGTCAAATTAGGTTTTATATTGAAATATAAACTACATTTGTAGTGAAAAAGAATATTAAATTCTTTATATTTATATCCTGGGATACACATGGCCATGCACACCAATATATATACACAAACACTAGTGGCTGAAGAAGTGTCCTTAATGAGTGAGACAAGAAACTTAGGAATAAATCAGAGCCACAGGAATATACAGATTCTTTATTTCTAAAAAGGTACGTTCATTTCTGGTCAGTGTAATGACATGCCCCACTTTTAATTGGCTTCTTTTCTCTTCCCAGAAATGGTATATCCATTTTCACCTGTGGAAGTAAAAGTAATTAAAGGAGCAATAACTTGTAAAAATTGGAAGAGTAAATCTTTCTCCTCTGTATTGTATCAAAGGTTCCACGTGCTATAAAATGCCTTTGCCCTCCTCCTAAGCTCTTGCCAAGGCTTAAACATAGTCTAGAATCCAATATAAATGGACTCTGAGTTCATTCCACAAAGGAGAGAAAGAATTGGGGCTCTGGTGAGAATTAGTGAGGAAGACAAACCAACTCTGTCCTGAATCAGCAGGAGACAAGAGATGGGAGGAAGGAGAAAGCTAGCAGCATCTTGTTTTAATTTACACACTTCAACCTTATGAGAAGAGAATTATCTTCTTGGATGTCTTGAACTGAATCAAATCTCTGTTATGTGCGTCTTACTGCCAAATATTCTGACCCATCGTCCCCATGAAAGCACTTTAGATTGTGCTACAACTTCTGCTTGAAAATATGCTGCTGCTGAGATGGCTTGTGGCCATCAGCTATGGGCACCTGCCAGTAGAATATGGGAATGTCAGTATTTCATTTTGTTTTATTTCATAGTAATACATGTCAATTGAAAAAAATCATTAGAAAATTCAGTAGGGGAAAATATCTCAATTTCTATAACAGAAATAATTTTATATTTTGTTAACATTTTGTTCTGTGTTTGCCTGCCTCTACGTATCTGTCTGTCTATAAACAACTATTGCAACAGCTTATATTTGTAATTTGTTTTTTACAGTATTTTCAAACTTTGGTCCTCACAAAAATGTGGGGCGTAAGAATCCTATACAATTGTATGCTTGTGTGTGTATGTGTGTGTGTGTGTGTGTGTGTGTTATTTATCATCCTACTCTAACAATTGTCCCACCTGTTCCATCAAAAGCAAAGGTTAATTACATTTCTGTGGAGCTATCCAGCAGAAGGCTACTTTTCTCTCACTAAATTACAGCAAGAGTAAATTAGAGGTTTTCAGAACTTCAGAGTTTTGATTGATGAATTCATTAATTCACCTTTTCAAAGGAAGTGCTCATGTTTTAAATATTTTATGTACAATTTGCATGTTGGCATTTTTAAGAGCTTTTATAAAAATTAGACAGTGCTTAAGAGAAAAGTCAAACTTATCACTTGGAGCCCGGATGCCTTTGTAATGCACAGAGCAAGAGGCAGGGTTAAGTCTTCCTTGTCTTTCTCTCCCCTGAAAATTAGTCTGTCCTGGGCAGCTCCTTCGGCTGCTTGTATTGTTCCTTTAAATATGGTTAAACAGATATTAGAGTTCCATTACCCAAAGTGAGATTCTCTTTGCCTCAGGGTAGATATGGACACTATCCAACAGAGGTTTGGCTTTTATTTCACCTTGCATATCTACATTAGCAAATACATGAAAATGGCATTTCTATTGTCCAAATGAAACCTTTCCATCCAAGTTTTATGCACTTTAATATATTCTACATCCAGTCATTGATGCACAGGTATCTCTCTACACTTGCAAGACAACCATAGGTGCCTGTGAACTCTGCTTCTGACAGATAGTCTTGCAGTCATTGAACTAATTATCTCTGATTTAAGGAAACATGAATCATTTATATACACATAATGTGACATCAGATAAATAGTAAAAGAAGTAGTAGAAACTGGATGTAATAATCAGTGCCATTGTTTTTTTCTCTCACTAAAGCTTCCAATGTAATACTCTATGCCCCCTCAACACCCCCAATACCTTTTAACTTATTTGGGCTACTTTTGAGAATTCATGAAAAAACAAAGCAATTACAAAAGATTTGTTCAGTTTTTTCCTCAGTTGACCAGAGTTAACCCTGATTTTTAAAAAAATAGAGATAGAGCAAAAGAAAGGTGGGCAATCAACATGATTCGTTGATGGTGTGCAAAATTACCATTTAGTCTTCCATCTAAGATCAGATGGGGTAGACAGAAATGGGTATGCAGATACACATCCTGGCACAAATTCCAAGACAAGTCATATAAAACAGATTTTATTTAAAAACATCTTACAAATAAAAGAGGAGTCTTATTTTAATCCCCTACCTGATTAATGCAACCGCAACCCAAATTGGTTCACACATGCAGAATATTAAGCAGGGATCAAGTGTAACGACTTAGGTTTTCAGGACATTGAAGAAAGAACTGTTAATGTTTATGGAGTTTCATCCTTATTAAAATCTGAGGCAATATTTATGCCTTTCTCTGTTGGTGAGTCCATCCTATTGCTGCACACAACGGTGTGTTCTTGGCCTCATTCTCAGTCCTTAATTTGTACTTGAAAAATATGTACATGTTGAGCCAGAAGCTTGCAGTGCCTAAGGTAACTCTCTAATAAATTAGGCACTTGAGAAAACAGAATTAACCCCTTCACCAAGAGTTCTGCATAGAGACCCACTTCGCTTTACATAATGCATTGTCTGAAAATTTAACTCGACCAAAAAGGTAATTAGAATTTACTGTAATTTTACATACAGCATAACATTTTTAATGTTTACGAAACTGCTTTTATTTATAAAAACTTTTTTTTTCCAAATAATTTTCTAGGAATTTGTCTACTGGGCAAAGCTACATACTTATAAAATGAAAAATATCTGTCCTGGGGAGAAAAATCAACTATGTTTCCCAAACGTGCCCCATACTGTTTTTAATCCACAACATTAATATAATTCACACCTGAGGCATTAGAAGGCTAATCATTAATTGCAAAAGGAGTGTTTAAAGCAAAGTTCTATGTGTCTTATCGATATGCCTATTTTATTTTAATTAAGAAAAACTAAATTATTGGGTTATTGAAAGTGCTGCATTTCTACTTTTCTTTTAAAGGTTGAAGATAGTCCATACTTTCCTTCATGTTCTCTCTTTAATTCAAATGACTGAATGTTCTTTGAAAATATTGGCTTCACGTGCAACTAATCTAAGTTGTTTATAACCTTAGTGTGTTTGAGTCACACTTTTAATACTTAAATGTTTGGCAGAATACTTGAAGAGCTAAAAGACTCAAAACAACACTGAACAAATCAGTAATAATTACAATACAATTATAATTACAGAACAACAACATAGCAGAATGTCTCTACAAGCATTCTAATTGCACACTTCACTTGGTTACCCTTTTGCACCATGCTGAGTTTTTCAGTAGGGCCATCTCTAACCCCAATCCCTTTAAAATACTCATGAAGCAAAGTTCTTTCGTGTTCCAGCAAATTTGCAGCAAGTTATATATATCACTCTATCTCTTCAACCTTCTGATGGAAACTTCTACAATTACTATATCAACATAGGTATAGTAAAGAAAAGCTTTGCCCATTGAGCTCAATCTGATGTTTACATTAGAAATGTTGTGGGAATAAACATTGTGTCTTAGGAATCTAAGTGACTCTCTGACCTAGTCAACCTCTTGAGAAACCTCAAAATTCTTAACTTCTGAATGAGCATATTTACCTTACACAGTCACAAGCCTTCTTCTCTGCTGGGTTGGGTGAAGACAGTGGGTGAGAATTCAATCCTGTAAAGAATTTCATGAGATGTTGAAATTTCGGCAGATAACTTTTTCACTGGACAAAATCTTGCCACTCGGTCATCCTTCCCTGTTTCTATGTTATATACCACCACCCTGCTTTCTCCTTTATGTCAAGTTTTTATTCCTTATAGCACTTTTATAGGCTAATAATCATGTGTTGTATTTATTCTCACATGTTCCTTTTTAAACTAAGTCTAATTTGTCCTTCTTTTGTTGTCATGACATCTGCCCCCTCACAGACTGTTGAACCCATGTAAAATAAGATCATTTGCCAGGTGCAAGTAAACTTGTGCTCCCACATCCCCTGCAAAAAGAAAGTCTTTTTTCCAAATTTCTTCAATATTATGGTTACCAAACATAGTCACATTAAAAATATCAGTTCAAGGATGACATAATAGCAAGATTTTGAAGACCATTTTTTACGGTAGGTGCATGCATTTTTCATATCTTGGAGTTTCCTTTCTGTTCAGCATAAAACTGAATATTCTTTGGTGTAAGAATATAAACCAGACTTACATGTGTCACCAAATTAAACATTCACTGCTCAATTCTGAATTTGCTAAGAGAGGAAATTTTAGCCTAGAATCATAACACACAAGTTAACAAATTCAACTTGCATCTCAGTAAATACTTCTTGTGTCACAGACATGATATGATGCATTTCTAAGAAGCAAATGTAAAGGGAAATTATAGTTTAAAAATCAGTGTTTCAAATATGTGAAATTTAAAATTGGAAACATTTAACAACCATCCATTTAGGATAGTTTCAATGGTCTTTGGATTTAGTTTTACCAATAGAAAAAAAAGTTGTGGTAAAAAATTCTCAAGGTTAGAAACATACCTTGGCATGACAACACAAGGCAAAATATATAACGTTATCTACAGCTTCTGAATTTTAAGCCCAACAATGACATGTACATGTTACTATGGGTAAGTCACTTTACCAGTCAAAATTTGCTCTTTCCATCGCTAAATTGTGGTGATGAAACCCAAATGTCCACCCACATTTCAGAGGATCAAAGTGACTTAATGCACATGAATAGGCCTTAAAATCACAATCAGCATGCAAATACAAACGATTACTATTATTCAGCAATAAAATTAATGCATATCAAAAAATACTCATGTGGGGTTGTATTTCAATATACCAATTCTGTTAAAATACAGATTCCTTTTAAAGTCATAGCTTGGACACATTTATTGGGGCTTCATTTTATTTGATAGCATTGCCCTTTCACAACATTGTGAAATGTTTTATTCACTTGAATTAGTTTTGAAACAGTTAAGTGTTCATTAAAAGAAACAAAATATGCCTGAAAATATATACATGTATCTACCTATGTTTGCATACATTTAAAATACACCGTTTTCAAAACTCACTACATTCAAAATTTGGGGTTTGTAGCTACAACTTCTGTAGTTCTGAATAGTAATATAAATTATTGTTTTGCCTTTTATATAATTGATAATTCTAAATACTAGAAACAAAACTATAGTCGAATTTTATTATTTGCTGTAGATATGTGTTTTATAAAGTCACTGGCAACACTGAATTGGCAAATACGGAACCATTGCTTCTAGGGGAAATAGGTTAGATTTCATCAACCCATGAATACGTAACCTTGTTTTATGTGTCTTTCTGTTTAAATAACCCTTATTTAATATCTATTGTTGATTCATTAACTCATGCCTGAACGAAGCTTATCTAACACACACATTTTCTCCGTGAGGCACATTGTCGCAACCTTCTTGCGCTTAAAAACAATAGACAATACTTCAGCACTATACATGAGGGCCATTTTAAACTGTAAAACCCCCACCACAAACACAAAATTACAAAAAAAAAAAGTGGCACAAAATAGACTGTGAAGAGGACAGTGGTACACAGTATGAGAACTGAAGCAAGAGGGCAGAGCTTTGTCTTGCTCTGCTTCAGCTGGGAAGGGGCACAAAGGTTGAGTCCAGTTTTTCACCACTCTGCACAAATCTGCAAAAGCACCATGAGTATCATTACGAATAAATTTTGTAAGTAAATTATAGATAAATTTTACAAATAAAGTTACAAATAAATTTTAAAGAGTAGCCAAATTTGAAATCTTCAAATGAAGATTGAATATATCTTCTAAGAAGTTCACAGGATTCTGAGGTTGAACAAAATTAGCGACTTATTGGTTCATCCTGTGTGAACCAATTGGTTCACACCAATTGGTTCACACCAATTGGTTCATCCTGTGTGAACCTGCTCTTTGGTAGGGAGCATCGAATACGCTGGAAGCAGAGCTGTAAAGTCAGTACTCACCACTTAAGATTTAGTGTCTGTTTTTCCCCGTAAGTCTCTCATTTAAAGAGCTATCCTGCAAATGTGTTTGTTTACAAATTCTTTTGTGGAACAGGTTAGATGACTATTATTATTTATTTATAATTTAGGACATCTGGGAGCAAGTTTGTGTAAACAAATTCCTTTTGCTTCCTCTCCTTCTACCACAATTCTCCAAAGCTATCATAGTTTATCATCTGTAGCTCAATAGGATAGAGGGTCTCAGTGGAATGGTGCTGACCTGAGGAGCATTTGCTTTCCCAGTCAAGCCATTGCCATGGCCTTTTAAAGATAAATCTGACTCACTCTGGCTTTCATCCTGGTAAACCACTGTCATTACAAAGGAAAAGTTCCTTTTTACCTTGTAGGTTATGTTTCTCTTAATTTCCTACCATCACTTCTGAGAAGAATTCTCAGTACGTGAGTGGGTTTGGTACGTGTGCAAAGACGACGGCCAGGTTTCAGTCATCTGTGCAGAGTTCGGGCTACTTCATCCATTTCCTCTCCAATACCTCATCAGTGAAGGAAGAGGACAAGCTGGCCTCAAAGGTGGAGCTGACTCTTTCTGCATCTTATGACAGGTTCTATTCATTAAAAAGCCTGCTAGAGCCATCATTGTTTATACCTGTTTCTAAGATTGCTGCTTTAGCATTTTATGAGTTGATCTCCAGTGTTCCAGAAATAATATTCCACAGCATGTTTGTTCACTAGATTCTAGTAGATATTCTAATGCAATTAAAAAAAAAAACGCTGGGAGTAGGGACGTTGGGATTTAAGTTCTGCTGCTGCAAGCTGTATAAAGCTGGGTAGGCCACTTAATCTCCTGGGCTTTATTTTCCATATCTGTTAAATAGAGACAGTAATAGCTACTTCAAAGGGTAAATATAAGAATCTACTGAGATAATAAATGCGAAAGTGTTTTATAAACAGTCCAGGGCTTTAGGAATAGGATTTTGTATATGACATACGTCAATGTAAATACAGTAATTACACAGTAATATCATTATTTCTAAAATAATCTTTTAAAATACAGTAAAACCACAGCTTTTTCTGAGCCAGAACCCTTAATTTTGTTATTTTTGTTGTTCCAGAAAAGAAATGTTTGAGGAAATTTATATACAGATAAGTGCCAGGAAACAATAATAGAACTCTTGAGTCTGATATCCATAGAAAGTTCCATGTCTATGCTAGAGGAATAAATCACCCATACGAACCTTCTATTCCCCAGGGCAACCAAACTTCATAAACTGGTTTCCAGGTCCTCAAAGCAGAACTACTAGACATGACACTGTTTTTGTGTCTGTGACTTGGTTGAACTCATAGCCACACCCTCAGAAGCATGAGTGCAAATTTATGCTTAATTCAATTATATGACATGTAAACAATCAAAACAGTGGAGAAAAGCTGCCTTGGCTCAGTTTCAGATTTGCTCACATAATTAGTATTGACCAGCGTCACCAGATAATTGCCAGTCTTGCCCAGTTTTTTAAGTAAATTTTCTATTTTCATTGAGAAATCTACTTCAGATGTGGTTTTAGAACATTTGTTTTGGATGTCTTTCTCTTGACCTAAATTGCTTTATCTCCTGTCTGCAAAGCCCCAGTAACGTTCTGACATTCAAGGCTTTTCATCAGGCCACACCTTTCAGGTGAAATCTGAGAACAGTGGAGTCAAATGAAGAGTTTCACTCCCCACAAACTCCTTTTAGCCATTGTTTTCCCTCACGGTATTCACTTCAAGTCCATCACCCATAAACCAACTAAAATTTGATCAATATATGCTTGTTTAGGACCTTTTTTATGACTAATGCTTAAGCCAATTTAGCTTGTAAACTTAGAGTGGACTTCATCTATATTGTGTTTGATATATTGTGGTTTATTCAATAAACACTTAACAGCAACCAAAGAATTGGACCAATTGACGTGGCAGCTTTATGGATTTAGTGGATGACTGGCACTTTAAAAAATCCTTTAAAGGTCGAATAAAATAAAATATGAATCACTAGAATTAACTGTCTCTGAATATTCTAGGACTACAAATGTTACTGTAATCAACAAACAATGAAAGAATCAAGCTGTTGGTCCACATAAAGACAGACTTCATGAAATCTTACTTCAGTTACTGTTGAGGGAGCTCTCTTGGTATGAAATAGCTCATTTTTAGTACTCAGTTGGAATGAAGTTAGTGTCACTTTTGTGTTATTTTACCTAGAGACACCTAAAATCCTATCTCTTTTTTAACCTTTTTGAGCTTCCTTTCCCAATGGGTAGGCACATCTCACCCCTATATATGTCTCATTGTTAGATGCCGTAAGTATCTGATGAGTAGCTCTGCATAGTCCACTGATCTTCTATAAGGAAATTAATCCCTTCAGGGGAGAAAACCAGGTCTCCTCCACAGAAACAAAGTTTTATGTATACAGGAACTGCCGTAGGTTTTATGAACCCTTAATATTTAGGGAACAGATTTGGTTGATTCTAAAAATCACCTCTGTCCCTTTTTAACTTGGTGGTATGCTTCAATTATACTTTGTAAAATAGAAGGGACTGTGGAATGCCCCTTGACAATAGCAATGTGCAGTAGCATATATGCCCCACATTTCACTGAAACAAACCTGTTTCCAATTCATTTTAAAGGCCTTGTGGCCTTTATAAATGTTCTGGCTGGCCACCTGATGAATATGACAAGCACTTGGCTAAGAAGACATGAATGAGGTCACTGTGGTATTTATGGCTTTCATTCTTTCCTTTGGCAAATCATAGGGTTCAACGACAGGGGAAAAAATAGTATTAATACCCTGAGTATCAAAGCATGAGTTACTCTTTTCTCCCCCTTTTATGAATCAAACTTACTATTTTCTTTTTATAATTCAGAGGATGCATCAACAAGGAATTTGAAAAGCTGATTTTGTGAGGGCATGATATGTGTCTTCCAGGAAAATTAGCAGCATTTTGAAAACTCAAACACCTTATTTATAAAATCCAAGATTTGTAGCTTAAGTTTAACCTTTGAGTTGTTAAAAGTAGTTAATGGTATCATTTTATTAGTTATAATAACATATCAAATAACTATAACTGGCATGGACTGTGTGCAAAGTGCTACACTGAGGGCCTTAGAAAGTCCAAAGACACTTAAGAGATACCCTCAATGAGCTGATGGCATCATCAGGGAAATGTATACAAAGTGACTATTCAAGAAAAAAATAACTGCATACTAGGATAATGAAATTTAAAATAAGACTCTATCTTTTACTAAAAATTGCATGCCAGGAGGAAGAGAAGACCAACGTAGGCAAATAGCTTCAAGTCTCTTTGCTCTTTAAAATGTCAAAATTAAAGGCTTTATTATATTTAGATACCACCTAAAACCCTTTTTGCGGAAGCCTTTTGGGGTTAGTGGTAAGAGTGTGAGTGGGTAGATTTAGGGACATTTGGAAGAGGAAATGGGAAGAAAAGTAGCTTTTGATATTCGGAGTGATTAATATTTGGAGACATCTAATGGTACATTTTTAGAGGGGCAGCAGAATTTATTCTTGCCCTAAAGGCTTTGTCAGGCTTTCATTAGAAAAGCAAAATCATTAATATAACACATTTAATTTACAACTGAAGACATTCTTACTGTCATTTATCAGATGGGGGAAAAAGGTTATAGATTTATATCAATAATCTATAGAGATTAAAATGTGATCCTTGATCTCAAGGACACCTTCTGTTTATTCCTGAGCACCTAAAACTGTGATAACCAGAAACTAAACTCTTGAACTTTCTCCCATTTCTCTTGCATATCCTATAGCTGGAAGGACACCACTAAAATTCCAGCCTTTTTCCTAGTCACACCTATGCAGTCATTATCATCTTTAGCTCTGTATTTGAAATGTCTCCTACATATTCCACCTTCCACTCTGTCCTGTACATGGTCTTTAGGCTAGCCTGCTTTTTTGACCCTCCTCCACACTGCCAACAGAGTTCTATTTCTAAAATGTAAACATGTACAAGTCACTACTCTACTTAAAACTAGCTAATAACCATACACAGGCAAAGGATAAAGTCTAATGCATTTAGCATGGTAGTAAAAGGTCATTTGCCATCTGGCTCCCTCTTTTCTTTTCAGCCCCTTCTTCCTTCATTGTCTCCATCCATCTTGGTTCTAGTCTCATTGAACTGTTTGCAGTTCCCCAAACCTGCTGATATATACGTCTGCCTTTTTACCTGGTGTTACTTCTCCCCATCCTTCAGAACACAGCTCAACTGTCACCTCCTCTTGACCACTGCTTTGCCGAGGGAGAGTCAGCTGTTTCTTTTTCTGTCCTTTATCATAAAACTTAGAACATATTATTGGAATTTATCATGCTTTCTGGATTGTGTGCTCTTCAAGAGCAGAGGCCATAAAGACCATTCGTCATTGACTGTCCATCATCTAGCAGTGCTCCCTAAATTTTGAGTGAGCGACTGAATGTATCTTGCTATTTTTCTTACATTGAATGTGAGTTGCTCAGTCATGGACAATATCTTATTTATCTTTGTGCTCAGAGAAGCACCTGAGAGAGATTAACACTGGCTAAATGTTTGTTGAATTAATAAGTTAAAAATTACCTGATATCCTGAAAATAGACTGATTGGCTAAATTTATAGGGTAATACCTAGCTATAATATTGTCCCCAGAGGCAGTGAGATTTTTTATTATTTTAGTATATTTTTTTCTAATATAAATTGCATAATTTATTTGCAAAAGGTGTTAATAAAATTATTTTTAAATTCTGTGTTTATAGGCTAAGATTTCTAGAATCTTTACTTTAAAAATGATAATGATAGTTTCATTTTAGAAGGTAAATATAGCACTCTTTCTCTTAGCTTATAATTACAAAACAAAATTTTTTGCAATTAGTATTTTTTAAGCTAAAATTACATATTGAGGGCTTAAGGCACTGTGGTAAGCACTTTCTATGTCATTTAATGCTTACAGTAACCCTATGTGGTTTAAGTTCTCTTATTAGTCTCATTTTGCAGATACAGAAACTGAAGATTAAGAACATCACCCTGCCCAAGTTCATACAACAAACACAAAGTAAGATTGGGATCTGAGACAGTTTATCATTTACAAAAACAGAATGTTAGCTATAACCCTCCTATATCCTTTTTTGCTATAAGATACTTAAGTAAAAGTCCTAGAGAGGACATTTCTCTTAATTAATAAAATATTAGTGGTATAAATCCATTTAATTATATGCTACAATCACACGCAATGAGACAAAACAGCTTTGCCTAAAGCAGCGCTGAAAAGACCATTGTCCTCAAACGATGTGTATCAAGTACATCCAGCCATACTGCATGTCCAGCCATACACATATATTTATTGTGTCCTAGGTACCAACTGCTCTGTTATGCACTTTATATTTGTAACCTCATTAAATACTGAAAAGCTCTGAAAACCCAATGCTATAACCACTATTTTCTAGTTGAGAAAACATATTCAGAAAGGTCACCTAAGTGCCCTTTATTAATGTTTTATTTTTTTAAATCTCTAGTTAGTGAGCAGGAAAACACAAATATAGAAAAGTGTGCAAATCTATAAAGGTTTCATACAATTAATTATCACAAAGCAAACACCCAAGTTACTATAAGGCAAGAAATAGAATCTTGGCAGTTCCCAGAAGTCCCCTTACATGCCTTCCCAAGCACAATACGATGTCTCAGACATAACCCATGATAGAGTTCTAAGACTACAGCTTAGTTCCGTCTGTTTACAAAATCTACACAAATTAAATGTTTGAATGCATATTTTGAATCTTACTTCTTTCAATACTGTTTATAAGGTTAATCCATTTTATTATGTATACTCCTGTTTCATTCCTTTTCATTGTTATATAGAATTCATTTCTTTTCATTGTTATATAGATAAATGTAAATATATATACACATATACACATATGTATGTATATATGTACATACATAAATTTCAGTTTTATTGTTCATAAGCACTTGGATCGGCTTCATTTTGGGTTTGCTCTTAATAATTTTGCTATGAATCATTTTATACATGTTTCTTTGTGGCCCACATGCATGCCTTTCTCTGGGTGTATACCCAGGAGCAGAATTGCTGGATGCTATGATACATGCATATTTAATTTTAAAAGACAATGACAAACAATTTTTCAGAATGGTTATAACAATACATACTCTGTACAGCAGTAAAAAGAGATTCAATTGCATGACATTCTCATGAACTCAATATTTTCAACAGTTATTTGGTCTTTTTATTTTTAGCTATTCCAATGTGTATAGTGGCATATCATTGTGTTTTCAATTTGTACTGCATTGATAGCTAATGAGAATGAACACATTTGTATATTTTATTAGTCATTTTGATATCCTTTTAAAGAATGTTTAAACCTCTTGCCAATTTTTCTATTGTATTTTATGGGTTTTATATTATTACTATTGATTTGTGGAACTTTATATTTTCTGTATAGAGCTCTTACACATTTCTTATTAGAATTATTTAGGGCTAATGGCTATTTTTGATGATATTTTAAACAGTTTATTTTTCTTAAATTTTGTATTTCAAATGATTTTTGCTAGTATGCAAAAATACAACTGATTTAAAACTGTTCTTGTACTTAGCAACTAAGCTGACCTATTATTCCCATAATTTATCTATAGATTATTTGGATTTTTGACATATGCAATTATAGTATCTATTAATAATGATAGGTTTATTTCTTTCTTTATGAAACATATTGTTTATTTATTTTCTTTTTTTATTATACTTTAAGTTTTAGGGTACATATGCACATTGTGCAGGTTAGTTACATATGTATACATGTGCCATGCTGGTGCGCTGCACCCACTAACTCGTCATCTAGCATTAGGTATATCTCCCGATGCTATCCCTCCCCCGCTGCCCCCATCCCACAACAGTCCCCAGAGTGTGATATTCCCCTTCCTGTGTCCATGTGATCTCATTGTTCAATTCCCACCTATGAGTGAGAATATGCGGTGTTTGGTTTTTTGTTCTTGTGATAGTTTACTGAGAATGATGATTTCCAATTTCATCCATGTCCCTACAAAGGACATGAACTCATCATTTTTTATGGCTGCATAGTATTCCATGGTGTATATGTGCCACATTTTCTTAATCCAGTCTATCATTGTTGGACATTTGGGTTGGTTCCAAGTCTTTGCTATTGTGAATAATGCCACAATAAACATACGTGTGCATGTGTCTTTATAGCAGCATGATTTATAGTCCTTTGGGTATATACCCAGTAATGGGATGGCTGGGTCAAATGGGGTTTATTTATTTTCTTGGCACATTTAACTAGCTAGAATTTCCTTTACAATATGGCTTATCCCATTTACACTAATGTAATCCCTACTATATTTTGGTTTAAGTTGATCATCTGCTTTTTATGTCCTGCATTTTCTATGTACTTTTTCTTTTCTTCCCCATTTTCTTTTGGAATTATTCGCTATTTTTTTAATTTTTCAATTATACTCTAACCCTATTAGCTTTTCCTATTCCTTTTCTGTTTATTCTAGAGATTGCCACATGTATACTCCTAAATTTCTTCAAATCATTATATAAATTACTAATTTTACCTTTGACCTAAGGACCCTGGAACACTTGAACACCATTGACTTCTCGTGTATATAAATTCTTTGTATATTGTAACTTCTAGAAGATGTTATTAATATTGTTTATTAAATTTAGCATTAATTTAGATTTCCCCACATGTTTATTTTATGTTGTTGATGGTGGTGTTTTTGTTTAATTCCTCTTGAATCTACAACTTTCCATCTGGGATATCTTTCCTTCTGCCTAAAAAATATCTTTTGGTGTTTCTTTTAGTTTAGGTCTGCTAGTGATGAATTTTCTCAATTTGTTTCATTTTAAAATTTTTTTCCTTTCCTTCCTTCCTTCCTTCCTTTCTTTCTTTTTCTTTCTTTCTTTCTTTCTTTCTTCCTTCCTTCCTTCCTTCCTTCCTTTCTTGTTCTCTTTCTTTCTTTCTTTCTTTCTTTCTTTCTTTCTTTCTTTCTTTCTTTCTTTCTTTCTTTTTTTCGATGGAGTCTCACTCTCTTGCACTGGCTGGATAGGAGTGCAGTAGCACTATCTCAGCTCACTACAACTTCTGCCTCCCCAGTTCAAGTGCTTCTCCTGCCTCAGCCTTCAGAGTAGCTGGGATTGCAGGCACCTGCCACCATGCCCAGCTAAATTTTGTATTTTTAGTACAGACGGGGTTTCACCATGTTGATGAGGCTGGTCTTGATCTCCTGACCTCAAGCAATCCACCCGCCTCTGCCTCCCAAAGTGCTGGGATTAGAGGCGTGAGCCACCGCACCCAGCCTAACTTTCATTCTTGAAGGATATTGTCCCTGAGTATTAAATTCTAAGTTGACAGTTATTCGCTTTCTTGTATTTAAAAATGTTACTGTCTTTTCTTCTGGTTTCTATTTTTTCTTTGCAGAAGATAGTTGTCAGTCTAATTATTTTTCCTTTTATATTTTCTTCATGTCCTTTCTGGTTTTAAGATATTCTTTTTTTCCCTGTTGGATTTTAGCAGTTTATTTAGATACAATTTTTTAAAAAATCTTTCTTGGGGTTCATGATACTTCTTGAATATGTGTCTTGATGGCTTTTTTCAGTTGTGGAAAATTCTCAGCAATTATCATTTTATCATTGGTCACTTATACCTCATTTTCTCACATCATTATTTCTGGGGCTCTGGTTTCATCGCTATTAGACCTTCTTAAAGTGTCCTCTATGTTTTTACCCTCTCTTCTTTAATTTACATTCTTTTTACTCACCATTAGTTTGGATAGTTTCTTCTGATCCATCTGTTGGTTTGCTTATTTGTTCTTCAATTGTGTCTAATGTGCTGTTACCTCCACTGAGGTAATTTCTGTATAGTTCATTTTTTTCTATAATTCAAGATCTCTGGTGAACTTCTCAATAATATGTGTTTTCTCCTTAAATATATTGAACGTAACTATTCTAAAGTCTTCATTTGTCGTTTTGAATGTGTGTTTCTGTAGTCTGTTTACCTCCTTATGCTTTCTTGTCTGCTTATGCATCTGATTACTTTGATTGAGTGCTGAACATTGTATATGAAAAATTATGGAGATAAGATTAGTCCAATACTGACATTGTCTTCCTCTAGAGATAACTTTTGATGACTTTTCATTGGCAGCTCTGCACACTAGCAATACACTCTTATCTCACTCTATTTTCAAAGATTTAGATTATTTAAATCTGGGCTTCATTTCTTTTGAGATGCTGTATACTTCTGGTTTATTCTTCTCCTATAGTCTTTACTCCTACAGACCTTTGAAATTTTAAGCCAAAGCACTGGTGTTATACCAGCACTACCAGCAGCGCCTCTATTTTCGTTTTTGTCCTCCAATCTCCACAAGACTATTGGGAGCATTGTTTGCAATCTTCTTGGCTACTTAGCCACCTATTCAGAAATGGGCAGATACCGCTAGGAAGAAGTGGCCCCAAATGCAACATTTATCTTTCTGAATATCTGTCTTTTTCAATCTTGACCCAGTAATCTTTCCATGCCTTATTGCCCTTCCGATGTCTTCAAGTAATTTGTTTAAAAATATTTTTTCTGCTTTGCTAGTGGTCCTCAGCAGGAGGCTGTCAAGCTCACCCTATCCTTCATTACTGAAAGTGCATGTTAAAAGCCCGCTTTAAACTCTGACAAGCTGACCTATTAAATAATCGTGCCATTATGCAAACACCCAAATAAATATTTGCTTGTTAAGCCATCTTTGGAAGCTAGCCACCTATTCTACCATTTTACCATTTTGTAAAGAATTTCCTATAGGTCACTGTTTTTAGAGCTACTTTGTAAGTTAGTGCCTCCCAACCCCTGCCAAATTTAGTTACTTTTAAAGTTAAGTAAGTCCCTTTACTCCCAAATCCAACTCTTTGATTACAAACTTTAATTATGCCCCATCGGTTTAAAACTTTTGGCTAGTTAGAAAAAAATAAAATCCATGTTACATACATAGAGCATGGCAACCCACACTTGAGTGTTTAATAAAAATAAGCCAGTTTCTGAAGGCACTCTGTGAGGAAAAATTTCAAACATTATTTGAAAAATGGCCATTTTATTGGGGTGTGTATAGAGGCTCCCCACTGGCAATTTCGGAAAGAATGGTAAATATTTGGATATGTCAGTATTCTTGCACTTTAAAAGAAAATAAAACCTTAATATTACAGTCACCAATTTTTAAAAAAATTAAAAACTCTCTCTCTTCATTTTTGATCAAATAGCATAGAAAGCAGTCCACACCCATGGTGTATTTATTTACCAACCCTTTTGTTACTAAAAATATTTTGATTGTCTTTGAAACACAGCAAATGTCTTTTACCCTTTGGCACTGCCAATTTCGTTCCATGTTCAACATAGTGCTTTGGGGGCGGGAGAGTTCTCCATCCATAAGGCCACAGATTGCAGCAGACATATGGCCACGCACAGTGGAGCATCTCTCACATTTGGAGGAATAGACTCTCTTGTCTATTACCAGTCAGGCCCCTGATGCCCCCCACGGCATTAACATTCATCCCAGTTTGGATTGCCTCTCTGATCTGCCTCAGATGGGTTGATTAACTTTGATTAAGGGCTGAGTCTGGTCAAGTTCTAAGTCGCATGGAAAACGTTCATATGCCTCTATGGTTTCTTAATCCCTTATTACAGCTTCCTGAAAAGGAGACCGCTTTGTTTCTGGATCACCAACAGTTCCATTTGGAACCAACCACTGTTAAAGAACACACGTAAGGATAATCCCACTTCACGGTCTGCACTACTGAACCCTCGGCCTGCACCCTGGGTATGTAGTGAGGCCCAAGGCAGATGTTCCCGGGCAAAAGCATTAGTAACAGAGCAGCTGTGCACAGAGAAGGCAGTTTAAATCTCCACTGTTTCCTGCACAGCCCCTTTTGGATTCTAATCTCCCATTTTCCCTATCCCACAGCCCTTTGACAACTTTAGAGCCAATTTTTATAAATTGAATTTAGACGCCTTGGGAGATTCACCAATGCAGGTGCTAAAGGATACTAACTCTACTGTGGCTGAGTTATTTTTAGGGCTATAGTTTAGCTGGGAAGGAAAATAAGGAGTTTCCCCCCTTCTTCTTAAGCATAACTGCCAGAAACTAAAACCATCCCTTTTCAGAGGGGAAATGCCTGCCTCCTTGCTGGGACTTGATAGCTCAAGGTTATCTGGGGAGAGGAAAGGTTATTTCAAGTACTTGGATACTTCTTCTATACTTGTATTTCCCAAGAAAATAAAACACTTCTTCAAAACCGCAGTAGCCTAAAAGCAGGCAGATGTTCCTGCATGGTCCTAACTGAAAATGCCTTATCTAAGTGAATTTTCTTTTTCAGCTTGAATTACCTGGTTTCTCTGGCTATCATGAGCAGATTAACTGAATCATTGCCAAATCTACTCTTGATTTTGTTTTCTTCAAGGACATATTTTTCAGCTTAAGCAAAGAGGTATAAGCTGAACAGGACCTGTGAGACACAATTTTTGTGAACACATTTTGTGATTCCAAAAGCCTGTGATGATCCTGAGAACCTGAGGTCAAATCTAGCTGCTTTAAGCATTAAAGAAAATGTTCTTGTATAGAAGGATGGAAGACTAGGACATGAATACAGTTGCCTCTTTGGTATGAGAACTCAAAATTATCAACATATATGTGGTTTATAAAGGATACAAAAGTTTGCAGGAGCATTTTGAGGAGGTCCATGCTGCATCTGGCAAATAGAGCAGGGGACAGGTCACATGGACTTCTGGTTCCCACCATCACTGTATTAAAAGGATGAAGTCAGGCTAAAGAGGTGCACCTACTCTGGATTATTCCACCCTCACATTCAGGTGGCATGTTAGATTCACTGCTGACTATTGCTTTGTTTCACAGTAGCCATTTCATGAGTTTGTGAGTGTCATAAGGATTAAGGGGCACACAGTTGTCGGGTTGGGTTAACTCCTCCAACAAAGTACCCCAAATCTCAGCAGCTTTATAAAATACAAGTTGATTTCTTCTCATAGCACGGTTCAGTGGTAGCCAGGAGGGCACTCTACTTGAGATCCTTCCATTTAAAGCCTTGGAGACCTCACACACAACCCCTACAGGCAGCAGGCAGAGTGTAGAGGGTTGAGCAGGTTTTATTGGCCAGGCCTGGAAAGGGTGCACACCCCTTTACCCACATTACCTTGGCCACAGTCCAATCCCCAAGCTGCTCCTAAGGGAGGCTAGACATGTAGCTCAGCTGTGTGCCCAGGAGGAAAAGGCCAACCATTGGTGAACACCTTGCCTGACTCTGCTGTAAGCAAAATACTAAAAATTGTTCTGCTCTATCACACCAAAACCTATGCAAGAACTTTTGTATACAGACACTTCAGCTCTTTTCAAAAGGAGTCAGGAAGGGTAGCTCTTTCTTTAAAAAGGAGACTGTGAGAATAGTGAGGCGAAAAGAATGTGGCACAGGGTAGGTACCCAGGCCATGTTTGTGGGGTCCTTTGGAGAAAAAAGTCATGCTGTCTGCATTTAATCCTTGGCATCCTAATGTTATCAGGTGATTTTGTGAGCATAAAAATAAAGCTGTACTTTTTGTAAGCGGAAAGTCTCATTATATCTGAGGTGAGTCAGGAAAGGAAGTGAAGGGAAAGTATCTATTTTTGGGTTCTGAGCACAGCTGAGGAGCCCTAGATGCTTGCCAGAGAGGCACAGCTGCAGAAGTGCTGCACGGCTGTCCATCCACCTGCACGCCGAGCCGGGTGCCATGCTGATTTTCTCACCGTGTGTCTTGTCCTCTTTTCTGAAAGTTGTAAGAAGCAGAACCAAATATGACAGCATTTCCTCAAATGTTAAGTGCCCTTACATGATTCTGATAAATAAAATATCCCGGGCAAGAAAAGCTTTCATCTACATAAAAGGACCTTCATCCAGTTTGCCAAATTTGACTCCCATGTATTTAAATGCATGTTATGAGCAGCAAAATATCTTGGTCTCACTCTAATTCTATTTACCCAGCGGTGGTGGTACCTTGGTTATTAGTAACCACATCCTATCTAAATGCTTTTGAAGCACACGACAAGGACAGTTGCCAGGTACAGTAAACACCGGATTAAAGTAATATTACCAAGCACTATTTTATGAACCCATTTAAAATGGTAACCTGGCAACCAGCTTGCTTTTGTCCAAATGGATTACATAGCCATAATTTGCACTCAGAATTAATTTTCAAAAAAGTTTCTCAAAAACAAACGACAGGTCCAGGTAAATATTTAAATGGGCACACACTTGGAAAATGTTCAGAGAGAACTTGCCATCCTAAAAGAACAATGTGGTGCTAGAAAAAAAGCCTGCCAGAATTCCTTCAATTAAGCAATTTGAAATAAAACAAGGATTATGCTTAATCTAATTATATATATTCAGAGGCTCAGCATCTTTAAAAAACAAAATGAAAGTCAGTAAACTGAACTACATAGATAAATTAGGGAACAAACAGGAACCCACTCTTCAGATTAGCTGAGAAAGGCCGGGCTTCATGGCCCTCATGGATTAGTAGATCCCCTATGACAATCCATTCAGTTGCTGAGAGTTAATATGTACCTCATTTGTATCTGGTGCTGTGGTGGCACTGGAAGTATTAGAGGTGAACAAAACAGATCCAGGACTTTGCTCCTTGAGCACAGAATCCAGGCATTGACAAAGGGTGGCATCTTACCACTGGAGAAGATTGGCATGTTCTAGGAGTTTATAGCACCTTAGGCTGTGGCATCTGGATGGGCTTTCCAAAAAAAGTGAAATTAAAGTTGAATTCTGAAAGATAAATGAGAACTAAATAGAAGAAAAAAGATGAGGAGGATCGGGATTGGGAGAGAATTCTTATAGATTCCACAGTGTGTGCAAAAAGACCTAAAAATCAGAGAGGGCGTGGCAAGTTCTAGGTATTCAAAGAAGTCAGTAGGTCTAGAAAATCATGGCAAGGGCTAGAGGGGTAGGAGAAGGGACTGCTAGGTGGACAATGGATAGATCAGAGGACAAATGTTAAACACTTGGGACAGAAACATAAAAGATGTACAACAGCAACAACAACAAAAATGAGTAAATATTTATGTATTTATATACATACATTCATAAATATATATGTATGTAGTAGTCCCCCTTCATCCATGGTTTTATCTTCTGCAATTTCAGTTACCCACATCAGCCATGGTTCAAAAATATTATGGTATTTCAAGAGAGAGAAAGGCTATATTTACATAAATTTAATTACAGTATAATTTTCCTATTTTATTATTAGTTATTGTTATTAACAATATACTGTGCTTAATTTTTAAATTAAACTTTATCATAGGTATATATGAATAGAAAAAATAGTATATTTAGGGTTTGGTACTATCCAAGATTGCAGGCATCCACTGGAGTTCTGGGAGCATATCCCTTGCAGATAAGAGGGACTACTGTACATACATATCTATTGTTCATATATATGTTTGTGTATATATATACGTGTGCATATATATGTATATTTTATTCCTCCCCTTTCAATGGCCAAAAAAAATCTGTTTTATTTTAACAAGAAATGCATGGTAAAAATTTTGAACAGATTTATAAAGCAAGTACAACTTTAAACTAGAATCAGTTTCCTAATATAGTCCAAGAAAGGACTTACTAGAGGTTAACCTATGCTGGAAATGATAGTTGGTCTAAACAAACAACCAGTAGTTATTGAGTGTCTACTCTGTTTCTATCGTAACTGGTTAGGCAACTGGAGATAGCAAAAGAAATCTACCTGCTGAATGGATCAATGAAAATAAATTCAGACATAAGTCTTTTCCCTTAAGACACTCAGTTATAAAGACAAAGCCAGAAATCATAAAAGCACCTGGGAGTAATTGAATGTTATGATGGGCAGCACAATCAGAATGCAAAGCAAGGAATGATTTAGTGTATAGGCTAATCAGGTCACAGGTGATGAAGGAGTTGGTGCTAGAATTAGGCCTTCAAGTATGAATGGACAATAGAAATGGAAGAGAAGGTAGAGTGAACGTTATGGAAGAAGCAGTAGGAGTGGTCATAAACAGAGCAGAAAGAATCTGGAAAAATGACCACACAGATGGAGAGGATCTACGCAAAGAGAACTGCAGAAAATCAGTCAGAAGGCTCAATACTCTGGGTGCCTTCCCCTGGACCAGGCAATAAGAAGGAATAAAATCAGAGACTACCAGTTCCCGCCCTCAGAAGGAGATAATCTACCTGAGGCACATAAATATGAAAAAATAAACAGAGAACCTTTAAAAGCCGACATATACGAAAGGACCCTAAAGACAGTAGGTGCTTAGGAAAAGCGATTTAGCACTAGAGGGTGTGTGTGTGTGTGTTTGTGTGTGTGTGTGTGTGTGTGTGTGTTGTTTTTTTGTTTTGAGACAGGGTCATCCTGTGTTACCCAGGCTAGTTTCTAACTCCTGGGCTCAATGGATTCTCCCCACTCAGCCTCCTGAGTAGCTGGGACTGCAGGTGCGCACCACTGCACCCAGCTTACTTGAGGTAAATTTTTAATATTGCACTGTTTGAGCTTGAAAAGATCCTTTGTAGTTGATTTGGCTAGAGAGGGAGTAAAGGGACTGTACAATATAATCTTCCAGTTTTAAGCACATGGATTCATGCATGATCAAACACGTCCTTCACATATGAGTATATGCACATGGCTATGATGTTTTAATTGACAGCTTTTGCTTGTTTGCTTTTTTATACTGCTCAAAGAATAATTTTGGCTGACCACTCTTCTATTTATTTAAGTCAGGAATTTTTGTGCCAGAAAGATGGTATCTGTTATTTGTGGCACTTGCACTACACCCTCCATTTCGCAAGGTCAGATGTAGGTGTATCCATGCAAGCTTTTTTCCTATGGCCCTAAGATGTTGGTGGAAGAAAGCTTTACTGATGTCCCAGGCAATGAGGATAATCGAGTCAATTACAGGAGCTGTGTACAGTTCTTAAGAGCATGGTGCTCTAGGCAAGTCTGTCTCACAGGGCACAGGGTTAATTAGTGTTTATTAAGTAGTTCAAATATAAAAAAGAGAGAACCAAATAGTAGCAGGGCTTAGAGGTGGTAGTTTCCCTTTTTTCTGGTCCTCGCTTTCCTTCTGGCATCTAGGCTTTCAGGCAACCTTCTGCCACCCTGTGGTTTTGGCTACATCTGGAATCCCTTAACTATTTTAAACCCTTTCCATCTGTTTCTAGACTCAAGTTCAGCAAAAGAGATGCACTGGTTAGACTCTTGCTTGGCCTTCTTTGAATAATAACTCTATTTAAAGAATGCCTTCACACTGCCAAGCACAAAGCTAGTATGAAGCACGAGTGGATTCACAGACATTATCTCATCAGAGGAGCATAACCACACTACAAACCAAAGGCTAGAGTGGTTAAGTCACTTGACCAAGGTCACGCAACAAGGAAGTGGCAAAGCCATGGTTAAATTTTAATTCCTTCTGGCTCTAATGTCCATAGTCTTTTTTCTCTTTCTGCTTTCCTACATCTACAGATTGAACTTGTAGTAAGAAACTTAGTGCTGTTTATAAAGCTCTTTCACATTTGTCAGTAGTATCAATATCAATAAGCAACAGTGGGAAAAACTTTTGAAATTACTGTTGGCCAAGATTGGCAGCATGAGGTTTAGCCAAATGCTCACTGGAAATGTCTTTATTGGCAATTTCGAAGGGTTGTAAACTGTTGTATTCACTCCACTCTCTGGTTTGTGTGGGCCTTAACCAGGTAGGAAAAGGTCTACATGTTGATGGCTCACATGTCTTCTAATGACATGAAAAGCCAACAAGTAAAGGGACTGTGCTTCCAATGCCTTCAAGACTGGACTCTTCTTTTGGGTTAGTGAAATTTTCCGCAGTTATAATAATACTGAACTCCTCCGAGTCTCAGCTTATTCATTTTCTACCATCTACTCTGTTTCCATCCCAGAACTGTTGTAAGAATCAAGAAATAATAAGAATGTGGAAATACTCTGAATAGTTTAAAGTTACTGAAATAGAAAAATAACGTTGCTAATATTTAAGCCACTGATATTTTTATTACTCATAGTTGAAACTAATTATAATCAGTTTACAATATATGTAAAAAAACCCTGAAAGCTTGAAATGAAGCACTTTTCATAAAAGGTTGAGGTTTGGGGATGTAATTCTTTGACTGTTGTAATATATTAGTATGCAGACAATTTTTGGACAGAGAGTAGAGATTAACCCATAAATGTCTGCTACCTGCTAGCAGTAGATTTTTGTCTGTGGTGATATCTAATAAATTGCTAGTGTTTTTTTCTGCAATGCATGTGTTGATGCACTGATGTGTAAATACATTGTTTTACACACATTTATGGCGAAGGAAAAGTAAGATTGTCCAGCCAGTGACCAATATATTGCTCAAAACAAAATTAATTCACAAAACTTTCTCTGTTGAGCTGGACAGCAACTTTAGTCTCTGTAGTAAGAAGTCTGCCAAATTTTCTCTCTCCTGATTCTCTACTCACAGTCATTTAATGAACCTCATAAAAGCTAATATCCCAATTTAGCGGTTCTCTCCTTCATGTTTCACTAAGGAAACAGTTCTTATAATAAAATAAACATGCAGACGGACTCAGGGCAAAAGCATATTCTGTATATTATGTTAATAAAAACATGTTTTGCTTTGTGAAGAAAAAAACACCTAGTGATAGCCTAAAATATAACAGAAAAAATATGAATATCATCCCACTCAAAAGTCAGAATTATGATGCTATCTCAAATCACCACCATCTCATTCCATCAGTTAAATTTAAGACAGAGTTTTTGCCTAAAGCAAAGACGGAGCACATACCACAGGATGATGTCGAGATGTTCAAAGGGCAATATTAGAGCATTGAAGGAGAAGTTGTTTGGAATCAAAACAGTATGGTGAAATTTGTTCAATGCAATTTTTGTTTCTTTCTAGTTCATGCTAGTCATTGCGTCAATGAGGGAAAAGGAGCTAGGAAGATACCAGTCCATTCTAGCATAGTTTAGAATTTCATTTTGTTCTGAAGCCACCACGGAGTGACAATAAAGCCTAAAAGGAATTCAGTGGAAGGGTCGACTGCTTAACAGTTCCCTACGCAGTCAAAGAGTCAAATCTGCTTGAGAATGGTATTGTGGAATCCCAAGAAAATGGGACATTTGATTAGCCACCAATCTCATATCCTCATCAGGAGAATGCAGTTGAGAATCCGATAAGATCTCAGAATCCAGAGAAAACTACTGGGAATGAAATTCCTATTCCTGTAAAAACAGAGTCATCCTAGTATAGTAGCACTTTGAAGAGTAACTAATTTGTGTGTGTGCATGTGTGTGTGTGTGTTTGCACGTGCAGGTGCAGAAAAGTACTTGATACATAAAAAATACTTTACAGCTAAAATCTATATACAGGTTGAATGCTATTAATAAAAAGCAAATCAGATGACTCAACCTCATCAATAATTTTGTTTCAATGTACATATTTATTTGACTGGTCATATTAGAGACACAGTAGCAAAATTGATTACTTTTCTTTTTTTCAATATCGCTGCATTCTTCTAATTCCATAACAGTCTCCATACACCCTCCCCTCCCTCTGGCTTTTCACAACCACAATTGCCACTGCCACCATCATGCCTGCCCTCTTATACTCTCTCATTGCTTTCAGTACCTTTATAGCATGTAAGTCAATTGGAATTCTATATATATTTATATAGCGAATTAATATTTGACTACTCCACAATACTGAAAAACAACAATGACAGGAACTGCATTCCTCTTACTTGTTGCAGTGACTATAATGTGACTATCATCATTCTGGCACTTAGTAGGTGGTCAGTAAATACTTATTAAATAAATGAGTTTATTGAAACCTAAGTCAAGTTTTTTTTTTTTTTTTCATTAACCACTGTGGAGGATTAACAGATAAATTAGGATTTAGAAAGAGAGAAAAGACAGGTACACAAAAAGCTATACTGCAGACCAGGATGTCATCAATATTACCATGTAGATACAAGTACTAAAGAAGTATTATTTGTGGAGGGGTGATTAATTCTGGCCACTAATGAAGACAGAATGATTCCATTATATAAACACCCATTAACTTGAGTAAAGATTTGCAGACAGTGTCTTGATGGCTGATGCAGAATACCTGTTTCTTTGTTATTGTTTTTTACATTTGGTATATATGTATCAGAGAATGGAATGCCACCCTGAACTTTTACTTTATATTCTAGAAGAAAAAGGCATTATATAAACAACCATACATAATGGAATAGGGGTACTAATTAGAAAAGCATGACTTCTACATCATTGTAATTTTTCTCTCCAGATCCCATTCAAGAATGAGCATTAATTAATGAATATTATTAAGCTCTTTATTTGCTGAATGTTCTTATTCACATTTGAACATTTTAAATAAATAGAACATTTCTAATTTAACTGAAAGACTTGACAGCAAAATAATGCTCACTAAAGACAAAGTTGCAATAAACACAACTCTCATAGACTACTGACGGGAGAGAAAATTGATATTTCATTTCTGAGCAAATTAACTTTAATGTGTTCATGTTCTTTGCTCAGAATTTATATCTCAATGTAGTATTTATTTTTCTAAATATTTGTAGATGAGATATTTGTTGAAGTTTTTATCTGTAATAGTAAAAAATGAAAACAATTGCAATTTTAAAAATAGAGAATTGGTTGAATTACAGGAACTATGAGACCATGAAAACCATAAATGAGGAAAATGTTTTCTCAGTTTCTATACTGTATATCTTATGTGAAATAATAATAAGGAAATAATATGGAAGTTAAACTGCCATTAAATGGTCCAGATAACTCAAATGTTTCCTATACCCACAGTCTAATCACAGCTCACAATTCACAAACTACTGCTGAAGAAGAATATTAATTGAAGCAGGAAGTTTTTAAACAGACTGTTAAAAGTCCTACAGGGAAGATAGGAAGGCAGCTCCATCTTTAAATGCACAGAAAAATATTAACAGCGTTTGTCACTGAGTAATGGGATTATAGTTTAATTTTTGTTTGAGAGTTTGATTATTTTTTCTTCTTCAACTCTTTTACAGTTAAAAAGTTTTAAAAATGAAAAGCATTAACTTTTTAATCATGGAGAATGGTTATTTTAAATTAAAAAAAGTAACCTGATTTTATTTTTAAAGTCTAGTACTGCTCAAAACCTAATACTTTTATATATTTTCTCTGATAACCATTCTTGCTAAATCTGCATCCAGCAGCAGAGAGGGAAATATCTGCAATGCTTTTGTAAGCCTGATCCTGGCATTCCCCTTTCAAGCTGAACTAATGTAATCAAGAGAACGTGTGCCAATAGTGCATTCTAATAGACATGATCATGACTATACATAATTTTATTTTTGAGAATTTGAAAGAGCGCATTATGAAATAAAATCATTCTCTTAAGTGAATCTCTTACAACAAAATTAGCTCATACAAATATTTGGTCAAGCAGATGCTATCTAAGTTTGCAAGTGCCAAATAGGTGGTATTCTTTCTCAATATCCGTTGTGGTGCTTTTACGTATTTTCCTCTAAAATAAATAAGTTTTCTTTAACGGAATCTCACCAATAAGCAATTGTACAATCAGTTACACCTTTTTGGCCCATGTGGGAAGGATTGGCTTAAAGGGAATCTGCTGGGTTATTCATTGCCATCCACTGTGTATTTCATAGTGCAAAAACACAGGAATGCCTCTCACACTCACCCTAAAGTTTTCCCTTTGATAAAACCAGCCAGTACCAGCCAGCTGTTGGGAGCTGGATTTTCAAATATTGTTAATTTTGCCTAAACATAGCCCCTTTTCAGGCTGTCTCTGTGGTCAACTCTTGTTTACGTAACAATTTTCATTAAATAGAATCATGTTTTTGCCAAAATGTTTTTAAAGAAGTTTTCATATCATGCTGCTTGTGGAAAACTAACATTTGCCCTGAGTAGATAAATTAGAATAAAGAAATGTTAACAAATTTTAGTTAGGTGATATTAGCCACTATGCCATTGCGGAAAAAAAAAAAAAAAAAAAAACACAACTCTGGGCATTAGGCCTTGTCTCTGTTTAAAAATAAGAAAAAAGAAGGAGCTCGAAGAGTGTTATAAGAGTGTTAGGGTCAGAGGAGCTCTACTTTGAGACTTTCTCCTAGACTTACTCAAAAAGATTTCAAAAAAATTAAGGAAAATAATTGTTTGGTGATGTGATTCAATGCTATTCAATACTACGCTTCTGGACTACCTAACCATCCCTTGTACTTCCAGCGGTGTTTATCTCCTACTTTGGAAATTACTGCCCTAGAATGATGCTGTGACCCTATGTAGTTGCCTGCATCTCCCCCTTTGCACTGTAAAGGACCTCTAACATCTCTCAGGGACTTTGCTTTAGCTACGTAACTCTTAGCTCTTAGCTTAGATCACCTGCTTAAGGGAAAGAATGGTGTCAGGTATGGTTATGGCTCTCTCATACATTTTCCGGTATGTCTTCGTGAGTCCTTTAATTTTTAGCCTTTCTTGAGACAAACTCTATATTCAAACTCAGCTAGGTGCTTTACTTGTCACCAAGAATGGCATATTTTTGAGGTACTAAATAAATAATAAATAACGCCAAGTCTTACTTTTCTACACTTATGTGCTGATAATTTAGTATCTGCCTGGGTACCAGATGATGTCATTGCTGTGCGCTTTAAGTCTTTCTTTATTACAGCCATGCTAGCATTATTTTTAGCACAGCAGGTGTCAAAAAGGTTTATTTTGAAAGAAAGAAAACATAAAAATGAATTATTTATGTGAGTTAAATCAAAATGTACTTGATATAAATGTTTAATCAGTTTTTCACCAACTTCTTTCCATATGCTCTGCCCTGCTCAATGGTGCAGTTCTAATGGAATTACTAAATATATCTTAATAGCTCAGCATACAGCATTATGCAATGGTACTTACACAGGAGGAATTTTTCAACTCATATTAAACAGGTCAAATGATTTTTTAAAATCTCTAGAATGCTTACTGTTTTATAGAAGATTATTATTCAATCGGCATAGAAAAATTCAGTAAGTTTGACACTTAAAATGTGCTACGTTGACCATATTTAAAGTTTCTCATTCCTTAAAAAAGATGAGAAGATTAGAAAATAACTTTAATTTTGACTGTAATTGCAAATGTTTTTTCCCTTGCTTTCATAAGTAATCAGCAGATTTGCTGTTACTCCTGGAATATAAATGTTACAGAATTAAAATAAGGATTCCAAGAAAGACTACACCATGACTAAAGGACAATTTTTATATTATGGAGGAAACTGAAAACCTGAAGGCAGGACCAAGATTTATAGTCTTTGCCAACTTTTCAACTGATCTCAACTGGTTGCTTTCATATTTCTGTTCTTTGAATTACCTACTCTTTTGAGATCAGTAAAGTCCAACTCTTTGTTTTTATTATGTGCCACTTTTTCAGCCAAATCAATGTCTACAAAAAACTCCTTATTATTTTTATATGCAGACACTTCACCCTTTGAAATCTTCCAATTTCTATGGTTATAATCTAAGGGCGAATCACTCAAGCAAAGAGTAAATGTCCCAGTCAGATACTGATTTCATAAGAGGGTGCTTAACCTCCAGCTCAATGATGGTAATAATGGTCACAAATATAATGTTAGTAGATGTCTACTGAGAGCTGTCCATGAGCCAGTGAAGTGGTCAATGTTCTTTGTATGCTGTACAAGATTTTTTCACATAACTCTATGAGGTAGGTGCAAACCCTATTTTCAGAAAAAATAGTGGAAACACTAAGAAAGAGGTTAATTTATCTTCATAAAGAGAAAGCAAGAAGATACAATAGAAATAGCAGTTGAGTTTAGGAGACTGAAGATTATTTGGGTTTGAGGGTCAACGGTTAAACCTATGATATGACTTTGGGCAAATAACTCCAGTAACAAAAGCAATCTTAATCACCAAGAAAGGCATATAACACACACACACACACACACACACACACACACACACACACACACAGAGACAATAATTCTCTTATTAAAGAGAATCCAAACACAAATCAAATTTTATCTATACTTTGTACAAAGCCACAAGCATCTATTTTTACAAATCTGCATTACAGCATGCACTCTTCTCATCACATTTTAATAAAAATGGACCAGCAGCAGAGACAATGCAGGGAAGGACAACTAAAATGATTAAAGGGAATAGAGGCTTTCTTAAGGGGATAGACTGTAAAATTATGGTATTTCATTGTGGAAAGCTAAAGGTGAAGTAGAGATATTTAACAGGTAATAAAATGGCAAATGTGGATTTGGTGGACAGAGCATTCATTACCTGGAGTATTAGCAGTAGAAGAACCTCCTTAAAGTTTGGAAAAAGTTTGAAAATTATGTTTAGAAAAAAACTAGAAAGCAATTATGGTATTAGTTTATCCAATAAATAAACATAAGTATATATTATTAGAGAGCATCAAAGGAAAAGCACGTAAGCCTGAAAAGATTGGGCTAAACGGTTTAAGTATGCAGCTGAGCACATTTTGAACAGGATATAGAAATATTTCCTCAATTTTCTGCAGTTAGTAACATGAAGCATCAATCTTCCCTGCCACATAGTAGTGACAACATTCACCAAACCCAAGAAATAGGAAACTTGACTCCATAAAGGAGGATTTAAAATAGACAAAGACAAACTACCAGAGACAGAGTTTTTGCTCTATGGTTCTGTATAGATCATTTCCAACAAATGGATGAGAATTTCTCCTTGACTTCCTGGCATCAGGGACTCGGTAGGGGCCCATGGATTTGTGTTGATAGGGAAGGTTACGCATGACCACGGTAGTTGACATTAGCAGAATCAAAGGGAGAACCTTGTTCCTGAGACTCTCCATCACAGTTCTGAGCAGGAACACCTATTCTAGACTTCTCTATTTCCTATTTTAATTCCTTTCCTTACCTTTCTCAACAGTGGAAAATGCAGTAACAACAGTAAGTGGAAAAGGCGATGTTTAACAATAGTAAGTAGTGGATGGAATGATGAAAATAACTGGGAGCTTATTATGGCCTTCCATACACTGATTCATTTTATCCACTGAGCACATGTAAAGAACAGCTTTGACTTTTGCCTGTTTAGCATCCGTCCTCCTCTTTTCCTGGTGACAGCATTGTAACAGAACCAGTTCTCTCCATTCCATTCTTCTGGGCAAGGTGATTGGTTGAGGAAAAGGCAAATGATCCAAGGCAATCTTGTAATAATTTATCAGGAGAGCTTTGGTGGAATAATTGGGGAAGAGACACTCTCCTTCTTCTGGGGTCACTATGTGTAGGGGTGACATGACCCTGGAAAGGTCAGGAGCCACGAGAGATCACCAGAAAAGAAGCCAATACTAAGAAAAGCAGAGTCAGGAGATGAGGACAGAAAGCTTGACTGTGAGAAGGTAAGCAAAAGTGAGACTGTGTGTGTGTGTGTGTGTGTGTGTGTGTGTGTGTGTGTGTGAGAGAGAGAGAGAGGGGTTGAATCCCAATTTCAGCCCATGCATCAAGACAGACTTGAAGTTTGTCAGCCACTGACATTTTCATGTCAGTCACTGAATTTTTGTTTCTGTTTCCTTAAGCACTTTTCAGATGAGTGTTTGTTGTTTGTTACTTGCATAGTCCTGGTTATTAAAAAAAACTTTATGAAGATTGTATTATTACCATTTTACAGAGTAAAACACTGAGCCTCATAAGTATTCATTCAAAAACTGAACATTCTACTTAGTACTGCCTAGTTTCTTTGAAAACCTTATTCGAATTTTTCATAGATCTTAATTTTTAATTTTTATATTTGAATCTGTTTATTCATTCCTAATACAACTATACTTTTTCTAGGTATTCTTAATAATTTTTTAAGATTATACAGCAATAAACTAAAATCATGGTCTCAAAATCATTTCTAGATGGTTTTTTTGTGCATTGTACTAATTTACCTATACAGAAATCCACCTGAAAAATGGTTTGCACTCACAATTTCTTCATTCCATGGTTTGTAGAATATTTGCAAATGAGATGTGAATATTTATAGACATTTGTGACATTACTACTGCATTTAGAAGCTTTTATACCAAATTATAGATTCATGTAAAGGTTATAAATTAGAAGCTTTACAGAAAATGTCTAAATATTTATGAATTTAACTACATTTAGGAATAAATTTGCAAATTTTACATTTGCTATTTTTTCACATTTATGAGCAAATATGAGTTTTCTAATAATCTATCAAAAGGAGTCGGCACTCAGAAAAGCACAAACCCCAGATGGAAATGTTGTCTTCATTTTCTCTGGGTGTCTCCCTCCCGCTCTGTCTCCGTCTTTCTCATCTCCTCCTCTCTCCCGACTCCCTTCTCCACCAGAAATAAAATATGCAAGATTCACCAAGGAGATTTCAGTGCTTCCAATAATCCCTGGTATTTACGAGTTGTCAATCATATTATCTCTTATTTTTAACTCTCTAATCAGTCATCCGTCAACCATCAGTATCCAGGGGGGAGAAATTACACTCTGGAGTTCTTACAACATCAGGATCTAATTATCTCAGATATTATGCTATGGTCCAGCTGAATGTACTTGGAATGGACACAGGGAAAGGCACTTGCTCTTTTTGGCCACACCCCTAGTGAACTGGACTTTTCTGCTTCTGTGCACTTCACCACTGGAAGGAGAGGGAGGGAGGAAGCCATCTCAATTCTGGTGCTTCAGGTTAGGCTGCACTTCCACCAGGTCACCACCTGCCTACACTTTGCTACAGGGATCCCCAGTGGAATGAGCAGCCAGCATCTGGATGACCCACCACTTCATGACCTGCTCACATCCAAGGGTCTTTTTCTGCACCCCTCCACAGCCACTTGACCTGGTCATCACAGTAATTGCACCAGTACTGAACTCCCAATGGGCCAGTATCCTACCGTTTGCACCCACCTTTAAGTCCACTTACTCTCAAATAGTCCTTTGACCCCACTGAGACTTTCAATTAACAAAAAACTACTATTTCTTCACAGTCCTCAGTCTATCATGTTATCACTTTCCTCCTTACTCAGCTGAAAGGCCATGGCCCATTACACAATCATCTCCATTAAAACACTGTTAACTCCCTTGACTCTCTCTCTCTTTTCTATCAGGCTAAATTTCAACCTTGGTGAAACCCAAGTACCTAGCAGAGTTGCTGAACATTACTGGAGATTAACATACCACTATACTAACTTTAACTTCAGAAACAAAAATATTGCATTAGTATTCAGCAATGATGATTCACATCATCAGTTGCAAAGCTGCCATCCTTTCCTTCTCACAATGGACCAGTTTTGGTAACTCAGGCGAAAGACAGACTGCATGTGGAATGGTCTAATGAGACTAGTTCAGAAATGGGCACAAAATTCAATTATAGTGGTTTAGATATAAGGGAAGATTGCATGTGGTTTCTTACTCATTTCAGAGAGCAACTAGAAATTCACTGGCATGTGATACAAATTACAGATAAAGCCTAGAACTTCTCCAGCCATTTTCTTGGCATCAAGACAGCAAGATCACTTGTGCATGATGCTAACTCCAAGGAAGATAGAGCAGATATAATTTTTTTAAATTCAGATATTTCAGTGTTATACAGATCATCAAGACAGAAATCTAACAAAGATATTCTGGACTTAAACTAGACAATTGACAAACTTGACGTAGCAGACATCTACAGAACACTCCACCCAACAACGGCAGAATATACAGTCTTCTCATCTGCACATGGCACATACTCTAAGATCAACCACATGCTCGGCCATAAAACAAGCCTCAACAAATTCATATGGAACCCAAAAAAGAGCCTGAATTGCCAAAGCAATCCTAAACAAAAATAACAAAGCCAGAGGCATTATACTGCCTGACTTCAAACTATACCACAAGGCTATAGTAACCAAAAAATCATGGTATTGGTACAAAAACAGATACATAGACAAATGGAACAGGATAGGGAACCCAGAAATAAAGCTGCACACCTACAATCCACTGGTCTTTGACAGAGTCAACAATAACAAGCAATTGGGAAAGGACTCTCTGCTTAATAAATGGCGCTGGGAAAACTGGCTAGCCATATACAGAAGCCTGAAACTGGACCCCTTCCTTTCACCATATACAAAAATTAACTCAAGATGAATTAAACACTTAAGTGTAAGACCTACATTATAAAAACTCTAGAAGAAAACCTAGGAAAAATCATTCTGAACATCAACCTTGGAAAATAATTTACGACCAACTCCCCAGAAACAATTGCAACAAAAACCAAAATAGACAAGTGGGACCTAATTAAACTAAAGAGCTTCTGCACAGCAAAAGAAACTATAAACAGGAAACAGACAACCTACAGATTAGAGAAAATATTCACAAACTATACCTCCTACTAAGGTATAATATCAAGTCCATAAAGAACTTCAATAACTCAACAAACCAAAAACAAATAACCCCATTAAAAAATGGGCAATGGATATGAATAGACATTTCACAAAAGAAGACATGCATGAGGCCAATGAATATATGAAAAAATAGATATCATTACTACTCATTAAAGAAATGCAAATCAAAACTATAATAAGATACCATCTCATGCCAGTCAAAATGACTACTCTTTTTTTTTTTTTTTTTTGAGACAGAGTCTTGCTCTGTCGCCCAGGCTGGAATGCAGTGGCATGATCTTGGCTCACTGCAACCTCTGCCTCCTGGGTTCACACCATTCTCCTGCCTCAGCCTCCCGAGTAGCTGGGACTACAGGCGCCTGCCACCATGCCTGGCTAATTTTTTTTTTTTTAATATTTTCAGTAGAGACAGGGTTTCACTGTGTTAGCCAGGATGGTCTCAATCTCCTGACCTCATGATTTGCCCACCTCGGCCTCCCAAAGTGCTGGGATTACAGGCATGAGCCACCGCACCCAGCCAATGACTACTCTTAAAAAGTCAAGAAACAATAGATGTTGGCAAGGTTGTAGAGAAAAGGGAACACTTATACACACTGCTGGTGAAAGTATAAAATAAATAGTTCAGGCTCTATAGAAAGCAGTGAGGGGATTCCTCAAAGAACTTAAAACTACCATTTAACCCAGCAATCCCACTACTGGAGATAGATAGATAGATAGATAGATAGATAGATAGATAGATAGACGATAGATAGATAGATATAGATATAGATATAGATATAGATAGATATATACCCAAAGGAAAAGAAATAATTCTACCAAAAACACACATCTACTTGTATGTTCACAATAGCAAAGACATGGAATCAATCTAGATGCCCATCAACAGTGGAGTAGATAAAGAAAATGTGGTATATATACACCATGAAATAGTACACAGACATAAAAAGGAATGAAATTGTGTCCTTTGCCGCAACATGAATGCAGTTGGAGGCCATTATCCTTAGCAAACTAACACAGGAACAGAAAACACAATCCTGCATGTTGTCACTTATAAGTGGGAGCTAAACATTGAATGCACATGGACACAAAGATGGAAACCATAGACACTGGGGACTCTTTGTGGCAGAAGGTTAGGAAGGAGGTGTGTGTTGAAAACCCTATCCGGTACTATGCTCACTATCTTGGTGACGGGATCAATTCATACACCAAATCTCAGCAACATGCAATTTACGCATGTAACAAACCTGCACATGCACTCCCTGAACCTAAAAGTCTCTAGAAATAAAACATCCAGATCTCTTACGATATTTTTGAGTTGTTGAATCATTCAGTGCTGATGTTCACCCTACCTTACAGTTACAATAGGGGACAAATACCTTTCATTGTTTGGGCTTATATGAATTCAGTTTTCAATTTCAGTGACAATCCAAAGCCACTGGGACCATGTAACAGGTTGAATACTGGCCCTACGAAAGTATGTCAGTGTCTGACCCATAAAACCTGTGAACACGACTTTGTTTGAAAAAAAAAAAAAAAGGTCTTTTTGCAGATGTAATTAAGTTAAACATCCCAAAATGAGATCATCGTGGATTTAGGGTAACACCTAAATCTAATGACAGGTATGTTTATAAGTGAAAGGCAGAAGAATTTAGACACAGTTATAGAGAGGTGATGTGAAGATGGAGGCAGAGGTTGGAGGGATGCATCTACAAGCCAAGGAATGCCAAGCCTAGCTGGCAGCCATCAGAAGCTGGGAAGAGAGGTGTGGGCCAGATTCCCCCTCAAACTCTCCAGAAGGAACCAAACTGTTGGTACCTTGATTTTGGACTTCTGACCTCCAGAACTGTGAAAGAACATATTTCTGTTGTTTTAAGTCACCCAGTTAAAAGGTGGCAATTTGTTATAGCATCCCTGGAAACTAATAAAAACTGAAATTAAAACCTAGGACTGCCTGGCTTTTAGGAGTTTATACTGTTACCAGAATTCTACATTGAACAAAAGCTACTTGAAAACTAGATTTTAGATGACTATAGAGGAGAGAATTGAGTAGTCACTGAAATTATCATAGAAGCTTTATGACAGAAACAACCATTCTGATGCAAGCTGATCCCAGCAAGAAGTATGAAAAAGCCTTTAGTGCAGAACAAGAACAAAAAATACAATACAAAAAGAACAATACAAAAAAAATAATGACCAAGGGTTTTCCGCAAGTTTGTTAGTCAAGAGAAATTGGAATTTAGCATCAGAAAACACTTCAGCGACATTATTACTTGTGATGCACGTATGTTGTTCTTGAGTGAACAAGTATAATCAGAAATAAATATGCTTAACTATTTAATTAATATTATACTATGAGTTTAGGTTATAGGCTAACATGTTCATTGTCTTTTCAAAGTTCTGAATATAAACACTTACCTTTAGGAAATTTAACAGGTATTAGGTTAATCCTATACCAAATACTTCATACGTTATCTCAGTCTTTGTGAGACAGCAAGCACGCTTCCCATTTTCAAAAATGAGAAAGCTGTGCAGGACCATCAACTGCTTATGTAGCACCTTTGTATAAATTACAAATGCATGTGCCAGGACAGATGGCTTAGCAAGAGCAGCAAGGGGTTTAGTTCAGCTCCACTTGGTCCCCTGGCTGTGTCTACAAACTCCTGTGCAGAGCAGGAGCCTCACAGCTGAAGCCCAGAGAAGCTAGGTAACAGTGCTCAGATCCAACCCTCAGTAAATGTGTATGCTGTGGCTTCAGTCCATTTATCTCTGACTTTAAATTCCATATTTTCATGAGCACATAGTGACATCTTCAAGTAGCTTCAGATTTTACTACCGAAAGGTATTCAAACCGATAAATGCAAGTGACAACTGCAGTTGATATGCTGTGCCAGTCAAGAGAGTAAACCTTCTGAAAAATGATGCCAGAAGAGAGGCTCACCTTCCCCCAGGTGGTCAGAATCAGTGATATAATTTGCAGGGCCCTGTACAAAATAAAAATGTGGGGCCATTGTTTAAAAATCATTAAAAATTTCAACAGGGCAACAGCAGAGCCTTAAAGTAAGCCTGGAGTCCTTCTAAGTGTGGGGCCCTGGGGGACTGCTAAGGTGGCTGCCCAGGAATCCGGCCCTGCAGGTGGGCCATATGAAGCCTAGCATCTGGCTTGCAGAATAGCAATAAAAGAGATGCTGGTAGAAAAGATCTCCTACTAGGATCAGCGCTTTTACCTCTGTAGCTTCTTGTGCTTACTGAGGCTCTAGCAGTACTAATAAGTTAGGTCAAGTTATACTTTCTTAAGTAGGAAGGATCTTTAATGTCTTACTCTCAGTTCTTATACAAGTAGACCACCTCACTTTGCTGGGTGGATCTCCACTTTACCTTAAGGTCAGGGAACAGAAATTCAAGCGCTTCAGTGACAGTATTTTACTGCAATCGTATCTTAGTGAAATACATAAGAAGAAACCCAACAGATTTATGTTTAAGTATTAGATCCAAACTGGCATCAGTGACAACAATGCCTCGGATTTGAAGAATAGTGGAATAGGAAGGGGGGATATTAAATTCTACTGCTCCAGAAGAGGCCAGAACCTTGATTTAAATATACCATTTGAAGTCTCAGAAACACCGCATTTTGGTTTCTGTAAGATGTTAGCTACATTTGAATTGTTGTTTAGATCAGTGTTTCCTAAAGCGTGTACAACTGAAATAACTGAAAGACGTGAAAAGGTAATTGCATGAAAATAGCTTTTTGGCCAGATACAGAAGTTGTGTGCGCAGAAGAGTGTTTTACTAAAGGATGTTTCTGAGTCTTTCACGTACTCCTGTGCTGGCGCAGAGTATGGCACATGACTTTAGCATGGAGCATCTTGAGGGACCATGTTCCGTGAAACACACTTTATGAAGTGCTGTTTTATGTGACACTATATTGTAGGCAGCATGCCAAAGAGGGCATTTTCAAGCTTCATAAGTCCAGGCACACTTGTTTAAGAGCTTTCTTACCTAGGACCTTATGATTTGGCCATTCTTAGCTCATTACTTCCCCTCCCCAAGTCCCAGGCAGAGGTTAGTACACCTGTTCTCACAGTGTCCTGGCATTTGGTGCTCACTGTTCACCTGAGGAGCAGATTATGACTGTGAAGATCGAAAACATTCTCAGCTAATCTTCGCTGTGGGGTTAATACTGTTGTGGGGATCTTTTTACAGTTTATGCTGACGTGCCCTGCTCAAAGATCCATCTAACACTCGAAATGAGGCTCCCTGAGTCTACACCCCAGAACCCGCCATTGCTGTCAGAGCTGGCAATGTGCCTGGCTGCTCTTGTGTGGCCCAAGGCAAGTCACTGCATTCACTAAGACAAGTGGCTGCTGTGTTCTTCCTAATTTTAAATATGCCCACAGAGAAGAGAGGGACTCACAGTTTGAAAGATAACTATTTAGTTTGCATCAAGAGCAACTGAGTTTTCCGTTCCACTACACTTGAAAAACCCACCGGGCTGTTAAAATCAGCAGTCAACAAGCAAGCACCAAACCATCCTACACACTTAGAGCTCTGAGACTGGGTGAGATTCTCTGGGAAGGCTGTGTGTCCACCTTGGACATCTACGTCCCCAGGAGGCCAGCAATAAGACAGATAAACATCAAGTGTGGTCTCTGAATGGACTAATCACTTTTGACAATGTGTGCATTTTTATACAGAGGGATGATGAAATCACAAGTGTGTGTTTACTAGTATCTGCGCTATGCAAAGAAACAACCAGAAAGTTCAACACGTAAGGTCCAAACTAAGTTTTCCTTCTTCACCTCAATCAAAAATTACTTTACAGATTGTTTGAATAATATCTCCAACTCCTTAATCTTTTCAAAGGAAAGCAGCAAAAATTCAACCAAAGAATAAAATCTTCCTAAATAAAGAATAGAATCTTCAGGAAGAATAAAATCTTATTTAAAGAACCTGATTTTTGCTAGCATTGGTTTGACTATGAAGAGCCACACTTCCAATGATTTCTGAACAGCAGATATCAGCTGTTTTACATTTTAACTAACTTGCCACTCTGGCCACTGTTGAAAATTCTGTAGGAATTAAATGCCCGGTTTTGCAAGATACACATTTCTTACTGAAACAGCCTATTATTCATTGTACACATATATTACGCCTCTATTTGCTGCCAAGTTTTATGGGATTAAATAGAGAACACAACAGGTAAGAGCCCCAAACTCATGCTACTGATTCGCATCTCTGAAGTTGTTTGCTGCAGGGTCTGACTGTGAAGGAGCTGTAATCACAGTGGCCACCAGCCTCTGATATTCTTCCTCTGCTGTTCTTAATGTTCTCCCCACATCCTCAAAGCATCATGGCTTACATCCCTGTTCACTGGCTTAAGTCTTCCCCAATCCTTCAGCAAATTATGATCAAGGTGGGTGTATATAAATGGTTCTTAGTATTCTTCCTGCTATGGCTGGAGTTATTTTAGGAGCTTGTGGTGCTTTTAAGATCAAGGACTTTGACCCTGGTCCTGTCTGGCTTCTTGCTCCCACTCAGGCACAGGATATAGTCTTTTTAAAAAATAAGTAACCTGCTTGGTGCAGTGGCTCATGCCTATAATTCCAGCACTTTGGGAGGCCATTGTGAGAGGATTGCTTGAGGCTAGGAGTTTGGGACCAGTCTGGGCAACATGGTGAGATCCCATACAAAAATAAAAATAAAAAATTAGCCTGGCATGGTGGCATGCGCCTGTTGTCCCAGCTACTTGGGAGGCTGAAGTGAGAGGGTGGCTTGAACTGGGGAGGTCTGGACTGCAGTGAGCCGTGATTGCACCACAAACTCCAGCCTGGGCAACACAGTGAAACCCTCTCTTCACAAAATAATATAAAATAAAATAAATAAAATAAAATAAGTAACCCCTAGGTTCCTGGACTACCCCCATAAGTCATTCTTCTTCCTCTCATGTTAATTCACCCTGTTTTATCTGTTCACCTTCCTCTTTAGTTCAGATCTGTTAGGTTACCCAGCTTAGTAACTCCTTCCCCTAGAAGGTAGGTTAAACGTGGCCCTACTGTGTTTGCTCCCCACTTGGCAGGCATAAGGTTGTACACTGACAGCTGGGGCTGGAGTGGCAGCCAGCCTGTTACAACTATGTTCCTGAATCCTTTACAGAGATGAGCATGAAACACATGGAAATGGAAATGAGGCAATCTAGTTTGGAAAAAATAGATTTGAATTGAGGGTAGAAAAATGAGAAAATTGGAGTTCCAGTCCCTGTTTGATACCACAGAGCTGTAGAACCCCAGGAGACAGTTCTGTGACTAATTTTCTTCAACTGTAAAAATAACAGTGTAGGAGAAATAATTCTTAAGTCTCAAAATCCCTGGCTTTAAATAGGGTTAATGGTCAGGATTAGTAAAACGGTATGGGGCATGACCTTCTTTTATGTGACATAAGAAACTTGGTAATCATAGCAAAAAAAAAAAAAAAAATACACAAAATTTTTAAACAACCCAACCCTTTTGAGATGGAGTTAATAGGTGAAGTTGCAACTTCTAGTGACCTCAAGCACATTTTTCCTTCTCTACCTTCGAGTAGATAGAGGTCTAAAGTGAGTTAATCCCTGACTGCACATAGCTGTTCAACGCAGATGCTCTGGAGTCGGGCCTACTTGGTTTAAAGAACTGGCACATAGGCCTGTGCCTGGCACATAGTAGACTTTCAATAAACATGTGTTTAAATAATGTTGAATCAGTAAGCACTGCCTCTGCTCTCTTCCAGTTGTAAATCGCTTAGCCTCTAGGTGACTTGATTTCTTTACTGATAACAGTGCCCGCCCTATAAACTGGTAAGAATGCGATGAGATAATTCAGGCAGAGCACTGCACACAGCCAATGCCTGCTGAAGGTTAGTTGTTACTGTGGCAAAGGGATTTGTCTCAAGGATTCTCTAGGCTCTTTTCATCCGACCATTTTCAGCCCATCAAACAACTTTCCCAGACAGCAGTAAATGCAGGCCAAGGTCTTTGCTTAAAGTGAAAATCTCTGGCCTTGATGAGAGAAGCTGTCAAGTCCTGAAAAGCCTGCCACTTCCTCACTTCACTTCAGGTTCCGTGCCCCTTTGTCTCTTTTTTCACTGCATAATATTCAGATCAAAGCATTCTTGCCCTGCTTATCCTCTAAAGCACATCATATCAGTAGGTTAATAGTTGAAGGTCGCCAGCCTCCATCTCTCTGCACCTTGTTGCGGCCAGGCTTCGTAGCAGCCAAGGCCCCAGCTGGCGCGGGGGAGCTGCAGCAAGCACACTGTTTGTGTGCCCAGCAGATGTAAAAAGCTTGGTGCAGTGATCTGGGTGCACCTGTTGGTTTGTCACCATCTGTTAGCCAAAATGTTAAAAAGCCACACCCTCGGACAGCCAGCTGAGGAGAACTTAATCTCTTCCCTCCCAGGCCTCCAAATACAGGCTGCCGATCACATCTTACAAAAGAAGAGAGCCAAACACAAAGAAGAAACTGTCTGAACCCTGCCTAGAGGGAAACCTAATCTTCTGCCCTGGCTGGGTTTTGTTTTTTACGCTAACAAAAAAAGGGATTCTAAAACAAATCTAGCTAGATATTACCTGACAAGAAATCCTGTTATAAACAACTGCCAATTTTTTTTAAAGGAAGATATTAGTTGAACATGGATACTAGTATTAAATGAATTAAGCAGTAATGGTATTTTGGATGACTACTTAGTGAGGTGGAAAATGATGAGGGAGCTAACGTGTGCCTCCTCTGAGGGAGATAGAATTGGATTCTTAGAAGTAAAATGCCTCCAGGGCCAGCACAGGATAAAGAATTAGATGAGTTTAGGCCTTGGAGTTCCAAAGATCAGAGCAACATTCCTCTAAGGAAGACACAGAAATTTGTATGACCTTTATCAAAGCATGGACAGCCTTCACCCACTCGTGCCTCTCTCTCCCTGCTGCCCACATCTTCACCACACAGAACAAAGTCTCCCATTCCACAAGGGTCAAGGATCACACAAGCTAATTGCATTTAGCTGGTGGGTATAATTTCAGAGCTAGGTACCTCTCCCTTCAGCCAGACATAAGATACAAATTTTTAAAAGCAATTCAAGAGGGCAGGGATCTTTTATTCAATGACCAGACCAAATCTCATTGAAATTAAATATTCAACTAGAATATGCATGCAGCAACTTTCTTGAATATATACCCAGGATAAGTCAGAGCAAATGTTAGCGTTCATTCTTGTCTTTATTGAGAATAAATAGGGAAAAAGAAACTGGTTTCCATCCAAAGTTGTAAAATAAGGAAGATGTACTTTGTAATTTAAGACTTTAAAAAGAGTTTTAAGTTAGAAATGATTTCATGTAGCTAACGAGTTTGGTTTTTTAAATTTATTTTTTAGACAATTTTAAAACACATCGGTCAAATCTTTTATGTGGCCCCATACATTTTATACTGATTTTCCACCCCCCCTTTTTTTTATTTAACCAAACTATCATTCAACCTAATCCTTAAGGAATATTGAATAGAATTAACACCTTTATACCAATCCCATTAGTGTACTGTTAAATTAATGGGTTCATTTCTGCCCTCAAGCAAGATTTGGATTATAATCTTGAGACAAGCTACCTTGAGGCAGTAGGCAATCACTTTAAAAACCTGAAAGCAGGCAACATATGGCACACTACACAATATAAAAGTGTTTGAGAGGTACAAGTTTCCACCCTTCATGATACATGCCCAGTTTTAAATAAAACATAGCGTCATCTGGTTCACGCTTAAACACTGAAATTGAAATTATTGGCCATACTGTCATTTTCAAAACAATAGCTAACGGTTTGCACATGTGCTGTTTACAGATCCAAGCCTGTAAACACAGTCACCAACCACAACTTTGCAAAGGTAAATGACAGCTTGAAAAATTTCAAGTCTCCAGAACTCCTGGGATTTTCTCGTTTTCCCCCTTTCATTCATTCTTTCTTCCTACCCCACCCCCAATCCACTCATAGACACAACAGATCCTCCTCTGCCTGCGCAGGCGTAACTTCCTCGCCATATCACCCCTCCCCCCACGACACATTTTCCTGCTGTTGAGACCAGCTGGGCTGTATTAGTCATGCTGAAGCACGTCATGTAACACAGCAAAATATCAGGCAGCCCAGTGTCATGGGAAAAGTGAATCTACTTCATTATCTACCTAGGCAAAGGAAACAGAACTATCACTTCAATGGGCCTGGTCTTCCCTTCTGTGTTGTTAATGTATATTCTATTAATATCATTGATGATATTCCAAGGTCTTGGTGTAAATGAACATGGTGCAGAAGGGAAGCATCAATGGTAATACTGTGGGGTAATACCTATGCTCTGGGGCCTTTTTTTATCCTTTTCTTCACATACAAATTCCATAAATGTTAAAGGATTTTGATTTACATAAAGAGAAAAGAGGGATACTGTTATCAAAATAGAAACAGGCTGTCCCAAAGAGAGTCATTCTGTGACCCAGAACATAATAGTATGATAAGATGTTGCTTTGGAAATTTGCAGGGAAAAACAATGTGTTATACAGCTCTGCTTCCCAAACTTCAAAGTACTTTCAAATCACATGGACAGCCTATTGAAAATGTTTTCTTCTGATTCAGAGGCCTGAGAGCCTATATTTTTCACAAGCTCCCGGTTAATACTGATACTGCTGGTCCCCAGATCCCACTTTGATTTGCAAGGTTGTATAGAAAGGACAACATTTAGGACAATTCAAAGATTACATTTTTTTAGAACTACCAAGTACTGACATCAATCGAAAACTAATCTAAAGGAGTCGGGAAACATCACTGAGACCTAAATGATGATGAAGGGAAATGGCCATCACATTATCTCTGGGGAATGTATTGCTGGGCATAGCAAGAAAGACCTGGGGAACAGGCACCAGCAAGAGACAAAGAGGATGCTTAGGTTATGTTTAAAATTTTTTATTCTTAAAGATCTAGACAGGTCTGGAAACCCTCAAAATTCTCTTGAGGATGTCACATGGTGGTATCTCAGAATTTTTGTTTGTTTGTTTTTTAGTTGAGAAGTAGATATACAAAGTGGGTTTTCATAAATGAATAAATGATATCAAAAGTCAAAGTGGACAATTGAATTGGAACTTGATTCTAGTTTGGTAGAAGCATCCCTAGGAAAAGGATAAAATCCCTAGGGGAAAAAACAGGGACGTAATTTTCCCAACGAGAGATGGTTAAAGCAGTTATGCTGATGCAAAATATTAAATTCTCATTGTACTTTGAAATAATTTAGATCTGGTATTTCTTCTGTCATTTTTCTAACATCACTAACTCTAGCAATTTAAAAATACTCGACAGTCACACAATTATTTTGCTTTGCCGATGATACCTTTAAGAAAGAAAACTGTTTCAAAAACTTTAAAATGTCAGTGGATGCTCTCCTTCATGACACTAAGAAGCATGAGGTCTTTTGGCTCTCTCTGTTATAATTAAATGTAAATTTTAGAAATTATAAAAAAGGAAGTGGTCAAACTTCTTGTTTCTATTTCTTAAATTGCATCATGGTACTGTATTAGTCTCCTAGGGCTGCAGTAACAAATTCCCACAAACTTAGTGGCTTAACAACAGAAATGATTTTCTCAATTCTGGAGTCTGGAGGTCTGAAATCAAGGCGTCAGCAGGGCCAGTATTTCTCCCAAGGCTCTAGGGAAGGATCCTCTTCCTCTTCCTACCCTAGCTTCTTGTGGTTGCTGGCAATCCTGCGTGTTCCTTGGCTTGTAAGTTCATCAGCCAGCCTCTGGCTCCGTTGTACCAAGGCGTTCTCCCTGCATGTCTCCTCCCTGTGTCTCTTCTCCTTTCCTTATAAGGACAGCAGTTCAATTGGATTAGGGCCCACCTAATCCAGTCTGGCCTCATCTGAACCTAATTACATCCACAAAGACCCAAATTTATTTTCAAATAAGGTCATATTCCTAGATGCCAAGGGTCAGGACGTCAACATATTTTTTAGAGGACACACTTCATCCCTTAACAGGTAATAAAGTATAGACTCCGCACTTTGAAATGCAGATTCCCAGGTTTTTAAAACCATACCATGTTGAAGAGTTTTTTTTCTTTTTCCTCTAAAGCAAGGATGACAATTCTTCTTGTTACTGAAGTACTGTGATTATAAGGGAAAAAAAACTTAAGATTAAATTTTACTTTTTTAATGTTAAAAAATACTAATTAGATATGTAGTAGAAATCAGAAATCTTTGTTTTAGAGCTAATGCAAATCAAAATGATTCTTCTTACGAAGATTTGTACGTGTTTTTATCTGGCACTCTTTGTTTCGCTGTTTATTAGCAGCGACATTGGCAACTTTATTGAGTACCTTATCACGTTGTATAGTAACTAGATTGTAAGTTTCTTGAGGACAGATATTGTTCTATTATTTTAAGTTTCTGTCTGTTCCTAAAAGTGGACACTCCATAAAAGTATATTGATTATGGGTTGAATATTTTCTTATATCAAATTATATGGAATCATTTTGAAGGCAAAATAAAACTTTTTAAATCCTCATAAACATATGAGTAGTGCAATTGTCTATTGGACTTTGGAGAAATGTGTATCAGAAAAGATGAATGACATTTTAGTAAATATTTACTAGTTATAACCTGTTATTAGCACTAAAATATATAGTAAACAATTACAAACAATAATTAATTACCATCTTAGGCTCATCTTCAAGTCTCTAAATCTGTAACCTTAATATCCAGTCCGGCAGGGTGAGTCCAAGTTGCTTGGAAAATCCTGATGTTAGCTACTGTTGTGCCCTTCTTGCTCAATTATGAGATGTAAACTCAGACACATCACTTGTACATTGGCTTCATGATTTATGGGAGAAAAGGTGAAGAGATTTGATTTGAAAACATTTTCCACTTAATAACACTCTCCCAGAATCCTTCTCATAACCTCTTTCCCCTGCCCAACCTCACACAAGCAAAACTATCCAAAGAAGAATCTTTGTGGTTAAGATTCAAAAGCTCATCTTGAACTTAAAGCTAGCAAATGTCAGCAGTTTCACGTTAGTTTGTCCTAATGTTCTCAGAAATCTAAACCATGGTATCTTGCCGCATTTAAAATTCTTCCCTGCTCGCTGCAGTCCCTAATAATATCCTGGCCATGTACCTTCATCTATATTCATGAGAGTGCAGATGCAGCCAAATTAGTGGCAGCAAAGCACATTTTACAGTGTAGAAAATACAATCTGGCTTCCTTTAAACATTTTTTGACAAAAAAGTTTTATTAAAAAAAAAAAAAGAAAGAAAACCAGACAGATTTAAATTCACCACCACCCGTTGGAGGAGTCTGTTACAAATGCACAGCTGGCTTGATGATGAGTGACAAATCAAAAGTCAGGGAGAAACTTCCCGATCATCTGAGCCCTTGCCACCCGATTAGCAGAAGAAAAACAGGGCAGATGGAGGGAGACGCAGCAGTTCGGAGGGAACAGATGGCCACTACGAACTTGATATATGAAATTAATAACACTTTCTCAAATACAATTAGTAACAGGAATACATTACCTGAATTTTCATAACTGTGAGCAAGCTGACATTAAATGAGGTTTTTCAGATTAACAGTTGATGTGGCATTGATATTTGGAGGGAAATAAAAATATATAGCAATAAGAGAAACCTTTTGCTTTTTGGTGCCATTGATCAGGATGTTGTAACATATGAAAGGAGAAGTGCTATTCAAAGAAATTCCATATTTAAATTCCACTAATTGGAATTTTTTTTCTAATGTAGCCATTTGGGCCACATAATGCATGAGATACTTAAGAGCCTCGCAGATGTATGCAGCATCCACTGCCCTAGATGAATTATTCTTTAGGAGGAAATTAACCATTATGCATCTCTCTACAGATAAAGTGGGGGAAAAGCAAACAAAAACAGGCACAGGAGAGTGAAAAACTCAAGGTTAGATGAAATCAAGAGGCTAAGTAATTTTTTTCAAATCCATTGATGATACAATAAGTAATTCTAGGAATGTTATTAAGCTTTCTCTATTTTGATGCCCGGTCTCTAAAATGGGCAAAATACCAATGCTATATGTTTTGTTCAAAATGGTGTCAACTGAAAATCTATTTTTAATTCAAAATCTATGATGATGGCATGTCTGGACTGTGTTAAGCAGCCAGCCCCCTGGGAAGCCAGAACCTCTCTGAGCTTGGTTAGGTCAGCTTCTGGGGCTCCTGATGAGACAGACATGATGGTGATGAAACTTTGCTGAATGAAGCCCAACCCTGGCCCCTGCAGGAGGCAGAGGCAACCTGGAGTGTTACAAGATGAGGCCATACAGCAGCTGCATAGCTTTCTGATTGAAGGAAAGGGCATACCCACTCTTATGGGTAAGGGCTGTCACAGGGTCCAGGCCTCTGGGAGAGGTAGGCATGAATGTCTCTGGAGAGGTGCATACACTGGGTCTGGTGCAGGGACAGAGCTAAAATATACAAGCACACCAGCCATATGCATGTCTCTAGGGTGGCAAGAGGGGTCTCTCTTGAGTTCCAAGAGGCAGATCATTACTTCTGCTACAATACGATGGCTGTTTCTGCAGCTGGTGGTGGCAGAAATTAGCAGAGAGAGAAGGTAAGAACATTTTCTCTTGCCTGAAAGGAATAACCCTGGTTATTCAGGTAAGCTTAGAAATCCCAAGAAATCATGTTATGAAGCTGTCCCTCTCCCACTTACAAGGGAGGAAAAGGCCAAAGAAATAAAGACAAAGTTCCCTTTCCAGAACCATCCAGAAATACTTAAACATTAAAAAAAAATAGTTAAAGCAGGTACAACTGGAAAAGCCTGGAAGACAGGATGGATATAGGGCACTTGACTAGACATCAATTCATATGAACTTTTAAGAAATATCTGAATTTAATTGTGGTTTCAGCTGTAAAAGCAATTAGCAATGAGATCTTAGATAAGTCACTTCACAAACTTTATACTGCTTAACATAAAATTAAGGGCTTGGATTTTATAGAAGAGCCATCAGATTTTAAAATATTTTATTATATTAAAAATTTAAAAATTAACATACCTATAGATATTGTTTATTCTTTCAGCTTACAATGATATATGCATTTATAACTAAGCATTAAAAAGTTACTAAAAGGATTAACACCAAATGTTCCCAAAGCTTTCAATCTACTCTTAAAGAGGAGAATATGACTTTTCAAGCTGAACATATTTTCCCTAATATTTGAAACAAAAATAAGATCATCACACACATATGAGTTAAGATAGGAAACTAAAAATAAGTATGAATTGGATAGACCTGTATCTTAGTTTGGGTTTCCCCAGAAGCAAACCTTGACATGATAATTTGAGTGCAAGTAGTTTATTTGGGAGGTGAAAGAAAACACCAGTGCAGGTGGGTATGGGGGGAATAAGACATGAAAGTGAAGACAGCAAATATCACTTTATCAAACCAGTCAACACCGCAGGGGACTGCTGCTTGATATCACTGGGAAAACTCTGGGAGTCCATGGAAGAGTTAATCCACTGGGCAAGTGAGAGAGCTGGGGTATTTATGCACCAGCTTCTGTCAGTCATTGGTTAAGGGCTGCTCCCAGGAATTGTTAATCCCCCTGCATTTCTGGTCTGTGCAGGTGGTCAAGCAGGCTCCAGAAGCAAGAGAAAACCTTCAGGCAAAAAAGAGCAGGTGCTGGCATTTGGAAGTTGGGTTGCTGCACCTCAGGGTGTTAGGGGCAAGGAGATATAGCAGGGCACTGGCAGCATTTAGCATGTCATGATAAAACTACTGTCAACGAATTCCCACCCAATAGCTATTTATTTAACTAGGCTGTGTGACATGAGGCTTTATATGTCCTCTTCTCACCTTCAAGGAATGGGCAGAATCCACAGGGCATCCAGATGACAGGCAGGATGCTCCTGCCCCTTAGAAGTGCTCCACTGCAGCCTCCACACATGAATGAGAACCAGCCCTTCACCCCAACTCATCTGGGTATGTCTGGTTATTACCTGAACTGCCTCCAACCTCCTAAAGACAGTAATCTTTATTTTTCCAAATGGTCCTCACTCCACAGTTGGCATTGCTCACTCTGAGAGCGGGGCGTGAGACAGCAGAGGAGACAGAAAAGCTACTCTCATGATTCATCTAACATCCTAGTGAGGCGAAGGAAGAGTTCTGACCTCCCCCGCTTTCTGTTATTATTCCCCTAGAGGCAAATTTTAGATCCAAGGTGAAATTCAATGAATTTCCTTTTACCTTACTTGGAATATAAAAGTAAGTTTCTCCCTCTTTACTGAAATATGCATATTGAAGGATGCTAGTAAGCAGAATATCTAAACAGAGGGGCTTTAAGCGGGACACTTGCTGATGTTTTCCATTCACCCTTGATGTTGATGGGCAGCGTGCCTTTTAGAAAAGATCATAACAACCTTGACATGCCTGGTCTGTATGCTGTTAGGCTCATCTGTTCTGTGACAAAGAAACCTCATTAGATGGGAGTGCTGCTGCAGGACTTGAGTCTCATTTAGAGATTTTTCTCAAGGATCCCTTAAACACTGAGGAATGATATTAATATTAACTCCTATCATTTAGTTTATTCTCTAATTTTTAAAGATTTAAATTTGATTCCTAAAAAGTGGTTCCTATTTGATCAATCATTTAACAAATATGTCTTGAGCACTTCTCTGTCAGGCACTATACCACGTAAACATTTCGGATAGAGATTTCTGTTCCTGTGAAGTTTACATTGTCATAAAAGGAGTCAGACAATACGCAATAAAATTGTTAAGAAAGGTAGTACGGAAGAAGGCAATAAGGTCCATAAGAAGGCAATAAGGTCCATAAAGTAAAGAAAATATGTTGGGCAGGGGAAGAGGGCTTGGAAATGACAGGGTTTTCAGGAGAAGCCTTACTGGGAAAGTGATATTTATACAAAGACTTAAAGGAGATATGAACACAATTCTGAGTACCTGGTACATTTTTAGGACTAGCAATACAGCAGTAAGTATGACAAAACCCTTCCCTAGAGAAGCTTATAGTATAGAGAAGAAGTTCAATCATAAACAGATAAACAAATATGTAATGTCAGAAACTGATAAACATGAGAAGAAAAATAAAGCATGATAATCGGATACAGCATGTGTAGGCAACATTTTCTGGAAAGGACCAGGTAGTAAATATTTAAAGTCTTTCAGCAGTTTCTGACACAAATACTCAACTCTGCCATTATAATGCAAAAGGAGTCATAGATAATAAGTAAATAGAATAGATGTGGCGATATTCTAATGAAACTTTATTTACAAAAATAGGCAGTAGGCAAGAGCTGGTCTATGGGCCATAGTTTGCTGACCCCGGCCATAGGAATCTTTGAGGATATGACATTTTAATAGAGGCCAGAGTAACATAAAAGAGCTATGTGATAATCCAGGGAAAAAGTGTCCCAAGTAGAAGAAAGCACAAGTTCAGAGGCCCTGAGATGGCAGCTTGATTGACAAGTGTGCATCTTGAAGTCAAGTGAGCAAGAGGACGAAATTAGGAAACTGGATTCAAGTACGTGGTGGACTATATTACTGGTCATAATAATTTACTCTTCCCTGATGCACAGTCTTTGCCATGTGATGTTGTAGCTCCTTCCTCTAAAGGGGATTAGGATATTTTCCTATACTTGACTTTGCATTGTGACTAGCTTTGGTCAATAGAACAAGGTGAAAATGGCGATATGCCAGCACTGAGTCTAAATCTTCAGAAGCTCTGCCTGTTTCTGCTCTCTCTCTTGCATATCTCCCATTGCTCTCAGAAGAATAGCTCAGGCTGGCCTTCTGGTCCCTGAAGGAGCAGAGCCACCCAGCCAAGCAATCCTACCTGAGTCCAGCCTGGATCAGTCAACTCCTAGCCAAGTTCCGGGCACAAAATAATAATAAATAATGTGTGGAGCCATTGAGTTTTCAGACTGTTTGTTATATAAAAAATAGTTAAGTGATACAGAGAAGTAGCCAAGATCCATATCATGATGGCCTCGTGGCCCCAATAACTTTGGACTTAATTCTGTGAGAAGGAAAACAATTTGCATGTTGAAGGTAAGGTAAGAAGTAAGATAAGACTTGGTTCATATTTTAGATGTGTTACTTGGGATATGTCAGAAAGGCACTGCAGAAGAGCTAGCGTGGAATATGGGGATTTGTTAGGAGGGATTTTCAACTGACAGATGATGGTAGCTAAAACTCAGGAAAAGGAAGTGAAGGAAAACGAAGTGGTTAGATTATATTTTGAAGGTAGAGCCAGTGCAATTTTTCATAAGTGTTGCATAAAAGAAAGAGAGTAATCAAGGGTGGCTCTGAGATTTTTGGCCTGCACAAATAATGTTATATTGGTGCATTTGCTGAAATGGAGGGTAATATACAGTTGAAAGGAGGGTAATATACAGTTGAAACTGTTAAAAAAAATACTAAATTGAGGTTGAGATCAACAGAAAAGTGAGAAGCATTTAAGCAATATGAAACTATTAAAAATACTTTAATTTTAAACTATACTTCGTAAGTATACCATGTAAGCTAGTGTATTAGTCAGCTCAGGCTACCATAACCAGATACTGGAGACTGGGTGGCTTAACCAAGAGACAATTATTTTCTCACAGTTCTAGAGGCTAGAATTCCAATATCAAGGTGTCAGCAAGATTGGCTTCTGTTGAAGCTTTTATTTCTGAGTTGTAACTTCTCTCCTTCTCCCCGTGTCCTCACACGGCCTTTCCTTTGTGTACACATTGAGAGAGAGAGAGAGAGAGAGAGATCTTGTACCTCTTCCTCTTCTTATAAGAACACTAGTTTTATTGGATTTGAGCCTTACCCTATGACCTCATTTAACCTTAGTCACCTCCTTAAAGGTTCTATCTCCAAATATGGTCACATTGAGGGCTAGGGCTACAACATGAAATTTGGGGGGACACAATTCAGTCCATAATAGCTAACTTTATTTATTAAATAGCTAACATTTTATAATGGACTAAAGCAATTTGAGTTCAACTCCAATTACCATCAACATCTTTGTTCCCTTCCAGCAAAACTTTTTGAAAGTGTTGTATGTATTCTTTCTTCTCATCTTTTCAAATTAAGCATCTTTTTCTACTACTCCACTACAATTTCTCTCCTTAGGATCATCAGTGACTGTTCTAAAGTCAATCCCACAGTTCTTTCCCATGCTTTCTTGACTCCTCTCCCATTAGACACAGTTGACCAGACACTCTTTGAAGCCCTGTCTCCTGTAGGCTGAGGTTACGCTATACTCTCCCTGTTCTCTTCCACCTTCTCTGAGAACTCCTCTACAGTTCCCTTTGCTTGTGCTCCTGTTTTACCAGCAGACATTGGGCTGCCTCATAGGCCCCAACCTGCTGTTCTTTGCTAGAGCAATCTGGCCCCTGGCAATCACATTAGCTTTCATGACCTTGCATAAAACTTACACGCTGTTTCAGCTCCCACATCTGTATGTTTATGACATTTCCACTTTGGTCCAAATTTTTGTGTCTAACTGCATCCTTGACATCTCCACTGAGATGTTAAAAGGCATCTTGAGGACAGAATCCTTGGTTTGCCCCTACACCAAACCAGTTCTTTTGCCAGTTTTCTCCAGTTGAGTAAACATGGCACTCATCAACTCAGATGCTTAGGTCTCACACCTATGGGCCCTCCTGATGTCCATTTGTTCACTTCCCCCTCAACTTTAAGCTACCAGCAAATCCTGTCAGCTTTATTCTCCTCCTCTTCAAGCTACTTGTTAACATCTTTATTACTACCACCCATTGGTCATTAAAATTAAAGTCTGAGGTTAAATAAAAAGGTTGCCAGCACTTTTAGTTCAAATGTGTGACTCCTTCTCTGAAGCATGTGGCTAATATAGTGAAGAAATGAAGAAGAAAAAGAATACATATGTTGTAATAGGCAAAACCTGCTCAGATTTTGTAAGATCATAAAACATGAGTGGAAAGAATATTATTTAAAACCCCATGATATTTATTGACTTGTGGAAAGCCAATATTGGACAAAAAAAACACACCTGTGACAAAATTCCTTTTGGGGAAATTTGCACTATTATCCAGCTTGATCTTAGGGAGTGATCTGAAAATCCTGTGGAAAATCAACTCATGTTACATTCTGTCCTTTCAAGTCTAAAGGAGGAGTCTATTCATGCTTACCAGGGACAACTCTTTAATACATAAAACCAAGCCATTAGGAGAGGGATACCAGGATATTTGGGGGCAGATCCTGGATTCTTTAGGGGGTCCCTAAGATTCAACTACTTCACCTACATGTGAGATGAGCTATATCATTATCACTGTTGCGACAAATAAACAAAAGCCATTAAAAAGAGAAAAAAGAGAAACAGCTAAAAGTGAGGAGCACTTTAAAAAAAATCCATAAAATCATTATGCAGTTTTAACCAATTACAAGTCTGCTTTCAGTTAAAAAAGTGCCAAGAGCAAACCACAGAAATGAATCAGAATGGGAGTTTAATTGGAGACTGCCGGCCAGCGGCCAATTTAAAGACTATTTTAAGAGAGCGGGTTGAGCTCAGTATTGAAGCCATATTTGATCACCTTAAGAATTGTTGCCATTCAGACCTGCGGAATTGGCTCCTCTCTAGTAGGCATAGCAAGTCCCAGCGCTGTGTCTGAATTCACTTCCATCACTGCTTATAGTTAAAAGAAATTAAGAAAATTCACCCATCTATTGAAAGTAGAGCTGCCTGCATATTTTGCGGGACCCAGTGCAATATGAAAATGGGAGCCCTTTGTTCAAAATGCAGGAAGAAAGTATTATTAAAATTTAAAAAATATAAAACTTTTTCCTTCCAAGGTCTCCCTGTTGACCTCTCATGAAGTTTTTTGACTTTTTAACACTGCAATCCCTCAGGCAGGTGAATACACACAGCCTGCTGAGCCTCACAGGCGCCTGAGCGGCCAGACCAATTTGTCAGTCTCCCTCTTCCACACCCATCACTCCAGTCACGATGGACGGGAGGTCCTGAGAGAGTCCAACCTCCACGGGGGGACACACTGGGGACCTTGATCAGGAATAGGTAACAGGCCTCTCCCCAGGTTGCTTATCAAATGTTCTGTGGTGTTGCTAATCCTGGGTGAGGAGAGCTGCTGCAATACTCCAAGGTTCTATGGGGTGCAGGCTCACCCAACCCCACCCCTTCCCATGTCCTCCCCAGGCACCTGCCAGGGGTGGCAGGTAGTGGCAGGATATTGGCCTCCCCCTGCTGTCCTGCTCTTGCTCCTGGTTGAAGGTGTCAGTGGCGGCAGAGTGGGAAGGGGAAAATGTGGGGTTCAAATTCCAGATGATGGCAACATGGCTACCAAAACCTGTCCCTGGAAAGTAGGGGAGGCAACAGGTGGCAGTACTCACATGAGTGACTCTCTAAGCCACCATCCCTCTGCAGTCACCCATGCTCTATTGTTCCAGCAGACTTCATTTACAAAATCCAAATTCAAAGATAAAATTATCAGTAATTTCGAGACTGTGACTAGAGAGCATAGAATGGCAAGCCCAGATCCTTCTGAGCCAGTGGCCACGTGCAACTGCACTGGTCATTCCTGTGAAGCTGACCCTGATGGGAAGTGGATTTGCTGGTGACATCACAGGGCCCTGATCCTGCAACATCCTGGAGGAGCTGTGTGCACCTGCCAACTCTGGCTCTCCTCCAACATATACAATCTTATTTTTGAAAAAGAGCTTTCTGCTTCAGTAAGACAAGAAAGACAAGGCATTTTAGAAATTTTAAAAAACAGTGTATCTTTTATTTCATGGGTTTATACAGATCATACCTAGTAGTACTAAGAGAACTTACCAAAGAACAACAATGACTTAATTTGGAGTCTGTTTCTGAGTGGTGCTTTTCTAATCAAAGTGTAATTAGGGCATTGCTCCAAGCAGTCTTGGCTGGGTTCAGTGAGTTTAGACAGATATAGCTCTCTGAGTCCTTTACAGCCTGGACTGGCTTAACAATCATCCAAGCCTCATAGTGACCATTTTCCCTCATCTTTGTGACCCCATTTCTTTATCAATATTGTTGTTAAACCACAGCCAGCAGATCCCAACGTCATTGGTTTATGATCAATCAGTGTACATATTTATACTGCTATAATGTTCAAAATACTATTTGGTTGATAATCTTTATTGCAGTACATATTTGAAAAACGTCATTAAAAACTTAGATTTAACAAATAATTTTGAGGTTCTTAATAGTTTCACACGTATGGTCTCATGGTTTAATTCTTTTTAAATTTTGTAGTATGATGTTGCTTTCTTGGGATAGTGATTAGGAAAAATCCATCATGTTTATTATTATAAGTATACTTAGAGTTACATATAATTCTAAATATATATGTGTATAATTATGATTATATCCATGTAGTATTTATTGAATGCTTATTATCTACCATTTAATCTTTGCAACAATCCTGTTAAATAAGTACTCTCATCACTATTTTATATGTGAAGAAACTGAGTTTCAGAGAGATTGAGTAACTTGCCTAAATTCATACAGCTGGTTGCTAGCAACATTTATTGAGGACTTACTGTGAGCCGGACACCAGGCTAAGTATTTTACATAGTAGAATTCTACATTCTCTACAGTATTCTGCATATTGTCATTTAATCCCTATGACTTACCCTTTGGGATAGTATTACTGCTATCTTCATATTACAGATGAAAAAACTTGAGACTGGAAAGATTGATTCTCTTAAGGGTACACTGCTATTACCACTAAGAGCCAGGATTTTAACACAGAAAGTTGGACACCAGAGCCAATGTTTTCATTCATTACACTGTGCAGAAGGTTGCATATTGTGAAAATGGCCAGAACATATTTCTGTTGCCACATACTCCTCCAGAACCTTACACTCTCTCATCAATAGTTGGAGTCTATTCTTCCCCCACTTGAAACCTTGTGGGCACTATGAATGCCATGACAAATAGCACTGTGGTGGAAGTGATATTGCATGGTCACACGTAGAAGGGCTAGGTCAGAAAAGGTAATACAGAACCTGCTAGGCTCTCTGTCTCAGGATACTCATCCTTGCAACTCAGCCACTATGGAAGGCAGAGTCATGGCTCTCCAAAGATGTCTGTGTCCTAGTCCCTGGAACCTGTGAATATATTACCTTACTAGGCTAAAGGGACTTGACAGATGTAATAAAATTAAGGACCTTGAAATGAGAAAATTATTTTTAATTATGTGAGTGGCCCAATATAATCACAAAGGTCCTTAAAAGTGGAAGAGGGAGCAGAGAGTCAGAAGGAGATGTGATCGTGGAAAGAAGGCACAGAGCGACGCAGTGTTGCTGGCTTTGAAGAGGTAGGAAGCAGGCCATGAGCCAAGGAATGTGGGCAGCCTCCACAAACTGGAAAATGAAGCAGATTCTCCCCTAGAGCCTTCATTCAGAAACGAACACAGCCTGGTGACAACTGGATTTTAGCCCAGTGAGACTTGTATCAGACTTTTGGCCTATAGAACTGTAAGATAATAAATTTGAATTATTTTAAGCCACTACATTTATGGTAATTTCTTGAACAGTGATAGAAAATGAATACAGCCACCATTCTGTGAAGAAGCTCAGGCCATGAGGAGGTGTTTCAACTAACAGGTAATATCTTGGTTGACAGCCAGCATCATTTGCTAAGAAGGTGAGTGAGTGAGCTTTCAGATGACGCCAGTGCCCAAGCTTCAAGATGCTCCCAATGATGCCAAGTGGAATGGAGTTGAGCTGCCCCTGCTGAGCCCTGTTCAAATGGCTTTTGGGGCTGTCCAAAAAACCTAACAAACATGAGGTTTGTTCTGTCTCTATTCCATGCCTTGCTGAACATGAGGAAACTTTCCAGTCTGTGAAACAATTGTTGATTACTGAGTTTCATGATCCTAAATTACAATAAGCATCAGCCCATTTCTAACTGCTGAGGATGTCTCATCCTGTTAAAGTGTCAGGCCATGGTTAGGAACAAGATGCCAAAGCACAGTGAACAATAAATAAAGAAGTATACCAACGGACATAGGGGCACCCTTATTGTTACAAGAATAAGCCATCTTCATAATCACTTTCACTGTTATGATCTCTACCGATTATAGAACTGTTGCAAATATCATAATCTTAAAAAAAATCTCATTGGATGATTCCTGAGCTTCATACAAATAATTGAGAACCCTGTTTCCACATTACCTAGCAAAGAGAACACAGAAAATTATAGAAAATCATTGAGCAAACATAGCTACCTAGGGATCTGCTCTGAGTCCATTTTTTTTAAAGAAAGATACATTACAGAGATAGCATGATCATGAATTTGTCATTCATTAGTTTCAGCCATGCATGTTTTTATTTATTTACTCCTTAAAGAAAATAATATTTTTTTGCTTCTTTCCATATTTTATGTATGGTATCATCAACCTGAAACTTGATTTTTGGTTGCTAGTATATTTTTAAGTTTTATTCATGTTAATGCTCACAGGCCTAGCTTAATTCATCTTTGACTGCTTATCCTTTCTCTTATTAATGAATATTAATGCTTTAAGTTTTGTTTATTTGTTTCAGCTTTTAACTTTCACAAAAATGCTGCAGTCCATGTTCTTTACAGATCTCTTGGGCACATTTACTAGATAGAGTTCATTGTATTGTATGTTTAGGGGTAAAGTTTATGAGATAAAGAAAATATGCATCTTCAAATTTGCTAGATATTGCCAAGTTGTTCTCCAAACAATTTTTTATTCTACCACAGTATATAAGAGTTCTACTGTTTCATATAATTTGCTCACATATGCCACTATTAAACATTTAATGTTTTGCCAAACTGATAAGTCTGCAATTATATCTAATTGTGGTTTTCCCCTTGTAAGGGAGGCTAGGCAACCTTCCATATGCTTATAGGACAATATTTTTTCTCTTTTCTGTGAATTACCTATTTGTATCTTCACGCTATTTTTCTACTGAGTTTTCTTATGTGTTATTTCTCATTAATTTGTAAGCATTTCTTAAAAATTATGGATTATAATTTGTTTTGTTATATGCTTTGCAGAAACCCTTCTCAGTTTGTGGAGTATCTTCTTACTTTATTTGTAATGTTTGTTGTGTAACATTGGTTTAAATTGAAATACACTCAGCTATATACTTTATTTAATAGTATGTGCATTTGTTTCTTATTTATCCTACCTCAAGGTTAGAAATAAGATCTTTTATATTTTTTCTAAACTTTTTATATTTTTCATCCATCTGGAATTTATTTTTTTCTGTACAGTGTGAGGTAGGGGTTTAACTTTATTTTTTCCCCACAAGGATACTTCATTTCTCAGCAGCATTATTAAATAGTCATGTTATCCCTACTAATTTTTAATGTCATCTCTCTCATATTAAGTTTTCATAGATATGTGAGTTGGGAATATGCTATTATACTTCAGTGACTTTGTATAAGCTATTATCTCTGTCCAGAATGTCCTTCCCCACTCTGTTGACTTGCAAATATTCTCCTCTCCTATTATGTCTTAGTTTAAATGTCATCTTCTTTATGAAATAGCTCTCACCTTTCTTTCCCCTTCTCTGTGTTGATTATAACCTTCATTGCCACATGTATTGCACCATAGATATTCATGTAGAGAGTTTTCATTGCCAGATTTTTAGCATTTTGGAGGCTAAACACATTGTCCTGTTATTTTGTACTGTCAAGTACCTTGTAGATATTTAATAAGATTATCTAAAGGAATAAATTAATGAGTGAATCTTTGAAACAGAACAGCTTGAGTGACACTTGGTAAATCTGAATAATTCATCTTCATATCTCTGGTCTATCTTTTTCCCTTGTTTTGCTGACTTTATGTAGAGATTTTAACATAGTTATTATGGATGGCATTTTTCTTTTTAAAAATTGCTATTTATATCTATAATTTGTAGTGTAGTATAGCATAATGCTATCTTACTTGTTAGATTCTTTTCATTTTTTTTAAATAAATGTTGTCTGAAGACTAAATTAGCAACATCACCTATATGGTGACACTACTTTGTCCAAAAATCCCCAAAGCTGCCTTGTTGGAGAGCAGGGAAGCTTTGTACTCTAGGCAAGCTGTTATTTGGTACATATAGCTAAAATCTAAAAAGCACAACAAAGACTGTAAACTCACTCAATTTTACGTAATTATTTTTGAATACTCTATGGTCCCTTATAAAATGTAAGGACTTTATAAATAGTTATTGAATATTTTCATGATAGTAATCATGTGTTTCATCACCTGCCTTACTCTTGAGAAGATTTTACAAGATCTGTCAATCTCATAGGCAATAAAGAACATAGCTGATTTCTGTATATGATTTCCATCAAAGCTTATGCATGTGGCGAATCAGAACAGAAATGAGCATTGCTGACATGACCTTGAAGTTTCCATAATCACCAGCTTCTGGTATTATTTGAGAGTAGATTTAGAACACTTATGCTGGTGTTGTTTTCACTTACAAGTAACCCTCAAAAGATTAGCAGCCCTTCTTTACTGCTGTTAATTTTGTCATTGACCAAACTCACAGCAAAAGATGCAACCATCAACTCCTAACTCAAAAGAGTGAACAACAAAGTCTGCATATGAAAGCATGGTCTTCAGAATTTCATGCTCAGCCAGGTATTTAGGCTGCAAGACCTACCTTATCTCGGAGTGTAGATGCTTGGATTTGCTGCTTACAGGTCAGCAAATCATGCGTAGTTAGCTCTGTTTTATTTAAACAAGTCTGGTTACAAACTACTGTACAGTACTTCTGCACAAAGTTATACTACGTCTCTATGTTCCCTAATTCACTTAAGGAAAGAGCAATCACTTTCAAGGTTTCACCCAAATCATTCTTTTAAGCTATTCTTAACACCCTGAGCTTTTCTCTTGAGGTTTCTTTTCCTTATCCCTAGAAATAACCTTTCATCATTGGCTTTTGAAAGTGTTCAGTCTACGTAATTTCCCAAATTGGGCCTTTCAGTTTTGGACCTGGTTACCTTATTAAGTCCTTTAATTTTTCATTGTGAGCTCCTTAACTTTTTATCTGGTGAATTTCCTTTTCGAACACGTCTTGCCTCTACTCTCCTGTGCTTTCTTTTCACTACACACATAACAATTTTCCACTTCTTTCCCAATACCAGCCACTTGGGTTCCAAATTTTATTATTTCCCTATTGTTCATTTCTCTATTTAAAAAACATATCTGTTTTATCTCAAATTAGTGTTCTAAGTCCCAGATTTACATTTAAAGGTCATAAATAACTCTTATCTACAACCTCTGCGAGACTCTTTCTCTCTTTAGAGTTCAGTTTCCTTGTCTATAAAATGAGGCAGTTGGAAGACATCTCTAAGTTCTGCTTCAGCAAAAACAGTGCGACTCTGACAATAAGAGGATTTGTCATATTTGGTACACCTCAATTGATTAGGGGTTATTTACTGCTGTGTAGTCTATCTATGTTTGCATGGCCATTGGCACATTCAATATAAAACTGCATCACGCAAAAGGAGCAGCAGCCAGTTCTAGCATCACAGCTGTTTTTGTCTTAGCACAATGTGAGGCCCGATTGGGAGAAGAGAAAGCAGGAAAAGCACAAGAAGCTGCCAAAAGGTGAACTGAAATAGGACAGTCACAGGCAAAGATAAAAGTTGAAATGACTTCATGACACCCCAGAAGATTATAACTAAAAGGAACTAGGCCAGTGTCAGGACTTCTGGGCGAGAATTAACAGAAAGGAGAAAAAGAACTAGAACTCTGCTATCAGAAAAGAAAAGGTTATTTTTTTCTTTAGAAATATATGTTCTCAGATTATGAGTTTAGAGGTCAATGAAACAGAGGAACAAACAATGCAAGATCTACCAACAGATGCAGAGGCAAGTTTAAGTGGGGAATGGAGAAGAGAACAAGAGCCCCAAATCCTTAGTCTTTTTGTCATCCCCAAATAAAAATCACCCAATCACCCAAAGTATAATTTCTGAATGCAATGAGCAGAAATAGATGAACTTCATTTTTAGCTCTTATGTTTCTTGGATTGTGAGTTGGCTAAGGTATTTGTTAGTCTGCCGCTCATTTACTAGATTACTGATCGCATGATACGACTATTATGTCATTCAGGTAATACAAGAAATACAATTATGCTCCCTTCATTCTGTTTGGTAGACAGCACATCAGGGGGCAGGAAAAGGTCTATTTCAGAAAAGCAGTTCTTTCTGAACAAGGAGGATTCTTGCAAAGAATTTTCTTTTTCTTTTTCTTTTCTTTCTTTCTTTTTGGGTTTTTTTTTTTTTTTTTTTTTTTTTTGAGACAGAGTTTTGCTCTTGTTGCCCAGGATAAAGTGCAATGGCACAGGTTTGGCTCACTGCAACCTCCACCTCCCAGTTTCAAGCAACTCTCCTGCCTCAGCCTCCCAAGTAGCTGGGATTACAGGCACCCACCACCATGCCTGGCTAATTTTCGTATTTTTAGTAGAGACGGGGTTTCACCATGTTGGCCAGGCTGGTCTCAAACTCCTGACCTCAGGTAATCCTCCCACTTTGGCCTCCCAAAGTGCTGCGATTATAGGTGTGAGCCACTGTGCCTGGCCAGACATTCTATTTCCTGAAAATAAAATTGATAAGCTTTCTATCTTCTAGAAGTTTGTTTTATTGAAAAGGTTTTTTTTAATTTTTCAAACAAATAACTTTTTTTCTTTTTTTTGGTTTAGAGGTATATGTGCTACAATTCCTTCTGGGAAATGAGTGACTGGATTGAAACAAATTTAAAGTTAAAATGTCTTTATGCGCAAGTCAGGTAGCTGTTATTCCTATATCCATTTTGCAGATGAGTATTTGGAGGTTCAGAGTGGTTAAGGTGAAGCTGATCACATGAAAAAAGAAGTGAAGCTGGGATTTAAACCCAGATCTCCTGATTTTAAGTGCTATGGTCCTCATACTACACTCCTAAAGGCTTTCCCCTAGACTGTGAGAAGGGTAAATTGCTTATACATTCTTAATTTGCATGCACTTAGTAAATTAATCATGTGACTGTAACAGACATAATGAGCATCTTAACAGAATCACTGAATGACCACCGGTGGCTTCCCTGACATCTCCCCTCCCAACCCATAGGTCACATTGTGAAACCAGGACAGCTTTCTTCCTTTCTTTAGCAGTTTCCTCTTTAGGCGTTGTATGGCCAATGGTGCCATATACACTAGAGCTTCCTGGCAGAAGGGGGACCCATTCACTGATTCCTTGAATGAATCTTTCACTATATATTAAATGAGTCATCACACCATGCAGGTGATTGTGTGAGATACAATGGGCACTAAGAACATAACTGAGGCATCATAGAATGTTTGTGGTAATGGATATAGCAGCCTAGTCTCCTTTGCTTTGCATAATTGGAAAAAGTTTCAGATGATTGAAGTTTGGAGGAAATTAAGAAAAGAAATCTCAGTTTAAATAACCAAAAAGTCCTGTATGAAAAGAAGTGGTGCTGATTCTTATTTGGCTCTAACATACAGTCAAACTCCTAAGCACATGTTTTCAAGTTTCAAAGTTGAATAAATGCTGCAAACGTGAAAGACATTAATGGTACCCTCTGTCTCTCTCCCCAGTGGAGTAAATTAACTCAAGATTGCTTCCATTAGCCTTTCCTCTTCTCATCCCCCCATCTGCCTGGAGGAAAATGCTTGCTGATGGCACTTCCTGGCACAACAGCAATTGTGATATTTTCAGTGGGCTTTGCCTTTTGTTGCTCCCTGAGCTCCGTGACCCACCCGTGCTGGCCAGAGCTGCATTAACCAGGTCCCGCCCGCACAGGAGAAATTCCTTTCATTCATCAACAGATAAGGAGTTTTGACAAGACTCTCTGGGGAGCAAAAGGGAGAAAATACACACACACACACACACACACACACACACACACACACACACACACACACACAAGATTGCCCTGTAATATTGAGAAACACAAAGTAAAGGGACCAAAAAAAGACTGAAGGAAGCTTTAAGGCGGCCAGGGCAGACAGGGAGTCTGCTATCAGAATTAAACGCGATGCAGTCCAGAGCCCTGCTCTCTGTTTCTACCTGCTTCTTCTCAATGTCACTGTCGGCCAAGAGTTTGATAAAAAACAGATCCCCAGAAGTATTCCAGTAACTCCTCAGGACCACCAGGGCAAAAACAAAAACATTCAGGGCTTGACACTTACCAGGGCAACTTGCCAAGCTTATCACATGTGAAAAGAGCTGCTCAGAGAGAATAATCTTGCTCGCGTTCACAAGGCGGGGTGTTAAGTCTCGGAGAACCCAGGGCATTTTCCATCCAGAGCAGCCTAGAAGGGTTGGAAATAGCACTTTTCTATGAACTGCCAGAAAGGGCAATTATACACTTTATGTAAGGGAAGGCTGAAGGAGAACTTGAAAGGTCATTTGAGGGAGAATGTGGAGAATTAGTCTACCTTCTAGCCTTCAAGTCTGAATAGACTGGAATGACTCTACCTTACAAGCATGTCTCATACATTCTTTATGTAAATCTTTTCTGCAAACCTGGCCTGGAGGAAATTCTGACACCCAACCTAACACTTGCAGGATGTATTTCTTTCTTTTTCCGCAAGCTTCATTGAAGATAATAATAGCACACACTCCTAACATCCCTGAGTGCTTACTGTGAGCGGACACGGTCCTAAGCCTCTTACCTGTATCTTTTTCGTGTGATCCTCATAAACGCCCTATGAGGTAGATATTATTACTATCCTCACTTTCTGGATGAGAAAACCGAGGTGCAAAGAACATGCCTAAGGTCATATAGCTAATAAGTGAAATAGCAGGGATCTAATTCTGCTTCTCATTGAATCCTCATACTTTTAAATAACCATTCACAGGGATACTCCCCTATTTCTCATTTCAAGTTTCTCTGTCGGCTAAATAACCTTCTTCCCTCTAAGCCTTTCTCCTCTTGTGACTTCAGTCTGATATCTCTTCTTTAGGTTTCTGATCTCCCTAATTAAATTTTTCCCCAATATTCTGTGAAACTTCTAATGTGTTGTTTTAGGTTTAAATATAGGTCAGCTTGTATATGTTATACGTATATGCCCTATATCACATTGTTATATGTTTTTTCAGCTGGAGTATCACCTATCTGATCTGCATGCCTTATAACTCCATATAAGTGCTATAAAGTTTCAAGTTTCTGGTCTATTAAGATAAACCCTTATATCTCAAATTGGAACCTCAGCCTTGAGATATGGCTTTTCATGTTAGCAGCTATATCCATGCATTCCATCCCTTATGCAAATTTGTCACAAAGCTTTGCGAGGCTTGGTGCTTCTGATGTTGCCGCTTTCCTTAGCTGCAGGCAGTCATCACGCTCTGTTAAGATGGTGGCAAAGCAGTGAAGTTTCTGTGACTCCCCTGAATAGCAACCAGTTCCATTTTTCCTCTAAACTCAGGAGGCATCTGGTTCATGACCTGATTCCTCACACCTTAATCGTGAAGATGGTGCTGATCACAGTAGCACACACCCATAGTCCCAGCCACCGAGGAGACTGAGATGGGAGAATCCCTTGAGGCCAGGAATTTGAGGCTGTAGTGCACTATGAGCCTCTGAATAGCCACTGCACTCCAACCTGGGCAACATAACAAGACTCTTCTCTTAAAAAAGAGAAAAAAAGAAGATGGTAAGTTGGGCTTTTTTATCAAACAAAACTTGTGTTCATTGGGCTAACAAATACATAGAGTGTCTACTACTAGCCAGACATGTTGTAAGTGCTAGCTCTAAGTCAGTTAAGAAAACAGATAATAAATCTCTGTCTCTTGAATATTATTCTCTGGTGAGGGGTTATAGATACATGATATATTAATTATGTCAGAGAACTTGGCAAATGAGAAATAGGAAGTTCATTCAGCTAAATTAATTCAACAACTCTTCGTTAAATACCAAATATGTATTGTACAGTGTTTATCAGTTGTTGGAGTTAAAGCAGGAACCAGAAAGATATGATTCCAGCCATCATGTTACTTACATTCTCGTGCCCATCATTTAACTGTTTGTTCTCACATGCATTTCTTACCATTCTCCTGCTCCTTTGAAGGTGGGAGAGAAGAGGAAAGTAATCTTTACAGAGTACATTTCCTAGATTCCCCTGCCAAATGGCACTTGATCAGTTTTTCAAGAGCAGCAGGCACTAACCAAAGTCTGGGGAAACACAAGAAAGGAGTGACCTTGCCTCTTCCTTTCTCTGTCGCAGGTGCTGGCTGCCTTTCCTCTAAACTCTAGCTCCTGCTAGCCTGGCTGTAACCCCGATTGCACCTCCTCCTTTCTAGGCTCTTGTGCCTCCAGCCCTTGGGATAGCAGTGGCTTTTGTTCTGTGTTGCCTACAATCTCTGTTTAACTTCTCAGCCTTCATGATCCATGTGGCCAAATCCTTGAATTAAATTTTCTTTTCGAAAGACCTAAACTAGTTTTGTTTTTTCTCATGGGCCCCTAAGTGGGGAAGTAAGTTTTAAATGAGATATTACAAATGTGATTAGCAAAACAAAAGTAGCAGTGAGGTACTATAGATTGTATAAGAAGAGCCCTAGTTTGCTGGGGCTGCCAAAGCAAACTGTAAGAATCTTGGTGACTTATACAACAGAAACTTATTTTCTCAGAGTTGTAGGGGCAGGAAGTTCAAGATAAGGTGTCTGCAGGTTTGTTTCTTCTGAGGCCTCTCTCCTGGGCCGCCTTCTCCCTGTTGTCTTCACCATGGTCATGTCTCAGTGCTTGCGTATCACTTTGTCTCCTCTTATAAAGAGACTGGTCAGATTGGATTGGGACCCACCCAAATAGCTTCACTTTACCTTAATCACATCTTTAATGGTTCTCTTTTTAAATACAGTCACATTCTGAAGTGTTGGGACTTCAGGCTCCAACATATGAATTTTAGAGGGTACTCAATTCAATCCATAACACTGACCTAGTTGAAAGGTCAGGTAGGCTCAGCTAAGAAAGGCATCAACAAATAGAGTAGCAGGGAAGACATTGGTGGCCATATATGCATTTGATTTTCACATATTTGACATATGTTATAAATGCAACATGCTAGCCGCTGGATATACAGACATGGATAAGATGTTCTCCTCTGTGATTGACATTGGGTAGGAGACATGGACAAGGGGTGGAATAATTAAAATATAATGTAGTTCATCTCAGGATGGGTTAAGTATCAGAAGTAGCTGGAGAATGGAGAACAGGGGCATCTCAGCCTATTAAGAAGGTCAAGAATGGCCTCCTCTGAGTAGATGTCATCCAAAGTGAATCTTCAAAATTAAAGTGTTGGGCAAGTGAAAAAAATCTGAGAGTGGGAAGAAAATTCCCAGTAGATGAAAGAGCATGTTTTCTAGATGTTAGACTTGTAAGTAAGAGAAAGATAGCACAGCATATTCATCCTTCATGAAACTGAGAGGACAGCTTCTTTTTTGGAGTGTGTGTGTGTGTGTGTGTGTGTGTGTGTGTGTGTGTGTGTATGTGTGAGAACTGAATAATACTTCTCTGTATTCATTGATGCAGTGTTCTTCATAGCACTTTTAAAATATTGGGAGTTGATCTCTAAATATCTTGGAGCTAATGCTTTGCTTCTCATTTGTTTATTTTGGATTGTTTCCATCTATGAGAGAACGTCATGTCATTTTTCCTTGATAATCATGTCTCTAACTTTGGTGTGACCACCTCTCCTTTGGCATCGGTGATCCTGGGGGCTTCGGACTGTGCTACTCCCAAGAAGTTGCTGAGAATGTTCATTAGAACAATAGGAAAGGCTTCTAAAACTCTGCTTTGTAACTTTTCGCATGTATATTCTCAATAAGGATGTGTCTTTTTTTAGCCATATCACTATGGTTAATGAAGTATTACACAGTAGAAGGCCCACATAATTGGCCCAAACCAATGTTAAAAATAATATTAAAATGTAAAGTTTTCATCTTGTTGCTCTTTTTCAGCTATTTCAGTAGATCTCTTTCTTCCCTGACTGGTATCATTCACAAACATTCAAAATGACTCTATTGTAGATTTCTGGCTTGAAGAATAAGCTATTTGTCCAATGACATTATTTAAGAAGGACAGTAATTTAAGAATAATGTTTATAATACTCATAAACAATCTATACACATTTGAAGATTTTTCACTTTATCATATATATCATAGATAAAATGTTTAGAGTTCCCCCAAAAGATTCATTAAAATCCTTAGATGGGGCTTTTTTTTTTCTGGGAAAACAGTGGTTTAGTAATTCTAAAGAGGTTTCATCTTATATTATCCATGTTCAAGCAAAAGGGCATTTGAGCATTTATTTAATCAGTGTCTGTAGCAGATTTAGGAGTAGATGCCTTTTCTTCTCATTAGGACCAAATTGCATGCTACTGACAAGGGTTAAAAAAAATACCACATACATTTCTTCAGCAATTAAGATTGAGAACATTTGATTGGGGGCTTTCTGGGGTTTTAGATTGCCTTGCATTTCCACCTCTGAGGAGGAAATAGATTCTAAGTTATAGCAAGAGAGCACTGAGTTAGATGTAAAGAAGAACTTTGTGTCTCAGACTGATTAAACACTGGAGCAAATTAGCAGGGAAGCTTATGGAATCGCCATCTGTGGAGATACTTCAAAAATAGAATTGACAATTTTTTTCTTTGGATGATTTAGGAAATGCCCCTACTGGCAAGGAGATGGACCAAATGGGCTCTTGAAATCCTTTTTGGTTCTCTGCTCCTAAGAATCTTCCTATACAGTTCTTGGAAGTATTTATTTCCTAAGTAGAATATAGAACAGAAAGCCTTTAGTAAAGGTAGGCTGCATGTGTGTGTGTGTGTGTGTGTGTGTGTGTACATATCTTTAGGTAGAAGGATGAGAAGGCAACATTGTGTGATCTAAAAAGCAAAATTATCATTTGCTAACCAGTCATGTTTACCTATGTAAATACATAGGACTTCCTTAGACTTTCTAGCCTCTTGCTGCTTTTCTGACTGCTCAGTCTCTGTCCATTCTCTGCCCACACATCAAGTGTCGGCCTCATCCTGTGTCCTACTCTCTACTCTCTTTCTCTTTCACACTTGTCTCCCCCAAGACAGCTTTATATTCTCCTGAGGTTTCTGTCCTTGGGTAACTTGAAAAATCTGCTTCCACAGCCACGATATTTCTCTGGGTGCCAAAACTGCATTCCAACTACCTGGCAAATATGTCCACCTGAAAAGACCTTTCAGCAGATTCAACTCAACTTGCCGCAAACTGAAGAGGCAGGAGAAAAGAAAAGGGTCTCCACTCTGCCCTTCTACAGTTCCTCTTGTAGCCTTTTCCACCCCACCTACCATCCCAGCAGTTCTTCCTACACTCACCCTCTGGGCCCTAATTAGCTCTTTAGCCTCATCTGGTATGGCCAACCTCTCCCCAACCCCCATGCCCCACACATGGCCAAAGAGTCACAGAAAATTGTGCCCAACCCTCTCCTCTGCCAGCACAACATTCTCAGGGCTTCTAGCTCTGGGAGCTCACTCACCCCTCCCAAGCTACCTATCCTCTTTGCCTACAATATTTCTTCTGCCTTGAATAATCTTCCTACTCTGACTGTAAAATTATCTCTCTACAAGGTGTCTCATGTTTACAGTCTCAGTTCATCTTCTTAGGAAATCTTACTGAATCTTCCTTCATGTGCATCAATTGTCCTCTGCCCAAGAACCTGCAGCCCATTCTTCACATGACCTTGGAAAAGGCACATAGCATGAGGATTGGATCACTCCATATCTGGGGCTATATTGTGTACATCACATCCCAGCTATGAGACCCTGATGGGTGACTTAACCTCTTAGTGTCTATTTCTCCAGCTATAAAATAGGAATAAATTTAATGCTATCCCAAAGGAGTGAGGACAAAAGCACTCACCCGGGTACTGGGAAGAATAAAGAGGTAAATGGTCCCTTCAATCAAAGAGGTTTAGGTCAAGTAACTAATAATATACACAATTCCAGTAACTGTAATAAGCTATGAGTGTAATATCATCATCACAGTCATCACCATCATCATCATCATCATCATCCCAACTAACTTTACTTCAGTTCTTGCCATCCTGCCCAGCATTATTCTAAAGCGAATGAATAATTCAGGACATATATACTGGTAGACATGTAGTGAAAAGTTTTAGAACAGTTAGCCAAAGCTAGGTCATTTAGATTTGTTGATCTTTCTTCCTGCTATAGCAGAGCAATTCCCTGTAGCATAGTCTTAAGTGTTTATTAGTCTATTTTTAAATCACTGAAACTACTTGGCTACTACCACAACCCATGAAAGATTGTCCTACAATATACTAGACAGAAGTTCCAGGAAATTTCTTTTTATGGGTTATACTTTTCCTCTAATCATTTCAACAAACCTCATGTCCCATAATTTCATTATAAAGAAGTAATGTCAATGTTTAATTATTATGCTTAGTGTTCATAGTTATCTCATTGCTTCTAAGTTGTTTGTTCCCCTAAGGTACTATACCATAAGCATTCATTCCTTTATTCTTGTAAGATATTAGTCATAAGTAGCCAAACTTTAGTTATCATTGAATCTGTCTGTGCCTTCATATTGCCTTTTATTTATTCAAAGTTATCTGGCAAACTCTCAAAAATGTAAATGTCACTTCATCTGGAGTAATGATTTTGATAATAAAAATGATAAAACCAATAGTAAGTAAAAGAAAAATATAAAAATAATGATACCTTCCATCAGTTTACTACCTTATAGTGTACAAAACACTTTCTACATCAATTATTGTGAAACTTCATCTTATATGGAGATTGGGCTCTCAAACCAATATGTAAGATGAAGATTGCCTACAGTTAAAATTACCCTTAAAAATTCCTTAGGAAGTGCCACATGCAATATCAACATACCATTTCTCAGTAAATCCAAAGACTTCTTTTTTCTCCTGCTATTGGAACAGATCACTGTTTCTTTGGTTAAGCTCCAGCTGAAGCAGTTGGCTTGCGTTTAGGGACCATGTTGCATGAAAAATAAGTATCTTTAAACACTAGAATCACACTCCTGCACCATCAGGTGCTCACATTCTGAGAAGCAGCCACGGGGAGACAGAAGCACCACCAGAAAGAGCCTTCCATGTCACTCTCACCCGCGGGCATGTGCTCAGGTCCTGGAGGGCTGTGTGGAATGGCCCACGCCCCTGCACATTGCCCTCTCCATCGCTGTTTGTCTTTCTCTCTGCCTCTGATTTTCCTTATCCTTTTAGACTATGAGGGAATAGGCATATAGCTGAATATGTTTAAGTCAAAAATCTCATTATATACACTTGTTGTATCCCATTTGAGTATCTTAACAAGCTGAAGAGGTAGCTAGAAATTATTAAGCCATTTCACAAGTGAAAATATACTGAAGCTTAGTAGGATTACAAGATTGCGAATAAAAATGCAAGATATCCAGTTAAATTTTAATATCAGATAAGCAATGAATACTTTTTTAGGATAAGTATGTCCTATGCAATATTTGGGACATACTTGTACTAAAACTATTTTTTGTTTAACTGAAATTCAACTTTAACTGGGCACTGTATTTTATCTGAAACACTTACTTGGCTTTATGTTTTCTAGCTTCCACACTCCTTATATTAGATAACAGTGCTCTCATATTTTGAATGTATTAATTCCATATTTTACTTACATTTGAACAAATTACTTTTCTACATTATGTTTATGTTTGAAATGACTTTAAGTTTATTCTACTAAATTACTTAATTCAAAAAACAAACACTATATAAAACACATTTTCTTATTCAGATAGTCCATAAATTAAAAATCAGTCAATTCTTGATGAGAAATTGAGCATCTCTTTGTTTTATACTTTTAAAGATGAAATACCCCATGATTCTGATTTTAGGAAATGGTGTGAAACCCAGAGAAAAGTTGTAAATATAGTGAAGGTCTTTGCTATTCAGATGGAATGGAAAAAGTTTAAGCCAAAAAAAAAAAAAAAAAAGAATGGTCACATTCACAAATATATTGGGCTTGTACTCATTATGACATCATTAATAGCCAATTAGAAAGTTCTCTTGGTATTCAGCCTTCTGACTCCGTTTCACAATAATTGGTATTGATAGCATTTTATTGCTGCTATATACTTTGCTAGCACCAAGACCAATATATTCTGATCCCGAAAAATGTGATGCTTTAACAAGACAAGCACAATGTTATGTTATTTTTACTATGCCATGTTACCTGGCAGGCAATTACGGCTCTGGACTTTAACATTGTTTTCCAAAAATAACAATCATCTAATGTTTAGTTTGGCTAAAACAGAGATTGTGACTGGCCACCTGTTAGAAGAAAAATAAGACATTCCTGTAGACGAAAGATCTGAGGTAAATTATGAAAGGTTTTCAAGAAAGGGGGTAGTGTGTTCTATTGGCTACTCTAAAAAAGTGTTAAGAAGTGAGGAAAATTAGATAATAGACAAAAGTCTGAGTATTGCAAGTCTTGATTATTCTTAAAACACCCCCAAAATGCTACTAAGGATGAAAGGCTCGGACATTTATGACATTTAAATTGGAATATCACTGTAACTCTTAAACTGGTTGTCAGATTCCTTGCAGAGGATTAAGGAAGGATCTCAAGAAGTTCATGTGGCCAGGACAGCTGACTTTAAAGCCGCTATTTAACCAAGAAGCAAATGCAGTGGAGCCCAGTGTTTGTGAGGTTGTGCCCTGAAGCACACGACTGGAATAATTCTTGGCTCTGCCACCTACTATGTCTTTGGGGAAAGTTTTCCCCTCTCAGTTTCCTCATCTGTAAAATAGTAATAAAAATGTTCTTAGTGTGGTTTTGAAGGAATTAATTGAGAAATTACTGGGAGTAAAAAAATAAAGTGCTTATAATATAATAAATATCCAATAAATGAAGCTGTTATTATAAATGATAAGCTATTTGAATAAGGAGAGTAAGAATTTTTTGTTTGTTTGTCAACTCTTTTATTCAACGAACATTTAGTGAGTGTTGTTTGACACTGTTTTCGGTGCTGGAGAATCAGAATTTAACCCCAGCCTGATATTCTCTATCTGGCACCTTTCCATGTTCTTTCAGCTCAATTTTCTACTCCAATAATAAGAGGGGGAAAAATGTATAGCTCACAAAGTGAGTAAGTGACAGTATGGAATGATATTTCTTGTGCCTTGAAAATATATGTCTTATTATATCTTATTTTAAAACATACAACATCTATGTGAGGTATCATATTGCCTTATTATAGATGAGGAAACTGAAGCACATGGAGTTTTAATAGCATATCTAAGTCAGCAAATGGCAGAGCTGGGGTTTGTGCCTAAGTTTGCATGACCAGGAGCTATGCTCTCTTAACCACTTTAGTCAGGAGAAAATGTCTGAGAGCCCCTAAACAGACGATTCACCATCCTGATGTGTGAGAAAAATGGAAAGCCCAAACATTTCTTCATTTCTGTGGTCACTAAAATGATCTTATCTTGCATTCAGCATGAAAACTGAAAGCTAATTCAAAGTGCCATGGTATCAGTTCCCTAGTTCTCATCCATGAATATGCATTCATTAACATTTATGTAACTAGTCCCTCTTATTGCTGATGTGATCAAAATAAAAGAGTTAATGAACTAAGCCACCCTTGCTAAAAATAATCTTTGCAAAAACCACACGTGGTAATTCTAATGAGCTGTTTTACAGTAAATGTACTTATAAAGACCATGAAGGAAACAAAGAAACAGAGTTCTCGAAGTCAAATTAAAAATCATTTTAGAAAAGCCAATCTGGATCCATCTAAAATACATTTTAATCCCACACTATTTTTTCACAAAAGATGCAGGGCAATTTGTGTGTGGATACCCACTCTTTTTTTTCCTCCTTTTTTTAAGCCTGTCACCCAGGCTGGAGTGCAGTGGTGTGGTCACAGTTCACTGCAGGCTCAACCTCACTGGGCTTAGGTGATCCTCTCACCTCAGCCTCCCTAGGAGCTGGGACCACAGACAAGCACCACCATTCCCAGCTAATTTTTTGTATTTTTTTGCAGGGATGGGGTTTCACCATGTTACCCAGGCTGGTCTGGAACTCCTGGGTTCAAGCAATCTGCCCACCTTGGCATCCCAAAGTGCCAGGATTACAGGTGTGAGTCACTGCACCCAGCCTGGATAGCTACTCTTAAACACCCATAGAGAAATTAGATGTAAACTTTGGTAAGAGGAAACTCAGTCACCAAAAGACTAGCAATATCTCTATTCTTCAGAGCAAGAATTTAAATTGATAATAAATAAAAGCCAAAATCCTACCTTGCCACCTATTTCTGTGAATTTCAAGTAGGTGTATTCATTTGCCTACTTGTTGACATAAATATCTCAATATTTTTATTTTGAAATACCATAGTAATTCATATGTTATCTCTTCATAATTATAATCATATATTTCATAGCCTAGTGGGGAAATACAACAAACAATGCTCAAATATGAAATGAAAAATATGAGATTCCAAATGAATTGAGGGATCTTTCAACTCAGGAAAAATCTGTGTTCAGGGCAATCACACCCTGGATCTCATAATGAGTTCTACTGTGGGGGGCAGCATTTGTGGAAGACATTGGACATATTATTAATGACAAACTTAGAGGGATGCTTGGTCAATGGACTTCTCCAAATATTATATAGAGAAACAAAAAGCAAAGAAAAAATAGGAGATCTACATCTTCACATTATTCCCGCAGTAGCTTCTTATCAATAGAGTGGCCAGGTTAATGTCTCTCCCAGCACTCCTGCACCCAAAACAAATAGTCATTTTAAAACTCAACAAAATAAAGTCTCAACTGCCACAGATGAATGAAGTCATCACCAAGAAGGCATTTTTAACAATGAAAAAATTTTTGCTTTATAACAGGATTTTTCCTAGGCATTCATGTTTTAACTTTTTCTTTCTCCTTCACTCTTGTTCCCCTTCCTACACAGCCAATTTCATTCTCCAACTTATCAATCATTTTTCTACAGTGCCTCTCCTTTCATCCTTTTAGATATCCATTTACCACCCTAATCAACATTTCATGACCTCATAACTTTCTTGTTTTTTTTCTGTCCTGTCTTTTTTGCTGTTTTAGTTTCCTGTTTTCTCTGTGCCTAGCCCACACACTTTAATCGGTTCAAAACACTCTAAAGCCATCAGCAAGCACATCTATTTCCCCTCAGTCTCTGGGATATTTGTCCTGAGAAGGCCATAGGACATTCAGGTTGTCTTTTAAGATTTATTGGTAATGAAGAAAGGGATACTGGCATGAGATAAGGTGTCTGAAGATGTTCTGAACACTGAAATGTTCTCTATACATGAGATGAGTGTCTCTATTTTGCATCACCAGATGTGTTTCAATTCAGAATATCCTATTAGATGGCAACCTGGAGTGGGGCCTTCTTACTGATTTGGTGTCATGAGCCAGCCCTTTCCCTTCTCTGTGCCTCAGTGTTTTCAGCAATGAGATGAGGGACCACTCAAGGTCTCGGAATTCTGAAGCAGAAGTAGGACAGATGTTTAAAACAAAACAAAACAAAAAAGTGGGACTGAGGGGAAACAATGAATTTTTCTGAAAGCAGGACGTATATTACCAAGGAGCAGAATGTATGAAGAGGTTCTGCAATCATTATTAACTTCAGTTTGGGGCAAACAATTTGAGTGACATCTAGATTAAGTGTGTATTTTTTTTTTAGTTGATTTCTCTTATCTGAGAGCACTGATAGGCAGTTACTAAGATCAGAACCTTAAATCTCACTTAGTTTCAAAAGAACAGAACAATGATTGAGCAACCCTCTGGTAAGTAAAGAAGTATTTTGAGACCTGGCTAATATTCTGAAGTTGATTAAACAGGCAAAGCCAACTGCACTTTCTTCTTAAGCAACCCAGTTGGAAAGCACAGAGGGTGACCGGAATAACTAAGAAACAGTGAGAAAGAAGACGAGGGAGGGGTGATGGTAAGGAGGGAGAAGCAAATTGAAGAAAGAGAGAAAACAAAATAAAATATATTATAAAAATGTTAAAATATCAAAGGAAATTATTTAAAATCAAAATATTAAACAGTTCTTATGCATCAGAAACACAGCTGGTAGCATCTTTTCCTTCGAGGCTCAGCCAGTGGGCATGACTGTGTGGAACTACTTTAGAATTCTCAGTATTGTTTAACATTGACCAATAGCTTCTGGGAAGGCTTAGAATACTTGGGGAATCTTCCACAGAAGCAGCATTTAGGAATATTTTAGTCTACCCGAAGGTAAAAAAAAAAAAAAAAAAAAAATCAACAGAGAACGAGCTGAATTTTGGAGATTAGTAAATATACATTAAAATAATATCAAGTGATAGCAGCATAGCTTCAAAGAGCATGCCGTTTTGAGTTGAGCAAAAAATTAACTTGATCAGTGTCTGGAAGGGCATAGTATATATCAGCATATTATCATTTGGTTGAGTTTCACTGGCAAGCAGAGAAATTTCCTCCTTCCCCCCTGTGAAGTGCTACTGTGGAGAGAAGCATTTTCAAATTGATCTTACTAAGAATCATCAGTGAACAATTTGCTACTCGCAATCAATGGTTTCTAACAATGTTATAACAGGAATGTCATCTCAGGGCACATACGTAGTATTCTTAACTGAAGGATAATCACACAAAGATAAATTTAGTCTTTTTCTGTATTGGAGTATAGAAATATACCAGTACTTAAAATCTCAGAGTGACTTAGAGAGGATAGGTGCTTTTCAAAGGAAAGCACATTTGTGGGATTTTTAAAATAACATTTTTCTCGCCTTTAAAAAAGATAACAGGTTATATGAGTCCATCTTGAAGCAGAATTTCATGGCTACAAATCAATGTGGTTGTTGGTTTCTCATGACTTTTGGTTAGCCAAGTGGACCTCAAACTATTTTTGACTGGGGGCATGTTCTATAAAGTAAAGAGATTTGTAGGCCACATTTATCACTTTTTCTGAAAAATGTTGATAAAAATACTAAAATACATAAAAATATATACTTAAATGTGTATATATATATATATACTTTAAAATAGTGAAATAATTTTGAAGAATGGGGTACTGCTTAAAGTTTCATAAATGGACTTATAAATATATTAATGAATCAGAAATAGAAGTTTAGACAATTATGTCCTATATTGTCAATATAGACAATGGCATAAATTATAATAATACCAATTAGAGTAGACCTACAGAAATCCTTGGTTTTGTGGCTAAGAATTGTTTATTGACCATGCCTTGGTAGTAATTGATTTCATGGTTAAAAGTATGAATTAATTATACTGAAATCTTGTATAATCCAACAAGAGGAAACCAAGATTCAGAGTCAGAAGTCCCAAGTTCAAGACCTAGAAATACCCATAACTGAAAATATGATTCTAGGCAAGTTTTGTAAATGCATTGAGCCTCAATTTCCTTACCAATAATTGGGGATACTTACTTTATTGGTTAATGCAAAGATCAAGAAAGATAATATATTTGAAAAGCATTAATATAAATGAACACACTAAGAAAATAATAACTATTATAATTACTAACAACAAGCAATAATTTATTTTATTTAAGAAAAATGGTCAAAATAACCTATCCACCTTCCACCTTGTTGCAAAAATGTTTAACATTGATGTCAAAATCTTTGGTAAAGATAAGAAAGAATCTAAGGAAAATTTTAAGTAATTGTTGCTTACTGTAAATTCTTTTTTCTTTAGAGAGATATTAAATTGTTTAATATGAAGAAGTATTTACAATTTGTTTTCTCTCCCCCAAAAAGAGAAAACAAAGTATTTAAAGAAAACATGTCAACATCTTTCCCTCAAAAGAATTATAAGATGTGAATAAAGTAGCCTAATCAAACACTTTATTGTTTTGAAAAACACGGTACAATATGAGCATAGAGAGCTTCTTAGCAGCCCAGTTAACTTTTATTGATGGAGGCTTTCTGATGTAGTAGGAGAACATAAACATGCCAAAATGGAGTCTCAAAATTTGTGATATATTTTAGCTCTCTCTACATAGCAAAGTAATACTTTAGGAAACACAAAAATAATGTACTATGTGTATACATCCCTTTAGCACCCCAGATGACCACAAGATGCTGGATAAATGATTCTGCAGCCTTCTTCCAACCGTCTCACCACTGTAATAAGCTCATTATTTTCATGATCCAGCAGCCAGATTTGAGTATGGAGTATGTATTGGGTAGCTGAGAATCTGTTCCTCACAATGGATAATGATGTTGCTCTCAATAGTCTTATCCAGCAAGAATTTTCTAGGTTCGCCAGAAAAATTCAGAACACGTGAGTAGCCTCCTAGATGTGCCTCTATTTTTATCAGCTTCTGCAAGGATGAAGCAATTCCTTTTATTTCAAAGAGAGTGAACATTGAGTCACTTCCTTCGTATATATATTAAAGCAGAGAATAAACTAACGCAGCCTGTACATTTGTCTTCTCTGTCCACATGAAACAACTTTCACACGGCCTTTTAATTACATTCCCTCAAACTAATATTCTTTGAAAAAGAATTTTCTCTCCATGCAATTATTCCTGTAAACTGGCATATAAGGAAGAAAAAAGGACTGAAAACACTAATGTTCACATCCATTCTAACCAACTCCAATGCCAAGAAATGCACTGAATCTTTAAACGGACCTCCCACATTCTCGATAGGATGTTTTCTGTGCATGGTGATCCACAAATATTACCATTCCATGACAATGCAGTTTCATCAAGGTACGTCTCAATCCACGGGATACGAGTCCCACACAACAGACGGAGAATTTGGCGCAGCTCTGCGCACGCTGCGTGTGTTACTTACTGGTTATATTGCAGTGGCCACACTGAGTCCCGTATGGCGCCGTATTAACGAATGGCATGCAAGCACCTTCTGTTGAAACATCTGCGACAGGGAAATTTTAGGCATTTTTCCAGATAATTTTTGTGCTCTGGACCAAATTTTCATTAGGACTATAAAACCTGGCAAGCAGTATTGTTGTGTATGATTTTTTAATAAACTGGGACATGCCTTTGTTAAAGGAGTGAGGAAAAGGGCTCTTCAGAGACTCCTTTCTATTATAAAAAGTTCAGAAAACATATGACAGCTCACAAAATAACATTTCCCAACTTTTTTTTAAAGTGCAAGGTTCCAGGCTTTCGTAGACATATAAATAAAATTCACAGTTTTGGATGCAAACGCAAAAATGCAGATTTTCACATCTTGGAGTAAATGATTCCAACGGTGGCTTTTCTTAAGCACATGTTTGTTAAGAGTGAATACAGCCAACAGAGATGTTTTTTAGTATTTAATTTTTTATTCCGGCTGCCAAAAAATGTGTGTAAGGGTTTGTACTTTCTTTAAGAGATACTGTGTCTCAGAATTAGAGAAAAAACCTGAAGAGTTTGGGCACATGCCTATTTGTACTCGTAAACAACGTGAACCCAACAACTAGCATTGTTCATTTTTCTCACTAGTTAAAATACGGGTTTGTCTATTTCTTTCTTCACTGCCAATATCACCCTACCACAGTAATGGAGACTAGAAAAACTCCCTTTTGTAATTCTTTAGTTCCCTGTGCCCTGCTATAAACACTAAGGCAAAACAAACATGCTTGGCAGTAAATACGTGCATTATCATTATGTAAATAGGCATGTTATGATTATACTTCGATGATGTTGTTCTTTGTAAAGGCTTTTTCCTTTTCCAAATATATTATCCAATTTAAGTTATAATGCATATTATACCACTGGGGCTGTATAAACACTCTAGATCAGGGAGAATTAGTAGACTGTATATAACGAAATGTTTACCACCTATGCATATGGTGCTTGATGCTAAGACTACCAAACAAACAGACTAATGCTGCTTCACATTGTTCAATTCCACCACAGCAGTGCACAGAAGCCTTTGAGATTAATATCCATCTTGCTGTTCAAATTGAGTACCACATTATGACATTTTATATTGACAACATTATAAGCTGAGATGATACATTTTAAGCTTGATGAGATGAATGATCTAGTACTAGCAGAAAATAGGCTGCATATCTGAACCTTATATGAACTAGGAACGACTCATGTCACAGTCTGTTTGGAAATGTTACAATGTTTGCATAAATCCATTGCTTATGCATAAGCACCAGGGAACTAGAATCCTGAGGCAGGCAGTAATCTGTAAAGTTCTTGTGGCGCTTGATAAGCATGCAAGATGCATCTTACATTCTCCTTGGTGAATTGCAAATGTTTATGTAAGAAAGAGCATATAGCTGCATATCGTATGAAAAGATCAACGCAGATATCTTCAGTAGGGATTGGAAGAGAGCATAAGAAAATGAAGGGCCTAGTACATAATTTACTCAGGCCCTTAAAAACAAGCAAGACTCACCTAAAAAAGTAGATTTTTGGTCTTATTATTTGTCTTCACATTCTGTAGTTGTCAAAATTATTGGACCTATCAACCATTTATTTTATTTTACCTATAAAGACATAGCAGTGTCCACAATTAAAGTGAAGATGATAGTGTTCCTTTAATTCCATTACTTTCTCTTTTATGGAGCAAGTAAGCTGTTAGTGGTGAAACAACAAGACAATTATAATATTTACTCTTTGTTTGTTTGTTTGTTTGTCTAAATAATGTTGTCAGTGTTGTTTTTAAAGTCTTCTAAATGAGTATGATATTTGACACATAAACTGATAAAAGCTCAAACAGCTTGAAGATTCAATTTCTTTAAATTTAAAACTCATTAGCATTGGAATCTGATTTACAGGGTTTCAGAATAAATACATTAGGTGATGTTTTTATCTATTCACCTCACCCTTTACTAAGTACTTGTTTGGTGTAAAGCCTTTTTTTTCTTTTAAAATATGTTATCCAACTTTAGTTATCATGCATAATGTATAATTGGGGCTGGAAGCAAACCTATGATGGCTTTGAGGGGTTTCAAATATTCAACATATATATCAGACCCTCTGCTTGACCTAAGAAAATATCATTTCTACTTTATCATCAGATTCATGGTGGGTAAGATTTGAGAAGAAGAGCTGGTAGGCAGATCATGCATAAACACCAGCACAATGTGCTAGACACGACGTTTTGTTAGGCCTTCATTTGGAGATGGCCACTCTCCTTCACTCCAGGACTTTGTATGTGTTGTCACCACCCCTGCCCCTGAACCTGTTCTCTCCTGCTTTATCTGGCTAATTTCTAGTTGTGTTAGTTTGCTAGGGCTACCATAGAAAGTACCACAGACCAGATGGCTTAACCAACAGAAATTTATTTATTTATTTTTTCACAGTTCTGGAGGCTGGAAGTCCAAGATCAAGGTGCTAACAGGATTGGTTTCTTACTAGGCCTCTCTTCCTGGCTTACAGATGACTACCTTCTTAGTTTGTCCTCATGTGCCCTTTCCTCTGTATGCACATGGCAGAAGGTGGGGAGGTAAGGAGAGAGAGAGAGAGAGAGAGAGAGAGAGAGAGAGAATGCAAGTGATTTCTGGTGTCTCTTCCTCTTAGAAGAATACCAGCCCTGTCAAATTAAGGTCTCACTGTTACGACCTCATTTAACCTTTATTACCTTCTTAAAGACCCTAACCCCAAATAGAGTCACATTGGGGGTTTTCAACATAAGAATTTTGGTAAAACATAATTCCATCCATAACACTAGTCATGAATCAGGTCACGGCTATGATTTGCTTTTCTCCTGGGAACTCTCCCTAACCTTAAAGTCTGGGTTAGGTGGCAGTTTTAAATTAAGCCACAGGACCAATGCCATTTTGCATGCTCCCAGTAGTAGGCCTGATATTTTTTCTATCTTATGATAATGGCGTATAGTTATGAGTTGGAATATTGTCTTGAAGTAGGCACTAAGTGAGTTAAACATGTGTGAACCAAAGCTCCAGGCCAGAGTATGAAAAATCAATGGGAGAGCCCCTCTGTGGGAGTAAACCTACTTTTTACATTTGTGAAAATACAAAATGAGAACTGGAAAACTTATAAGAGAGTTAGAATCTATAGGCAGTGGAGTAACGAAAGTTGAAAAAATGTTATCTTAGCAGCTGATGCTTATAGTCCTAATTGGCTTGATGAGAAAGAGACTTCGAAGTCTTATGGGTCAATGTGACTTAGACTGGGGACAGATCTTAGGCAGTGCTGAAAGCTGCCAGTCACTTGTCTACACTCTATTTGAGAGCCACAGAGTCAGACGCGGACCTGTGTCCTACTTTCTTTCTGAGTCACATGGTGTTTCATGCTTTCCTTGGAGGGATAAGTGGGAACATGTCACCCTCCGGTGGGTTCATAAACTTGAATGTATAATTAGGTAGTCATTGCCATTGGCTTCCTTTTCATTTTCAGAAATCCTCTCTGGCCTCTGACAAGTCCCTTCAGAAGGGTGATAGCCACTCACATATTTTAGCTTCTCTGCAGGGTCCCTCTGAGGAGCCCTTACTGCCTCTTCCCATTTCATGGGATTAACTATGATTGAGATTGTATCAGTGCTGAACAAGCCTTGGTGACCTGTTAGGGTTTTGACTAGATCGGTTAAGTTACATAAGAAGCTGAGAGAATCTCCGTGCGGTAGAAACATGTTTAGAAGTGGTTCTCCGCTCCAGGGCACATTCAATAATGTATGGAGAAATCTGGGCTTGACACTACTCGATGGTGGGCAGGGAGGGTAACCCTGGCATCTAGTAAGCAGAGGCCAGAGATGCTGCCAGGCATCCTACAATGCACACAACAGCCCCCACAACAAAGGATTATCCAGTCCCAAATGTCAATAGGGCCAAGTTTGGAAAATCTTGTTGTAGAGGTTAAGAAAATGGGCTTTGGACTTAAACAGCTACCTAGATAATTTCCTGGGCCTAGCCAAGGTTAAATTCACCCACCTATAAAATGAGGATTAAAATATGCGTTTCTTAGTTCTTTTATAAGGAGTAACTGAGATAATATATTTATTGTCAGTTTAGCATAAACCAGGTGCTGGAGAAACTCTAAAGTGCTTCATGCAGTGACTGACTCAGAAAGCATCAAGTAAATGTAAGCAACAACCGCGATAGATTTCTAAATAAATGAAAAAACTGTTGTAAATATATAGCATTCAGACTAGATTATGGATTCTGTGTGTTGCCTGTGCATGCGTGTGTGGGGTGTGTGTGTGTGTGTGTGTGTTAGAATGGCAAATTACCTGTGATTGCTCCATTGTCCTGAGAAGTGAAACTATCCTATGATGCATAGGAGAAGGGAGTGCAAATCACCAGCCAGGAAAATCCCAGCTCTATCCAGCCTCACCTCTTGAGAGATCAGTGGGCTCTGGGGATAACGGACAAGCAAGGGACAAGCAAGAGGACGAGAGGGCTCAGGCGGTGAAGAAAGAAAAGGAGCAGATGGAAAGACAGAGGGAACTGAGTACGGAGGATGGCAGCTGAGAAACCTCCGTGAAAGTAGAGGCCCAGAAAGCCTGACAGAAAGCAACACACATATGGGAGACTGAAGGAAGCGGGGTTGGAATTCTAAAGCTAATTTTTACCTATAGCTGCCATCTTGAGATCGTAAGAATCCAACCACCCCAACTAAAAAATAACTTATTTTCCTCTTGTGAAAACACATGGAACATAATACGTCTTCAATCAAGACTCTACTGTAACTACCCTTAATCGAACTGTCAAAGTTTTTACCAACATCAGCAAACTCTCTGCTATCTCTTCCACCTTTTGCCTCCCTCCTCCCAGAGGCAGCCAGCCAGCCCTCGGGCTGTGTGGACCAGAGGTGCCAGCTGAACACGCTGGGGTGGAACATTGTTCTGTTGGTGGGTGCAGGTAGGTCATTGCATACCGATTTATATCCAACACTCCTAGTGGGAATTTTGTTTTTAAATTATCAAATATGAGGACATGTGAAATTTCTGAATAATTACTGAGTAATTGAACCTAGTATTGGAATTACTGAAAAATTGGAACATTCTTGATGTTAATTTTCTCATCAGTACGAGCATAAAATAACTAGCTTTTAAAGAGCCATCATATATCCATTTACCAAAACTTCGCGTAAGAAAGAAATTATCTTCTCAGCATGTTTTTTTTTTTTAACTCAAATTTATTTCTTTCACTGAGGAGCTCTCCCAGAAGTGAAGATCTTGAAAGGAAGCAGAGCTCAACGGCAAACTCACAAGGCTCACAGGGCGCCTGCGTTTCCCTCTCACTCCTTTCAAGTGGAATGTAGTTTTCAAGAAATGGGGAAAAAATACGAATGCTGGAGAAGCCTTTTATAAACAAGCCATTTAAACTTCAGAGACAATTAGCCCCCTGCCCATTTTAAACTTGTGGGTTTCATAGCCTCGGCTTTCTTGATAATTTACTTTGGAAATTCCCAGGCCTGTTAGGCTGGCCTGGGTGAGTTCCGCCTTCACATGTGTGGCTGCTTGGAGACGTCCAGCTGCCATGGTCAGTTTGACGAAGTACACATAAGCTTTTGGCACCACATATTTGCAATATCATGGACGGTCAAGGAGGCGCCTGTTATAAAAATACACAGTGAAACACAACTGAAGGACTGCTCTTTCTCAAAGACGGACGTAATGCATTCCTTCTGTTTAGGCTCATTTTCCAGCCTTTCACATTCTTTGTGAACAAGAGTTATAAAACAACCCTGATGCAGGCCAATTATTTTTACTTTGAAGGCCATTAATCAAGATTGACTAAGAAAATGAAGACAGCTAAGCAAAATTTCATATGTGACTAGAGTAAGATTAAAATAAAACCAGATGGGATGGACAGAGACACTAAGTATTTTTTTTTTAAATTTTTGGACTCGTGTAATAAATGTCTTTTACAAATTACAGCACTCTTATTTTCTTACAGTAAATCAAATCAGGCCATAATGTACAAGTGGTCTCATTGCTAAAATGTCAAAAATAGAACCTGCCTTGTTCTTGTAGAGTAATTCCTCAAATCTAAACCAGCAGTGCAGGCTAACAGTCTATAAACCATCTACCTGTGTACAATCAGAACTGTACCTGATGGATGTGTTTCTCATGGCCTCAGAGCAAACCACACAGTGAATTCTCAGAAATCTCATCATGAAATGATTAGAGTTTTGAATCAGAGTTGTCAAGTAGTCCAATGCCCTTTCAGTTAAGAAAAGGTGAGTTCAAGACCTGTTAAATATTCCAGATTCTCTGTCATGAAAATGACTAAGGGAGGCCGCAAATTCTCTCTACCTAAAGACTTTAAAATTGTTTTTCCTTGGATCGTCAGAATCTAATATTACTAGTAGATATATTATTTTTGTCACACAAATACACATTTTTTAATAGAATAGTAAGAGATGTGTGTTCAAAAATAAAATGAAATTTTTCCTTCTGAATTTCTTCGCCTTTTTTTTCCCCCAATTTTGCAAGGGTCTGTCTCCCATGCTTCAAACAGCAGAAGTATCTTCCCGCAGTGAGAAAATGACTGAAAATAACCAGCTGTTTCAGGATCTCTATCAAAACACACACAATAATCCCAAAGAATTCTTCCCCATTTAGCACTGTCAGGTTAAAAAGTCGGCTTAGGAAATGAGACTAAACTTTCTTTTCATAACACTCAGTGAACCATTTCCACAATATATTTAGAGAGGACATATGCATTTCTTAAAGCAGATTTAAAATAATCTGGAAAGAAATTGAAGTAAATTTTCAACTATAGTAATTTTTCTTAACTCTTCAGATGCTTCCTTTTCAAGATAAAGGCAATTTTGAGTTTACCAAAGAACATTGTTTTTAAAAATTATTTTCCTAAAAAAAAAATCAGTCAACCCATGAGAATAAAGGGACCCACCATTCCTTCTCTGATACCTCCAAACAAAGCGCAAAACATTTTGTAAAATTCCTCAGAAAAAAAAATGTAACTGCCTAGACAGTTATACCTTATTTAATGCATTAAATTGTGATTCTCAAAAGCCACATTCACTTTGCTTTTGTTTTGTTTTGTTTGGTTTTGTTTTAAAGTGGGCTTGTCATTTATTTGCTTTCTATTTAAAGCCTTCTGGTGAATCCTTCTGTAAATAAAGTTTCTTATTGATATATGGAGGCTAACATCAAGGAATAATGCTGAATTGAATTAAATTAAAGTGACATAAATCAACTGCTGAAAGGTATTACTCTTAAAAGTTTAGATGTTTATGTGGATTTCTTAATTAGTGACTCTAGAAGCCAGACTAACTCCCCCCAACATGCTTTATTTGTAAATCCAGGAATAAAGGACTCTATAAGTTGATGTGTCTCTAACTCATGCAGAATATTACCAGGGACATTTTTTGCCTTGATCTCAAACAGCATACCAAATCCAAATTCAGTATATTTTGGGGTTCAAAACAAGCTACTTTTCTCGATATCCACATATCTGTCAATTGCAACTTCATCCTCCAAACCTAAATCTCAAAATCCCTAAATTTTAACGTCTTAGATCCCCTTGAAAAATCTCAAACACCCATGCTACATTCAATCACTAGTCTTCCAACCACCAAGAGCTATCTGTCAGTCAGACTATGCAGTCAAGACTTCTCAAGAGTCCAATACAAAAGAACTGACCATCTGGGAAAATATGCCCAGGGGATGGAGCTGTTACTAAGTCATCAGACTTTTAAACAAAGAGGGGAAAATCTGGCTAAAACCTTAAGAAATGGAGCAAAATACATGAATTTAACACAGCCAAAAGAGGACTCGTTAATTTTCCCCCACTTCCCTCTTAGTATTTGCCATCTTCCACTTTCATAATTCATGCTCAAACCAAAGAATATGGGAATTGTTCTGTATTCTGCTCTTTCCTTACCCCCATGTAATCCACCAGTAAATGCTACCAACTCTGCCTTCAAAACACATCCCCACTCTCAAACGCTTGTTTACTATCACTATTAAAATTTTAGTCAAGTCTCTCATATCAGCAGTCTCTTCCCTAGACTATCATCACAGATTCCTCCCCAATGTACCTGCCTCTTCTTTTGCTCCTGTAATCAATTCTCAAGGCAGAGTGATCTTTTAAAAATGGAAATTAGGTCTTATCTTACACTCCTCTTGAAAACTTTCCAGTTGTTTTACTTCATAAATAGAGGAACATTCTACCTTATTTCAATGCCAATACCTTAACTCATTACAGTGGCCTGTACAAACTTACCTCATCTAGCCTCTACCTTTTGGATATTGCCTCCTTCTGCTTTTCCTGTGGCTTACCATATTCAAGCCCACTGACCCTCTCTCATTACTGAATTAAGCCAGGTTCATTTCTGTTTTAAGACCAATGCACTAGATGTTCTCTATACCTAAAATATTATTTTCCCAATATTTTGGGAAATATTGTAGCTGTCTACTTTTTGTCATTCAAACGTCTGTTTGAATGTCATCTCCTCAGAAAGGCCACTCTAACACTCTGCCTAAATTTTCCCCCAGTCACTCTCTGTCACATTACCTTATTTTGATTCTCTATAATATATATTCATTTATTTGGTCACTGTTTATCCATCAACAATAGGATGTAAGCTTCATCAGGGCAGGGTCCTTGTCTCTCTTGCTAACTGCCATAAATCTAGCATTAGATTGAGTGTGGCCTTTTACAGGAAAAAATAAGTTTGTTGAATAAATAAAGGAATGAAAATGGGGGAAAAATAGAAACTAAGTCAGAACACATAAAAAGGGAAGTAGAAACAAAATGAGTAGAGACAGAGCTGATGCTTCTTTCAGAATCCAAGCCCATAAATGTGGGGTCTCTTCTGTGGCTTTTCCTCTGTTTGGGAAGAGTTGGATTTGAAAGGGACAAAGTCACTGAATACAATCAATTATCCATGAGACTGCCTTTTCAAACCCTTCCCCTCTTGACATTTCTGCCTCCATTCATGGGACCGTTTCTCTCAGTTCTCTATGCTTTCTGAGCTGGACCACCTTGTTCTGGTCTTGACTATTCCCAGTCCATCCAGTGCACTGCTGCCAAATTAATCTTACTAAAAACAGTATGCATGATGTCACCTTCCAGCTCAAAACACTCTTCAAGTGGTTCTCATTATCTAAGGGTAAAGGTCAAACGTTTTAGTTTAGCACACAAGACCATGGGAGTTCACCCAGACAACCCTCCCAGCCTTATCTCCCCTGGCTCCTCAACAGGAACCCAGTCCTAGTGAAGCTGGGAACTCCTTAGCCCCTTGAACGCATGTTGTCCACTCCCCGTCTTGCCCATGGAACTTAGGATGATGAAAATCTTCTCCTCTTCTATTCAGCCTTTAACCAGCAATCATGGTCCAGACAGAATCCCAAAGGAACTTTTTAAAAAATCCTAAAATGCTTATTATTCTTTATTGTAGCTTTGGCCATTATCACACATTACTTCTAAATGATCATTATTTTCTCCTTAATTAAGTCTTGTTTCCTTGAAGGCTGGAAATATATTTTTCTATTTTTTTCGCACTCCTCTCAACTCAAACCTAGGAAATATATTTTTCTTTACTTTCTCCCCTTACTCGGACTCAAACTTTGACATGTTACTGAAAACCTTACAGAGACTGTATTTACTAACCTGAAAGGAGGGATGATAATGGTAGGTTTGCAGATTTGCTACAAGAATTAAATGATATAATGCATGTAATAAGTTTAGCACAGTGCCTGGCATCTATTGCAATGAAGTAGGTTAAGAAATTGACTGATAAATTAATCAAATAATCTATTTAGAAACTGTAAAACACCGCTGGTTATTATATGGATTTATTTATACTGCAAGTACAACTCCCCAAAACATACATATAGTAAACACAAGTTAATCTTTTTTAAAAGGATGTGACTTCTGATTTCCAGTATCATCACTATAACCTGTAATCTGACCCAGTAATTCTTAACCTCTTGTAAAACTGAAACCCCATTAAAAATCTTATTAAAGCCCTTGGATCTCTCCCTAGAAAAACACACATACATAAAAAAGATGTATATATAACTCCGGAGAGCTTCATTGGCCCTTCTAGCCTATGCATGAATTTCTGGCAATCTATTCAAACTTTATCAAGCCATAAAGCCCAATGTTCAGAAACCCAGTGTCAAGACTGTTCACTCTGTCCATTCCTGGCTCTTTGACAACACTACATTGATTACCAAACACCGATCTGCAGCAGAAGGCATGAACTCACTTTTTAAAACAAAGGCAAATTAAATGAAGTAAAAGAAAACCAAAAACCAAAATAATGAAGAAATATGTTTTTTTTAACACTTTTGCAACAAGTGCACTAGGCTGCTTTCACATTAGATTTCAAAAACATGGACCACTAATTTTTGGCTATTTCTTCTCTACAAATGAGATAGAAATTACAATATCAAAAGAAATCTCAAGTTCACCTTCAAATTTGGGGTTTTAGTTTTCAGAAAAAAAAGAAAGAGAAAGAAAGATCTTTCTTTCTTTCTCTTTCTCTTTCTCTTTTTCTTTAAATCCTTCCTTCCTGCTTTAAAGTTATTGAATACATGCTTGGTGCCATACAGTTTGCTAGAAATCGGGCAGATAGTAATGAGCAACACAGTTTCTGCCCTAAAAAATCTTACAGTCTCTTGAAAAATACAACATTACTAATTACTTATATGAATGAATAAGTGGTAACAATATAATATGTACCAACAATTGTACGTATGAACAATATAATATGTACCAACAAGGACAACTGTTGTATGTTATAAGAGTATGCAACTGGAAAAGAAAAGCTCCTCTAGGCATCAGAGGAAGTCTCTTGGAGAAAGACACATTTTAACTGAGATCTGAAGATTGGGTAGGAGTCAACCAGATGAAGTGCGTGGAATGAGGGGATTGGGATGGTGTCATAGGAGAGTCACCAAGGTAGGAAAGAACATCCTAGGAACTCAAAGAACACCAGTGCTGTTGGAAGGTGGAAGAATTATGGAAAGCCTTGTAAGTTATATATTTGTTAGGAATACCTCTGATTTCAAGTCATAGATAAGTAACATGGCTTTAAAATGTGGGTTGAAATTTTCTTATATAACAGAAATTTTAGAGATAAGTAATTACCCACACTGCTTCAGCTATCCATTGATATCACCAGTGACCCAGATTTCTTCTGCTCTTCCTCCTTTCATGATGAGTGCATTTTCTTTCATTCTCATGCTTGCCATTTCATGGCCATAAGATGGCTGCTGAAGCTCCAGGCATCACCACCATATTCAAGGCAGGGAAAAATGAAGGAAAAGTGGCAGCACCAGCTACATCTCTCAGGCTGTCATGGAGAAAATTGACTGAAGAGGCAAGAGATGATATGTGGTGACAGAAAGATATTAACCGGGGAAAAATGCCCGAGACACGAAAGGAGATGATAGTAGTAGAGAGGGGGAGAAGAGGGATTCAGGAAACAGAAGGTTTAGGATGACTCTAACTATTCATAGGATTGTTATGTATAGCAAATGCAGTCATGTGTATGAGTGCACTTTAAAATTATAAAGTTTTATATGAAATTCGTGCATTTTAAGGTCAAAATTTGACTAGCTTGCTATTAAGATACATGTTGTCCTTGAATTTAAAACTCCTCTTTTATTAGAACTCTTGAAAGATATAAAATCCAGTTGATTCATTTGGTAAAATAAAACTACATTCTGATCTTTTTTCCTTAAAAACGTCAAAACTTCACTTCTATTTAGTGATGTAGAAAAGACAAAAAATAACCCCGAGTCAACTGTATTTGCTCCCTCCAGCTTAATAAAATAATTGCGCTTTTGTGCTCGTACCAAGGAAAACCCAACTGCAGCAGATAAAGGATAGCCTTAAAGACAGGAGGAAAAGCTCCAGTCTCCCTTCAGTCAGGTGAATCCTTCTACAGAAAAAAAGGTGGAGATGGAGGGTGTTGCACTAAACCCACATCCTAACATAAATCTCATAAAAAAATTAGAATTTCTCATTTTTCTATAACCGCTACTATTAGGATTCATTCCTGGGCTGAGACATTTTTTTTTTAATTTCAACTCTCACATTAACAGTCCAATAATAAACCCTTGATTAAAGAAAAAGGATTACAGTGAAAGGGTTGAAATAAGCTTAATTGTAGAGGTGTGATTAATGCCACAGTGATAGACTCCCAGGTAATGATTTTTAAAATTTTATAGGAAATGTTTAACAAGATGATTGCCTGACTATAAAATTCTCTGTACAAGAAAATAGTCCTTGAAAGCAGCATTGGGTCCTGTTGCACTAATACATTTATGAATGGCAACATTTCTTTTATAGTTTTGATGAATGCTAAAGTAGAAACTTTATTATAATGATTTTGGACCCAGAACTGTGAAAATAGAGGGCAGAATATGAACATTTTACCAGATCAATCAATTTTCATTTAAAATTCTACTCATTGTGTATGGTATCAAACTATGAAAATGTAACATTTCAAACTAGTGATTTCTATCCTACCAAAATTGCAGTACTTATTTAGGTTTTGAAGTAGATAGGATCAGTGTTAGAGACAGCATGGTGTAGCAAAAAAGAAAAAAAAGAAAGGAAAGAAAAGAAAAGAAAATAGATTGAAATACCTGTGCTGTAGTTTCTTCTTTTATTTCGTCATTCAATCTGCGAGCGTTTACACAAAGCCTAATAATTGTAAGACAATGAAATAGAAGGACCCCAGATGTTTCTAGGTATTCTTCTTAAGAAATGCTCAGGCTCCACAGGGTAGGAACACAGAGGCAGACACATAATTGAAACGTCATAAATGGTATGACCTTGTGTTCATTTGTAATGAAAACATATAAGTTTATGGGAACATAGAGGAGAGAAATTCATCTCAGGAGGGTGTGGATTAAAAAGGGGCTTAGGGGCCGGGCGTGGTGGCTCATGCCTGTAATCCCAGTACTTTGGGAGGCTGAGGCAGGCGGATCTTGAGGCCAGAAGTTCGAGACCAGCCTGACCAACACAGTGAAACCCCGTATCTACTAAAAATACAAAAATTAGCTGGCGTGGTGGCGCATGCCTGTAGTCCCAGCTACTCGGGAGGCTGAGACAGGGGAATCGCTTGAACCTGGAAGACGGCAGTTGCAGTGAGCCAAGATCGTGCCACTGCACTCCAGCCTGGCAACATAGCGAGACTCCGTCTCAAAAAGAAAAAAAAAAAAAAAAAACAAAAAAAGCGGGGGGCACTAGGGAAAGCTTCCAATAAGCATCAGCACATGAATTAAGACTCGAAGTCTTCTCTTACACCAGGGAATTGAGCCAGTTCAAGGGGGAAAAAAACATTAGGGAACGGTGCCCCTTTTAAGGAGATCAAGCAATTGATATTTTCAGAGTTCAACAAGTGGCAAGACATGAAACAAGACAACGTTGATCAACTTTGGCTAACTTTAGGAGAAAAAAAAGTGCTGGAAGGGTACAGGATGGCTCATAGAGAGTCTTACAGCCCTCATTAAGGAGCTTGGACTTAATCCTGAAGAAAACAATGAACCATCTGGAAGATGCTATGCTCATATTTATATTTGAAATCATTTATGTGGATTACTCTACAAAGGGTGGATTTAAAGGAGACCATTAGGAGTCTCCTGGCAATGGGCTGAGGGAAAGAGGTTGGAGAAGAGCTAGGGAGTATTGGGACATTAAATTTGCAAAAATAGAACGGAATCAAGGATACAGGTTAGAGGACACACCAAGACCGCCCCCAAGAATAAGGAAAACAAAGCTGGTGTGATGGGGAAGGTGATGAGGGCTCAAACATGTGGAGTTTTAGGCACCTATGGATTTCCAGGTAGAAATGACAGAAGAAAACTGCATACACGAGCCAGCAACTCAGGGAGGATTCTGGCTGAAGAGAGTCACTAGAAGTTACCAGCAAGCAGCATAACTGCATTAGAAGGGCATTCAGCTCCTGAAAGTTTGCTTGTTAATAACACCACTCAGCGAGAGCTGTGGCATGAAAGGAGCAGGAGGCCTTTACTGTACTGTGAGATTCCTTGAAGATCAAATGAGAGACTCTGTGAAACAAAAATATGGAAGTATGACATGGTTATTATTTGAACTTGACTCAAATGCTTAAATGATATACCTTAAAAAACAAACCATAAAGCTGTAATCATAACAACAAAAACAAAATTCATCTGTTGATGTCGAATCACTGCAATGCTATAAGGGGGTGAGGCATTTGGGAGGTGATTAGGTCATGAGGGTAGAACTGTCATGAATGGTATTAATGCCCTTATGGAAGAGTCCCCAGAGAGCTGCCTTACACCTTACAACATATGAGAGCACAGGGAGAAGGTCCCATCTATAAATAGGGAAACAGGCCCACACCTTGACCTCAGACATCCTAGCCTCTGGAGCTGTGAGAAATGAATTTCTGTTGTTTGTATGCCACCTAGTCTACGGTATTTTGTTATAGCAGCCTAGATGAACTAAGACGCTCACTCACCAAAATAGTTTTATAGGTGTGAGATAGAGAGATATTAGGATGAGCAGAAAATGTCACTATGAAAATTTTATAACTCCACTGAAAATCTATCCAGATTAAATTATTGGGAAGAAATTGATGACGGAAACACTACCTAATATTTGAAAAATGATTTCAACTTTTCTAAGGTTTTGGGTTTCATTTATTCCTTATATTTTCCTGTATGTACATTTAAGAACAAGTCAAATTGATTAGAACAGCACTCTTTGAGGCTAAAATACCCAAGCCATTCCTCAGGAGAAATTAGTCCTTAGGAATTCTAGGACACTATAGGATTTAAAGAACTGGTGGGGGATTAAAAGCTCACACTATTTTGGTAACCAAGTCCAGTGAATTTTGAAACTAATTATTGGGCTTTCGTTACATCAAATGTAGATAGTGGATAAGGTCATTTTATTTGTTTATGTCCTCAGTGTTAAATTTTAACTCCATCTTCTCTTTTCCTCAGTAAGTGATCCAAAATTATCTTTGCTGCTTTCCCAGAAATAATCTTAAAGTCAGTGCTCAGTACTAAGATAATGATTTCAGTAGAACTGTGCTTCACTTAAAGAAAAAAAACGAATTAGATGAATTGTATTCATCTAATATGTAAAGACTTCAGGTCCTTTTTTTCCAATAGAACAGAGTAAGATGCAACACTCCCTTGGGTCTTGTTGAAGCCCAGCAAGAAGAGTTTGTTAATTTGGTACAATATTGCATATAAAAAGACATCATGCTGATTTTAATATAGTTAGGGTTAGCGTTAAAAACCAGCAGAAGAGTATGGTGTTTGGAATCAATTGTGAGATCTTGTTGCAAGCTAGGTAACAACTTTGAACCTTCACTGTAAAGTGAACATAATGACACCTCCCTAGTACTATGTAAGAGATGAATTAGATAATGCATATAATGGGCTTAGTACAGGAGCTAGTAATTTTGTCTTAATAAATTAATAGACACTCTTATTGCTAATAATAACAAACATTATTTTCATAAATAAAATCACTTTTATAATTTTCTCTTATAAGATGACCTTTACAAATAAAATTGCTTTTATAAGTTTCTCATATAAGATGACCTTTACAATTCAGAGTTTATTTTGACTGTCCAGCATGTAAACACTTGTAATGTGAAAGGGCTCTCAAGAGAGGTGAATAACTGGGTCATACCTCCTACTATAAAAACTTAAAAGCATGTTGATGTTTCTTTCTCTCTCTGACCAACTAGATGTTCCCATTTTGGAAAGCACAAATGTATACTCACATGGCATGGATTCAAAGAGAACTTTTGAAAAATTCTGTTTAGCTAAAAATTTATATCTAATTTATCTTTACCTTTTAGTCCTTTTCAAGTATTTTTTGAGACTCTAAATCAATTTTCTCATGCATTAAGTTATTCCTTTTATTTATTGCTTATTTATTATATATAAATATATTTTTATTTATTATTTCTGTGAAAAAAGATAAGTGATCAATGAGCAGGTCACAGAGCTAAAAAAATCTCATGATAAATGAAGAATGAAGAAGATGAGAAAATAGAAAGAAAATTAAATGATATTAGTAAATGTGAGAAAGTCAAAGGTATACTTGTTATGGCCAGTGTCTGAAACTTAATTGAAAAATTGCATAAGTCTAGTTGTATTGAATATAGTGGCAAAATTATGCTATATTTCATTTATCTTTAGTACTACTTGTTTCTCCAAAAAATAATTAAGCATTGTTTTTTCCTACAAGTATTATATTTCTGAGTTATAAGACTAGGGTTTATTATAATGCTGAGTTTTGATGACATTCTTATATGGGCCAGTGGCTTTTCCGTCTTTTATCTAACAGTTTATGTTATATTGTATTTCAGTAACACCGATTGTCAAAAAAACTTTTTAATTTATATTCAGAAAACTCCAAGGACCTCTATGAGATATTGACTCTGACTAAGTTATAATGTAGTTAGTTGCATTTTTGTGTACACTACTGGGGTTTGGTTTCCAAAAGCCCCAAACATAGCACAAATGAATGATCTCAGTCAGGACTCCACTTGTAGGTGCATAGTAGCCACTCACTAATTTAAAATTGATTGATTCTTGCACTCTCCATGCACTGGCCTGGCCAGGCCTAAAAGTAAATTAATATTTGGACTCTGAGTAGAAGATAAAACACATTTCTAGTTTTGGAAATCATTAAGTAGAATTACTAGTAATGGATGATTATTATTGTGTCATTCCACTCCCATAAAAATATAGAAGAAAGAAAAAGTTCTGCATAAAGGCAGTAGTCCAATCCCTCCCTCCTATGCAACTTTCCACTTCCATTTAAAAATGAGATAATAGCGTTTAGTGGGCAAAATAATGCCCACCAGCCCCCTCCCTTCGGAAGAATGTCCAAGTCCTAATCCCTAGAAGCTGTGAATACATTATGTTACATGGCAAAAAGGGATTAAGGTATTAAGGTTGCAGATGAACTTCAGGTTGCTAAGTGGCTGACCTTATAATAGAGAGATTATCCTGGATTATCTGAGTGGGCCGAATTAATCAGAAGAATCCTTATAAGTGGAAGACAGAAGCACAAGAGAGTCAGAGAGAGAGACGTGATGGCAGAAGCCAGGTCAGAGTGGTGAGGCACTGCTGGCTCTGAATATTGAGGAAGAGGACACCAGCCAAGGAATGTGAGCAGCCTCTAGAAGCTGGAGAAGGCAAGGACACACAGCGTCCCGGAGAGCCTCCTGAAGGAATGCAGATTTGCTGATACCTTGATTTTAGCACAGCCAGACCTGGGTTGGACTTACACCTGCCTAACTACAATAAAATAAATATGTGTTGCTTTCAACTACTAAGATTGTGGTAATTTGGTATGGCAGCAATAGAAAGTAATATATAGTGCTTATTATTATATAACTTTCTAAAGTTACTAAGTGGAATATCTGGAAATTTGAAAATGAGAAAACTACTGTAGCCTGGATAACTTTTAAAATGCCTTCCCATTATGAAATTCCAGTTTCCTCCCATTAAAGTGTGTGCAATAGCAACTAAACTGGCCCCCAATCTATAGCTTTGACAGAAGGTACTTAAGAGTCCTCTCTCTCCTTTATTTGCCTCTCAGACATTTTTTCATTTGCTCTATTTATTTTACTTCATCAAACTTCTATGCCAGAAGGAAGTACTTATTTTGGGAAAATCATGTTATTTGTATACAGTTCACATCAACCTTTCTGTTAACAATTTTAAATTTCCAGCAAACATACTTATTTCTTAGCTATCTAGTGTTGGACCCATCTGTTAGGAAGAGATAAATCCTTTGTCAAAATTAATGGAACCAGTATTTATAAGGCCAGATATTGCTGAAATTAAATAGGAATCCTTAATATCACTAATGGCCAAAATTACCCCAGGAAGAGATTTTTCTTCCAGTTAACAAGATCTTGACATGGTCATTCCCACCATTCCACAGTATTACTTGGCCATATTATTATCAAAATAAATAGTGAAGCTGACAGGCATAGGAAGGTATAGAGGAGGGGTGACTCATAGGGTACCAAAACATCATTTGGGGTGAGAGCTGGGTGGCCTGAAAAGTCAGGAATGGAGTCATCACATCTTCCTAGAAAGCCTTTCACAAAGGTAATTTTTTTCCAGTTTGACCTACTACATGTTAAAAAGAGTATCTTCTACATTGCTAATATTTTTTTTTTCTTACCAAGTCTACTGACTAGAGCATTCATCTGGTAGGAATTATTTTTGCCTGAATTAAATATGGGTGGGTAATTCAGACCCATTTCAGGTTCAACAAACATCTTGAACTATTTTTCAAACATTTGGGATTTGGCAAAAAAAAATATTTTACTCAGTAATTTTCTGCTTAATTTTTAAACCCTGGTGTGTTTTAAGGGGAATTTAATCCGTATGTTTCTGATTCATTTACCATTAACTGATCAGGTTCGTTTTCTGTTGCCATGTTTTTGGTGGGAGAGATGTTTTCGGGATACTTTCAGGGACTTTGACAAATTTCTTGGGGAAAAAAATGAAAGTTTCATTCATTCTGCCAAGAGAAATCAAATGTCAAAGCAAGGAAGACAAGAGAGGTTCTAGATTCATATCAGCAATGCAGCCTGACTGAAAAAGAGAAAGACCATTCTGCTCCCAACTTTACTGCTAAGGATGAAAGACGTTATGGATTTTGAATTGCAGACATGAATAAGTGCTGTCAAAATCCGGATTCACTCACCATTCTGAGTACTGGTGTCCAATGTGTCTGACAAAAAATGGCAGCTCCTCATGTGAGAGTCAGAGAGAAGAGCCAAAAAGATGTTTCCAGCAGCTTAGAATAAAATTGTTTATTATTATACACACAGTGAAAAGAGAAACAAAATTAGGGGTTATAAGAGAAAAACAGACGAAGAAGAAAAAGACAAATAGCTAATTTCTGAGAGTGCCTTCTAATACTTCATAAATTTGGAATTAAAAAAGTTAATCTAGGAAATCCTAGCCGGAGCAACCAGGCAAGAGAAAGAAATAAAAGGCATCCAAATAGGAAAAGAAGAAGTCAAGCTATCTCTCATTACTGATGATATGATTCAACACCTAGAAAATCCTAGAAACTCTGCCAAAAGGCTACTAGAACAGATAAATGATTTTAGTAAGGTTTCAGAATACAAAATCAATGTACACAAATATGCCAATAATGTCCAAGTTGACAGTCAAATCAAGAGCACATCCTATTTACCATAGCCACAGGAAAATGAAATACTTATGAATAAAGTTAACCAAGGAGGTGAAAGATCTCTACAAGGAAAACTACAAAATACTGCTGAAAGAAATCAGAGATGGCACAAATAAAGGGAAAAACATTCCATGCTCATGGGTTGGAGGAATCAATATCTTTAAAATGGCCATATTGCTCAAAACAATGTACAGATCCAGTGCTATTCCTATCAAACTACCAACATCATTTTTCACAGAATAAGAAAAAAAGTATTCTAAAATTCATACAGAACCAAAAAGTAACCTGAATAGCCAAAACAATTTTATTCTAAGCTGCTGGAAAAATCCTTAGTAAAAAGAACAAAGCCAGCAACATTACTGTATCCGACTTCAAACTTTACTATAAGGCTACAGTAACCAAAACAGCATGGTACTGGTACCAAAACAGAGATATAGACCAATGGAACAGAACAGAGCCCTCAGAAATAATAGCACATATCTACAAGCATCTGATCTTTGACCCTGACAAAAACAAGAAATGGGGAAAGGATTCCCTATTTAATAAATGGTGCTGGGAAAACTGGCTAGCCATATGTAGAAAGCTGAAACTGGATCCCTTCCTTACACCTTATACAAAAATTAATTCAAGATGGATTGAAGACTTAAATGTTAGACCTAAAACCATAAAAACCCTAGAAGAAAACCTAGGCAATACCATTCAGGACATAGGCATGGGCAAGGACTTCATGACTAAAACACCAAAAGCAATGGCAACAAAAGACAAAATTGACAAATGGGATCTAACTAAACTAAAGAGCTTCTGCACAGCAAAAGAAACTACCATCAGAGTGAACAGGCAACCTACAGAATGGGAGAAAATTTTTGCAATCTACTCATCTGGCAAAGGGCTAATATCCAGAATCTACAAAGAATTTAAACAAATTTACAAGAAAAAAACAACCCCATCAACAAGTGAGTGAAGGATATGAACAGACACTTTTCAAAAGAAGACATTTATGCAGCCAACAGACACATGAAAAAATGCTCACCATCACTGGCTATCAGAGAAATGCAAATCAAAACCACAATGAGATACCATCTCACAACAGTTAGAATGGCAATCATTAAAAAGTCAGGAAACAACAGGTGCTGGAGAGGATGTGGAGAAATAGGAACACTTTTACACTGTTGGTGGGACTGTAAACTAGTTCAACCATTGTGGAAGACAGTGTAGTGATTCCTCAAGGATGTAGAACTAGAAATACCATTTGACCCAGCAATCCCATTACTGGGTATATACCCAAAGCATTATAAATCATGCTACTATAAAGGCACATGCACACGTATGTTTATTGCGGCACTATTCCCAAAAGCAAAGACTTGGAACTGACCCAAATGTCCATCGATGATAGACTGGATTAAGAAAATGTGGCACATATACACCATGGAATACTACGCAGCCTTAAAAAATGATGAGTTCATGTCCTTTGTAGGGACATGGATGATGCTGGAAACCATCATTCTCAGCAAACTAACACAAGAACAAAAAACTAAACACTGCATGTTCTCACTCATAGGTGGGAATTGAACAGTGAGAACACTTGGACACAGGAAGGGGAAAATCACACACTGGGGCCTGTTGTGAGGAGGACGGAGTCGGGAGGGAAAGCATTAGGATATATATCTAATGTAAATGACGAGTTAATGGGTGCAGCACACCAACATGGCACATGTATACATATGTAACAAGCCTGCACACTTTGCACATGTACCCTAGAACTTAAAGTATAATTAAAAAAAACAAAAGAAAAAAAAAGTCAAAAACCAACAGATGCCAGCAAGGTTGTGGAGAAAAGGGAACACTCATGCACTGTTGGTGGGAATGTAAATTAGTTCAGCCCCTGTGGAAAATGGTGTGGAGATATTTCAAAGGACTCTAAACAGGGCTACTATTTGATCCAGCCACCCCATTACTGGGTATATACCCAAAGGAAAATACATCATTATACCAAAAATGCACATGCACTTGTATGTTCATCACCATGCTGTTCACAACAGCAAAGATATGGAATTAACCTAGGTGCCCATCAATAGTCGATTGGACAAACAAAATGTGATATATAAGCACCATAGAATACTACATAGCCATAAAAAAAGGATAAAATTATGTCCCTTCCAGCAACGCGGATGGAGCTAGAGGCTATAATTCTAAGTGAACTAATAAAGAAACAGAAAAAACTAATACTGCATGTTCTCATTTATAAGTGGGGAGTGAACATTGAGCACGCATAGACATAAACATGGGAACAACAGACACTGTGGACCACTTCAGAGGGGAGGGAGGGGGAACACGGGCTGAAAAACCATCTTTCAGGTATTATGCATGATGCTTATCATAATAAGCATAACTGGGTGCAACATACGCATGTAACAAACCTGCATATGTACCCCCTATGTCTAAAAGAAAAGTCAAAATTTTTAAAAATCTTATGCTATGACCACTTGTAATAAAACAAATAATTTTTTAAATGAAGCAATCAATATTATTCTAATTCAATCCTTTCCTCAATATATTGCTTTACAGAAAGTTTTAAAAAGCTACAGTATCATATTTCTTCAATTTGACTTTTGTTTCTCTCAAAATTTTTTCATTACTTATCCTGTTTCAGAAGCTAAAAGTGCTAGTTAAAAATAAAAGGTATTGCATTATTTAATTTTTTAACAGGTTTTTATTTATGTGCAAAGTTTTATATGTGTGTGTGTGTAAAACTGTTGGCATCAAAACGATTTAGTTTCAAGACTTTCTTATTTCTGTCATTGATACTGCAGCTATATTAATTGAGTTGAATATAAAAATACCATGTCTGAGTCATAAAAAGCTTCATAGAATTGTATAAGCAAATTCTGTTATTCACTAAACAAATATTTAGAACACCTTCTATGTGCAAAACATTGTGATGAAGAATTAATACACTGGGACAAAGGGCCTGTTCCTGAGCTTAAGTGTTTAGTATAATATACGTTTAGAAAATGAGGAATAAATATTAAGCTTCCAGTTTCACAGTTTGCAATTGCAATAAACTACCTGTCTTTTGTTAAAGAAACCTGCCTTGAAACCATGCCTTAATTTTATATTTAGAAAATTTTAAAATTAAGATTTTTAAAAAAATTATCCAGCTCTATAGCTCCAGGTATCTCAATCTCTTAGTAACATTCTCTTAGTTTATATCAAACTACTTTAAATCACACCTTCCAATGAGATGCCAACCATGTCAGCCAATCTGAGTCGTCCTGGCATTTCATAAAAGTGACAAGTCCACTGTGAAAATGATGGAGAGGGAAATCATGAGGAATTGTTTTAATGCCCAAAAGCAGCTTATCGTTTTCAATGTCTCTAAGTGGTTTTTTTTTTTTTTTGGTCCCAATTAAGAATTTTAAAATGAAATACTTGTTACATGGAGAAGGCTTAGATTCCTTAAGTCATAAATGAATAGGAGAATGGCCTTATTTTTCTGCATCTTAGGGTTAGCTTGATTGCGTTTAACAAATATCAAGCTATCAGTAGCATACAGGACCATTCCTATAAAGCAGCTGTGTTCCGCCCTTGAAAAATGGTATCGCAGCTCTTTTGAGAAAGAACTTTTGATTTAAGTGTTAACAAAGGACAGTGGTCAGAAGGAAAGCAAACATGTGCTCTTTAACATGAGTCAACACTGCTAGGATTTTATTATATGGTAAGAGAGCAAAAGAGAGATCTTTGTAAACGGAACAAAGTAACACATCCTGGGTCCAAGAGATGGAAGAGCTTTAATGGGTCCATGATTATCTCTTTCCATAATATACATTTTATTTCGTCATAAGCCTTCTCATGTAATTCCTTGGTATGTTGCAAGTCTGCATGAGGTGTTTTGTTTTGTTTTGTTTTGTTTTGTTTTTTAAATATAGACAGGGTCTTGCTCTGTCGCCCAGGCTAGAGTGCAGTGGCACAATCTCAGCTCACTGTAACCTTCGCCTCCTGGGTTCAAGTGATTCTTGAGCCTCAGCCACCAGAATAGCTGAGATTACAGCACGCCTGGCTAGTTTTTGTATTTTTTATAGAGACCAGATTTTGCCATGTTGGCCAAGCTGGTCTTGAACTCCTGGTCTCAAGTGATCCCAAAGTGCTGGCATTACAGGCAAGCCACCATGCCCGGCCCTGAGTGTTTTATTTATTTATTTATTTATTTATTTATTTATTATACTTTAAGTTCTGGAATACATGTGCAGAACCTGCAGGTTTGTTACATAGGTATACAAGTGCCATGGTGGTTTGCCGCTCCCATCAGCCCGTCATCTACATTCGGCATTTCTCCTAATGCTATCCCTTCCCTAGACCCCAACATCCAACAGGCCCTGGTGTGTGACGTTCCCCCTCCCTGTGTCTGCATGTTCTCATTGTTCAACTTCCACCTATGAGTGAGAACATGTGGTGTTTGGTTTTCTGTTCCTATGTTAGTTTGCTGAGAATTATGGTTTCCAGCTTCATCTGTGTCCCTGCAAAGGACCTGAACTCATCCTTTTTTATGGCTGCATAGTATTCCATGGTGTACATGTGCCACATTTTCTTTATCCAGTCTATCATCATTGGGCATTTGGGTTGGCTCCAACTCTTTGCTATTGTGAACAGTGCTGCAATAAACATGCATGTGCATGTGTCTTTATAGTAGAATGATTTATAATCCTTTGAGCATATACCCAGTAATGAAATTGCTGAGTCAAATGGTATTTCTGGTTCTAGACCCTTAAGGAATCTCCACACTGTCTTCCACAATGGTCGAACTAATTTACACTCTCCAACAGTGTTAAAGCGTTCCTATTTCTCCACATCCTCTCCAGCATCTGTTGTTTCCTGACTTTTTAATGATTGCCATTCTAACTGACCTGAGATGGTACCCTGCTTTGGCTCGCCCTCCGTGGGCTGAACCCACTGTCTAACCAGTCCCAATGAGATGAGCTGAGTACCTCAGTTGGAAATGCAGAAATCACCCGCCTTCTGCGTTGATCTTGCTGGGAGCTGCAGACCACAGCTGTTCCTATTCAGCCATCTTGCCAGCCACCCCAAGTGTTTCATTTTTAAAATACAAACATAAGTCATGCTTACCCATTTATGGATTATCACATCAATACAGTTGTGATAACCTCTCAACCAATAGTATAAATTGTGTGGACAACTTGGTACTTACTTTTCTATATTTTATTCAGTGCATGTAAGATCATAGACACACTAATACAAATACGCACACATACACAGCTTTCTAGGCAAAAATAGGATCACATTACAAGTATTAATAACACTCAGTTTCTTAAAGTTCATATCACATATTGAATATCTCTCTAGACTTTGTAAATACCTATGAAATATTCCATTCCATAGTGTAGATATGTAATTTATTCAATCATTCTCTTTTAACGGTGCCAAGGTCATTTCCAGTGTCTTGAGATTCTACCGTAATAGACAAGCTTATTTTATACTGTTGCATTTCAGTAGAATGGATTTCTAGAATTGGTCCGGGGCAAGATTTTAGCTCACTGCAGGCTCAACTTCCCTGACTCAGGGGATCCTCCTACCTCAGCCTCCTGAGTAGCTGGGACTACAGGTGTGCACCAACATGACCAGCTAATTTTTTATATTTTTAGTACAGATGGAGTTTTATCCTATTGCCCAGGCTAGTCTCAAACTCCTGGAATCAAATGATCCACACACCTTGGCCTCCCAAAGTGTTGGGATTACAGGTATAATCCATCGTGCGCAGCCCTTCTTTTGTTTTTTTGGGTTTTTTGTTTGTTTGTTTGTTTTTAATGAGGTTGCCTATGAGGCATTTCTTCACCATCTTGTATTCTTCCTCTCATCGGCTTTCTTTACGCATTAAATTAATTCTGTGACCTAAGTAAAGATAGAATTTTTTTTATAACTAGTATTTGTGTTATTTTTTACCTTCAGAAAATGCCTTTTCATAAAAACTTGACTCATGCATGTTTTCTGTCTGATAAAGCAAGTGCTAAATCACTGTTGGTTAAATAAATTTGCAAACATTTCCTTACCTTGAGATGAAAGAGCCTACATTGATATGTCTTTGACATTCCTGTCCTTTCTACTGAAACAGTATGTTTGAGTAATTATAGGCAAGGATGGAGAGGAGGGGTAGGAAGGACCAAGGAAGCTGATAGTGAGCTAGTATTCAGAGCATAAGGACCACTCCCAGCAGAGAAACAGAGGGCCAGCTGGTCATATAGGCAACAGCCCTGCCTGTGGAGCTGCCCACTGTAGAAAAGAACTTCACTGGGAAAGCCAGCATGGTTTAGTGGGCAGTGAAGTGTCTGAAGCTTTGTAGAATTCACTTCATGTAACTGCAAAGCTAGCCAATCTTATTCCAGCCTTAGGAAAAAGAAATCTTTTTCCAGCCTCAGTGAGCAGGACTGTCTCAGGAACAAGATGTGCCTGAGCATTTAAGATAATATTTGTCAGTTCCTTAAACAGGATGGCAAAGCAAAAAGAGGAGAAAGCAAAGACTGCTCTGGCCAAGCAGTGCACATTTTCTGTCAAACTCCAGGGAGATCCCTGAAGATATGGGGTGGAGTTAGTAGGGGAAAATTTTGGTTGCAAAGGGATCACTATATTTGTTCTCACCATGGAAGTGAAACCAGGACAAGTGGTAATCCTGTTTTCCTGTTTATGAAATATCTCACTTCCTTAGATTCTTTTTGAGTTTTATGGCTATCTATAGACGTGGAAATTGAGCTGAAGCCAAACAGATCTGGCCTTATTTCCCATGGGCCTGTGCACCACCAATTTGGATCTGAGATCAGACATAACCTTGCCATAAGCAGCAAAGGGCTTGGTGAACCCTCAAAAAGGCTGTCAAACACCCAGAGGCCTTGGGGATCAGGAAGGAGCTATCATGTGGTCTTTCATGTGAGTACAGAATGTCCCAAGAGTGCTGCTTCAGTTCTTTATTTTAATTATTTCTAATTCTCAGAGGTTCTTCACTGTGAGTGAGAGTGCTATGAAGGAGATATGTTTCCACATGTATCCTACGTGTAATTCTTTTATCCATGTTTATATCAAACTATTAATATACATTTATTGACCCCTCCAATGAGCCAAGCACCACAGTGGGTGTTGTGGAGTATTCAAAGGATAGCAAAATAATATTTGTCTTTCTAAGTTTGTGTTTTTCTTTTCTTTTTTCTTCTCTTTTTCTCGTCTTTCCTCTCTTCCTTTCTTTGTTCATACAGAAAATTGCAAAGAATTAAAAGCCTCTAGAATCTCTTTCTCTTTCTGATGAGTTGGAAACAAGTAGTGATTCTTAATTTTTCTATTATTTATTTTTTGTTCATTTATTAATTATTTATTTATTGAGACAGGGTGTTGCTCTCTTGCCCAGGCTGGAAGGCTGGAGTGCGGTGGCATGATCTCGGCTCACTGCAACCTCCGCCTCCCAGGTTCAAGTGATTCTCATGCCTCAGCCTCCTGAGCAGCTGGGATTATAGGCCTGTTACTTTAATTTTAACTTTTCCTTTAACGTTTAAATTTTGTATATTGTCATGTGACATTCTGGAGTGCTTGAATTTATTCCTGAATCTACTTTTATTCTTTAGCCATAAAGCAAACCCATTTTGTGTATAGGTGCTGACCAATATGCACCAATATTAACTATTCAAGGTTAATAATTTGTTTCAAGATTGTGTTTGTACATGTGTGTGTGTGTGTACACATGAGAGGCAGTCTAGAAAATTTCTAAGTAATCATTAAAATAATACGAGTAAAATAGTGATAAAGAGAATTGTTTGGGGCTATTTGTAGGGAAAGCATTCTGCTTTGATAGGTGAAGAGAGAGGTGAGCTCCTTAGATGTGCTCTTCTTTAACTCTGCCCTCCTTATTTGCAAACGTATTTACATGCACAATTCATCTCTCTTTTTCCTTTTAGTCTTTGAGAATAATGTGCATTTGGTTCAATTTCCTTTTACTATCTTTATATTTTACTTCATCAGTTATCTTTTCTTTTCTCAACCTTCCATCTCACCTCTCTGCTAGAAAAACCTAATAGCTTAGAAACATAAATAAATAAATATCCTGCATCCTAAATAAAAATCCTTCCCCACACTATTTTTATACCAGTCTATGTCCCATCTTTCCTGTATTTCTATTTTTTTATGAATGTAGTATTACGCTATCTCTATGTTATTCTATTCACTTTTCCATAGACTGAAGTCTGGCTTTTACTGCCATCACCTCAATGAAATTGCTCTTGAAGAAAAATTGGGCAGATGTTTCTGTTGCATCTGGCAATGGTAATGACTTCCTTTATTTAACGCTTCAATCTCTGAGTTCCTTTACACCACTCTGCTGCTCTGTCTTTAACCAGCTTACAATCTCTGATCACTCTTTTTTGTCCTCTTTCACGACTTTTTCTGTCATTTTTTATTTCTTAAATGTTGATATTCCTGACATTCTGCCACTATGTCTTCCATTTTCTGTACTTCCTTGTGTTAATCCACTTTCAGGATTTTGACTGCCACCAGAAAAGATGTGTACTTTAGTAATCCTGGTGTTACTTTGCCAGTAATGCTCCATGCTATCTCTCCAGCTCTGAAATTTTCCCAGAACCAGTTCATCATCTCCACCTGATTGTCCCTATGGGAACTTGTAGCTCCATGCACCACCCTAAATCCTTTGGAGCATGTTAGGGTATTCCCCATCTGCTGCTTCTCCCTGTAATTGCCAACTTTGTCAGGAGTACACCATTTACCTAGTCATCCAAAATAGAAACTGAGGCTTGAAGCTCATCCTTGAATTCCTCTTTTCCTTTGGCTTTTATATCCAGATAATCACCATGTAATGTGTACTTTCCCTCAAGGAACCCAATTAAGTAATATTGAATCAGTTTCTTCATCCCCATAACTACTCATGCTACTTTAATGCAGGCCCTAGACTATTCCAGTAGTCTGCCAGCCTCTACAACTCTGTGCCCAAACTCATCCTCTCACAGTGGACAGAAAAATGCATCCAAATTTGATTCTGATTTTGTTACTTTCCTAACAAAATTTGCCAGTGGTTCCACATTATTTGGTCTATTTCTTTGTCATTATTTTACATGACCACCTACCTCATGCTTTGCTTTCCCACAATACTGAAGGCCTTGTAATTCCTCTCATATGCTATATTGTTTATCCTGCCTCTGCCTTTGCTCAGGCTCTCCCCTTTGCTTGGAATGTCCCTATCCTCTTCACCTAGATAACTCCTCCTAATAAGATTCTTTTTGAGGGTAACCTCTTCCAAGAAGCCTTCCTTGCTCCTTACCCATACCTCTAATTGGACTGGGTAACCGTCTCTCTACTTCCATAGTAGACATACGTCTTCACCAGATTTGCCATTTTATAGTGTGATTATCTGCTGATGTCTGTTATTAAGTAAGAGGACTATATTTTTATATTTATTTTTATTCCCAATGCTTTAATTCAGTGTCTGTCATGTAATAGACACTAGATAACTAATTTTGTTAGGTGAGGGCTTCATTCCAGTCTTAAATTGTGAACAAAATTTAGATCATTGCAACCAAAGGAGGAATCTAATAGAGATAAGACTTTGAACTCAGAATCAGACACAAAAAGATCCAAAGCAGATTTCTGAAGTTAGTGTGGAGCACGTACTAACTGGAGTGAGGTAGGGGTGTGTGTGTGTGTGTGTGTGTGTGTGTGTGTGTGTGTCTATGGGGACATCTGTAAGCAGATTAGACAGATCGATTGGGGAAAATATGGTAGGCCATTAGTACTGGCATATATATACATTTTGGACATTGCAGAAAACACTCAGGCATTGTGATTGAATAAGGGATCAACATTAAAAGAATCATGTGTGGCTGGGTGTGGTGGCTCATGCCTGTAATCCCAGGACCTTGGGTGGCGAAGGCGGGCAGATCACTTGAGGTCAGGAGTTCGAGACCAGCCTAAGCAACATGGTGAAACCCCTGTCTCTACTAAAAATACAAAAATTAGCAGGGTATGGTGGCAGGCACCTGTAATCCCAGCTACTCAGGAGGCTGAGGCAAGAGAATTACTTGAACCTTGGAGGCAGAGGTTGGAGTGGGCAGAGATGGTGCCACTGTACTCCAACCTAGGCAACAGAACAAGATTCTGTCTCAAAAAAGAATAGTGTTTAGAAAAAACACTTTTAGCAATACTGGGTTAAAGTCGATTAATAGATTAGGGCTGGGAGCAGGGTAAGCAATTATAAAAATCTAACAGTTCAGGAATGAAATGGTAATGACCTGAGCTAGAATAATGGCAGTGAAAATGCTGAGGAAGAAGTTTATATGAACACATTCTGCCCCTCCTGCCCCCTCCCCCCAGAAAAAAATTGCTATGGTGGCTAAACGTCAAGTCTAGGGAGAGGACTGTGAGTTTAGGAATAATGTCTGTTTTGTTCAAAGCTCCTTCCTTACTGCTTAGCACTGAGCTTGGCACTCAGGTATTGGTGAATAAATGGGTTTTAAGTGAAATAATTAATGGATAAGTATTGATATAACTCTTTCACATATGTACAGTGCATATCTTCTTTGAGAGAATACAGTGAAATTTTTTGAGGGTTTGTTTTGTTTTTTTCGCCTCCACCAGCACCATTGCAACAGTCTGAGTAATGGATTTAGAATAATGATGTAAAGACATAACTTCGCTGTAGTTGAAGTCATTTTTATTCGCTTTGAATTGCTTCCCCAGAGTCCCAGGCCTTAGCGTAATTAATGCTACTGTTTTGAAATCAGCTTTGGAACTTTGATCTCAAGCTCTAAATATGTCCTTGTTGTAAACAAGCAATACATCTAATAATAACCATATCACCTGCTTATCTAAAGGGTTTCATGTGTGTTTAATTAATAATTGAGAACAAATGTCACCATGGTTGCCTCAGTCTAGACAGGGGACAATTATATCATCTACTTATTTTTTCTGCTTGAGAGATATATAAAGCTTTCAGAGAAGCTTATTAAGGATTCAGGTAATTAAACTTGTATTTTTTTTGCACACTAACAACAATTTATATTTGAAAACAATTAGCATGAGTTACTTGTGTGTTCAAAGAATCAATTTCACAAAAAACTTTTATAATGTACAATGATATATGTTCAGAGATATTAACTACAACCCTGTTAACAATAATAAAAGTCTGGAAATTACTTAAATATCCATCATAAATTATGGTAGACATTCTAGGCAGAATTCTAAACAATGATTTTTTTAAAGAAAATAAGTAAATCTATATATACTGTTACAGAAACATGTGCAAGATACATTGTTAAGTGGAAAAATTGCAAAATTACAGAGCAGAATATTTAGTAGAAAGCAATTCATGTGAACAACAATACACATAATGTATTTGTGTGCACACATGCACATGCTTATTACAACACTAGTTACACTAAGATTACCTGGGGGGGACACACATACACATACACACACACATACATACACATACATTATAACACCAGTTACATTGAAATCAGCTGGGAGGATTCCTAAAAAAAAGTTAACGGTTATTAATTCTGGGGTTATTTTAAGCATTTTAAAACATTTTTACAATAATTATGTATTAATTGACAGAAGATAGTAGACAAGTAACTTCTGCATTTTCCAGGTTCTGTTGTGGCATCTCCTTGCATTTTAATTTATAGAAATTAACAATAAAGACAACTTGAAAAAATACCTTTTTCTTTAGGTATTTCTAAGGTTAATAAGTAGTCATTCAAATGCAGGCATTATAGGGATAAAACTAGCTTCACATCACTTAGTGTCAATTTAAATACCAATTAATTAGATATAAAAAAGTAAACTCACATACTCCCACTATCTGTACTCAGGGATGATATTAAAAATATTCAACAACCCATAGGATTCTAACCAATCAGAAGAGGCACAGCTATTAGTCATGGAAGCGCAACCCTTTAGTTGGTGGATCAAGAAAGAATCTGAGGTGTTTGGAAGGTTCTAAGGTAGTCCAGGCTGCAGAGCTTGAGTGACATATTGGAAGTGTGGAAGGGCAATTATTTACCAACTAGTGTATACTGTTTGTTGTATTTTAACTATTACCACAGCTCTGTGAGCCTGCCTATTCTTGAACCTTATTGGCCTCAGGGACTTTCCTTAAACAAACCGAATACTGTAATTATATACTTTCTTATCTTTACACACACTGTTTCTTTTCCTTCCTATTCTGTAACCATCTTCCATTCTCTACTTTCAAGTCTATGCCAGTGATCTCCCCTTCAACGTCTATTTTTCAAACTCTAGTTCAAATGTCACTCCCTCTGTGAAGTCTTTCATGGTCTTGATCCTTATCTTAGTCCATTCAGAAGACTATAACAGAATACCACAGATGGGCATCCTATAAACAACAGAAATTTATTTCTCACAGTACTGTAAGGCTGGGAAGTCCAAGATCAAGGGGCCAACAGATTTGGTGTCTGGTGAGGGCCTGTTTCCTGGTTAACAGATGGATGGCTGATACTTCTCACTGTGTTCTCACAAGATGACAGGAGTGAGAGAGCTCGCTGAGACTTCCTTTATGAAGACAGTCATCCCTCTGATCAGCTCTCGAAGACCTCACGTCCAAATACCATCACCTTAAGGGAATAGATTTCAGCGTATGGATACTAGGGGGAAGTAAACATTCAGTCAATAGCACTCTTCCTCCTTCCCCAGCAACGATTACAAAGGAAACCACTCCCTCTGGTTGTGAGTTCCTAAAGAACTCTGTTTATTCCAATGTTGTGTTTCTTCTACTCCATTGCATAGTGCTAAAATTGGGCTCTGTGAAATCATGAGTGTGTCTCACTAACGCTATATTCTTAGCAACTACCCTAGTGCCAAGGACATAATGGGTGCATTTATTACATGAACAAATTAGTAGTAATAAAAGTAGCAGACATGGTAGTAATTGCAATCTTCTTTATGGTAGGTTCTAGTGCATTACATGTAGCAACTTGTTAATCTTCACAATAAACCAACTGTGCCACAATTTTCACCATTTATCAATTAACAAACTGAGACACCAAGGGAGTGAAAGACTTGTCCACAGTTTTCAGTCATAATGGCCGAGGCAAGATTGGATCCAGGCAGTGTGGCAGAGTTTATGAGTGTTGGAGCCTGTAACTAAACAGACATATCCAATTACTCAGATGTCTTCATGGCACTGGACAGGCAAGTAGTTCTCAGGTCCTAGAAATCTTGTCACATGATGGAAATCTGTGGTCACAAAGTAATGTGTCAGTTCTTGATAAACAGTTCTATGATGGATATTAAATGCTACTCAGAAGGGAGATAATGAGTGTGTTCATAGAGTACACAAACCAGGGTGAGATGAAATTCTACACTCTGTTAATTTGCTAGCAAGAGGATTTCAGAATATGTGTGTGTCATATTTATGTACACAAACACACACACACATCCTGTATGAATATGTATGGACATATATGTGTATGTTAAAATAATATTAAATGCAATTATCCCTCCAATAGCCCAATCATGAGGGTTTAACCTATATGAATGCATCTACTCATCATAACAGCTTTCGGAAGTAGATGCTATTACTATCTCCCTTTTACCCAGTTAGGAAATTTGAAGCCCAAAGAAGTGACTTGTCCAAAGCCATAGAGACAGGGAGCGATAGATCCAAGATCTCCACCTAGCAACCTAATTTTATAGCCTATTAAACTACCATGCTATTCCCTATTTTAAAAAAAATTATAAGCAATTATCAAACAATTATTGTGTCAGGCACAGTTCTAATGTGTAGTAACAGTTAAAATGCATTATGTGATACCAGGAATTTTTAAAAAGCACTCAGCAAATGTTGAAATCCTTTGGGATAGGTACTACTTTTACCCACATTTTCAGAGAGAAAGCTGCAGCCCAGTGAAGTTAAGTAAATTAATCACCCCTACAATAAATTACATAAGTAGGAAATGATAGAACTATGATTTATATTCCAGAATCTGGCCACTCTTAAGCATTTAAGCATTACACTCCAATGTCCAATGTCTCAATAGTAGGGCAAATTTTCAGGGGTCAATATGGAATCCTAACATTTTAAGTTTGAAAAATAAGTCAAGCACAAGGTAGGAAGCAGCTGATATCTGGCTGGCTGGCTGGATGCTGATGGGTGTCCCAGGGTAGCATTACCTTTTTAAACATCCTGAGATACAGGATCTGAACATCAGTAAAAAATTTTTTTCTTATATATTTATTGTGATATATTTTATGCATTCAGAGAATGTTTTAAAAATAATGTAATGATAATCAATGCACCCACCCTCCAACTCTGTTAAATTTTAACATGTTTACATCTGTATTATATATTGTGTAGAGAGACACAGATGTAGATATAGATGTAGAAAATGTAGATATTTATACCTCCTTTCAGTGAAGCCCCCGGGGAGCTCTTCCTTTCTCACTCTTCATACTTCCTCGTCTTAAGATAGTAATCCCTCTACTCGTTTCATGTTTATTATTTCCAGGCATTTCCCTATATGTTCTTTTTTATGGCCACTACTTATGTGTATGCTTATAAATAAAATGTGTATTGCTTTTCAGGTTTTCAAATATTATTTTGTATTGTGCCATATTCCATTACCTAAACCATGCCTGACATAGGATATGCACATGATAAATATTTTAGAGTGAAGAATGAATGGATTTTTTTAAGGATTTAGGTAAAAGTAACCCTAATCTCTTCCTATTAACTGGTATAATGTTCCGTTTTTAACATATGCCACAAAAAATTTATCTAATAAAAATTTATATTAAATATCAGTAATAAAAGTTGTACAAATTATTTCTAATTCTTACATTGTGTGTTTCTTCTGCTTTACTTAATGCATTGAAAGCTTATTTATTCACTGTTGAATAAAATTAAAAATGATAGGCACCTTTATCTTGCTTCCCACTTTAGAAGAAAACCATTCTAATATTTTATCTGTAAAATTGTCATTTGCTACTTAATTTTGGTACATAGCCCTTATCAGTTTAAAAACTTCCCCATCAGTTCCAGGGTGATTACAGTTTTCACCACAAAGTGATGCTAAATATTACCAAATGCAAATATTTCTGTATCCATTGAGATTTCATATACTTTTTTCTTTTTATCTGTCTATGTAGTAAATTACATTAATAAATTTTCTAGTATTATACCATCCTTGCATTCTTGAAGCAAACCTTACATAGTTGTTATGTACTAATTTTTTAATGTTAAAATATTAGATTATATTTTATTCAAATAAATTACATTTTATTTATGACTTTTGAGTCTATACTAAGTCAGGAAAGTGTAATTTTTCTTTCTTTTGCCCTTTTCATCCAATTTTAGAATCAAGTTTGTAACTGGCATGCACAAGGTCTAACAATAAAGTCCAAAAATATAGTGGCACAAACAACATACAGGCAATGAGTAGGCATCTGGGCTTCATAAGAGTATCCAATAAAACAAGGCTCTTTCTTCTATTTTGTTGCTTAACCATTTTCTAAATTTTGTCATTATCTAAAAGAAAAAACTGGTTCACCCATACCAAGCCTACACATTTCAGCCCATGAGGATGGAGAAAAAGAAGAAATTGATGACAGATTCTATCATCACAAAAGGATGTGATTTGGAAGTTGCATGCATCCATTCAGAGCTTCTTGGCCAAAACAGTCATATTAACAAAACTAGCTGCCAACATACTACAAAATGAGGTCTGTAGTTGAGTTTCCATGATCAGCTAAAATTCAAGAGAGAGAACAGGTATTGGGGATAATTAGCAGGCTCTTTTACAGAAACAGAATAGGGTTGAATCCAGCTGTTCTTCAAATATGTGTGAGAATACTTCTAATTTTTTTTAAAGGGTAAATATTTATCTATCTAATTACGTTAAAAAATAAATTTGTTAGATAATATTTTTATTAATTTTTGGATGTATTGTCTTAGCAAACTATCTATTTTCTCTAAATTTTCAAATTTATTGGCATAAAATTGTATATGAGTAAGATTTTTTTAAGTGTTGACACAATTGGAGTTATTCTTCTCTTTATTTATAATATTGTTAATTTGTTTTATCTTCTTTTTTATGATTAGACTCGCCAGCATTTTATCAATTTTATTACTTTTTAAGACAATTATATTATGATTGTCTTTTTCCCATTTTACATTTTTATTTTATTGCTTTTCTTTTTAGGTTATTAATTTCTGTTCTTTATTATGTCATTACTTCTATCTTTTAATTTAGTCTATTGTTTTTCTAAGTTCTTGCACTGATATATAATTTGAATATTCAGTTAATTGTTTTTCAAGTTTGTTTCAAGTATTTGCACAAAAAGCTAACAATTTCCTTTTAAGTGCCAGTTTGATTTTATTTCACAAATGTTAATATAAAACATTTTATTTGTCATTAGTTCTACATGTTTTCTAAGTTCCATCATAATTTCTTATTTGACCTATGAGTTCTTTAGAAGAGTTTTCAACTCTCTGAATGTGTATCTCCTATTTATTTAAAATTTAATTTTATTGTGATCAGAGAACATGGTATTTTGATGATTTCTTTATGTGTCAACTGGGCCATGGGCAGATATTTGGTCAAGCTTTATTCTGGGTGTTTCTGTGAGGGTGTTTTGGATGAGATTAACAATTAAATTAATAGTCTGGATAAAACAGATTAAGTTTTATAATGTGAGTGCACCTCATCCAATTAGTAGAAGGCCTAAATAAAACAAATGTCTGACCTTTCCACAGCTAAGAGAGAATTGTCCTGCCTGATGGGCTTCAAACCACCAGAACATCAGTTCTTCCTGGTTCTGCAGTAGTCTCCAACCTTCAGACTCAAACTTCAGCACCTGTTCTTCAGATTTTGGACTTGCAGCCTCTATAATCACATGAGCCAATTCCTTATATAAATTTATTTATACATGCTGACAGTTGGTTCTGTTTCTCTGGATAACCCTGACTGTTAGAGCTGTTACCTCAAATTTGTTTTCTTATATTTGGTGTCTGTTTTGGAGTACTTACAAGTGCTTAAAATGTTCTTTTTCAATTAGGTGAGTCTCAGTCTCTAAGATAATTTTTTTATTGTTCTATTTTATAGATTACATGTTAATGTCAATTAAGCTATAAACATTTTATTGCTGATACATTATCAAAATGCTTTTCAAACAGCCATTTCCAACAGTCTATTCTTTGGCAAAAAAACAATGCCATTCTCTTGCCATGGCCAAATGTGAGTGCTACTAACAGGTAAACTCTTAATTTGTAAGTGAGGCTGAAATCTTAAAATGCCTTCCTGAAACTTATACATGATTGATTTTGTTTATTTGTGTAATTTCTTTGTTCTATGGTTTCAGCTTCAATTGCTGAGAAAATGTCAAGATTATTTCCTGAGAATTTCCTTTGTGGCTAAGACAAAGGAGAAGTTTTAATTTTACTAGAAACTGTGAAACGAGGCTTTTAAAAAGTTTCATTAAAAAAAAAATTAGGGAAGAATAGGCATATTCAGAAAACCTACTTTCATTTAGGCTGGATTGGTAAAAAAAAAAAAAAAAGAATCCTCCCTTATGGCAACTAAGGCATGAAATAATGCAATGTAATTTTGTGAATTAAATGCATGGGATCTGGAGTTCCCTTGGCTGGTTCAAATCTCAGCTCCACCTATTACTGGCTGTATGACCTTGAGCTTGCTACTTAACCTCTCAGGGTTTTACATATGAAAATGGAGTGTAATAAAAGTGCCTCCCTCATAGTAAAACTGAAATAACGTATGGAAAGTCTTTACAAGTCCGTATCATAGGACTTGTCAAAATACTTTCATTAGGTATTATTATTATTTGCCTGATAATTAATGTATCCTATTTTAAAATGCATTGATAGGACTTAATTTGGTTCATTAGAATAGAACAGATTTTGATGCTGTTTGAATACATTCTAAAAATAAAACAAAATCAGCGGGAGATACGTTCGACCATTCTGTGAATGAGTCTCCATATTCTATAAGAAGAGGAAAAATCATATCACGCAAATTGCAGTATACGTTATGGAGGAAAAAAATGCACTTGTTTTCCTATTCATTTTATAACGTCCCTGTTAGTCTCATTTAGAAGGAAAAGCTGAAGTTTAGAATTGTGAAAAACTCATGGTTGCTTCACAACTTGAACTCAGTTGAAGAGCGTGGTATGTGAGACAGGCATAATCATCTCACAAACTTATATTCAACAAATATTTATTGAATAACTACTATGTGCCTGGCACAGTAAAATTTGATTCCATTATATGTCAGTCAGTCAAGTTCTCTTTTGTAGCCTCAAACTGTACAATGAACTAAAACCAGAAAATTCACAAATAGAAGCTTTTCATAACAAAATTGACCAGGAAACAGAATGGCATCTCTTTTGAACAACTGACTGACCCATAACAGCCTATAAAATCCTTAAGTCAGCAGGGTGCAGTAGCATGTGCCTATAGTCCCAGCTACTTGGGAGACTGAGGCAGTAGGATAACTTGAGCCCAGAAGCTTGAGGCTATAGTGTGCTATTATCACACCTGTGAATACTCACGGCACTCCAGCCTGGGAAGCATAGTGAGATCCTGTCTCTTAAAAAAAACAAAACAAAACAAAACAAAAAAAACTGTAAGTCTTCTTACCCAGAAATAAAACAAAACAAGTTCCTTTTTTTTAAACAGAAAATAAGTCTGTTTAGTGCTATTAAACAATCAAATAGCCTCCCCTTTTTTCTGTGTTTGCGATGACATTTTCACCATTACCTTCTGTTTCATAATGCATGTGAAGGAACTTTGTGCTCTTCAGATATTGTTTGTCTATAAGTGCAGTCCCACCCAGTGAGTGCCAAATCTTACTGGACACCACCACTTAGAAGTCCCTCTGTTACCTTAACTTCTAAAATCCCAAAACTAAACTTGTTTCCTCCGAAATCTGCTCTGTTTCTGTGTTCCTTATTTCAGTTAATTGTACCTGTACATTCAACTGCCTAAGGAACAGATTTCATCACTGATTAGGACCTCTGGAAACCCTAAATATGGAGAAAATAATGATGCAGCCCCTACTCCCACTAAGCACACGTACTTTACAAACTATTCATAGAATCAGTATAAAGTCTAACAAAAATCTGATTTTTCCCATGATGACAACTTTAACATCTTCGAACTCTAAAATGTTGAATTATTCAAAAACTATTTCAGTAGCTCCATTTGCAGGCAGCCTCAGTGTCTACTGAGAAACCCAACATTGCTGGACTTCATATCCAATGCAACTGCCTCCTTGACAGCTGCCTGAGCCTCCTTATTGGTGTCTCTACCTATACCTTTCTCACCTCAAGTCTGCCCTTCACAGTGTTGTCAGAGTCATCTCCGCAAAAGCAGACCTGATTATGTTATTTCTCTTCATAAAACTCTTAACTTCTTAGCAGGACACTCAAGGCCCTTCCAAAATTAGCAACAACATACCATTCTTGGATCATTTCCAGATGCTTCCCTCTTGCCCTGTCTCTTCCCCCCAGATCTCTAACCACAGCACTCACCACAGATGCCACATAATTTCCTATCTCCTGAATTCTTGTTACTTTCTTTACCTATTCCCGTTTCCCTTTCATTGGTATTGTTTTCTCATTTCAATAATTTGCTAAAATTACTTTTAGTTATTCAATACCTTAACTGAATGTCTCTGTTTAAATCACTTCTAACCACTCACATTCACAGTGGAAGTAACTGCCTTTTTCGACTTTCTATGTAAGTTGGTTTTTAAACACATAAAGCCCGAATACCTTGTTTTGTGATTAGAGCCCATTTTTCTGCTACCTCTGAGTCCTTTTAAGGACAAGAACCGTGTCTAACCGTCCACCCCTTCCTCCTTTCCAGGTCCTGTAGAACATAGCTGCGCCTGGAATTGAATGATCGTGTTTTCCGTGCAGAGCTATCTGCCTTTGGACAGGAGGAGAACTCTCAGCACCATTCCCTTTCCACGGGAGCTTCTTTTTTCTCATTCTTTTTCTTGCCTCCCTCAACTCCCATCCTCTGTTCTGGGAGAAGGTGAAGCTGGCCTGACAGGCCTGAGGGAAGCCGGACGGAGGCACACTTGCCAGCTTTTAGTTGAGGGAGGCACCGCAGCAAGGCTCTCCAGTCCCTCCTTCCCTGGGAGCACCAGCTCTGATTCTAGTGGGCAGCTGCAGCTAAGACGAAGACAAATGAATCCAGAGACTTCTCTCGAGCTATGAGCCTGAGCCAAAGGCACAGCCCAGCTGTCCAGAGAGCTTTGTGACAGAACATGGGGGGCCAGCTGACAGGAACCGAGGCACTTTTAAATTTAGCACTTGTCCTCGCCCTTTCGGTTCACGATTTCTTGGAAGTTTCATTTGGAAAAAGAGGTGAGGGACAGAAGTAGAAGTTGGGAATTCTAGATCCCTTGATTCTAGAATATTCTAAGATCTTCCAAACTAACCCTGATTCCTAAAAACAGAATAGGACAATCTTGTTTTCGGTATTGAGAATAGCAAATATAGAAATCCCTTAATTCTTTGACTTAGCTTAGCAGGTGCAATTAGTTCTATCCCTAAGCCTTCTTACCAGAAAATTTTCTAGTGTAAAATGATTGGATGGGATACCAATTGGGATGGGTGTGGTAATAGTAAAACCATATTCTTTAATAACTTTTTCTTATTTGTTTTCCTGGAATTTTGGTTGGCATTTTTTAATGAATTACATGCTTATTTTTAAAAATTATTATGATGGAGAATTTTTGTTAGGCAGAATTTCAAATCTGTCATCTGCTGTTGACTCTTACTTTCACTACAAATTTACGAAGGTAGAGAGACCCAGTTCTTACTTAAGTTATATCTAACATAAAAATACAATTCTGTCCCAATCTGTTCATTTAAAGGGTAAATTTATAGCATCTGTTCAACTTTATATGCTATCTCAAAATTGTCAACATTTTAAGCAAGGTGCTACCTAATTTTAATGGGTGCACAAGAGGGAAAAGTGGGTCATTGACTTCAAAGGCGAAACTATAAGCTATTAATGGGCTACGTTGTGCTGAATTACAATCTCTTTTCTTGTTTCAAGTTAAAATTTTTAAGTGGCCACATGTTTGGCATTGTAATTGATACCACAATGCTGCTGTTCCTTGACTCATTCATTCTCAAATGTATATATATATATATTCTTAGTTCACAAATTTCTATTTCTTTTACACAAGTTGCTATTTCTTGTAGTGTTCATGAACTGGGTATGCTGTCCTTTGTAATGAAAGACTACAGACTGCCATGAATAGTACCTTGGCTTCTTTTTTTACAGTGTGGAATGAGAGCATTTATTATTGTTGCATTATTGTATTTTTGAATAAAAATCCCTATTCCCACTGTACCAAATCAAATGAGCTTGTGTTGAATTTTATTCATCAGAATTGTGGTTAATGCAGTCCTCAGCTATGGCACTAGTTAGGGCCTGCCCAGGACTGCTGAAGAGCTGGCTTTGTGATTTACCTGGCTCAGTATGTGATCAAGCATCTCCATTATTGGAATAAAATAAAAACTTTCAAGATCATGGTTGTGCAATAGAGAAAACAATTTTACCTCTGCACTAACACTCAAATGCTACACTAATCTACAGTAATTCTGTTATTGCATTTGGAAGCAATTCCTTCTATTCATTCAGAGATAACTGTTACAATACAATAGGCTGCCTCCTGCCTTTTCCCCTCAGTGAGCAAAATATGCTGTTCATTGCAAAGTAACCTAACAGTAGTAGGTTTACGTGTTTGTTTCTATGTGAATTAACGTGTGCATGAAGACCATCAGGAGGCTTGGTTTGTATTATGAGGCTATAGGAAAACATGTACATAGGCTACAGGACATTCCAACAAAATGTGCACGGGGAGGAGATTATGGCCTTCCTCAGATTTTAGTGAAAAATCTAATAAAAGATTCTTTGCCTCTAGTAGTCCCACCAGTGCAACTCTGGCTCAAGAATTGAGCAGCCTGGATGGTTTCAGTATCATTATGTAAAGGAAATTATTTGTTAAACAAATATTGCACTTTCGTTCTCTATGTACCACTATGGATTTGACTCACTGATTTTTCTCTTTGTGTCTTAAGTTTAAACCTTGCTTCCGGATTTAAATCAATCACTCTAGGTAGAAGAAAATTAATTTTGTATAAGAAAATGACCAAAAGTCCCTTGCTACTTCCCATTCTTAATTGGAATGTTTGATGTTAACATTTATACACCAAAAAACACTCCCTTCCATGCCTGCCTGTAAACTGATACTTAATAATTTCAAACTATATCCTTACTGTCCACCTAGAATGAGGAACAGATAGTAGTTTAATAGATGACAACAAATATGAGATACATATATTAATTTACCAGTGCTTCTATTTTTCTTTTATCATCATGTTTTTCTAATTTTCTGTTTTCTCCATCTTCTCTGCCAACTCCATTATGGGATGCTTTCTTTTAAAATACGATTGGCCACTCTGACCTTTACTCTAATTAAACAAAGCAGATCATCTAGAAGTGACAGATTATTTTACAGTTGGCATCATTGGGTCTCTTAGTTAAAAATCCCTGTTACATGTTAAACATTTAGGCTCGGAATGTGATTCCTGTCACTGAATGGTGTCAACTTTCACACAAACAAGCTAAAATAAACACGAACGATGTAAAGCTTATAGCTAGAGAAATCAACAGTATCTGGGGAATGTAAAAAAGGAGGAATTGAGTATCCACAGCCAAAAGAATTCAAGGCATGAAAATCCCAGGCTAATCACCCTAGACATCTTTGCTTGATTTGATTAAAACATATGTTTTGAATGATGCTTCGATTTAAAAATAGTAGCAAGTCAAAGTACAACTCAATGCCTCTCGAAGTTGGGGAAATGAGGTCACAATAATTACTCAAAAAGAGCCAGTGGAGGATAAAAGTGCCTACTTTTCCGTCCCTACCTTTGACTTTCCTAAGAGTGTCATGGCATGTAATAGCAGTTTCTGAAGTGAGATGACATCACCATATTTAATGCAACAAAAAGGGAAGGGGTTTTGCATACATTTACAATAATAAGGATAGTGTGTTTATTTTGTATGCAATGTGAAACCAAAGAACATTACTGACTTTTAGAGGCTTTGTTTTATAGGATAAAAACAATCAGATTTCTTTCCTGTCTGTATGAGTATCTTAAATCCTTCAATTTTGCTGCAAAGCTTTAGATTAAGTGCTGAGTGACATCCATGTGCCAAAAGTTGTGCCATATTAATATTCAAAGAAAGAACAAAGTAATGAGACTTAATGTAAGTATTAAAAATATTCTGTGTGCGTATCCTTTTTTAATGTTATTCACACATAACCAAAATACATTTCCCTATCCTTTAGTAGTAGTGGCTGTTTCTTTGCATATATCTTTATACGTAATTTCCCTTTTTCTTTTAAGACTATGGTTCTAAAAGGAGAGGTAAAGGAGGTCCAAAGTTATGAGAACAGAAGTAAATACATGGAGGTAGAATGTGGTGCGGTAAGCTAGCAAATTGTGTAATATGCCACACAGGCTTCTATCCTAAATGCCTGACATTCTTCCTTTTGAACACCTCTTGTACAAATGAAAGAGAGCAGGAGAGACAGGATCTTCTCTTTAGGAATACCATTACAATGCTTGGCTCAATTTCCTGCCTCCCCCTTTTCACCCCACCCCAACTTTCTAGTTAGGAAAGTTGTAGCTTTTAAGTCATGCTTGAATACTCAAGGAGACAAGTTCAGAGGATTCTCTTGTGACTTTGTAGCTTCTCAGCTTGAGCTGATATTAGGTATCCCTGACTGCTGTCAGCCTTAGAAGATCCGTCATCCAGTCCTCACCTCCTGGATGAAACGCCATTGGGTGTAGCTTTGAAAACCACATTGCTTTATGTTCTCAACATTGGACTTGCTCCCCACACATGGCTGTCAGCATTATGCTCATTCTCTGAAAACCACGTATTCTAAAGGATTTCTCACTAACATGAAGGCCCAAAGCAATGAACAATATTAAAAATGTTGCTTTTCCTACCTTTATAGGTGTCACTGCATATGTAAATATAACTTTCCTAACAAAATTTTTTGAGGGAACCATCTGAAATAATATGGAAATGTTCATATGAGATCATATGTTGAGCCCCTTTTCTTTTCCTCTGGTATTTTGACATCAATATCCAAAGTAAATCTATACTTTTTAATTCAGTTTATTAATTCAGGTTTTTGCATACACAGCAAATTATTTTTATTAATTATCTTTTTTTGAATACAAAACTTTTGACAACTATAAAGACACTGATGTATTGAAAAAATTATTTTGGCTAGTGCTAAAATTATTTGTAAGAACCAGATTATTTTAGACACCAAATCTTTTTAGGGGAGAGGTTTTAAATTCAAAATTCTGGTTGAAACGTACAAGGTAGATGAAAGGAAGAGTAACCCTAAGTGGATTTCTTCTCTCCATTTTTGAGTGAAGGTGACAGAGGAATCAGGTCTTCAACTCTCAGAGAACAGGGATATTCTAATTTGCTGATTTTTTTGACATTATGATAAGCCAGGTTTGAGGAGGTAAACCTGCTACCTGTGTATGCTAGCCATCACTGAGCACGAATGACCTGATTCATTCAATGTGAGTGTATCTGGTGACACTCACTCACTGTCCTGATAAACACTGTTCTCGCATGAAAGAACACTGAGAGGAAAAGCTAAAACGTCTGCAGTAGTTTCCAAGAGGAGTATGTTTTTCTCTTTTTCTAGTATAATGCCTAACATGTGCTGAGCATCACATGGGGACAGATCTCAGGTTTTGAGATGTCTAAAGCTATCCCATTGGGATAATCTTTTTAAGAAAAAAGCATTAAGCTCATGCTCTAAAAGCCATATATTCTAAAGGATTTCTCACTAACATGAAGGCCCCAAGAAATGAACAATATAAAAAAGGTTGCTTTTCCTATCTTTGTATCACTTCATATGTAAATGTAAGTTCTGTAGCAAAGTTTTCCTGGGGAACTCTCTGAAAATAATATAAAAATGTTCTCATGGGATCATATGTTTATCACTTTTTCCTTTTCTCTGATATATTTTACATTAATATCCAAAATAAACCTTTATCCTTTTAAGAAAAAAGATCACAAAATTAACAAATATTATTATTAATTTTTATTTTGCATGAGAAAAAGAAATCACAACAAATTATACATTTTAAAGATCTCACAAATGTCACAAACACCACAAAATTCAGAAAAATAGCATAATATTTTTATCAATTAACTGCCTGTCATACCGCTATAATATTTCTTTGTATTTTGGTTGCCCTCTTTGAGTGTTCCTTTGAGATGGTTTGGCTCTGTGTCCCCACCCAAATCTCAAGTTGAATTGTGATCCCTAGTATTGGAGGTGGGGCCTGGGGGTGACCCCAAAAGTGGTGACTGGATCATGGGGGTGATGACTGGATCATGGGGGTGGTGGTTTCTGATGGTTTAGTGCCATCCCCTTGGTGTTGTCTCATGATGGAGTTCTCATGAGATCTTGTTGTTTAAAAGTGTGTGGCACTTCCCCCTTCACACTCTCTTTCATGCTTTACCATGTGAACAAGGTGCTTGCTTCCCCTTCTCCTTCTTCTATGATTGTAATTTCCTGAGTCCTCCCCAGCCATGCTTCCTATACAGAATGCAGAACCATGAGGCAATTAAAACACTTTTCTTTTAAAATTACCCAGTCTCAGGTAATTCTATATAGCAGTGTGAGAACAGACAAATACACTCATCTTGAACAATGTGATGTCATTTTCTGCAGAGAATAGAAAGATGATTCTGCTTTTCATATAGGGTGGTTGATTGAAATGTATTGTTACTGTTTTTCTATTACTGATAGTTGACAACATTTTTTTAGGTTCAAAATCACTGCAGTAACATAATACACATTTTTATGGGGAACCTGTATCAATTTTATTTGACATATGAGCTATAAGATCCATAAGGATTTTCCACAGATGAGATTCTGGCCCTGTGCCTTTGTTTTCCTCCATTACCCACTTCCATCTTGGTGACAAAAATTGTAGGACATATCTCTTTTGCAGTCAGTCTCTGTCCCTGCACCATTTCCTCATGACACAGCGTGAATTAGGCAGTTTGTAACACGAGCATTCCTAGAAGCCATTCAGATACCAGGACAACTGGAAGCATCTTACCAAGAAGTTAGTGTGACATTGAGATTCTTCTCTGGGTCTCAGGCCACTTGTGGCCCCTAGATAAAGCAGTTAAAATGTATCAGTTTAAATTTCTGCAGTTGCTCCAATGCTGCCCAACATAAGGAGAAGGAGCTGAAAGGGAAATTGGAGTGGAAAAAGATAATAGTCTTGGCCAATCAGAGTTAAAATACTTTACTTTTGCAAACTTTACAAAACACCACATGAACAGGGCTTCCTCCTAAGGCTTTGGGTGGGCCCGTGCAAGTGAGGCATCCTGAAGTTTAAGCCTTACCACTTTGATGTTAAATCCATATTTGGGGCCAAATGCTATTTTACAACTTTTATATGCAATTTATTTATTTATTTAGATATAACTCACATACTATAAATTTCATCATGTTAAAATCTATAATTCAGTATACATTAGTATAAGATTGTGTCACCGTCACCACTATAGAATTCCAAACATTTCCAACACCTCTAAAAGAAATGCTGCACTGGTAGCAGTCACTCCTTACTCTCCGTTAGCCGCAGCCCCTGTCAATCATGAATCTGCTACTATTTCTATGGATATGCTCATTCAGGACATTTCATATGGATCATGTAATATTTGGCCTTTTGTTTTGGTTGGCTTCTTTCACTTAGAATGCTTTCAAGGTTTATCCATGTTGTTGCATGCATTAATGTTTCAATCCTTTTTGAGCCCAAATAATATTCCATTGTATTGATATACCAGGTTTTATTGTTCTACTCCTCTGTTCATGAATATTTGTGTTGTTTTCCACTCTGGCTATTATCTACAGTACTGCTGTGAACATTTGTATCCAAGTTTTTGCGTGGATATATATGTTCAGTTCTCCTGAGTATATACTTAGAAATGGAATTGCTGGGTCATATGGCAACTCTATGTCTAGTTTTTTAAGGAACTGCCAAACTGTTTTCTTAAGTATCTGTGCTATTTCCTATACCTACCTACAGTGAATGAGAGTTTGAGTTTCTCCATATTCTTACCAACACTTTTTATATTCTGTCATTTTTTATCATAGCCTTCCTAGTGGGTATGAAATTCCATTTCAGTGTGGTTTTGATTTGCATTTCCCTAATGATTAATGATATTGGAGCATCTTTTCATGTATTTTATTTGCTATTTGTGTATTTTCTTTGGAAAACGTCTATTCAAATATTTGTGTTAATTTCTAATTGAGTTACTAATCTACTTATTGAGTTAGAAAAGCTCTTTATATATTCTAATACTATTCTCTTATCAGGTATAGGATTTGCAAATATTGTCTCCCACATGAGTCGTTTTTCACTTTCTTGAGAAGCTACAAGTCTTGTACTTCTTTGTTATATTTATTCCTAAGTATTTTTTTGATGCAATTGTAAATGGAATTTGTTTTTAAATTTTGTTTTTATATTATTCACTGCCTGTATATAGAAATGAATTGATTTTTTATGTGGTTCTTGTATCTTTTAAGATTGCTGAACTGACTTATTAGCTATAATAGTTTTGGAATTTTTTACATAGAAATTCCTTAGGATTTTCTCTATACAAGATCATGTCATCTACAAACAGATAATTTTGTTTTTTCTTTCCAATCTGGTTGCTTTACATTTCTTTCTCCTGTCTAATTTTCCCAACCTTGTGTTTCTGGGATAAATTTCACTTGGTCATGGTGTATATACTACTTTATATGTCACCAGATCAGTGTACTAGTATTTTCTTGAGAAGTTTTATGTCTATATATATATAGCTTTCTTTCTTGTAATGTGTCTTTCTGTCTTTGGTTTTGAAAATGAGTTGAGAGGAGCTTCCTTGTTTTCTTTCTTTTTTTTTTTTTTTTGAGTTGTGAATAATTGGAGTTAATTCTTTTTTAACTGTTTGGTAGAACTCAGCAGTGAAGCCATCTGGTCCTGGGTTTTTCTTTGTGGAAAGTTCTCGGTTACTAATTTAATCACTTTTTTTTGTTATGAGTCTATTGTGATTATTTCCTCTTGTATCATTTTTGGTAATTTCTATCTTTCTAAGAATGTTCTCCCCACAGTGCTACAATTTTCATCACAAAGTGTAACATCTCTGTCATAGCCCGGAGGCGAATCCCACACCTCTGGATACTTTCTCAGAGGTCCCCAGGGGCCTGAAACCAAGGGAAGACTCTCCTGTAACACTAAACTGAACTCTGCTTCCCAGCTCTCTGCTGGAACAATGTTATTTGAAAACTACAAAGTGGAGGATGGCGAAATCTGGAGAACTAGCATATTTATTCCATTTGTATTCTTTAAATTTGTACATTTATTAGAACATCATTTTCATATATTTTAAATTCAAACTTTAAATTTTATTTTCTTAATGTATTTTCTTACGCTTACTTAATTTTTACTTCACATAATTTCACTCATGACATTTTAGCTTTTTATTGTCTTATACTTGTCATATTTTCTTTTCAAATCTTGGGGTATTTTATTAAGTAGAATTAATGGCAAATTTTATAATAGTTTATATTTTTATATTATCTTAAAGTTTACCTTAAATAATGTCTTCTCATATTTTAAGTGCCCCCCTTTTTTTAGAATGTTGCATATGCTCAGATAATGCCAAAACAAAAAGAACAAGCCACAGTTTCCAACTTTAAGAGGTTTGCTCTGTTAGTAAGTGTTTCAATTGTTCTTTACATTTCCATTTCTAACTTTCATTCCTACAGTTTTTTTTATTATTCTCAATTTATCAGCGATGTTGTATATTAATAAACGATAACATTTTTGATACTTACTAACATGCTGGGTACCTTGCTTAGCCTGTTTCATAATTGAGCTCTATATATTATCATGACTTAGATAATATTACCATGACTTTTATTTTGCAGATGATGAAATTAAGTTCCCAGAAATACAAGTAAATTGGCAAAGGTTATAATAGCAACTAAGAATCAAATCTGAGATGCAAAGTTGCTCTTAACCAACACACTTTTCTAATTAACATTTAATCTTAAAGCCAAGTATGGTTAACTTCTTAAACCTAATTTCAAAGACATTCTGTACCAGACAGCAACAGGCAGATCAATGCTAGAATTCTTAAAAATAAACGTGTCTTGGCTTGTAGTAATGTTATGTCAAGTGAGATGGGGCATAAATATTTTTGATTCAGACAACCTAAATCACATTATAAGCAATTTTCCTTAAACAATGTGTTTCCAAATCTGTTACATATTTTTTGTTACATATTTAAATTCATGGTGTTCAGGCAAAATAACTAGTTCATATAGAGCTAGTCTTCCATAATTCAACTTCCCATGAACATTCTCCTCTTAAAAACTAAGCTATGGCCAGGCGTGGTGGCTCACGCCTGTAATCCCAGCACTTTGGGAGGCCGAGGCAGGCAGATCACAAGGTCAAGAGATTGAGACCATCCTGGCCAACATGGTGCAATCCTGTCTCTACTAAAAATACAAAAATCAGCCAGGTATGGTGGCAGGTGCCCATAGTCCCAGCTACTCTGGAGGCTGAAGCAGGAGGATCACTTGAACCTGGGCGGCGGAGGTTGAAGTGACCTGAGATCACACCATTGCACTCCAGCCTGGGCGACAAGAACAAAACTCTGTCTCAAAAAACAAAACAAAACAAAACTAAGCAACTTGGCCAGGGATCCAAACATGATATAATTAATAGCACTGCTATTTAAGTAAAATATCTCTGTGCAAAACATAAGAGGACAGAAACAACAAGTCTATACTTTCAACTCCAACTTATACCCTGAAGTCTAAAGCAACACTTATAAACCCATCTATATCTACGTCTAACCAATCTCATCCCTAACCAATCTCTTCCTCTTCATCCAAATGTTTTCCTTTTTCTGTAATCATTGTTTCAGCGACTAGCATGGCCATCCACCCAGCACCCAAGCCAGAAAACTGGAAACCATGGACACTTCTTGTTTATATTTTATCTCCACTAAAATCCCTCCTGCTAAACACATTCAATCAACCTGTGTCCTTTCGATTCATACTCTCAAACAGGTCTTATTTCATTCATACTTTTTATTGCCACAGTTATTGCCCTATTTTGAGGCTTGCTTTGCTTCAGGCTGTTCTTTCTATTCCTCTGTCTCTTCAGAGTCTAACCTTCAAATTTGCCTTTCTCTCAACTCCATTCATTCTCTGCACTGCTGCCATGATAACCCTTTTTTTTTTTTTTCCAGAATCTTTGTCACCCAGGCTGGAGTGCAGTGACACAATCTTGGCTCACTGCGACCTCCGCCTCCCAGGTTCAAGCAATTCTCCTGCCTCAGCCTCCCGAGAAGCTGGCATTATAAGCGTGAGCCACCGCGCCTGGCCAAAATCTTTTAAAAATTCAAATCTGCTCAAACAAAATTGTCAAATCTGATAGACGACATTAAGAATTCTTAGCATGGCTTATACAGCCAACTCTAGTTTGGTCTCCAGTTGACTATCTACCCTCACTATTTCTTGCTTTCATAAATGGGGGTTAATGTAAGAACTTTTACATTGTTAAAGTCTTCAAGCTGTAACCACTTGTAAGGATGAATGGGGTTATACTCTTAATAATCAATTGTATTTTATAAATCTATGTTCACACATGCTAATTTCTATTCCTTCTAAAAACCTCACTCAATGTGAGTTTTTTTGTGTGTCCTTGGGACTGTTTCATGTGAGCTCATGAACATTCTTCTTGGCCATGGCTGCTATCTAGAAACAACTCTATTGTTCTTATCTTTCCTACTGGGAAAGTTCTTTTGTCCATATCAAGAATTTCATGATGTTTCCCACTCTGCCACAGAGATTCAAGTCAGGTCTGGGACCTCTAATCTTATTCTATAATACGAGATTGTATTTTTATCAGATTAATTCTCCAGTTTTCTTTATTTCTTCTTTTAAAAAATCCCTCTAGGAAACTACTCTTCCCTCCTCATTCTTTTTGGGGAACCTCTTTGTGCACCCTATTAAGACCTGTAACTTAGTTTGCATATTCATTTACAGTCTTAATCATTTCACTCCCTATTTCTTGATTTCACCATAAAGTTTCCAGGGTGGACACCCTATTCGTATTTTCAGCATCTACCACAGTGCCTGGAACACAGAATATACTCAAATGTTTGTTAAGTATACACAGACTGTTCTTTCCAATGTACAAACAGAGAAGCATAATTTTGGAAGCAACAATTTACTACCTTATTTTTCCTACTTTGTTTTCTGTCAGAAGTTTTATTTTTGAATAAATTCAAATGCTTTGTTTTCAAATATTATTACTAAATTTTCAATAACAAACTATAGAAAAGTTAATATAGGTGACTATGATCATAAAGAAAGAGACTCTTTACACTCAGTGATGTGAGTCATTAATTAGACATCTCATTTATCAAAAGACCTAACTAGAAAAAACAAAGAACAAGAACTAACACAGGATTCTGGTTTTGTTAGGAAAAAAAAAAAAGTTCAAGGAACCTGTATTTAATCAAAACACACAAAACAATCTCCAGATACTGTCTGGCAACAAATTTAGAATTTGCAGAGTTGAAATGTTGATTTGCTTAGCTATAAATATTACCTTGATGAAAGACAGCCCTAACTCTGTCTTCTACCACTTCATGTCTGATAAGAAGGTTACTATTACGTGTGTTTTCTTAGGAACCCATTAAATCTAACTTTTCTGGAACCATCTACAGAGACATAATTATTCAACATGAAGAGAGATATCCAGATTTTTTTTTTAAGGAAAATGCCTATAAAACAAAAGTGGGGAAGAAAAGAAAGAGAGCAAGAAGAGCGAAAATTTTATTCAAAATTAAGGACTAATCCAGCAGCTTTACAAAAAATGATAGAAAACTCCTTTTCATGTCAATGAGAATTCTGAATTCTCAAGTTTGGGCATAGGGCCCATCCTGTGATATGTTAACTAAAAGAAAAAATTTCTTTTTCAGGCATCTGCCTTCCTTTTTTTTCTATTTCCATGGCAAGCTGTTTCAAGGTGCTTCATGAAAAGCTTCTCAAAACCAATGTGCTCTAAAAGCCACAAGTTTGATGACTGATGAAAGAGTCGCAAGAGAGAGTTTTTGCATCTCCTCTTTAACAGAGATCTTGAAAAGCCAAATGACTGCGAAAGAACATGATTCATCTTGTGCAAATGCTGAAGAGTATGTTTAACTGTCACCTACTGCATTTTGCAGCAGCGCCTATTCAAAAGCTCCCCAAAAGATGCAAGTGCCATTCTGAGGAGGGAGAAAAAACTGAGTCATGATAAATATCATGCTGAACTTTCTTTCATTTGTGGAAATTGTGGGTGTTTAAATGTTACAAATAGTCACATTTCTATTCACATTATGTGAAAACACGTATAGTAAGTCCTCAACTATACAGAGCTCCCTGAAAATGAGTTATTCTGAACAGCTGAATGTTCCAGATGGCTTTGAGTTAACCCACTGAGTTCCAGCTAGAACATAGCAAATATCTTCAAAATAGACTGAGTTTTGTTCATCTGAAATTTTTCAGGGAATAGACCATGCTTAAAAATGAGTCAAATTTTTAAAAGTTTGTTCTGTAAGGGTACATACTGTGCAAAGTATTTAGCACAGTTCTCTCTATAAATAAATACCCCAAGAAACAGTACTAATTGCTGCTACTACTTATTTTGACTACAACCACAATTTCTACAGGTTCTTAATCTTTTTTGGTAAACTTTGTGTTAGAGTTAAGCCACCCTTGTATCATCTGACTGAGTAAAACAGAAAAGAATTAAGAAGACTAATTTCAATGAATGGGCTGTATGGTGTTATACTACAACTTTATTGTAATTCAACGCCTGCAAAAGAACTAAACAGAAATATTCAGTGACTCTAATAATAAGGCAAATTAGTCATTATTGCATTGACCCATTAACATGTTACACAATTCTTCCTGTGCACGCATGTCTGTTTCTTCCTTTAAGATTATTACAATTTTTGAGGTTTCTTTCCTCTGATATTTGAGAGAATTATGTCTACAGCTTAGTGGAGTGATTGACATATAGCTGGTAAAAAAATGTTTGTTTAATAATGAATTCTGAAGCCGCCTCCAATGTGCTGCATTTGTACTTGACATTGCACAGGTTTTCATGCTGCCTCTTTTTAGTTTTTTTTTTTTTTTGTAGTTTTATCAGAAGGGCAAAGTGAATAATCTTCCAAATTGTTGGACTATAGTGATTTGTGTATCTTCAAGGACTAAACCATAAGTTTCTTGTGATTGGGAACCATGTTGTATTCAACTTTATCCAACTAGAGCCATTGTGGCTTCTACCACATAGTAGCCATTCAATATTTATGGACTGAATGAGCATAATACTGGTGATATTTTCTAATCATATTCTTTTTTCCCCCTTTCTCCACCATGGTGATTTCATTTTTCTATTCCTAAGGGACTACAACTTGTGAGGTTCGAGTAGATTTTTCTTTTGACCCAGCAGAGGTATTCTTTCTATGACATAGCTTATAGATAACACACTATTATAATTATTCCCTCAACAAATAATTACAAACTAATGGTTGAGAGCAAATCTTTGGAGTCAGAGAGACGTGTTTGAAATCCAGCTCCGTCACCAACTGCTTTTGTGACCTCGGAAATGTAACATAACTTTTCTTATCCCTTGTGAATAAAGTTTACAAAGACCTAACGGCTGTCTAGAGGATCAAGTGAGTTAATTTCCATATAGCCTTTAGGAGCGTGCCTGACCTTAGTAAGGTGCTAAGTACCCACAATGAGCCTTTTAATATCTTATGTGTGTATTATACCCTGTAGGAACCATGTTGTAAAAAGATCAGGAAAATACACTTTAGTCATTACAAGGTATTGCAATATTTTCTTTTTACACCACCATTTGATCTGATAGCTTTACCCCTTTTGACTAGGTTTGTTCATTGCCTTTGGTTATTTCTTTATCAATAGAGAGGTTTTGTTTGGCTTAGTTTTGGTGCCTTTAGATAAGAAATTGTTCCAGGAGCCTGAGAATTCTGAAAAGCTAATCTCTGAACAATTGTAGTTTTAATTCCCTAATATTGTTCAAACTATTAATCACTTTTGAATCCTGTAATTTTGTCATATAGTATTTTAGAAATCAATGCTTCTGATTCCTTGATATTACTAACAAGTGCAGAGGAGAAAGATGAAAAACAATTTTTTCTTAATAGTTATAAATTTTATCTTTGGTTAAACATTTTCTTTGTGTTATACTTAGAGAAATACATATATCTTACTTTGCATATTTAATAATGGGTATACAATTTTTGAGAAAAGAACTGTAGTTTGTGAGGAGTGAGACAAGACAGCTATATATCACAAAAATTCATTATCAAACTCGGTTTTACTGAGCATCAAGGATCATAAGGAAAATACTACATGCATCTGAGGTCACTTTATTATTAAGATCATATAAAATTGATATAAAACAGTAAAGAAAGAAAAATCTTTCACAGATTTTTAAGATTGTGAAAACATCAAAAATTCTAAATAACACATAGATTCATGTGAAATTAAATGAATTCTACATGATTCTATGTGTTAAATTCTAAACTCATGTTGAATTAACATTTATTTAGAATATTAAGAATGAAACATAACAACTATGTTTCATTCTTAGTATTAAAGGAATTCATCTTGGGACATATTTTTTGTCCTCACGCACACATCACAAATCCATAGGTGATCTCATCAACTTTCACTGCTTTTAAAGACCTGAGGAGATACTTCACAAAATCCAATAAGCAAGGAAAAGCTGTTTAGTAATATTAATCATTAGGGAAATGCAAATTAAAATCACGATGTAATACCATTAGACCACCCAATTAGAATGGCTAAAATCAAAAAGACTGACAACACAAAGCGCTGGTGAAAAATGTGGACCAACCAAACTTAATTCTCATATATTGCTGGAAAACAATCTGGCAGTTTCTTAAAATGTTAAATGTATAGATAATATCTCAGCAACTTCACTACTAGGCATTTACCCAAGAGCAATGAAGGCGTATACACACCAAAATGCTGGTATGTTCATATCAGCTTTATTCATGATAGACCAAACTGGAAACAACCAAATGTCCATGAGCTGATGAAGACATAAAGAAATTGTCATATATTCATACAATGGTATACTACTCAGAAATAAAATGCCTCAAATTACTGATACATAAGACAACATGAATAAATCTCACAGATATAACATTAAGGGGAAAATGCCTGAGACAAAAGATATATACTTGATAATTACATTTACGTGAATTTCTGACAAGGGAAACCTGAGTAATGGTAAAACACATCAGCTCAGTGGTTGCAGGATGAGGAGCGTTAATTGAAGAAAAGCATGAAGGAACTTACTGGGGTGATAGAAATGTTCTACTCCGGCATAGGGTGGTGAGTACATGGGTGTATACACGTCTGTCAAAACTCTAACTGGGCAGGGTGCAGTGGCTCACGCCTGTAATCCCAGCACTTTCACTGGCCGAGCCAGGTGGATCAATTGAGGTCAGGATTTCCAGACCAGCCTGGGCATCATGGTGAAAATCCATCTCTACTAAAAATACAAAAATTAGCTGAGTGTGGTGGTGCACACCTGTAATCCCAGCTATTTGAGAGGCTGAGGCAGGAGAATTGCTTGAACCCAGGAGGAGGCAGAGGTTACAGTGAGCCAAGATCATGCCATTGTACTTCAGCCTGGGAAACAAGAGAGAAACTCCATCTCAAAACAAACAAACAAACAAAACAAAAAACAAACAACAACAACAACAACAAAAATCTCTAACTGGACTTCAATATTGGGACATACTGCAAATACATAATTTGTATGAGAATTTGTCCCAAGATCATTTAAATTCATTTTAATCCATCCATTCATTCAAAATCATGTTCACAGTAGAGGGATAAAACAATAACCAAAAAAAAGACAATTTCTTCCTTCTGCCTTCAGAAGCTTACAGCTTAGTAGGAAAACCAGATGTTGTCAAAATATCAACAATAAACATATAATTACAAACTGTGATGCAAATACTGCAAAGGAGGCATACCGAGTTACAAGGCAGCCAATAAAGGGATTCCCAAGCTAGTGGGTGCTGGGGGAAGAAAATGCCAAGAGGGAGGTTTTCCCTAAAGGTGGGTTTTAGTCCACTGCCGTTGAGATCACAGAAATTGGAGTCAGACTGCCCGGGTTGGAAGACTGGATCTATCACTCATGCAGTGTGTAACCTCAGGCACACTTTAAGTGTCAGTTTCCTTATCTGTAGATATTAAAGCAGTATCTATGTTTACACATATCTACATATATTAAAACTATGTTAGAATTTATTTCAAGTACTTAACATGACCAAATCTAATGAAAATTGTGATTGACACAAACTAGTGCTTTTTCAGTGCAAAGATAAGAATAGAAGCTAACTTTGAGTGAGCTGAAGGGAGGATGGAGGTGAGAAAAGAGAGACACTTAACATAGACACCTCCTTTAAGGAGTTTTGCCATGCAGATGAACAGAGAACAAGAACTGTGGCTGGAGTTCAAGAAGCCAAGGGATAATTTCATTTGTTTATTTGTACTATGCGAGCTACTCTGGCATGCTAGTAGGAATGACCCATTTTAGTAGAAAAAACTGATGATGCAGGAGCTGGCAAAAACTGCAAGAATAAAGTCTTACGTGGGTGAGGGATGGCTGGAATTAAACAGGAGCTGGGACAGTTATTCTATTATAACAACAGTTTTAAAATTTAGGTTAGCTCAATGCATTCATGAAAAATTGTGCCAGGTGTAAGAGACAAAGGAGTTAACAAAAAAATACATTTGGTGGGTGGGTGCCAGATGAAATAATTCTCATCTGGCTGTATCTTTTACTAAGGAAGTGTGAAGTCATCAGCTGAGTTTTATCACAGATGTTTGAAGAGGAGAAAATATGAAATAATTTCTGGAAGAGTAAGTAACAATAAATATTTACTGTGGAATATGGGAGGAGCTTTCATGCTGCTTGATGATTTTGTCATTTATTCTACGAAAGAGACCAGTCCTTGTGGATGTTAGAATTTCCTAGCAATTTTCAGCCACCTGGTTGTAGGCATAGAGTGGGGGAGGGACGATTATGATCAAGATTGGGGTTTTGCCAGAACAGTGCTAAGAAATAAGAGGAGAACAAGGTGAAGAGTGTTTGCAGAAGAGAGGCTGCAGCCTTTAGTCCTTGTGATCTACACTTGGCAGGGAGGGACAGTAGGACAGTGGTGGCTCAATGGATCGAAGTTCCCTGTCCATTTGGGGATGGGTGGAGTGGCAGTACAAACCCAAGTCGGCTGTAAGGAACAGGTGACTTTATTGCTGGGTGTGCTTTCCATTTAAGAAACATTCTAGGTCTATTCTCTAAATAACCATTTTGCTGTTATTGGATAAAAAGCCCCTCAAAAGTTGCTCCCAGGAGAAGCTGTGACACTAATTTTGAAATGTTTAATTTGATGTAAAAATGTAATACTTGTAACAGCTTTGCACTATTTATTTTCATAAATGAGGCAGCAAACACTTTATAAATAATTGGGGGCTCTTCACCCCGGCTGTGGGCCACTCTGGCCTCATCTGTTCCCCTACTGTGTCTCCTGAACGTGTGTCCTGCCCAGCAGCACTTCACAGTAGTATTAGATTCTTCGGTTGAAGTCTGTACACAGAGGAGAAATTTGTTGACTCAGTAGAATGGTTGTTAAGTTGTTAGTGTCAGATCACCTGGATAGATAACATTTTAAAAGAAAATTTATAAGGAAAGAATTTTTAAATACTCAAAAACATCAAAAGCAGAGAGAAAAGACAATGAATTCCTGTATGTTACTTTGCCCCGATTCAACAATTGTCAAGAATTTGAAAATGGCTGTGTTTTGAAATTCCTTCCTTTATAACAACATTTTTTGTTTTGTTTTGTTTTGTTTTGTTTTTTGAGACAGAGTCTTGCTCTGTTGCCCAAGCTGGAGTGAAGTGGCACAAACACCTCTCACTGTAGCCTTGACTTCCTGGGCTCAAGTGATCCTCCTGCTTTAGCTTCCCTTGTAGCCGGGACCACAGGCATGCACCACCATGCACAGCTAATTTTTAAAAACACTTCTGTAGAGACAGGGTCACTCTATGTTGCCCAGGCTGATCTCAAACTCTTGGGTTCGAATGATCCTCCCACCTAGGCCTCCCAAAGTGCTGACAACATAATTCTTTAAGGAAAAAATACAACTCTAAAATGATATCTGAGTTAAACGTAACAAATTAAATACTAGTCATGTCTTTTTCAGCATATATTTTCTGGGTTCTTCACATGTACAAAGCAATGTACAAAGAGCTGGCACAGAATTGTAAAGAAGGCAGACGCATCTCTGCCTGAGAGAGGTCTATTTGCATCATCAGAACCAAGTGTGTCTCAGAAAGCTCTAATTCTTTCACTTTTACAATTCATTGATTGTTCCATAGTAGCCAAAACTAAAAAATGTGAATTCTTATCTTAATGCAGAGAACAGGGAGAGCACCTGACATCTAAATTTAAAATCTATAAAAGCTGTTATTGCTTAGGATACATTCTGCTAGTTAACTTTCGCTTTTGTGTTTGCTTTTTAAAAAATCTCTAGTATTCATAACCTATTCTGCCTGTATACCAATATTATTTCTAATTAGGCAGTTAAAGAAGGTTAACTGATTCCAAATTTCCAAAGATCTATTCAGATTAACAATCACATTGATATCTTACTAAACAGAAAAAATAAAATTTAAGCTTTATTCAAATGCAGACAAAATAGTTGTGGGGAATAATAATATAATTGGAGAACTATTAGTATCTTAGGTATTGTTTAGTTCTTCAATTATAGTTGCTAAAATATTCTAGATAATTCCAAGCTAGAGATCACTCCTACAATTTTTCTGTTATATTTGGAATTGCTATGTTGTCACTTATGGGAAAGTTCTCTGACTTAATATCTGTGCCAAATTGTCTGTTGGGAGCTCAGCACTTTTCCTCCTCCTCTTGGCTCTTCTCTGTGTTAAAGAAGCTGGAAGCCTGAGAACTAGATTTCTTGGAGTTTCTGTCAGTAGGGCTCCAGGTAAAACCCTGCCTGTAAGAGGCACAACACATGAAAGGCATTAGCCATATTAACACTCTTATGGCTGCAATGGGCAGATAAGTGTTTTTGGGCAGGTGAGATTTTCAGCAGTCCCTAGATAATTTCTCTTGAACCATTGCTGGAGGCAACAGTTATCATTGTCTAAAGTTTCTGGAAGTTTCTGTCCCTTTCTGAGTCCTTCGAATAGTGGTGAAATGTGGCTGTAGCTGTGCTTTATCTCTGCCTCATACCTCCCAGTATTTCCCTGTATCAAATCTCTTTCTGCTTACTTCAAATAGACAGAGAGGTTTCAGCTTTCCTGACAGGACTTGGACAGATAAATCATTTTTATAATAAATCAGAGGAGATGGAAATTGAGAAAATAGTAGACCCAAAAATTGGGTAGAAGTATTTCTGTAATCATGTTATATTGATCTTTCATTTAGACAAACAGTAGGTACTTAATAAGCACTCCTTCCTTCTTTTTAAATTCACTAAAGAAATAGTATTTGAATAGATTCAGTTTGTGGGACAGAAGAGCCTCACTGACAATTTTAAAATGTACTGTTTACTTGAAACTTGATAAGAAAGTAGATTTCAAGTGTCTTTACCACACAGACACACGAATGCACACACACACATAAATGGTAACTGTGTGTGGTGATGGATATGTTAATTTGTGGTAATAAGTCCACAAAGTATACTGTTATCAAATCATCATGTTGTACGCTTAAAAAATATATAAAATTTTTGTCAATTAAAAATTTTAGGCCTGGCGTGGTGGCTCACGCCTGTAATCCTAGCACTTTGGAAGGCTGAGGAGGGAGGGTCACCTGAGGTCAGGAGTTCGAGACCAGCCTGGCCAACATGGTGAAAACCCATCTCTACTAAAAATACAAAAATTAGCCAGGCGTGGTGGCAGGCACTTGTAATCCCAGCTACTCGGGAGGCTGAGGCAGGAGAATTGCTTGAACCCGGGAGGTGGAGGTTGCCGTGAGTCGAGATCGTGCCACTGGACTCCAGCCTGGGGGACAAGAGAGAGACTTCGTCTCAAAAAAAAAAAAAAAAAAAATTAAAATACAATTAAAAAAAAAGAAAAGAAACCAGTTTCCAGGATATCATAACAAGGACATACAATGTCCTTGGCTTGGAATTATAAGAATAAATAAAGCTGATTAAAAAATAGGAATAACTTACAAATAAATGCCTATTTTGATAGGTTGATATTTTATATTAAAAACAGATCTCATAATATTAACAGGTCTTTGTTTTTAGAATTATTTTTTTCAGGTTACATAGCAAATAAATAACAAAATCTCTTAGTACTATTTCAAACTGAACCGCAATATTATAAACATAAAATGATTTATTCATCTAGGTATATGATTTTTTTTAAATGAAAAGATTCCAATTGGGTGTGATCAAATCTGCATCATATTTTGTTTGCAGAAAGGTTTTATGATTGGAAATTATCTTTGCTCACCCTCCTGAATTAATAAAATGTGGCTGACAGTCACCATAGTCTTATAGGCCACAGTTGTTATGAAAATATGGTTGCTAGGATACCTTCATTATTTCATTGTCATGTTACACCGGTCTATCAATTAATAAAGAAACACTCAAGTTAATTCTCAGTCACATTTATACACATTCTTAGCATATGATTTCCCTTATCTCCAAGTGACATTTCTCCCTGTAGCATTCACCTTCTACTCCATAAAATATTAAACATGAGGTTATCACATCAGTTTACAAATTACAGCAATGATGCACGTCTTCTACTTAACCTTTCCATTCACTTTCCATCATGGTGAAAGTTCTTACAGCAAATATCCATGCCTAAACTAAACTTTTTTTTTCTACCTCTAGATTTACTTCAGAGAAAATTGATGCCTAGGAACAAAATACACGTATTGAATTGATATTTTCAGTCCTTTTTAGTTATTTCTATAGGAAACAGGAAGGTGAAGCAGGCAATCCTTTGAACATCCCTCCTGCATCTTTAGATATTCAAAACGATTCCCAGGTTATTGCTTTAAACTTTAGGGTTAGATTCAAAGAAGATGTCTTATAATGGGTCTTACAAATACATTTCATATGACTATTACATTTCAGTCAAAACTACCAAATGCTGTCTTGCATTGCCACTTGTCAGAACATCATAGGAATAATAGATTAAAATTTTTCATGTGACAAATTCATTTTATTTACACTTTGTCACTTCAAATTAGTGCCTACTCATTTCAGTGTATGGAACCAAAATAAAATGAGTTACATTAATTTTCCAAAAACAAGGATGCAACACATTCTGAGAATTGGCAAAAGCGGAAATGTTGATTCTAATTATAAAACATTATATAAATATAAAAACCTTTTCATGACTTCATATAATTTTGATAACTTCTCAAAAAATTCCAGCAAGTGAAAGTATTGTTACCCCTACTATACAAGAAAACTGAGTAATATCTGGATTTGCAAAGTATCATTCAGTAAATTGTACAATCAAGGATAGACTTAATTGTACAGTCAAGTATACACTTAAGAGATTTCTTTCTTCTTTTTTTTTTTTTTTTGGAAAAAACTACTTTAAAGTTCATATGGAACCAAAAAAGAGCCCGCGTCGCCAAGTCAATCCTAAGTCAAAAGAACAAAGCTGGAGGCATCACGACACCTGACTTCAAACTATACTACAAGGTCTACAGTAACCAAAACAGCATGGTACTGGTACCAAAACAGAGATATAGACCAATGGAACAGAACAGAGCCCTCAGAAATAATGCCGCATATCTACAACTATCTGATCTTTGACAAACCTGACAAAAACAAGAAATGGGGAAAGGATTCCCTATTTAATAAATGGTGCTGGGAAAACTGGCTAGCCATATGTAGAAAACTGAAACTGGATCCCTTCCTTACACCTTATACAAAAATTAATTCAAGATGGATTAAAGACTTACATGTTAGACCTAAAACCATAAAAACCCTAGAAGAAAACCTAGGCAATACCATTCAGGACATAGGCATGGGCAAGGACTTCATGTCTAAAACACCAAAAGCAATGGCAACAAAAGCCAAAATTGACAAGTGAGATCTAATTAAACTAAAGAGCTTCTGCACAGCAAAAGAAACTACCATCAGAGTGAACAGGCAACCTACAGAATGGGAGAAAATTTTTGCAATCTACTCATCTGACAAAGGGCTAATATCCAGAATCTACAATGAACTCAAACAAATTTACAAGAAAAAAACAAACAACCCCATCAAAAAGTGGGCGAAGGATATGAAGAGACACTTCTCAAAAGAAGACATTTATGCAGACAAAAAACACATGAAAAAATGCTCATCATCACTGGCCATCAGAGAAATACAAATCAAAACCACAATGAGATACCATCTCACAACAGTTAGAATGGCAATCATTAAAAAGTCAGGAAACAACAGGTGCTGGAGAGGATGTGGAGAAATAGGAACACTTTTACACTGTTGGTGGGACTGTAAACTAGTTCAACCATTGTGGAAGTCAGTACGGCAATTCCTTAGGGATCTAGAACTAGAAATACCATTTGACGCAGCCATCCCATTATTGGGTATATATCCAAAGGATTATAAATCATGCTGCTATAAAGACACATGCACACGTATGTTTATTGCGGCACTATTCACAATAGCAAAGACTTGGAACCAACCCAAATGTCCAACAATGATAGACTGGATTAAGAAAACGTGGCACATATACACCATGGAATACTATGCAGCCATAAAAAATGAAGAGTTCATGTCCTTTGTAGGGACATGGATGAAACTGGAAATCATCATTCTCAGCAAACTATCGCAAGGACAAAAAACCAAACACTGCATGTTCTCACTCATAGGTGGGAATTGAACAATGAGAACACATGGACACAGGAAGGGGAACATCACACACCAGGGACTGCTGTGGGGTTGGGGGAGGGGAGAGGGATAGCATTAGGAGATATACCTAATGCTAAATGACGAGTTAATGGGTGCAGCACACCAACATGGCACATGTATACATATGTAACAAACCTGCACGTTGTGCACATGTACCCTAAAACTTAAAGTATAATAATAATAAAATTTTTAAAAAAAGATTTCTTAATGTTTAGAATTGTTTTACACTGGGCATGGTGGCTCACGCCTGTAATCCCAGCACTTTGGGAGGTCAAAATGGGTGGATCACGAAGACGAGGTAGAGACCATCCTGGTCAACATGGTGAAACTCTCTTCTCTACTGAAAATACAAAAATTAGCCAGGCATGGTGGTGTGCGCCTGTAGTCCCAGCTACTTGGGAGGCTGAGGCAGGAGAATCACTTGAACCCAGGAGGTGGAGTTTGCAGTGAGCCAAGATCGTGCCACTGCACTCCAGCATGGTGACAGAGTGAGACTCCGTATCAAAAAAAAAAAAAAATTGTTTTAAAGGTACTATCATTCATTCAAATTTCATGATCAATATTTGTCAATATTTGTAGGTGAACAGTTTGTTCAAATTTTATAACTAGTAGAATGCAAGAAAAAGAAAAAAAGAATACACAATTCAAGGAGTGAATGTCTCAACTCTTAAAAATATTTGTAAGCAGTTCAACATATCTTTATATTTGTATATAAGTACATTAAAAGCAATTGTATCAAAACCCAAACTGACCACACAGATGTAATATTTTTTAAACTTCTCCTGTGCCAAAGACTGTACACAGCTGTTTTCAATTCACTGAAATGGATGTGTGGTCTTCCTTTCGTCAAAGAAAAATATCTCTCTCATTTTAAATTTTTATGTGTGGCTTGGCAAATCATATAGTTAAAGTAAGAATATACTCATGTGAAAAAATCTTTATCAATCCTGATGTCCCATGAAATGGGTTAAAACTGTCTTGTAATGAAGTATATGAAATTTACTAATGTTTTTGATGCTTTACAAATGTCTCTCAAGTATTACTCAGATGTGTTTTCAGTATAATTCAACCACATTTTTTAAACTTTGAGAATCAGGAATTTAAACAATGTAATGATAAATTAAGTTCCAGGATTATAGTATTTTTGATGCAATGATGAGATTCAGAGACTTTTGAGTTTCACGCTGCTATCAGTTTCCTTTTTATCACAGATCAATCTTGATTTTTCCTTAGCAAAATATTATATTTCATTTCCCAGAGATTGTGCCCCCGATTCACCTTCACCTACACTTTTGTCAGGCTCAATACATTTTAAATAGTATTCGCTAGGGCAGTATAGAAACATTTTCCCATGCAACTGAAAAAAGCACTCGGTGGTTATGCTTCCTTATGACTTTGGCAGGCCTAACAAAATCTAAACACATTTTTACTTTCTTGTAGGCCCCATTTTTGGTTTTAAATTCATCGTGTAACCTCTGAAAATATTAGAGCGAGGTATGGACTTTAACATGACAAATTTATGTTTTCATCTACAAATTCCTTTCCATTTTTAATGTTAAAAAATTGAAAGTAGGGTTCGACAAATGATTATTATATAAGATTATATTATGAACATATCTTTTCTCAATATTTCAAATAGCTTCAATCATTATTTCCTTGAGATGGCACTAGGGCAACTTTGTTCTTTGTGTTGAACAGTGTACTCTCACTAATTGAAAATATTTATCTCTTCTTTTCCCCATTTATTTTTATAAAATTCTTTTGTATCATAATTTCTAGCCTCAGGACAGAAGCGATTCCCTTTTTGTATATTTCTTCTAACTATAGACATAATGCAATAATTCCAAGCGAGCATTTCACATTTCACAATGACAATTTTTCAAGTCAACTCAATCAAATATTTATTAATGGCCTACTGTGGGTCATAGACAGTAATGGTAGGCTGCTCTTCCTGTCTCACTGTAATCTACAAACCATTGTTAAAATGGCACAATTGACACTAAATCGCCAATTCAGACTCAATGGATGAGATCAACATTGCCTGCACTTTAAGCAGATGTGAAATAAGATGTGATCATTTAATATCACTTCATCTTTCGATTATGAATACCTCCCTAATTTTACCTCTATCTAATTTCTCAGGTCTCAGAGAGAATGAACTAAAAGAAAAACAATAAAGGAAAATCAGTAGACGATGGAGAGCATCTTGATGACCTATTGGGAATGTACATGGTGTGTGAAGAGAGGGGATTATTATTATGTGCAAGATATGGAAAAATGTGGCTGGGAAATAAAAGAGAGTAAAGACCAAAAGATGGGAAGAACAAAAATGTCACGAATAAAATGTCATGTTTTATTTAGGTGCATTTTTATTTGGTTTGGTTTTTTCTTTTTATTTGGTTTCATATTTTGACTTCCATATTACTAGTAAAATATTTTATAGCTATAATTCTAGAAATTATAAAATTCATGTAGGGAGTCTATGTGACACTTAATATTTTGAAGCAAGGATAATATACTTTTTCCCTATAGATTCTCTACTGAATATATATATATATATACACAGTAGAGAATATAAATATTTTATATATATAAATCCATACGTTTTATATATATATTTATATATTTTATATATATATTATATATTATATATATATATAAAACAATGAGTAACAACCTTGCCATTGTTGAACTGTTTTTTAAAATATAGACTATAGGAATTCTACTAAATGTTCTGCTTGGAGATCCAGCATTAAAAATCATATTTTGTCTCCTAGGCACCACCCACCCTCCATTGAATCCTAATACCTGAGCTGTAATGGGAAACTGTCTCCACTTGGTCTCAGGATTCCCCTCTCTATCTTCTCAGTCCATGTGTTCATTAAGAGGCAGCAAGTGAGCTTTAAATCTCTATTTTAGCAGACTGTTTCAAAGGATAACATTCTTATTAGAACTCCAGGCTTAAACGATGGTGGAAATTACCCAGACATTGGGTAAAAAGAACTGGGACTTCATTTCTAATACTCTCTGGAGAAGCATAACCTTTCACAAGCAATAATTTACTCAGCAAACAGACAGGGAATAAATAAACTCAAAATACCTTTATTAGGCAACATAACATTAAAAGCATAGTACAGTACCAGTGGTCTCTCTTTTATATAAATGATGACGATGCTGTGTTCCCAGTGAAGGTGAACAATGCTTGGCTCCAGCAAACTACGCCAGGAGTCCATTAATCTAAAACTGGACTATGGCCCTGCAGGGTATTCTCCATCCCACACTGAAGCCTGGGGAATTATTTTAGGAAAGTCAGGAAGCACTTGTAAAAGCCAAGAACTATAAGATGTAAATGTAAATTACAGACTGAAATCATACAGCTTTCCACATATTCATATAATTTTTGGTTTCTTAAAACCTGTCTTTGATTCCCTTCTGCCATTATGTGAAATCCATGAAAAAGGATATAAATAGATTGATGCAGCTCCTTGAAAACTCATGGTTTGTGGTTAAACAGATGAAAAACAATTTTTCTTAATTTAAAAACTATAAGTTTGAAAATGTGTCATGCTAGAAAAAAAATGCTAATTGTCACAAATTCCACAATTATTTCCTTGCTTACAATTTGTAAAGCAGAGACAAAAGCCCTTTATATTCTTTCAGGATTTCTGCTAATTCTTAAGAAAGAAATTCTCATTGGTAATTCTTCAAAAATTTCAGAAGTATATTGTCCTTAGATTGAGTCTTCCATTGTTAAGATGAAGAGAATATAGAAGTTTTATTCAACTTTTATGTTCATCTACTTATTCAGCAGTAGAGTCAAAACTTAGAAAATACCTTGGGTTACCTGACACTGCACATTCATGAATTCTGTATCCCATACTAGACCCAACAGAATTTTTAAAATGTAATTTTTTTTCCTTATCCTTTCCTGCCAACACTTGAAATGAATTCAACTGCAGTTGCATTAGTAGTGTGGGCCTGGTGATAGCACACAGAAGTATGAAATTCAGAGAAAACTAGGAAGCACTGAGTGAGATTCTAGGACATTTCTTCTAGTAGCTTCTCTCCTGCTATATTAGACAAATAAAATGTTATTTGCTGCTCTGTAGCTTTTGGCCATCTCAGAAGACTCATACCTATAAGAAGGATTTTTGCTGCTTTGAAATAGTATTTCTCAAATCATGCATAAGCACAGTTGAAAAAAAAACTCTACCTGTCAATCAACTCAGAAATAAACATGAATATTCACTTGTCACTCATTTGAAACCCTGAACTTTTGGACTTAGTGTAGCTCAAGGCTCATTGTTTTACAACATGTTTGTGAGAACATAATGGAAGGAAAATTATTCATCTAATTTGGGAGAAGTGGCTGCTACATTTTGGTGTGGCATGTGGCCTTTCTATGTACACAATGATACCCTGCCATGTACCAGCTTTTCAGCACTGGCATGTCACCTGGCCTGTGGCATCTCACATTCTCATGTTCTCACACTTGTGTTGTGGCCCAACTAACTCGTTAAGCCAAAGCAAAAAGCAGGTGGGGCACATGCCTGTCAGAGACTGGAATGGCAGGCCACATGCCTCTCCAAGTGCTGTAAACACCAGGGTTTGTTTGGAAATTTCATCTCCTGGTTACAGTAAACATGACTTGAAGGAGCATCCAGCAGAGAAATGGCATGCCCTTTTTCTACAAAAAAATGAATTTTCAGGAAATAATATAAGCTATTAATGAACTGCAGAATAACAGAATATGCTATAATGCAACCTAATATCTTAAGACATAATGTATATAATGACATGAGTATAACACTATCATTCATATATCTAAAGTTGGACAGCAAACCTAGTAGCGTAAATTATTATAAATTGCATATTGAAAGAATACAGCTCTTGGGTTTTGTGCCATAACTTTGTAAAAGTGGATGTATAATTTTTGGTAGGAAAAAAATTAAATTACAGCATAGTATAATGATTACCTTTTATCACATCCTTTCAGCTCTAAAAAACCAATTCTTCTATTCTATTCTCAATTCAGAGAAAACAGCTTTATAAAACTACTCTCTAATCTAAAAAGGAAAATCTAATCAACTACATAAAAATGATAATTTCAGTTCAAGTACTATAAAAAAGTTTCACCATTGTACAAAAATTCTAACTTTTGAAAAACTTACAATTGTGGCACAGACACTTGATTTTTGTGCATTACCAATATTAAAAGATTAGCATAAAACAATGGACTATTTAGCTTCGTGATTTAAAGATTAAGATTCTTTCTTCAGACAAGGCACAGTGGTTCATGCCTATAATCCCAGCACTTTGGGAGGCCGAGGTGGGCAGATCACCAGGTCAGGAGATCGAGACCATCCTGGCCAACATGGTGAAACCCCGTTTCTACTGAAAATACAAAAATTAGCTGGGTATGGTGGCGCGTGCCTGTAATCCCAGCTACTCAGGAGGCTGAGGCATGAAAATCACTTGAACCCAGGAGGTGGAGGTTGCAGTGAGCAGAGATCACACCACTGTACTCCAGCCTGGCGACAGAGCGAGACTTCATCTCAAAAAAAAAAAAAAAACAAAATAAAGATTTGTTCTTCTAATTTGAATTTTAGGCTTTTTGCATATTTTTGTTTCTTTGATCCTCTTAAACCCTAAAATTCTGGCAGTATAGTTTAGTTTATTTATACTTGACCTAATTAATCATGTGATTAAGAAAATGTATAGCTATATAGAAGATATGTCCAGAATTACTCTTAACACACACACTGACAAAAAGTTACACACTTATATGCTCTTTATATACTTAATTATATACGATATATACTTATAATTATATACTTACTTGTACCAAGCATTTCACTTGGAACTGAGTGGACAGTGTTAGGAAGGCTAGATTCTGCTCCCCAGCACTACGCTATTGGTAATTTTTAGCTGAGCTTCAGAGTGTACAGTGGTGAATAGTTAGAAAAATTTTATAAAGATTTGGCCAACTCAGGAGGCTGAGGTGGGAGGACTGCTTGAGCCCAGAAGTTAGAGGCTGCAGTGGGCTGTGAGCATGCCACTATACGCCAGCCTGGGTGACAGAGTGAGACCCTGTTTTGTTTTTGTTTAAAAAAAGATTTGTCCTTCCACAATTATGGTTCTAAACCAAATTCTAAATCAACTGGTTTTGCCCATTTAAGATTACATATTAGTTCTCCAGGCATCATCTACAAGGTAGAAGGCTTGCTCTGATTTTTATTAGCGAAGCTTCCATCCTTACTGCTGACAGCATAGGTTTGATGACAAAGATAAATGAAACTTTCATTAAGGGCAACAGAAAGAACAAGGATGATGTCATTCCCTTCTGTTTCTTTGTTGTTGTTGTTAAAATTGAAACACATTTCCAATGAATTTCCATTATAATGCTAAAAGGAGTCTTGAAGGGAGTGTGAGGAGAAGTGCTTTAAAGCTTTTCCTGGGTGAACAATTAAGAGCAGAAAGCTTTGTCTTGTCTTCTGATTTTTTTTTTCTCCCAGATTTGCTGCTAGATCTTTTGTGTGTCTATCTCCAAACTTTTTACTGTGCACCTTATATGTGCAAAGTATCATATAGCTAATGTTATGCATATTAGCTGGTCTCTGTCCTCAAAAAGAACAAAATATTCAAATAGCTATAGTGCCTAGCAAACCATAGTAATTCCAGTAACAATTTTAAAATATTAAAGGTGATAAAGAGAAAAAGAACATATCAGGTTGAGGACTTTTTTTTTTTTTTTAAGTTTCATGGAGAGGAGACATTTGAATGTCAGTAGAGATTTGACAGGGAAGGAATGTGGAGAATATTTTAGGCAAAGGGAACAGCTTGAGGGAAGATATAAATGCCCAATATGTGCTTGGGAGTTAGCCAGGGGGACAGTTTGTCACTCAAAAAAGGCAGAAGGAGAGTAGGGTGGAATACCAGTAAAAGGCCTGGCTGGCCCAGATCATGGGTGGTCTAGGATGCCAGGCTGAGGAATGTGTACTTACTAGGCAATGGGAAAACACTGGGGGCTGTTTTGGGTAGAAAAATGATATTGTGGGAGTGGTTCTTTAAGATTTGGTGGTCAGCTCTGTCCTGTAGAGGATGAATTTGAATGTGGAGCACAGTTCGATAATATTATAACCTTAGGCAAGTCTATTAGGGTAACAGTTAGATCTGAGGTCAAACTTTGTAACCAAGTAGTTACATAATTTGGACCAGTTCACTAACATTTTGGCCTCAGCTCCATGATGTGGATGACCTTAAAGTTCTCTCCAACAATAACATGCTATGATTCAAGGTAATGCAGAGCCTGGACTGATAGAATGGAAATAGTAATGAAAGTAGAAAATGAGCATAGGCTTTTGAAGAGGGCGGATTCTATTTGCATTTCCCAGTGGGGCTTCCAGTGACATTTCGGGCTCCCAATTCTTTAATGTGAAGGACTGTTCCTAGCAACACAGGTATGTTAGCATCTCTGGTCCATATCCACTAAATTTGAATAGCATATTCCGGCCATCATGACAATCCAAAAGTCTCACACGTTTCCAATTTTTCCCTAGAGGATGGTGAATACTAGACCTTGCCCCATCCACCATCACAAACACAATCACTGTGACTCTATTTTAACTGACGTTTGGATATGGTAGAGAACTGAAAGACTGTTGGTCCATTAATAGCCATGGAGAACTCATGAGAAAGAGCTTTTTTGTTGGAAAAGATTACGTTTTATTTGGGAAATACTGAATTTGAGATATCAGTGGGATAGCAAGATATCTCATTTATATGTAGTAGTAAGGAGATAAGAGAGAAAACAAACAGCAACAGAAGTTCAATAATTCATCATTTCAACCTTGAGAAACAGAAGTTGTTTCTTGTTCAGATATTCAGATATTTTATTAAAGAAAAAAGGATGCTTTGACCTTGCTGGAATCTGTCTGCCTGACCCATTTTAATTGAAACTTACCTCAGAATTTTGTTTTGAACTTCCAAGGAAGCAAAAGAAAATGAAAATGATCTAATTTTGGGTACCTACATGAATCAGATGTTTGCCAGACATTTTACATATATATTTCACATGGTCACTGTGTCTCATGGAGGTTGAGTATCTTGTTCAGGATAACACAGTTAAGTAGCAGAGAAAGAAGATGAAAACTCAGTTCCAACCAGCTCCAAAACTTGGATTCTTTTCCTGTTACAATGTGACAATTAACTAACTTCAATTTCAACAATCCATGCTGACATGCAAATTGGCATTATATATTCATGTGTTACTTCAAGTCCTTCTGCTGCAACAGTGCTTAAGGCACAGTGACTGTGGTGGGAATTCCAGACCCCACACTAGGCAGGTTGAGTTGCAAACCATTCTGTTTGAATGATGATGAATGAATTCCATCAGGGAATACTTAATGCAGTTTGACCAAGGGAGGTATTATTTAAAGTTGTTTATTTCATTTACAACTCCTTCACAATAATGGAAATAGGTACCTTCTAAATGTGCTAATGGATATCTCAGATCCAGAAACGTTTCTCGAGGTTATGGGGAGCTTTTTTCCCTAAGTTTACTCTTAAGCACAACACACACTTGCATGTCCCTTTATATTGCTGGGTACAGCTTTATTCTATCTGCTTTCTCCTTGACTACCCATGTTGTTAATATGGTTCCTGCATCCACACGTGATGCTTTGGAGGTGGCAAGGGCTCCTTGACTTTTGCAATTATTGCCTTATGGCCTTAATTATATCTGTCAAATGTTTTGAGATCACCTCTGTTCACCAGCAAGGTCAAAACACCTCCTATTATTTAATAAAACATCTGAATATTGCTGTTTGGTACTGAATTCTTTCTCTTTGGCTTCCTCTCTTAGTTCCCCACCCCCTTTTCTTTAATCATGGCATCAGGCAAACCATACAAGGCGAGGTTTTGAAACTCTTGGTTCTAACGTTGTCTCTGGTGCTGTCCTGGAGGAGTGAGTGAACTTGCTTTCTTTATCTGTATAATTAGACATCCTTATTTATTGTTTTTTCCTTTTAATGTAGTCCTGTTACCAACTATAAGATGTCCTGTCAAGCCACAGGCTATAATCTCTGTATTGTATTTCACTATGGACAAGGAGGAACACCTGATAAAAATAAACTAATATGAATGACTTAAATCACCCCATATACTTCCACTGATGGTTAAAATTAAAATTTACTTTCAATGTTTATCTAATCATGCTTCAGTGCATATTTAATATAAACAACAAATTATATATTTCAGTGGGTTTATGAACACATAGGGGTTGCAAGTCAGCCAGATTGAGTTCACTGGGTCCATAATTTCACTTCTGTTTTGTATAATGGTTTACTGAGAAAGGGTAAATTAAAAATTTCTCTCCTATTGGGCAAGCTCCAGGAAGAAACATCTGTTTTCACGGTGTGGGGGGCCTCAGGTGTCTTGTATAGTACCTATTATATAATGCAGTAAATCATTCAGTGAACACTTGTTTCTTAAAGAATATGATTTGGACCTAAGAGCATCGATGTGGTCCAGTTTAGGGGGTAGAAGAAAAATAACTGCTTTTGTCACATGGAGTAGTCCAAATGAAGATAATGAACATAAAAGAAGGAAAATCAAAATATAAGTGCTTTGAGAAGTTATAATACAATATATAACTATATCTTACTTGTTAACTAGAGTAGGTGCAGTCAAGCCCTAGGAAATTCAGTAAGGATATGGCTGACCATTTCCAAACAGCCCTACTTTCCTAAAAGTGAGCAGAATTCTAAATGAGATCAAAAGCAGTGATATTTCTATCCTTAGGGAGACATAGCCGAAAATGACTTTTAACTGAAAGAAGCTCAACATAGCTGCTCTTGCTAATTCTATCAGGTAAAAGTTTTTTAAGCTTGCATATACTAGCAACATACTTTATATTTGTATACTTCTAATCATTTCCATTTTTACTTATATCAAACATGATGCATGTTAATGTCTCGTTGCAAGTTAGTTGTAACTTCTCATGGACTGTTAATGCAAAATTAATCTAATTAAAATATATCTCTAATGAGTATAGCAGTGTTTTTTCAATAATTAATTTCTGATGGTCTTTATGTATGACCCAGGAAAAAAATCAATATTCTGTTTCAGATATGCATTTTTCTAAGAAAAATGTAGCCTAGCAAATAATTTTAAATATGTAAGATAAGAAGTTTATTCTGGATGTTGACCCCTTAGAGTTGTGATATTAAGACAGCAGTAAATTCTCAACAAAGAGATGTCATATTATTAATGTCACTGATAAATTATTTTCTGTGCATCTATGCCCAATATGCATCCCAAATATTAGCCCCTGGTTGTCAACAAGGCATTCAATATGTTGAGTTGCCTTGTCCTTTACAACTTAAAGGTAAATTTTTCTCAATATCCCTGTCCTAATATCTCTAGGGATTCAGTGTGTGGGGGTTGGTCAGTCTGCCATTTTGCCTAGACACTGATGTTCTGCATGTCTCCTAAATCTTGAATTTTCTTCATGTCTCACAGCTTTCAGCTATTCTGGTCTCTCCCCTGTGTAACCCAGTTATAAAACAAAATCCCTTTCCTTGATTACTTTAACATACCAAAGAGAGAGAGAAAGAGAGAGAGAGAAAGAAAGAGAGTCATGAATTTGTATTTTAAGGAAACTTGAAGAGTTTCATCTAAATGTTACATTTCAAGAATTCTCTTAGTGAATATTAGACATTCCCCCTGCCATGCTCCTCAGTGGGAATGTCCCACTAGCCAACTCTTCTTCTGCATTCTCCACAGCTGCACTTTGTGGAGCATCCCCAGATCCATCCCTAGAGTCCAGCTTCTCTCCATTTCTGGGCTCCTTCCCTTCTTCCTCTTGGCTTCCTCCAGAAATGAAAAAATACATATTATGCAGAGCAACACAGCTCTTTTTGTAAACTCTTACCGCATCCTAGCAATGTTCTGAGGGATATCACAGCAGAACCAATATAAATCCATATGTTATTTTGAGAAACAAAATAAAATTATCTTTTCTAAGATCATTCTGATGCCATATCTGAACGAACAGGCTTTTCTCCCCAGACTAGATGTGTATTTCCCAAGGTTATACAAACATATACATGAAATATACACACATATATATTTCACTTTTATTCCACCCTCTAGCATTTCACTCTTGTATGGTTAATTCCTGCTAAAAATGTAAATGTTCAGATTTCCCTAAGCTTTATTTAAATTACTAAGTTGATGATACTAACACTTCCTTCTACTATCAGTCTATTTTTCCCTTGCATTTAATGATTGAGCATTCTGCTGCCACTTCTCTTTACCGTCTTGTCCTTCCTTAATCCTCTCAACTTGGCTTCCATTGCTACCACTCTGCTGAAGGGATTCACCAATGTTCTACTTCTAAGCAAATCTTTTCTCCTTTTCTTCATGGAAACACTTTTCTTCTTGAAGCTCTCCTCCACTGGAGTTTCTTCAGCATTTGGCACTGGTAGTTACCCCCTACTTGATTTCAAGTTCTTGTTTTTCATCATTCCACATATTTTTCCCACTTCCTGAAATTTCATTCTATAAAATGTTTTGTACTTTTATTCTTACTCCTAAAGAAATCGTCAGTTTGTTATGCTCCAACTACTACCACTAGTCAAACAATTCCTAAATCTACACTCCAGCCTTGATTGCTTAACATCTTTTCAATCTTATATTTCAACCCCCTATTGATGCTACTTAACATGTGAAGCAATGAAATCATTATTTTCTTGTACAAATGTTTATCGTATATTGTACTTATTTCTTTTTTGCCCCTATTCTTGCCTGATAAATTTATTTTGATACCTTTATTTTTTCAAATTCATCAAGTCTTATAGGCTAGTTCTTTAACTACCTACCACATCACTTAAGTTGAATCTTTCTTCGTCTCCATTTCTACAGCAACCACTCTAGATCACACCAAATTATTACACATTTTAGTTTCTATATGCTCTCATTCGTAGCATAATTTCTCATACTAATCAGCATTCAGAAACTGCTAATTAAATTTTTCTTTATATACACTTACCTCTCCTCCAATACAATCAACATATATTCTCCAGTGTATGTTTTCTCAGATGCAAGTTAAACCAAATCAGCTCATATGATTGTATTAAATTTACATTGCCATTTTAGTGTAGTCTCAACACTTAAGTTCCTTTGTGGATGGCTCTTCCCCTTCAGTAGAACTGGCCTCAACAATTCTTACATATGCTGCTACCTACTACCTCCAGTCATGGTACATTCCCTGGAATGATGGTTCCTTCTGTGTCCCTCACTCAGGATGACTGTTTTACCAAAGCTATTCTCAACATTTACTCATTCTAAACATCCTAGTCTGAACATGTATAATCCAAGATCACCACGTTTTAGGTTTATCTTTTCTCTGAGCATGATTATAACATTCCAAATATTCTCTCTATGAAGAAGAACCCTTCTAAATTGCAAACTCCATGGGCAAGTAGTGTGTTTTCTCCACACATTTTAAACCTTATGATATTAAGTGTAGTGATGTGCACCCAACAAATGTTAATTGGTAGAGGAGCTATAGAATTAGGCAACAATAAATTCCATATAATGAGTCATTAAGAAAATCCCACAGTCTTTCCCCCTATAATCTGCTTCCCCACCCCCACATACTCCCTTTAATAAAAAAAGCTCAATTATTAATGTAAAATAAATGAACAGAGCTAGGAAAGAAGAAATACTAAAAATCTGTCTTCATTCTGAAGCCCGCCCAAGCTGAGCAATGGAGAGGTGACACTCTGCCTCAGCCAGCATATCTTCAATTTCTCCCCACTCCAGCTCCCATTATCTCTCCACTGCCACAGCTGCATACTGCTATTGTCAGTGGTAAAGATGAGACATCTCTAATTAGAGGGCAGGGTAAATTGCTTTTATCTACTTTTAACATGCTTTTACATGGCACCTGGTACACAAGCATCAGCTAGGCAGCCATAATTTGAAAAGCAAATGAATGCTCAGAGAAATACGATACATTTTTAAAAGAAAATTAAATATATAGAGTAGCAAAATCAACATGCTGGAGACTGCAGAGTTTAACGCTGTCAGAGTCTTGTGCACTTATGTATTATAGGAAATTAAAATAAGCAGAGTCCACGTACCCTGTAGAGTCTGGTGGTCCTGTCTTTCTTTCTTTGTTGGGAACAAATGGTGAGATTTAATGTCTAGAAAAATTATCAGCGCAAGAAACAGACTGGCGGTAACCCCTTGACCATCTCCATCTAGAAGAGTAGATTTTTAGGTGAAAGAAAAAAAATTAGTAGAATTCTTTCTCTGACTTACATATATCTAACCATCTTTATAATGAATAAATCTATTATGTATGAGTTTTTGTTTCTGGTTTTGGATTTAATTTTTATTTCTTTAGTAGTCCAAAGCATTTTCAAAAATGAAGCAATTTATTAAGTGCTTGAAAAATAAAACAAAGAGAAATCAACCACAGTTAGATCCATATTGTGTTGGACAGCATTATCATTCAATAAAAATATCTGACATTTACTGTGGCTTGGAATACAGATTCCACAGTTAGGAGAGCCACGGGCTCATACGCAAACTCCACAGGCTCCTCTCCCTCTGATCATTATCAGCAAAAATGTATTAATTGTCTTCCTACAACAGTGTCTGTCACAGGAGGACACATGGCCTTCACTCTGTGCCATGATCACAGCTCTTCCTCATGCATAGGTTCTCTTACTTCTGTAGGAACTATGGTATTATTGCTCTCCAAACTTTGTTTACTTACTTTCCTGGAGATTGCCCGCCTACTGGCTGTAACTTTCCGGCTGTAAGAACTGGAAGCTCTAAATAATAACAGGGCTATACTGTTTATTTATTGCTGCTTTGGAACAGAAAGCCAACTGAAGTTCTTTAGTGTAGTGGGTAAGAAGGACTTTCAGCTAAGAAAAGCTGGCACTGTAAACACAGTGGTTCTGGCAGGGGAAGTGCCTGATTAGGGATCTCTAGTTTCCTCAATTCCCATATGCAGGCATCTATATGCATTTAGAGCTTGTGAATTTTTTCTATTTTCGATATACCATGAATGAGAGGGTATAATTTAAAGGGCTAAAGCAAGAGGCATGTTTTAGAAGTATCTCTAATTTAAATATTTGAGCCATATGCAAGATTAGAACATGTGCTTCACTGCATTAAACACTACTTAGAATGTACTGATTCCTATTTTAGTCTTTGTAGTAGTCATTAGCATGGTTGGTGAAATAGTTCTCTGCCTTCCTTGTACATGATAGGGTTGTACATTCTGGCCCTCTTCTGCTTAGGTGTGTCCATGTGACTATTTCTGATGAATGATTCATAAGTAGAAATGATGTTCAATGGCTAATGGGAAAACTTCCAGATCCCTCTACCCACCCTACCCTCTAGCCAACCAATAATGTTCAAAACTGGGGGTGATCCATCAGCTTAGATCCTGAAGTGAAATCAAGGAAGAACCTAGAACCCAGTGAAGAACCCAGAACTCACATATGTTGGTCATGTAGCAGGAGCAAGAAATAAAGTTCGTTTTGAGGTTTTTGTGCTTTTTGTTATTGCAGCATACTCTAGCACATCTTGATTACTACACCACTGTTAATCATTTCAGTCTTAGCATAGATGTCCAAATTTCTCTTTTTAGCTACCACACTTTGATCACAGTACTTAACCATTCAAATTGCACTTACATTGTCTCTCCCATTTATTAGTTTACAATTATCTTGAGAATACAGATGTCTCACTTATCTTTACATTTTCAATTTTTAGTACATTGTCCCTATATCATAGACACTCAATACTGTTTAATTGAATGGACTTTAATTTGTGCAATGTCAACATTTCAGCTCTGTGCTCAAATGGCAGGTGAGCTACAGTGACAATTAATCTTAAGCAACATTATTTGGATATGTGCCTCTCTTAAAGTTAAACAAGGGAAAAATAATAAAGTTAGTCTGATGTGGTAGAGAAATATATTAAATTTAGGAGGTTTGAGTTAGACTTCTGATTCTGGCTGTATGATATTTAATAATTTATTTTGGCAAATATTTATTAGTTGTCCACTTACCATATGCCAGTGTTCCCGGCCCTGATAATAGTAAGAGTTCTCGTGGAATTAACAGGGTCATGGCAAGTCACATAATGAGTTAATTTTTATCCTCTTTAATAAATTAAAGACAATAACATATACTTATGTTTGTTGTGTTGTTTGAAGGAAATAATATATGTATATGACTTTTGTAAATTTCAAAGCATTTCAAAAATGTGAACCTAAGGTACTTTTATTTTAAAATTTTTGAATAATACATTTTGCCAGTAATTATCTGCATGGATGCTTAATAGTTCAGTATTCTAGATATTATAATAGATGACTCATTTCTTATGACAAGTTGAGATCCATAAAGAAAACAACTTTCAAACTATTCAGCAATCATTATGAAATTTTATATCAGTGTTTTAGCTTGGAGGAGGGTGTGTGTGCTAAAAAAAAAACAACAGCAATAAATCCACTTTTCATTTGGCAGAATGCAAGTTCTAATTTCTAATTTCAGTAAAGACAACTGTTTCCTAGAAAATAACACTGATTTACTTGTACATCTAATACAGAGCAATAATTGGGAGTGGCTAATATATAGGAAGAACAAAGACAATGATTGTGCCTACCAGGTGATAGAAACAGGATATTGCAACCCTTGTTCATAAAATGATTTATCCAAATGTTTTTGATCCATTCAAAGAAGAAATACTCTACGATTTTTTAATATATAGAAAAAGTATATAGGATATATATATATTTAAAAATAAACATGTGCTAAATGAGCCAGAGTTATGTGTGTGTATACCTACCCAAAAACTACCTGAAATTTTATGCACAGCAGATTTAAACCCTAAATGATGATCGCTTTCATAATATCTCAGTTGTAGTGTTGAAAAAAATCAGAGATGACACAAACAAATGGAAAAACATTCCATGCTCATTGACAGAAAAAAATCAATATGTTAAAATGGCCACACTACCCAAAGCAATTTACAGATTCAATGCTTTTCCTATCAAACTGCTAATGACATTTTTCACTGAATTAGAAAACAACTATTCTAAAATTCATATGAAACCACTAAAAGGGCTCAAATCACCAAAGCAATTCTAAGCAAAAAGAACAAAGCTGGAGTCATCACACTATCTGGCTTCAGATTATACTACAAGGCTACAGTAACCAAAATGGCATGGTACTGGTACAAAAACAAACACATAGACCAATGGACTAGGTTAGAGAACCCAGGAAAAAAGCTTCATATTTACAACCATCTGATCTTTGACAAAGTTGACAATAGCAAGGAATGGAAAAAGGACTCTCTATTTAATAAAATAGTTTTGGAATTACTGGTTAGCCATATGCAGAAGATTGAACATGGACCTCTTCCTTTCACCATGTACAAAAGCCAACTCAAAATGATTTAAAGACTTAAATGTATGACCTAAAACTATTAAAATCCTAGAAGAAAACCTAAGAAATACCATTCTAGACATAGGCCTTGGCAAATATTTCATGATGAAATATCCAAAAGCAACTGCAACAAAAACAAAATAGACAAATGGCACCTAATTAAATTAAAGAGCTTCTGCACAGTAAAATAAACATCATCAACAGAATAAACAGACAACCTACAGAATGGGAGAAAATATTCACAAACTATGCATCTGACAAAGGTCTAGTATTCAGAATCTATAAGGAATTTAGACAAATCAACAAGCAAAAAACCACCCCATTTAAAAATGGACAAAGGACATGAACAGACACTTCTCAAAAAAAGACACACACGTGGCCAACAAACAAGAAAAATGCTCAACACCACTAACTCATTAGAGAAATGTAAATCAAAACCACTGTGAGATACCATCTTATACCAGTTTGAATGGCTATTATAAACAAATCAAAATATAACTGATGTTGGCAAGGTTGTGAAGAAAAGAGAATGCTTATACACTTCTAGTGGGAAGGTAAATTTGTTCAGCCACTGTCGAAATCAGCTTGAAGGCTTTTCAAAGAACTTAAAAAACAGGACTACCATTTGACCCAGCTATCCCATTACTGGATATATACCCAAAGGAATATAAATCATTCTACCATAAAGATACATGGGCATGCATGCATATGTTCATTGTAGCACTGTTCACAATAGCAAAATCATGAACTCAACCTAGATGTCCATCAATTGTGAACTGGATAAAGAAAATGTGATACATATATACCATGGAATACAATGTAGCCATTAAAAAATTAAATTATGTCCTTTGCAGCAACATTGATGCAGCTGGAGGTCATTATCGTAAGCCAACCACCTGAGGATCAGAAAACCAAATATTGCATGTTCTTACTTAAAAATGGGAGCTAAACATTAAATACACATGGACGCAAAAAGGGAAAGAGCAAATACAGGGACCTACTTGAGGAGGGAGGCTAGGAGGAGAGTGAAGGTCAAAAAACTACCTATTGGGTAACATGCTCACTAATTAAGTAACAGAATCATTTGTACACCAAACTCCAGTGACACGCAATTTAACCATGTAACAAACTTGCCCATGTACCCCCGAACATAAAATAACAGTTGAAATAAAAAATAATAATAATTTCTTAGTGGCAGAAATGGGACTATCTCACAAACTAGAGTAAAATTTGTACACTTTTTGATATACAAGATACATCAATTTATTTATTGTTTAAAAAAATGTCATCAATAATTATCTTCCACTTGCATTCATTTATTTATTCATTCATTTATTCTTTTAAAGAAATATTGATTTGAGCACCCATTCTGTTCTAGAGGCTGTGCTGGTCCCTGTAAATATGAAGGTGAATTTCATTTAGTTTCTGCCTTCAAAGAGTTCACGATGTCTTCCAAATGCTTGCAAATACAAAGAAATGTATTAGGATGAACCACATGAAATTGCCTGATAAAATCCAAAAAACTGTAAGATGAAGGCATTGCTCTAAACAAGCCTAAAATCTATTTGGATACAAATGAAACAAGTAGGTAAGTATGTCTTCTCTATACTTTTTAAACCTTATTACAAGTAATATATTGACTACAACCGAATAAACCAGAAATATTTTCTGAGCTTATCTTATACATAGACCTAAAGAGCAAGATCAACCTGTGAATGAGTATAAAATGTCCTCTGAAAGGAATAGATGTCTCATCCATGTAAATTCAAATGAAAATTTTGGAAAAAATGGCCTTATATTGGGATTTTAAAACATCTTTGCTTTCTCTGGGAGAGGGAGTCAGCAGTAAAGCTTAGCTTAAACTTTATATAAAGAATAAACTGCTATTGTTCTGGTGGTGACACCAACATCATGAAGTGACTGCCCTTGGGCATGTGGAGGTTTGTCTGGGTCTAGCAAGGGAGCTAGGCAGGGCAGAGACCATTACAAGATTCCAGGGCAAGTGTGGGACAATTGTGGTTGTCTTCCATTTTATTCTCTCTTGATGTGTAGCAACCTTATGGATGAAATAGATCTAATACCTGCTTAGCTCTCAGAGAGAGTCTTAATTGGCCTAAACTCTAAGAGTGGTCTTCTTTTGCCAAAATTATTGGTTCAGAAATGGGCTTGTGAGCTAGGCCTAAACCAATCAGTCATACTATTTTTCTAGTTGTATGGTCTGGTTCAGGGGAGGGCATTTCATTCAAATTGCTCTAATTATAGAGAAGCACAGGATTTCTGTTTGGCAGAGAAAGAGAAGATATCTATCTATCCTTGGATGTGAACCAGGAAGTGCATGTCTCTGGAATCTGCTGGCAGACATCTTGTGATGAGAGGAGCCATTTTGAGAGTATGGAGAACATATAGAGAAGATTAGAGGCAAGAGAATGACAAAAAAATAGAACCAAAGACCAAAGACACTGTGAGCTCTGTATTTTCTTCCACGAAGCTCAAACGTTCAATAAAGTCTTGTAAAGGCAGTAGTATTATGGGTGAATTAGCGACAGACCTAATCAGGTCTGGGAGAGGATAATATCCTGAGCCCCACAGCCACTGTCAGCAGCAAAGTGTAACTATGTGCAGCAGGAGTGTCACTAGCTACAGAGAGAGCTACCTGACAAGGCAGGTGGAATGGAAGAAGCAGAGGGACTACACCCAGCAACAAGGACTGAAGCATGATAGAAAGTTCCAGAAATATCTGGATGACACTTAGAAAAGAAAAAAAAAATAGGGTGACAAGGTTTGTGGGATGTTTGTCATCATAAATCGAGTTACTCAAGATACTATTACAGAGAACATACTTTTCAATCCATTCTCAGGTGTGCAATGATATGGAATATGTGTATTTCCTGTAGTGCAATCTAATCTGTGTCTTTTCTTCCTGGACAAAATCTTAATGTAGTCAACTCCAGATTTTCTCATTTTTTTTTAAGTCACTTAAGGATTCTTCCTTCTTTTCTAAACCTTTCCTCCCTAGGTATTAGATCCTCTTTATGATATTTTTTAATTTGCAATACTTTATGGTACTTTTCTTTAAGATTATTTTATATTAAGCAACTGTTTTATACAGCATTACAGAGTAAGAAACAGAGAGATTGTGGTTTGGGGTGCATTGAGATCCTTGGGTGTGACCATCCCTCCCATTTGGATTCTGGGGACTTGACTGCCTTTTGAAAGCCTCCACTCATTGGTACCCACATGGTCCCCTTGGTTATGGCACCAAGGCCCAAGAGACTACCTTTCAGCTTCTTTCCTGCTTTCTAAGCTTTTTTCTCTTCTCTGCTTCTCTGATACTCCTTCCTTTCCAAGTCCAGAGAGAATTAGCTTTTAGTTTTATTTCTGTCTTCCCTCTATGGCATAGGAAAGATAAAACTGATTATAAAAGAATTTTTCCCCAAATCCATGACTTACACAACAATATGGGCTTTGTGTCTTCAAAAGACAACAATAAACTTCATTTGTTTTCCTTTGCATTTGGATGCACCTCACCTCTATATAGTGCTAGAGTCCAAGGTCTAGTTTGAGAGAGGAAGAGAGAGAAAGAGAGAGACAGAGAGAATATGTTGGGGTGGGGTAAACAAAAGGATTACAGGGATTAATAAACATCTTTGGTAGATATTATACCACCACAGTCTATATAGTGGTGGTATAATATTTACACAATGCACAGCAATACTAAACTGTGTGGCACAGGGATAAATGGTCTAGAATGTCACAGAGAAGGAATAATTTAGTGAGAGTCAGGAAATTAGGAAAGTTTTCCTAGAAGACCTAGGAACTCAGAGAAATTACAATAGACAAATCTAAGGATGGGAAATTCTAAGTTAAATAGAGAATAACAGAAGCAAAAACAAAGATGAGGGAATAAATGTGCCCTTGGAAAAGTGAGAAAGTTCACAGAAGTCTCCTGATGATATTTCATGGAGTATGGAGAAAATTAAGACAGTATATTCATGTTTGAGACGGATTCTTAAAGATTCTGAAAATGAGTCACATTGTTCTAGATTTGATGAGGCAGAAAATAAGAATGTATTTGAGAGTGTCACAATATAACAAAAGATGTTTTTAAAGAATGGGTACTTGTTGTCTAGGGGCCATTCTCATCATAGACCTGTCCTTCCATGACTACATCATTTTTTAAAAAATAATTAAGCAAGGGGTTAATTATTGGCAAGTGTGGACAAGTTACCCAAGCCTTTTTAACATATGTAATTCTGTCCAATATCTGGACAGTAAAAAGCATGAACTTGATGCCAGTGTTTTGAAGCAATATTTTATCATTATAATTAGACTCTGACTCCCATTCTGTTGGTTCTCCAATGGCCAAAAGTTATGTGTTCCTCAAAACCTTTCTGTGGTCGGCTCAGCCAATTTATATAATAGGTTACTACATGCAGCCAAACCTATACAACCATAAATGTCTGTCCTTCTGGAAGGCTGAGGTATTCATGTTCTTAATCGGTGGCTTTTAGACACAAAATCATTACTCACTAATTACTTTTGTTTTAAAAATTAACACTAAATTTTTAAAGATATAAACTCATAAACCTAGTTCTTTCTTGATCTGATTTCAATTTACATAAAATTTTATTGTATTTTAACATTACTATTAAGAGGGCTCTTAAAACATGAGTTATTCATCTTATTTAAACGTTTTGAGCTGCCTTTATAAATTTAGATTTTCATTTCTTTTGTATTTTACCTTTCCTGATTACATAAAATTTGCTGAGTAATCAAATAACATTTGTAGGAATACATGTTAAGTTTGTGGGTATGGTAAATCGTAATTTATCTTAAATATTACAGTACAGTCTGATGCATCAAAGTCTCAACTTTCCACTAAAAACACAAGTTAATGAAATAAGTTTGATTTGGTTCATCATTTCTCCATTTAACTCTATATTTTTTTAGGGTTAAAAAATCCTCTCAGGAAACTAATTACACAATTTCAAATAATTTGAGTTTCCCTTTCTAGGCAAGTTCTTAGAATTGCCTTCTCAGTCAGCTGGAGTTGCGCATCAACCAGAGATTATGGCCCGTGTAAAGCCAGAACTGCAGACGTCTGGGGACATTGTCCACAAAACTGGGAGAGGCAGACAGAGCAACAGATGAAATGGTCTCTGCTTTTGTGTCCACAGTAAAGTTACAGTTCACTAAATTCTTCATTTCACTTAAGGAGTTGGTAAATCATTTTAAAATTTTAGCTAACTTCCTTCATATTGCAGTTTAACTTTTAAAAATTTCCTTGGGTCTTTTAAGATATTAAGTGACATCTGATTGGTTTTAGCATTTTCCTTTTACTTTTCTGGCTCCATATCATACTTTTGAGGATCATTTTAGCATTCAAATGACAATAACAAATGGTGAATGTTGTCTAAGCAAAGTATAAGAGAAAAATTTGCCCTCGTTTATAATCCTCTAATATACCTGTAAGTCCATGATACATACATTATGCTCTGTTGAAATTCAATGCATCTTGAGGTTACTATGGTGAACCAAACACAGTTCTGGACATTAAGGATTGAAGTCAAATAAAGAAAATAGACAAGCAAAGAAAAACTTGCAAAGCCAAGTGTAACTGCTGGCTCTAAACCTACTGGGAAAGGAGACCGAATCTTCTCTTGGAATTATCAACAAATTGTCTACAGAGGAAACACTTTAGATTGCTGCATTAACTCTTCACATCATTTTAATGTTTTCCACTAGGATAATGCTGAACAGAAGTCCCCAGAGGGCAGTCCTGGAATAGAAGCATCATCCCCGTCACCTGTGAACTTGCTAGAAATACCAACTTACCACTTTAGATCTACTGAGACAGAACTCCAGAAGGAGGCCCTGCAATCTGGGTTTTGTAAGTCCTCCAGGCGATTCTGATGCCCGTTAAGTTTAAGAACCACTGTATTAGAATAATACCAAGCTAGGTAAGGTTGATCTCAACTTATGTGCATGTTAAAAAAATGATTATGTTCCAAAGTAAGGTTATACGTGGGATGTAAACACTGAAGATTTAGCTACAAACTTATGTAGATGACTACTGATTCCTCAGCAAAGACCACAAATTCTGGTTTTGGATACTGAAATGCAGTATGCACTCTCTCAAATGATCGCTGATCAAATATTGCATTTAAGCATCCTTAGTGATTCTGAACCTGGATGACCTGTTGCAGGACTATCAGCAAAAAGATAAAAAACTATTGAACAAAGACCTTTGAATTATGCTCTTTAGAGCAAGTTTAGTTCTTAAAAGTACAGAGTGAACAGTAAAGCAGAAAAGCTACTAGTTTACTAGACCTTTTTCTATTGACGAAACAATAAATAGAGTTAAGAACAGCAGGTTTTCCACAAGACAGTAATTCTTTTAGTGTAAAATCACTGTGGGCTAATCCTGCATTAAATCACTAAGATGTGCTGCATGAATAAAAACATCAAAGGAACTCAAAGGACACATACAAAAAAAATATGAAATTATGAACTCAACACCTTCTGATATATTTAACAGATTCCAAGTCCGTCACAATCAAGATCTTTAATACAGAATGCTCCCTCTTTCCTCATTCACCCTCAGTGAATCAAGTCACAATAGTTCTAAGATTAAGCATAAGAACTCAGGTTAGATGAAAGAAATAGCTTCCCTCCCACTCTTCCAGTCCCAGATCTAAGATGGTTACTTAAAGCCCCAATTATTTGCCCAAATAATTATCAAGCCTTATAAATAAGACAGGAATTTGGCAATCAGTTAGTACCTCTTAAGTCTAGATTTATTCAGTGTGGTGAAAAAACTATTCAGAAATTTAGAGAGAAAATTATAAGAATCCTACTTTGGCATAATGGATTAACCAAAATACAATTTTCAAAGATCATTTATGATTAGTAATAATCCTAAAAGAGTGAGTTTGGGTTTTAAGGCTAATTCCCCTCCTTACCAAAACATCTTGAGGTTTATGGATTAAGACAATGTGATTCTGATCACAATTAAAAAGTATCTTTATTTGAAACCTCCAAATATCCACTTATACATCAATCACCTGTATGATTGATTAGATCTCCTAGTCAAATAAATAGGCAGGCAAGGCTCTAATGTAAAAATAGGCTGCCAGTTGACATATTAGCAAATATCTTGGAAATACAATAAATAAATAAATAAAATGGGCCATGGTGGAAAGACAGAGGTACTGCTGTGCAAATTGAGGACAAGACCATCTCTGGGTTCAGTATCAACAATGACAAATGGAAGAAAGTCATTTTCACTCTGTTTCTATAGGCAATTTTACTATGGCACTGATTAGACGGGATTATTTTAAGGTGTGAAAAAATGTAAGGTGTTAAATAATATTTACTAAAGTTTAGAATCTGGCATGTGTTTTGTGTTTCATTGGGAAATGGGGGACAAGTTGCTTGATTTAGTGAGCAGACATTAGGTTGTCTTTTATGTACAGGCTAGGTCAGGAGGATAAGAAAAGATTAAGTATTGTTTCAACCTTGAAAGCAGAAAGTAGAAGACATTATAAACCTTGCTTATAAACCTTAATTAGACTGCAGCTGAAACTGTTTTCCAAGCTGTAGTTCATAGACAAACCTAAGAGTTCAGAGGAGATCTTTATCAGCAAACAGGAATCTCACTTCTATATTGTGAATTCATCTTCATACATTCCATCTTCCCAAAAATATAGTAGATAAATGTAACACATATTAACATCCAACATAAGGCATCCACACTAGATTCTAATATGCACCATAGAAACCAAAGAAGTTAGTCTATAACAATATACAGTATATTTATTTAAGGTATAGTGCCCAATACATGGGAATGAATTAGCTCCACAATGAACGGTACATAATGAAACTTGCTGTTACTCCTATAGTGATATTTTAATAAACAACATAAGGGGTAGACATCCAAACTAAAATATTTTACATGAAAAAGTTCTTAAATGACATCTTATTCAAACCTATTTGGAGCTAGATGAAAAATATGCCAGAGTTATTCAAATACCTCTGTCATATGGAATTATTTCCCAGAGAAAGTCACCACTCCCAAAGTACTACACTCCTTTGCCAGTCAATCCTTTTTCTGGAATGTCAAGGCTATTTTAAATCTTGCCGCACCCTAAATAATGGATCTCTGTAGCTTGCACCAGCTAATTCCCAGTGCAGCCGGAGCTCCCAGCTCTTCACATCCATAAGCTGAAAATTAACAGCAATTTTTCATTATGACACTGGGACTCCAACTGTGAGCGTTAAGTGTTTCAGAAAAAATAGAGCATGATATGATTTCCGTACATCTATATATTTTTTGAGGTTGCAAGAAAGCACAGCATTTTTCAGACCCACTTATGTAAATACAATGATACTCTAATAGAGAGGGAATTATCATTATATTTCATTTTAAATGTTTAAAAAAGAAAAACCTCATGGCACAAATTTGAACTAGCACATTGTTTTCTTGATTTACTGGGTTTGAAGAGATACTGAATGAATAGCCCTCTCTCATGCAATATTTCATGTACTTTCTATAGGTCTGTGAAATTTCTATAATGCAGCAAAATAAGCCTTGCCTCAGGTTTAATGTCTTCTGTTTATTAGCAGAATACTGTGCACCTGCTCAAGACACCTGCACATTTTAACTTAGCATTTTAAACTAAATCCAATCAACTCTGCATTAGCACACTGACTCACCATCTAGTACATTAAGGATTTAAGGTTCAATTCATAAATTGCTTAGCAAGATGGATGTCTCCTCTCCCCTGTCTCTCTTGTTGCTCCTCCAGTCCCACCACCCCATGTGGAGGATTATCTATCACCGTAGAACAGTAGCTTTATCCTGACTGTCAAGTGGCATTAGTAGGTTATTTAACTCTTAGGAGGCAAATCCATAAGACTCAAGGTCTGTTGTTCATGAGACAAACAGGAATTTTATTTGTGATTATAAATAGGCATATTTTCAAAAGGAAATGTCCATCAATCATGAGAACATGAACCTTGTGCATGACAATTTTTCTTTTTACTTGTAACAGCAGCTGCCAGTCTGTTTCCTATAGGTGGCAGGAAAAAACTGGAAGCCCTTTCTTTTTCTTCCTTCTAGGTTTGGCTTTATTGTTCTTGTATAATTCCCCAAACTATGTGCATTTATTTTTCAAGTAAAACATAACACATTGATAAAATATTTTATTTCTTATATTTAAATATATTCTCTCACTTCTTTCCCTACATCTGCGACCACTCATCCTTGGTTTCATTAACTAGCTTCTGCTTTTCAGCCTACCTCTTGCGTTTATCCATTCAGCAACTTGTTTTTGAGTTCTTAGTATCTTTACAGCACCTTCGTAGGTGCTGGTAAACAGCATTTAAAAAACAGAAGATGTTTCTTGTTCTCATATAACTTACATCTTCATAGTAGGAAAGGATGGAAGCAGACAATAAATGAGTGAATAAACAGATAAATAAAAACAAGATGTGACTCATCATAAGGGTAAGTGATATGAAATAAACAAACAGGATAATGAGATAGGAAGAAACAGTCAAGCGAATATCCTCATTTCTTTTTAAAATTCAGTTCAATTAATTTGTATTTTATTTTACACACTAACTCTGAGCCAGTCCTGTTTGATAATGGGACTACAAAGGTGGGTAAGTTTCACTTATACCTTAGCAGAACTCACATTCCATCAGAAAGAGAAAGACCTAAACAATCACAACAGACTGGCAAGTACTATAATAAACTTCCTATGATCAATAGAATAGGGAAATATTCTGATGTTACCCAAGGGTGTGAAGAAGACTTTTGCGAGCAAAGGATAACCGAGTGGACTGTTGAAGAAACAATAAAAATTAATTCAAATGGTTACAAAGTTAAAGAGCATTGCTGGTAGACATGCAAAAGCATAGAAGTTTAGGCAATTATGTACATTTAGAGATATGTATTTATTATTATTAAGGAGTACGAATGTTTGTGTGCTAGGTTTAAGTGTTTGGACTTCATCCAGAGGGCAGTAAGAAACTATTGAAACATTCTTTAGAAAGTAGAGATAAGATCGGGTTTGGGCTTTAGAGATATCCTTTGAACAACGTGAAAGTAGACATCATTCCAGGGTTTGGTTAGGGGGCTGGTAAAGACAGAGAAACCAATTAGGAAATGCTACAGTAAGTGCAAGCAAGATTGACAAGGGCCTGAACTAACATATTGGAGGCACTCAATAATACATACATATGAGTGTGTGTGTATGTGAGTGTGTGTGCGTGCATAAAGAGTAACGAATGAGTGCCTGAATTAAAGGAGGGCCAGATAGGAGATTGGGGAATGAAAAGGCTTATTGATTTAATGTTGGCTTGTTCTAATGAAATATAATGTGAATCAGAGCATTAAGCAGAAAAACTCATGGGTGGAATGTGCTTATGTCCCAATCAAGGTGTTCTAGGGCAGTTGTTCTCAACTCAGGGTGTTTTGCCATCCAAGGAACATCTGCACATCCATGGAAACATTTTTGTTTTTCACAACCTGAGGGAGGTACTGCTGGCATCTAGTGGGTAGAGATGCTGCTGAACATCCTACAATGCACAGGACCACAGCTGCAACAAAGAATAATCCAGACCACACAGGAGTGGCAAAGTTGAGAAACCATGCTCTCGAAGAATGATCTCAGTAGCAGTAGGTGTGAGTAAGCTTACTTAGTACAAATCCTCAGGAACAGAAACCACTGTATTGAGGATAATGTCTAGGAGATGAAGCCCAGCTCAACGATTTGAAAAGGCTTTCACTCCAGGTCCACAAGCTTTATCTGAGTCAGTCAAGTAAGCAGTCTGCTTTCTTCATCTTGCTTTTCTTTTCTACACCTTTAGAAAAAAATCACAGCTAAAGGATATATTTGTAGGATATATCTCCTTGTTGATATTTACTTCTTTGTAATAGGCACGCATATTGCTGTTGGTCATGATGTAATGCAGGAATTTTCTAATCACTTTGAGAAAGAAAAGTGGCAACATATTACATTCTTGATAGATTAATACACACAGGTTTCAAAACCTGTTTTAATAATACAGTGTAATCAATTACCAGTGTGAGAGAGGATCAATAGCAGAATTGGATTATCTGAGAAGCTTGGTCTCAATTAATGATAATAATAATGTCTAATATTTATTGAGTGCTTACTAGCCATAACCCTTCTATGAGTTTACATGTGCTCCCTTAGTCCTTAAAAATACCTATGAGGAGGGTAGTATAACTGTTTGCATTTTACAAATGAGAAAACCAAGACACAGGTGGCTCATAAACTTTTCAAATTCCACAACTAGCATGTTGGAGCCAGTACTCACACTCACGTCTCTGACTATAGAGCCACACTGATACTCACTGCTTTGCTGTTTCCGGAATTACTTGCTCTAATTATTACAAAGTCACACTGTTTTCTAAGTGGACCAACAAAAGAAAAATCTAATCATTCTTGGAAATGTAATAGTAACAGATACACAGTGGTATCACCATGTTTCCTTAAGGGGATCTGTCAAAGAACTCAAATATATTAAGTGGAGTTAAGGTGAAATGTTTGTCATTCGTCCCCAGATTATGAACACTTGTAGAGATTTTCAGTTGTTCTTAAATTCCTGTGACTACTACTCCTTATTTCAACTGATTGGGAAAATTCTTGGTGATCAGAAAACTTGGAGTAAGAGAAAAGTGGAAATGGTTTCTTGAAAACTGAAAAGCAGCATTGCCCCCATGTAAGTATTGTGAAGCATCTGTGTTTTGAGTGGAAAACCTTTTTGAAAATAAAAATACATCTAGTGATGAAGAAAAATCCACATACGACTTAAGTCTTGTTGGAACCAAACACAGCTTTCAATAAGTAAATTTTGTATTGATCTATCTATATAAGTAAATACAGAAACAAAGTAGATAATACATTTATAAATTAGGTCCCCAAAGTACAAAACACTTGCAGCATTAATCTTGAAAATCATTTTTTTAAAAATTTCCAGTCAAGTGGTATGATTGTAATGGAATCTTGTCTCTTGTTTTTCTTTTTTAGGTTATTCTTCAATGGATTATTTCAAAAAAAGGAAGAAAAAATTAAGTGAATTCATAGCAACCTTTAAAAATGCATCCCCCCAAGAGATACAAAAAATTAATTTTCAAGAGAATATGAGCAATTTTAAAGTAATTTATAAAAATTTCAAGCACCTAGCATAGAGTCTTGCACTTAATAGACATTTATTGAATATTGAAGTTTTTGGAAAGTCTTCCCAAAGGTTTAAAGGAATAGACAGCTAGTGTCTAATTTGGCACAAACAAAATACATATAAGAAAGATGAAGGAGAACTCAAGAAATTTGTATGTTATTTGATGAATTTCCCTAAACATTAAATGGCAGATTTGAGGCCAGTGTCTATATGAGCAATTTGCACACATGTGTTATGACTTGAGGGTTGCACTTGATAATGACATTTCAAATAACACTTCATAAATTATAGTCACCCACATTATGTCACTTAGACCTCTAATGTTCTTATGAAGACATTAAGAGTATCTCTATTTCACAGACTCCAAAAGATTCAATATCCAACCTAATGCCCAAATGGCATTTGAACCTTGCTCCTGAGACAATTAAGCCAGTGTGTTTTGTTACCTAATAGTTTTTATACATTCCTTTAATCCTTTCTCATACTGGAATCTGTTTCACACTCTTATTTTTTCAAATGAGAAAACAGTCATTTTCGCCTTCATTTAGGCATTCTCCCACTCAAGTGTGGGAAGAAATCCAGAGTTTCATGAACACAAAGTGATTCAAATAACTTTCCAAAGTCTCCTCTCACCCTTTCCAAATTATTCTATGAGTGGTCCTTCTGGTTTTAACTATAATGAAAACCAGACTTTCAGATTTAGTATGATATCATCCAGAGATAGCTGTTATCAGTTTCAGAGCTTGTGGGTTTTCTTTAATCTCTTTCACTGGAGTGGAGGGTTGAGGCATCATTTGCTCTGTGCATCCTGGCTCTACTCCAAAGGCTTCCATTTTGGAGCCGGATCTCTGCACCAGTGCCAGGTCCAGTTGCTCAGCTCTGGCATTGCTACACTCAGCAGCATTTTATTTGAGTGAGTGAGGCCAGTCACTTTCTTAGCTAACTGGAAAAGAGCTTGCTGGTTTGGAGGACTGAATGGGTGCTGGTGTAAAATTATGGTGAATGCTTTTCTTCCCTTCCTGCACACAGAGCACATCATATATTCCCTCAGTACCCTATACCATAGGAAAGGGTGTCTGCACCTCTAAATGGAGGAAATTTTAATCCTTTAATAACTTTACCAGGACTAGGGAGCAATATCTTTTTTTTCTTTTTTGGTTTATTCTACCTGAGAATAGGAAAAACAGACAAAATTGCCCACAAAATATATGTGCATAGTAAAAATTATGACAAGAATACTCTCCAAGATAAACAAGCCACAGTTCCATTTCCTCTGAGAATCCAGCACTTGCTGTCATACATTGGTAACTCTGGCTTCCTACTTTGAATGATTCATGAATCAATGGCTTAAACTGTAACTGATTTAAGAAACTTAATGGCAAATTTCCACTACAGAAATTCAATGTGTTTGTTTAAAAATAAATTAAATTCCGAACCAAAGGATCCAGAAACTGTCCCATAGAGAAACCCTTTCTTTACCAAGCAGATGTTTAGATAACTTGTTTATTTTAAAGCCTGTCCTTCTTAGATTAAATTTGAATTCTCCTAGCTAGGGAATCTACATTATTAACTGTCAGCTAAAAATAATACAGAATAAGAAAATCACATGGAACCAGTCAAGGCAAAACAGAAACACAAAAGATGGTAATTCTCTTCAATTTCTCTCTTTTGGGGTAACAGAATTTGAAGCCAATAGTCACCATACGTGATAGTCACAATATGTTTTCTCCATTAAGTCTGATGATTTTATTTTTGGTACACAAGTCTTCCTAGGCTTTTCTAGTGCTTCCCCCCAAAGCAATAATTGGAATTACTCTATTTCATATAACAATGGGAAATGACTTAAGGAGGAATAGATGTTCACTTTACTAAACCTGTGCTCAGATTCTTCAGTTGTTAAATCAAGGAGATGAGCAGCTAGGGTCTTATGTTTAATGCCTGCTTATATGGTAGCTGAAATGCACATGCTATACTTCGTGCACTGTAAGATTAATTCATAGCTAACCTTGAAGAAGTACTAAGGCGTTAGAAAATCTATGATTTTAGATTCCTTGATTTGTGTATTATGGGCAAGCGGATTTTTTTTTTATTACTGGTATAGAAGGCTAAAACGAACCTTAAAGACTAATCATATTGTGATAGATTTACACTATGGAATGGTTAAATTTCAAGAAGACAGATTCTACAAATTTATGTGATCCAAAGCCAAGTCTCATCTCTCTACTCTTGAGCTCTGCTTGTACCTATTTCTAACTCAGTATTGACAGGATGAGTCTACAAACACTTCAGGATCTTTGATTCACAGAAGTTAAATATATTATCATATTATTTAAAGTCAAATTAGAACCATAAGAACCAAATGAAGGCTTTTCTATCAGGCTATCTCTAACTAGATATTTGACACTTTAAAAATATTTAACTAGTATTAACACTTTGGATCTTCAGAAAAAATTTATTAGAGATATTATTAAAATTATCTGGAGGCTAGATTAAATGGAGCACTGTTATCTATTTCATAAAAGTATTTTAAAGACCTTTAAAATACAGGTTGGGAAGAGTAAAAAAAATACATTGGTAAGTTACTTTTTTATCTTTTTGATGTGAAAGAAATTGAGAAGTGGAAAGTAAATACTTCATTTCAGTTTTATAAAGGAAAATCCTAGAAAATGTACTATAAAGAAAAAGTAAGGTTGTGTTTTCAATAACCTTCAGTAAACCTTTCAGACAATGTGAGGCTTGCCTCCTTTCTCCCAATTCATTTCAAGGACAGGTCAGCCATACACCCCAGCCACATGATGTTGGCACTCATCTTCAACCACACAATGGACTTCTATGGCTTCTCACCTTTATGGATGCTAATCTCTCTCACTAGATACTGCGCCCACCAGAGTCAACTCACCATACCCAACCCCAGGGTCCATCTGGTTCAGTAGGAAAAGCACAAACCAGCTGTTATTTTCTACATGAAGGCTACTCCAACTGCCCTGGGCAGAACTGTTTCCTGGATCCCCCTCTGAGCTACCAAGACAACTTGTTCTTAACAGCATGTACCTTTCTAATCCCATTGCCAAGCTATGACTTTTCAATGGCAATAGACCATGTTGAACTTAACTTTGTACCTTAATGACCTAGTGCAAATTCTTGGCACATATTTGATGCTTAACAAATGCATAAAATGTGAATGAATGAATGAATGAATGAATGAAAAAAACTCCAAGTACTTGGTTTTGCTTGAAGGTGTGTCCCAAGTTCTTTTGGCCTTCTAATTATTTGATCCATATGTGGGGAGTATAAACCATCTCAGAGGTTTCTGAAATGATATTAAATCTCAAAAATGTAAGATTTAAAGATTATCCAAGACTCAGAATGAGAAAAATATGTGGCATAGCTGTTCATCCTTAGTGACCTGAAGAATGTTGTTTAGAATTTCTTGTTTATTGGTGGTAGGAACGCATGAGTACAGGCTTTTGAAAAGCAGTTGGGTAAACTATGTATTTTATCCATCTGAAATACATAAACATTTTTATGAATAAAGTTTTCAATGCAGTGCTACTTTAAACTGAAAGTAAAATATATAAACAATTGTCCAACAACAGAAAGATAATTAATTAATTCAATAGAATATTATGGAGCTTTTATAATTTATAGGAAAGTACTAATAAAATGATATTATGGGAAAAGGAATATTTTGCATTCATGATCACCATTACTGTCTAACAATGTGTATAGAAAAATACTGATTAAAACAATAAAAAAGGAAGCCTTTTTTTTTACTTATCGAATCTCCCATGTTTTTTTCTTTGGAACAAATTTACATTCTTTCACTGTCAAACATAGATTTAAAAATTTATATGAAATAGTAAACTGTTTATATTATTAAACTGTTAATATTCAAAGTTTTTTTTAGATAGAGTTTAAAATATTACAGTTGGAATAGAAGTAATAAAACAGTGGTTTTCACACTTTTCTGAGGAAGTTCAGGAGTCCAAAAGTGTACCTGTTTGTGTATAGTGAGTAACATGCAATTCAATCAGAATAACTTTATTCTTATGTATTTTATTTACTGTGTTTCTATAAAATAGATTTTTTAAAATAAGAATTCGACCACTAAAGACAAGCTTGAGCAAAAACCCGTTTAAGATATAGAAAAAGAAACTGAGGTTTGGAAAAGCAAATTGACCCAGGGTTGTACATTGTTTTTTGTTTGTTTGTTTGTTTGTTTTTGAGACAGAGTCTCACTTAGTCGCCCAAGCTGGAGTGCAGTGGTGTGATCTCGGCTCACTGCAACCTCCACCTCTTGGGCTCGAGTGATTCTCCTGCCTCAGCCTCCTGAGTAGCTGGATTTACAGGCATGCACCACCATGCCTAGCTAATTTTTTGTATTTTTAGTAGAGATAGGGTTTCACCATGTTGTCCAGGCTGGTCTCAAACTCCTGGCCTCCAGTGATCCACCCACCTCGGCCTCCCATTGTACACTGATCTTAATGGAAGTACTATAGAAAGATTTTAGGACCCTTAATATTCCCAGTTCAACATTTTTTCTTTTACACCTAAAGATACGCTACTCCCTGAACTACTGCACCATCTGCCTCTATAAGTACATACTGCTTTGTGCTAGGGAAAAATAATCACATCAATTTAACCTAGAGTTTTAAATGTTATGTCAGGACCTGTATTCTTATTTAATTCACCTAAACCCATTCAGTATTCAGAAAGTTTCCTTCGGAAAAGTAAATTCGCCATTGAGTAAAGCCTAAAAAATTCTCCTCACCAAATTATCAAGCCCTCTCATACAGTGAAATGTGTATTTACAACTTTCTACAAATTGAGAAAGGGAAGAGAAAATTGAGGTTGGTTATATAAAATATCACTTATATAATCGAACTGCAACACAGTGAAATATTTCTGATACCAAGCTTTTTTAAAAATTGACTTTACTGAGGTATCATTTACATTCAATGAAATGCCTCTATTTGAATGGCATAGTCAAATGAGCTTTGGTAAAAGTAGACACCTGTGTAACTTTGCCACAATATAGACAGAGAACATCTGCATTCCCCTAAAATTTTCCTCATGCCTCTTTCCAGTCAACCTCATCCCACCCCAGACCTAAGGCACCATAGATATCCTTTTTGTTACCATGGATTTGTTTTGCCTTTTTAATAATTAGCTATTATTGAGGCAGCTGCCATGTTGTCCCAAAGGCATCAGTTTAATAGTATGTTATATAGATTGTACTATCATCATGAAAGCACAATTAGGCAATAGATGGCATTTGCTATTCAGTTATGAGCCACATAAAATGTTAGAAAGGTCTGAACACCAGTCCATCAGCCCGACAGTTATAGAACCGCCTGCAGGGAATGTGATCTCTGTCCTTAATATCAGAATGGGTTTGATCCAAACCTAGGCTCCTGATCTTTTCCCTAACCAGGATTTTACATGAAGTCTCACATTAGAGAGGACATCTTTTCTCTCTTTTAGTATGAAATGTATTTTAAAAGGTGACCCTGAGAAAAAAATATGACCCTGCTTAGAAAATAATAGCTGAGAGACTGTCCACATCATATCAGGAAAAGGAAATGAAAGATCAGATATGAAATGACTATGCTTCTCTCCCCACCTGTCATATTAAAATATTGCCAATTGGTACTCAAGATTTTCTCCTACTGCAGCAACTTAAAAATAATTTGGATATCAATTTTTTTGCTTACTGTTGTGTTGTGATTCTTTCCTCTGTTGTCACAAGTATGAATATCAGGTAATGGGCACCATTCATTTTTGTGCTTAGTAGTTTTCCTGGGGTGCCAGTGACAGGAGAAATGTATGCATTAAAACAAGCGTGATGAAAAGCAGCTCTCTTTATAATTTCAGCCCAGCTGCTGTATTGATGGATACAATCTCCACCACATGCTCCAGGTGGCTTCTAATGCCTGACTCCCTGCAGAAGCCTCTATTTGCACATCTTAAACCACTTATTGGATTTGAACAGGATTTTTCAGCCTGAGTGCAGTAACAGTGTTCACTTGTGTAATATTTGTAAATCCGGGCTTTACGTTTCACTCAAGAAACCGTCGTCAGAAGACATCCAACAGTCCCTTTGTGCCTCCCCGATTCTCTATTTTGGATTAGATTGTGTCCATTTTGTGTGACTAAAAAGTGTATTGATAAACATATTTTCATCGTGTTGGCATGCATAATAAAAAGCAATTCAATTAATGAGTCTTTTCCTTGAGTGGTGCTTTTCTTTGTCTCTCAGATTCATATAAAATTCATTTAAAGGCTTTGTATTCAAAGTTCAAAAAGGTTAACCTTTTTTTTCAGACTATGCATCTCAAAAGGTTCAGCTCAACTTGTCTTCTGTTGTTTAAATGTCTACTTACTACTGTATCAGTTGCTTTGAATTATTGTGCATAAGACCTTTGTTCAATGCTAACAACACTCTAGTATGACACCCTGTAGCCTGCACAATTCAAGCCTCTTATACTTAGGAATGAGAGTTGGTGATGACTAAAGCAAATGTCTTCTTTTGGTTTGAAATGTAACACAGTACAGCAATCTTCAGGCAGATATTTTTCTCTACTCTTTGTATGCAGGTAATACAAATTTCAAGAGTTCCTAACACAGCAGATATCTCTGCTCAAATAACTGAATTATGTAACATTTAAGAGACTTGATAATAGCTTAATTCACCAATTAGCAGAAACAACAAATGCCCGTGATTTACAGGCAAAGCTGGACATGTGATTATGGTGCTGAACCACAAGGAAACCTTATTTTTTAAGTGCAGGCCACTAACTAGAATTACCTGCCCACCAACATATTGGAAGGTATGAGCCACTGGTTTTATTTTAAGGATTCTTGTCTCTGAAAAGGTTGTGCTTCTTTCCTTTGGAGAAGTTCTTTTAATAGCACACACCATTGGTATTCGGCAGCATAGTGTGTCACACAAGCTAAACCTCAGCCTCTCTGTATCCTCTGTGCAGAATAAAGACATATTCTCTTGTTGAGTGACACTTGCAAGTTGATATTCCAGAGCAGTTGACTGGAATTCTGACCTGAATTCAATTATGCGTATGTGAAATGTGGATAATTACAACAGGATGCTCCGAAGGGTGCTAGGGAGTTAGAGAACCAAGGATTGTGACCTAATGATTGCGTTTAGCTTTGGAGTGGGTTTACACCAATGATCTTTACTGAACTCTCCAAAGCACTCATGTGCAGCAGTGGACTCGATATAATAAACCGAGGGAACATTACACATCTTGTGGGCCAGTAACTGTTGTGCTAAGAAGGATTTGCATTCTGAGAGGGATCTTTAGCAGCAGTATCACCTTTCAGATTCAAAGTCCACTTTCTGAAAGGTACTAAAACATACTTAAGCCTATCGAAATATGTCCTAAGTACATAATGTCAAAATATTCACTAGAAACATAAACTCCAGATGATTCCAATTATGTCTTAGGACCTTTGGGGGTTCTGTGTGGAACCAACAAACAAGGTACGGGCAAAACCAATAAATGAAAAAACGAAGCATGGTGCTTTTTAATTAAAAAAAAATCCCTACTATGACATGAGCTAAGTGCACATGGATATGCATACACTATATAACTTATACAATCTTTTTATTAATAGTAAAAGCTTTAACAGATGTATGGGACATTTTAAAAATAAAATGGAGCAAAATCTAAGCCTTCAAAATTACTTGTGTACCACTCTAAGCATATGAAGCTCCTCAGCTAGGTGTTTTTATCCGGCACACCACATTCTGAATTTAATACTTGTGACCTGTTTTACTGCCATATTCTGGCTTCTCCTCAGTCACAAGTGGCCTGACATTTATCAACTATATTATAATTACTCAACACCATGATTTGGCAAAATGAAGTCACATACCACGAATAAGAATGAATCAGTTGGGCCAATAAGGACTTCACATTTGTTTCTTCTGAGTCTCATTCACATCAGAGAAAAATATCAAATAAGAAATTGATTTTCTCTGCCTGATTGAGACAAACACACCGAGATAGACTGGCTTCGAACTAAGCCATTCTTATCAATCTGAAAATTCCCGAATACTGCTCTGCTTACACCAGAGCCCTTAGATAATGATGTTCTTTCCTATCAGCTGTGACATGCTTTGCTCAGGATGGCATGGGACTTCTGTCACATTTCTGTCTCACATGACAGTAACTGAAGAGAACCATCCAAATTCTACTGTGAATTCCTTGTATTTGTGTATTTTTAGTCACCCAATAGATATTTTCTTGCCCTACTTTCTCTATAGTCTCATGATAGTCATTGTTAAACACATCAAACTTTCAACAAGAACAGGTTCACATGTATTTCCAAATTACCTCATTACCATTCAGTAAGGCAAAGGAGAAAAACTGCTTCTCATTCCGGGTAGCCTAGACAAATGGCTAAGTTTTCTCATTAAAGACTAGCAAGCAAAAATGGGAAGGTAGAACCCTATAATTACTCTAGTGTCACCAGCAAAGAAAACCACAACATTACAGACAAATAACACAGCAAGAGCCACCATACATTGAGATATACTTAGGAGCACTGATTTAACTACCACTATAACCAAATCCATTATTTGTGAGGATTGTAATAAAATGCACTTTATTGCTGCATCCCACTATACTCCTTGCTTTTCCTTAAAACACCATAACATTTAGCCATAGACAAGCAAGAAGAGTTCTGACACTCAATCTGATTTTAGTTATGTGTTTTTCATAATCACTCCCCAATACACAAACACCCCCTCAACATCAAACAAAACAACACAGACTGCACATTCACCAGAACACCAGTTTGTATACACTGACCATGAATTTCCATTCTACACGAGGCAGTACATAGCTTCACTTGTACCTTGCAGTCTTCATGAAACAACTAATCAAGCCATAAAGATCTGTTTCTGCTCATCATGTACAAGCAGACTCATGCTGGTGTAAGGTATATAAGAAAGTTAGAATATGACACCACAAATAGCAATCTGTTATGAGAATGGCTCCCTAGGTTGTCATCTTAGAAGAAGCCTGCACTTTCCCATTATGTGACCTGGAATGTCAGTGTTCCATCGTAATCAGTATCCATGTAATGTCAACCCTTCTGGGTTTTTTTTGTTTTTTTTGGTGTTTGTTTTTTTTTTTTAAGATGGAGTCTCGCTCTGTCGCCTAGGCTGGAGTGCAGTGGATCTCAGCTCACTGCAAGCTCCGCCTGCCGGATTCACGCCATTCTCCTGCCTCTGCCTCTCGAGTAGCTGGGACTACAGGGGCCCGCCTCCACGCCTGGCTAATTTTTTGTATTTTTAGTAGAGGCGGGGTTTCACCGTGTTAGCCAGGATGGTCTCAATCTCCTGACCTTGTGATCCGCCCATCTTGGCCTCCCAAAGTGATGGAATTACAGGTGTGAGCCACTGCGCCCGCCCATGTCAACGCTTCTTAAATGTAAAGCCCAGTTGTCCAGGCTATATTTTTCATTATGGCCAGTGAGAAGTAGCATTACAGTGAGAACTTGCCTTGAAGTGTGCTTATTTAAAAAGGAAAATATGTTTGGAAGAGCTCGTGGGCACTTCTATAGTGAAAGCTGTAGAATCATGGTAGAATATAATTAGTATTTGACAAAGCCCCCAAACAGCAAACGACCTAGAAAACAGTGACAGATACAAATAAAATTCAACTGAAATTAAGTTAACAATTATAAGAAGCAGTTAGACATAGTAATATTTAGAACTTACTGGCCTCCTATTGTACAAATCATTGTAAAAATCAATGTAGGTATGTGAGATTTTCTGTATGAAAATGAAGCTTGCACATGTTGCATAGGGGTTGGAAATTAAGTGCATTTGCAGAATCATCAGGTCATGGACTGACAGGCTAGTAGATCAGCCTTCCTTGTACCCTTATTTAATCCTTTTTACAACATCCTTATTAAATAATTGGGTATGGTGGTCACCAAAATGGTTATCTTCTGATACTGTGCAGGACTGTACTGCCTGGTTTCATAATGCTTGAGGTTAAATGTCTAGCTCTGGCCAGTGAGTTGTGGAGTGGAAATAATGTGTCACTCATATGCTGCAGCATTTAATAGTCCATTCAGAAACCTCTACAGCATATTCCTTCTCCTTCAGTCATAATAACTAGCAGCATTCAAGATAATGGCTATTCCCTGAACCTGTGCCTGGGGTGACTCAAATGGTCAAAGTATCCCCACCAACCCATGATGGATATAGAACATGAACAATATTGTCTGCCACTCCTGAATTTGGGGTTTGTCTGCTATTGTAGCATCTCCTACTATTTTCTGATGGATACAATAACCTCTGGTTAAAAAAAAAAATTCAGTGACAGCAAAGGCGTTATTTCAAAGGTATCCTGTTCCATTTGGGGATTTCTCTAAGGTTTAATTTTTATCTTTTTTATATTGGTCCTATATCCATCTATTTGTAGCATTTGATTATTAGGCTAGTTTTACTTCTTGAAACCATAGAATGCAAATCAAACTCATCTATGATTGTCTATCATGTTCAGTTAGTCATTTATTAGCAAACATTATTAATCTTCTATGAAATGCCTGGCAATGAGCTAGATGAGTAGCACCAAAAATAAGTAAAACACAGGCCCTGCCATAGAGGAGCTTATACTCTAGTAGGTGTATTCCTAGGCCCTATATGTGGATACCACAAAAGTGGTACTCAGTACTCTTGCAATTTTGTCTATCTTCTTACATTTTGTGGTTGTTGTTGATTTATTGTTAAATGTCCCTTTAGCAGAAATTGATATTAGGGCTTCAACACAAGAGTCAGGTAGACTGCAGGATAGGTGTTCATCTTAAATGGGCCAATGTTGAGAAGAGTTGCCAAGCCAAGAAAGGATTTTTGCAAAAAGTGCTGAAATCCTTCATCCACAGCATCTCTGGTAAAAGCTTGCATTATGTTATGATTGTCAGAGCCTTTTCTTGTGACAGCCCAGCCTGGCGCAATATACAAGCCCAGTTGTTTTGAATCCTCCCTCCTCACCACCCCCTCCTCTCCCTATGTAGCTGACATGCTTCCACGCATAAAAATTAATGTTCCCATTTTAACTGACTCGTTTGGCAGGAACAAGTTTGCAAGCCAAAGCAAACATGGAAGGAGGGAAAGAAATAAAGCACAAACAAGAGGGATGAAGGGTGCATTTGGGGATTTTACAAAATTGAGTACCAGTATTACATACATTAAAATAAAAAAAAATTTATAATTTTTAAAACTCATATTAAGCTGATGCCAATCAAGTCACAATAATGAAGTAATGAAGTGAAAATAAACAGTGCTAAAATGAGAGGCAAATAATAAAGTTTATGTTAAAATTACAAGAACATAAAAGACATACATATCATATAATTTTCAATTTTCTGTTGGACACACATTTTTTTCATTAGAAATTTCACCTAAAAATTAATCATTATTCTATTAATGATATATATATTTTTGCCTTCATTAATTATGAGCTTTACAAAACACCAGTTCTAAAATTATCTTATGCACAGGCCCCAACTAAAATGAGAGTTTCAGTTAAAACTGTTCATTCTCCTTACTGTCATTTCCTTTGCCCTGAAAGACTCATATTTTCCAGAGCTATGATAGCCTCAGAAAGAGCGTGCTCGGGGCCTTCAATTACACAGAGAAAACCCGGTAGGTGGTTTGCTTGCATAGTAACAGGAGGGCAGTACACAGCAGCGAGAGGCATTAAATAATAGATACGTAAAATATAATTCTAACATTTTATGTGTAATGCTTTTAAGATACAAGGATAATAAATAATCTAGAATTAAATGATTATTCACATTTGGACTGCATAGTTCCTGCTGCATTTACCATTTAGCTGAATTTCTAATAACAATAGCTAATTATTAGGATGGCAATTCAAGGAAAAGAATGTTTAAAATCATCCATATATATGATAAATGAAGAAAAATAGGTTGAATAATTATCTGGTTATCACTACTTTAGACTGAAAAGAAATAAAAAAAGAAAACCTCCTGGAGAAACACTTGGAGATGTGGATAGAATGTAAATGAACTACCAGGCTTTTCCATCCCAGGTTAAGCCCAAACACTGCACAGTTACTCCTCAGCATTGATACATTGTCCTGTTAGAGCACAATGTTCTTATAGGTCAGAAATAAGGTGTATTTTTTCCAAAGAAAAAATAGATTGGAAACGTATATTTCTTCCCTGTCACGTCCTATTCTCTTAAAGAGCCAAAGCAAAATATATGGTAGAACTAATGTAAGGCCCAGTATTTTTATCCCTATGTATGCCAATCTGTAACTGCAGCAGTAAAACTTTCAACATCAAATGACCCTTTTTATGTCTACTTTTATTTCTCTTGTATTCCAATTGCAAAGAAAGTCTATAAAACAGTTGCACTCTGTACCTTGAATATTCAATTCAAGTTGTCAAAATAATGAAGGAATGGCTGAAGTTTAAAAATAGACTTGTCTGTGACTTTCATTAGAGTGGGTAAAAGAACTTCATTTTTAAAAGAAACTACATTAATAAATAAACTTTACCTAGTCTTAATTTCTAAGCAAGTAAAAACAGAATTCAGGACATTTTACTTTGTACAATTTGCCTTCTAATCAAGTGTTTTCTAAGATTTTGTTGAATGTTAAAGATTAATTTGATTGATCAATTTAAACAATTTCTTCTATGACTCTATATCTTATTTTAAAGTTTTAAGTATGTTCTTTTTTAATATTTCTGTAATTCTCAAGAGATAAATGGATGGATAATGTTTCATTTAATTTTAATTTCTCAGCAAGTGACCACATTGTATAACTAGTAAATTAGTATGGTTAGAAACATGAATAGAGGATAATGTTTTGGGCAAATAAAACTCACGCAAATTAGTGTGCAGCACACTTTACCAACAAGCAAAATCATGACTATATTGCATCTTGTTAGCTACAAAAATTATGCAATTTATAACATTGACTCAAATTCAGATTACTTTTACACATCAAAAGAATATATTTGCAGTTTCCTTCCTCAGATTTTTCCATGGAGTTCTTTTGTTTGTTTGCTTGCTTGCTTCATTCGATTGCTTACGGGTCTGGGATACAGTAGTTCTGACCACTTGTCTCATATTTGTCACTAATGGTCTTTCTGAGCCTCTGTTTTCTTATCTATCAACTAAATGGTTGAATTAGCTAATCCCTAAAACTAGGTTTAGATCTGATTCAAGGATACTCAAATTAGACTATAATTCCTCAATCTTTTCCAGCCATAAAATGCTGTTTTTCAATATCTCATACTCTCTATTACTTATAGCAGTAGAGGCAACTAGGCTACTCCACACTTCATTTCATCTCGCAGGAAAGAGTGGACATTCAAGGGGCAGCCAGCCCCCAAGATGGTCCCCAATGATCCATACCTCTGGTGTTCATTATCTTTTGTAGTACCGTCTCAAAATGAACCAACACTGGCCCTGTGTAACCTGTAACCCTGTGTAAACAGGACAGAAGTGACAATATATGACTCCTGAGGCAAAGTCATAAAAGGCATTGCAACTTCTTCTTTGATTTCTTGTAGATCATGCTCTTGGGGAAGCCAGCTGCCATATTGTGAGGGAACCCAAGCCACCCTGTGCATAGGCTGCAAGTCAATAGCCCCTCTTGAAAGTGGACCCTCAGTCCCAGCATGTTCAGAGAGGGCTGCAGCCCTCTGACTTCAACTACATAATCCTAGCAAGAACTGCCCTGTCATGCCATTTCTGAATACCTATCCTAAAGAATCTGCAAGCATAATAAATGACTTCTATGTCACTAATTTTCAAATAATTTGTTGTATAACTGTAGTAATTGGAACAAAGATAAACAGGATGGTGGTAGAAAGAAGAGAAAATTATCATAGAGAGGAGACAAAATACCTTCCAATCTTATGGATTCAATATCACCCTAAAACAAATAAATTAGATTTTTCTTAAAGTAGTTATAATATTTATTCAAAACACAGTGGTCACTAAATATTCTAATATGTTTCATGATCTGTGTTTATGCAGAGAAATCATAATCACTAAGACATCACTGTTGTTTTTAAGGATCTCAAACAGAAATAGGAGAGGCGGGTTTTTGCATTAATGGTCCCAAATCTCAATCTCTGTATCCACTAGGAACAATTCCTAAACACTAAAGACTAACACAGTTGAGGGATTTGCCCTCCCGGACTCCTAAGAAAAGTTTTAATGGTCTTTGAAACTTTTAAAGTGTCAAATCAAAAGGAAAAGGAATAGAGAAAAAGGATAAAAGTCAGAATGGGACAGGGCATGTGGAAGAATCTCCAGGGAGTTTGGAAGAGAAAGATGCAGTAGCTGGAGGGGGTGCTGTGGGAGAGGCAATGAGAAAATTGGAAGGAGAGAAAACTTTGAGAGGAGAGCACTATATGTTAGAATTTTCTTTAATATTCTCTGATAGAGATAAGGAAAAAAATAAGTTTTTTTTAATTGCCCATTTTAACTGTGCATCATTTAGTGCCACTATTCCAGCACCACATGCATTAGAAGTTCTTATAATTATAAAAGTAAGAAAGTGTGAAATATATCTTGGCAGAGTATTCCTGAGAGAACTACAGAAGGAGCTACCAGTTGGTGCAGGGTAGTCACCAGGGGTCATAAGGAGGAGCTGACTGTTGAACCAATAGTGAAGCATCTACAAGCTGTGGAGGTGGGAGCTCACATAGTTCACTCCAACTGGAGGAAAGAGGGGGTGTGCAAAATGGAGAGAGACAGGTAGGGACAAATCTGGAGAATGTCTGGGTACCTTACCTTTATACTTGGCTGCTGGCCCTCAAACATTTGTCCATGAAATGCTTCATCAAAGTCCCCCAGGGATTAAACTCTGAGCCCATCATAAGCCTACTGAACTAACATCTTCAGAGACAGGAGTTCTACCAGGGGAGATTGATGGGCAACCAGGCTTGGAACTTCTCCTGAGGCAATAAGATGCAGTTATAAGCTTTTTGAGCAGGAAAGTAACATGATCATGGATGTCATTTTGAATGCTCATTTTGGCCACCGTGCATATGCTGGGGTTTAGGAGAAGAAAAAGGAAGTTAGGAAGCAAGGAAGGAGACTATTCAGCACTTTTGGTGGAACCAAGGCAATATAGTAGCACTGAGGATGTACAGAAAAGAAATGGAAAATCAATACATCTTCGAGACTGATAGGTTGTGGAACACATCATTTTTATGTTAAGTCTTCAGGGGCCCTTTGCTCCACCCCTAAATCCTCCACCTATCTGGCACTACCTAAAACTCTTTAGAAGAGCGCAAATGCTTTTTTTTTTATCGCTATTGAAAAGTGCTTGAAGTTTTAAAATGCCTAGTTGAGGAATAATAGTGGAAATCATTCACACGTGCAAAATTAATGAGAATAGTGAAAAGTTGATATTAGATCATTTCTCTTTTAAATAAGAAGCACCTTCACAAAGAAAGAATGCACTGAGAATGATGAGCACCTCTCATGACTTCATAATTTTGCTTACAATAATAAAGACAGGCTATGTTGATTTGAAAGAATATTGATCATTACCCAGATCTTTTGGTAAATTCCACCTCTCCAAGCTCAAATTTTAAACTTTCATTCAAATTAAATGTTTATTTTGTGCATGGTAGGCTAACGCAGGCTAGAAGAATATCTGAATATTTTGAGTATGTTGAGAACACAGACCATACCATGCTCTGTTTTCTGTGCTGGAAAATTTATCATTTACTTATCTTTGTTTATCTATGTATTGATCAAATACCTATAAGGAACTTAAAATGTGTCCAACATTGCTCTAAATTCTAAATAAATATAATTTACTTTTAAAAATGCTTTATAAAGTACATATCATTATGTATCTTATGTACTCAGAGTTTCTCCATTTTGCAGAGGAGGAAACCCAGTCACTGAGATGTTCAATAACTTGTCTAGATTCACACAGCAAGCAAGAGGCAGAGCCAATTTGAATGTAGGCAGTTCAGAATCTGTGTCCTTAGCCACTTCTACAATATATGTTCCATCAATATTTACTGACTGAAAGAAAGAATAAATGAACAAATTATTCACTTCATGGTTCATAAATCCATTAAACAAATATTTTTGAGTTTCTATTTTGTGCTAGGACTTGTATTTTACCATCTCTGAAATATAATATTGTCTTAGATAATGAAAAAATAGACATTGATGACGGTAGCTGGAGAGCAGGGTTTGCCTCAGCTAAATCTATGAGATCATTATCCTCAATGCAGACTCCATGTAAATGAAATCTTCAGGAACTTTAACTTTTATTTTATTAACTTAAGGATAAATTATTGATTTTCTGGATTTATTTTTTAAAGCACCTATAGTGAACCTTTGGCCATAAATTGTAAAATCAATACTGACTATTAATAACAAAATGGATTACCTTTCTCTATAAAGAGAATTCCAAATTGATAAATGTGAGGTACTTTAGTGCCTAGAAATTTAAGAGATATCATTTCCACGAAGAAATACACTTAAAATATATATATGTTTTCTAGGAAGAAAAATCTAAAGATGTGTATTTTTGTTGATCTGATTAAGAGCCCTAAAATATTATAGGTATTAAGAAAGAATAGAAGCCACATAAATGTAATTATATTAAGATGTCAGAATATAATTAGGAGCTTACAGAATGGCCCATTATTATGATTAGGAAAATAAAACATCACATCTGAAAACCTGAGACATGGGCATTAGCTGAAACCTTCAGTTGTTTATTTCATACATAGATGATAGAGGTATCTTTAAAAAAATAGATATAAAATCCACTATCTGGTTTGCTTAGGGAAGAGTTCATAAGATCTTGTCTCCCGACTAACCCTACTTAGAGCTCTTCACTTACTTTTCAGATCAGTTTTTACCAGCCCTTGTGTCTGTTAACAATGAGTATCAGATTGTAAATATATTGAGAAGATGTACTTAACAAAATATAGATATCTTGGAAGGCAATGTTCGATACATTGTAAATAAAATTATTCTTGGATATCCTCCCAAATCAGCAGCCTGAAATTATAATATACTAAACTCATCTTATTGTTATTACAACTATACAATTTTTATTGCCATCTCTCATTGGGACTTTTTTTAACCATTGCCTCATTAAAACTATTCAGTTGAAGAAATAGAACAACATATTTCTTTTACTTCCCTTGGAATATTTTGGGCCACGTACTTACCTGGAGAACTTTGAAACAGATTATTTCACTACAGTGAATATGAGGTAGCAATTTAGTACCTGGTCTATAACAAGAATTATTTATAACAACACTGAATAATGTATAAGTTTTGACTGTGACAACAGTAAATGTCTTTGAATAGCAATAACGAAGGCGCATTATTATAGAAGAACACCACAGAAGCCTGTGAAAGAAATTCCAGTCTAATAGAGTTATGAAGAAGTATCAAATATAAATGAGTTAGTCACATGAACAGGAGAAAGCACTAAGTGGCTTCAATGATGGGACAGCTCTGCAATGTGGGTGGTTTCATTTTTTCCTGTCTTTATCTGGTGTTGAAATGTTGGCTGATATACCTTTAAATTAAGTCAAATGAATTTGAGATTTTTTTCCCTCCTTATGTTTAAGATGAACTTAAGGAATTTGGTAACAACAAATCGGTCTATAAAACTCTAACATCATTTTCAGTCTTGTTGCTTAGATTTATTTTTTTACTTCATATTTTCCACAGTAATTTATTCTCCTTGGGAAGCAGTTATTTTACCCAGATTTTACATTGGAAAAATATGTACTTATAATTCATGTAATTCAGAATTAGAAGCTAATTAATATTTTAATATTTATAATAATATGTTAATATTTTAAAGATGATTTTAATGTGGTTTAATTCTTTAACATTAATAATTAATGATACTTTTAATATTAAAAGTCATTATAATATTCTGTTAAATGCTTCAAAACAGAAGATAGATTTCCAGATTATTTCCAGAACTACCAGAATGGATGTAGCTTTCTTAGACATCTATATTCTCAGAACTATTAGGTCAGTGCAAAAGTAATTGCGGTAATTAAAAGTAACAGCAAAAACCGCAATTACTTTTGCACCAGCCAAATCGGTATTATTGGTTCTTCATTGTCTCTGTAGATTTCTGAGTTTGAAACAAGAATAGATTATTGGCTTTCCAACCTATTTTTTGCATTTACAACTAGCGTTTACCCCTGATTTCTACTCTTTACTTCCTCCAAATTATTTGAGTACAATTTAGAAACACTTCCTACTTCTTTTACCTCTATCAATGCCTCGTCTCTATATTTTTTTCTGAAAGAAAAAGACTACGAAAAACTTCAGAGCTGGTGTCATTCTATAACAAAGGAAGTGAAAAGCTAACCAAGCCAATTCCAGTGGAAAAAAAGTCAATATCTGCATGGTATGTGTCAGATTTGTGGGATAAAAGTTGATACTATGTTAGACATTTAACACATTTGCTTAATGATGATTTCTTTTATCTCTCATGCTGATGGAGGGTTGATACAATGTCATTAGAAGTTAATTTTTAAAAATTAAATAGTGGATGCCCTATGTTAGGTCATACATATATTTGAATTAGAAGCTTCGATACCAAACTAATCACCTCCCAAATGCAACTGTGCTGCATGCTTTCATTTCACACCCAGGGAGCAGGCATGAATATCCCAAATGGAGGAGATATACAAACAGGTTTCAGTATGCACACACTGCTACCCTGGGACTGGGTATGTTGCCTATTTGTGTACACAGTATATGAATGTGTGCAGAGCAAGTGGGGATTGCAGCTGAAACACAGCAAAACTTAATACACTACTGCAGAAAAAACTTTACAGGAGGAAACTAAAGGTGCAAACCACCTTTTAGAGTGAGCTTCCATGTGAAACAACACAATGTTTTCTAATTATTACAATGTGAAAATCATTAGAATAAATTGAAGCAAATTTATTTTCCTCCCTGATTCCTAATTACAATATACAGGCTACAGATAACAGCCTTTTTCTGTTGTCACTATTTAGTAACTTTGAGCCAGTTTTTAGCAGTCCACCCTCTCCATTGTATGATGCTATAAATTGCAACACAATTCTGCACATCAACGTGTAATTTCCCCCAAGGTTTTATAAAATTCATTAATATAAAACATTAATGTGGAGGGTCTGTAGGCCTTTTTTTTGTGGTTAAGAGTTTAAATCCATTGACTTGTAACTGGCTTTTAAAATGACATTTTTCCTCGCTGCCTTCAATTCAGTCCAAATTAAAAAAAATAAAATAAAATAAAAAGATGCCAGATGTCATGAGGCCAATAAGCAGGTGGGCTGAAGCTTCTGTACCAATTCAAACTGGCACTGCATCAAACCTGGTGGGTATAACCTTTAATTCACTGCTTCCCTGGCACCAGATCTAGTGCCATCTGCTCAGCCTTGCTAAGCTGTGCTTGTTTCTGTGCAGGGACGATGCCAACAATGCAAACTGTCTCCTACATGTGCAGGGAATCATCAGTGCAACTAGTTTTTCGAGACCCATATGGTGGCATCTGCGAATGCACACTGTCAGCATCGCTGCCTGTACCACCCTTCGAGTTTTAAGAATGGGAGGAGAGAATGCCAGTTTGTAATTCACTATAGAGAGCCAGGAGGAAAACTTTTTCCTTCCTTCTGAGTGCTTTTCTTAGGGTCTTTTGAAGTGAGCACCCACGGAATTAGAAGAAACTTGACTGTAGCTCAGAGGCCAAGAACTCTAGGAAGCTTCTGTGAACATCATACCTGGTATGAATCCCCTCACGTATTTACTAATCAACAGAAACCAAAGTCCTCCTCTCTGCATGCACCAGTACTCCAGAGTGTTATCTTTTAAGAATTCTTTCTTATTTCCATTAAGACTTTGAATACTAAGATTCAAATAGATGTAGAGAGTGCTGAGGGGGAGGTCATCTTGCTCTCCCAGGAATTTAATGAAGATGGAAGAATGGATTTGTTTTATCACTGTCTCCACTCAGCATGTCTTAGAGATGCTGAGCGTTTTTGAACTATGGCCCTTTATGGAAAATGACCCTTCACCTACTTATTTTTCCATATTATTTGGTGGGTGCTGATGAGGTGAATTGAAGGAAACACACACAAGCACAGACATACATGCGCACGCGCACACACACATATGCGCGCGCGCGCACACACATTCACACACACACACACACCAACTCTGCCTTGTGGAATGGCCGGAGAGGCATAAGCTAAGTGTGTGCAATGGCCAATGGCCTCAGAGCCCACAGCTCTCAGGTGAAATGGTGAAGTTTCTAGTTTCATGCCCACTGGTCATTCTTCACTCGGTTTCCTGTCGCTCTGAGCCTGATTTCTAGTGGACAGGAAACTCTAATCAGCTCTCCACTGCTAAACAGACAAATATATACAATTTGTTAGTTTGCTGGTTTATTTTCCATTTCTCACTGACTACAATTTCCATGAAAAAAAGGAATCTGCTTGGCTAAACTTTCTCAATCTAGCTTCTAGCAACATATCCAGCACACAGTGGTTACTCAATAAATATGTAATAAATCAATGAATGAATAAACACGGAGAAAATGCTGCTTTTAGGCAGTCTAAGAGAAACAATAAATATATTTCAGAATATATGAGATATACCAAATATTGATTAATATAACTGAATTTGTATTACTGAAAACAAGTAATAATATATTAACAGTACTATTTACTGAATATCAACTATATACTAAACAGTTTGCTAAGCATTTCACATTCTTTATTTTATAACTTTAGCAACCCTCTTAATTAGTAATATGACTCCCATTGTATGGATGAGAGAACCGGGTCTGGAAGTTTAGCCAGTAAGCATGAAAAGCAGGAGTCAAATCCTGCTCTATCTGACTCCAGAGCCTAAGTTTTTAATCACAACATTAAATGGTCTCTCCTCTATCAAAATATTTGGTAAATTCAGCCTAAATTAAATGGAAAAAGTGTCAGACTAATAGGTGTATGAATCTACCATATGTTAGGTTTTATTTCAAAAGTTTCCTGTTCGTCAAACTATTATAATTGCTTTATGATTATTATTAAGTTAAGGATTTGGGGCAGGTATGTGTTTAACCTTACTTTTACTTACTTAAAATACATTCACATTCTATCATACATAAAACATATGTGTCTCACTAAGGACCCTAAAATTCTCAAGTATAAAAAAATATAATTCTCACTCTGTTAACACCCATTTCTGACGGTTACATTTTTGCATATATGGGAACTCTTGACTGATGTATTAGTGATCTGGACACCATCTGGCAAAATAAAGATCCTGAAATACAAGGCTCAATCATTTAGGGAAAGGATAATGATAACTGTAGTGCAATATTTATCACACACACATTTGAGAATGTTAATTCACCTGATAAACATTAACAACTAAAACTAGAGAAACAATACATTTTCTAAACATAAAATTACTAAAAAAAAAAGTATAAATGATATCAGCTATCACTGTATACAGTGATATAGTTTAAGCAACACAATCGGAGCCTAACAGCACTGCTTCACCAAAAGAAATGCAGCCCCTAAAATTAGTTACCTTGAATTCACACTTACGTATCTTTTACCTTAACTCCCAAATTATCTCTTTTCAGACTTTTAAAACGATTTTCTTCCCTTTGATTTGTTCAAAATCATTCTATTCCTCACCTTTACCTCAATGTCCTCCAGGGCACATAGTTTTTCCTAGTAACAACAAAAGAAGGGAGGCAAGAAGGGAAGTCAGGGAGGAAGGAAGGAAGGAAGGGAGGGAGGGAGGGAGGGAGGGAGGGAGGGAGGGAGGGAGGGAGGGAAGGAAGGAGAAGAAGAGAATGAAAAAAAGGAAAGGAAGGGAAGGGGAGGGGAGGGAAAGGACTTAATATGTTAACACCTGCTATAGGGAACATTTCAAACAGAAATTCAGCCAAAAGTCCAGTCTCAAATGTGCATTTATTTTCAATAATTAGTTTTGTTAATGCTAAAGAGATACCAGAGCAAGATGGAAAAGATCAGAAGATAGCAAGATTTTTTGAAAAAATGGATTATTAAAAATACAATTTTAAATAGAACATATACATTGAGAGCAGAAAGGGGGTCACAGTGTAGAGAAGCACAGGCATACATGCTAAATGGATGTTAGTGACCATGTGTCCTTTAACAATATGCCTAATCTCAGGCTGCAGTAATTTTTCTAGTTCACTGAATTATTCAAGGATCAAATACAATAATGGATATGACACTGCGTTGTTCAATGTGGCATGCAACACAAATGTAAGGTGACTTTTTATAAGCATTATTATCATCCCTTATTGCCAGCCATGGCCCAAACACTTTTGTCAACAGAAAAAGGACAGGCAAGATTCTCATCATCAGGAAAGTCTGACTCCAAATGGCAGATGCCTAGAAAATGACCACTTTGCACATTTAAGTTCCACCTCATCTCACACCAGAGCTGCCAGGTCAACTGACTTGAGCTTCGTAAACCTAAATCAGCACATTTGGGTTCTCAGTGACCACACTCTTCATTTGCATTCAGGTAAGTCTTGCAACTTGAAAGCTGTTCAGAGTTTAAACCTCAATGGAAAATCTTGTCTGAAATTCCTGGGAGGAAACTAAGTATCAACCTGGGGCAGCTTCCTGAAATGGCAGAACTGAAGGCTTAATTAAGTTTAGAAGCACTATCCTGCCTTCTCACTCCAGCCCTACCTCCTTCGGCAAAGTCCACCCAGGCTCCACACACAAGAGGTGGGTGACGGCTGTGGGGAAGAGATTCTGCTCTGCTCTGACCTGCAGTCTTGGTCCCACTATCTTTGCCTTCTTTGACCTTCTAGTGCCTCCTCTTCTCGCCTCTTTCAGACTCTTCATACAACTAGGTATGTGACGGCACCAGCTCTGCCCAGTTCCAATGGCAACATAGAATAAAAGCACATGCTCATCAATTAAAACATTACAACATAAGCGTAACTGGAGACTTACTTCCCAGACCCATTATCTAAACACTTTGCTATATTTAATCCTTACAACATCTCCATTAGACAGATGAGAAAACTAAGGCTTGTGGAGGTGAAGAGTCTTCTTAGGACCCACAAACGTAAGTGGCAGAGATGAAATCTCAACCTGGGCATATCTGATATTCACACTTGAGCTCCTGAATCCAATGCTAGAGCTGTGCCTCCTGGGGAAGAGGTGGTAGGCTTGGAGGACAAGAAGCCAGAGAATTATCATGGTGCATCATGCAAAACTTTTTTATTTGAAGAGTTTTTGTATGTGAAAAATATGTTACATTAAAACAAACAGGATGTATTATGGAGTAGAAATCCATAAGAATATAACTTTTAATTAAAAAAAATAAAAGAATTCAAGTAATTGCATGCATGCATGGCTACCCTGTCATGGGAGGAGCTCCTGCCTTTCACTCTGCCATGTGGGGGTAGCTCAGTGAGGAAAGCAGACCGTGGATACCAGAAGGGACCCCTGATTCACCCAAACTGGTGGTGCCCAAATCTGCCCATATATTAGTATTATCGGGGATGTTTTGTTAAAAAAAATACCCATGTATAGGCTTTACCTACAAAGATTATGGTTCAGTTGATCTGGAGTGGTCCCAGGCATCAGTATTATTTAAAAACTCCTCAGCTAGAGATGAGAATGACTCCACAACAAAAAGCATGCATGATAATATTGCTTAAATAAACATGATTTAAATAAGTGCCTTTTCTCATTCATTCAATACATGTTCATTGCATGCCAGTGTGAGCAGGGCACTGGACTTGGGACAGTGGCAGAGATACCCCTGGACTTATGATGGGGTTAGGTCCCAACAAAACCATCATCGTAAGTTGAAAATAGTGAAAGGCGAAAAGCATCGAATACACTTAACCTACCAAACACCATGGATTAGCCCCACCTACCTCAAATGTGCTCAGAAATCTTACATTAGATTTCAGTTAGACAAAATCATCTGGCAACACAGTGCACTGTAGAATGTAGGTTGTTTACTCTCATGATTGCATGGCTGACTGGGAGTTGAAACTCGCTTCCCAGTATTGCAAGAGTATCATACCACATATTGCTAGCCCAGGGAAAGATCAAGAATTCACAATTCAAAGTTCAGTTTCTACTGAATGCATATTGTAAAGTTGAAAAATTGTAAGTCAAATCATCATAAGTGGAGGACTGTCTGTACTTCTATACAATTCTGCAATTCATGTCTGAGATGTCTCCTGGAGGCCTGAAAGACTTAATTGGGCTGTCTCATTACTTTTCATTTCTTCATTTCTGCCCTCAGACAGATTGCATTCAATAGTAGTTTGAATAGCCTCTTTTTATAACCCTTATCTCTAGCTGGCGGCAAATAAAATGGTGGAGGAAAGAAAGAAATAATTTCCTCTTGATGTCACCAAGAGACAAAGTTACAGGACTAGTGCTAGGTGAAGGCAAAGTAGAGGCGGATGTTAACAGAAAAAAAAAAAAAAAAAAGGAATGAGAATCTGACAGAAGCAGTATGACTCACCAGCTGAGAATGTACCCCCGCTGAATTCTGAATTCCTCTAGGTCAGGTGTTGAATGATCACTAAACCAAATTGAAATAGGATGATGAATTTAAGCATATAGGACATTTGTGCCAAGCCAGTCATTGCAACGGTGACACTGAGAGTGAGAGACAGAGAGAAAGGATAAAGAAGACACCAACAAAGGAATTAAAGAAGTTGTCATTTTAGGAAGTTGTGGTTTGAAGTAATGCCAAGAGAAGACCATGCATGAATAGCTACTGAGATTGAGCAGTTTCTAATCCAGTCACCAGCATTTGTTAACAGACAGTTTGCAGGATTTTGACTCAGGTTCAGGACCCATCCGATCTTCAAATTATCTGTTTGCAATTGAAGACTTGAGGCTGCCTGATGAAGCTGGATAACATACCTAACTCAGGCATTTAAGTGCATCCTTGTGTTCCCTTATAGGTGATAATAACTGGTGTATTATTTTGAATTCCTCTATGCGTGGAGCATTGCTCTAAATGCATCTCATGGATAAAACCATTTCATCATAGCAATAGCCCTATTATACAATAAGTATGTGCCGCAGCAAGGGTGTGCACTGCTTAGGTCTCCTTTCATAAGACATTCTAAACCCACTGCTATGCTAACTCTCAAGCCACACTGTCCCTGGGCTGTTCCCAGCCAATAACTGAGCACAGCTGAGGGTATCAGAGCCAAAGAACTGTGTCAAACATAGGACTACTCTAATGGGCAATATTTGCTCAGGGACTCCTCATTAGCCTGGCCAGGATTTTCTTAGAAGTGCCTTACAGTATGAGGATCTTCCTTCACAATTCTTTCTTCCCACTCTCCGTTCATGGGTGTTAGACTTACTTTTGTAATCTGAAGGTTCTCCATGCTATGCTTGCTCTCTCTCCATTTTATACGACATAGGTGCTTCTCCCAATGTCTTGCATATCTATATATGTCTTGCATCTTCTTCTCAGAGTACTTGAACTGACAAATTTTGATTAACCATATTATCAGGGGATCATTAAACAAAACATTGATCAGTTGACCAGGAAGTAACAGAGCAGGTATTTGAATCCACGGAGAGAGACTTTGGTGTTTTCTCTTAATAATTATGTCCATGTTGAAAACTCCTGGGAGGAAGGAGACTGGGATCCACTCTCTATTGATATGAAACTATGACGGATTTGGAAGGTCTGGCAACAAAAAGGACAAGTGGACTCATTGACAAGATACTCTTCCTAGCCTTAATGTGACATTAAGGGAGTGGTGCTATATCTGATGAACTTGTTTCTCAGACCCAGGAAGTGAAAAGGGATAGATGTGGCAAAGGAATGGAGATTTGAGGTGCTGAAGGAAATATGCCCTGATGCCCCACAGGCTGGTGAGAACTGTAACTTGCTGATCACATGTTATGCAATGCAATGAATGACAGAGCTAGAGCAATCTCTTTTGTTTTTTGTTTTTTCTGCCAAATTTCTTTCAGGCCCACAGCATCTTATTATGAAGAGCAATAATGTGGAGACAATGCACAGTCTTTGGCAGGAGGCAAATCTGAGTTCAAATTTCTGTTCCTTGTTATCTGGGTGACACTGTAATATTCAATCTCTAGGAATCTCAATTTTCACATTTGGACTCTAGAGATAATATAATTCTATTTTAAGAATTTTAAAGCATTGCATGAGATAACGTAAATAAATTACTGTGATACGTGGTAGTAATGCTACCAGTGCTGATTAATTTTCTAAAAAACACATGCTTTGAATTTACATGGTGGGGTTCAGTTTCTCCAGGTACCAAGATAGTTATCTGGGTCTAGGAAAGTCTTGGCCAGCTTACAGGTGAGAGCTTACCCCTAGTTTTTTTAATCTGAACCATGATGAATTACTTGGTATGTGTTTTGCTTTCCCTATCAGTATTTCTGAAAGATGCAGTGACTCCTTATACTATTCAAGCAAGAAAATCCATTGCTTTTCATCCGTCTAAATGAGCTCCCAATTGAGACTACTTTTCTTACTCTTGCTTCTTCTCTCTTTGTGACTTGTTTACGAACAGTAGAGATTCAATACCTTTCTTATTTTTCAAAAATGCCATTTGATTACAACCTTGCTCCACACACTCCTTAGGGCTTATTGAGGTGTCTTGTGTAAAAGAAAGAGGCCAAGTAGTTGGTCGTGAGGTCATCTCTACATGAAGATTTCTCCTCTTTTAAAGATTCTCTTTGAAGAAAGGTGATTTCTGTTATATCATTGCATAACTAATCATCTTAAAACTCAGTGGCTTAAACCAACAGCAGTAATTTATTCTTGAATCGTAAATTTGAGAAGAACTTGGTTGGATGGCTGCTACAGGCTCAAGGTCTCACACAGTTGCAGTCAGATGGTGATTGGAATGCAGCATCTGAAGACTGGCAGGGCTTCTCTCTTCATTTAGCCACAGGGATTCTCCATGTGGTCTCTCCACATGGACCGGTTTGGACTTTCACAGCATGTCAGCCTCAGGGCAGTGGCACTGCTTCCATGAAGACTTGTGTACCAAGACAGGTGTTCCAGCTCCCAGCTGAAGAGCAATTGCCTATTATTATTGTATCAGTCAGGGCTCTCTAGAGGGACAGAACTGATGGAATATATATATGTTTTTTATATATATCATATATATTATATATATCACATTTATATCTATATCTATATATAAATAGGAGAGAGTTTATTAAGTACTAACTCACAAGATCACAAGGTCCCACAATAGGTCATATGCAGGTTGAGGTGCAAGGAGAGCCAGTCCGAGTTCCAAAACTGAAGAACCTGGAGTTGATGTTCGAGGGCAGCTTGGGAGAAAGATGTAGACTGGGAGGCTAGGCCAGTCTCTCTTTTCACATTTGTCTGCCTCCTTATATTCTAGCTGTGCTGGAAGCTGATTAGATGGTGCCCATCCAGATTAAGGGTGGGTCTGCCTTTCCCAGCCCATTGACTCAAATATTACTCTCCTTTGGTAACACCCTCACAGACACACCCAGGATTAACTCAGTATTAACTATCACAAGTCCACCCCTTGTCAACTTGAACACATACACATCTCCTGAGATTATACATAATCTTCAAATAAAGACAATAATAAGGTCATAATTATGCCTGACATAATACAGCTATCCTTCATAAAACCAGAAATGCACCAATCCTCGACCCAAATACTGGCACATAAAATTAACAATACTTAAATGTTGATGTGAAGTCAATAAATCTTATACCACATGATAAAGGGAAAGGAAATAAAATGAAGATATTTTCTTAGTACAAGTGTACACATGCACAAACATGTTATTTTATTATTATTATTATTATTATTATTATTATTATTATTATTATTATTTCTGAGACAGAGTTTCACTCTTGTTGCCCAGGCTGGTGTGCAATGGTGCAATCACGGCTCACCGCAACCTCCGCCTCCCAGGTTCAAGTGATTCTCCTGCCTCAGCCTCCCGAGTAGCTGGGATTACAGGAGCCTGCCACCAAGCGCAGCTAATTTTTTGTATTTTTAGTAGAGATGGGGTTTCACTATGTCGGCCAGGCTGGTCTTGAACTCCTGACTTCAGATGATCCACCCACCTCGGCCTCCCAAAGTGCTAGGATTACAGGCATAAGCCACCATGCCCGGCCTGCACAAACATGTCTTTTTTTTCTTTCAATTTTTTGTTCTGCTCATTTTTACTATAAGTCAATATCACTGAAATATGAAATTAAATGTAGATTTTGAAAGATCAACTAACATTTAATTTTTTTATTATACTTTAAGTTCTGGGATACATGTGCAGAAAGTTCAGGTTTGTTACATAGGTATACACATGCCATGGTGATTTGCTTCACCCATCAACCTGTCATCTATATTAGATATTTATCCTAATGCTATCCCTCCCATAGCCCCCGACCCCCTGAGAGGCCCTGATGTGTGATGTTCCCCTCCCTGTGTCCATGTGTTCTCATTTTTCATCTCCAAGTTATGAGTGAGAACATGCAGTGCTTGGTTTTCTGTTCCTGTGTTAGTTTGCTGAGAATGATAGTTTCCAGCTTCATCCATGTCCTTGTAAAGGACATGAACTCATCCTTTTTTATGGCTGCATAGTTTCCATGGTGTATATGTGCCATGTTTTCTTAATCCAGTCTATCATCAATGGGCATATGGGTTGGTTCCAAGTCTTTGCTATTGTGAACAGTGCTGCAGTAAACATACGTGTGCATGTGTCTTTATAGTAGAATGATTTATAATCCTTTGGGTATATACCCAGTAATGGGATTGCTGGATCAGATGGTATTTCTGGGTCTAGATCCTTGAGGAATCGCCACACTGTCTTCCACAATGGTTGAACTAATTTACGTGCCACCAACAGTGTAAAAGTGTTTCTATTTCTCCACATCCTCTCCAGCATCTGTTGTTTCCTGACTTTTTAATGACTGCCATTCTAACTGGCATGAGATGGTTTCTGATTGTGGTTTTGATTTTCATTTCTCTAATGACCAGCGATGATGAGCTTTTTTTTGTATGTTTGTAAGCTGCATAAATGTTTTCTGCTGAGAAGTGTCTGTTTATATCCTTTGCCTACTTTTGGATGTGGTTGTTTGTTTTTTTCTTGTAAATTTGTTTAACTTCCTTGTAGATTCTGGATATTAGCCCTTTGTCAGATTGATAGGTTGCAAAAATTTTCTCTCATTCCGTAGGTTGCAGGCTCACTTTGATGATAATTCCTTTTACTGTGCAGAAGCTCTTTAGTTTAATTAGATCTCATTTGTCAATTTTGGCTTTTGCTGCCATTGCTTTTGGTGTTTTGTCATGAAGTCTTTGCCCATGCCTATGTCCTGTATGGTATTGCCTAGGTTTTCTCACCACTGATCACACAGAAATAAAAACTAACATCAGAGAATACTATAAACACCTCTACACAAATAAACTAGAAAATCTAGAAGAACTGGAAAAATTGCTGGACACATACACCCTCCCAAGTTTACACCAGGAAGAATTCAAATCCCTGAACAGACCGATAACAAGTTCTGAAATTGAGGCAGTAATTAATAGCCTACCAACAAAAAAAAAGTCCAGGACCAGATGGATTCACAGCCAAATTCTACTATAGGTACAAAGAGGAGCTGGCACCATTCCTTCTGAAACTATTTCAAACAATAGAAAAAGAGGGATTCCTCCCTAACTCATTTTATGAGGCCAGCATCATCCTGATACCAAAATCTGTCAGAGACACCACAAAAAAAGAAAATTTTAGACCACTATCTCTGATGAACGTTGATACAAAAATCCTCAATAAAATACTGGCAAACTGAATCCATCAGCACATTGAAAAGCTTATTCACCACGATCAAGTAGACTTCATCCCTGGGATGCAAGGCTGGCTCAACATATGCAAATCAATAAAGATAATCCATCATATAAACAGTACCAATAACAAAAACCACATGATTATCTCAATAGATGCAGAAAAGGCCTTCGATAAAATTCAACACCCCTTCATGCTAAAAACTCTCAATAAACTAGGTATTGATGGTCTATATCTCAAAATAACAAGAGCTATTTATGACAAACCACAGCCATGTCCTACTGAATGGGCAAAAGCTGGAAGCATTCCCTTTGAAAACTGGCACAAGACAAGGATGCTCTCTCTGGCCACTCCTATTCAACATAGTATTGGAAGTTCTGGCCAGGGCAACCAGGCAAGAGAAAGAAATAAAGCGTATTCAAATGAAAAGAGAGGAAGTCAAATTGTCTCTGTTTTCAGATGACATTATTGTATATTTAGAAAATCCCTCATCTCAGTCCAAAATCTTTGTAAGCTAATAAGCAACTTCAGCAAAGTCTCAGGATACAAAATCAATGTGCAAAAATCACAAGCATTCCTATACACCAATAATAGACAAACAGAGAGCCAAATCATGAGTAAACTTGTATTCACAATTTCTACAAAGAGAATAAAATACCTAGGAATGCAACTTACAAGGGATGCGAAGGACCTCTTCAAGGGGAACTATAAACCACTGCTCAAGGAAATAAGAGAGGACACAAATAAATGGAAAACCATTCCATTCTCATGGATAGGAAGAATCAGTGTTGTGAAAATGGCCATACTGCCCAAAGTAATTTATAGATTCAATGCTATCCCCATCAAGCTACCATTGACTTTCTTCACAGAATTGAGAAAAAAAAAAAAACTACTTTAAATTTCATATGGAACTAAAAAAGAGCCTGCATAGTCAGACAATCCTAAGCAAAAAGAACAAAGCCAGAGGCAACCCACTACCTGACTTCAAACTATACTACAAGGCTACAGTAACCAAAGCAGCATGGTACTGGTACCAAAACAGACATATAGACCAATGGAACTGAACAGAGCCCTCAGAAATAACACGACACATCTACAACCATCTGATCTTTGACAAACCTGACAAAAACAAGCAATGGGGAAAGGAGTCCCTATTTAAAAAATGGTGTTGAAAACTGGCTAGCCATATGCAGAAAACTGAAACTGGAACCCTTCCTTATACCTTATACAAAAATTAACTCAAGATGGATTAAAGACTTAAACGTAAGACCTAAAACCATAAAAACTGTAGAAGAAAACATGTTTTTATCAAAAGAAAGAGGACATACTCATGACAATTATAGTCCTCGTTTCTGCAGCTGGTCATATGGTCATAGCTAGTATTGATGACTACCTTCTTCTACTACCCATTCTGTATTCCCTTTGCCTTCAGCAAACACCTTAGCAGGTCATGGCTTTTTTCCTGGTGGAGTGACCCAAACCTTCATTCCTGAAAGGTCTGGGTCATTTGTAGTCCTGCCTGGATTGGACTGTTGTAGTTTCCCATTGACCTTTATCACAAGGCATGGTAATACTAAGAGATGCCCTAATGGATCTCCTGTATTCCATGCATACTCTTCCTTACCTCCGTTGTGGAGTAGTAGACTGATTTCATCTTCACAGTCCTGGTCAATCACCCCAGATAACACTGTAACTCCTTTCTTAGCCTGTTGCCTTAAAGGTAAGAGGAGCCCAAAGTTTCCAGGTGGCAATCTTAACTTCCAGCTTAACAGAATCATTGTTGTGTCTCCTGGTGGCAGCATTCTCCTTCTGGAACTAAGAACTCTAGGCCAGCAGAATGTAATGTCATGGAAACAGGAAGCAAAAATTTTGCTAGTAGATCACTGGGGATGATGGTGAGTGGTGTCACTTCCACTTCCATCCCTTTAATCCTGGAGCCGTGAGTCCTGGCTATGGGAGAAACAGTGCCATATATGGGATGCTGATTCAGAGCATACACAGTCTTCTGGAGAACTTTACCCCAGGTCTGCAAAGTATTGTTACCTAGTTGGCATTGTAATTGTGACTTCAAAAGGCCGTTCCATCATTTTATCAATTCAGCTGCTTCAGGATGACAGATAACATGGTAAGACCAGTGAATTCTATGAGCATAAGCCCACTGCTGCACTTTTTAAGCCATAAAGTGAGTGCCTTGGTCAGAGGCAATGCTGTGTAGAATACCACGATGGCGGATAAGACATTCCATGAGTCCATGGATGGTAGTCTTGACAGAAGCATTGTGTACAAGATAGGCAAACTCATATCCAGAGTAAGTGTCTATTCCAGTGAGGACAAACCTCTGTCCTTTCCATGATGGAAGAGGTCCAATATAATCCACCTGCCACCAGGTATCTGGCTGGTCACCCTGAGGAATGGTGCCATATAAAGGTCTCAGTGTTGGTCTCTGCTGCTGGCAAATTGGGCACTCAGCAGTGGCCGTAGGCAGGTCAGCATTGGTGAGTGAAAGTCCATGTTGCTGAGCCCATGCATAAACTCCATCCCTGCCCCCATGGCCACTTTGTTCATGGACCCGTTGGACAACAGCAGAGGTGGCTGGGGAAAGAGGCTGAGTGGTGTCCACAGAATGGGTCATCCTATCCACTTTATTATTAAAATCCTCCTCTGCTGAGGTCACCCGTTGGTGAGCACTCACATAGGATACAAACATCTTCAGTTTTTTACCACTCGGAGAGGTCCATCCACATACCTCTTCTGCAAACTTCTTTGTCACCAATTTTCCAATCATGCTTCTTCCAAGTCCCTGACTATCCAGCCAAACCATTGGCTACAGCCCATAAATCAGTTTATAATTGCACATATGGCCATTTCTCCTTCCATGCAAAGTGCACAACCAGGTGCACTGCTAGAAATTCTGCCCACTGGGAAGATTTCCCTTCACTGCTGTCCTTCAGAGATGTCCTAGAAAGGGGCTGTAGTGCTGCAGCTGTCCACTTTCAGGTGGTGCCTGCATATCATGCAGAACCATCTGTGAACCAGGCCCTAGTCTTCTCTTCCTCTGTCAACTGATCATAGGGAACTCCCCATGAGGCCATCCATGCTGGCTGCGGGAGAGAAGGCAGGGTGGCAGGAGTGGAGACGTATCACGTATATACCACGTCCATCTGATGATAGAATGCTGCTGTGCATGACCCACTTTATGGCTAGGTGGGTCAGAAAGCACCCAGTTCACAATAGGCAGTTCAGGTTGCATGGTGACTTGATGGCCCATAGTCAAACATTCAGTTTCCACTAAAGCCCAGTAACAGGCCAAGAACTGTCTCAAAAGGAGAGTAGTTATATGCAGAAGATGTCATGGCCTTGCTCCAAAATCCTGGAGGCCTCTGCTGTGATTCACCCATGGGGGCCTGCCAAAGGCTCCAAACAGCATCCTGGTTGCCACCGACACCTCAAGGACGATTGGATATGCTGGGTCATATGGCCCAAGTAAGTGGCAGAGCAGCTTGCGCAGCAGCCTGGACCTGTTGCAGAGCCTTTTCCTGTTCTGGACCCCACTCAAAACAAGCAGCCTTTCAGTTCACTTGATAAATGGGCTGGAGTAACACACCCAAATGAGGAATGTGTTACCACTAAAATCTAAATAAGCCCACTAGGCGTTGTGCCTCTTTCTTGCTTGTATGAGAGGCCAAATGCAGCAACATATCTCTCACCTTAGAAGGAATAGTTTGACAGGCCCCACACCACTGGACCCCTAGAAATTTTACTAAGGTAGAAGTTCCTGAATTTTAGTCTGATCTATTTCCCATCCTCTGGTATGTAAATGTCTTGCCAATAAGTCCAGTGTGTTTGCTACTTCTTGATCATTGGAACCAATCAGTATAATGTCATCAATATAATGGACGAGTGTGATATTTTGAGGAAGTGAAAAGCTATCAAGCTATTTCCAAATAAGATTATTACATAAAGCTGGAGAGTTTATATGCCCCTGAGGTAGGACAGTAAAGGTATACTGGTGGCATTGTCAGCTGAAGGCAAATTGCTTCTGGTGGGCCTTATGAACAGGAATGAAGAAAAAGACATTTACCATGTCCATGGCTGTACACCATGTACCAGGAGATGTGTTAATGTGCTCAAGCAATGAAACTACACCTGGTACAGAAGCTGCAATTGGAATCACCACTTGGTTAAGCTTACAATAATCCACTGTCATTCTCCAAGATCCATCTGTCTTCTGCACAGGCCAAATGGGAGAGTTGAACGGGATGTGGTGGGAATCACTACCCCTGTGTCTTTCAAGTTTTTGATGGTGGCACTAATCTCCAAAGTCCCTCCAGGGGTGTGATACTGTTTTTCATTTACTATTTTTCTAGGTGGAGGCAGCTCTAATGGCTTCCATTTGGCCTTTCCACCATAATAGTCCTCACCCTACCAGTCAGGGAGCCAGTGTGGGGGTTCTGCCAGCTGCTAAGTATGTCTATGCCAATTACACATTCTGATACTGGGGAGATAACCATAGGATGAGTCCAGGGACCCACTGGACCCACTGTAAGTTGGACCTGAGCTAAAAACTCCATTAATTACCTGACCTCCATAAGCCCCTACTTTAACTGGAGGACCAAAATGACATTTTGGCTCCCTTGGAATCAATATCCACTCAGAGCCAGCGTCCAGTAGTCCCCAAAATGTCTAATCATTTCCCTTTCCCCAGTGCACGGTTACCCTGGTAAAAGGCCGGAGGTCTTCTTGGGTAAGGATGGGAGAAAGATTCACTGCATAAATTGTTGATAGTGTAGTGGGGTCCTTCCTCAAGGGGACCCGGCCTCTCTTCACTCAAGGGGTTCTAGGTCTGCAAACTGGCTCAACTCTGGACATTGATTGAAGGGCCATGATTCTCTGTTTTTAAAGCTCAAATTAGTCTTTTGTCCATTCGACCTAGAAGTTTTCTGCTTTTATAAATTAAGTGGGAATTCAGGAGGTTTCCTAACAATTTCAGTTCTAGGAACACCATGATTAATTAGCTAATGCCAGAGCTCTACATGAGTCAGACTATTCTGATTGTTGCTTTGCCTCTGCTGTCCATTATAGTAGCTACGTCCACCTTGCTTTTGACGGTTGAGTGCCGCCACTTGGCCCCTGTCACCTCAGGATCTAATTATTCCCACCGTATTTAAATTTTGTAGTTGGGTGACTGCGGTTCCCACTGTTAGATCTGAAATACAGAGAAGAGCAATTACGGGGCTCTTCGAAGATGTAGGTGCTGCCCTCACAAATCTATTTTGCAAGGCACTGATCAAGGGTATATCTTCTGGACCCTCCCAGCTGGGATAAGTAGGTCTAAAGTGACTAATCCACTCCACCATCCCAATCTCCCTAAGCCTTTGGATCCCTTCCTCTACATTAAACCAAGGTAGATCAGCCGTTTGCAGCTTACTCACAGTGGACTATCTTCTAATCCATATTTCAGCTAACAAACCAAATAAACTATTAGCAAATAAACTATTAAACCTTTTTGAACTTCCTGAGCTGCAATATTAAATGCAGAGTCCCTACTTAGTGGGCCCAAGTCAATAAATTCAGCCTGATCCAACTCTATATTTTTACACTATTATCCCACACCCTTAATATCCATTCCCATGCCTGTTCTCCAGATTTCTGTTTATATAAATTAGAAAATGCAAGCAGATTTTTTTTTTTTTAGTGTAGCGCACCTCCTCATGGGTCACACTCTCAACCTCACCTCCTAGGGGCCTGCTGGAATTGTAGTCTAGCTATAGGTCTAGAAGCAAACAAAGGTGTTGGGGGTGGCTCCTGAGGAGCATCAACATTATTCCGTGGGACAACTGCCTCAGAGGAAGCCATCACTGTTGCCTCAGGCAATGCAGGGTTTATCTCCTCAGACAAAGGTGGAAAGGCTGATGGCAGCATGGGTCAGGAAGCGAATGTTGCCACTACTGAGGATGGTGAAGCTGTTTCTTCTGGCAAAAAAGGTTCATAAGAGTTTACAAACTCAGTGTCCCTAGCTTCATCAGGGTCCTCCCACATGTCCCTATTCCAAGTTGCAGAGTATCATTCTCTGCATATATACATATATGTGTGTGTGTGTATGTGTATATATATGAGTGTGTGTATATATATATATATATATATACTCACACATACACACACACACATATATAAAGGGGAGTTTATTAAGTATTAACTCACAAGATCACAAGGTTCCACACCCACAATAGGCCATCTGCAGGCTGAAGAGCGAGGAGAGCCAGTCCGAGCTCCAAAACTGAAGAACTTGGAGTCTGACGTTTGAGGATAGGAAGCATCCAGCATGGGAGAAGGATGTAGGCTGAGAGGCTAGGCCAGTCTCTCTTTTCACATTTTTCTGCCTCCTTATATTCTAGCCATGCTGGAAGCTGATTAGATTGTGCCCACCCAGATTATGGGTGGGTCTGCCTTTCCCACCCCACTGACTCAAATGTTACTCTCCTTTAGTAACACCCTCACAGACACACCCAGGATCAATACTTTTTATCTTTCCATCCAGTCAAGTTGACACTCAGTATTAACCATCACAATTATCAAGCATCAGAAGTCATACAGCATTACTTCCACCACATTCCATTGATTACAATAAAGTCACCGTCCCCCTCAGATTAAAGAAAGGAATTAAACTGTACCTTTTCCTAAGAAAGTGTCAAGGTTCAAGAATAGCACATGGCATTATTTTGGACCTCTTTGGAAAATACAGTGAGTCACAGATAGATATTTCCAAATATGGATAGCTAGATATAGATGTTTGAATGCATTGAATATATGACTCTATTGAATGTTTATGTATATTATACACACACACACACACACATACACACACGCGGCAATGTTTCTCAAACTATAGTCTTTGGACCCTTTCCAGTAACAAATCCGAAGGCCAGCTAAAATTGCTTGACATGCTACCCACCCTCAGTGATAGTTTTCCTTAACTGAATTTCATTTTCCCTAAATTGCAACAGATTCTAGCCCCACTCCAACTGCCAGAAGGTCTTTGATTGTAGTGCAGTGAGAATTGTTCCCAAGTGACCCTGAAAGCTCAAGCTGAGCTTCCTGAATCATGGGATCAAGCTCCCCTCTTTTAGAAGGATTCTAAATGGGATTAGTCCCCACCATTCTCCCCATGGTAGGGGCTGCACCCAGATTTAGCTGTCCACAGAATCAACGGTTTCTCTCTCCCAACAAGAGGAGGTGCAAGTAATTTCTCCAAAGTCTCAAAGTCCCCAGATACTTGTCACCCTTCATTATTAGACAACTCCTATTAAATAATGAGTGCCCTAATGCTATCCCTCCCCCCTCCCGCCACCCCACAACAGGCCCCGGTGTGTGATGTTCCCCTTCCTGTGTCCATGTGTTCTCATTGTTCATTCCCCACCTATGAGTGAGAACATGCGGCGTTTGGCTTTTTGTCCTTGCGATAGTTTGCTGAGAATGATGGTTTCTAGGAGATATACCTAATGCTAAATGACGAGTTAATGGGTGCAGCACACCAACATGGCACATGGCCTGCTGGAATTGTAGTCCAATTCCATCAGGGTACGTTGTGCACATGTACCCAAAAACTTAAAGTATAAACAAAAAAAAGAAAAAAAAGTAAATAATGAGTGCCCAAGTCTGAACTGCTTGCTTTCTAAGCAGTTTGTGTGTCCCTGTCACAATTGATCTCAACCTTAGAGATCACTAGGAAAAAATATCCCTGCCCCAGAACACAGACTCACACTAGACATAGCCCCACATCTAGTAACCCTAAATCAGGCCACCCTTTGCTCAGATTACCATATTTCCTTTCTCTAGGTCCTTTAGAATACCCATTTATTTTGATAATAGAGAATTGTACACATTGAGGTTTATAATTTTTGACACTATTTCTATGCAAAGGACATATATAAGAAAACTAAAACTATTCACTTAAAGATCCTGGGTATAAAACTGAAAAATGTTGGCGTACTGGTTTGTCATCTCAGCCACCTTGACAATCTTGCAGTCACATTATGCTTAGATGTCTGTTTAATAAGTGAATTGATTATTCGCTGCAAAATTATTGGTCTTTATATTAGAATTCTTTGCTTGTAGGTGCCTCAAATTTGACATGTTGACATGTCTAAACATCAGAAATCACAAATTGGCTGCTCACAGGACTCATGCAACTTGCAGTTATGTTTCTGTGGCCTGTATACTTTGAATTAATAGCTAAGATATAAAAATAGAATGATAGCTTTAAAAATTAGATTTCTAGCTTCACTTGAAAAATCATCAGAGCTGGCATCACAAGGCTCATGTTGCTTCTGCCAATAATCAGCCGATGGTAAGTGGTAACTGTTTTCTTTCTATTCAGCCAGTGGCTAATCTGCTTTACTTTTATTTTATATAACCTCCTTGGTCCCAAAGGGCATTAGGTCTGGGACAATTAATAAATTTTACATCTCAAATATTCAGCTGATTGAATGATGAGTAGTAATGGGGCATATGTTATAATTGGCACATCTATCGAAATATAGGGGAACAATTGAAACCATCAAGAGAGCTACTCAATGTACGATCACCCAGGAGTAATAGGAGAGCTATTTCATGATAATTCATTTGTCAGCCCGAATACATGGCTAGGATTGGGAAGGGAAATAAAGAAACATCTGAGCAGCCTAAAGATATGGCATAAAATTCACACACTAGAACTCATGCACTTTACTCAAGGGTGAGTACCTTAAACCCTCATTCAACACCCATTTATTATTTAGATTATGCAAGTAGAAAGCTTAGAAAGAACAATGAAGATTTCACAAATAATCCCTAATCCTGTCACACAGAATACTGTTTTCTTTGTTTTATATTAATTTTTATTTTTATGGGTATATAATAGGTGTGTGTATATATATATATATTTATGGGGTACATGAGATATTTTGACACAGGCACACAATGCATAATAGACACATCATGGAAAATGTGGTATCCATTCCCTCAAGCATTTACCCATTGTGCTACAAACAATCCAATTATACTCTTTAGTTATTTTTTCAATGTACAATTAAATTATTATCAACTATAGTCACCCTGTTGTGCTATCAAATTCTAGGTCTTATTCATTCTTTCTATTTTTTTTTTTGGTACCCATTAACCACCCATATGCTACCCCAAACTCCCAGTACCCTTCCCAGCCTCATAACCGTCCTTCTACTCTCTACCTCTATGAGTGCATTTGACTTGATTCTTAGGTCCCACAAACAAGTGAGAACATGTGAAGTTTGTCTCTCTGTGCCTGCCTTATTTCACTTAACATAATGATCTCCAGTTTCATCATGTTGTTGCAAATGACAGAATCTCATTCTACCCCGTTGTGTATAAGTACCACATTTTCTTTATCCATTCATCTGTTGATGGACACTCAGGTTGCTTCCAAATCTTGGTGTTGTGAACAGTGCAGCAATAAACATGGGAGTGCAGAGATCTCTTTGATATTCTGATTTCCTTTCTTTTGGGTACATACCCAGTAGTGGGATTGCTGGGTTTTGTGGTAGCTCTATTTTTAGTTTATGGAGGAAACTGCTCCAAACTGCTCTTCACAGTGGTTGTACTAATTTTCATTTCCACCAACAATGTACAAGGGTTCCCTTTCTCCACATCCTCACCAAAATGTATTATTGCCTGTCTTTTGGATAAAAGCCATTTTAACCGGGCTGAGATAATACGTCATTGTAATTTTGATTTACATTTTTCTGATGATCAGTGATGTTAAGCATCTCTTCATATGCCTGCTTGCCATTTGTATGTCTTCTTTTAAGAAATGTCTAGTCAGGTCTTTAATCCATTTTAATTGGTTTATTAGATTTTTCCTTTGGAGTTGTTTGAGCTCCTTATATATTCTAGTTATTAATCTCTTGTCATATGGTTAGTTTGCATATACTTTCTCCCATTCTGTGGGTTGTCTCTTCAACTTGGTTGATTGTTTCCTTTGCTGTGCAGAAGCTTTTTAACTTGATGTGATCCCATTTGTCCGTTTCTGCATTGGTTGCCTGTGCTTGTGGGATATTATTCAAGAAATCTTCGCCCAGATCAATGTCCTGGAGAGCTTCCCCAATGTTTTTTTGCATCATTTTCATAGTTTGAAGTCTTAGATTTAAGTCTTTAATCCATTTTGATTTGATTTTTGTATATGGCAACATATAGGGGTCTAGTTTCATTCTTCTGCATATGGATATTGTTTTCCTAGCACCATTTATTGAAGAGGCCTTTTCTCTCAAAGCTAGGCCAAATAAGCAATAATATATACATATATGGTATTTCACCTCAGCAAACTCATTTTCAACAAAGATGCCAAGAACATACAATTGGCATCTTTGTTGAAAATGAGTTCACCATAGATGTGTGGATTTGTTTCTGAGTTCCACTATTCTGTTCCATTGGTCTGTGTGTCTGTTTTTATACCAGTACAATGCTGTTTTCGTTACTATAGATCTGTAGCATAATTTTGGAATACTGTTTATAGTATTTTTAAAAATAACATTGGTACTATGTTGTATACATACATATATGTAGTACAGATCATCTTTTATAAAATCTCTTTGTCATTAATGCATCTTAATTTTCCCCATGTTATTACATTTTCTTTTACATGGTTTTTAATATCTGTAATATTCTACCGTAAACATATATCACTGTTTATTTGACCTAGCTTTTTAGAATTTTTAGTATTAAAATTATTTAATCAACATCATTGCTGACGAATTTTCCCTCAGTACCCATATTATTTTCTTAGTGTAATGCCTGATTATAAATACTTAGTATAAAATACTTTGGAAAGTGGATTACTGGTTCATATAATACTTCTTCAAATATATCAGTTTATATTCCTATCAACACTATATGTGAATTACCATTGTCCTAAGAACTACCTTCCCCAAACTGGATATTATCATTTGGATTTCAGGCATAGAAATTTAAAAAAAAAAGACAGAAAACAATAAAGAAGAAACTAAAACCAACTAAAACTATGATGGGGGAGACATATTAGAGAAAACAGCCTTATAGTCCTCAATAGCTCCTGAAATCATCCCTGGGTACTATGCAATAATGAATATTCATAACAATGGCCATGAGTCATCAAGTAAAGGTTAATTCATGCTCAAATAACTTGGCTTCAAAAGTATACATTGCTAGTGGATTGTATTCACTATTTTGTATTCACTATATTGTAACCTTGTATAACCCTTTAGAAAAATAATTCCGGAATATACCTGGAGCCTTAAAATATTATACCTTTTGACTCTATAATTTCACTTTTTGGACTCTATGTTAAAATAAGTAATTCTTATACAAAAAAAAAGGACCAGTGTACCTTAATGTTTACCAATATATTACTCATACTAGCAATAAAATAAAATGAAGCATGAAATTAAATATCCAATGAAAATTGAATACTTGTAGAAATTATGGTAAGTCTACCTACAAGCTGTGATAAACAGCCATTATGATAATATTTATTAATAACTTATAATAACTTTAAAAATACTTATACAAAACTGTGCAAACAATATATTCATAGCTGTGTAAAATGTTACATGCAAAGAAATAGGCTAGAAAAAAATGCATTAAAATATGTAAAATATTAGCAACCATCAATCATCTTTGAATGTTGGAATGATAGATGATTGTCTTCCTTTTATTTTTCTGTCTGTGTTTCAAATTTTCCATAATGATAATATTTTATTTTTATCATAAAAAGAACCATAAACACTTATTTTTAAGTACTTCCTTTAACAAAATTTAGATAAGTATCCCAACTCTTACACAAAGTTTCGTTTTTAAACATTTAAGTTAATTAATGTGTTTACATGCTAAGTTTCAATCATCTGAAGAAATCCTCATCCAAAACTCAACATGATATTCACCATGATAACAGACAAATTTGACATTATTGCATATGAAATATTTCTAAATTCTACCTGCCTTACTGTATAGACTAGAAGGTATTCTGATAGCATTAACAATAAGTATGATGATTTTTTGAGTATCTATATATGTATCAATTATCGATTACTATGATAATGCTACATTATGAAGGACCACAAGAACTTATTAGCAAACTAATGAATGTGTATTAAGTTCATGAGTCTGTGGGTCAGAAATTTAGGCTGGACTTGGCTGGGAACCTCTGCTACTGGATGAGCTTGCCCACGTCTCTAATAGTGAGTGTCATGTTCTATCATAACTAGGTAGATTGTAGCTTTTTCTCATGTCTCATTCTCCAGCAGACTACCTGGTCATGTGGCCACGTTCTCATGGTGATGTCAGAGGGAAGAGTGCCAGCAGAAGTACTCTGCTTAGATCACATCTTCTATCATCCCCTTGTCCAAAGTAAGTCATGTGATCAAACCCTGAGCCAGAAGTGAGGAGACATTCCAGTTATACAGTAATGGGTGTAGCTACAGGCAGCATGGCAGATTTGGCCATTAATGTAATCAATCTTCCACCATATTGAAAACATTTTTAGTTTTCTCTATTTTTAGATGCTATTCTTGGTTCCTGATCTGGTGTTGCCATCAACATGCTAATTGTTCCTGTACACTTGCAAACTCATTAAACCTGAGAAAGACAGCAAGTCTGATTCTTCTGCCTAACTTCAGACTGTAGGGACAAACCAAAAAAAAAAAAAAAAAAAACTATTGTATCCAAATAGAAAAACCTTATGAAAAAAAAGCATCTATTGGGTTGCAGCTGGACAAATTTGATATAGCTGGAGAAAATTTCTCTTGGCCTTGGCTGACATGTATCCATTTCAGAACCAAAAATTGAAAAGAGCATCTGGTATTTTATAACAAGTCTTTGTTATGGTTTATTTTTAAGCTTGAATTTTATCATCCAACACAAAGTTAATTTCATACAAAACTGATTCCATGAGAGCATCAGGATTGATAAATGCTCATTGAGTAACTGAATGCTGGATTTAATCAATTGATATTTGAATTATGTGCTACAACAAATTAATAGTTGAGATCTCTCTGCTGTCTAATTCATCCTGACAGAAATAGACCAGATATATGTTTCCATTTCTTCCCAACACAGAGAAATTTTTGTTATAAACAGACAGAAGTTTTTAAAAAAGGATATCAGCTATTCTACTTACAAATGTATGTCTGATCTGGGATGTTTTACTAAAACAATAAGTTTGAGGAGAATATTAGGTGAGGAAACTCAGTGGACAAAAAGTAGAAAGCTGGTTTCGGCAGAAGGGAACACATCTATTCTCCTTCTTTAATTACCCGTTGAGATAATAAGATAATTATTCATTAGAATTAGGAGATACACATTCATATACTTTGTTTCATCACTAAAAGTGAAGATATTCCTTAAATCATTTTGACCCTTATTATGTGACTGAGACAGAATTGATGTATAACAACATTATAAAGTTATTTGTACATTATTAATGTAAAATTATTGTTGTATTATAAAAAGGCATGAAGTATTAATACATGCTACAAAGAAGATAAACCGTGAAAACATTATGTTAAGTAAACCAGCCACAAAATACCATGTGTTGTATGATTCTATTCCTAAGAAATATCCAAATCTCTGGCCAAACTACAGAGACAGAAGGACTGGGAGTTCCCTGAGGCTGGGATGGTGTAGGGATGGGGGATGACTGCTAATGCATGTGTGTTTCTTTGGGGGAGTTTGAGGTGTTCTAAATTAGATTGTGGTGGTGTTTGCGCAACCCTGTGAATATACTAAAAGTCACTGAGCTGTACATTTTGAACAGGGGAATTTTATGTTATGTGAAATTATGTTGATTAAGTTGTAAAGAAATGTATAGTTAAAAATCTGGCAGCAACGGTTAGAGAAATGGCAAGCATTATGAAGAATATTGGAAGCAAAGGAAATATATCTTAATCATTAAATTGTTTAAAATTAATTGGAATTCTTACTAAAATTATATAAATAATTCAAAAGGATTATAATATCACTTAGATTTAAGTGAACTAAGAATCATTTTCATCATTACTGTAACAACAATAAAACACATAGGAACACATGAGAGTTCCCTATTGAGTTTAAGGAAGGCAAACAATGAGGAAAAAAAGGAAAGTGGAAGATCATAGAAATATAATGCAGAGACAGAAATAAATTCCAGGGAAGGAAATGAAGGGATTCGAAAATAAGAGAAAAGATCAAATAAATGTGGAAAGAGGTCTCAGGAAAATGATGAGTTCTACTTCAGGATTCAGGTTTCTGTGAATGTTAGCTGCTGATTAGGGACAGATAAGACATGGTTCCCTTCCAAGTTGAATTATTGCAGCATAGCATCTCATTTTCTTTTAAACGTTTTTACTGACAGAACCATGCGTGCCTATATTCACAACATATTTGTGACACAAATATGAAAAACATACTTAATTTCCACAGCACCATCGCCCTCTCTAAATAAGTGGGACTTGATCAAATCATGCATCTATAGACCTACGGAACACAATTAGCTCAGGAAGATCTTAGAAAGGGTAGCAAATTTATAGTTCTCAAAGTGTAGATTTGTTTATCTATACTTTATTATTTAACTTTCCTTCAAGGTTCTCCTGTCTTTGTGATTCTCTAAGACAACTTAAATGCTTTAAGAGTCAATAAGGGGCCAGGTGTGGTGGCTCATGCCTGTAGTCCCAGCACTTTGGGAAGCCGAGGTGGGGTGGATCACTTGAGGTTGGGAGTTCCAGACCATCCTGGCCAACATGGTGAAACGCTGTCTCTAAAAATAAAAAATAAAAAAAATTAGCTGGGAGTGGTGGCAGATGCCTGTAATCCCAGCTACTTGGGAGGCTGCGGCAGGAGAGTCACTTCAACATGGGAGGCTGAAGTAGGAGAGTCGCTTGAACCCAGGAGGTGGAGGTTGTAGTGAGCCTGGATCGTGCTACTGCACTGCAGCCTGGGTGACAGAGCAAGACCCCATCTCAAAAAACAAACAAACAGCAACAATAAAAAGAGTCAATACGGGTGCTCACATGCCTGATTATAGCAAGCCATACCACCAGCATAGACATTGATCTCCAAAACCAAAAAGCAGCATTACAGACAGCTCCCTCTCAGGATCTGCTTCAGTTAGTCTTAGGACTCTCAAAGATTCTGGAATATGAATCGATCTATATCACATATCCCAATCGCTTTTGTTGAAATCACATGCCCTTGTCACACACAACATTCATATTGAATTACTTATTTCTTCTCTGTCAAGCAACAGCTTAACCTTGGATTGACTTCTTAGCTTACAAGCTACGCAAAGTTATTATGTGACTGAAAAAAAGCTAAAGTGTGTTTGAGGAAAGCAGACAAGAAAGGCCACATAGTTCAATCAGAGTCAAAGATACCAAATGACAGTTCATCGTTTATATTGCCCAAGGTGAAACTTCACAACCGTAGTCATCCTTCAGTGTTCCGAGCTTCAGAATGTGTTTTTAAAAAACAAAATAATGTCAAGTTAAAGATTAGATATTTAAAATACATTTTATGAGCATTTGGTAACAGCGACAAATCAATCCAATAACGTTTTGTGCTTGTTTGAGGCATTTTGAGTGCTCTACACCACAAAGAAGGACTAAGGTTGGTGTGGGTAGTGGTTACACAAGCTAGGTTGTTTATTCTGGAAAGTTCTTAGACACAAAGTGAGCCCAATCTTTTGGTATTTGCACTGTTTGCCCTGTTAGTGCTTCTTCCTACTTTTTCTACTCTTGGGATGGCCTATTTCCAGATGCAATTTGATCAGTTTGGGGAATATTCTTATCTTGCTTCTTTATTGCCAGAAGATAAGAGGGTTTTTTTCAATCACCATATTGCCTCATTTAAAAAATAATAACAGTTATGTGTTGATGTTTAATGGTAAGAAGCAGTGGCAAACATTCAATTGCTAACATACAATAAACGGAAGAGGCAAACTCAGTAGTGAAGTTACATAACCATTCAAATTAATTTCTTCTTACTTTACAGAGTATAAGATTCCAATTGGATGCAGTTAGACAGCAAATCTTTATTGCATCTAACCAAATATGTTTATGTTATTGAGATGCTCTGGAGTGAGACTATCTGAAATACAGGACAACAGAAATGTGCTAGAAATACACCATTTAGGCTCTGGGAAAAAAAATCTATGAAATTTACATTACATGGCTTTATTTATGTAAAACATAAACCTAAACACTCATTAGAAAGTTAAGCGTGGCTTTAGAAGGTAGTATTACTAAACTGTGGTAGGGACAAAGAAAAATAAAAATAAATTTCAAACAAAATAACAAATGAAAAAAAATCAAAATTTAGATATAGATGAGATAAAAAGAAAACATTGTCAGAGTTATAGTAAAAAGAGTCACTAAAAATGTCAAGACATTTTGGAGATAAATGGAGTTACTAACAAAAAGCCTTTCAAATAGCATTGGTGCAGAATTTTAGAAATGAGCAGAAAAAAACTGGAAATCATAGAAAAGATAAGTAAAAAACTGTTCTCACATTGGGAGAGATACACAAAAAGAGAACTTGTAAATTGTATCATATTATTTCAAATCATTTCTAGATTAGGCAGGATATAAGCAATCAGTAATTAATTAGGATATTTTCTGAAATGAGCTGTCTCTTACTTAGATGCTTGATTAAATTAGTATTTTTAGAAGCGATGTTGGAGAAAATGGCTATTTTAGATTATTATAAGAAGAAACATATTTATTGAAAATATAACCCTGGAATTATTTTTATAGTTATAATGCAAGTAAACCCAGGAAAAATATATTAAAAGGCAAATAATATATTATTTGTACTATATATCATAGTTTATATGATATATTATACAATAATATATACTTTTACATATAACTTTTACTTGGATAACATTTCACTACAATTTCAATTTTTTAAAATGACAATATGACAAGAATCTAGCTATTTTAAATTTAGAAGTAAATCTTGGATCTAAAACCAACTTTTAAAAATTCAGATGGAAAAGCAGCTACCAGCCCAGCTACCTGAGGTATCTGCCAAGAAGCCAGGTGCTTTGTGGGAATCTCTTCCATAGCTTAGCATCTGGGTTTTCTAAGTTGTTACCAAGGGAGGAAAATGGAAAAAATCTACCACAGTGTATAGTGCTGAGGTTACTGGCCTCTTCAGAACAATAATATGAAAATGTTTTCTTTTCAACAATGAGACTCACAAAATGGGAATAGAAATCCAAAGGTAACAAAATACTGTATTCTCTAAAATGTCTTTTCTGCATTATTTTTAATTTATGTTAAGACTGTATTAGCTTCAGAGTGTTTATCTATGTCCCCAAGAGAGGATTAGCTGGGAACATTCTTTGAGATAAACTAAAAGAACTATTTGGTGCTGGCACTGTTAAATTTTTCTGATGTGCAGGTGTTTGTAGTATTTGTACAGTTGACTGATTGGTTTTCATCCAGGTAAATCCACAGAGAATAAGGTTTATCATTTGAGGATAGAGAGGTGCAGAGGCTATTGCAGAATACAGTGAAAACCTGCCACTAGCCACTTCCATGCTATTTTCTAAAGCGTTTCATGTTCTGACTTGGAGAATATAAGCAAGACTTCATTTCACTGAATGTTTCTTACTGATGTTTGCTGAATCACATGCATCTTACTTTTTCCCAAAGTCTTTTATGATCCACTCTGTATTCCTAACTCTTCATTAGTATTACAAAGTGAGAATTTATGTTGTTACAAAATAATAAAATATATGAAATAGCTTGTTATTTTTGGATACGCTTTACAACAGTTATGGAAAAAGAGTTCATACATTTACTCAATTGTTCCATCAACAAAATTTTATGAAGTCTCTGAAATTTTCCAGGCAATGTGCTGGGTGCAGGAGATAGAAGAGTGATCAAAACAGAAATGATCTCTGCCTTCATGAAGTTTATGGTTCAATGGAGAGGCAGAAAAACTGGGTATCACACTGGAATTTTAACTACTAAATGCTGCATTTCACAGGCTGTATTAGATCACAAGCGGAATTAATAAATGATTTAGCCATATTTTGATGCTAAGTGGAGAGTATAAGACTAAAATTTATTGAGCTCATACCACATGCCAGCCTCAGAATTGCATGATGACTAGGCTATGATTAATTTAGCCATTCTGTTAATGGACAACATTTTTTCTAATTTCTTCCTATAACAAATGATGTTACAAAGAATATTCTTATATCATTGTTATACTTGTTTCTCTGTGCAAATATACAAGTGCACATACACAAGGAGTTTTCTAAGACACATCCACAGGAATGGAATTGCTTGGCATTACAGTATGAACATCTTCTAATTTACTACATATTGCCAAATCATTCTCCAAAATGCTTGTACCAACTTATACTTCCACCAACAACACAGAAGAGTCATATTAATTTGTGCCCACACTTCATATTGCAAGACTTAAATTCTGCCAATCTTATGAGTTTAAAATGTATGTAATTGTTGTTTTGATTTTCATTTTCCTGATGACTAATGAATAAAGCATCTCTTAATAAAAACATAAGTGATTCAGCCAGTTTCCTCACCCTTAAGACCATTCATCCACAGTGAAAACCATGGTGTTGGAGATTGGAAATGGCGTTGTTGGAAGGTTCCTTTAAATGATGTTATGCAATGAGTCCCCCAGACCAAAAAAAAAAAAAAAGTGAGCATTTGAGTGTGGCTGCCCCTTATCTTAGTTCTTCAGATACAATGAGCTGATGTCTAACTACAACCTAGAAAACCAAATTGCAGAAACAGGCCAGCCAGCTGTTTCTATAACAGAATAAAGAAGAGTTGATTCTGTATTTGGATTGGTCTGTTCTCCCAGAATTTGTCCAGCAAAGGAAACTGAGACTGCAGTGCACCAGATGCACGCAGAAGGTGGGAGAACTGGCCTGGAGCTGTTTTAAATTCTACCTTAAAGGACAATCTAGAAGGCTGACAGGAACCCAAAGGTATATTTTATGTGCTGCAGAAAAAGTAGGAGGAGCTAAAGTATGTGTGACTAGCAAAAGAAAAATGAATCTCCTATGTCACAGGAAGTGCAAGTTTGTGACTAGGTGATGTGAATAAAATACTCACCTCAGGCACAAAATTTAAGGAGCACAAAAAAGCAAAAATTCAGTAACCAAGATAGTAAAATTTTAATGCACTATTTCAAAAAAAGTCAGAATTAATGCCAAAGAATTTATGATGAACAAAATATTATTTCTTTAAGACAGTTCTCAACCCTGGACTTACATATCCCTGCCTCACTTTCCTCACCCTAATCCTGACTTTTCAGGGAATGTTCCTAGAGGAAGACCCTGAAAAATAAAAAAAATAAAAAAAATAAAGAGCCCAAGAAAGAGTCCGCTTTAAGCCTCTTGCAGGCCCAGAAACCATGAAGTTCTCTTATCCCAGTACCAGCCAGTGAAGACTACACTGCTGCCTTGTCTTTCATCCTTCCTCCCTTCCCAGCACAATCATCAGCCTCATTTCTGTTAGGGTCAGGAGCCACAGCAGGTAGGTGAAGGAGAGGCATGAGGGCTGTGTGTAAGGAGAGCTGACGGTACCAAGTTGAATCTGTGTTTTGTGCCTTAACATGATCATCACAGGTCCTTTTTATCATTTAAGAGATATGGATTCTGTCAAATTTTTTGTCCAGAAGCAAGAAAAAATTAACAAATCAAAGGGACAGTGGAAACAAGATGCTTTCTGTAGGTTCAGTGTACCAGTTACACAAGAAAGTAAATGTATACTTACAAATTGAGACACATGTTCTGCAGAAACTATAGCCTCTCTGCTTTAGATAGGGTGGTCAGAGAAATAGCTCTGGGCATCTCAGAAGAGAGGAGGGAGTGCCAAGCAGCCCAAGAGTTGGTGGCACAGACAAAAACCTAAGAAAAGTCCCTGCAGCAGCAGGAAGTGTGGCTCCTTCTGAATCTGAAAGGCCAGACTCACTAGACCGTACCACTGGCGGTATCAGACAGAAAAGGGGAGCTAGGACCAGATCTGGTGGGCTAAGGCAAGGACTTTGGATTATTTTCTAAGTTTTATAAAGATTCATTCAAGGGTTTTGAGGATCGGATTGGCATGGCCTGCTTTCATCAGTGTTGTCCTAGAGGGTGCAATAAGGCAAGAAGAAGAACTAATATGCATAAAGAATGAAAAGGAAGAAGTAAATTGCCTCTATTCACAGACAATACAGAGTATCCTAAGGAATCCTCAACACAACTACTAAGGAGAACTAATCTATGAACTTCACAATGTGATAAAATTAAAAATCAATATTTAAAAACCACTTTTATTTCTACACATTATTAGAAAAACATAATTGGATAATAAAATTTCCAAAGCAATGTTACTTATAACATCAAAACCATAAAATATTTAAAAATAAAATTAACAAAAGATATGAAAGACCTCTACAATAAAAAACAGAGAGAAATTAAAGGAGGCCTATATAAATGCAATAATGCCATGTTCAAAGAGTAGAAGATTCAATAATGTTAACACATCGATTCTTCCTGAATTAATCCATAGATGCAGTACAATCCCAACAGGCATGTTTTTAAAGAAATTGATAAATTAATTTTAAAATTGTTATAAAAAAGCAAAAGACCTAGAATAGCTATAACTATATTTAAAAAGAACAAACTTGAATGATTCACAATGCCTGATTTCCAAGTTACTTTTATAGTTACAGCATCCAGACAATATGATATTGAGATAAGACAGACAGAAAATAAATTAAACAGACCCAAATATACACAGGCAGTTAATTTTTGACAAAGATGTAAGTTAAATGCAATGGGGAAAGGAAAATTGTTTCAACAAATGTTATTGGAATAACTGGATAACATGAATTTCAATCCTTATTTGACACCTTATACACATATTAATTTGAAATGCATCATAGTCCTAAATATGAGAGCAAAAATTATAAAACTTCTAGAAGAAAACATTGTAAAACACTTTAGTAACCCTACGTTTGGCAAAGATTTCTTTAAAAAGACATGTAGTAACATAAAATTAACATAAAATATTAACATAAAAATAGATACATGGACCTCATCAAAATTAAAATTCAACTGGAAAACATTACCTCAACAAAATTAGCTTAAAAACACTCCATAAAAATATAAATGGCAAGACATAGACTGGGAGAAAGTATTCTCAAATTATATATCTATAATCTTCACATGTAAGTAAAGAACTCTTGCACATAATTAACCAAACCACAAATGATCAATTACAAATGGACAAAAGAATTAGCATCCAAAAGAAGATATATCAATGGTTAACACATGAAAAGTTCTCAGCACAATTAGTAATGATGGAAATGCAAATCAAAACCAGAGATTCCCTTTCCTATCACTAGAATGGCTACAATAAAAAGTGTTGACAACACCAAATATTGAGGAGGATGTGGTAGATCTGCAATTCTCAGACATCACTGGCAGGGTGAAAATTTAAGAACTTTAGGAAACATTTGAGAGGTTTTTAGTAAGTTGTATCCGTACCTACTCTACAAGTAGTTGTACTTCAATATATTTTAGTAGTTATACTTCAATATATTTACCCAAGGGGAATAAAAATGCATTTCCTCACAAAGAATTGTACATGGACGTTCACAGCAACATTAATCACATTATTCATAATACCCAAAGAGTGAAAACAATTCTAATGTCTATCAACCAACAAAAGAATAAACAAAATGTTTTATATTCATACAATTAAATATTATTCAGGAATTCAAAGTATAAGCTTTACACTCCTATGCACGCGCGCACACACACACACACACAAATAATAAAGGCTTCATTTGTTGTAGTTGAGTTCTGTTGCTTCTAGATGCCTACACAACCCTCAAGGCTTCAAAATAGCCTCTTCCAGAAAAAACATTTAAAAATATTCACCCCTGACATGGCTCCAATTGTGGGAACACAGTTTATTCAGGGTAATAAACGGAATTTTACATCTTCTCTTCTTTTGTGCTTAAAGAAGTGTTTTAAAATGTTTCATTTATTTTAATGTGAGATTAAAGTGGAGAAAAAGGTTATTAAAGTGTAATTATGATATAATACATCCTTCTATTTTTGTTATACTAGGAGAAGAGTGTTAATATAATGAAATACCTACCTTTAATTTTACAATAGATGAAGGCTACATTCATTTGCAACTTTTGTTTAAAGAATCTGAATTAGAGGAAAATGTTTGCTTACTTCTGTGAATAAAAAAATGAAACCAAGTTTAATAGAAATTAAAATAAGAAGAAATCAAAGAAAAATGATTTATCAAAACTTATTATTTACTTACAATAGGTTTAAGCCTTCACATTATATAAATTATATATATCAGTAAAGGGTCTTTCAGCTTCTCTCCAGGACCCTTGGCACACCTATAAATTTGAATAAATCTTTCCAGCCTCTTTTTTCTGGTGAATTCTTTCACTACAAATTTAAATACTTATTGTAAGCAAGTAATATTTTATATAGTTATTATATTTCTTCATTTCAAGAGCACATGCATATCTTAATTCATTCTAGATGATCCCAATTTGTGGAATGTTACAGCTTGTGTTCATGTGTAATTATGTACCATTAAAATAATAATAGCTGTCATTCATTCAGAACCTCCTATACCTGACACTGTGCTAACTATATCACACACATTATCTCAACTAATCCTCACAACAGGCCTAGGAAGTAGGGACAATAATTAATCTCCATGTTGCAGATGAGAATTCAGAAGCTCAGAGAAATTAAGAAACATAACCAAAGTCTCACTGTTAGGAAATACCAGAGCAGGATTTGAACTAAGTTCTTCAAGACTTTACAGCCTGTAGTTTTAAAAGCCAGGCATACTGCTGCTTGGTTCTCTGAACTTAATACAGGTTATTATGCATAACTAATGTCACCCATGAAGGGCCTGACACCGGATGTCTTAGATAACACAAAGAGAAACTGTCCACAGCTTTACTGTGGCTCTTCCCATAGCCCTGGAGCTGTCTGGGTGAGTGGCCCTAAGCAGTATAAATACTGAGATTACCTCGTTGTAAACATAACATCACTAGGCTTCAGTGATACCCAATTTCTAGTTGTATTTTACCTTATACTTTGTTCATAAAGATCTCCTTACCAAATATATCAGATGGATTATGGATTTATTTCTTCTACCAAAGCCCTGCTAAAAGAATAGTAAATGTGTTTCAAATTGTATTAATCTACCAGGGCAATAATAGGAGGAGAAGGATGCTTGGAAAATAGAATAGGAAAAAAATAATGACTTTAGACAACTACCAAATATGAATCTTGATATAGAAAATTATATTTAAAATAAAAATTCAAGTAAACCTCACAGAACATAAAACAAAAAGTCAAAAATATGGAAAATATAAAAGAAAAAGTAATAAACATTTCCAATATCTTTAGAGTAATATTTCTAGAGAGAGAACAAAGAAAATAAAGGGGAAAGAATTATCACATATAAAACTCAATAAACAATTTTAAAGGTAAAAGACATAAGCCCCTAAATTTGACTAGCTCACTAAGTACCCAAAAAAGCGAATAAAATAAAAAGATGAACCCAAATGATACCACCTTGAAATTTCAGAATTAGATGTTCTACAAGAAAAGCTCCCAGAAGAAAGAAAGTAGTCTCCAAAGGAGGAACAGAAATCAAATAACATCAGACCCCTCAACAGCAATGCTGGATCCTAGAAGACAATGTAGTCAGATCTTCAACATTCTAAAGAAAAAAATATTTTTCACCTAAAATGTTGTATAATATATTGCTGAAATGTAAAGATGAAGATATTTGCAAGCATGCAAAGTATATAACATTAGTAGGATAACAGCATATGCTAAAATAAAGGAATACTATTATGATATATATATATATGTAAACAAATGTGTGTGTGTGTGTGTATTTGAAGATTATTTCTTGCTCTTCTAAAGGACCATGGTAACAATCCATGCTACTAGATGTCGCTCTTCATGTGGTCACTCAGGGAACTCAGACCAAAAAGGCCCTGCCACCTCCAACAAGTACATAGAGGACACAGAGGGGGAACGAACTTGAGAGGCCACACGTGAGAGGCTTTTACAAGCCAGACCTGGAAGTGGCATATCACTTTGCACATTCCATTGGTCATAATTTAGCTTCATGGGAGATGAGAATTATAACCATATACCTAGAAAGAAGAGGAAATGGACTTCGGTAAACAAATAGCAGTCGTCTTTGCCAAACAAAGACTGGCAAATATACTTTCAATGATTGGTTCTTAGAAAATTACTGAAAGATACACTTCAGCAAAATGAGGGAGTAAAGCAAGAATGAGGACACACTATAGGATTTAAGACACAGAAGATGGAGAGTACAGTAATGAAGACAAACCGTAGAACCAGAGAACAGACAGACCATGTTGAAGCATGAGGAATAAGAGGTTTGTTAGTTAACCCAATCGATGTGAGCTATTCCTACAAACTTGATGAAGAAGTGATTACCAATTCTTCAGAAATATGTTTCCCCTCCACTGGGAAATGTCAAAATAGGCAACTTTCTTTTCTCAGTCTTCAGGGGGCTGTGTCATCCTTACTTGAAAGCGGACTCTGTGGTGCTCCCTATGCTGAGCTCTACCAGGTGGGACTAGGCTCTTTCCTCTGCCTGTCCCCCCATGACACCCTAAAAATCTGGGAAAGTTGGTTTGGCTTAGCAGCACCCTCAGAACATGAACTCTGCTCACCATACTAGGTTCCCACTTTAATTTACCTTTTACTTTGGCCTCTGATAATTCTTTGTTTTCTAGCCAGATCTTTGATGCACTTTCTTTACTTTTTTCTCTTATTTATCTGTTTATTTATTTAGAGACAGGGTCTTGTTCTGTTACCTAGCCTGGAGAGCAGTGATACAATCATACCTCACCACAACCTCAGGCCTGCCAGACTCAAGCAATTCTTCTACTTCAGCCTCCTGAGTAGCTGGGACCACAGAAGCGCACCACAATGCCCAGTTAATTTTTTAAATATTTTGTAGAGACAGAGTCTCAGCATGTTGCCCAGGGTGGTCTTGAACTTCTGAGCTCAAGTGATTCTCTGGCCTTGGCCTCTCAAACTGCTGGAATTACAGGAGTGAGCCACAGCACTCAGCCTGGCCTGGGGCACTTTCAATAGCAGAGAGTCATTTTCAGCAGAAGGACTCTTCCTCCATCCTGTTCTCATGATAGTGAGTGAGTTGTCATGTGATCTGATGGTTTTATAAGACGCTTTTCCTCCTTTTGCTCTTCACTTCTCCTTGCTGCCACAATGTGAAGAAGGACATGTTTGCTTCCACTTATATACCATGATTGTTAAGTTTCCTGAGGCCTCCCCAGCCATGCTGAACTGTCAGTCAATTGTCAGTTAAATCTCTTTCCTTTATGAATTACCCAGTCTTGGGTATGTCTCTACTAGCAGCATGAAAACAAAATAATACAAGATATTTCTCTTATTTGCTTTGAAACTAAAATAGGGGCTACCACTTTAGTAGGGTGATCAAAAAGAAAAGAAAAACAACTTAGATATATGAAGCAGAGCTTAATATGTAACAGAACATGTGATACATGCAACAGTGGCCTGGCACGGTGGCTCATGCCTGTAATCCCAGCACTTTGGGAGGCCAAGGCAGCCGAGCCAGGAGATCGAGACCATCCTGGCTAACACAGTGAAACCTCATCTCTACTAAAAATACAAAAAATTAGCTGGGGGTGGTGGCAGGTGCCTGTAGTCCCAGCTACTCAGGAGGCTGAGGCAGGAGAATGGTGTGAACCTGGGAGGCGGAGCTTGCAGTGAGCCTCCATCGCACCATTGCACTCCAGCCTGGGCAACACAGCGAGACTCCCATCTCAAAAAAAAAAAATACATGAAACAGCATATAACAGAAGCAAAAAGTATGTCTTTGATGTTGTAAGCTACTGAGATTTTGAGCTATTTATTATCACAATAGAACGTAACAAAAATTGGCTAACAGAGAAATAATTTAAGTAAGGGAGTACTTAGAATAGTTTTATTATTTCCCCTTAGAACTCCTGTACTGGTCCAGTAATTTTTTTTTTTTTTTTTGCTTAAGCTACTTTTATTCTTTGAAAATCAACACTCTCTATATATAATCAAAACATTTTGTTAGGAAATACAAGTACAGTAGACCCTTCAACAACGTGGGAGTCAGGGCACTGATGCCCACACAGCAGAAAATTTGAGTATAAGTTTTGACTCCCCCAAACCTTAACTACTAATAGTCTTATTGTTGAACAAAATCCTTACCCATAACATAACACGTTTTGTATGTTATATTTATCATATACTGTGTTCCCATAATAAAGTAAGCTTGATAAAAGAATATGTTAAGAAAATCATAAAGAAGAGAAAATACATTAACTATTTTCTTTCTATTCGCTAAGTGAAAGTGGATTAATACAAAAATCTTCATCTTCATCGTCTTCATGTTGAATAGACTGAGGAGGAGGAGGAAAAGAATGGGTTGGGCTCACTGTCTCAGGGACGGCAGAGGTAGAAGAAAAGCTATGTGTAAGTGGACCCATGCAGTTCAAACCTGTGTTGTTCAAGGGTCAACTGTAATTAGCTTGTAACTTTTCACATTAGTCTGTAAGCCAAAATATCATAAGCAATTGACTCAATGTAATTATAAACATATCATCATACTAAAAAACACAATATGTGGCCTTTCCAACCAGGGCTATTGTTTGTATTGGATAATTTTCAATAAGCAGAGGGTTGCCTGAAATGCAATTTCCTAATTTAGTAAGTGATTGCATAAAATACTCACAAATATCTTTGCTTTTTAGTTCTTTTTAATTTTAAAAGCAATGGAATAAAACATCAATGGAGAAAATAATATATGGGTAAGTTGACCAAAAACTTAATCTGAAGTCATAAAAACTCTATTAAAACTACCTATCATTGTAGATAAAAGTGATTTCAATTATATTTATAAAGATCTGTCAACTTTTCTCATAAAAACAATACCTTATAAATAAATATTCAAACCTCTGAATTTTAAGATTCAGTTTAGACATATGTTATGAGTTGGATTCTTACCATTGTAATTTCTCAAGTCACACATACCCTATGTTATATTGACTAAAATTTCTCACTGCCAAATCCTCAAAATACAAAATCTTGATATAAGTTCAGTTCCCTTCCTTAGAAAAGGTAGGAAATTAAATATTATTTTACTAAATATGCCAGTTAACTGAATTACACTTTACCTATAAATTAATAATTGGAAAAAAGAATGCATTATAATTCTTAACACCAACACTGCTTATAATATATTTTATTATTTGTGAAGTTTCTGTTTATTTTCTTAACATAGGGATATCATCAATACTAATTACAATATGGCTATGTACACATAGGATGTATAGAAAATTATAGTAAAAAACCAATAGGTTTATAGTGTAAAAATGCTATCATATATGTTAGATATTGCTTTTTAGTAAAACAAATTATTGCCATCAATAGTCCATCTTTGTTGGGTGCTGTGGCTCATGCCTGTAATCCCAGCACTTTGGGAGGCCAAGGTTAGTGGATCACTTGAGGCCAGGAGTTCGAGATAAGCCTGGGCAACATGGCAAAACCCAGTCTCCACTGAAAAACACACAAAAAATTAGCCAGGCATGGTGGCATGTGCGCCTGTAATTCCAACCACTCAGGAGGCTGAAGCACAAGAATCCTTTGAACCCCGAAGGCAGAGTCACACCACTGCACTCCACCCTGGGCGAGAGAGCGAGACCCTGTCTTAAAAAACAAAAACAAAACGAAACAAAACAAAATCCATCTTCAAGTTTATTTAGCATCTAATGAATGCACGTTACTATCTGAGTATTGTGTGCGAAAGAAAGAGAAGGCATAATCTTTCCTTTCAATAAGATTATAATTTAGTTCAGATGATGGACCACAGGACTACACCATTTTATTCCCTTCTACTCGATCCACATGGGTAGAAAAGCCTCTTGAGAAAGTTGTTGCTACTTACAGTCTTCACTTCCCATTTCCCCATTCACTTCCAACCCACTGTAGAGTGGCTTCCATGTCCATCATTTCATTCTAGCTGTTCTCACCTAGTTAAACCACCTTATTGCTAAATCCAATAAAACTTCCTAGTCCTTACCTTTGTAGCATTGGCTACTGGTGACCATTTGCTCTTCCTTGGAATGCTCTGGGATCCTAGGGCCTCACGGGTATCATGTTCTTCATCTTCTCTTCCTTTTTCTCAATGACTCCTTTGTGTTCCCAACCTCTGAGTTTCTCATCTACTGACATTCCTTAATTTGGGGTGCTACTTAGGCTAATGTATGCTATCTTTTCACACATCCTCATCCACCCTATGGTTTACATTTCCACTTACATACTAATAACTCCCAAATATATATTTGCAGCCCAAATATTTTTCTGAATTATGGACACAAATCTCTACTTGGATGTCCCCCAGGCATCTCAAACTAAACATGTCAAAATAATATCCAAACCTGTTAAAACGGCTTAGGGGGCTGTAGTATTCCTGCTTCTAACTTTAATGCCTTGAATATGCCATGCTTTCTGTTGCCCCAGGGCCTTTGCTAATGACAGGACCATAATCCCTTCCTGACTTACACTGTCCTACCTAGTCAGCCTATCAAACTCGAATTCTTCCCCAAACCTTAACTTGCTCCTCAAAGTATGTGTTTGGGAACCTCCGAGGTGCTACCATCACACTGTATTATACCACCTATACACCTTATTAGACTGTGAGCCTTCTGAGGATAAATGCCATGTCTCAGCTGTTCCCCATGCATCTCCAGGAACTGGAGCAGTAGCTGGTTCTGAGAAGCTGCTCAGCTATGTGCCTTATAGTAAGTATATAGCGGTTAAGGGCCAGGTCTGCAGAGCAAGCCACCTGGGTTTTGTCATTTACTACCTGTGTCACTTTAGATAAGCTGCTTAACTTCTTGGTCCCCAAATTGTGGTTATAATTGTTTTCATTTCATGCAATTATTGTGAGAATTAAATGAGTTAATCTTTACAAAGTGTGCACAATAAGTGCCAGACACATGAGAATTGCTAAAGATTAGCTATTATTTTCAGTTGAAAATTATTTGTATTGTGTTTTTGCTACCCTGATGCAGCAACAAATTCACTAAAAATAACTGAAATCTAGTGCTGGGCCTTAGAGTTGTGTGGCCTGAGATGACAGAAAAATCTAACTGGACTGTATTGTTAATTACAGCAGCTACCTCATAATGCACAGAGTAGGGAGGAGTCAATTTTCCAGCCTCTTTCTCTGTCTTCCCTGCCTAGATCCTCCTATTTCCTTTAAGGAAAGACCAGATTGATTGGACCCCCAGTTACACTAATAAGGTTCTTAACCATTACATAAAACTAGATGGGGAAACATAGGCTGAATTTTCAGCCTCTGTTCTCTTAAACTGCATTCTCACTGAAGAGTCAGAGGGAAGTAGGAGATCTCACTTAGACCTTAAGTAAAAGCCATGCATTCCGACAGAGTCTTGGACCAGAATTCTTTTAGGAGTCAAGTGCTTGTATAACAATTAAAGTTCTCTGATTTATGTCCTGCTCCTGTTTCAGCATAATATAGAATGACTTGGGAAACTGATAGGGGAAGATTCTAGCATTCTCGTGGCCTTGACTGAAACACCACATAAAGTAGAAAACTAACAATTATATTTCTAATACAATGTCTACCTGGGGAGCCAGACTAGGGATGGTAGATGACCTGGGCTGAGTCCCCTCCTAGACAGAGTACAAAGGTGGGTAAGAAAGTCCTGCCTCAGAGAGTTGACAGTCTGGTAAAAGGGATGCATATGTGCAATACACTACAGTAAATGTTTCAATACAGGTATGCGCATAGATAGAGAGGTAAGTGGGAGTGAGGAGCTCTCCTTGAGGAAGTCAGAAAAAACTTCAAAGGAGGAAACACTCAGGAATTCTCTAGATTTAGAAAAAGGGGTCAAGTGTTCTCAGAGAGGGCTTGTGCAAAGTCTTAGGGCAAAGAGCAGGATAGATTTGAGGAAATACGTCATTCCATATGTTTTTAGATTATTTAGGGTAATATGCAGTGAGGGGCTGGCTATTGATGAAAATTAAATAGGTAAGAGCTGCATAGATCATGGAGGATGTGGTTGGTTGGTCTTCATCCTGTAATGGATAGTTAAGCTAGTAGAGAGTTCGAAGCAGTTCTGTTTACATTTTAGTATGATCCTTTAGAGGGAATGTGGTCTGAGAAAGGAAGCACACTTTTCCCAGTGTGAAATTTGCCTTCACAGTATGAATCAAATGCTGAAAGTGTAAGGCTGAATTTTCCCTAGAGGAAAGATAAAGATATTAATTCATGTTGCCATAATCACAAGCAATAACTTGAAGACAGAATACTCTAAACACAATTCTAATTTGATTACCCCCTAAAAATGAAACAAACCTAACTAGCAAAACAGAGACAATTTGAAACTGTTAAAATTAGAAATGAGCTCATGTTTAAGTTCAATTTTATAGTCTTTTTTTATGTGGTTTCAGAAAATCTAGTAGATTCAATAAAATAAAATATCCCAGACACCTGGTATAATTAAAGCAAGTGAACCAAGTGGTAAAAATATCTCTGATTGAGGCTACGTTTGATGTCTAGCCAGAAAGACTACAGATTCTGTGACTCTAGAGTCTGCAATAAATATATGGACTGGAGTGTGATACAGCAGAAATACAATGAGAAATTTTTGTGGTTCAGAAAGCCACAACTTTATTTTATAAGGTTTAAGAATGCAGGTTCTTTGCTGGCTTCTTAAATATATGAATCTTAAGTACATTCCTATGTTTATGTGAAGTATCCAGAGGAAAACTAATTCTTACATATGTGGTGAAAATAATGAAATCTGAGTGGAGCTAACAGGAAAGCTCATGGAAGCCCTAATTGCTTTCCCATTTCCTTCCCATTCATTAGGATAAATTGAACTACCATCAAATTGTCTTTTACCTGTTGGTCACGTCTGAAAGAGGTTGCCTGCAATTTTCCACACTAGTTCCTTGTAAATGGTTCATAATTGCAAAATCTCCATTTCCCATCAGTTAAAATGTTACCTTTAACTTATGCACCCAGGGATGTTAAGTTCTAGTAACAGATAGACTCAGCAGATAAGAATGTTTTGAAAAAATACTTTTAAAAGACTCTTAAGTTCATTAAGAAGTGATTTTTACTTCCCAAAGCAGGAGGATGAGTGAGAGAAACTGCAGGGATTTATACTATAAGGTGTTTTTAACTTACAACTTTTACACACTGTGATTCTGCCTCCAATACGCAGTTTCCATAGCAACTACCGTATCATCTGATCCTAAAGCTATTTTTGAGATGCAGATAAGTTTCTTAAGAAAATGTATCCACATCTCAAGGTAAATTTCTTTCCTAAATCCACTCTACTCCCAATGACACCAGCAAGATTCCATTTTGACAGAAAATGTGCTAGAGCAAGTATATCTGTGTGTTCTGTTTATTGATTTCATAGTTTATTGAAATTGAAGTTCAAATTTACTTCAAGTAAGCCTTTTTACCTTTTCATGTTTAACAGCTTAATTGAGATATAATTAACATATAATAAACTGCATATACTTAAAAGGTAAAATTTGATAAGTTGAACATATTGTATGTACAGATCATGGTTTCTTTATACATTCAACTATCGATGGATATTTGTGTTGTTTCTAATTTGGAGCTATTAAAAAGAAAGTGGTTATGAACGTTCATGTGCAAGCCTTTACATGGAAATATGTTTTCATTACCTAGGAATGAAGTGTCTGGATAGTATAGAAGGCATATTTTAATTTTCTAAGAAATTGCCAATTTTTTTGTCAAAATATTTGTTCCATTTTATGTTCCCACTAGTAAGGTATGAAAATTTCAATTGTCATCCTTGTCAACACTTAATATGATCAATATTTCTCATTTTAGCCATTCCAATAGCTATTAACTGGTATATCCTTTCTGTTTTAATTTGCACTTCCTGAGTGACTAATGACATTGGCCATATTTTTATGTCCTTATTTGTTACACATATATTTTCTTTGACAAATTATCTGTTTAAATGTTTTGCCCATTTTTTAAACTGGGTTATTAGCTCATTATTGAATTTTGAGAGTTCTCTTTGCATGTTAGAGATACAAATCCTTTGTCGGGTATATGATTTGTAAATACTGCGTGCCAGTCTATTGCTTTCCCTTTCATTCTTTCAATGGCTTTGTTCAAAGAGCAGAAAGTTTTAATTTTTATGAAATTCAAACTAGCACTTTCTTTTTATGGATTATACCTTTGGTAATATGTCTAAAAAATCTTTGCTTAACCATAGAGCTAAAAACTTTCTGCTATGTTTCTTCTAGCACTTTTATAGCTTTGGCTTTTACATTTAGTCCTATAATTGATTTAATTTTTTTGTTTAATAATATAAATTATCCTCCAAATCCTGCTATGTGGAATCCCAGAATTTTTATATCCTGTATTTTCATTTTCATTCAGTTCAGAACATTTTAATATTTCCCTTTTGGTTTCTTCTTTGTATTTTGGAGTTCTGATTTTAGGAGCATGTTTCAGTTTATAATATTTTCTGTATGAATTTATTTCTTTCTATTATGAGGTAATTTTTAAAAAATTCCTGGCACTATTCTTTACTCTAAAATCTGCTTTGTTTGAAATTAATATAGGCACAATAGCTTCCTTTTGATTAGTGTTTGCAAGGTAAAATGTTTTATGTTTAAATTGCACTTTTTGTAGGCATCATATAGGTAGTTCTGGCTTTTTCATCTGACTTAACAATCTCTGTTTTTGGGGGGTGTTGATACCCTTACACTTGTATTTGTTTTCTATTGCTGCATAACAACTTACTAAAAATGTCATCGTTTAAAACAATATCCTTTCACTGTATCCCAGATCTGTACCTGAGAAGTCCATGTACACTCAGATGGCTTCTCTGCTTAGTGCCATAAGGTCAAAATCAATGTGTTGGTTGTGGTGGGCTCTAACTGGGAGTATCTGTGAAGGAGTCTGCTTCCAGGTCATCAGTTGTTGGCAGAATTCTGTCACTTATGATTGTAGGACTGAGGTCCCTATTTCCTTGTTGGCTGTTAACCGAGACCTTCTTTCAACTTCTAGAGGCTGCCCAGGTTCCTTACCTCATGGTCCCCTCAGTCTTCAAGCCAGCCATGGCATATCCAATTTTTCTGAGCTTTAAATCTCTGATTCCCAGCAGAAAATCTCCCGCTTTTAAAGAGTTCAGTAATTAGATTAAGCCCTCCCAGATAATCTCCCTTTGCCATATAATTTAATATAATTCCTGATTTTATTATCTCATCATATTCATAGTCCTATAGATTATTGGGGAGGTATCTTGTGGATCTTTTTGGGATTTTGCCTACTGTAACCATTAACGTGATTATTTAGACAGGTTTAAATTTATAATTTTGTTTTATACTTGCTTTTTGTTTTCCTTTTTCTATTTTTGAAGTTTTTACCTATTTTCCAATTGAGTATCTTTCATTATTCTATATTATCTATTTTGTTAGATTAGCTATAACTCTGTTTTATTATTTTAATGGTTGCTTTAGGGTTTATAGTGTAGGCAGTCTGCCTTCAAGTGATATTATGCCATTTCCCATATAGTATAAGAACTTTACAGTAGTATACTTCTCTCTTGGCCATATGTTATCATGTCATACATTTTATTTCTACATATGATGCAAGCTCTGCAGCACATGGTTACTATTTTTGCTTAAATAGTCAATTATCTTTTAATGAGTTTTTTTTAAATAATAAAGTAACTTAGATATATACCCACATAGTAAACATTTCTAAGACTTTACTTTGCACAGATTCTTATTTTTATCTGGTATCGTTTTCCTTCTGCCTGAGAGATTATCTTTAACATTTCTTATAGTGTAGTTCTGTTGGTGATGAAATATATCAAATTTTATAGGTCTTTACATCACTTTCATTTTTGAAATATATTCTCAGTAGGCATAGAATTCTAGTGTTCTATTTCTTCTCAGTATTTGAAAGATGTTCCTCTACTGTTTGTTGCTTATATTGTTTCTGACACCCCTAAAAAAATCTGTTCTGATTCTTACCTTTTTTCCTCTGTTACCTAATGTGCTGTTTTTTTCTCTGGCTGCTTTTAAGATTTTTTTCTTCATTACTGGTTTTGAGCAACTTGATTATGATGTGCTCTTTTGTAGTTTGCATTTCTTGGGCTTGGGGCTCATAGAGCTTCTTGAAACCATATGTTTATAATTTTCATCAAATTTGGAATTGTTTTTGCCATCATTTCTTCACATGTATTTTCCCCTAAATATTCCTTCAGTAACTCAAACTATATGTATTTTAGAATGTGTGAAATTGTTTCAGAACTTTCTTCAATTTTCTCTCCATGTGTTTAATTTATGTAGTTTTTATTGTTATTTTCTTTAACAATGCTTAATTAATCTCAATCGGCAAAATATAGTTTCTGTCTATATCTATCTAAATATATGATTCATGTTTTTACTTAACCTGTTAAATCTTTTCCTTAGCTTCCTGAATATTTGGAATGCAGTTATAAAAACTGTTCCAAGGTTCTTTCTTGCTCAGTTCTGGGTTGGTTTCAATTGATTGATTTTTCTCATTATGGGTTGCATTTTCCTGCTTCTTTGCATGCCTGTAATTTTTTATTGGATGCCAGACATTGTAAATTTTACCTTGTTGGGTGCTGAGTATTTTTGTATTTCTATAAATATCTTCAGTTTTGTTTCTGATATGTAGTTAAGTTACTTGGAAACATTTTGATCATTGCTTTTAAGATTTGGTAGGTGGGATCGAAGCAGTGTTTAGTCTAGAGCTAAGTATTCCCCACTGCTGAGGCATGACCCTCCTGACTACACAATGTCCTATGAGTTATTAGTTTTTCCAGTTTTGCTGTGAGAGGCAGGCTATTTTCAGCCCTGTTTGCATTTCCTGTACTTTCCCTCCAACCATTTCACTTGATTCTTTTCCCAGTCTTAGTTTCTTCATGTAAATGTGCTGATCAGCACTCTGTTGAATATTCAAGACACCTGATTCAGATCTCAATAATTTTATCTCCATGCAGCTCACTTTTCAGTTACATTTTGCCCTAAGAAGTAGGGCCACTTTTACTGCCAACCTCTCAGTTTCACCTCCTCAACTCAGGGAATCTGAAAGAGTCCCCCCAGCCCCGGGCTCTCCCTTGCTGAGCCAATGCTGGGAAACTCTCTAAGAGAATCAGCTGAAAAATCACAGCATCACTGTTTGTTTCCTGTCTCTTGGAGTTCACTTGAGAACCTAATATCCAAATATCTTGGAAACTATTTTTTTAATACTTTGTCTGCTTAATTGTTTCAGTCAGAATGGTAATCCCAGTTCCTTACTCCATCTTGTCTAAAAGTGGCTATCTACGTATATATTTTAAAAGTCTAATATATCAAATTTTTAAAGTATGAAATGATATGGTTTGGCTGTGTCCCCACCCAAATCTCATCTTGAACAGTAGTTCCCATAATCCCCATGTGTTGTGAGAGGGACCCAGTGGGAGGTAATTTAATCTTGGGGTTGGTTACCCTCATACTGTTCTCATGGCAGTGAGTGAGTTCTTATGAGGTCTGATGGTTTCATAAAGGGCTTTCCCCTCTTTTGCTCTGTACTTCTCCTTGCTCCTGCCATGAGAAGAAGGGCGGTTTGCTTCCCCTTCTGTCATGATTGTAAGTTTCCTGAGGCCTCTTCAGCCATGCCGAACTGTGAGTTAATTAAACTTCTTTCCTTTATAAATTACCCAGTTTCGGGTATGTCCTTATAGCAGCATGAGAAAGGACTGTTACAGAAAGATATATGTGATTCTAGAGAGATGAAGCAATTGAAATAACTAAAGAATAGTGATATCATAGAAACTGTCTTGGCTATGATGATTAGAATTTCTGCCTGTTCAACCCAAGTATGCAACATTTAAATGTTGTCTTAACTAGAGAGATCAATATCACTCAGAACTGAGATTATCCTGGCTTTGATATTTACTATGAATGTAAAAATACTGAACTGTAAAATTCTACTCCTGAAATTTTCAGGGAGTCAGATCTTGCAAGATACTCTGAAAACCAAGTCTATACATACAATTAGAAGAGGATTTCTACAATTACCACATAGATTGAAGCTCATAAGCATATGACACTCAGAGACTGATAGTCATCGCACTACTGATAAAATTTTATAGATCTATCTAGTAAATAAAAGTAAAGAAATTATAAAAATGAAACCTATCATTTTGTAACTGCTTATAGATACCACAATTTACATACCCTTTCTATTGTTTATGGGCATTTGGATTCCTTCCATGTTTTGGCAATTATAAAATACGATGCAATGAATTTTTCTGCATGTGTTTCCTGGTATACATGGACACACATTCCTTTAGAGTACATACTTAGGAGTATCATTCCTGAGTCACGTGTAACCCATATCTTTAGATTTACTAGATAATGTCAAAAGGTGCTTATAGTCCTTCAGCAAAAAAGAATTACTTTCGTTTTTCACCTATACCCATACCTAGTGTTTTTCCATTTTTAGATTAAAGAAAAAAACAGAAATTAAACGTTTATATTTATTCCTTTCTCTTTCCCAACCCCCCACCCCCACACTCTGTCGCCAGGCTGGAGTGCAGTGGCATGATCTCAGCTCACTGCAACCTCTGCTTCCTGGGTTCAAGTGACTCTCCTGCCTCAGCCTCCTGAGTAGCTGGGATTACAGGTGCCCACCAACATGACAGGCTAATTTTTGTATTTTTAGTAGAGATGGGGTTTCACCATATTGACTAGGCTGGTCTCAAACTCCTGATATCTACTGATCTGCCCACCTCGGCCTCCCAAAGTGCTGGGATTACAGGCGAGAGCCACCGCGCCCAGCCCCTTTTTCCATTCATTTTCTAAACACATCTATTGTATTCTTACCTTTTGGGTGCTCTGGAATCAAAAATGAAGACAGTATGACCACTACCTACCCTATAGGAGGCCACAGACTAAGGGAGTTAGCATTAGTATAAAATATAAAAAAAGAAGATTCAATTTTGTACTAAAATAAAACGTTAAAATGGTGGCAATATATTTGTAGTCATGCCATATATTAATAAATAAGCTGGTTCTTAAGAACATTCAATTGGCTCATGACAACTCTTAATTTAGCTCCAGACATATAGTTTATGACTAGGTGGGATAAGTGTACTTGGAGTTGTGTGTATGTCAAACACACACACACGCACACATACACAGAGGGAGAGAGAGAGAGAGAATGTTAAAGGGTAGATAGGGAAGTCTATGTCTAACTTGCTGAAAGTTCCCCTCTGAGGATTAACTCTAGAATTTATGGCAGGAATCAGAAAAGGATTTAGCAAAAGACCAGATACAAAATAGTTTAGTCTTTGTGGGCCATAAGGTCTCCATCTCAACTCCTCAACTCTGCCCTTGTAGCATAAAGGCAGCTACAGACAATATATAAACAAATGGTGTGTCTGTGCTTCAAACAAACTTTAATTACAAAAACAGGCTGGATCCCTGATCTGATGATCCAAGGGCCAGAGTTTGTGGACACCTGGCCTAAGGGATGGCAACTTATCAAAGAGGCAAATGACCCACGGACAGTGTATTAGTTTAAATAGGCATCAATTATTTTATGCTTTAGTATAAATAAAGGATTCAGAAGTAGCTTATGATAGCAGGAAGGGAAGGAGAAAGCATGGTGAAGATCCCTGAGAACTGAGGAAATTATCACCTACATCGTGACTTGACCGAGAGCCTGTACTATGATATATGATGCAGTGAAGCTTTTCATTTCCAAGGCCAACAATAAACTACATGGAGTGACAACATGCATTTTAGTGAATGAAAGGACTTTCTGGGAGTGTGAGCATCAAGATTTCATTTTACTAGTGAAAGAAGGTGGTGGTAACTTTACTGAGCCCCATAGGTCGAAAGTGCTCATTAAAGTTTTATCCCTAATGAGATAAGTATGTGAAGCTTTTATATTTATCAGCCTACTTTTTAATCCCTTTTGCCTTAGAAAATATAGACTATTGTACCAGATTGATAAATATAAAGACTTCTTAAAGTTACTACTTCAGAAAAAAAAAACAAATTCTTTTAGTTTATTTAAGCCAACTAGATCTAATATATTACTGGTATCTCGAAAGAGACAGTAGAATCTTCTATCATCCATAATAATTCCAGTGAATGACTGGCAAGATAGAAAATCTAGGAATAATTAAAATTGTAAGAGTCAACCTTAATTAAAAGCCTATTATGCACCATGAGAGCATTATTCATAACAACTCTATGAGGTAGAAAATAAAATTATCACCCTATTTTATAGATAAAGAAACTAAGGCACAGAGAAGTTAAGTAATTTATCCAAGAGCACACAGCTGATAAGTACCAAAGTAGGAATTCAAACCAAGGCAGTCTTCTTTCAGAGTTGCTTTCTTTAAACTCTATGTCGCCCTGCCTCTTATCCTTAGGAGACATATACCATATATCACCTTTTTTCTCTCTCTTTCTCAAGTAGTGTATATTCAGGATCAGGCTATATGTGGCATTTAAAATTAGATATTGAGAAACTTGACCTTTTAAAAGATCAACACATAATACAGGTTGGATGCTTTAAAGGACTATGCAAGAGGCTGGGCGCAGTGGCTCACGCCTGTAATCCCAGCACTTTGGGAGGCCGAAGCAGGCAGATTACTTGAGGTTAAGAGTTCAAGACCAGCCTGGCCAACATGGTGAAACCCCGTCTCTACCAAAAATAGAAAAATTAACAGGGCGTGGTGATAGATGCCTGTAATCCTAGCTACTCGGGAAGCTGAGGTAGGAGAATTTCTTGAACCCAGGAGGTGGATGGAGGTTGCAGTGAGCCGAGCTAGTGCCACTACACTCCAGCCTGGGCGACAGAGTGAGACTCTGTCTCAAAAAAAAAAAAAAACACTATGAAAGACTTCCTTCTCTGTGTGTTTGTTACTAAACATGGTATGTTACCAAAGAAAATATACTTTCTTCTCTGTCTAGAACCATTTACTTGGTGATTTTCCCAAACTCAGGTCCAAACTTTCTCCTCGTCCTCCTAGTAAGCGGTCATTCCTCCTCAGCGTTGCTTAATTACCTTGTACCTACTGCCAATATGGCAAGGTTAACATTGGGTAGCAACAATTTGCTTTTATGTTTATCTTTTTCTCTGGGCTGCAAGCTCCTCACAGATAGAAAGTACATCATAATTACCTTCACGACTCTAGAATCTTCACAGGATCTACCCAGGGAGGCCACTCGAATGCCTAATGCATGATTGAATGAATGCATGCACCAATGCTTCCTCCAGTCAGTAGCCCCAAGATGGTTGGTTACCCTCTCCCCAATGACAAGATAAGACAACATCCAACAATTCTAAAAATAAAATAAAATCTTTTCAAGAGTTGCTTTTTTAATCAAATACATCTGTTTCATTTATTGCAGATGTGTGTAAGCACTGTTGGAGAGGGTATCTGGCCAGTAAACAACAAGCTCTACAACTTACACAAAGCCATGTTAATACACGCTAGCTGTCGCTGTGAAGCATATACTGTTGCTTTGTCTTTTCAGAGATACTTCCACAGGGACACAGCTATAGCCCATTTACCTCCTCTCAAGTTTTAATAATATTGTTAAGGAATTCGTTATAAGAAATTGCTAAGAACACCTAGGGGAATTGCTAAATAATTCCACAGTAGTTCTGCGTTCTGCTTGAACATCATAAGTGCTAGCTGCATAAGACCACTGTTTTTTTTTTCATTGTGTTTTGTATTTTGTTTTGCATAAAACAATGTGAATATCACCACTGTTGTCCTTCTAAATAAAATGTTGAAATAAATGGGATATTCAAAGCTTTCATCATGCTGGATTAAATTGCAATAAGTTTAAAATTTAAAAAGTGGTGTTTCAACTTAACACATGGGATAGGCTTCTCAAAACACTAGAGTAGAGGTAGGGGGATTGCAAAGTAATTATTTATTCTTTGCTTTGTCTTTCATGACATGAAATCCTTTGCTGAATTATTCTACTTAGAAGGTTTAGGGTTGCTTTTCTGTGATGGCATATGTATTTTTTGTTTGTTTTTGTTGTAATGCAAGATTATTTCTTTTCAAAGGGTGGTGTCACAAGAGGCCTGCTGTAAAAATCCAGAGATGCTGCCAGTAATTAGGCAGCTGGGTGGCCCAGAAATTGTCTTCATTACACTGTTGTTTCTTTGCCAGTTCTCTCTTTTCTCTCTTCTGGGAAAGGAAGAAAAAAAAAAAAAGCTTTGTTTTTCTTTACATAGTTCTTATGGCAGAATGAATAAGACTCGTTTTTGGTTTTTTGTTTCTTTCACTCGCCAGAATCTTCTGATACAACATCAACTTCCACATTTATGATTTATAGCCCTTGCTTTGATTTATAATCGATTGTCAAAACATGTTTAATGAATGATCAGGGCTACAGTATTTAATGTGTTAAGGGTATTCTATGCACAAATCCATGGGCTTCACATGCACAAATGCTGTCCACATGGATTAATATTGTGACTGTTTTTAAAACCAAAACAATTCTTCAATGTGCATCATTCTGATAACCAAGATAATACATGTCCAGGGCTTATAATAAATGACTGTCAGCCTAAGGGACACAGAAAAGGTTTGTTCTGTCTCTCTCTCTTTCCTTCCCTTCATCTCTGACAATTTCTTTTCTCAGTCCAACATGTGGTTGTGAGAAATAAACTACAAATGTGTCTGTGGATGCACCATGCACACGTGTGTGTCGTGTGTGGTTTGAATTCTCTTATTTGGGCATGTGAGGGAATTTGTAGCTTATGCTATGTAGGATTATAGTTAGTAGGTGTTTCATAACTGTTGGATGAACTAAATAATAAGCTTTTTGCATTTCTTTTTCAACATTTTTTGAAGCTAGATGTAGTGGACCAAATGGTGGTCCCCCAAAAGATTTGTCAACATCCTAACACCCAGAACCTGTGATTATTACCTTATTATAATAAAAGATGGGATTAAGTTAAAGATCTTGATTGGAGAAATTTATTCTGCATTAGCCTATAGGCCCTCAATGCACCATATACTCTAAAACAGAGGCAGAAGGAATTTTGAGACAAACACAGAGAGAAGGAGGTAATGTGACCACAGAGGCAGAGATTGGAGAGATGCAGCCACAAACCTAGGAAGGCCAGCGATGCCCGGTGGCCATCAGAAACTGGAAGAGGAAAAGAACCAGTTCTCCTCCAGAGCCTCTGGGGAGAGGGCAGCTCTGCTGACACTTTGATTTCAGACTTCTGGCTCCCAGAACTGTGAAGGAATATATTCCTGTTCTATTAAGCCACCCAGACTGTGGGAATTTGTTACAGTAGCCATAGGACATTAATATGCTGGTTAACCTCATGAATCAGGCAGGCAAGGCCTGGGTGTGCAGGAGCCTAGAAGCCCAGACCTGTGGGTAGGGTGAGGACAGCTCCGCCAGAAAAGCAGACTCACAGACAGCAGTAATACAGAGACTCGGGGAGAGCATCCTGGCCTCAGAGGTTGTTCCATGCATAGGAAATACAGCAAACAAAGTTTGATCCAGGCAAGCATTGAGTTTTTTTACGTTGACCAAAATAGTGGGTAGGGAACTGCAGCAGTAATTCAGATGGAAGAAAAAACGTGAAGTCAAATGAGCATCAGTATTAGTTATCATTAGTTAATTAGAAATACTAATAGGAGAAAACATTCATTGAAAACCCACTGTTTGCCAGGCTTTGAAGTACCATAGACCTACCATGTAGGTTTCATTGATCTCTCTTCACACTTTATAATAAGCGCAAAACTAGGATTCAAATTCAAGTAGATCTGACTCCTATTCTAGGTTTTTCACTATGGTGCTACATATTCTCACTCCGCTGTACTACCCCAGTCAGGACTGTACTATTAATAATACACAGCAGACTGCAGGCCCAGTGGGGCAGCATGTTGATAGGAACTGGACAGTGTCAAGATTCTGTCTAGTTCTGGATGAAATTCCAGACCTATCAAAGAGAGAGAACAATGCCATGGAGGAGAAATGAGTGTGGGGCTTCCAGTAAACTACATTCAAATTCGGGCTTGGCACTGGTGGGCTGCCTGATCTCTAGCCCACTTCCTTATCTTTGTAATGTGAGCAATAATATCTATCCCGCAGAATCAATCCAAGAGAGGATATATGCAAGTCAAAAGCCTGGTTCAATATCTAACAAGAAAAATGATTTCCTGTCTCATGGTAGGGTTTGAAGGAAATTGCACAAAACCATAATAGGCATTTGTATTGGCTAGTATAAATTACAGTGAGCACAGCCTTAAGTATTATGCTCTATTTTTGAAGTAAACATTGAATTTAATTAAAACTATATAAAATCAAAGAAGGCTTGGTGAAATGGTCACTTGATTAGAAATCTGATCTCCGACATCTCTAGGTTTCCTGTCTATGCAATTAACTCCAATAGATTTGAGAAGCACTTGGATTTCATCGAAAGTAAGGGATGTTATTTATTACAAATATAAATAAATATTCCAGAGCTGACCTGTATTCTGACAACCAACACATATTAGGCTACATTTGATGTAATATTGATTTGCCTTCCTTGTCAGACTTTTGGGGTATAAGATTTGGCATCAACTTCTTGAGGTCCATCAGTCTTTCAGGCAGAGCTCCTTACAAGTACACAGTACTCATATTCCAATGGCATTATTTGGTAACTTAAAAAATATTAAATATAAAAATTTTGTGCCCTTGAATGTATTTTAATTGAAAATTACAGAGATGATCTGAAGTATAGGCTCTTTGGGATTGAAGAAGGAAGAGTTTAGTATTTTTTTCTTATTTTTCAAAAAAGCAATAATGAAACATGTACGTATAATGGAGTAAAAATTAATGAATAGATACTTTTTCTATTCATTAGTATGAACAGATTACAAATTCAAGTATGAATACATACTTCAAATAGAATGATTTAATGGTTGACTCAAAAATAAAGACTTTATAAAATTCTTCATTTGTCTTAATGCACTGCATTCTCATAGTTTCTCATAAAATTTTAATTATCACCTAACTTAAAAAAAAACACTCTGGAAGTTTATGAGCTGTGAAAGTTTCAGAAGCAAAGATGATGTTTACCACCAGTAAGACGTGTTCTTTGAACAACTTTTGTTTTAGTACTGACAATGTTTTCTGATAAACATGAATTCTCTCTCATGCTACTCCTATAGCCAGCAACACACATCTACAAATTTGGTTACTAAAGCTATCAGAAGCATAGAGTTAGAACAAAACATAGCTACACCCACTCATGCGAGATCAAATCCATGACTCTAACCTCATTAGCACCATTTTCTAGCCAATGGGTAAAGCTACAATGAACTCCTGCCTCTGGGAGGGATTGTCTGATCTGACTCTTATTTGAAGACCTCAAAAATGTTTTCTAAAGAACAAAATAAGAACAAATAATGATCCAGTCACTATAATCTGGCTTTGGATCTTCACTTCAGTCACTGTTTGATTCAGGTTAGTGAAGGATACTGATAACCTCATTTTTATATATAGATGTATCATGAGTATCAGATTTTGGGGCATATGAATGATTCAACTTTGTAGTACTTTCTTGAGAAGAGATAAAATACTATGTGGCCAGAGGAGAAAATGTAATAAAAAGGACAAGCATGGTTCATTTGCATACCAGAAAAGGTAGCTGTGATTACTTTAAGTAATTATAAGCTCTCCATCATAGCATGTAAATGGGGAAAATCATGGTTAGCCCATGTAAAGAATTTTGATGATAATCTATAAACAAAACCACACCTTGTATCAAATGAGTTCCATCCAAAGATACACTATTGTCTTGAATGAATTCATATGACTTAGCAGGACCAGCATTGAGAGCCTGAAAATATCCCATTTGTTCCCAAAGTGTAAGATTCTCAAATACAGTGAGAGCTTTTTCAAATGTATTGTCTATCACTTTGTCTTTGTACCAGAAGCAAATTATTTTTTTAAGTGCTAATTGGCAGTTCTGTAAAGATACCGCAGTGCCCCCACACTAATTGCATCGCCTGCAGAATTCTCAGTCAGACTCCTTTTCCAGCCTGTACGGTCAGGAAGTCTGACAAGAAAATGTATGCTCAAAGTTCTCAACAAAGGGGAAATTACTTTACAGTCTGCTATAAACACGTGGAGATAGCTGAAAGTTATTTCGTTTCACTCATTAGGGATAGTCTAACTTGGCTAATCTACACTCAGTTTAAGTTATATAGCTGTTTTTCCTAATTTTTAGAATAAGTGCTATATTTATGGCCCACATGCTGAATATTTGAAATAGTTTGAACCAATAAATGTAGTACTATGGCTTGTTTATTGCTGAGTTGATTAAATTGCCCCACTCTACATGGTTCTTTCCCACATAAATTATTCCAATCAGTGTAAAAGTTGCTTACATTGAAGGAATTATATGTTTGACAGCTGATTGTTGGCTCCAAGTAGTTGATCAAAGAAGTAATTTCAAACTGGGGAGAGGTATTCATATGGTTAAGCTGGTGTGCTACAAAACCATGGATTAGATGGGGCAAGAAGGGGTTATAGCCATTATACATTTCATTTTGTGGTTCTGCCAGTTACTGACTGTAACCTAAGCAAGTTAATTTATTCATGCCTCAGATTTCTCATCTGTCGAATAGAGCTAATATTTGCATTATCCATATGAAATTCACCAATCTTAAAGTCAAAAGTAGTAAAATATCAGCAGTTTCATATGGTTTACTCCAATAATAGTATCCATATATAGGATTATTGTAGAGATTAAATGTTAATTTAGGTAAAGCACTCAACACAATGACTAAAATCTATTAAGTAAATGCACAATAAATGATAGTAATTTTAAAAATTATAATAATTACTATTTTTAGCTGGATTTGTGTGAAGAAAGATATACAGTATATACTGTATTGATAATTTTCATTTCAATATGTTCCTTTTAACTGGTGGGTCCAGGTGCAAAATTATTGAGCAGTAACATACGTTGAGGCAGGGCTACCTCTTATCCTCCTTGTACTAAAAGGCTGGGATGCCTAATTCAAAAGAGGACAGTCCAGAAATGAAGTCAAGTGCAAACTGGCAATGAGCATAGGGGACAAGGGTTGAGTTGAGAAGCCATTATTACATTCCAGAAGCTGGTCTCTAAAGCCAGGTTGGAAAATTCAAGTAACACAGTTAACTGTGACCCAAAAGCCAAGTTACTCACGAATTATAGGAAGGTGAGTGAGTCAAGAAAGACACTGAAGGCACAGGCACAGGATGGAGAAGACAGCCTCCGACTGGCAATGTCACTGATAAAGTCACATCCCAAGACAGGAGGATTCTGAGCCACCACCAGCATCCCAAGTCATAAAATGATGGCCATTTCAGGAATCTCTTTTGCATTTTGATCCCCAGCTCATGGGACATGCCTAGGTAATTGTTATTCCTAAGGCTGTAATTATGTTTACTCTGTGGAGATGAGAGCTCTTTCTGTTAGAGTTCCTACAAGAAGTCATGTCCTGGCCTGGCGCGGTGGCCCACGCCTGTAATCCCAGCACTTTGGGAGGCCGAGGCGGGCGGGTCATGAGGTCGGGAGATCGAGACCATCCCGGCTAACACGGTGAAACTCCATCTCTACTAAAAATACAAAAACTAGCCTGCCGTGGTGGCGGGCGCCTGTAGTCCCAGCTACTCCGGAGGCTGAGGCAGGAGAATGGCGTGAACCCGGGAGGCGGAGCTTGCAGTAAGCCCAGATGGCACCACTGCACTCCAGCCTGGGCTACAAGAGTGAGACTCTGTCTAAAAAAAAAAAAAAAAGAAGAAGAAGTCATGTCCTTAGAGAAAGACAGATGAGGTCAGGATATGAATTTGATGGATTTTCTTGCTGTTCAACTGAAAGACCACAGCACCTTTTAAGAAACTTGCCATGAATCTCGAAATATTCTCAAAGCTCCAGTTCCTGCACAAATCATCCACCCAGCATGTTTCAAATAAAATAAGATGATTTGCTCCTTATACATGTAGCTTCATCACGAAGTCACTTCAAGTTTTAGGAAATAACTAAAATAAATGTTAAATATCTCTTACCTTTATTTTAATACAATTCAATTTTAATAAGCACCTATCAGTAATTAACACCTAACAAATAGAATGTACAAATAATAACTTTCCATTGTGTCGAAGCATTGGATATTTTACTGATATATAAACACACAGTTTTATATATAAACATATATAGTGTGCATATATATGTATTATATACACATATATGTATACAATATATGTGTAAAAAGAGTTATCTATATGAATAATCCAGGTTTGGGTTTCTTTCCCTGTAAATATGTGTGTATATGTATACACATAGATATGTATATATACACACACATATGTATTATATACATATATACACAAATATATGTATGTATATATAACTCTAGATATACATATATACGCACACACAGACACATATATATATGTTCATAGTTGAGAGAAAACATTCTGCTTAATGCTAAAAAATAGCTGAAATATAAGCTAACCAATAATGCCTAATAGTATATTTTAGAACACCATCTTATAATGTGAGTCTACCATCAGTTCTCCACTATTCATTTGTCAAGACTCTAATGCATTTTTGGTGGAAATATAAATATTCCAGTGAAGGCTGTTCACATGCCTATTCTATTTAATCTCATTTTAATTCATGTTACTTTCCACCAACTATTTGAATGGCTATTATTTAGGAGAACATAATTAAGATAGCTTAAATTTTGAGGCCCACTCCTGGCTCTATCAATTAGCATATCTGTGACCAGGAAAGAAATTGAATACTCCAGGTCTGGGTTTCTTTCCCTGTAAATAAAGGATCCCCCCAAAAAATCTACCTGGGGGTGGGGGTGTGTATTGTGAAAAATGCATGAGAACTAAAGCAACTGCCACAGCCTGTAGAACAAGGTTGTGCCCAGTAAACCTTAATTTTCTTCCTCTGTTTCTTGAATCACAAATCCCATCAAGGGGAATTGGTTTACAGTAAGCAGTGTCAATGTAATTAGAATTAACACTCTCACAATAACTTTGGTAATAATAATAATAATAGCAATTACCATTTGTGTAACCCTACACAATGTACTTAATGATAGCATTTAATCCTCATAAAAATTTCTGTTGTCTTCATCTTACCATTGAAAAAATATTGAAGCCCAGAGAGCCTATGGTGACCTTCCTAGGATTATACAGGCAGGGAACAGCAAAATTTGAAATCAAACCCCAGTTTTCTGACTTCGAGTGTGGCACTATTGGAATCTAGTCCCTTAAGTGAGGCTTATCTTGATCAGATGCCTCAAAATCTCATACTGGGAGAAATCATTGTCTTATGAGTCATAGCTCTACCAGGCAAAAATAAAATATGCATTATAAAATAACAATGCATTATGATAATATAGAAAGTGAGAAATATTTGAGATACGATAGAGAACCTTAGGGCTGAACCCTGACTTCTTAGTTGGACTTATTCTGCTTTCCCACAGCAATATGGCTAAGTGTTTTCCCATTACAGACAAGCTATGCTCACCCACCTGTAAACTCGGCCTTGGGAAAGGACTTTTCATTCAGTTAATTAACCTTCCAGCCAGACACAGATTCAGAGAAGAGACTTGGGAGAATGCAATCACAATTTGCCAACTATTAACTTACTTCTTGTGTACAATGAGGAGACTAGATCGTGCTATAAAGCACAAATATTCAAGAACAAATTCAATGGGAAATGTTCAATCTGAGGTGTATTTTGAGTTGGTTGCCATTATGTTTTAAAGAATGAAGAAACAAACACATAGTTATGCAACCTTAAAATCACTGATTCCTTCTTTTTTGTTTGTTGCTCTGGATTTTTATCTGATAGGCTGGTTTCATCTCTACTGGTCCTCGACTTCAAATTTTTCAATGTGACAATATTTTATGTATTGATTAGAACAGTGTGATATTACTCGGGATGGAGGAAGGTTAGACAAAAATGACATAAGATGTTTCTCTCATTTTTGGGACATCAAAATTATCTGAGAAATAATGGCCTCAGTGGAGAGTAGAGGGAAATGATACAATCTGTACCTGTTAGGACTGGCTAATTTTCTTGAAATTTCCTAGTTGTATATGTATAGATGTGAATGTTAAAGAAACACCCATCGTTCAGCTATCACTAAAGGATAAAATACTTATGCACTAGGCTTCAAACAGCAAAGTATAAACATAAATAGTGAGATATCTGTCCTTGCTTAATTTAATAAGGTCAAAATCCTTTTATGTTTTCAAGCGTCATTATTCATCAGTGCTTGTTTATATGGAGAAGATAGACACAGAAGACTTTGCAGAAGTCATTACATTTTTTGGTAACTATAAAGCTTTTTCCAGAGATGCTTCCCTCTTCTACTTCCCATGTCAAGCTACACCAACTGCTACACCTACTGGCAGTGGTGAAATTGCAGGAGTAGCCTCCTGTCTTCCTTGTCAGTGCTTTAAGGAAATAAACTAGGTTAGAAAAGGTCTGGCAATGCTCTTGTTTGTTTGAACAGAAAAGTAATCTACATATCACTGTCATCCGGTTCCTCTGAAGATGTCATGAGGCAGGTCATTTCTCTCTACTGAAGTGCTTTTTCTTTTATTACCAGCCCTATAACAAGATTATTGAAATGATTCAACAACAGTCATGCCATAGTCATAGATACTTGTTGAAAGTAAATAATAAAAGCATTTTATCTGAATGGCTGTCATTTTCCTGTTGAGGGATACATTTGTTACATAAGTACATTTGTATGCTGGTCTGCCTTATGTGAACTGTTCTAATTTGGTTATCCTGATAGGTGCCATTGTTGCTTCATTCTAACAATATTAGCAGAAGAAGGAGGTCAGTCATTTTCAAAATGTAATTTGCAGTCACTCCAGTCAAAGAGGTTGCAACAAGATAGAAACCAGTGAGAATGAATTTTAAGGAAACTACTGGAGAATGTTTGAGCACCACAACATAATTTGGCATTTGAGTTCATGTTAAGCAAAATTCAATTTGAAAAAAGAAAACAAGGTCACCGCATTTAGATTTAAAAGTTAGTTTTTTTAAAAAAAAGGTGTAGGCTACTCAAAGCTACAGGGTTGCTTTTATACATAATGGGTCTACACTGTATAAAGGCTGGGTCACTTTTAAGTAAAATCATATTTTTAACTTTATTTTTAATTTTTAAATGTCATTTTTATTACTTATAATCTTAAGCAACAGGGATTCAAGGATTGTTGATTACTTCATTATTTTGTATTTTATTCCCAGCAAGAAACCAAAGATTTTACTGGATATTTAATAAAAGTATCTTTATCCTTCTAATTCAAGAAAATACATATTCTTTCTTTTTTTAGAGATGGCATCTAGCTCATTCTGTCTTCCACGCCACAGTGTGGTGGCTTTGATCAAGTTCACTGCAGCCTCAGACTCCTGGGATCAAGTGATCCTTCCACCTCAGCCTCCCAAGGTGGGACTATAGCTGTGTGCCACTGCTTCGGCTGATTTTTTAATTTTTGCAGAGACAGCATCTTACTATGTCGCCCAGGCTGGTCTTGAACTCCTGGCCTCAAGCGATCCTCCCACCTTGGCGTCCCAAAGTACTGTGATTACAGATGTGAGCCACCATGCCCAGCTTAAGTGAATAATATTATCTAAAAAAACTAACTTATATTGTCTTTCTAAATGCAGAGAAAGAACATTGTGCGTATGTGGAATCAGTTCACCATATTGATTAAGCATTTGTTTATTCAATAAACTAATGTTTATTGAGTACATTTCATGTGTCAGGCATTTTGCTAGGCATTGAGAAAAGAGCTTTGTCCTCATGGACCTTATAATCTATCCAGAAAGAGAGATATAAAAGAAGCAATTACAATGAAGTGTACTTACAATGAAGTGTACTAAGTGTTAATGAGACATACAAGGTTCTCTGAGATTGAGTGGCTAAAGGTGCAGCAACCAGAAAGCCTCCCGGAAGAAAAAAATTTTAATTCCTAACCACAGGATGAGTGCATGTCAGTCCAGTGAAAAGACAGAGGAAGATTGTGTCAGAATAAAGAAACAGCATCTGCCCAAATCTACCCTCCAGAGAGGGTGGAAATTTCAAGGAAAAAAAAGTTTTATCTAGTAAGAGTATAGAGTACAAAGTGAGGAGATGTCAGAGATGAGGGTTAGATTTTAAAAGTTAGGTATTTATCCATTTAGAAATTAGAAGCCATTGACCCCATTGAATGGGTTTAAATAGAGTAATACAAACTGTGACTACTGGAAAGTCATTCTGACTACAGTGGAAACAGTATTTTTGAAAAGAGTGTAACCGGATGCTTGGGAATCAGAAGTCTATCGCAATGGTTCAGTTAAGAACACATGAGGGCCTGGGCTAGGGAGTTGGCAGTGGGCATGGTTTAGGGTATAGGGTAGATGAGACTCTGTGAATGAATATAACACATGATGAAGAAGGGGCAATAAAGATCATGATTGTTGGGGGCAACTTGGTGCATGGTGATGCCCTTTACTGGGATAGGAAACATTGGAAGACAATCAAGATTGATGGAAATTCTGAAATAATAAGAGCATGACAGGAAATTAATACTATTACTTAGCTATATTGTTCTATATAAATATGTATTTTATATAAAAATATATAAAGATACTTGACTTTTCAGAAAACTAGACTACATAACTTGTTAATTACACTATTTTAAGGAAATAATAAACCTGGAATTATTAGTTTACTTTCTCTAGATGGAAATATAAAGCGCTGAACAATGGCGTGGCCTTCTCAGAACAACATAATGAATCAAAGGGCTGGTCACAGCAGAAGTTGACATCATTTTATTTTCCTTACACAGAATAAAACTTTCAAGCTGAAAATGCCATGTAGACCTAACTTGTGTCTCCAAAATACACCTTCTCTTCACAGTACTGAACATTTATGTGCTCAGCACTGCCTATGAACCCTAATAAGAAAATACGTATAAACACATTGTCCCTGACTTAAATGTGTTGTAATTAATCAGCAAGTCACTCATTCCTTAGTTAGCGCATTAAATACTTTCAATAATAAATATTTTGAACACTCACTGTTGGTCAAGTCTTGAGTCTGACATCAGCATGGGTTTACAGAATGCAAAATATATAGTCCCTGCTTTTGAGGAGCTCATTATCTTGAAAACACAAAGAATCCTGATTTATGTTGAATGCAGTGTCAGTGACTAAAGATAAAGAAGCACAGAGGAGGGTGCCTAGACCAGCTGGGAGAAGGGCTCAGGGTCGGCGTTGTGTGGGGGGAAAGATGATGCTTGAATATTCTAATCACGCTGTAAAGATAAATAGCGCTTAACCAGGAGAAGGCTGAGGAAGGGGTGTTAAGAGCTAAGTAGCACATGGATAGGGAAGAAGCTACAAAATCACCTTAGGTATCTGGGGAAGTGCAAGAAATTAAAGAACCAAGAAAGTAGGTAGAGACTCTGAAGGGTTCTTTGTTTGTTTGTTTGTTTTGGTCAGGGAAAAGAAATTGATTTTGTCCTGATGTCCCTGGGGACCAACTGAAATGATGTGACATGTCTAGATTTTCTAAATTGGAATATCTCCCTCAGTGCTGTGGTTCTTAAACTTGAATCTGTGTAGCAGAGGGAAGACTAGTTCAAAGGCCATTTCAGGTGGCGATTGTAAAGGTGAACAGATAGGGACAGATTTGGGAAATATGTAGGTGTTTAAATCAGCTCTCTTTGGCAACTGACCAAGGATGGAGGGTAGGGAAAGGGAGAACTCACAGTACCATGCACCCAGGGAGGGTCTTCTTCCATAATCATCAGGGTTTCCCAGGTGTCCAATGCTGCCAGCTTTGTTGTTGTATCGACTCTTTAAGTCCTCAAATCTAACACATCACAAAGTTTATTTACTTTAAGATACCTCTTAAGTCCTTCCTTGTTTATCCAGCTACCACCTTCTCTTGGCAGGATTTCTACAACAATCCCTTTCTTGGCTTTCCTGCTTTCCTTGATTTGGTAGGTTAATTTCTTTAATTATTCTCTTTTTAGAGTAAAATATACTTTATTCTATCCTAAGTATGTAACTAACTTATCCTAGGAAAATTTGAAGAAAGAAGAAAACATTTTCTTGTTAACTATTTTTCTAAACTCCTGCAGTTACAAAAAATATGCCCCTTTACTTTTGTTATTTAAGTGTATTTAAATGATTTTACGGATGTATTTAATACTCATGAATATACCATAGGATTAAACATAGTTCCAAAAAATCATATGTGTTATAATTTTACTTAATTTTCAAATGGATAGTTCCTGATGATATTTCCAATCTTCCAATGGAAAATCATTTTAAACATCATTAGATACATTTTGAGTCCAAAAGTTGATCAAGCATAATCAGAGATTGTATTTAAGATTTTCCTTGTTAAAAGGAAAAATGTAATTCTTGACTAAGAAATGAAATAAACCTTCTTGTAATTTCAATTATAGAGAAATTCCATTTCTAAATGTCATGTTCTGAACTTGATTATTAGGACTGAAGTTGATAGAACTGCAGGCCCATTGCCATTATACCAAAGGCAAATTAACTCTCCAGAAAGTAACTTTTAATCATTCTTTTTCAGTATTTTATTCTAAGTATTTTACTCATAAGCTGGAACAAAATTTGAAGCATACATGCGAATAAATTGTTCTAAATTACGGGCTTATTTTTTTAGTTTCCAATCTCACCTTTAAAGTGTGTTTTTAAGCCTGGGTTTGCAAGGCTGTGAAATTTATCCAGTCTTATAAATCAAGCATTTTACACAAGGTAAAGTTGAATAGAGTATAATATTTGCCTCTACAAACAAATGGAATCGTTGAAAAGATTAAATTGTTTTTGTGAGTATATATACACACATATATAGTACCATAAAAATATGATTAATAAATGAGATATTTCACAATTCATGTATAAAACAATGTTGCCTAGAAATACTGTCAAATTTAATTTTTCATACAATGATTTTAAAAGCACATGGAAATAGAAATATTTTCCTCTCCTGCACTGTACTGTACATAAGCATCCATCAGCTGGCTACTTTCAATGAAGAAAGAAGCTGAGTTGACAATACTTAATGGAAAACATGAAGGGTAAATCTTAATGGAAAGAGAACTTCATCTGAACAGGAGTCTTTTATCCCAGTGGCGCAGTTGTTACTTTGACATTGACATTTACATGAGTTATAAACTGAAAAAGAATTTCCATAAAAACAGCTAGTTGGCTTTGTTAAGTAAAACAGGTCCTTTTACCTTCACAGTCTAATAAAGAAGTACAATGAAAGAACAGTGAATGAGAAAGAATAAAACCTGGCTTCCAACCTATATTCTCTTAAATGTATATATTTCATGTAACTAGGAGGTTGATCATATCATTTCCTAGGTATTACTCAGTGGTGCTAGAGCATTTTTTTGCTTTACATTTGAAACTTTTGTTTGTTTAACATTTTACAAACCATGATGTCTTTACGTATAGACACAGGTGACTTGACTCAACTTAGAAGTTCTGGTTTCCATTTTTCCTACAAGAAAAACGTGTGCTAAAGCTCTCTGGGAAATCCTAAGTCTGAGTTTGAGAACAAGAGGCAGTAACGTAACAAACACCTATGGAACACAGAAGCTTTGATGGAGTATTTTACTAGCTACTAGGCTTTGATGGAATATTTACTAGGTGTCTATGAAACCAATAGAAGATGCAACTCTTGCACTTCAGGAAGCTTATACAGTTTTTCACGGGAAGAATAAATCATAGCAATGAACATATCTTGTTGTCCATCAAGAAATTAAACATGTCTGCAGTTAAATTAGAGAAGGCTTTATCATTTATTGTGTTCTTCCATTAATCTATTTTATGTCATGCTAATTATCAATTTGTACTCATTTGTTCAATTGTGAACATAAATGTTTGTCATATATACATTACATTATAGTCTAAAATACTGCATTAGTAAACTAGAAACCAGAACTAGTTTCAACCAATGCTTATTCATCCTATTATAAGGAAAAAACTACACAAAATAAATCACTTCATTTTACCTTCATCACTCCATGAGATAGATATTATTCCCAACATTTTAAATAAGAAAGTTAAGGTTCAGACAGATTAATTAAATTGTCATTCTCATGTATCATCTGGGTAAATTTTACTCTAATTTGTTTTTTTCCTGTTGTATCTGATGAAAGTAAGCTCTACTTTCATACAGGGAGGAAAAACAAAACAACCTTATAATTAATTTCTAATACTATTAAGGCACTTAGGAAAATGATCTGTCGGAATAATCTTAGTTTGGGGATCAATAATAGGAGTGGAAATTAAATTAATGCAATGGTGAGATGCATTCTTAATCTCAAAAGGATATCCATTGGTAATTCCAGTTAAAGATTTTTGCTAAAAATCTGTGTACATTTTAGGTCTGCTGAACTTCTATTCATCCTTCAAAGACCAGCTCGAAGGTGACCTCCTCAGGCAGAGTTAATCATTGCTATCATTGTGCACTTACCTCTGCTTCTACATATCACAAAGCATTATAATTATTTGTTCACCTCTCTGTATCCCCTATGATATTTTTAGCTTCATGGAATTTGTGTTTTCCTTTTGCCCCAAGATTGGAACAGAGTGGGATTTTAATAAAGCTGTGTGCATTGCACAAGTTGATGAATGATTTTATACATTAATAATCTGGACTTTTAACATTTTCAAGTCATCAGAAAATATTCTGAATACATTTTTTAAAGCTCCCTTTCTCTTTGGTTGGTGGGTTATTTTGTCCTAACAGATCTTAGAATTTTTTGAAAGCTTTGTAAAAATATCTCTATTCTTTATTTAATGACATAATATTTCAAAATTTCACTGACATTCTATTCAAATTTACAATACATCGTTGAAGTAATTTCTCCAAAATTCATATACTTTTATTTTCATATCATGTATCCATGAACAACACTAATAGACATTTTTTTCTTTGTAGTTCTAAGACAAAATTGATAATAGACATGAAAAAATGTGATGAATTAGTATCTGTGTAGTTTCCCCCATCCGTTCCAAAAAATGGAGGAGAAAACAAAGTCCATTATGAATTGCCTATATCATTTATTTTTTTAAAAAATTATTATGAAAATTGCTTTAAAGAGCAAACATATAGGGAGAAAAAAGGAAATGTGTGGAAAAATAAGAGCCTCAGTCTACAGCAGTATTCTCCGACAAACCCTGTTTTCTTTATTTCCATATTAAACAAAAGAGCTAGTCATATGTAACTTAATAAAGTGAACACAAGGGAGATGTACCTCCAAATTAGAGCCAGACGGTGAATAACATAGCAGGAATGTACTTAAAACCCGGTACCAGCTCGTGACAAGGTCTGTTCTCTGTCTTAGCCCTCGATTTTTGGAAAAGCTTCAGGAGCTATGAGAAAAACTTTCAACCTGAGAAACACTCCAGGGTTGGGAAAGACTCCTGTTTTAATTCAGCCCAGATGTGATTCTTAATGAAAGCATTATGGTTTTGCAGCTGCAGTAGATGGTACAAGCATTTTAAAAAGAATAAATTATTTAAAAAGATTTTCTTTTTCCCTCTTACAATTATGCTTGACCTGTATTGGGGTAAAATCTTAAGATAGATTATAAAACAATTTATGGTTCCTTGCTTTTTACCATCTGAATACTGTACTAACCTAAATGCAAAGAAAATATATTCAAAAACACACTATGGATGTGCTATATAAATATGTTTATCATCTTGACAAAGAGTGCCTGATCCAAAAATTCTCCAAAAGCCAAGTTTCAAGCACATACAGTATGGACATATTAAGCCAACAGAATACCAATTCTCTTGATATAGGCTAAGTTATTTAGATGGACATTTCTTGCTTACTCATAGTTGCATTTTATTACAATCCCTGGCAGGCATGCATATATATATGTAAATATACATTTTCTAACTTAAAATTTTTAAAGAGTAAACATAAAATCAATGTCATTTTCAAAAGGCTACAATAAAAACATAATAGTAGGAGGAAAAAATTCCAATGGAATAATCTGATCTGCTCCTTCAACATTTCAGAACATAATATGCTATATAGCACTTAAATGTCAACCTGACTTTATTTCAACATAATAGGGCATACTTCACCCAATATGATTTCTGTTTTCATCAATAAAGTAGAAAAGTGAATGGACAATGTTTGGGGGGTGGGTAGACATGAGAAGTTTGATTATTTTGAAGCATTCTTTGCTTGCCTTGTTTATTGTTTTGGAAATGCTCTAGATTGGGAAGCATCCAGTGGGGATTCTGGGAAGAGCAGTTTACATATTTACTGAGACATTTGCTAACCATATAACATTCCAGCTAAAGAAAAACTTCCATTAAGCCCAAAAAATAGTTTTAAGCTATTATAGGAAGTTATTTTCTAAGAGTAACAACAACAAAATAAAAGAAAACAGAGGGAGGAACCAAATGATAGCAAGGTATTAAATGATTCTGCTTGAGAGCAGAAACTGCAGGTTATTATTTGCTGACGGATTATTCAGAATGAATTTCATCATTCTTGTTACAAATTTGTTTTTTGACACTTTAATTATGAAGGAACTATTCTGAAATACAATATGAGCAGAAGATGCTATAAGTTTAAGTAAAACGCCATTACATCCTCATTTTACAAAATTCACAATCACATTGAAATTAAACAGCATTTCTCTTTTGTAGAAAGAAATGCTTATTGCAGAAATGGAATGCATGTGGATCCAGTGACATTTTAATCATTTTATTTTATACAGTATTTAGAAATAGTGGAAATGGAACACAGAAAGCTTTGCAATTGAATGCATATATACATATAGCACTACGTATATAGCACATTCTTACATGCCATAAAAATGGAGACTTCTCTACTGCTGCTTAGTGAAAAAAGATACTCATTCAAGATTGGTGAGTAGGTAACAGATGTTGGTACCTGAGTACACTAGTACTCAGCTAAGCTCTGTGTGCTCAGCTGGTTTTACTTCTTCTACCCTCATGCCCCCAATTTACTAATGAACATCTCTGTTTGTAATTTATCTGGCCACATGTATTCTAGAACAGCCAGCCAATCAGCCCAATGACCATAATTTAAACAAATAATCTACAAATCATTTTTGCAAGCTATGCCTATTAAGTTGTGATGTGTTGATAAATGTAACAGAAAATATAATGGCATGTGAAGGGCCCTGATACACATGCATTCTGATTAATACAAAATCAACTGATTAAATGCAAATTTTTTGAGAATTTGTAACAAGCTAATGTAGATAATAAAATCTCTGAGGTTGAAAATTTCATTCTTACTTTCAGCCAATGGAGATGGGCTATAATAAAACTTTGACCCTAGAAGACTGATTTTTGTTACTTTTAGAAGTTTCCACTGAATTCAAAAATGATCCATTCAATTTTCCCCTCTATATGGTTGTGTTGGCATACCTTCAACACCTGGCAAGATTTCTGAAATCATTATTTTAAGCAAAACTAAAGGACTTATATGTACAACTTTAAGGCAAAAAGACAAAGTGCTTTTAATTTGAGGTTAAAATGTATTGGTGACAAACCTGTAGTGTTTATAGTATCGATCATCAATAAATGCTTAGCAACATAGGTACTCTATCAATTTCATTTTACAAGTGATCATTCGTTTAGTTCTCTTGACCACAATTTTTTTTTGAAATGACAATTTTGAGTATTTAATACAAACATGATCAAATATATGCCTTCATAAAAATTAGTCTTATGTAGTCAAGCAACTATTAGCAAATAATAAGATCCTACAGAAGATCCTTTAGTGTTTGTCCCTAAGACATTTGTATACAGCTCATAAAACAGGCAAGTTGCAAGAGTATCCCCTCTATGATCACAAGTTCACTTATTTCATATGTAAACATGTCTGCTATAATGCATGGTAATTCTCAAGACTAGAACATCATACTACAGAGGTCTGCATGTCAAAAGAAATGCCAATTGTGCGAGTTAATTTTATTTTTAGACAAGTTAGAAAACATTGGGCCAGGATTTTATTTTGCTCAAGAGTGAAAGGTTATTTTTGCTTTCATTCTAGGAAAGGACTCCAGCTTATGAAAGAAAACGCAAAGAAAGAAGAGACCATTCCACTGAGTGAGTTTGGGGAACATAAACTTCTGTAATGTTTATTTTAATTAGGCCTATTTCTCTAAGTATTATACCACCCAAATGATAACATGTTTTAAAATTCCGTGTGCTTCAGGGAGACGAATATTGAGATAATCAATCTCTTGGCACTCTTGCAAAAGCAATAATAGTAAAAGTAATAATAAACTATATCATAGTATGTTATTAAATATTCTAAAACAAATATAGAACAAATTATCCATTTTACCTAGTCTGCATCTATAGAGAATGTATGTTTAGGCAATGTATACTACCAGGATCTATCAATCATCAAAACGTGCTTAACAATACAGATACTCTACATTAATCTTATTGGACAGGTGATCCGTTCATTAGTTCCCCTTACCATAGTTTTTTTTTTTAAAGCAACTTTTAATATTTAACGCAAATATAATCGAATACATGTCATCATATCAATTAGCCTTTGGTAGTCAAGTAACTATTAAGAGATAGAAAATCGTAATACATTTTTTATTTTAAAAAGAAAAAAAATTTTCATCCTTGGGGATTACAAAAAACCATGCCTAGGATTCTTTTTTTGTTTGTTTGTTTTTTAACAAAAGAAGGCATAATTTCAAGCTGCTTTGCCTCTTTAATCCCTTTTGTATGGCTGGAAATTAGTGACGCATATGGTTCTGAAATTCAAATATAATGCAAAAGACTTTCTACATTTCAATCATTTGAATTCATATTTAATGTATTGAAAAATTAACATAAATGGAATATTTCCAAAAATGTACATATCATATGTGAAAATAGCAAGAAAAATTCAATCTTCTTGGCTTTGTCTTACATTACTAAAGCTGGTCCCAGAGCATTTTGACTATGGCAAGGCAATAGTATTTTTATCCATTTCAAAGAGTCATGAGGGCCATTCCCTTTGCTCTACATCTTTCCTGTGCCATTTTAATAGAAGATGCCCTCATTTAGCAGCTACACCTCCACTGTGCAATATGCAGGGAAACATAATTAAATTTAATAGAAGCTGCCCCTGTTTTGAAGACACACTTGATTTAAAGCCACTCACAATTTAAAGCTGCAGGGAGATGTAATTAAATTTTATAGAAGCCATGGCTTTTAAATGAAGACACATGATCTATGTGCATGAGAGTGAACATACACACACATGCAGTAAAAATGGGAAATTTAAAAAGTTATTCTTCTGTAATTATTTATATAACGATTCCAAATACAAGACATTATTGCTCAAATAATATGAAGGTTGTTTTTATTCATATAACAGGTGTAGCCATAAGAACACAGCAAGATAATCATTAGTATACTATTACAAGAGTACTTTATTGACTAAATTGATAATATTAATCAATATACACTTTATTGTTATTGAAATATACCTATTCTTTATCTGGCTTTATATACTTATTACAAGACAAGAGTGGGGAAAATGTTTTGATAAATCATATATCTGTTGGTTTTTTAATGCCTGTGCACCAAAAGGACTTACTAAAATAATGTAATGTTATTATTAATAATCTAAGAATAAAATTTACATGTTTGTTTGTGTCTGTAATGCATTTGTTCCTTAAGTTGAAAAGCATTATATAGGCTCTTATTATATATGTTTATATAGTACTTATTAATGAATCTAAAAAATTCCAATTGAATATTCTGTTTATAAACTATCTGAGGGAATGAAGACAGAAATGTATCACAAACCATCTCCTATGCTTAAACTTTCTATTTAGTCTTCAGTATTATTTACACTGTTAATATTAATTTATGGGTTCAAATTTGATTGGTTTTCAGCACTTAACTAAAAGGGAAAAAAGATATAAATGAAGAATCTTGAAGTCATTAACTGAATGTCTTATGTGGGAAGAAAATAAAATTCCTTTGTAGATTAAATCTTTGAAGAAGACCCTGTGGAAACTCTTTAGGTTAGCGTTGTCCCTTTAATGTCTGTTTAACGCCTTGGAGAAGACTTCTGTTTTGATCCCCCTTGAACTTTAGAGACTAGCTCAATGAACCAGGGAAAGACAAAAAGTTTCAGAAAGAATGGTCTTTAAAGCAGAAAGCCTTCCTCCAGGCTATAAGCTACATCCTCAATGTGAGAATAAGCCCAAGGAGAAAGAGAAAATCTCCTATCTTTGCCACCATTAATTATCCACTTAGTAATCTATTCCTGCCATAAATGCAATGCTTTCCTCACTGGGTGTCTTTCCCATGCTTCAAGCCATGGATCATCAACCAAGCCATAACCCCCATCACTGCCTAAAAATCCCTCCTTTGTTGTTCAAGAATATTAAGCTAGGTAAACTGTGTAACCAGTTTTTAAAGCCAACAATTAGATCTTTGTTGTTTACCCTGAAACTCCTTAGGGGCTCATGTCATTTGTCTGAATTTAGAAGTGTGGGAATCTCTGTATTGGCCTAAATGTGTAGCATATTCTTTTTATTCACTGTTATTCAACAGTTAAAAATAATACCAATTCTTTATGTTACAATTGCTTTATTGGCTTAGCTTTTCCTTCTGGTTTTTTAATTTTTTTTACTCTCTATACCTTGTAGAATCATTCTAAGTTATATTCTGTAATACTACTTCTTATATTTCGAGTTACAGAGAATATTCAGAAAACAACTGATTAAAACAAATAATATAAATTAAACTTCAAATACTTTTTTTCTTTGTTGAAAGTGGTCAGTGCAGTAATCAAATTGTCCAACTATATTACTAATGACTTCATGCCAGCTTTCTCCACTGTGTGCTAGGTGTTTAACAAATGCAGACATCATAAAAATGTCAACAGTTGTTATCTAGACTTAATGGGATAATAGGTGCCATCAATGTTCTTCTTGTATATTCTGTATTTTTAACTTTACACAATAATTGCATTATAGTTATTAGCAGAAAAAATATTTAAAGATAAATGCACATATTTAACATTTTATAACTGAAAGAAATATTAAATAACTTCATATAAATTAACTTTTTGAAAAACTTTTTTTTTTGTATTGAAAGCTGTCACCTACCACAGTGTCTGGCTTATTGTATGTAAAGACTACTTAGATGATTAGTTTTTTTCTGCTGTCATTATTTCCCATATATAAGTAAAGAGAAATTTATCAGCCTAAACACCAGATAATCTTCCACAATATGTTTTTTTAAAGCACAAATTGCTTTTCTATTTAAATGCAAATTTTCCCACCTAATTGTGATTTGAAACTCTCATTTAGCTGTTATGAATTCTATTTATTAGTCATTGGATATCAAAATCATAAAGGAATTCGTATTTGGGGGTCTCATATCTGAGTCAAGTTTTATCAACATTTTATGTGCTAAAATACCTAGAGTTAAAGTTTCACTTAAAAGGAAAAAAAAGCAGAAAGCTTATCTTGATAATAAAATCATAATTCATGATTTGTTTAATTCAAGTCTCCTTATCTTTGAGTGTTAAACAGAATTGCTTTGTTTTTATTTGTGTTGTTTTTGCTGATTTAACTTTGATAAGTTTTTTTTAGTATAGTGGTTAAGACAAAGACTCTATTTACACTGCACTAGCTTTAAGTCTCAGTTAATTCTCTCATTCGGTAAATTTTGATTGAGTGTCTAATTTGTGTTGAGCACTATTTGACCTTGGGATTCAACTCAGTTCCATTTCCTCACCTGTAAAAGAGACATGGAACATAAGCTGTGGGGTTACTGTGAGGATTAAGCCAGATGATCTAAAAAAAGAGTTTAGTACAGCATGTATCACACAATAAACATGGAATCTATTCTTGTAAAGCATCTAATTATATGGATATATTTATACACTTCTACACATAAATTTATGTCTATATTTTGTTATTGTTAATCACACAGCAGGACTGTTCATGGGCTTTTCACTTAAGCAGCACACGAAAGTAAACTGGACTTGATTTCTTCAAGGATAAATCTATGTTCTTTTTCACATTCTTGGACCAGCTTCTGTCGTTATTATTAAAACTCACAAGAATATTTATAAATTTAATTAGGCCAAGGACATATTTTATTCTCCCTCTATTTTCATCATCTAGCATGGCAGCTGCTACCCCATTGGTGTTAAATAAAGTTCTACTGAATCAAAAGCTTAAATATCAGAAAACATAATTAATTTGAGTCTCTTGTTTTCTGATGACAGAGGAAATTATATATCAAACTAATTTTCCTGAGAAAGAAAAATTATCCATAGTTATATTAATGGTAACTGAGCCTTATAAAGGAAAGATTAAAAATAAAACCAAGAATAACTAGGTTGACATGTGTATACAATGTTGATGTATCCATGCTAATATAAGATTAATCTCATATTATATTCAATTATATATTATAGCATCTAATCTTATATTAATTAATGTAATATTAAGCTATAGCTTGCTAAGAAATAAATTTTAAGAATAAAGAATCCCGAAAGCATCCAGGAAGGAAACAATAGCTCACAAGTAGAAGAGGAAAAATCATGTGGATCTCAAACTTCTCCAAGACATTTAACTTCAGGAGATAATTGAACAACTTCTTTAAAGTACTTAAAGGCAAAAGATATAACTAAAAAATTTTATACCTAGCCAAGTTGTCATGGGAGACAATCTCAAAGAAATAAATAGTTCACAAAGTTTACTAATCAAAAAGCTTTACTGAAAAAAATTACTCAGATATGTTACTCATCCCAACCAAGGGATATATTAAAATACAGAATTCAAAAATGAGGATGATTTAATTTTTAAAGAAGATTAAGACTTTTAAAATATACTATTATTTCTAAATAATTTTTGAATAAATATGACTATGAAACATAAAGCAAATTCATGAACAAAAACTCTTGCTACAGAAGAGATATAATTTATAACAACATTCACCAATGATAAGATCAAAATTCCAGGTTACATAAACAATAATTGTACATAAGAAAGGTTGATGGAATCGCAAGTGGCATCTTATTTCTATTTTCCCCTTTCTTTTTTCTTTCCAAATTTTCTACATGTGATGTACTTTACCAATTTAAACGAAATATGTATAATAATTATAAATGAATATATGATCAACTTATCCCATAATTTTTGTACTAAATGTTAATATCTTTTATTAGGAGGTTTCATGTAATGTACTATTTGAATGAATACAATGCAAATCACAGCAAAGGATATATTGCAGATTTATGCTTAAAAGTGGCATTGCTTCTCAGCTATACCTAAGACTAAAGTAGGAAATGAGATACTTTCTAGTCATGATGTTCTTGTCTACTCCTGTGTTTTCTGGTTTGTTCTCCATTTTCTAGTAAGTGTATTCCCATGGCTCTAGTCCTCTCCAGACACGAAGCTGCCTAACTTCTGCATGCTTCAACCTCTCACTTCCATTGGAAAGCATCATTCGTTTCCCATACATCGCATTATGAATAGATTGCTCAGTTCTACCTTACTAGCTACATTGCACAGTCTTGGAATTTTTCTTTGCATCCCTGGACATCAATTGATAGGATCCATTCCTCTTTCACTCTGCCCACCTTCTTTGTCTTTTATGATCCTTTCCTATGATTGACAAAGCTTTTGTGAATTTCTTATCATAGTTTCTTGTTGTGATCAAATTCATAGTCCTAATTATTATTTCTGTTGACCTAAGTTATGACTCATAAGTTTGTACATAAGTCTTCTCTAAGTCTCTTATGATAACTGTTTAGTATAACATTTATTTATCCTTCACAGATCCCTACTTCTTTTTTATAATTACAATGAGGAATGATAATATTGCCTGTTCTTTTTAAAACAATTAAAATTTGTCATCATTTTCCTTGGTGCAGAATAGAAAAATTTTAATAGAAATTTTTATAATAAATGCACCTTTATGAATGATGACTTGTGAATTAAAAAATGGAAACATGAGATCAAATACAAAAAGATAAGTCAATGGAAAACCAAAGAACGTGTTCAAATTTCAGTTTTAAAAGGTGCTAACTTACTAACTTATAATATATTCTCTCTCAAATTCTCTTCAAAATACTATAAAGATATAATTTTTTAAATAATTAGCACTATTATCCCAAATTAAGACAGGTGGACAGGCTTTGGCCAGAATCAAGAAAATATTTTCCCACAACTCATTAGCAAACACCAAATAACCTGATTAAAACCTGGTCAAAGAAATTTGAATAGACATTTCTCCAAAGAAGACACACAAATGGCCACAAGTTATATGAAAAGATGTTCAACATCACTAATCATTAGAGAAATGCAGATCAAAACTACAATGAGATGTCATTTCACCCCTGCTAGGATGGCTTTATCAAAAAATAAAAAAATTAATTTTGGTGAGAAGGTGGAGAAAAGAGAACTCTTCTAACACTGTTGGTTGGAATGCAAATTGGTATGGCCATAACGGAAAACAATATGGAGGTTTCTTGAAAAATTAAAAATAGAACTACCCTATGATCCAGAAATCCCACTTTTCTGGGTATATATCCAAAATAATTGAAATCAGGATCTCAGAGATACCTGTTCTCCAATGTTTACTGCAACATTATTTACAATAGCTAAGACAGGAAGCAACCTAAATGGCCATCAGCGTATTAATGAGTAAAGGCAATGTGTTATATACATACAATAGAATTTTATTCAGCCTTAAAAGTAAAAGGAAATCATGCCATTCAGGGAAGCATGGATGAGCCTGGAGGACATCATGATAAACAAAATAAGCCAAACACAGAAGGACAGGTCTCACTAATGCAGGCTTCCGTAACAACTGTTTCAGTACTTACTGAGTGGTTAAGTTAAATATCAAAAGCTAAAAAAGCTAGTGCCCCCATACAAAAGCTGGAATGTAACAAAAGCCCACTGAGAGTTTTGCCTAGGCCTTCTGGGCCTTAAAGCATGACAAATTAACAAAGGAATTCTTAACAGGACCCATTTAGGATTAAACAAGTTTTATTGGGGGTCTGAAGAAACTCCTCAAACCTCCATGATTTAGCAGGAGACAAGATAAGGGTAACCACCCCAGCACCTGGACCCATTTAGATTACGTAAATTTACTGAAGCTCCAGAGGAAGGTCTTCAGGACTCAGAAATTAGTTATAGATTTTTAAAAAGTTAATCACTTATGTCTTTAGATGAATGTACACTTACATGTAGACATATAGCTTAGAAGGCATATAAGCTCTGGAAAACTTTGTAATTTTGAGTTGGTCTGGCAATAATTTCTAGGCCTTCTCCCTGTAACCAGTTGCAGAAATAAAAACTCTCTTCATCCCCAGTTCATCTGCATCTTGTTACTGGGCCACAAGAAATAGCAGCCCGACCCTCAGTTTGGTCCAAGACCAATACTACCTGTATAATAAATCTAAGATAGTCAAACTCATAGAAGCAGAAAGTGGAATGGTGGTTGCCAGGGGTTGCAGGGAGGGAAAAACAGGGAGGCATTAGTCAGAAGGTAAAAAGCTTGGTGATACAAGGAAAAAAGTCCCGGAAATCTACTGTATGGTAAAGTGCCTATAATTAACAACATTGTATTGTATACATAAACATTTGCTAAGAGAGTAGAGCTTATGTTGTATTCTTAGTACACAAGAATAATAATAATAAATAAAAAGGGTGAGACGAAATTTTTGGAGGTGATAGATAGGTTCACGGCAGAGGTTGTTGATGATTTCACAGATGTATCCTTATGTCCAAACTCTTCATGTTGTATACATTAAATATGTACAGCTTTTTGTTTATCAATCATACCTCAATACTTTTTTAAAAAGAATATTTCATCAAATATAAATATGAGGCAGCAGGATTTCAGACTACCTCATAATAGTCATCTCATACTTGACCTCATGAAAAAGGTGGAAATCAATGGCAGGGCATCTTAAGGTTTTCTTATCTGTGGGAGTGTAGGAAGGAATTCTTGCCCTATCTACTTCCTCTATTCAAAAACCAGAGCATGTAACAGCCCCAAATGCGGTCGCTGGTCCTTTTTCTTCACCACTGCTATTTTTTGTTGTTATGCATTGTGTTTTCTGTCCCTTTGATTTTCAACATCCCTTTAGACATGACATCTCTCAGAAAACAGCAGGACAATAATGGGAGTAGACTGGTGGAGGCAGCATTCAGGGAGAACGTGAAGATGGGCTAGAGAGTCTGTTATCAGAACGATCAAAGGCTCTGAGATGGGAATAAACATGGCATTTTTGCAGGAAGGCTTGTGTGGGTGGAGCATAGGGAACGACAGAGAAATGGAGGGAGATGAGGCCAAAGATGTAGGCAGTATAAAGACTTTAAATTTTATTTCAGTTATCAAATGGTGCCAAAGGGGACATAAGCAGGGACTGATGTGAACTGCCATCTTGAGCTATGGTGCTTTTTTAGGGGGTGGGGGGATATGGCATCTCTAGTAGGAGGGGAAGTTAAGCTCTGTCAGAACAAGGGGTGGAGCCGGAGAAGCAGGCATTGTGTGAAGTTTAGAGTGTGTGGTTGAAGTGCTTGGGTAGGTGGAGAAAAGTCACAATTAGGGTTTTCATATGACAACTAACTGGGCCACAACCTAAGCTGAGTCAGAAAGGACAGGTGTTAGAAAGGAAGAACTGAGGATCAACAAATGAGAACAATTTTCTTATTTTGTACTATAGGGTTTCTTAGGTGAACTCTGTTTTCCCTTCGTGTATCACTTGGCTTTTGTTGTAGGACAAATACTCCAAAATATTATAGCTCAAAACACCAATAATTCATTTTTTCTCATGTCTGAAGGTTGGCTGGGGCTACCTGGTGCTGGGCTTAACTTTATGTTACAGGTTGACTCTCCCATGGCCCCATGGGTTAATTGAGATATGGCCTCCATGTTGCTGTAGCAAAAAAACAAAGAGACAAGCAGATACCCGATGTCTTTTGGGGCTTAGACAGACCTGGCACTTGTCACTTCTGTCCACATACCAGTGGCCAATGCAAATCACGTGGTCAAGTCCAACAGCAGTAGGATGGGGATGTATACCTCACACTCAAAGGAAAGAACTGCAAAGTCACCTGATGAAGGCTGTGTTCAGGGCCAGCTTCATCGGTGTGTGACTTGTACAGTCACACAGGATCTTAGGCTTAAAGGGGTTCCATGCTTGGTTGAATGCTCTGCTGTTGTCATCTTCAAATTTGTAAAAAAAAAATTTAACAAGAGGCTTTGCATTTTCAGTTTGTACTAGGTCTTGCCAATAATATAGATAGTCCTGGGGATAGATACAGAAATGAGTGGCAAACCCAAATCAGGAACCATAATAAAATCTAGCACTGGGAGACACATTCTGCAATATGCCTTTTAGGGCACAGCCTTATTCCATCGTGATTACAGTAAAAAAAAGTGCAAAAATAGCAGAATAACAAGACTGAGCTGCTGACTAAGGGAGGAAATAACCAACTATTAGAGGAAATGAGTGACAAATGAAATACAGAAAAAGATGAAGAAACAAATGTGGAAGTCTTTTGGAAGGAGAGTAGAAGTTTAAAAAGCCAGAAGAGAGGACTGAGAGGAAAAAGAGGAAACAGAAAAATTCTAGGCAAACCAAGTTATCCATAAGTTAACCATGACTTTTAGCTATCCAATTAACTATGAGGCTTTCTTAATTTATTTATTTTTTTTTTTTTGGCAAATTTAAAACAGTACTCTCCTGAATTTTATTTGTCTCAGATATATAGGATAATATTTTTAGATAAATGATTAAATCTGTTAAACAACTCTTTAAAGGCAATTAAGACAAAATGGTTATGAAACAAAGTTAGCTTTTAATTAGGATAAAAATTAGTTCTTATTGATAATTTTTCCTAGCAAGGTTTCAAACACTATATTAGGTGATGTTCATATGCTTTGTGACAGGATTATGGCCTGCATCATAAACCATCCTGAAATATATTATAATACTAAAATTATTGGCTACTTAGAACATCATATTCAAATTGCATTCAAATTTCACATCTGTCTGTGAATTAGCATGTCAAGTCTAAATGCTACTAAGTCACACACTCAATCACTCATTCACTCCCACAGTCACTGATTTGTTCATTCAAAGGAAGTTTGTTAAGTGCTTACTATGTGCCAGATAATGTGTTTCATTGTTTTCACGAGGGCTGTTACCATAAGCAAAGTACTTTTTAAAATGCCTCAACACTGTCCCAGTATGGTGGCCCATGCCTGTAATCTCTGCTCTTTAGGAGGCCGAGGTGGGAGGATCACTTATGCTCAGGAGTTTGAGACCAGGCTGGACAACATAGTGAGAACTTGTTTCTAAAAAAAAAAAAATAGCTGATGGATAGACATAATTATTGCTATGATTTTTTCTCTAGTATGGAAGATAAATTCCACTAGAGTAACAATATCAAGAAAATTCTTCAAGTCTTAATTCAGAAGGAGGTGTGAAAACAAATCAGAGATACACTGATTATGAATCTGTAAAATAATAAAGCAATGTGAGCCTTTTCCACAATATTCTGAAATAATTAGGATTCTCAGTACAGACCTTTCCTGGAGAAAATCGTTCTAAAAGTAAGGATATCAAAGAGAGAAATGTGGTTGTTAGAAGATATTAAGGGACATATATAAAGGAACAAACCTTTGTAAAAATTAGGCTGATAGCCGTTGAAGAGTACAAAATAGGAGGATTCAGCAAATAGAGGAGCCTGAACCAATAGAGGCAGTAAAATAAATTTACTTTTAATCACCTTTGACTGGTGTATGCTGAAAACCTACTTTGGGACCATTTTTTGGGCTTTCTTGGTAGCAAAAACATAAGCCATTCAGCTCTTTATCTCTTTGCCAAACGCATAAAATATTGTTCACTGTTCTAACATACCCCAATGAATATTCAAAACAAAAGATTGGGCTAAAAGGAAGCTATATATACAGAAAACCCCCTATTTATGCTATCACAATTTTGCATTTTCTCATTTTCTGAGCCATGAAGTTGTCTATGTTGCTAATGTACAGATTTTCTGCCATTTGCTATCATTTCTCAGAAACTGTTAAAACATAATCCCATGTTTGCTGTGAAATTAGCCTTGAAAAGAAAGCTGCTGAAGAGTACATAGCACCTTCTTCAGTAGTACACACCTCCCCAATTCCTACCGCCTTCTTATACAAATAGAAAAATATTATACGCATCTAGTCAGTGAACAAACGGATATTATTAAACACTCACTCTGTGCCAAGCACTGTGCTCTCTACTGAGATACAAAGATGCTTGAGATGATATACAAGCACACCTCCTCAGAAGGTTATTGAAGGGTAACGAGCAAAAAGGTCTGCTCTGCCTTATGTTGTAAAAGGCTCACTAGCTGCTGTGTAGAAACAGACTGGGAGGCACAGGGGAGGTAGGCCAGGAAAAGGGGCAACAATGAGAACAGAGATTCCTATCAGGAGGCTATTGTGATAGTTCAGAGTTAGGACAGTGGCTTAGGCTAGAGCGTGATCAGTGAAGTGTTAGAGCAGTAGTCAGATTTGAAATATATTTTAGAGGTGGGATCCATATTAGAAAGGAGTCAAAGATGGTAATGGGAATTTTGGGGCTGTCTGAGGATGAATGGTAATGCCATTGACAGATGGGGAACTTTAAGGAAGAGACAAGTTAGGGAAGGATTAGTAAATTAGTTAAAAAAAAAAAAAAGCTAGTAACGGACACATTAAGTTTGAGATGTCTATTAGATATCCAAGTGGAGACGCTAGGTAGTTGGGAGAGAAGGTGGAGCTGGGAATTAGCTTTCAATATCATCAGCACATAGTATTTAAAGCCATGATACAGGATGAGATTTTCAAGGTAGTAATTTGCACATAGGAGAGAAGATGCAGTGGCAGAGTATCTCATTTCCCTATGGAAGTGGGGCTCATGCCCAACATTCTCAGCTTCACACTGGAGTTCTGTGACTTTGGCCACAAGTTTCTTCCTGAAATTCATAAAAGATCCCTATTCTTTTTGTTGTTACTGTTTATTTTTTTCTAGGAATCTTGGGCCATAGAAACAACTGTTTTTTTGCACAATGCTGCCAGCACCATGCTAGTCTCAGTGTATGGGCTGTGCTGCCCCTCCTCTCACTGGCCTTCTCTGGGCAGGTGCACACATCCCTTTCTTCATTTTCTGAACCTAAGGCACTGTTAACACAGAGATGTTGTGTAAAGAGTATTGACTGAAACAGGTACCCATCATAGGACTGGGTTAAGAGGAAGCTATATATACAGAAAACTCCCTATTTTTGCTATTGCAATTTTGCATCTTCTCAAAATTATGTTACAGAGAAGATAAACTTAAAAATCAGTAATCAATATTGTGGCTTCCAAAGTACAGAAACTCATCTGAGCCATGTGAAGATCCTTCCTCTTTCCTGAGCTAGGGTAACAGACATGGTTCTCTGTTGACTACTCTCTGGTCCAGTCTCCATTCCTTAGACATTTTTCTCCTGTTTCCAGCTCCCTCCACCTGTCCCTTCTCCACTCTGGAGAAGGCTACTTAAAAAATTATCAGAGTTTAGCTATACTTTTTCTTAACTTCCCCATTCCACACAGAATTCTTGTCCTTATCCTGGTATATTCAAAATTTCCAGTAAAATATTTTCCTCAACAAAAGAGCAGTCTTATTCTTAAGATAAAATCTGCCAGCCCCTAAAGTGTGACAAATACTGCAGTGTTTAAAAAATGGTGTCTTCCAGTTTTCTTTTGTCTAGTTACATTCATATTACATATGAATTGTATATCATGCTTCTAAGTGGGTTCCTAAACTTATACCTGTTCATGTTTAGATCTGGTTCTTGAAAAAGTTCTACAAGTTGTTGAGGATATGTCAAGCTTAGAAAAAATGTACTATTTAAATTTATAATAAGACGATTATTGTACACAGCAGAAAGGAACGTATAAGTATTATTTCCAATTTATTATTATATTTTTTAATTTATATTTTCTTCCCATCACTATTAGTGATATTGTGGCTCTGTGTTCCCACCCAAATCTCATGTCAAATTTTAATTCCCAGTTGTGGGAGGCACCTGGTGGAAGGTGACTGGATCATAGGGGTGGATTTCCCCCTTGCTATTCTCATGATAGTGAGTACTCATGAGATCTGATTGTTTAAAAGTGTGTAGCACCTCCCCCTTCACTCTCTCTCTCTCCTGCCACCACACAAAGACCGTGCCTGCTTTCCCTTCACCCTCTGCCATGAATGTAAGTTTCCTGAGGCCTCCCCAGCCATGCCTCCTGTACAGCCTGTGGTACTGTGAGTCGATTACACCTCTTTTCTTCATAAATTACCCAGTCTCAGGTAGCTCTTTATAGCAGTGTGAAAAAGGACTAATACAATTATTTCCTCTTTTTCACTGCAAATGTGAAGTTGAAAAGATGGACTGAGTTATAAAAACAAGAAATTGCTATGAAGGCAGCAATGGAACTTTGAAAATAGCCCAGCTTTGGGATTTCAGCAGATCTATATCTAATCAGAGCTCCTCTAGTTCCCATGTAGCCCTGAGATGCTCATCCAACTGGCCCTCAGTTCCTCATCTGCAAAATAGCAACCATTACTTGGAGAGTTGGCCTGAGCACAAAGAAAATATGTACAAATATCTGCTACATAATAAACCCCAAATTCTAATTATTATCTGAGATTTTTACTCTTCTCTTTTCCGGGTGGGAGGCGCCTACAGAAGATGGTCTAGCCACTGAGCTAGCTGAGTAGAGCCACAGACCTTTTATATGAACCCTGCCCTTGGAAAATGCAGGAAAATGTTCCCTGGGTTGCCCATCTCACTTGTCAGCTATTATGCATGACTCCCATCTGCCACGTCAAAGTCACAGGGCTCCTGCTCTTGGCAGTGAGCCCTGTGCTGTCAGCCATCGCTGACAGGTGAGAGCCACTGGCCCAAGATCAGAAAGATTGCTTGCATAGCGAAAGGACACACCTCACCTGTCAGCTGTCACAGACACTCTTTTTACATTACTCCACTCCAGGAAAGGTGATATCTCGTTCAGGGGTTTAACAGTCCAGAGTTATGAAGTACAAATGAAGTGACGGCTGTGCATTTATTAGATCACGTGTAGTGTTTCTTAGAACTGGTTTGCTTTCCATGGGTACCTTTAGAAATGGCTTCTAACACAACAATTTAGAGTCACACCTGAAGGCTGTGAGGCTGAGGGTCCAGCTGAAAAGGTGAGATCTGTTGCTAAAAAGATCCCAAATTCATCAGCAGACTCCACCTGTCAGGTGACAGGCAAGGCTCAGGGTACGGCTGCCGTGGTAACATGGGGAGCACCACCTGTCAGCTAGGCTCCCAGCCAGTCTTTCTGAGCTTAAACATGAAGTACTGAGCTGCAGAAAATCAGTGGTCTTCCCCGAGCATCCAATTGTAACAGAGCATGTTCCAAAAAACAGTAAATCATGTTAAAGAACCACAACTCGGGCCATCATCGCCCATAAGAGTAAGCAGCATCTTAAATCTACTGAGATTACAGATGTTAAGAAACACAGTTGCATCTCTTTAGGACTAAGATGAAGTTCTGGACTGAGGCATCTTTACCTAAACACACAAACACACACATACACACACACACATGTGCCTGCACACACATACGCAAGCACATACAAACACAACTTATTTCTTTTTCTTTTTTTATTTTGGGTCAAAAAATCTACCTTCACAGAAAAGATGTTTCAAATACCAACACTTAAAATGATAAATCTTTCATTTCTAACCTAAAATTAGGAATAAAAATGAAATTATAAAATATTAGAGGAATACAGTCAGAAAAACAAGAAAAGAAGAAACCATAGTAGCAACTTAAAAATACACAATTTTGCTTATAATAGTAATTCATCCAACGCTTATCTTGTTTTTTTTTTTCTGACTCCTCCTAAGATTTCTTAAAGTCTATCTTCATTAGCGGTTTTTAGCAATTTGACTTTGACGAGTGATGGTCTAATTTTCTTCATTCTTTATGTTTAGGGTTTGTTGAGCTTCTTAGATCTGTGGGTTTATAATTTTTTTTTATCAAATTTGGAGATTTTTGGCTACCATTTCTTGAACTCTAGACTTCATAACTTACAGGACTGTAAGTATCTGCCTTCCCCAATCACTTCCAGAGCTACCTGCATCCTAGCCTTCTATCACGTACACGTTTACTCACTGCTGCCTCCCGCTGCCCCAGGGATTGGACCTCCACCAGTGCTTGCTATTTGTCTAGCTCACTACAGTCTCTCCAGTGTGCAGCTCAGTGCCTGGCACAGGTAGTCATTCAATACGCTTATGGAATAACTGAATATTTACACCCTTTCATTGAAAGTCAGTTTTCCTTTGGCACCAGAGTATCTAAAACCTGAAATGTAGAACTCTTCTCAGTCAAGAACACTAACTGCCTGCACTTTAGTCTCATTAGTAAACCCTGTCTTGTGTTGGCTGCCATCCAGTTCCCATCAAAAAGGCAGTTAAGATATTAATATTTGAAAAAACAAGTATCTATGCAATGTTTCCTAACTTGAATTATGCTATAGACTGTCAAAATTTAAAAATTTTTAAATAATAGACACAACAATTTAGGGAATAAGAAGTGAAGCAACCAATCTACTGAAGATGGGGTTAAGAGGAGAAACGACCATTAAGTAACAAGAGTTTCCTTGCTAGAGTTGGGTTTGAGGTTGGAAAATAGGTTGCAGTCAGCGCTTATGAACTCTAAGACAGCCTGGGTTCTAGATAAGTTGTGAAATGTATCATGACATTTTTCATTACTAGTAAGAAATAACTGAAATTTATGAATACATGATTCTTAGTATAAAGATTGGAGGTCAATATTGTCACTCTCACATATATTTTTTAATTCTTTCATGTCTGACAAAGAAAGACAGGACATTTCAGCAATGTGCCCCATAATCATTTCTTCCCCAAAGAAGACACGTCACACTTATCAAAGGCATTGTTCATGTGCACTGTGGCAGAAAGTGTCAAAGGAGTCCTGGTCTAAGAAAATATTTTCTATTTTATTCTCTGAGCCATATGCTATTCTTAGATTAGGACATCAGAAGGAAATGATATACATTATATTCATTTTCCTTGGTGAAATCTTTTTGCTTTCATATGATGTAATAAAAATATTGTCTTTAATGTTACATTAAATTTTATATTATTTTTATGATTCCATTATATCTTATTTTTGGGATTATTAGCTATAACTCTGTTTCATTGTTTTAGTGGTTTCATTAGGGTTAGGGCTTATAAGTATAGTTCTTTACCTTATCAATCTATTTTCAAGTAATGCTATTAATACTCCACGAATAGCCCAAGAGCTTTATAATAGTATATTTCCATTTCTTCCTTCCTTTGTCCTATTGTCATTATATATTTTATTTCTACATGTACTGTAATGCTTATACTACACTGTTTTTATTTTTGTTTTGTCAATTTTTAAAAACAAACTTAAATAATAAGAATACTATTCTATAAATTAACCCAATGTATTAACCATTTCTTGTGCCCTTCATTCCTTTGTGTAGATTCTTATTTTCTTTGGATATCATTTTCCTTCTGCCTGAATGACTTCCTTGAACATTTCTCACAGTATGAGTTTGTTGCTGATGCAGCCCTGCAGCATTTGTATGTCTGAAAGTCTTTATTTCACCTTCATTTTGGAAGACATTTTCACTAGGTAAAGAATTTTAGGTTGACAGGTTTTTAGTTTTTGTGTTTTCTAATACATTAAAGATGTTGCTCAAATGTCTTCTTACTTGCATTGTTTCTTTTTTCTCTGAATCCTTTTAAGATTTCTTTAAGATCATCTTCATTAATGGTTTTAAGCACCTTGACTTTTATATGCTATGGTCTAATTTTCCTTGTTTTTCATGTATGGGGTTTGTGGAGCTTCTTAGATTTGTGGGTTATAATTTTTACCAATTTTGGAGATTTTTAGTCATCATTTCTTGAACTCCTTTTTTGGATGCTCCCCTTAGGAACTTCATAATAATATATTTATTATTAGGCCATTTGAAGTTGTCCCAAAGTTTCCTAGTGCTATGATCATGTACCTTAGGGTTTTCTTTTTCATGTGTGTGTATGTTGTGTTTTGAATAGTTTTTATTGCTATGTCTTCAAATTCACCAATATTTTTCTCATTAATATCTAATCTACTGTTAATCTCATTGTGTATTTTTTAATTTCACACATTATCATTTTAATATCTAGAAGGCGGCTTTGAGTCTCTTTTATATCTTTCATGTCTCTACTTAACATGATCAATCTTATCTCTAGCTTTTTGAAAACACAGAGTACTGACGTAAGTTTTAATGTCTTTTTCTGCTAACTCTAATGATCTGTCAAGTGTGGGTCAATTTTGATTGATTTTTCCTGCTTCTTTGCGTGCCTAGTAATTTTTGATTGAATACTGTGCTAGATAATTTTGTAATTGCATAAATATTCTTAAGTTTTATTCTGGGACATGTGAAGCTACTCAGAAATAGTATGATTATTTTGGGACTTGCTTTTAAGATTCGTTAACTGGGACTATCATAATTTTTAGTCTAGTCTGCTAATACAAAACCATCAACTAAATGACCTGCAAGTTATTAGTTTTTTCTACTCTGGCTGCTAGGAATAAGCACTATTCCCTATCCTGCGTGATTTCTCTGCACTGTTCTCAATAATACTTTCAAGTGGTTCTATTGCCAATTATGGGTAGTTTCCTTCCACAGATGAAGCAGTCATAACTCAGCTGAATACCTGGAGGGGGATCTCTTTGAAAATCTCTGGAGTTCTCTCTGTGAAGCCCTCTTTTCTTTGGCACTCTGTCCTGAAAATCCTAGCAGCCTTGGTCTCCCTGGAATCTCAGTTCTGTCTCCTCAACCGAGGGAGCCCGTGGGTTTTCATCTGGGTTTCATTTCCTTGTGCTGAGGCCTAGAAGTTCTCTCAAGGCAATAAGCTGATGCAGTCTAGGGTTCAGTTCACTGTTTTGCATAACCTATGAAATGCTATTCTTTGCTGCCTGATAACAAATGTCTTAAAACCATTGCTTCATATATTTTGGGTTTTTTTGGTAGTTTGAGTTAGTATGGTTAATGTGATTTTTGTTATTACCCCATCATGGTCAGAAGCATAAATCTGACTAATCTGAATACATTCATTATCTAAACAATAATAATATTTAAATAAAATTTTCTTCCTTCCAGAAAAAGAAATTAAATTATCTAAATTATAATAATCTAGGTACATTAATTTTAGGCGTCAGTTGCTTGATTTGTGCCTCAAGATATTTATTTTTTCTTGTGGAGGTAAAATGCACTTTTCTAGCTTTCTGAAAAATTGAAGTGCTTGTTGGATCTACATAAAATGACACTACCTCCCTCTGGAAAGCCACTACTTACTTGAGGAAGGGCTTGTGGAATCTGTTTCTGTAGCTAGGATGTGAAGGTTTAAAAGAAGTTAAGTCACTGGGTGTCTGGTATTGGGAATAAATGGCTTGGTACTACAGTGCTTTTATGTTATTGGAAGTTTCCCTGAGAAAGAACTGTAGAGTGAGTTGCAATATATGTGGAAACTTAGGCTTAATAAAACTCTTTATGATTATTAATTGTTTTAACATTTTACACTTTTGTTCAATTCCCTGGTAATTCTTTTGGCAAGCACTTATTTAATTATTCATGACTCAGATTAAATGAAGGTTTTTAAAAATTATTTTCTCACAACTCTTCTAGACAGATGTCAATCCTATCTCTTTCTGTTACTTTCACAGCATTTTGTAAATAGCACCCCATTAGCACTCACAGAGCTGTGTGGTACTTATTTGTCATGTCTCTTTCTTCCAATAAACTATGTACTTGCACATGACAGGGCCCTTTTGTTCATATTTATATTGATACCTCTCATCTGCCCTTACTATACAGGTGATAACTATTTGTTAAACTGAATAACATATAAAAGACATTCAGGGATCGGGATAAGAAAATAATAATGATAGGAACTAAGGATAGCTAATTAAAGAGTGGTGGAAAGTAAAGCTGGATTAGTAGGGCAGGATCTGAATAAGAAGGATGAGGAAAGTTAGTGTAAGAGCAGATGACTTAAACAAGGAGAAATAGCTAACAACTGAAGATTCTTGAATAAGAAAGACCTTGAAAAAATGTAGAGTGTTTTACCTACCAAAAAAGCACAAATTTGATTACCTTAAAAATTTCTCATAATCATAACATCAATATTCTAAAAAATACCTGAAGCAAAGTCCAAAAGAAGCAAATATTTTAGACTATCCTCCCTTGCACCATCTCTCTCTCATATATCTTAAGGATATTTTCTAAGTTCTGTGAAGCTGTTCTTTAAAAAACACTAATATAAATTTTCAGCATTTGCTCTGAACACTGAAATTCTTTCAGAAACACTCAACAGTTTAGCACCACCATATAGATTTTACAAGAAACTTTTTCTTCATATTAGGTTTCTGGTAAACAATGTGAAATCTTTTAAAATAGTATCTGGCTGCCAGAGGAGTGAGAGAATTTAATAATAAACAGAGAGTGAACAGCTTAAAATGTCTAAATCAGAATATGGAGATAGCAAGATTAGTATGTAAAGTATCAGGTGACCCCAGTTTTAAAAAAATTTCAAAAACACTGCTGACTTATTGGAGGTATGGTAGAGTTATGACCCCTCCAAAATAATGGCATAACTATGTTGTGGAAAAATTATTATAAAATGAAGTTTAAATCTAATATACAAAACTCAAATTCAGCACAATCCAAAGCCAAAAGGACGCCATTCATTGGAAGTACATCCTGCAAATGATGCAATGCTTTATTCCTAAGTCACTCCTTAGAGCCTCTCACTTCAGCTCTAGACCATCCATTCCTACTTCCTCTTAGAATATCTCACTGGGATCCCACTCATACTTTATATCAGACACGCTTAATATATAACTCAAATCACTCCTTCCTTTCTTTTTTTCCCTCTCTTCCCTCCAACTTATATGTTTTGCCATGCTATTATGTGCTAAGGACATGGAGATAAAGACACATACCTCTTTGTTCAAGGAGAGGGAAGATAGGCATGTAAACAAAGTAAATTTCATGTGATAAGTTTGATAAAAATGCCAATGTGAGCATTATTCTCCATTCATCTCCCCTTCTTCCTAGACTCCTTTCTGTTTTTTTACCACACAGGCAGGCACTGCTGAGGACACTATCTCTCAGACTCCCTTGTCACCTGAACTTCCATTAGTTTCTGCCAAAGAGAGGCTGCTCATGATGAAGGACAGGTAAACCCCGAAAATGGGGCTTAGCCCAGGAGGGTTCTTGACTGCACCCAGAAAAGAATTCAAGGGTGAGATAGTGGTGAAAGAAAGCAACTTTATTGAAGCAGCAGTGTACAGCAGCTGCAGAGGTACAGCTCCTTGTGGAGCAGGGCTAAGTGTGTCCAAAGTAGCAGCATATGGGCTGTTGGCTAGCTGTATTTATATCCACATTTAATTATATGCAAATTAAAGGGCTTTCCAGAATTAGTGTCATTTTATGTAGATCCAATCAGCACTTCAATTTTTCAGAAAGCTAGAAAAGTGCATTTTACTCCCACAAGAAAAAATAAATAGCTTGAAGCACAGTTGACACTTCAAATTAATGTATCTAGATTATTGAAATTTAGATAATGTAATTCTTTTATTTAGAAGGAAGAAAATTTATTTAGAACTTTCTAGAAAAAGAGCAGGGAGTTGCTGATCTCTTACCTCACTCAGGTGTTTGTCTCTGGCAGTGGCTGAGTTCCACCAGGACAGAAACTCTCTTCCTCCACAGCTCTGGCTCTCACTGGCCCTAGAAACACTCCTTTCTTCTCTTGCTCCTTCATCCCTAGGGTTTGTGATGGCTTATTAACATTTTTAGTCTCTGGAAGTATCAACAACCTTGGTTTGTGCTTTTGTAAGTAGTTTCTTTATTTGAACCATATGGGGTGTTTTCTCCAAGCTCCTTCCTGATATAAAACATTGTAGGAGCTTAAGAGAAGGTTGTTAACTCCATCTGGGGAAGTTAGAGAAGGAGTATATTTTTGCATTGATACTTAAAAGATAAATAATTACTTTCCAGACATGCTGGCAGGAGGAGACAATTACAGATAGAAGAGACAGTTTCTACAAAGGAGAAAAGTATGAGACAACATGCTATGATCACGGCATTATTTATAAATAACTAACTATTTCTGAGTATGAAGTATAAGGCACAGGTCATCAAGAGTCAAATGCTTGAAGTTAATTTAGCTGATGTTCTCTAAATTGACTATTTTAGACAATTTATCAAATCTTGTAAAAGTTTCTTATTTTTAAAAATTATGATAACAAAAACTACCATTTGTCAGCAATTATGTATCACAAACTGTTTTACTTTTTTGTTGCACAACTGCTGTGTCATATGCTGACGTGGACAAGTGCAGGGTGGAGAATGGGAACAACTCTCAAAGAAATACCTAAGCATAATATTTCAAATGGAGTGTCCATGTATCTGCTATAAACAATGGCAAAGACAGTTCAGTCTTTAAAGCAAAAATATTAAATAGTAAAGCAAAACAGGAGACTTTAAATACTAGACTTAGAACTCATCTGATGACTTGCATCCTCTTTATCAAGTCCATGCCATGTGGGTATTCCCAGGATATATGTAAACTCGGGAGCAGGGAATAAAAAACATCTTGGAGCTCCTTTATCCTATCTTTGAACAATTCTGACAATAGGACAATCGTTCTTTAAGATGAGCTGAAAAATAGCTCCTCATTCTGTCCATTAGAACAGCATTGCAAAAATTCATTCTGTACTATTCTAACACTACACACGCTCCCTGGGAAAAGATTTCTAAGAAATATAAAAAGCACTGCAGAGTATTTACTTCATTTAAAAATTGCATAAGTAAATCTATTAAATGATATTTAATACAAAGTTTTCCAAAAATACTTGACTACTGAGTATTTCTTTATTGTTACATTATTGCATAATTTAGTAACATCTGGGAACTAGTTGTTTTTGCCTAGATCCTCTAGAAAGCAAAGCCTGGGGCAAGAGTGAAAGTGGAGATACTCCATGTAGGTGATTACAAGCCCAGGATGGAGGTGGTGAAAGGGGAAATGGAGTGGGCATAAGTACAACGTGCTGACTGCCACTTCCCAATGAACCAGGAAACACAGAAGAATGCTCCACAGCGTCTCCCCCAAAAATGTGACTGTTCATACAAGGTACAAAGGAAGGGGAATTTATCTGTCATGCTTCCACACACCTTCTTTTGCTATTGGTCAAGGACTACCCCAGGCAACCACTAACCCCTCTCTATCTTCAGGTTGCAGTAGCTGTCTCTCAATGGTCACTCAGGGAGCCAAATTCCAAGTTGCCTATTTGAATCCTAAAGTGGAGGGGGTGAATTCTCAAGTGTAGGCCCAGCCTGTGGGGTATAAGGGCCATTCAGGCCCCAGGCTTCAACCCAGACTCCAGCCAGCTCATGTAGCTTGGCTTGTGCTGTGTAGCTGAACGGCATCTTCAAGGGGACATGAAGTTGAATAGTTGAGTGAATCCAAGAAGCCACACGACACTGCCTTAGAGGCATGCAGGATTTGAATTCTCCTTTCACAGTCATTCTGTAAATATTACTAGGTTGATGATATCTCTGAAGATTTGTAAAGTTAACATCCTCAGTTTCTTAGACTGAATCCCCTTGTCTTCCTGTCCTTTGGTTGTTCTTCTATTTATTTGTAGTCTATTTTAAAAAGATACTCGGACCTCAAACCATGGCCTAGGTGTCTGAGTGGATTTGTCCATATTCTAGATAAGAAAGTACTTCTGTTCATACTGCCAGAGATGACATTGCTTTCTAATGGCAGATCCATCACACTCTGCCTTGATAAACCTCTGAACTGTTTCTTTTCTTACACTGCTACCTACCCATCCTAGAGTTGGAGAGTCGAGATTTTTATTATCTAAGAGTAGTACTGGAAACTTATCTTTTTAAAATGTGCTATAGTTATTTTGAGTCCGTTGCTTCAATCATCTGGTTTAGCCTAGTATCTTAAATAGATATCCTTTCAGATTCAGGTTGCTTTTACATTCGCAAAATATGCTATCCAGCTCTTCATTTCCCATTACACTACCTGAAATCTCCCTTTAGGCTTGCACTAATCACCTAGTCCAGGGGTCTCTAAACATTTTTAAATTCACCTCATGATAATAAAAAAAGTAATTAAAAGAATTATATGTGTGCATAAATTACATAGATTATTATAGTGTTACATTAATCAATTCTCAAGAAAGCATCTAAATATTGTCACCTTTAATGGAATTTTCTATTAACACTGGGATACATTTCAAATAACTTTAAATATCAAGGAAAAAAAAAGAGGCTTGCTTTATGGTTTGGGTGCCTAGATTTTAAATGTCTTGGTAATTATAACTTTATGCTATCATTAATTAATATCTCAAGACAGAATGAGCTTCAGTAATTAAATATAGTGAATGGAAATTTGTATATCAAATACTAAATAATATTTTCTAAATTTGGGGTAAACTTCTTTTGGGGTCTGATTGGATTATCATTATTTTCCCTTTGAATTTGGCTGACAACAACTTTGAAGTTTCAGCTCTGTCATTTTGCTGTTGTTGTTGTACACTTGTGTTTATGTTATCTACGTTATCTTTAATTTTTAATTTCTGTATAGGAATCTTTATAAGCCACTTATTTATTTTCTGAAAATATTAATTTGCTGATAGCCAGATAATGCAGTTCAATCCACTCAATTCAAAACATTATAGTACCTTGAAAGCTAATGAGAGAGTGAGGGTGAAGCTTTAAACCACTCAGCCTTAGGGAGAAACTCTGTATATTGTATGTGATAAATGACTGCCTGATATGCAAACCTAATACAGGTGTCACTTTTAGTCTCATATTAAATATTTGTAAGGTCTATTATCTTCATTATTTTTAATACAAACATACATATAAATATAACTTCTAATATTTTCTTTGTAGACACATGGATAATTTGCACAACACCTTTTGATGACCACGGTTCTCATACCTGATTTGTATGATCAGTTGGGGCAACTAATTCACCTCTCTGCACCTCACCTTTTAGTAAAAATAAAGATAGACATTCCTGTTATAGTTGGGGGTCCCAATTACATATTATTTGTCTCCTTCAACACCCAGGAGTAGAACAGGGAGATAAGTGAAAGTCGGTGTCATCCTATTTAGGGATGTCTGTTACTCTCAAAGTCTAATGTTCCCTCGTAAAGATGGAATGGAGGATGTAGGTGATAAATGCAGTCAACATGGCTGCCTCCTGCCTCATCCCTCTCCCCAGTCTAGACCTCAGCAGCTAGCTGTGGGGATGAGCAGGGGCTGCAAAATCACCTCAGAGTACTTACTCTGTGTCTGCTGCTTAGAGAATCTGTCTGTCTCACAGTGACTGGCAGTGATGCTCACCAACCACTGCCCAAAGGAGAAGACACCAGAGAACTCAAAAGTGTCCAGTGGGTGGTAGAATTTATCCTGGATCTGTTACTGCAAGGGCAGAGGGTACTGAACAAGTGCTCCATTTCTCTCACTTATCTTTTTTTTTTATTATTATACTTTAAGTTCTAGGGTACTTTACTTTATATTTGCTCCTCCACAAGGGAGGAAGGAAGGGTAATGTGACTGGTGGGAGCCTCGTATACATGTGCCATGTTGCTGTGCTGCACCCATTAACTAGTCATTTACATTAGGTATGTCTTCTAATGCTACCCCTCCCCCCTCCCCTCACCCCACAACAGGCCCCGGTGTGTGATGTTCCCCTTCCTGTGTCCAAGTGTTCTCATTGTTCAATTCCCAACTATGAGTGAGAACATGCGGTGTTTGGTTTTTTGTCCTTGCGATAGTTTGCTGAGAGTGATGGTTTCCAGCTTCATCCATGTCCCTACAAAGGGCATGAACTCATCATTTTTTATGGCTGCATAGTATTCCATGGTGTATATGTGCCACATTTTCTTAATCCAGTCTATCATTGATGGACATTTGGGTTGGTTCCAAGTCTTTGCTATTGTGAATAGTGCTGCAATAAACTCACTTATCTAAGACACAGCAGCTCAGGAGAGTCAAAGAGGACCTTCTCTCCCACTGCCAAGAGGCAACAGTGCATGGGATGTGTGGGAGGTGACCTACTGGCTACAAGGCTCCCACTAGTCACATTACCCCTCCTTCCTCCCTTATGGAGGAGCAAATATAAAGTAGAGAGAATAAAGTCAGAAATGTTCCATTCAAAATTCCCAAAACTGGGAGAGAACATGAAAATCCCCTTCTATGGAAATGGAAAGACAGAGGATAAGTGTTACTTCCTAAAAAACCTACCTGGCAGGACTGGCAAAATGAATGAATGAAGTATACATGGAAAGCTCCTAAACACCATACACATAGTAGGCATTCCATAAAATTAGCTTAAAAATTAATAATAGTCCTTGAACTAATTGTCTGAACTATGATGGGAGGAAGCCAGTAATTACTAGTAATGACAATTTTTCAACAAGCACTTTAGTCACATTTTATATATTATTGCTGTTATTAAGTACCTAACAAGGTTTGTTGGCATAGAACAATGCATTGCCTTGAATTGAAAATAGGCAGTAATTGAATAGAAAAATGTATAGGCAGTGTAGGTCCCCTTAAATTGAATTCGTTTCTTAAATATAGTACTTATAGTACCCTCGATGTAAGCTTTTTTAAAGCATTAGAGGAATCAAACAAACAAGGTCTATATTTTTGCATAGGGTGTTTTACGTTCAATACTACAATATTTATGTTTGGCACTATTCACTCCATGGGAAAATATAGGCTGTGTGTCTTTTATTTGCTTGATAGTTCAGACTCGCTGATACCCAAGGGCTCACTACACCCACAGATTTTGTCACAATACTTATATTCTGAAAAGGAATTTTTACCATTCAAAAGCAAGCCAAGTCTAATTTTGTAATTTTTATATACTGTAAGATGTTATTATTTAGTATGTGAAGTACCTAGATCTATCATCAGTGAATGTGACATAACATAATCTATTTTACACAGTAAAATGACTTGCCCGGATCTGTTTCGTTTCTAACCGATGGCCAATTTAAAGAGTCTTACTCTTTTTTTTCTGCTTTCTTAGCCAGTTATTAAATTTACTATCAAAGCAATAAAGAGGAAAGAAGCTAATTCTCCTATACCTATTTAGAATAAATGAAATCTGACTTCATGTCAATTGATGCTGCCTATAGACTATTTAAGCATTCCTTTCCTTGAGAAATCCTGATAGTGCAGGTCTTGAAATAACAATAGTGAAGGTCAACTCAGCAGTATTCCTACTATCAAGGGCTATGCAGCACACCAGTTTCTCTCTCAAAAATAGCAGGAGATATAAGTAAATGTGAGCCATGGTGGTTTGCTGCACAGATCTTCCCATCACCCAAGTATTAAGCCCAGCATCCGTTAGCTATTCTTTCTGATCCTCTCCTCCTACCACCCACTGTCCTCCAACAGTCCCCAGTGTCTGTTGCTCTCTGCCATGTGTCCATTTGTTCTCATCATTTAGCTCCCACGTATAAGTGGGAACATACAGTATTTGGTTTTCTGTTTCTGCATTAGTTTGCTAAGGATAATGGCCTCCAGCTCCATACATATTTCTACAAAGGACAGGATCGTGTTCCTTGTTATGGCTGCATAATACTCCACGGTGTATATGCACCACATTTTCTTTATCCAGTCTATCACTGATGGACATTTAGGTTGATTCCATGTCTTTGCTTATGTGAATAGTGCTGCAATGCACGATGCAACAAACCTGCACATCTGCACATATACTCCAAAACTTAAAAGTTGGAAATTTTTAAAATATATTAAAAAAATTAAAAATAAAAATCTGTAATAAGTTGGGAGTGATGTATGCTTTATTATAAATAACAATTAAGTTAATATGTTTTTAAAAATAAAATGGTTTCTCATGGCAAAAAAAGAAAGAAATAGCAGGAGACAGGTACTTTATCTTGCTTTTGTTTGGAAGGATCCAGTGACGTTTATTAGTTGGAAGTTGAGGATAGTAAAAAGGGACTATTATACAGAAAAGATGCAGCAGTCAGGGATCTACAGACCAAAAGTCAGAGTCTGAGGAAGGAAGAAGGTTGGTGACTATATAAGGTTCAAAGCTTTCCAAAAGGAAGAACTTACATTATAGAGCTGTACTCTTTCTCCTTCAGATGTGCTAATATTTGTTCTTCCTATGTACCATATCAGACTAAAAATACTGATAAATATAGATGCAATCAACAACAACAATAATTGTACCTATCATTTGTTGAGTATCTTTTAGGCATCAGGAGCTTTACAGATCCACCTATGTGCTTTTTTTTTTTGAGACGGAGTCTCGCTCTGTTGCCAGGCTCGAGTGCAGTGGCGCCATCTGGGCTCACTGCAACCTCCGCCTCCTGGGTTCAAGCAATTCTCATGCCTCAGCCTCCAGAGTAGCTGGGATTTACAGGCATGTGCCACCACACCTAGCTAATTTTTGTATTTTTAGTAGAGATGGGGTTTTACGATGTTGGCCAGGATGGTCTCCATCTCCTGACCTTGAGATCCGCCCACCTCAGCCTCCCAAAGTGCTGGGATTACAAGTGTGAGCCACTGTGCTAGGCCCTAAGTGCTTTTATATATAAGGAAACTGAAGCTCAGGGAGGTTAAGTGCATTGAGCAAGATCATGTAGCTTATAGATCATGGAGCAGGGACTCAAGCCAGTTCAAAACCCACATTTTTCCACTATACCATAATCATGTAAGAAAAGAGCTGGCCGGGTGCAGCGGGTCAAGCCTGTAATCCCAGCACTTTGGGAGGCTTTAGGTCAGGAGTTTGAGACCAGCCTGGCCAACATGGTGAAACCCTGTCTCTACTAAAAATACAAAAATTAGCTGGGTGTGGTGGTGCACGCCTGTAATCCCAGCTACTCAAGAAGCTGAGGCAAGAGAATCGCTTGAACCCAGGAGGCAGAGGTTGCAGTGAGCTGAGATCACGCCACTACACTCCTGCCTGGCAACAGAGAGAGACTCTGTCTCAAAAAAAAAAAAAAGCAAGAAAGAAAGAAGGAAAGAAAGAAAGAAAGAAAGAAAGAAAGAAAGAAAGAAAGAAAGAAAGAAAGAAAAAAGAAGAGCTAAACTCATTATTTGTGTTTAATTCATATAATAAATTGAACCTATTTAAATCCTGGTCCATTGCCATTCACAAACAGTATTTCTGTAGGGAGGAACTACACTAATTTCAATTCAACTATGCTTACTCAAAGGCAAGGGTTTATGATTATAAATACTTCTGTGATTTGAAAAGGCAACCATTCTTCCATTTTTCAAATCCATCAAGTTGACTGCTTCAAAATAAAACACCGCTAAATAAAATGTTTCACGTAGATGTAAGCTTTTTAACAAATAAATTGAATTAACACTTATTGTCCCAGGTTTTCTGTAAGAATTCACTTTCTTGATCCTAAAATCATTATATATTATCCCAAACTTTAAGGAAATGGAGTACATATTAGTTCCATTTTATATGTGAGAAATCAAAAGCTCACAGAGAACAAGTCAATCACCAAAGAACAAAGAGAATGTTAGTAGTTAAGCCCTCTTGCACAACGGGTAGTGGCATCACAGATGCAGAGGTAATGAGACAGATCTGGGGTTCATTCAGTTCTGGTAGGGCCCCTAACCATGACAATGCCAGGCTCTGACCTACACATAGGGATACCAAAAAAGGCTACGTTGCTTGTACTTAATTAACTTATATGTAGCAGTTCTTTTGATGATCCAGTTTAATGGTGTGTCTTTTGAAAGTCGTTTTTAAAATTTATTTTATTTTTAGATTCAGGTGGTACATGTGTATGTTTGTTACATGGGTATATTGCTTAATGGTGGGGATTGGGCTTTTAGTGTATCAATTACCCAAATGGGGAATATTGTACCCAATAGATAATTTTTCAACCTTTGCCCTCTTTCCACCCTTTCCCCTTTTGGAGTCCCCAGTGTCTATCATTCCATGATCATGTCCATGTGTACAAACTGCTTATACAAGCTTATACATTTATATATTAGAACATGTGGTATTGATTTTCTGTTCCTGAGTGAGTTCACATAGGATAATGGCCTCCAGCTCCATCCATGTTGCTACAAAGGACAGGATTTCATTCTTTTTTATGGCTGTGTAGTATTCCATGATGTGTATATACCACATTTTCTTTATCCAGTTAACCTTGATGGAAACTCACATTGGTTCTATGACTTTTCTATTGTGAATAGTGTTGCAATTAATGTATGAGCACAGGTGTCTTTTCATATAATGATTTTTTTTCCTTTGGGTAGATACTCAGTAGTGGGATTGCTAGGTCAAATGGTGGTTCTGTTTTCAGTTCTTTGAGAAATCTCGATACTGTTTTCCATAGAGGTTTGCGTTAGGCCATTCTTGTGCTGCTATGAAGAAATACTTGAGACCAAGTAATTTGTAAAGAAATGAAGTTTAACTGGCTCACAGTTCTGCAGTCTTTACAGAAAGCAGGGTGCTGGCATCTATTTGGCTTCTGGGGAGGCCTCAGTAAACTTAAAATCATGGTAGAGGGTGAAAGGAGAGCAGAAACATCACATGGCCAGAGCAGGAGCAAGAGACAGAGAGTGGAGTAGGTGGTGCCACACACTTCTAAATGATTAGATTTCATGTGAACTCAGAGCTCACTTATCCCCAGAGGATGGTTCAAGCCATTCATGAGGAATCTGCCCCCATGATCTAAATACCTCCTACCAGGCCCCACCTCCAACACTGGAAATTACAATTCAATATTTGATTTGGGCAGGGACAAATATCCAATATAAGTCAAGGATGAACGAATTTACTTTCCCAGCAACAGTGTATAAGCATTCCCTTTTCTCTGCATCTACACCAACATGTTGTCTTTTAACTTTTTATAATAGCTACTTTGGCTGGTGTAAGATGATATGTTATTGTGGCTTTAATTTGCATTTCTCTGATAATTAGTAATGCTGAGCATCTTTTCATATGTTGGATGCCTGTATTTCTTGAGAAAATGTCTGTTCATATTCTTTGCCCAGTTTTTAATGGAGTTGTTTGTTTCTCTCTTGTTGAGTTCCTAGTAAATTCTGAATATTAGTCCTTTGTCAGAGCCATAATTTGCAAATATTTTCTCTCATTCTGTAGGTTGTCTGTTTACTCTGTGGATTATTTCTTTTGTTCTGCAGAAGAATTTTAGTTTAATTAAGTCCCATTAATCTATTTTTGTTTTTGTTGCATTTGCTTTTGAGATCTTCATCACAAATTTTTTGCCTAGGCCAATGTCCAGAAGAGTGTTTCCTAGGTTTTCTTGAAAGTCATTCTTCATTCTTAAAAGATCAACCCAGAGTCCATTTCTTCAGTCTTTCAGATAGTTTTGTAACTATCTAATATCCTGTAATACATTCCTTCCTGCTTAAAGGAGTAGATTGGTTCTTTGCCATTGAATTCTTATTGACAGCCATGTGAATACAATGGATTCTGCATCACAGATTTACTGGTTAATGGAATATATGTTTTGAATCACCCCACATTATTTATACTTTAGTATTTCTTAATATTTTATGCTTTAGGCATCACAGTGAGGACTTGGCTTTTCTTTAAACTCAGAAAACCTGGGAAGAGATAGGACTAAAGAAAAAACAATGCAACAGATGAAGCAACCCAGGCAGGATAAGATGCCAGTTAAAGGGTTGCCTGCAACATTCTTTGTTCTTCTTTTGCCTTATCTCTTATCCTGTGTGTAACAAAAAGAGGAAGACCAAGGAAAAGAATAAAACAGTCATCGCCAATATTATAAAAAATTACAGACTAGGGGAAAAATCAGAGAGCAGATCACACAGAAAGATTAAAACACTGGTCTAAAGAGATCATGTGCTAAGAAGTTCTGATTCTCCCATCATCTTTGGTTAGCAATATAGTCTAACCTCAGTGAGGAGATTTCTCCCTTCTCCAGCTCCTGCTTTTTCATCCTCCATTTATTTCCAGAAAAAGCTTAAACTTTAGTTAGATATAATTGATCTACAAAAATTACACATATTTAATGTATACATCTTGATGAGTTTGGACACATGTGTACACCTGTAATACCATCACAACCAGGTTACTAACACTTGTCACTTCCAAACATTTCCTTGTGTTCGTTTGTGAAGGGGTTTTTTTTTTTTTGGTGAGAATATTTAACATGAGATATGAGATCTATCTTCAACATACTTCAAAGTGCACAAAGTCATATTGTTAATTATATGTACTATGTTGTAGAGATGATTTCTAGAACTGACTCATCTTGTACAACAGGAAATTCATACAAATAACTGAAAAGGCATCCTGTGTTCATGAGTTGCAAGAAATAATATTGTTAAAATATCCATACTACCCAAAGCTACCTACAGAATGAATGTAACCCTTATCAATATTTCATTGGCATATTTTACAGAAATAGATAAAAATCCTGAAATTTGTACAGAACCACAAAAGACCCCAAATAGCTAACATGATCTTGAAAAAAAAAGAACAAAGCCAGAGACATTACATTTCCTAATTTCAAAATATATTACAAAACTACAGTAATCAAAATGGTATGCTGCTGTCATAAAATCAGACATACAGACTAATGAAACAGAAAAGAGAGTCCAGAAATAAATCCTCATATATATGGTCAATTGACCTTGGAAAAGGTTACCAAGAACCCATAATAAGGAAAGAATAGCTTCTTAAACAAATGATGTTGAAAAAATTGAAGATCCACATGCAGAAAAAATTGGACCCCTATTTTATACATACACAAAAATCAATTCAAAATGTATTAAAAGCCTAAATATAAGACCTGAAACTGTAAAACTCCTAAAATGAAATGTAAGGGGAAAACTTCTTGACATTGGTCCTGGCAACGATTTTATTTTTAATATCACATCAACGCTCAAGCAACAAAAGCAAAAATAGACAAGGGACACTACATCTCATTAAAAATCTTCTGCAGAGCCAAGGAAACAATCATCAGAGTGTAAGGGCATCCTACAGAATGGGAGAAAATATTTGCCAACCATCTATCTGATAAGGGGTTAGTATCCAAAATATATAAGAATCTTCTACAGCTCAGTAGCAAAAAAACACAAAAACAAACAACCTGATTAAAAAGTGGGCAAAACACTTGAATAGATATTTATCCAAAGAAAACATATGAATGGCTACCAGTTATAGGAAAACATGTTCAGTGTCACTAGTCATCAGATAAATGCAGATCAAAAACCACAGTGAGAAACCTCACACCTATTAGGATGGCTATAAAAAAACAAAAACAAAAACAGAAGAACAAAAAATAATGAGTGTTAAAGAGGATGTGGAGAAACTGGAACCCTTATACACTTTTGGAGGGAATGTAGAATGGTGCAGCCACTAGGAAAAACAGCATGGAAGTTCCTCAGCAAATTAAAATAGAATGACTCTATGATTTAGTAATCTCACCTCTGGGCATATATCCCAAAGAATTGAAATCAGAATCTGAAAGAGATACTTGCACCCTCATATTCATTGTAGCATTATTTATAATAGAAACAACCCAAAAGGTAATGGAAAGATGAATTAATAAAGTGATATGTACATACAATGGAATATTATTCAGCCTTAAAAAAGAAGGAAATCCAGCCATTTGCGACAACATGAATGAAACTAGAGGAAATTATGCTAAGTGAAATAAGCCAGAAACTGAAAGGCAAATACTACACGTTTCCATTTATATGAAGTATCTCAAATAGTCAAACTCATAAAAGCAGAAAATAGAATAGTGTTCACCGGGGCCAGGGGGAAGGAAAAGTAGGAAATTGTTCTTCAAGGGGTATAAAGTTTCTCTTATGCCAGAGGAAGTCTTAAGTGTATCTGAGTGAGTGATTGGAGTCTTCACAATAAAATCAACCACTTTTTTCTGGCCCTGTCCCTAATCACCCAAACCATTTAACTTACTGACTTTGTCTTACCCCAAGATGTCAAGAAACCAAATTATTAAACTGAATCATGGCCAAACTCAATGCAGTAGCAATTCTTTTTACAATATCCCTGAAGAATGACCATTTAAACTCTGACTGATAGTTATGTTAATATTTTGTTGCCTAATTAATTAAGAGAAGGAATTCAGGCCAGAGGTGAAGCATAGTAAGGTACTCTTCCTTAAAAGCAATTAGCCAGTTGATTTCAACATTTCTACTCTTTGAAAACAGTATGTTTATTTACATTGTGCTTCCCCCAACTCCATTCAGGTGTAAACAGAGTGATACGTTAGCCTTCTCTGGTGCATCTGCCAACACAGTATTAATTTCTAACAGCTGAGGATGGCTGGACCTTCACCTCTACTTTATTTCCTCAAAATAACAGTTGTAAGATGCATAAATACAGCACAGACATGTCTATATAAATAAAACCACAGAAATAAACATATGCAGAGAATCATATGCTCAAACTAAAATATCTTAACATAACTCGATCGATTGATATTTTAGTCTTTTCAAGTTCCTGTGATAGTCAAATATTTATTCTCATGATGGCTGATGTGGTCAACCACACACAACTACAACATAGCTGGGAGCCCGTGAGTGTTTAGGTATGCCAGAAAGCAATACGATCATTTTTGTATATTGGGAACAGAGGTTGCAGTTCCAAGCCAGTACACAGGGGCCAGGCAGATGATATAAATGAGGGAAGTGGTGAAGGACTGGGATCTATTGGAAAGGCAGTGCACCTGCAAAATAAAGTTCTCACCACTCAGCACTAACAAAGGTTTTTTTGTCAATGGATATAGGCTCAGTTTCCCAGATTTTTCTATTTTTAAAAAGAAGTCAGACAACTTTAAAAAAAATAAAGAAAATCTCTATACTTTTAAGTGTTGGGAACAAATTCAACTTAAGAATAACCAAAACAAACCATTGACCAAATAAAATATATCTGCAGGCTCATGTACCTCCAGTTTGGTAATTTGTTTGACAAATGGGACATTTTTAGCTTCTTTTCTAAAAGTCTATATTTACATTTATTTATTTATATTCTTAGACATGAGTAAAATATTTCTCTAATTTTTAAAAAAGTGCTTAGGCTAAACTAGATGGGAAATTTCTTTTAAATAAGTCATCTTAGAGCAATGACCGCTACTTGAGATGGAAGAAGTTGTGCTAGTTATGGGGGCAGGGAAGCCAAAAAAAAAAAGAAAAACACGCTTTCTTGTAGAAATTATTATTAAAGACAATCTTAGGGTCACTATCCCATAAAAGTTTGTACAATGATGGAAACGTTGTATATCTGGTCTGTCCAATATGATAATCAGTAGCCACATGCAGCTACTGAGAACTTGAAATGTGGCTAGTACAACTAAGGAGCATAATTTTAAATTTTATTTAATTTAAAGTAATTTATTTTAAAATTTAAATCGCCACATACAGTTAGTGGCTGCTGTATTAGACAGCACAGCCCTAGGTATATAACCTAGAATAGAACATCTTGTTCAAAAGATATTATTCCTATGTGCATTCTTACAGATGTCAAATTGATTTCCAGATTGGTTTTACTGATTTATATGTCTAACAATGATTTTTTAAATATAATTTATCTTCTTCAACACTGGGATTGTCAAGATTTAAAATTTTTGATACTCATTTGGGCAATAATGGCAGCTCTTGGTCAATCTTTATTTTCCTGATTACGAAGTTTATCATCTTATATTAACCATTTGGCTTTGTACTTTGAATTGCCTGTTCATATACTTTAAATCATGTTTCTACTGGGATATTTGCTTTTCTTTTCTCTCTCCCTTCTCTCCCTCTCTTCCTCTCTGTGTTCCTTTTTTCCTTCCTTCCTACCTAACTTATAGAAGCAATTTATAAATTATTAATTTTTAATCTTTTACCTGTTATGTGAATCAGAAATGTCTTCTCCCAGTCTGTGCATTTTATTTTCACTTTGTTTATGTTGTTTTTTTTGATCAGAGGCTTTACAATTTGAATGTAGTATAGTGGATTTGTCATTTACTTTATGGTTTGTGCAGTTTATCCCTTATTGAAAAAAACTCTTGCTGAACCAAAGTCTATTTTATCTGATAATAATATAGCTTGGCCAACATTCCTTTGGTTTAGGGTTGCTGGATTTAGTAAATAAAATTATAGTATACCAGTTAAATTTAACATTTAGATAAACAATAACCTTTTTTTTTTCCTTTTTTTTGTATAAGTTTGCTGTATGCAATATTTGGGACATAATTATAATAAGAATATTCACTATTTATCTAAAATTCAAATATAACTGGTCATTCTCTATTTCATCTGTCAATTGTATTTTGCTTAGAAAATATCTCTCCATGTATTTTTCTCTCATTTTTCTTCCAAATTTCCAAGAGCCTTATGCATTACGTGTCTCCCTCATAATTAGCATTTAAAAGAAATATAGTTCATTACCCAACATAAGGATCTGTCTCCCAAAAGGCAGATTGAGGCCACTTACATTTATTGTGGTTATTTCTTTTTAAATATTTATCATGCTTTTTGTTGTGTTTATTTTTCTCTTTTTCTGCCCTTTTCTATATTGATTAGGTTTTATTTATTTCTGGCTTTACACTCTGCTAACTTGGATAATATAACTCTATTATTTTAGTTGTTGACCTTAATATTTTAAGCAAACTTTTTGTACCTGTAGTTATACTCAGTTATTTGAGAGATCTTCATGCTCTTTTCTCATATTTGAATGAAATGGTTCTCATTATTTGAATTCTTTTTTTGTGTGTGTATTTTTCTTTTTGTAAAGTTTTGGGAACAAGACAATATAATGATCACATCTATGCTTTACAAAGAAAACTCTGCATCTATATGAAGAATAAATGATGGAGCTAGGCTGGAGAAGTACACTACTTGAAGTCAACAAGAAAGCAGCTGGTGAAAGATGATGAGACACTTATTAGAGGAAGAAGCAGTGAGGATGGAAGGGAGAGAAATATACACTAGAGGCACTGGAAAGTGCATCACCCACCTTATTGAGTCATCAGATATGATATTCTGAATTTCCTGGGTTAGGTAAAAATTAAAATGGAAATTGTAAGAAAATAGCCCTTATTTATTTATTTATTTATTTATTTTTAACAAAACAAAGAATCCAAGATTCATCAAGACAGAATGTTGTTTAAAGATACTGCAAATGGCCAGGGGTAGATGGAAAAGTGAATAGTTTTAGCTACAGCTGCTGTCACATGGGAAAGTTACTACTGTCTTGGTTGGAATGGTGGGTGGGGATGGGTGGGTAGAGAGTGTTGAAAGATTTGGAGTGGGGTGAGAAGGCTTCCAGGGCACAAAGTTGGAAGTAACTCTTCTCACACTGGAAAAACCTTCATGGGTAAGGCTAAACATATTGCCAAGATAGGGGGCTCCTGCTTGGAAAATCACTGGGTCCCCACCAAGAGCAATTGTGATGCTGCTATGGAGTGTGGTTCAGATTGAGATAGCTGTGAAGCTTGGGCTTCAAGGATGAACTTGAAGACCCAGTCTCCAGCCCTTCTTCTGCCTTCAGATTTCTCCTCCACACCTGTAGTTTACTATATTTTAAGCATTGGTATGTAATCTTCATATTTAGAATTTGTTATATCTATATTCTCTTGAGGGTCTAGTATTTAGAGCCTGTGACTGTTCCTCCCTGCAGATCAATCCAGAGATTTTGGAGAAGATAAAATATTGCAGGAAGAAAATATTTTAATTCATGATCTTGAGGATCTCAAGGGAAAGATGTGTCTGATATTAACAAAGAGGGCTTGTTCTCATACAGTAATGTCTTTGGCCAAAATACAGAATGAAGGAAGAGAAGCAAACACTTCCTGTTGTGCAGCTCAAGCTACTATATGCTTTTGAGGACTCCTACATCACATTCTTTTGGTACCATCATTCAATTCTCCATATTAAAGAAATTTCAAAAAGTGTTAGTTTTCAACATTTGGTTATCTTTGGATTTCTGGCAACAGTGAGGAGATGGAGTTGCCTCTCTTTATGCAGCCCTTATGCAGCCCAGAATTTACTCTGTGTTTTTTTTTTGTTTTTTTTTTTTTTTTTTTTTTAATGGCGTTTCGCTCTTGCCGTCCAGGCTGGAGTGCAATGGCGTGATCTCGGCTCACCACAACCTCCACCTCCCGGGTTCAAGCAATTCTCCTGCCTCAGCCTCCCGAGTAGCTGGGATTACAGGCATGTGCCACCATGCCCAGCTAATTTTGTATTTTTAGTAGAGACGGGGTTTTCCCATGTTGGTCAGGCTGGTCTCGAACTCCCGACCTCAGGTGATCCGCCAGTCTCGGCCTCCCAAAGTGCTGGGATTACAGGCATGAGCCACCACGCCCAGCAAGTTTACTCTACTTTCATATGGATTTGTGAGGGCAGTAAATGCAGGTAGGGATATGATGGTGATCCAATATCTATTGGTCTTCTTGTCCATCCATTTTGTCCCTTCCTGGAGAGATGGAGAGGGCTATCTGCTTTTAGCACAAACTTGTCAATTCTCTTAGGAAAGGCTCAATTAGCAAAGGTGATTTCCTCATTGTCTATTGGAGGCAGCTCCTCTGCTGAACTGCTGCTCCCCAAAGAGCAATAGCAGCATTTCAGCTGATTTAGGCATGATTGATGGAGACTGTGAGGTCTCACCTGTCAGTTCATTGTATCAGTAAGATTGAGCTTTCCTTTGGGGTGTCCAAGACAGTGGATGCAGCACAGATCTCCCACCCTTTTCCATGAAGAAGAAACACCATATTCAATATTCCAGAATCCCCTGTTTCATTATCTCACGGTCCTCGGAGACCTAGGATTTCAAATTTAAGTTTGTCCTGTACATGAAGGTAAAAACCTAGCACAATGTACATAGGGTGATACTTTCCTAAAAAGCAAAACAAATGAACAAAAAAACTATATGTTTTCAACAAAACAGTGGAAATTAAAAATTTAAAAACAGAAAAATAAATCTATGTGTAGGCTATAATACAAATATAAACCAGAACCTACCTTTAATAGAGAAGCCCTTTGCCCGAGGGCTTTCTCTGATCACAAGGGCATTCTCATCTCATGGACAAGGAAGGCTGGAAAAGCTTGGGAAGAAAATAGATGAGGAGGAAAATAGAATTAATACTCTGACATTCTCAACCCTCAGGTGGGATTACCCTGAGTAGTGCTCTGTATAGCCTTCCAGAGGTCCCTTAGCAGTGTAAAATGTACACACACACATACACACACACACACACACACGCCTCTAACAAGATTCCTATAAAGATTAAATGCAATAAAATATATGCAAAGTGTCTAGTGCAAAGTAGGTGCCTAATATGCATCCTTACTATTCTTCATTTTAGGAGTTTTCAGTGATACAGATGATCTATCCATTACTTTTCCAGCCACTGGTAATCTCTATTCAGACCCAATTTTTCACACACAATAAATACTTAGAAATATATAGATCAGTGTTTCTCAAAATATGGTTGAGAAACCACTAGCATCAGAATCACTTATGGAGCTTATTGAAAGAGAAATGTCTAGGTTCCACTAAATTAGAGTCTTTGAGGATGGGCTCAGGAATGTGCATTTCATGAGAAGCAATTATTTGTGTAAAGCTAGGGAAAATTGCCTGGGAGGGCTGAGACAGGACTCCTCATCTTTCACCATTGGTAGGAGTCAAACACAAGGGAGAATAGACTGAGGATCTGGCTTGAGACTTTGCCAACTGAAAAATCATTGCTGTTAAGAGTCTGGGCTTTGAAGCTAGAAACACTTGAGTCAAAATACTGGCTTTGTCACTTACTTGCTATTGAATCTTGAGCAGGTTACTTACTCATTGTAAGTCTCAGTTTCCTCTTATGTAAGATATGAGTAACAATGGTAAACACCTCAGAGGATTTGGAAATGATTAAAAGAGATAATAATGCAGGTACTTTATAAAGCCTGGCACTTGGCACAGAGTGAATGACTGCTAAACATCCATCTTTATCACCACTGTCATCTGATTGCAGGAAAGCCCTGGAAGTATATGAGTAATAAAGTATTTATTGAAAACTCCCAAAAGTTAAACTGTGGAATGGTGGGCTCCTCGGTGGGACAAGACAGCCAGAAAATAAATCTTAGATTTAAAATTGGGGTGCCATAAAATTTACTATCCAACTACACCATTTATATCCAGGATAATTGCTAAAACCAATGGAATGCTTGGAATAGCTGAAATCTGAGATTTGCGCAGGCAAAACAGAATATGGTGTCACTTGATTCATAATCTGACCTCCACACTGCAGAGAACTTGTCTTCAAATGGAAAAATACCAGCATTGCACAGTCTGTCACTTTCTGCTGGCATCTAAGTAAAGGTCATCTCTATATGCCCCCAACTGTAGAAAAAATCAGAGCTATAACTATGCTTTCTATATTGGTGTTCAATAAATTACTTTGTTGTTTAGCAGGCTGTATTTTCCAGGAAAAGTTCCTTTATAGGTTTGTGTCCTATGTAATTATTAAAATTATAAAAATACTGTGTTAACATGTTGTAACTTAGTTTCTGTAGTTGGAAGTGCAAGTACAAGGCAGAGGAGAACCATAAGTAAAGATTTACAATAGTTAGATTATGTGGCTTTTATTCTGGTGTCATCACAGCTGGCTGTGTGATCACAGGGAAATCACTAAGCTTTGCTGTGTTTTACAACTCCATCATCTGCAAAACAAGAAAAATGCCACCTGTACTAAGTCCCTCAGAGACTGGTAATAAGATCAAATGTCAGAGTAAGTGCTTTGAAAAAGTATGACAAAAGAACGTTTATTTTTAGTAAAGAATGGAGACTCACTTCTTAAACAGTGAGCACCCATATCTCCTCTTAAGCCACCAAGTAGAATTGAAAGAGGCAATGTGTAATTATAACAAAGCTCAAAAGATCTGGTCTCCTGGGCCTCATCTTCCTCACCCTCCCATTGTTGTGGCAGGTGATTAATCATCAGGCTTCTTGACTTCTCTCTTTGCTGGCTGTCCACCCTAGGGTCATAGCCACTTTTCAAATCCTTCTTTGGGCTTTGCAGCTATGCAGGGCAAAAAGCCTTCCCTGGTGTTAGGGCATGCCAAAGCTGAACCTGGAACCACCATTAGCCTAATTGACAGCACAGCATTCCCCTGGGGAGAAGAGTGATAATCTAGCTATTTATCTTGTCTGTAGTTTTATCACCACTGTGCTAAGGCAGAGATGCTGAAATATAAAAATGAGGTAATGCACATTCTTCCCAGACTATGTGCTATTAAAGCCAGGTTGGGGGTCAGAAGAATAAACGGGGAGCATCTGGAATTGTGGTCCTCTCTGTTGCTGCTTAATATCTCAAGTGGCCTTGGAGTAAGGGGCTGCTCATGAGGGCACTAAAGGACATCTCATTGTAATTGGGAGCAGGCTGGAGCTGTGTGGCCACTGCTACCCATGGAGTGGCTGCCTGCAAGCGGCTAGACTGCTGCTTTTCTGCAAGGCAGGAGAGGCCCATTAGAAACATGAAGGGGCAGTTTAATTCTGCAACAAGATGTGTACAAATGTCTGCCTCCTATTGAAACCCATGCAACAGCTTCCAAAGTTAATTAAAAGCTAATTTTCTAATGAGGTGGCAACATTGGCAACAACATGCTATCAGTATGACAGCTACAGCCAGCAGCCGGTAAGGGAACAGGCAACCTCCCTCTTACAGGATGGAAGATCCTACCTGCATCCATTAATTAGTCTCCAGCTGTATTGTTTTAATGCTAGCCACTAGTATAGACGGTTATAAAAATCATAAATTGCTTTGGCATTGCCACGGTATTGTCGATACTTATTTTTACAGCAGGGCTATTTCTAGGCGTAACATCTCAGGCAATGAAACCCACTCCTGGAAATATTAAATCTAGGGGTAATGCCATGGACACTCCGTTAGGTCAAGTGCCATGGACATTTTAATCCTTTTGGCAATTGTTAATTGTAAGCCAGATTTGCAATTAGCTTTAATAAATAGAGAGAAAGTGCCTTAAATTAACCGCACGTATGTTGGTTTTGCCTCTTGTTTCAATTTCAAACACATAGTCAAGCAAGATGACTCTTGGTCATTGTCTTAATGATATGGGTCTCCTGGCCATAGTCAGAATGTGCCAGACACCTGTGGCCATTCCTAGGCATTCTTCACAGGGAGTGTATAATGATGTCATGCAACTAGATGCTGAGCATCACCAAGAAACAACAATACACATTACTATAGAAACTCCAAGATTCTGGATACTTAGGAGATAGCTTGTTTGTTAAATTCTATCAGTAAATAGTTTGACGAACTATTTAGAGTCTCTAAGATAATCTAAAAAATTGAATAAAACTTTATCATATAGTCATTTAATGGTAAGCAGAAAGCAGAAAAATACTCTTCTTTTTTGTCATATATTCTCTTTCTCATAGTCTCTCTTTTAGATTCTGCCTCATCTCTTCATTCATTCATATTCTCTCAATATCATTTTTTTCACTGTTTCTTTTTACTCTTGCTGTCTTATACTCATATTCTAGTGCTCTCTAGAGTTCTCTGAAGCATAGAATATGGTTTTAAAGCTACATGGTTATCAATTCATTGAAACTTCAGGAAATCCCACCCCACCATTTCACTGGACAACATTGAGTCATATGCCCACATTCAAGCCAATTACCAGAAAGGGGAATGAGACCATATAGTTTGCTCAAAGTAATGAAGACTGCAGCTAGAACTGGCCTGACCACCCCAGAAACAATGGCTATAGGGAGGAGTATGGATAAACACCTGGATAAACTTTGGGTTCTGTTTGGCAGGATAAAGGGGAAGATGCCTGCTGGAGGATTATAAGTGTCTGCTACAGAATTATAAGTAGTTTTTAGGGTATGGCAAACAAAGAGGGGAGAAGAATCTGAAAAATACTGTCAGGATTGTTCCCAGAAAATAAGATGACTAAAGTTGGGCCCTCTAGAGAGGAAGGAAGTAGGGTTCCATGTTCTGTGATACTAAGATCTGCACGTGTTAGCAGGTGTGAGCAGAACTGAGGTCTTAGGAGGAGGAAGCATCACATATCATTCATTCTTTAACAAATGTTTGTTGAGTGCCTGTTAGTGTCTGGCACTACAGATAGAGTATTAAATAGGACAAAGTAATTACTCTCAGAAAACTTTTTCTCTAGTGGGGGAAAGAGATGAAAGGCAAATTAAACATATAAATGAAGTCATTTTAGATTGTGAAGAAACTCAGACTAATATAGCAGAGTTCTTGGCTTAGGACAGAAGCAGTTAACATTAGCTAGGTTTGTCAAGGAAGGCATCTCTGAGGAAGTTATGACAAAAATGAAGTAGTAATGGGAATTTTCAATGAGCTAAATATCCGCTACAAGTGACAATCAGCTAAAAGGCACGTTCCAGAAAATTCCTTACTTGACTTGCGCTGGTTTTACTTGACTTGTGCTTTCTTTACTTGTGCTTCATTTCTGAAGTGATAATTTAATAACTGTGATTAAGAATCATTACTAAGGACATACAGTCTGCTACAATTTTGTTTAAGTTATTGATTCATTCAATAAATATTCATTAAGTACCTACTGTGTGCCAGGCATTATCCTGGTCAAGTGGTAAGGAACAACATTAACAAAACCAAGGACATTCCTGCTCTAGGGGAGCTGACATTCCCATCAAATTCATCATAAACCCATTATAAAATTCATCATCAAACCCATCATCAAACCCATTATAAAACAAGCAAACCAACAATGAGATAGATGCTAAGCACATTTGCAGAGAACACTAGCTTAGAGATATTAGCTACCTTGAATTACATTACAGTTCAAAGTACTGAATTTTTAAGTTATGCACACTGCCTTAAATAAACCAATAATACAAAACAACTGTGGTAGAAATTCAGGCAGTAACTAAATCTGATGAAGGTAGTCTTCAAAATATTCAGAGTGAAGACTTACGTGAAACATGAATTTATAGGTGCATTATTCCAGGGAGAAAAGCCCAGAGTATTCATGAGATTTTCAAACGGGTTTGTTAATTCAAAATGTATCCAGAATCACCAATTTAGAAGTTACATATACCCCCCAAAGGGAGCTTTCAAGCAGATTTCAATGCAAAAGGGAATATTAAAGAAGAGTACATACCAAGAAAGTAGCAGTGATTTCTAAAGAATACCATCAGTGACTCTAAGCCCCCAAATGTATTGAGGTGGGTGAAAATTCCTAAAGACAAATATTAAAAAGTTTTAGTTGTTTATGTTCCAAATAAGAGAAAGGTCAGGGAGGGAAGGTCCAGGTTTACCTGTTGCTGAGGTCCAGTTGTATAACACTGACAGACAATAAGTAGAAAACCAATCTGATAAGGCCCCTTGAGTTTTCTGCTTTCGTTATCAAGGAGAATCATCTTCATATAGGAAAGGCAGGAAAAATGCTGGTAAAAGGAAGTTGAAGCCCTAAGTTTATAAGAAAACTGTAAGAATTTGTCTGCCTCAATTGTCTCTTAGCGTTTATATATTACTTATTTAGAACTTTAGGAAACTTAATCAGTTTATCCGTCTACCCTTGGTATTCTTAAGAAATCATGAAGAATTCAAGTTTTGGAAGACTAGAGGTAGGTAAACTTAGTCTTGACATACAAAAGCAGGTCAGAGAACTTGACTCCAGGCAAGAGTTTAGAATGGACTATTTAAAATATATTTTGTGAGTACTTAAAATGAAGTCAACTTTGTTTAACAAAAACCTATCTTGGGCTCATTTTCTTTTGAGATAATGTTTCTCAAAGAAAACATTATGGAAATGCAGTAAACTATACTACATACCACACTGTGTTTAATAAATTCTCTATTTGGGAACATTTATTTTTTTTTCTAGAGCATAGTACAGCATGACCTTAGACGTTAAATATAAAAACTGGCAAACTAAATGGAAATAGTACGACCTACTCAAATATATCTCTTACTAAAAGAGCAATTTAGAGCTAAATAAGTGTAGTTAAAAAAATCTGGCTCTAGAGTCAGACATTTTTATTTGGCAACCAAGATCCATTACTTCTAGAATACGATGTTGAAAAAAATTATCTAAGCTTTAGATTCCTCAAAGTAAATTGGGTATAACAATATTATCTATTTTCTGTGGTTCTGTGAGGATCAAAGAAAATGATACACTTAAAGTGTTTACCAGTGGGCCTAGGGTGACAGAGTGCTCAATAAATGATAGCTTTTGTTGCTATTATTATTCCTTGCTAATTAAACATAGTGGTTTTGGTAGTTGTAAACCTAAGCAATGCTCAAGGAAAAGGGGCCAATATAATAGCATAATAAATTTAAAAACTGTTAAAGAAATTATCATATGAAGAATATTAGTAACAAGCCCTAATCTTCTCACATGTTAATATAATGCTCCATTAAAATCATATTAATAATCATTAATGTTAATTTTATTTCAGAGTGAGCCCTGCCAAAGTAGTCAGAGAACTGTGAAGTCATGCATAATGAATGCCTAAAACATTATAAAATCATGTGAAAAAACAGTATTGATGCACACATAAATGGCTCACTGAAAATAATGAAGAAAACACAACCACTATAATTTGCATATTTTGGTGCCCAGTTAGAGCTGTGGAAAAGTACTTCCCCATGAATCTGTGCTGTACCCACCATTCACTGGGATGCCTCGTCAAGCACCATGCACCCAACCAGACAAGAAATTCGTTTTTCAGTCCTTAATTTGGGAGTGTGCTAGGCAGTTCTGGAGGCTGCTAACTAAACGACCATTTCCTAGTGACTAGTACTGTGCTATGGTAATATGAGGCACATTCCTATTTATTTATTCTTTATTCAGTCCACTGACTGAGTTCCAGCTACAATACAATGACAATCTAGGAAAGAAAAAATTAGACATGGAGTCAGCCCATGGAAAGATAGCAGGCTACATAAATAATTCTAATGCTTAATGGGCTGTGGAAAGTGCCTTATGAAAGGTACAGCTGAAATACTCTGATGAGAAAGAGAAAATGTAATTACGGTTGAGTCTTGAAGCACCAATACTAGAGATCTGTGACTGAGTAGCTAGTGACAATAGAGAAGGAACCTAGAAAGTAGGCACAGAATGATCCAAGAGCAGAGAGGGGAATCATAGGTGAGCATCAGGGAATAGAGGAGGCTAATTAGATTGGGACTAGGGGTTCATGTAGATAAGACTTTGAGGAGCTAGAAGAGGACCTCAGACTGAACCCTAAGAACCACTGAATTTTAGGGCCAAAGAGAAACAAAGGGAGGCCACAGAGGAGGCTGTAAAGAATCAGAAAAGAAAGTGAAAAGGTAGGAAAACATGGTATGACAGAAGCCAAAAGAAGGAAAGGTATCAAGTAGAAGACAGTTTCAAACAGTATCAAATGCCAGAGACAAGCAAAGTAAGAACTGAAAAGTGTCCATTGAATTGGGCATTTAGGAGATTATTAGTAAGCTCAGCTAGAGCAGATGTGGTGGAGATGTAAGAATATAAGCATAAATACAATAGATCAGGAATGAAAGGAAGGTGAAAAGGAGATATAGTGAATGGAGATGAAACTTAATAGAGAATGTGACATTCGGTTAGAAGAGAAGACAGAAATGGTAGCATTCAAGGCCTGAAATAAGATGCTCACAGTAAGGAAGAATACGGAAGGATTCAAAAGTGAGCACAGATGTGAAATGGACAGGATGTGAAGCCACCATAGATTGGCATTTGGCTGAGAGGGAAGGAAGAGGAATTGTGTAGGTTTTTACAGAAAGATGTGCCATTGATAGAAGTAGAAAATTTTAGAAGATGAAGAGAACAAAGAAAGAAAGTAATGGAGTCTTCTTTGGATGATCTCAATCTGAGGTCCTTTTGAATCTTATTTTCTAGATCAATGGTATCTAAAGTAGAGATTATGCATCTTCAGGCATTCAATATATTCTCTGCTCATTGACAGCTCTGCAGTGCAGTTTATGTGCTACAATATTGCATGTGGCTAATTTTGTAAAAATTAGAATCTTTATAATACATTTAATGAAACTAGAGTTATCATAAAAATCTTTTTACAATGCAGAATTACAGAGGTTATCTTGTAATATAGTAGTTAAAAGAGTGGTAAAACAAGAGATGTCACATAAAACTTAAGAGATGTCCTGGGCTTAATTTGCTGATTTTTAAAACTTTTTCATAGGACTTCTCTATTTTTACTCATTTCCCAGATTTCTTCAAATTTTATGGCTGAAAATGTCACCTTATATGACTCCCAAATTTGCATTTCCAGCCTGGACTCCTCCCCAAATCTCAAGTCTTAGATATTCAACCATCTATTCAACATCTCTACTTTAATCAACTAACAAGTATTCTTTGAGCACTTACTGTATGCCAGGCACTAGTTTTAGCACTTTGAACACAACAGTAACCAGACAGGAATCTCTGCTCCTGTGGATCTTTCATTACAGTGGAGGGAAACTGAAAATAGACAATATGCATAATAACTAAGCAGAATAGATGGGATGTTCAAAAGTGATAATCATTGAGTAGTAGAGAGGTGGCAAGTGGCTTAGAAGTGCTCTGGCAGGACCGGGGGCACCAGGTTGAAATATTAAATAGGGTAGTTAGGGTGGTACCTCAATAAAGAAGGTGACATTTGAAGAAAGATTAGAAAGAGGTGAAAGAGTGTGTAGTATAGAAGAGTCATTGTAAAGCCCCTGAGGTCAAAGCATATCTGGAGAAATCAAGAGAAGTCTGAATTATGGCTGTGGCAGAGTAAGTGGGGCAAATGGAAATGCTGATTTCCCCCTTGTCTGTCTTCTTTTTCTAAATAGCACTTCTCACCACCTGGAATAAAATGTGTGTTATATTTGCATGCATTTTTTTTTCATTTTTTAATTTTATATCTCTGTTTACCTACTTCTCCAGAATGTGAGCCCTATAATAGAAATTTATCAGTTTTAGTTTGCTGCTGTATTTCCAATGGCTAAAAAGTATCTTGCATGTAGTAGAAACTCAATAAATATTTGTTGAGTGAATGAATATATTAAAAAGAATATAGCATCTACTAAAAATACAAAAAATTAGCCAGGTGTGGTGACGGGAACCTGTAGTCCCAGCTACTCGGGCTGAGGCAGGAGAATGGCGTGAACCCGGGAGGCGGAGCTTGCAGCCTAGATAGCACCACTGCACTCCAGCCTGGGCAACAGAGCGAGACTCTGTCTCAAAAAAAAAAAAAAAGAACATAGCAATACAATATGCTTGTATCTCCCTATATTTACGTATCTTTTGATTTAAGGGAGCAAAAATTTGGGTGTTCTTGTAATCAGACAGAGAACAGGGAACAAATAATTTACATATTTTTAAATGAATATGAAGGTTTCATAAAGTCTGGAAGGCTAAAGAGCAAAACCACAAATATATAAATATTAACAGAGGATAAATCTGGGCAATATAATTTGGGTTTTTTTAATTTGCTTTTGTATTTTTTGAATAATGAACATATAATTGTATGTTAAAGAGTAACAAAACTATATATAATTTTATCTATCTATCTATCTGCATATACATACGATCTAAACCTGTGATCGGCTGAATTGATTTGAACTTTTAAAGTAGAAACAAGTGGGTCAGTGTATGTGAGCCTTGCTTTGGGATCTTATTATAATTTTTGGTTGAGTAGACTATAATTGTGGTGTACCTCCACAAGCCACAATTTAATGAACCTGGAGCCTCATTTCTAGGACCAAAGAGAATTGGGAACCTGGAGCTCGATAATGCTGTTTTGTTTCATTAAATGTTCTTACTGTCTGTGTGGAAATAAATGTGACTTGTCCCTGACAGATGATAAAAGGCAGCAGACATCATTAGTGTCCATCACATGATTCCTGACACCTACCAGAGAAAGGGCCTCTTGCTCATGATCAGAAGTAAAATCTTTCTACCGATTGATTTGAAATTGCTTCTTAACTTCAATGTTCAGATCTAGCCATGAAACCAAGAGTGGTTTCCTATTCCAACCTTAAAAACCTTCTTCTGAGGTTTTAAATCATTTCAGCTCTGTATTTCAGGGTGTTTCAATGACAGCCATGTTCACAAAGGAAGGAGGCTCCATGGAATGCTTTATTAGAATTTCAAAAAAGTGCCATCTCTCGAACTGCTCATTACCAGGAGCAACCTGATGCCAAGCAATTTATGATTATTAAAACATATAATTTGCATTTAAATTAAATGAATTAATAAATAGCAGAGATTAAAATAATGTGTTCTATTTTCTTATTGTTTGTTGCCTTAATTTTTACACATGCTAAAATAAAGAATAAAATTTATGGGTCTTCATTTGTTTTTGTTTTTTTTTTTTTGTATAGAGTAGGTATAGAGAAAAATAAGAATTGGAGAAATTAGTCTGTATTTTTCCAGATTTTTCATGAGAATATGTTCTTAAATGCATGTTTTCCTCAAAATATGGCTGCTTTAAAAAAGAACTATATTTATTTGTTTTAGAAGATATTTCTCAATATTTTCAATGTAAGAAACTTTCAAAGAACATGAATAACCGAAATGCTTTGCTTCCAGTTTCTTATATAAAATACTTTCAATATATAATAATCTTAACATCGAATAATTAATATTTATTGAGAAACTATCATATGTAAGTTATTATACCAGACAGTATGGTGAAAATCAAAAGTATAAGACCCCCCCTTTACATAAAGTATTGAGTTCAATTATGGATATACAACTTAAGGCCTCAAAAAACTTTTTAAATGCAAAACATAAAAATTCTATAAGAAACAATTCCAAGGTGATTTTACTGCATATAGTCAACCTGGAAAGCAATCGATTCAAAAACTCTCTTTCCAAGTAAATTCTGAGACTGGGAAAAAGGGTGCCCTCCTGAACCTGAATCTCTCCTCAAGTCCTCCCTGCAGATTATATCAAAAAACAGTGCAGATGAAATTACAAGTGATTCAAGACTTTAGTATTACCAGGAAATAGAAAATCCTATGAACATCAGTTTGTCTATAAATACAGATATAAATGTCACATCACAACAAACCTCCTGACATAACTGTCAGCTTGTGGGTGAAGAAGAAAGAAAGAAGAAGAGAGAGAGAAAGAGAGAAAGAGAGAAAGAAAAGAAAAGAAAAGAAAAGAAAAGAAAGAAGGAAAGAAAGAAAGAAAGAAAGAAAGAAAGAAAGAAAGAAAGAAAGAAAGAAAGAAAGAAAGAAAGAAAGAAACTTAAGACACATCATAAAAATGTAGAGCACATAGACGAGGCACAGACCCCAGAGAAAGGAAGTACAATACTAAGTGGAAAAACTCTGGGTATGGTATCTTGTAGTTCACAACACTTGGTATAGGAAAGATGTTTAAAAGTGAGTAGTATTAAAGCAGCCAGTAGCTTTGTAAAGCATTCCTTCTTAGAAAGAATCATAAAAGTAGAGAGAGAATTATGTCCTGATGATGTAGGAGAAATAAGAAAGAAGAAGAGGAGATAATTGAGGATCTTTCAGAAATTAAACAGTAACAGGTCATGCCAGTTCTTTGCTTCTCCCCTACCACAATGACATTCATTAAAGAAATGGCCTCACTATACTGACAGAAGCAGGGATTTCTGGGCTGAGAATCCTACCCCTACCCCCAAAATGCCCAGGAATAGGAAAAAAAGAAAAAAAAAAAGCCAATGACATACAGAGCTAATGGAAGAAGAAAACAGAAAATTTAAGTCAAAATACTTCGGACACTGAAATGTTATTTATCAAAAAAGAAGAAAACTGCCACAAAACCAAAGAATAGTCTAACACAATTTTTTTTTAGTTCAGCTTAATTTCAAGTTTAATTAAAAAAATCTCAAACAAGCTTTTGGAAATTAGATATAGATATGTAGATATCAATATGGATATAAATATAAACTAGAATCAGAAATTTAAAACAAAGAATATAAGTGGAAAAAAAGAGGAAGTAATGCAATAAAAGTTGATTGATCTTAGTAAAGAAATTGGAGGAAAAGACAAGTCCATTTCAGAAATAAAAGATAAATTAAAAGATACCCCAGATTTATAACAGATTCTACTGAAAGTTTAATAAGGGACTTTGAAGAAAAGCAGAAAAACAACAAAGAGAATAAAAATGAGATAAATAAATAAAAGGGTCAAAGAAAAGATGCTTGAAATGGAAGATATGCAAAAAATGTTTAACACACATATAATTGAAGTCTGGAGAAAAATTAAACAGTCTAATATAACTGATATATAAAACTATAATCTTAAAAATCAGAACCAAAAAAACTTATTTTTACATATTTTATGGCCCCACTGTATGCATGGAAAACTCAAAAGTAAGAAAGTCTGAGATGGCTCCTAGAAAACAACTAGAATTTAAAGAAAAAAAAAATCACTGAAGGTAAACAGGCAATAAGATCAAGTTACTTACAAGGGTGAAAAATTAAACTGCAGAGAAAGCAGAATAAGATTATTGGCTGTTTTATAAGTAAAAGATGAGAGTAAAAGGGTATAATGTAAGATTTACAGTCCACATAGTAAAAGGTAATTTATAAAAAAAAAAAAGTATATTAAGGGCAATAAAAGTATAAATACTAAAGTAACCATTAGAATAAAATTACCCACTTTCAAAAACACCAAAATGTTTTTTAAATAGCAAAGAAGCACTAAACAGAGAAACACAGTATATATAACAAAATACAGTATACATATATATACTAAACAGAGAAACACAGTATATATAACAAAATACAAATAGTAGCAGCAACATAAACTTATGTATAGAATTGATACCAACATATCAGCCACATCAAAAAGAATAGGTTTAATTCATCTGTTGCAAGGAAAATTTTCAAATTGGCTCATAGAGCAAATCCCAACTTTATTTTCTATGTGAGGGGCAGACAATATACACTGATTCGACAAGGCCAAAATTACAGGGATGGGAAAGGATATAGCAGGAAAATTAAACAATAAAACAGGAAGAACTGCAATATTCATATAAGAAAAAGCAGAATTCAGGCCAAAGGCCTTAAGGATACTCTATAACGCTTAAAGCTGCAATTCAAAGATGTAACAGTTATGAATATCAACACAGCAAATAACAGAGTCACCACTTCGAAAAGCACAAACTACAAAAGATGCAAGGAGAAAAAAACATAATAAAAGAAGACTTTAAAATATGACTCTCAGTAGAAACAAGTCAAATGAAAAAAAATAAGTGAGGATATAGAAGATCTATAAAGCATAATAAGTCTGATTTTTTATATCAAAACTGGACAATATTCCTTATAATAGACTGTACCTCCTTCTTCAGTATGAATCATTCCCATAAACTGATCACATATTAGGTCAAATAGAAAACATCAGCAAACCTCATAAAACAGAAATATTGCAAGCAACTCTAATTACACTATGGTAAAATTTAAACTTAAAAATTAAATTTTAAACATAAAGCTCTTCTACCTGTAAGTATACGTATATGTGTGTTTGTATAAATAAAAATAAAATATATTTTACATAATATAAAACTTTCTATTAAAGAACTCTTGGATAAAACACATACATATATAAAACACACACACACACACACACACACACATATATATATATACACAAATATATGTGTACCTTCTTATTAAATGACACTTGGATAAAAGGGAAAATCCAAACAAAAATTACAGAATTTCTGAATAATGAATTTCTGAAATAAACTAAAACAGATATATGAAAGGATATTTAACATCTTAAAACATCTAGATCAGTAAAATAAAATAATTTTAAAATGTAAATTACATTTGCAACTTAAGAAAATAAAAATGTGGTAAAATACTAAAACCACGAAAAGCACACAGTAGGTTAAAAACCATAAAAATATTAAATCAAAAAATAAAAATCTTTATTCTTTGGAAATAATAAACAAAAACCACTAGATAAATTAATCAAGAAAAGGTGAGAAAATCCAAATATACAACATAAGAATGACAAGGGAAAATAATTATTGATACAGATAAAATGTTTTAAATAAAAAGAGAATACTTTTCTAAGCTAGTAAGAGACTACTTTTCTTAGTGATAACTTGAAGACCTCAGTGAGATAGATAATTTCTTAGGAAAATACAACTTACGAAAATTAACCTCAGTAGAAATACAAATTTAAATAGGCCAATTCCCAAGGAAGAAAGAGAGAAAATATCAAAGAAGCACTTCACAAAATAACAAGACATAGATGACTTTTCTTAGGTAGAAGTAACACATCATAAATTGATTCAGAGTGTATATAGTGAAGAAAAACTCCTAAATTCTTTTTATAAAACAAGTGCAACATTGGTGCTTACTTCTGAAAAATATATCACAAAAAATTAAGGAACAATATCATATATGAATTTGATGCAAAAATGAAAAATAATTAGCAGACACACCTCTGCATAAAAAAGTAACACAGCAAGGCAGGTAAAATTGATACCAGTAATGCAAGGATAGTACAATATTACAAAATGTATCCCTATAGTGGGACTTTCACATAGAAAAATAATGTGATTATTTCCATAGATGCTGAAATATATGATGAAAACATTCAACAACTATTTTAGTAAAACAGAGAATAGAAATGTATGGATACTTCTTTAACGTAAACATACACTGGATATATATATTCATGCATTTATTTTATGTATTCATGAATTATATGTAAATTATGTATTTATATATTATGTACTACATATTTATATAAAATATATAAATACAGATTTATACATGTAAAATTTTATTAATTATATTACTCATATACAATTATATATTCACTTATTTGTATATTATATAATTGTATATAATTTTATAAATTATAAATATGATAAATTATATATGTGACTTGATAATTTGAAAACTTATAATCCATTTTGTATTTTATATAATTGATAAATAACTAATTATATACCATTGACTAGATATATGTATCTATTCCCCCCGATCCCACCCCACACACACATAGGCACACACACAATCAGTCCTAAAGTAAAGCCAGATTTTTATTTAGTAGTAAAACACAGTAATTCTTAGTAAGGTCAGGAGTAATGATGGCCACTATCTCTATAATCATTAACATTATGTTGATGGCACTAATTACTCAATGTTCTTAGATAAGCGGTAACAATTAATGACATAAAAATTGGAAAGGAACAACTTACATTATTTATTTACAGATGACAGGATAGCACATTTGGAAATCCATAGAGAATCAATGGAAAAACTATGTGTAACAATAATTTGGCAGTATAAGGTATAAAATACATTATTCATTCAGTTATTTGCTCAAAATAACTTAGGTAGAAAGTCAGTCCATGCCTCATGATGGTGGTAGATAAATAATAAACCAGCACATAAAATATGACTATGTCAGATGGTAATATCGCTACAGAGAAATATAAAACAGTTAAAGAGGACTAGGAAGGCCCAGAATGTTTGGGAATTTGCAATTTTAAATGGGGGATAGGTTAGGCCTCACTAAGAAGACGACACTTGCATGAAGACTTGCAGGATATGGCATGAACAAGATTGAGATGCTCACCATCAACATTTCTGTCCAATAAGGTACTGAACTTATTAGATCAAACTCTAAGGATGGAAGAAAATAAACAATACTAGAGATGGAAAGTAAGAAACAAAATTATCATTACTTGAATGCATTGTTATGTCCTCATACAAAATTCAAAAGAATCTTCTGGCTAATTATTAGAATTAATAACTTAGTTAATAATACTATTTTTATAACATTAGAAATCCTTTGTATTTCCATACACTAGCAACAAATAGGTAATATAGTTTAAAAATAAATATTTACCACATGTAAATATTAAAAGTAATCTATGAATAACTCTAACAAAAAGTTACAAGACTTTCATGAAGAAACTTCTAAAGCTTTGCTTAAATAATTTTTTTAAAAAGACCTAATTAATTAGGGAAAGGTACCATTTTCACTGTGCTGGAGGTTGAATATATTAAATGTGACAATTGTCACCAAGTTGATTTAATGGAGTTTCAGTAAAAATTTTTTAGCAGGGTTTGTCAGGGAACTAGAAACACTATTTCCAATATTTGATAGAAGTTTAAACAATCACAAATAACCAAGTCACTTCTGCAGAATGAGGTGGTGGACTAGCCCTATAATATTAAGACCATTATAGCAGTGCAGTTATTAAGACAATGTGGTGATTACACAGAGATAAACAATGAAATATTTGGATCATGAGCCAGAATACAGAGTCCAGATAACAGCATCTATACTTGATGTTTGACTGAGGTGGGAAAGGGGGTCAGTATGGAAAGGAGGGGGCAACTCAAATAAATGGTACTGGGACAAGAAACATAGAACATGAATGTGACAGGTGGCAAGAAGTGCTCGAGAGACAATTAAAGCAGGGTAAAGGGGGATGTCCCAGGGTGGGTGAAGAAGTTATGATTTTACCCTGGGTAATTAGGGTAGGCCTCACTGAGCTAGTAGTAGGCCAATGGAAAAAAGTTAAACCTCACACCATGTACAAAATCAATGCCAGATGAGATTAAAGACTTAAGTGTAAGAGCAAAAGCACTGTAAGAAAAAATATAAACATATTTTCATGACCCTGGGGCAAGAAGCCTTCCTTTAAATCTCAATAATTGTTTAAAATGACAAACATTGATGTGTTTGATTACATTAAAATCAGGAACTTTATTAATAGATACCACAAAGAAAGTGAAAATAGAAGACACAATCTCTAATAGTATATTTGTGACACACAAATACACACTTGAAACCCTGAAGATTAGTACTAGAATATACAGATATAAGTAATTCTTACTCATTTTTAAGACACAAAAAATTTTTAAATGTGCAATAAATGTGAACAGAGCTTTCAGAGAGAAAATATAAATAGATAAAGTATACTGAAAGATGTTCAATTTCAACAGTAATAAAGAAAATAAAAATTTTTAAATGAAATATCTTTATACACACTTCAAAATGGCAAAAATTAAAATAGCCAAGCAATACCAAATGTTGGTAAGCTGGGCTCTGGATACATGGGTATTCATTTTATTATTTCACTGACATATAGATATATATACAATATATGCATCTTTTATATGTGAATCATTTCAGATTACAAAATGAAGAGAAAACGGAGATCAGACATGATTAGTGCATCCATGAAAAAGTTACGCGGTAAAGTTTCAAAAACTAAGAATTAAATATTGATTTCTAAGGCATTATTTAGCTATTGTATTAGTCCATTCTCACACTGCTATAAAGACATCTCGAGACTGAGTAACTTATAAAGAAACGAGGTTTAACTGACTCACAGTTCCGCATGGCTGAGGAGGCCTCAGGAAACTTACAATCATGGCGGAAGGAGAAGACGCACATTTCACATAGCAGCAGGGAAATGCATGTGTCAGCGGCAGGAAAAACTTCCATTTATAAAACCATCAGATCTCGCGAGAATTCACTGACCTTCACGAGAGCAGCAGGGGGAAAACCGCAGTCACTTCCCACCAGGTCTCTCCCTCAACATCTGGGGATTGCAATTCAAGATGAAATATTAGGTATTAAAAAATCCTACATTATAAAAGGTATTAAAAAACTGCATTAGGAGTTTTGTCTTAGAGTGTGTCTAAAATTTCTTGAAAAAACACTAGCTTATTTATTTGATAAAAGCAACATCTTAAAGTCTTTCCTCCTTTCTTTTGAAAACAAAACAAAGTTGCAGTACCACTAGGGATGTGACCAGCAAGGTGGGTTAAATGCAGACATCGCTCATCTTTACATGTGATGTCCCCATCTCTCACAAGCACGGTAGTCAGTATAGGAATTGAATCAACAAACAGTATAGAATTAAGAGTGCTTGGACAAAAAATAAAATACAATGCCTCTAATAAAAGACTCAAAGTAACTGAAAAGAAAGTCTCATTCTACTCTTCCCGATTTCCACATTATATTCACTGGAATTGTTCCATAGTTTTCACTTAATTTCACAGTGCTAGGACAGTGATTCTCTACAGATAGGGGTGATTCTGGACCCCACAGACATTTGAAAATGCCTGGAAACATCTTTGGTTTTGATAACAGGCAGGAGAGGTACTGCTGGCATCTAGCTGCATGCTAGCATCCAGTGATGCAGCTAAACATTCTACAATGCACAGGGTAGACACCCACAACAAATAATTATCTGGCCTCAAATGCCAATAATGCCAACATCAAGAAACTCTGTTCTAGGGAATGAAGTATAGTATTAGTTATTCAAAAATATTTACTGTGTGCCTATTATGGGTCTGGAACAATGTTTGGCATCAGAGATACAGCAGTACAAGCCAGAGTTCCTTTCTTAAGGAACTTAGAGTCCAGTGGGAGAATCACACAAATAAATTGATAACTATTGTGAAATAAATAAAGTCAAGTGTGGCTTTCTCTACTTGGAATACCGTCTCATCCTTTTTTTTTTTTTTTCTGTTTGATGAAACAATCACCATCTCTCAAGATTACATCATAAGAACAGGAGTATGTTGTGTTTTTGTTTTTAAGGTTCACTGATTTGTTGCAAGCACAAAGGACAGTGACTAGCATGTCGCAAGTGCTCAATAAGTATATTTCTTGAATGAACAATGAATAAACTCAAGTATCAGTTCCTTTTTGAAGTGTTCTTTAATTTTTCAGTGAATAAAGCAGACCCATCTTTTTCCATAGTACTTTTGCTGTGGAATTGTGACAGATGACATATTAGCATCTAGAAGGGCAAGAGTTATCGGACAAATAAATATAGAATGAATGAGTGAATACTGAATAAACGAATATAGAATGTAACGGAAACTAGCAGACAGATCTACTAGGTATATGGACTCAAGTTGTAGTTCAACAAAACATTTTCCTTCTAGTCCTCCCATAAGTTAAACACACAGAGACCAGTATCTTTAAACAAAATAGAATTGCATCACATTAATATTTTATAACTGCTTTTTCACCTACTCCTAAATTGGATATTTACATCACTTTCACTTTTTTGGTCATAAACAGTGATGCGGTTAATACATTTTTGCATACTACTGTCATTGTCACATATAGACGAATTTCTAAAGTATATATGAAATGTAAAGCTTTTGAAACATAAGTGCGTTCCAGAAAGTGTGTGAGATTATCATTCCCTCAAGCAGTGAATGAAAGAGATTGTTTCTTCACATCCTTAATTAACACTGAGTACCAGGCTGCATGTTAGATTTTAATTTAATGTGTTATAATCCAACAGTATTCCCTTTATGATTTCTAACTCATGAATCAACGCCTAGAAATAATTTTCCTTACAAAATGATTCTAAAAACGTCTACCTATAATTTCTTCTAATACTTTTTATGGTTTCATTTTTTATATAGAAATCATAAATTCCACCAGAATTCATCTTGTTTTAAGTCATGATATAGGCATCTTTTAATTTCTAAAAGGATACTAAATTGTTCCAATACATTTAATTAATCTATCTTTCCATCTGCATGACATACATAATGCATTAAATGAATATTTATATTTAGATCTGTTTCTGGACACTGCATTTTTTTCTGTTGATCTGTCTACTTTTCATTGACTATGACATTATTTTAGTTACTATAACTTTATAATATACTTTAATATATTGCAGATCAAGTTTCCCTTTTCTGTTTACAAAATAGAGGAAAATTTACATTTGTACAATGTTGAACCTTCCTATCCATGGAGACAGTTGGTGTCTTTTCAATTAAAACTTCATTATGTTATCTTGTAGAGCTTTTTTTTCAATGAACACTCATACATTTCTGCTCATTTTTTCTACATAGTCCATAATTTTAATTGCAATGGTGAAACACGTTTTTCTATTATGATATTTAACTAATTATTCTAATTATTGTGTTAATATAGAGAACAATAAAACTATTGATTATTACATACTTATTATCTAAAGAAATATGTTATATAAATCTTATACAATATTTTCTTAGTTTTCTAGTCAACCACATAATCTTAAAATTTTAGTTTTTTCCATTTTTTGCCATATTTATTATTTATTCCTGCTGTCTTAAAAACTGAATTACACTGGCTATCACTTTCAGAAAAATGTATAACAATGTAAAAGCATTAAACTCATGATTTTAATGAGAATACTTCTAATATTAAGCATGATAATTGAATTCTCATCTCAGTACTGAAAAGAATGATGATGGCAATGGGCTGAAACACATCATATATATAAAATATATAACTAGATTATAATAATAAAAGCAGCAACAGCAATAACAATGGCAAATCTTCATTGGCCACCATTAGAGAGTGCTAATTCATTAATCTGAAATTTAAGAAAGGGAAAGACTCAAGTATTTATCCTTCCTCTCCTGTATAAGCTGTATTTTCAGATGATCAAATAGTTGATAAAGAAGATTATTTTTAAACATAATAATTCCACTTAATATATGCTGAAGGAATGAAAGAAAATCACCATTTTGCAATGCCTGATGAGATAATGCATCCAGGAAAGGTGATGTTGATGAAAAAACCTTATTTTGCAGGAAATCACATTACTAGCACATCAATTCACTGATAAGTCTAACATCACAAATGAGACCACCAAGTATTATGTAACTCATTAAGTACTACGAAATACTCTCAGCTTAAGAACTAACAAACCACAGTCATAAAAAACTGGACCTAATCTAGCTTAATATCTCATTATCGGGTTATAGAAAATAAGAAAAATATAGGAATAAAATGACTAACACAATGAAAAGTACTAAATCTAGATTACTTGACATTCGAAAGGACAAATAAACAGCAAACAAAATTGCTGTTTTCTTCAGCAATTCAATGGCCTGGATTATTTTTTTACAGAATAAAAGAAATTTAAGAGACACGCAACCAAATTCAGCATGGACTTAATTTTAAAATCTCTTGTAAATAGCCATCTTGGAAACAATTAGGGACATCTGAATATTGACAGTATTAGATTATATTAGGAAATATATATATATTCTACCAATAGCTTTCTGGTAATATAAAAACAAAACAAAACAAAAAACCAACCAACAAAAATCCCAACATTCTTGTCAGTTAGAGATGCATACTGAAATATTTACAGTAAAATGACATCATATCTGAAGTCTGCTTTAAAATACCTCAGTATAAAAAAATGGTGAAAATATGCAAAAGAGTGGGGATACATTAATAATTATTGAAACTAGGTAATGGGTAGATTGAGATTATTACATTATTCTCTCTACTTTTGTGTAATACATGTGGTTAGTGATAAAAAAAGCAAGCAAGAAGTAAGAGAGAGGGGAAAAGCAGGTGAGGATCAATGACGAGTCTAAATAAAAGGGTAGAGGTAGTTAACACAGTAAGTACATAGTTAAGTACGTGAGAGTGCTAACCTATTAAAGTAGAAGTGAGGTTCAAAAAAAAAAAAAACTGAAAGAAGAGAGACTGCCTGGAACTTAGAATTAAGGCAAATAGGGTAGAAGTTGAAGAGCTGGAGAAGGGAGCAAAAGCACTCTTAAGCTACCTAGAAGGGCACTCCCTATCTGGATCACAAATGTTTGGGAGGTAGCATCATAAAAGATTTTCATGTATGGGGTATTTCTCTTTAGTTTACCAACTTCCACACTGTTGTTTAGTGTAAAGCATCCTAATAGGCGCTAAGATTATAAACTCCACCTCATGGCCACTACAGCAAGAATTATATCCAACATTGTTTATAAAATCTTATTTTAGAAATTGCTGCAATTTAAGAGACTTTAAAGATATCTTCAATCTCACTATATCAACATGAAAAGAAAATCCCTCTGAATTTTGTGTTATCCTAGGACATACCTAGAAGGCAATCCAGTGAAGACCTGCCTTGTCACATTCAACAGAGTAATTGCAGAAGCAATTTGTTACAAGCAGATGGATAGTTGAACACTAAAAAGGATGATAAGCTAGAAAGAAATTAGATATTGAAATCAATTTCTTTTAGGCTTACCATGATACTTCAGTTTCACACAAACAATTGTATTTGAAGAAGTCAGGGAAAAAAATGCCATACTAAGATGGGTGCCCATGAAAACAGAACTTTACACATGCTATAGCCTTCATAGTCACCATTTACTTGATTGGTCCAAATATTTATAGTTCATTGTTATGACTGCCAAAACTGGCAACCACAAGGATTGTTGTCTCAATTAGGACAGTAAACAGATTGTCTCTTTTTTTAATGAAAAAATCTAAAATGTAATACTTCACAGTTTAACATGTTTATTCATCTAAACGAGCTAAAAAATAATGGTGCGACATCTGTTCGAGAGGCATTGGTACCTCAAATTTTGGCTGCCTCCCCACCAATTTGGTTGTTGTTTTAAAAAATGAAGAATAGGAGGGAGTACTGTCATCAAAAAATCTTCTGGCATGTAACGTATCTTATTTTTCTTGAAATAAGAATCACATATCTGTTGCTAGGGATAGAAAAACTGTATAACAAGGAGGCACTATGCTGAATGTGGCTACAGTTCAATTGTTTAACTCAATTACTGACCCACTATGGATATTTCCATACTGATATAGTTCTTTACATGACTCTCCCAGTTCCCTCTCTACTTACCTTTATAGCTAAAATATCAACAAAATGGTAAGAATGTTCCTGTAGGTTGAATTCATCTGCTACATTTTTTTTTTAACCGTGGGTTGCACTGATTCTAAATATGGTTTAAGTGGAACAAAATCTAGCAAACAGCATTCTATCCAGGCTGCATTGGAGCAATTCTAATAAAAGAAGGCAGTGCTGCTAAGGGAGAAGTGGTAGGAATCTCCCAGAGAAGCCCCAGGTAAGTGTAAAGAAGTCTAATTGTTGGTGAGGAGAGAATACAAAATTATCTTAGGTAGTCTCTGGCTCAACAACTTTATGTTATGGATGAAATACATTAAAATAGGCTGGGTTTAATTTCTAGAAGTATATTTCTGACGCTGATGTATAGCACAATTTGCTCTACTGAATTATCATTGAGTATATAATTTTAGAACCTGGAAAATACAGTGTTTTAGTAGTCACATAAACATTATAATGAAAATTGAGTTCTATTTTCATTTGGAGTGAAAATGCATGCTAAGTTGAATTCAAACATTGAGTATAGTTTTTAATAAATTCTAAGATAAAAATAGCATATTTGATTCCCTAGAAAAGAGCAATGTTTCTATTTTATAGCGACCTTAATGCTAGTTGTCTTGATTTAAAGAGAATCAGGATGAAACACGTATATATCTCAGTACAACCAAGGACCATAAATGGTAAATGCCGAGTTGATTGATATTGTGATTTTTAAGTTTTATTGATTAAATTCAAACTTTTTTATCATTTACACAAAGAAACTGTGACAGACTCTGAGAGGACTAAAAGGCATCAACTTAAATTTTAACATGCATTTATTAAATTTATATGCAGATGACTACACTACTGCAATTACAGAAATGAGTAAGAACATACTCTCAAGATCTTACAGTCATTGGTTGGGGTGAAAGTATTTCTTCTGTCTTCATGAAAAATTAAAAAGATAGAAAATCTTGAAGTATTTTGCTACCTTAAAACAACTACCCACCCTACATTTGTACTAAAATAGGCTTTTGCTTGTTTTAAAAGCAATTCTAGATGAGGTTATATTTTTACAATACTGTATCTCATCTCAAATAAATTTATACATTCTTTACCCTGTCTAAACTTGCATGCAAAATAAGAACCAGCAAGCCTTCAAACTTCAATCACAGTATTCCATAGGCTATATTTTAAGTCTATTGCATTAGTTGAAATTTATTTTGCAGAGTATGTTAACAAACATATTCTAACACTTAAAAAATCATTACAATTTTTTCTGTTTTTGTCTTCTAAATTACTCTGAGCAGTGAATTACTGGAGGGAAGATACCCATGTCTAAAATTTGTGTCTGGTGCCAGTCTCAGATTTCTGCCAAACACCAGTAGGTATTCAAAAGTGTGGTCCCTTTAAAACAGCAGGCCGGATATCACCTTTCTGTCTTCAAAGATTCAAACCAGACTCCCAATCTGGGATTTCTCTACAGAGGGTTGGCTGCTTCCCAGTTAATGTGAGTTTTGCAAAGTTTGCATTTCATGAAAACAGTGTTGTGTAAACATATATTGTGTCACTTTACCTACTATTTACTAAAATCAGAGAGTTTAGCCTTTGAAATTTATGGTTCTCTGGAGCTATCATAAATCAATCAGTCATACGAATGGACTAGCTGTAGACTCAGGATATCAATAAAACTAGGCAGTGAAATTTGCCTATAATTATACTATATTTAGATTAATAGTTATCAAAAACATTTTTCCCCAAAAAATACCTCAAGGGTAAAACAGAATGGTAAAGTTTTTTTCAGGATAATGAATTTTCAAACATTTCCAAGACCATAACCAGCCATTTTAAGTACTGTAAACTCTGTTATATTTCATTTGGATAAGTATCTAATAAGCAATTATTACATATCCTCTCATTTAAATTACCACTGAAAACTAGAAATAATCTTTATTTAATACGACTGTTTTAACACCATATGGAACGGGAAATAACTAAATGAAAATTGTTCACGTAAATGTGATGGGAGTGGGGGGGTGGGGAGCAGTATTTCTTGACATGTGGCATGTCACTCAGGAAAGTAAAAGGCCCATCATATCCAAAATGCCAGCTTGGATATTCCCTTGCCACCCACTTGACGAACAGACATACCACATGGCATTAAATGCTGCAACCTTTCCTAAAAATGCCACTTGGATTGGTCCGCTGTGGTGAGTATATAAGAACTCTTGGTCTGTCTCTTGAGTCTGTGAGTTCAAAGGGAAGAATCTAGTAAATAACACCGGCTAAATTTTGCCCTCAGATGTTTGGCATAAATGATTTGTGAGGATATTGGAACCTTTGGCTGTTTTCACACCAATGAAATAAATTATGCTACTTGAAAAAAATTCTACAGAACATAATGCTACACAGTCACAGTCGACTTTTTGCAAAAGTACCAGAGAATATCTTTTAGAAACAGTGCTTATAAAGCCCCATATACTCCTTAGATATTTCCCAAGGATTTCTTCTCTTGGCTAGCAGGAAAACAATCTTAATATTTTATTTATTCTTCATAAATACAATGTATATAATATAAAACACTTTGTGCACATGTTTCCAACAATTTCATTTTCTATGCATCTTTACATAAGGTAGTAGCTAATAACTCTTTCTGTGGACACGTATTTTCCAGTTTTCTAAGGTTTATGTGTTCAAGCATTGTAAAAACATATTTAAAAATTGAATTACCAGTAAAAATATTGAATGTACAGGTCATTATGCTCCCACAAATACAAAATACATTGAAAAATTATATCAACAGATAATTACATATGAAATATGAGGCATATATTTTCTTCTATTATTTATTTTCTCCCTAAAGAGTTCTAATTGATTAAATCTCAAGAGACAAAATGTAATTTTATAAAACAACTGTATTGTTCAGATTTAGGAGACAACCTAAGAAGATGATTCTGAGTAGGTAGGATTTTTGCTATTACTGTTATGTGAAAAAGACTGCTCAATTAAATGACAGATTGTTACATATCTCCCTAACAAGAGGGGCGAACTGATACTACAAGCAGCCAGAACAACATAATTAGAATAGAATTCCAAGGTTATATTAATAGAGTAATAAGTTAATTAAAACCAAGATCAACTGAGCTTCTATTTACACCAGTTCAGACAGCCCAAGAGGAAAAGAACTCTATTTTAGAGACATATGTGACTCTTTGAGCTTCTGTCATCCAGGTGCCATTTCTGATGCAGCACATGTGCACTGAACAGTTGGCAAAGAAGGAAAAAGATTATGGTAGATGTATGTGCAGATAGTCTCTCTAATGATGTAAAATACGTCCAGAAAGAAAGCAGGGCTTTGTTGTAAAATAAAAAATTTCCCATGACTTTTTGTTCTTTCTGAATGTGATTTGAGCATGTTTCTGTAAATAAGAATATATACTAACTTATGATGTATATAGAACAAAAATAGACTTACTCATCAGGAAGTGATGGAATTATACACATAAATTGGCAATGACATTTGAAAAATTTAGGATCTGGTTCCCATTTCATCTAAATGTACCATGTATAGGGTGGCTGTCAAAGCAGAAAGATATATAAAAGTATCCAGTAGCACATACTATACTGCATTGCTAGGTAAGGTTCTTTTCCTGACATCCTATGCAACTATCAAAAATCATATGTCTGCAAACTGAAAATATTAGCAGAAAGAATTAAAGATGTTACAGTTTCAGTATTGAAAGTTTTGGTCCCAAAAGGTGCTTTCGTAAAGTTATTTCTCTTTCATGCATTGATTGTTGCTTAGCTAATCTTCATCTTGGTCCAGATCAGGGTCAACATCCGTGGTGAGTCTGAGATAAAAGAAAGCATAGAAAGCCAGTAGTAGTGCCAATATAGCTGCAAGTACAAGGCCAACTTCCTGGGAAGAAAAAAAAAGTAGACTTGAAATTGATGAAAAAAGATTGGTTAACATTATTAGTTTCACCAGATAAAATAACCATATTGTTCCACAGTCTAGAATGAATAATTTGAACCTAATAATCATATCCTTTTTGTTTACCATTTTTTGCCGTTAAGAAACTGTTTTGTACTGGCAAGTCCCAATGAAATGGCAAATACACCAGTGGGTGAGTCATTAGTATTATTATTTCTAGCTAATTTGTTTTTTCCTTATAGTAATATTAAAAATGTATCATTTTAATATATTTTTATAGTTTGGATATCAGGATGTTCGATACAAGCAATGCAGTTTGTATCTACACAGTTGATCTGTTTTCTATTTGAGTGTGTTTAACTTTATTTGTGGCTTCAATACATTCAGTATTAATGATAGCATTTGGGCACAGTTTTTTTTTTAATTATCATTCCTTTTCATTGTAAAGAAACAGTTGTAACTGGTCTCTAGATTATATATAGATGTATACATACTCATTAAATGTGACTTTGTTGAAACTCTAATTTTTAAATCCTAAAGTCTATAGTTTACACTGCAGAGGAACAAAACAAAGTACTCTTCACTCATGAAGCATAATACAATACATTTATCACAGTTTTGAAGGATGGGCCCAGATTTTTCATTTGTGATGTGATGTGGATTAAATTAATCAACTATATTGTAATAATGATAAAAAATTTACTCATATATTATGATAAAAATCATATTATCTCTCAAAAAGTATGTATATGTATATATCTCTGTGTGTATACCTTCCAGAACTTTCTTAACATTAACATATCATTTGACTAAATCAAAAAAGAAAAAAAAAGCAAATAGAATGCCAGTTCAGTATCCTAAAGGGCTTACATACTATATTCTAATTTCTACTGTATATTATGCCCTTTACCTAGCACTGCTTTACAGAGAAGCAATGCATTAGCATTTACATGAATATAGTTTACATTTCACAAGAAGGTAAGTCAGTAATAATAAACTTTAAAAACATTAAAATGAATTTGGCTTATAATCAACATGGAATTTTTACATGAATGTTGAATTTATAAATAGATCTTTTATACAGATTTTTAGCTTCATAATTACATTTATTTAGATGTCCAAACTATGAAAATAAATATTAATAAAAACCAAGAGGTTGAAAAACTCAAGTGTCAAAGATCTTTGTAAGGTTTCATTTTTTAAATCTAATATACCAATATAATGTCAAAGGAAAGTGAATTTTTTCTTTGTTGCAGTAGAAACACTTTGGCATCTCAAAAGGGCATGGCAGCATCAGACAGGTTTCATTTATTTTCTTATATCCACAGCTGTGTTCCCAGACCCATCTGGTTACACAGCTACTAATTTTAAGAGGATGTAATAAACAAGTGACACACAACTGCAAACTCCATCTGTTCTGTATAGTGGACAACAAAACTGTTCAACAGCAGTCCCCATTCGCCCAAGCTTAATGCAAGAATTAAGTTTGTACTCTTGATTGGAGGCCATGATTCATATCTTATTGATAATCAGTTCTAATTGCTGCTTTTCAACTCCTTGTCCTTAAAACAACTCTGTATCATTTCACTATATATTTTCAGAACATCCAGAGGCATGAAAAGGCATTTAAGGGATAGGAAGCAGAGAATATTCATAGAACATAACTTCAGAAGACCCATTAATTCATTACATCTGTTCAATGTACAGTGTGGGTGTGGCTTAAAGGTACTAGGTGGAAAGGTATAGCAAATAATTTTCTCCAAAAATTATCTCTTCATTGAGGAGAAAAGCATTGTAGAGGCTGAATGTCGGGAGAGTTGAAACGATGGTAAAATTTGAAAATAATGCTTGCAGGATGCTGGTGAAACTAACCATAACTTAGAGACCTATAGGCATTTATGACTCCCTTGCCCCCTTTGGCTATTTTTAGCTTTAAATCAAAAAGAACAAAAAAGAACAAACATAACATTTCAAGCTGGCTCATCCCAAGGGGTTGTGGGCAGGATCTGGTTGGCACTTGAATATTTTATTTATGTAACAAAACTAAACTTGTGATCCTTATTCTTTCACTATAATTATGCTTTTCATATAAACCTTTTAAATAAAAAAGCAACTCATTAACAAATGTAAATCTTTTCCTTCTAAATGCTAGAAAACCGGTATTTGCATTCTGAAAAAAAAGTTGGTGATGCTGTAATTCTTGAAAAAATAATCTTTTAATTGAGCAGCAACTAAATAGCAAACTTAGTTGTGCAAACATTTTTTAGGCGGCACTCATTGCATTACTGGGCCATAAATTATGGCATTTTCTTTGTATTTCTAAAACACAAAAAATAAAAAGTACCTCCTCAGTAGAAATCAAGTCTAGGTTTCAGAACAATGTATTAATATCTTATATGGAAATTGCTAACTGTTCCCTTAAAACGCTATTACTAAACATACATTTACAAAAAGCACTAGAAGCCTCTGAGGGTTAAGCCCCTATTGTATAATTCTGCATATCTCTAGCCCATGATTTCTCAATCAGTACTGTTGATTTGATATGGTAATTAAATCTATAAGTGATTTCTTGTATAAGCTCTTCCAAGATGATCATGTCTTATTCATCTTTCTTTTCACAGGTGCTATACTATTATAATATTTATGGTAATTTATAAATAATGAAAGATTGAGTAAAATTTATATAATCGTTATACAGGGATATCAAAATTAGTAATGTTTTTAAAACTTTATAACACTAATATCCATAATACTACCTCCAAAGCCAATCTAAGAACATTTTGTAATATATAATATGGCAACACGATGCACACTTTAGGAGGGTATCTTAAGGCCGATGACAAACACTGAAGGAGAGACTTACTTACACAAACTGGGAATGGCTAATTCAAACAAATGTTTTCTCAATCAGCTAATAATTCATAAGTGACTTCTACACATTCAATTCAATGTTCAATGTTTCTAGTGTATTATTGAACTCTCCTGACAACATTATGAGGTAAATGGCAAAATTTCCATTTTATAAATGTGCCAGCTTAGACTTAGATGGATCATGGCAAAAGGAAGAGGCAAAGGGGATAGGATTCTAGGCCTCCTTATCCTGAGCTCAGTGCTATTCTCATTGCTGTTATTTTTCTATCCATGCATCTGTTCATATTTTCTATAGATATGAATTAAATGAAGAGTATATCTATGATTCATTCAAAAGACTATGTAGTAAAGTGATAAGATATCACAATATTATGGTCATTCTATATCAACTAGGTAAGAGTACAATATGCTTGTTGTTCATTAGTCCTTAGTTGCTTCTCTGACATTATCAATATGGATAAAATCACTCACTGGGGAAATTAAAAAGCATTAAATGGCAATTGCTGAAAGAAACTTTGTTATTTAAAATCCTATGCCAAAATGACAAGGCAATCAAAGTTTGACAGGGCAAATTAATTAGTATGCCAGATTTGAAATGTAAAACACCTTCAAGGTTCTGATTCTAAAAAGTTTCATATCATCTTAATAGGCTCTCCACATAAATTGTCAAGCAAAGTAAGTAATATTTAAGGTTAAAGTTTTTGTTTTCCACAGGTTTACAAATCAAAATGATGTGCTAGCTTATTAAAAAGGAGCTATGTTCTGCTGTCAGTTTGAAAGTTTTCTGTTGATACTTTAAATATTAAATAAAATCTAAGAAAAATGTTTTCTCATAGAAAGATTAGCAAATTCTACAGTGTTTTTAAAAAGACACTAGATAACTGCACTATAAGGTAGACCTTATCTCATACTAGGAACATTATTATTTCTTCAAATTTAAAGACTAACAACAATTATAAGAGCAAATGTATAAAAAAGATGTGTGTGTATAAAACTGGTATATAAATAAATAAATAGCTGCACTATTTCTCAAATCCTGATATTTAACTTCTCATCATATTGTGCCACAAGAGGATTTTGTTACCCCATATTTTTCTAAGAAACAAACAAACTAATTAAAACAACAAAAATCCCACTGTATTGTGAAAGATAAAAGTAAATGACATATTGCCTTTGAGGGCAATGACAGACAATGTTCTCGCTTTAAGAAATGATCACCAAGTAGCCAAATGTAAAATTTAAAAAAATCTCAACACTGCTTTTTAAAAAGTCACGTCATAAAGAATTTTTTTAATGAATGAGATTTCACATGAAATTAGAAAAATACTTCAAAAGATGAATCTTCTCTCTTTTAAACAAAAAGGCAATTTACTTTTTTTTCAATAAAAACTGACACACAGCATGGAAGAGATGGTGTTGTGCAAACATACTGCATCACACGGCAATGCTTGATCAAAATCAGCAATCAGGAGCGAAAAGAAGGCAGTGTTTCGTGATCATAATAGCAAATTCTGGAAGACAACCAAATATATCATCTGGCAGTTCAACAGCTGTTACAGCTTGGTAGTAATACCTTGGCATTTGCTGTAAGCTATAACTTAGAAAAATTGATTTTTCATCTGCCAGATAAAACCCAAAATCTCCTTTTAACATGTTAATATTTAAATAAAATATATGTACTGGTCATTTTTATTTTACACCTTTGATAGTAGAGTTGCCAAATTAATTCTTCTATTAATAGTTTAATTCAACTCTAAATACCTGGCAAAAGATTGACATGGGCAATAATGTAAATGCAATTTGTTGAGCTTCATTGTGTTAGCACATTAAATTAATATCTGCTAACATCATTCTCAGTTGCATTTATCCCTCTTAAGCAGATAAAACACTGGTATTCTGAAAGAACAAGTTTAGGAATGTCATTATAATTTCATCAGAGAGTACTGACAACAATAAGATAAGCAGAGTAAAATTACATAATTAATGATCTCAGTATATATAATTACAACTACAATTTAAACAACTATAAAATGAGATTTATTGAAAAACGAAAGAAATTTCTGACGAAGGCCACATATATCACTGAAATGTCTGAATAATACACATAGTAGCTAGAGAGAAAATAAATTGCACCTTTAAGTATAACTGATTCTCTTAAGTGACACTGTTTTAAGACCCTTCAAAATCTCAGAATAGGAAGGATGTTTTCCATTAAGTAAATTCTTTACAAAAACCTTTAAGTCTGGCATTCTATTTAGATTGTGAAATGTCATAAAACATTTAGAATTCAACATTTATGCAATCCAGTTTTAGAAAATGAAATGGCATGCACATATCAAATTTTAAAGTTATCAAATAGAGGTTTACCTTTATGCCTATTGCTGTTTTCTTTGCTTCTGCTTTTAATTTGGTTGCTCGTAAAATAGGTTTAGTTTTTTTATAATCCTGTTTACCTAGAAAGAAATAGTTTCAGACAATGAGTTATGCTCATATATAATTAAGTTTAACAATCATTTGAAATGTCAAAGAATGTTTAAATACAGTGAAACAGGGACACGGAGTTGCAAAGTAGTTCCCAGTTGTGGTAACCATAAACTTGTCACCAAAAGGTCAACTTTTCCTTCTCTCTTACTTTTTCAGGAAGAGGATACTGACGGACATCTTCAATTTGCTGTATAGTGAATGTCAAAAAAGATAAAAACTTGTTTTAGAGAACACAAAATTTAAAGTAAAGAAAATAAAACTTTTGGAAGCATTTGGAAACAGATGCATAAGTAAATGAGTATATGTAAGATCCTATTAACAGCTAAAGTTAACTTTGTCTTCCTAAGAGTAACAGCTAATTATAAATGTATTTTATTATGGATACGTTAAGCATTCAAAACATAAGTGAGAAATATCCCCAAGTTTCCTTTAAGTAAAAGACTAAAGAAGAAATCTATAAATATTTAACTTTTAGCCCCACCCTGAATTCATTAGAAAAATATTTCTTTTATTTCCTCTTTTATTTCCTCTTAATAGAGAACAAAATTAACATGGCTAGATAGAAGTTATAGAATAGCTACATTTAGATATTAGTTTCAATAATTTCTTCCACATTTCATAGCCAAAAATGTGCGAAACTGAGTTAGTGCCACAAAATTTCCTTTGTGTATCATCTAGTGACTCCAGCAAAGAGTAACAAAAGTGGATTACACAGCCTGGGGAGAATATAGGTTTAACAACAAGAACAAGAACAGTGAAAGCATTCATTACAATGATATACTTTTTGTTAGCCAACTCTTAACTAGGAACTGAGTCAAAATGAGCCTCAAACATAACAATATAATATTTTATTCTCAGGAGGAGTTAATACATGATCGTATAATCTCTCTGGCTATTTTATATTCTTATTTTGTTTTATTTTCATCTTTTCCCCTTCCTTTCGATGACCAGTTCCTTTACAAAACTCATCGCTACATTCCCTTCATCTAAATAATACAAATTCTAACATTAATTTCCACATCTTCTTCACATTGAAATAAATTGAAAAGCAATTGGTCTAAACTCAAGTATATCATAAAAATTTAATGTGCAATATATCTTAATGTGTCTGCTAATGATTCAAAAGTATCTTTAAAATTTCATACAGAGTTTTAGAACTAGAAATGGTAGTCAAATGGATGGGCGTAGTGAAGAAACATTATATTTATGTCCATTAGACACATAAAAGTGTTTGTTTGGCTGGAAAGCAAGGTATTTTGTTTTTAAAGGATTGTCTTCTCTTTCCTTAACTGCTATTGTATAGCAATAACTCTGGATCAATGAGCATGCAGAAGCTTAATAAATATTATTTGATGATGGGGTCTGATGATCTAGAAATGAGACAATTGTCATAATATGTATCAAATGATCTAAATTTAAATAATGGAATGAACAAAATACATGAGAAAAATGTTACTCTGACCCATTTTAAATTAGCAATATTTAATTCTGATGAAAAAAATCTTGACAAGTGTTCACTCTAATTTCACATCTCTACAGTCAAACTATTCATGTCATTATTCCTGCTGAGCTATAAACAGTTCAGAACAATGAAAATGGTGACACATCAAAGGCCTCCGGTCAGGGTTACCAAGCAAGTTTCTAACAAGAATTCTGAAAGATATTTGAAGATTGTAGATTTATCACAAAGTAACTTCTTGTTTTATCCTGTATATGCCCTATAATAATCTCTTGATGCTATGGCGGGGGGTGGGGGGTGAGCAGCAGGAATAAACAGATGCAAGAGGATTATCTTAATTCATATTTTTTATACAGATATGAAATATTTTGGATAATGTATCTGTCATAAAACACATGCAAATATCTAAGAGTCAATACTAAAATGAGAATTTTTCACTCTACTTCAACTGCCATATAACCATTGGTTAAATAATGTATTCTATTTCAATTCAACTCTCATATTCTTAGAGAATAATACTTCCAGATTTGTATTCAAGTTGATATTAACATTTGAAACTGTATTTATAATAAAAAGACAGTATTAAAAGTTATTGTATACCTGGTACTTTTCCAAGCAGTGCATCTGTCATAAATTTAGCATTCTCCTTGTCGACTATGATATCCAAAAGTGTATATTGCAAAATGTGGTTTTAGTTTACTAAGTGACAACATTTACAGGAGTGTCTGGTAGGTTCTTTATAACTAAAGCCAGATCATTCCATTGTACCCAAAGAGGTTTTCAACATTTAAATATTTATGGCTTCAAGAAAGATACCTATGCCCACATGATTGTAAAAAATATAAAATATAGAAGTCCCTGACTTCTGCGTACTTACACCTAAGGGAAAAAAAAAACACAGTTACATAATCTAGATTTTATATGTAGACTGTTTCTTGAACACAACTGATTCTGATTTTGGTTGTATCAGTGATGCAATAACCAAAGTAGCTATTTGACAGTTGCTCATTAAATCTTATGTGGAGAGAAAAACTTGGTAATTCAAGCCTATGAAGCCAATCTGGGGCCTCAATCAAGCCCAATGTCTGAGCTTCCTTAGGAACAGGTTCTACTGCATTTTTCTGTGTATGAACTAACCTATTAGTTCTTTATGTGTTTCATAATTTTAAATTGAAAATCAAACATATTTGATAATGTAATGTGGAAACTCTGCAAACTAGATCGTCCCTGAGGTTTGTTGTTACTGTTATTTGCTCTTTGTTGTTGTTGTTAGAATCCCTTTGTTTAGTAACTTTACTGAACTAATTCTATAGAGACTGTATTCAATAGTATATGGTCACTGAAGTCTCTGCACAGTTACCTTATTGGTCATCTGCTGTGGTTTAATGTGTCCCCCAAAATTCATGTTGGAAACTTAATTTCCAGTGCAACAGTTTTGAGAGGTGGGATCTGTAAGAGGAGAGTGGATCATAAGGACTCTGCCCTCATGAATAACTTAATGCCATTATTGTGAGAGTGGGTTAGTTATCATAGAAGTTAGTTCATAATACAAAGATAAATTCAGTTTACTTCCTCATTCTCTCTTGTGCATGCTCTTTGGCCCTTCTGCCTTCCACCATGGGATAATGCATTCACAAGGCCCTTGCCAGAGGCAGGCCCCTCCAGCTTAGACTTCCCAGTCTCCACAATCATAAGAAATAAATATCTGTTCTTTACACATTTTCTAATCTCAAAGGTTTTGTTATAGCAGCACCAAATAGACTAAGACAGAAAACTGGTACCAAGAAGTAGGGGTGCTGCTATAACAAACACCTGGAAATGTGGAAGTGGCTTTGGAAATGTGCAATGGGGAGGGGCTGGATGAATTTGAAAGAGCAGGCTAGAAAAACCCTGTATTGCCATGAAGGAAGCATTAAAGGTGATTCTGGGGGGTGCTCAGAAGAAATGGTGAGATGTAAGGAAAGTCTGAATCTTCTTAGGGATTATTTGAGTAGTCATAATCAGAATGTTTGTAGAAACATGAAAAGTAAAGGCCATTTTGATGAGGTCTCAGATGGAAATGGGAGACATCTTATTGGGACCTGGAGTAAAGGCTATCCTTGTTATAAATTGGCAAAGAACGTGGCTGAATTGCTTCCATGTCAAATACTTTATATGGAAGACAGAATGTACAAGCAATGGACTAAAGTATCTGCCAGAATAAATTTCTAAGCAAATTACTGAAGGAGTTGTATGACTGCCTTTTACCTCATATAGTGAGATGTGCAAAAAAAGAAATGACTAAAAGGTAAAATTTACAATTAAAAGAGAAACAGGAGGAAAAGATTTATAAAACTCTCAGCCTGGCCATGTAAAGAATAAAAAAAAAGTGTGCTGAGGAGAGAATACTAAAGGTGTGACCAAGCAACCCTTTGCTAAAGAGATTACTAGGGAGAGAAGGGGACCAGGTGCTATTCATCAGGACAATGAGAGAAAGACCTCAAAGACATTTCAGAGATCTCTGAGAATGCCCCTCCCAAAATAGATCCAGAAGATCTTAAGGGCAACATCTCCAGAGAGGCTTCCAGGGGACCTCTGTATTCACTGCCTGGAGTTGCCTTGGGACTCTGTTTCTCACATTCCAGCACAGCACCCCTCAGCCATGCCAGCTGTGGCTTAAGCAGGCCCAGGTGAAGTTTGTGCTGCAGCTCCGGGGACACAAGGGATAAGTCTTAGCAGGGTTCATGTAGTGCTGATTCTGCAGACTTACTGATTTCATGAGCTGTGGGGCCATGGAGGCCCCCAACTAGACTTCAAAAGATGTTCTGGACAGCCTGGGGACCCAGGCAGAAACTTGTTGCAGGGATGAAGCCACTGCAGAGAGCCCTGACTAGGGCAATGCCTAGTGAAGCCACAGGAGAAAAGCCACCTCAGAGACTCAAGAATTATAGAGCTACCAGTGTGCAATTACAGTCTGGGAAAGAACCAGTCAAGAGACTCCAACCTGTGAGAGCTGCTGGGTGGTTTGAACCCAACAAAGCCATATGGGGAGGGTTGCCTGAGGCCTTAGGGGCCCAATGCCTGCCCCAATGTGACCAGGATGTGGGACATGGAGTCAAAGGATATTATGTCCAGCTTTAAGATTTAATGTTGTTTTCCCTGTTGGGTTTTGGACTTGCTTGGAATCTGTTACTACTTTTTTCTTGCCTAATTCTCCCTTTTGGAATGGGAATGTCTGTGGTAGGCTTGTGTCAACATTGCATTTTCTTTTTCTTTCTTTTTTTTTTTTTTAGATGTTGTTTCACTCCTGTCTCCCAGGCTGGAGTGCAATGGCATGATCCTGGCTCACTGCAACCTCTGCCTCCCAGGTTCAAGTGATTCTCCTGCCTCAGCCTCCCAAGTAGCTGGGATTACAGGCATGCACCACCACGCCTGGCTAATTTTTGTATTTTTAGTAGAGATGGGGTTTCGCAATACTGGCCATGCTGGTCTTGAACTCCTGACCTCAGGTGATCCACCCACCTCGGCGTCCCAAAGTGCTGGGATTACAGGCATGAGCCACCATGCCAGGCCCCAGCATTGTACTTTGGAAGTAGATAATTTGATTAATTTCACAGGCTCACAGATGGAGAGGAATTTGCCTCGAGACGAATGATGCCTTGAGTCTTACCCACATGTGATTTTAAATGAGACTTTGGATTTTGAAATTTTGAGTCGATACTGGAAGGAGGTAAGACTTTTGGGACTATTGAGATGGAATGAATGTATTTTGCATTGTAAGAAGGACATGAACTTTGAAGGCCAGGGCTAGAATGCTATAATTTGAATGTGTCCTGAAAAGTTCATGTTTTGGAAACTTAATCTCCAATTCAACAACATTGAGAGGTGGGACTTTTAAGAGATTATTAGGTCATAAGGGCTCTGCCCTCATGAATGAATTAGTTATCACAGGAGTGGGCTCATGATAAAAGAATGAGCTTGGTCCCTTTCCTCTTGCTTTCTTGTATGTGCTCTTTTGTCCTTTATTCTTCCCCATTAGGATGATGCGTTGACCTTTGACTTTCCAGACTCCAGAACTTTAAAAAATAGATTTCTTTTCTTTATAAATTACCCAGTCTCAGGTATTCTGTTATAGCAGCACCAAATGGACTAAGACATCATGTAATGACTGGACAGATATTTCCTTAAATGCTTTGAACCACTAAGTCTCTTAATTTTGCTGAGGAGCTATGTGACTATTTGTGTGTGTGTCTGTATATGTGCATGCAGGTATATGTGTATGTTTTTGTGTTGGGGTACATCTCCATGCTACAACAGAGGTTTATAGTTATGCCTTAGCCTTCACTTCTGCTTGTGAAGAGCCTTAAGTCCACCAAGAGGTAAGAGATTATAGGTTCCTCACATCTTTAATGGGCATGATATAGCCCTGCTCGTGCACATGACCTTCTAGATTCTCAGGAATCTGTCAGACCTTTTAAAAAATTCTATGGGCATGTTGTTCCCCTGTTTTTGCTTTTATTCTTTGGTCAGTCTCATGTTTAACCCCACTAGTAATGATGCTTCAGGCAACTACAATGTTAAACACTTGTTGTTCATTGTTTTTGTCAAATGCCACAGAGAAAGGGCTCTTCACACAGAGTTAGCTCTAAGTAAAGTCAAATAAAGACAAGTTTTGAGAAAGGGGCTTTTCAGTGAGTTTCCAGACTGGTCAAATTGTGACAAGTCTTGAGGATGGGGGCTTTGCATATCTCCAAATGAATTTTGCCTTCTCCAGTGGCTGCTACGCTAACGTTTTCCGTAACTACTGTAGTTGAAAGGCTAAAGAAAAGAAAATGGCATTAAGGCAAGTTAAAACACCACAAAGATTGCAGATATTACTGAGATTCACCTGTTTTTCTGAAATAAACACTCCTTAGATGGTTTTAAGATTTTAGTTAATTTTCAGGTTTCTGGAAAACATTGATTTTGATAGTTTTCACCAGTGTTCTCACTGGCTTTATATAAAAGCAGATTTTCAGAGGTTTTTACTTTCCACTCAAGAAGTACTTCTCCTCCATAGCTTTAATTTTACTATCATCACATTTAAAGTTAGTATGTTGGATTTTTACATTAATTTTCATTCATTTACAATTTTTATAACCATAAAATAGGATACAATGGCTGAGTCAAACAGAGGTTGCTGCTTAAAAGCTCAGTGTTGGTAATCTATCAGTTATTTCAGGCTGAATGTTTCAAATTCTCTTTTTGTTTTTTACTTAATTTTTGCAGGTACATAATAGGTGTGTGTGTGTATATATATATATATATATATATATATATATATATATATAGATGGGGGTACATGAGCTATTTTGATACAAGCATATAATGCATGATAATCACATCAGGGTAAATGCGGTATCTATCTCCTCCAGAATTTTCCTTTCTTTGTGTTGCAAACAATCTGATTATACTACTTTTTTTTTTTTTTCTGGAGTCTCACTCTGTCATCAGGCCAGAGTGCAGTGGCACAATCTCGTCTCATTGTAACCTCTGACTCCTCTGATTCTCCTGCCTCAGCCTCCCAAGTAACTGGGTTTACAGGCACATGACACCATGGCCAGCTAATTTTTGTATTTTTAGTAGAGATGGGGTTTCACCATGTTAGCCAGGATGGTCTCAATCTCTTGACCTCGTGATCTGCCCACCTTAGCCTCCCAAATCACACCTGGGATTACAGGCATGAGCCACTGCACTTGGCCTTTTTCATTATTTTTAAATGTACAATAAGTTTTATCAAATACTAGATCTTATTCATTCTTACTAACTATATTTCTGTGCCCATTAACCATTCCCACTCCTTCCACCCCCTCCCCAATACTCTTCCCAGTCTCTGGTTACCATCCTTTTATTCTCTATTTCCATGAGTTCAATTGTTTAAATTTTTTTAGCTCCCACAAATAAGTGAGAAGATGCCCACTTTTTCTTTCTGTACCTGGCTTATTTCACTTGACATAATGACCTCCAGTTACATCCATGTTGTCGCAAATGACAGGATCTCATTCTTTTTTCATGGATGAACAGTACTTCATTGTGTATAAGTAACACTTTCTATAGCCATTCATCTATTGATGGACACTTAGGTTGCTTCTGAATCTTGGCTACTGTGAATAGTGCTGCAATAAACGTAGGAGTGTAGATATCTTTTTGGTATCCTGATTTCCTTTCTTTTGCATATATACTTAGCAGTAGGGTTGCTGGATCATCTGGTAGCTCTATTTTTAGGTTTTTGGGGGAACCTCCAAACCGTTTTCAATAGTGGTTGTACTAATTTACATTCCCACCAACAGTGTATGAGGGTTTCCTTTCCTCCACATCCTCACCAGCATTCGTTCTTGCACCTTTTGGATAAAAGCCATTTTTAACTGAGGTGAGATGATATTTCATTGTATTTTTGATTTTCATTTCTCTAATGATTAATGATTTTGAGCATGTTTTCATACACCTGTTTGCTACTTGTATGCTCCTTTTGAGAAATGCCTATTCAGATATTTTGCCCATTCAAAACTCAGATTATTAAATTTTTTCCTATTGGGTTGTCTGAGCTCTTCATGTATTCCAGTTATTAATCCTTTGTTAGATAGTTTGCAAATATTTTCTCCCATTCTGTGGGTTGTCCCTTTCACTTTACTGATGGTTTCCTTTGCTGTTCAGGAGCTTTTTAATATGATGTAATCCCACTTCTCCATTTTTGCTTTGGTTGTCTGAGCTTGTGAACTATGATTCAAGAAATCTTTACCCAATCCAATTTCCTGGAGAGTTTCCCCAATGATTTCCTTTAGTAGTTTCATAGTTTGAGGTTTAAGTCTAATGCATTTTGATTTGATTTTTGTATATGGTAAAAGATAGGGTTCTAGTTGCAGTCTTCTGAATATAGATATCCAGTTTCCACAGTACCATTTTTTGAAGAGACTGTCCATATCTTAATGTATGTTCTTAGCACCTTTATCAAAAATGAGCTCACTGTAGATGTAAGAATTTGTTTCTGAGTTCTCTATTCTATTCCATTGGTGTATGTGTCTGGTTTTATGTGAGTACCATGCTGTTTTGGTTACTACAGTTCTGCAGTATAATTTGAAGTCAGTTAATGTGATTCTTCCAGTTTTGTTCTTTTTGCTCAGGATGGCTTTTGCAATTCTGAGGCTTTTTTGGTTTAATATAAATGTTAGGATTACTTTTTCTATTTCTGTAAAGAATTTCATTGGTATTTTGATAGAGATTGCATTGAATTTATAGTTTGCTCTGGGTAGGATAAACAATTTAGCAATATTGATTTTTCCAATCCATGAACATGGAATATTTTCCCATTTTTTTGTGTTCTCTTCAAATTTTTATCATTGTTTTATAGTTTTCATTATAGAAATCTTTAACTTATTTGCTTAAGTTTATTCCTAGGTGTTTTGTTTTATTTGCAGCTATTGCAAATGGGATTACTTTCTTGATTTTTTTTCAGACTCTTTGCTATTGTCATATGGAAATCCTACTGATTTTTGTAGGTTGATTTTGTACAAAAATCAACTCCAGCAACTATACTGAAATTGCTTATTAATTTTAATAGTTTCTCATAAAGTCTTTTGTTTTTTCCAAATATAAGACCATATCATCTGCAAACAAGGATAATTTGATTTCTTCCTTTCCAATTTGGATGTCCTTTCTTTCTTTTGTCTGATTGCTCTAGCTATGACTTCCAGTACCATGTTGAATAACGGGGGTGGAAAGTGAGCAGTCTTGTCTTGTTCCAGATCTTAGAGAAAGGGCTTTCACTTTTTCCTCATTCAGTATGATACTAGCTGTGGGTCTGTCATATATGGCTTTTATTACGTTGAGGTATGTTCCTTCTATACCCAGTTTTTTTGAGGGGTTTTTATCATGAAGGATGTTAAATTTTATCAAATGCTTTTTCACCATTAATTGAAATGATCATAGGGTTTTTGTCCTTCATTCTATTGATATGATGTATCACATTGTTTGATTTGTGTATGTTGAATCATCCTTGCACCCCTGGGATAAATCCCACTTGCTCATGATGAATAATATTTTAATGTGTTGTTGGACTTTGGTTTACCAGAATTTGGTTGAGGATTTTTGCATCAATGTTCATTAGGAGTGGCCTGTAGTTTTCTTTTTTTTAATGTGTTCTTGTCTGTTTTTGGTATTACAGTAATACTGGCCTTGTAAAATGAGTTTGAAAGTATTCCTTTCTCCCCTATTTTTTGAAAGTTTGAGTAAGATTGGTATTATTTCTTCCTCGAATGTTTGGTAGAATCTAGCAGTGAAGCCATCAGGTTCTGGGCTTTTCCTTGTTGAAAGATGTATTATGGATTTGATCTCATTGTTTGTTATTGTTCTGTTCAGGTTTTGGATTTCTTCATGGTTCAATCTTAGTGAGTTGTATGAGTCTAGGAATTTATCCATTTCCTCTAGGTTAACTAATTTATTGGCATTCAGTTACCCAAAGTAGCTTGTATTTTTTATTTCTGAAATATCACTTGTAATGCCTCCTTTTTCATCTCTGATGACATACACCCCAAGTCCACTGGTTCCGAGCCCAGCAGAGTACCAGGACTTGCCAAGGAATTGCAGTCCTTGTGGCCTAGACTGCCTTTCACGTTTATCTAGGATCCCAGAGTATTTTAGTCCGTGGTGATGACGCTTGCTGAAACTCAGGTTCGTACCACCAGGATAGAAGACTTGCCTCTGGCTAGGACTAGTCTAAATGCTCCCTCTGTGGGCACCAGCTAAGTTCTTCCCTGTGTGGCTTTCCACTGTGACAGGGCAGCACTGAGTTCCAAGGCAAATTCCCACAATCACTGCACTCTCCCTCATGCAAGTGCACAGATTGTCTCTTAACACCACATGGCCAAAGGTGAAGTACGGGAAAGGGGTGGTATAGGTGACTCAAGATTGTCTTTCAAATCCTCTTCAGTGCCTCTTTCCTTAATACGATGTTAAAGCCAGGTACCGGTTCACCTGTTTTTTGCTTCTTATGAAGGTGCTTGTTTTGTGTGAATAGTTGTTCAGTTTGGTGTTCCTGTGGGGGGATGATCGCTAGAGGATTCTGTTCAGCCATTTTGCTCATCAGGTTAATTTCTTATATATAGCCTATATTTAAGTAATTTTATAAAATTTCAATGTGAAAATCTGTCCTTTAATTAGTATGTTTAGGTGTTTACATTTAATAAAACTATTGATATGTTTTCATTAAGGTCTAACTTTTTTGTTTCTCTTTGTTCCCTTTGATTTTTGTTGCTCTTTCATTTTCCTTCTTATTGTATTACTTGAACAATTTTTAGTGTTCCATTTAAATTATGTATTGTGATTTTGACTCTAGATTAATGTTTTAATGGTTGCCCTAGAAATTATAAAATATATACCTAACTTTCCAGACTAAATCAAATCAATTTTTATTCAATTTCTTATTTTTAAATATATTCTAAATTATGTTTAAAATTTTAACATTTTAAAAACTTTAGTAATCCAATACATTTCATATTTTAACTTTCCAGACTAACTCAAATCAATTTTTATTCAATTTCTTATTTTTAAATATATTCTAAATTATGTTTAAAATTTTAACATTTTAAAAACTTTAGTAACCCAATACATTTCACATTTTAATGTAATGGAAATAAGAAGTGCATTTATTTTTAGTGTTGACTTTGCTAGTTATTGTTTATATCATTTGACTTTGCTGTGCTCATTTAAGAGCAGCTTTGACATTTGTCATTGGTTATGGAAGTTTTATCCAGACAGTAGATTTTTTAAATAATTCAAGCACTTAAATGTCTACATATAAAGAATTATACACGTGAATATACTATTGTAGCACAGGTGTTTTTGATAATTAAATGCCAGGCAAGATATTGGTGTCCCTGCTTGATGCATGTTCTTATTATAGCCTAATAGTTTTGCAATAAAATGTGAAAGGTACATGCATAGTTAGGAGGATTATTATACTCTGGTTGCTGACATTTTATATTAATAATAAAAACTGCAGGCTATAGGTGCCTGTGATTCTGTTGCAGAATAAAATTTCCTATTACTCTTTTCTCATGTTGTGATCAGTTTAATTGAAGAGTATCCTGAAATTGCTAGATCTATACTATTAATAAGATAGTTATCATATTTAACTATTTATTTGTATCAATAAATTTTTCTCAATAGTATGTCATCAAAACAAAGTACAGAAATGAGTATTACGTTCAGGGTGATAACTAATGTGTAAATGAAACAGGTCAAGTGCCTGTTATCCCAAACCTTGTGTAAAAGACAAATAATAAACAAACAAAAATTGTTCAATTTATCAGGTGATAAAAAGCACTAAAAAGAAGAATACAGTTGGCAATGGGCAGACAATCAAAGCGAGATATGTATTGTTTTAGATATGGCAGTCAAAGGAGTCCTCCTTAATAAGATTTCATTTGAGCCTATACTCAAATGAAGTTAGCAAAGAAGCCATGTGGGTAGATGATAGAAGCAATTTCAAATATTGGAAATATTGAAGTGCAAAGATTCAAAAAACACTAACTCCTAGAAGGAGTTTAACAGATAAGTTGATTAAAAAAAAATCAATTCCTAATGGCAGACTCAGTGATCCAGAACAGACCCTATGTTCATTTTCCAGTTTTTGAATACATGGGCTCAAATGATAATGGAAATAGGCAGGATCTCCAGCATGGTTCCCCAATATGTGCTCTAACAGCTATTTTGTTAATGAGTGTGAAGTAGAACTATTACTCCCTTTCTTTACTAAAATGATAAAGAAAAGGAAATGTATACTCCTGGGGGAATTTCAGAGGTTGACTATATGATGAATAACTTTGTATGTGCAGTCACACTGATTATTTTCACTGGCCTGTTTATTTCCTCACTGTGATTAATTATATCATGGAAACCAACTGAGTACTACTGAAAATTTAAAATTATAGTAGAATTTTCTTACTGTAGCAGAATAATGAAGTCCCTAGCACATGGTCATAACTAGCTAATTAACCAAGCCAATGCATTTTTCTCAGGCCTGATCACAGATACTGCAAGAGGCTGTCTGTCCTTACTGGAAAGGACAGCAGTATACTTACAGTCCTACTGCAGGAGTAGATAAACTCCACATCTCAGTGTTAAAAATATGATTCCCAGAGATTTTAACTGCTTCACAACCCCACAGTATATCACAATGACAATGATATGATGTAAGTCTTGGAGAAGCCATGGAAAGTGTCTGAGACATCTCATTCAGATATATACATAAAAGAGACAATAATAAACATTCTTTTAAAAGAGGTTTGCTACCTAAGTCTAATTTATGGAGGTCTGCATGTTGGAATTGTCTCCCAGAATTAAAGGTTAACTTGCCACACCTTACTTACCATTACCATCACCAGCAAGCATGGTGCAAAGGCTCAACTTCTTAAAAAATAAAAACAACACTCACAACTTGATTATTACACATCCATACTTATGACACAACACTCTTCTACTAGGTATATGTTGCAGGGAAACTTGTACATGTAAATCGATGAACAGACACGTCTAAAAATATTCATAGAAGCATCGTTCGTAATAGCATTCATAGAAAAAAAAACTGAGAATAATTTATAACTGTCCAAAATCAGGAGACTAGAAGAAAAATACCAGTATATAGAAATAATGGAAAGCCATAAAGCACAGAAAATGAATGAACTATATCAACAGCCATGAACAAAAATAAAACTCTAAAACATGATGTTCAGTAGAAGCAAATTTTATAACAATATATACAACATGATTTCATTTATATAAAGATCACCTATATAAACTGACAAAACTAAATGATAGATTACTGGCACAAATTTAAGTGGCAAATCCTTAAAGAGAATTAATACAAAATTAATATTGTGGTAATCCCTCGGAAAGATGGAGGACATTGCAATTGCGATGGAGTATATAAAAGGCTTCTTAGCTACTGGTGTATTTTCAATTTTTAACTTGGATGGCGGATCCATGGTTGTTCATGTTCTTGTTTTTTAAACCTATAGTACTTATTTTATCTATGTAGGGGACCTGAAAAGTTCCTAGAGTTGAGTAGAGCATGGGACAATAAAAGGTTCTCCAGTAGATTGCTGTGACAGATACTCTATCTCTTGGAGTCTATGACATGGTAGATTCAATGGAATCTGAAGTACTGTTAGCTAACTGAGACATAGAAGCAACCCTTCAGCAGGTATGAATAAAAGAAAAGTGTCAGTCTCTAGGGTTTTGGAACAGTGCCATACCCCCTTCAGCAAGTAGCATCTGCTAAGAAACAACTCCTGGATTGCTACCAAATGGATAGAGAACTGACTACCTTGTCATGAGACTCAGGGATCATCTGGCCTGAGCTTCCAGTCATGAACTGGAGGTTATCTAGTTCAATAAACTATAAGATTAGGTATTTTAGCATTAAAAACATTTGTACATAGATCTTTATCATATTCTCACACCAGCTAGAAATAGACTGCTATGGTATTATAGCTATCATTGAAGATGAACCCAAAGGGCAATGAAAAAGGGAAATTGTCCCAGTGGCCAAAATTTGAGTAGTATATTTTGTTCAGTTTACCTGGAAACAGAGGTAACCTAAAGAAAAGATACGATACTAGTTCTCCTGAATTGAAAGCTGAGCCAGCCACCTAGGCAGTTTGAATTCTACATACCTATAGGCAAACTAGTAAAATGGTCAATCATAGTGTTGGCTGAGGTAATTTATGCTGGTTATCAAGGTCCGTTGAAATGGTTTGTTCATACATAGCGCATGCCTAAAGGAGTATGGGAAGAGGTAAGGAAATTCCTGGGACAACTCAAGTACTATTTTGACCAATCATAAAATTTAATACAATTTTTAAATTTTTAAAGGCAAAGACCCTCAGTAAACTAAGGTTCTTGAATTAAGAAGGGAAGTCATAAGTTACAACTACTATGACCAACTAGAGAACTGAGAATGATAGCCTGAACCTATATTTCTTTGCTTGCTCCTAGAATGTAACACTCATCTTCCCCATACAAACAATTTCCCTATAAAGTCACCATTATCAAAATTTTAAAAACATTTCTTCCTCTTCCTTTATGCCAAATCACAATAGAATAAAGGGAAGACTGCTAACACGGTGAAATCCCGTCTCTATCAAAAAAAAAAAAAAAAAAAATTTAGCCGGGCGTGGTGGCAGGCGCCTGTGGTCCCAGCTACTCAGGAGACTGAGGCAGGAGAATGGCGTGAACCTGGGAGGCGGAGTTTGCAGTGAGCTGAGATAGCGCCACTACACTCCAGCCTGGGAGACAGAGCGAGACTCCGTCTCAAAAAGAAAAAAAAAAAAATACTGGACTTAGTGAACAGCAGCTCAAGCTTGATTGGGATATATGTTTGGGTAGCTGTGGAGGATGCTGGAGATATCCTTAGATCATTTTCAGAATTATTCTCATTATCAATGACAGAAATCCATCTTGAAATAACATGAAAATGGGAGAGAAAGAGATTGAGATTGATTCATTGATTCCAAAAAATAAGGGAAAAGGAAAAATTTTTGTAGGGATTGACATAAGTTGAAGTTTTGACACTGAAGGACTTTCTCTTTCTACCATCATTTCTATTTCTTGTTTTTCTCTGGAATCATGGCTATTTCCATCTGTGGCTCACATCCTATAAAACTAAGACCAAAGTGGAATGGATACTTCTGCCTGGGATCATTTTAAACATCGTTCTCATGCCCTAAAAGATTACCTTTGTGAATGGTTTCTTCCAATTACATAAGACTAAGATTCACTTAACAGTGTGTGTATAGCTACCAATTCAAGCAAATTTAACAAACCAAACTAGTTCTTCTCTGTGTCCTCCTGTTAAATATGGATTAAAAATATATACTTGAAAACTCAAGGTACATAATCAACAGAATTTCCAGTTTCAAGTCTTAAACAGAGATTATGAGTATTAACTAAAAGCAAAGTCGTTATTAAAAAGTAAACATTAATATAAAAGAATTTTCAAATTATTTCTGGAGTTTTTGATAGCAAAGATGGTAGCACACAAATTCATAATTTTTACTTGCATATACAATACAGACAATCTGTAGTGTCAGCTTTTTAAACAAAATACTTTAAAAGCCATTTTAAGTTATAATTTCTAATTAGTAGATATTATCTGTGTTAAAAGTTCCTTTGCTTATATATTCAGTATGAATAAAACAGGTTTAACTCTGGCATTAGTGCTGTCCCTATAAAAAAAACACACATTTATGTACATACAAAGATAGCTACTAAAACAAATATTAATATTGAGAGATATAAAAACATATTTAATAAAAATAATAACTATTTAAATACCTTATTGTCATCATTTACCATTCCTCATATTACACTATTTTAGGGATGGACACAGTCATTTATATGTTCTAAAAAGTTATCTATGCCAGAAATTATTTCATATTTAAAGCAATCATTTTAACTGTGACATGACTTTTTCATGGGAGCTTCCTTAGTTTAAATTAAAAAAACAAAATAGATTACTTTACTGCTTTTGGCTTTTTGTTGTTCAATTCCTTACCCTTGCCCAGAAACAAGACTACATCTTTGCCCTTTGTTGATATTGCTGCTCAAGCTCATTATCACGTGAATATCTGGTTATTGTTTTATAAATGTTCATTTTCTAGAAGCTCACTGTTTCTTTCTTTCTCAACAGTCGACTTTACACTAGCCACACTCATTATCATCATGTGGCAGTACTGCTCTTCCTCTGCCTTTGCTGCTTTAAAAATTAATGCACTGTTATTTTCTGAATACTGCATAAGCTGCTTATGAGTACATTATGCTATCAAGCAAGCACATGCAGAAAAGCTTCCTAAACTGTTATTCTTTCAATGAAAATACAGCTGGTTCTGCTTCAAAGGCACATCTTTTCACCTGCAAATGGACTTGCTCCTGCACTTATTCCTCAATTCATTGTCTTTTATTTGTGTCTAGAAATCTTTAATTGCCTTTAATTAGAAAAAAGTAAATTCAGTGCTTTAATCTTGCAAATACATTCAATCATAATTCTGTCTGGGATAAATACCAAGTTCTATTCACTGTCTGATCTCTGTAACAAAGATATATAATTTATTGTCCATTTATATAGACCACACCAATTAAGATACAATAGAAAAGCAGAGAGATAAGAGTCAAAATATTTGAAAAGAAAAATTTGCAATCTAAATTTAATTACTCAAATGAATTATTGGAAGATGAGTTATTTACAGCATGCCAAAAATACTGGCAAATAATATTTGGTAATCAACAATAAAGACTTTTATATTTCCTTCAACATTTTTAGAATAAATCTCACCAAATGCTTCCAATCCCTCCTCCCTTCGTCAAAAAGCAATATACTACTTGGAATCTTACTTTTCTTGTATTACCTAAGTTACATATAAAAGTAACACAATTTGTCATATAAAGTAAATCTGCAGCTGCCATATGAACACAATGTTTAGTTATTATATTGCAAACTACAAATATCTAAAGAAGACTCATTACAAAACTAGGGGTCAATAGTCTTTCGTATGGAATCTTGTTAAAAAAACTCTAGTAACTATGTCAGTAAACAAATGGCCTGCATTTTAACACCTTCAAGATGAATAAAATTACAAATGCTCACAGGAAAATAACTAGGTAAAACATTAACCAATCAAATTGATAAAATGAAAATAACTACAAAGCCAGAAATAATCCAGGAGATTACCATCAGCATAACGTACCTTTACATTTAATAAATCGTGCAAAGGATAACAATTTCCTTAAAGACAAAAAGCAAGTATTACCTACAAAGGTAAACTACGCAAAAAGTAAAACTTCTCTCAAAATTATTTGGAGATATCCAGAATATAGAGAGCAGGCTGGTAAATTCATCATTGAAAATAAACATCTCGGGCAAATTTTTCATTTTAATTTTGTTATAGAAACAATTCAAACCAATGATAATTTTTCAATGCTTGGACATAACAGCTTGTCATGCATTACCATTACAGAAAACACATCATCATTTAACACCACATTAAGTACTAAGAAACAAGCACTAAGCTTAGAGCTGCTAAAGATAAACCAAGTTGCTCATAAAATACAAATTAATTTCCAAGAAAATTCATATTAAAAATGCTAACCAAGCAAAAATTTATACATGGAGGAGAATTATAGTTAAATAGAAGATGTTATAAATAATATCAATCTTGAGTTTGCAATTAGTACTCAAAAAAGTCCACAAACATTTAAGAAGTGGTTGTATCCAAGGTACCCATGGGGATGTAGAGAAGTAAAAGAAAGACAAACAACAAAAAGAATAACAGGGAACCTAAAACGCAAAATTAAGAAAAATTAAACAACGACATGTTTCAGTAAGTATTCAATTTAGTTAAACATACTGCTTACTATTTCAAGAAAAATGATAAAATACTCAAATTAATGTAAACAGGTTAGGTTAAACAAAGGGTATATAAAATTGTAATCACCTAAGAATTAGGACAGTTGCTTTATTGATTATTTAAATATTTATTAAGTACCTTCTGTGAACATCATTAGAGATGCCAAAAAAAATTAGATGGAGCTTCTGTCTTCAAGACTATTTAAATTCTAGTAAGTACAATTAAAAAAATATGTGAAAGATAGGAGAAAGTAATCACATTTAGAAGTTTAAAAATCCTTATTGTCTAAGTTAAATAAGGATATTAATATACTTTATTAAGTCAACTATGAAAACTTGAGAATCTCCTCTCCCTTTCCCAAAACAAGGAAAGAAAAGAAAAGAAAAAAAAGGAATGGAAAATGTTGAAAATTTGAAGAATGAAAAAGGAAACATAGTCAAAAAGTTTCAAGAAAAAAGGTTAGAGCGGAGATTAGCAAAGGAAAAATCACTACAAATGAAAAATATAAATAAAAATGTGAAAATATATCAAGATTTTTAATTCATAGTAAATTATATAGAATTAAATTTGCTTGCTTGAAAACAAAGATTCTCCACCTATATTAAAAAATCAATTATATCATTAATTTATAGATTAAAATAAAGGGATAAGAAAAATACAAGAGTACTTAACAAAATAACAAAAAGTATTTTACCAATATTAATATAAAACAAAAAGAAGTCTAAACAGACACTTCATAAGTACTTTATAAATAAAAAGGTCATTATATAATAGAAAAGGGGAAATTATCATAAATATATACCAATTTACAAATGCTAAGCAACGAAAACATAGCTTCAAATATATAAAGCAAAAACTGATAGCATTACAAGAATTGAAAACTATAGTCTTGGGGTATTTTAATTCTCATTTTTCACTAAATGACAGCTAAAATATATAAAAAGTACACAATAGAGTTGAAAACTATAATTAATATAAGTAGTACTGAATCCTAATATTAGAGAATACCTATTCCTTTCAAGCACAGGGAATGTTAACAAAATTGACTGCATACTAATTCAGACAGGAAATACTAATATCAAAAACTGATATCATACACAAAACACTGTCGGTACAAGAAACAAGGCTAAAAATCAATTTGAGAAAAAGTAAGAGTGGAGCTTTTGAATGTTATTAAAGTTAAGCTATTATTAGCTTAAAATAGACTGTTAAACATTTTATGGAAGCCTCATGATAACCACAAAGAAAAAAAACTAATAATAGATACAGAAAAGATAAAAAAAACTAATATTAGATTCAGAAGAGATAAATAGAAAGAATCAAAGTATATCACAACAAAAATTATCAAATTGCAAAGATGATACCAAGCGAGGAAGAGAGGAACAAAAGAAATACAAAACAGACAGGAAACGATTAACAAAAAATGACAATAAAAAGCCCTTACTATCAAAAATTACTCTAAGTGCAAATATATTAAACTCACCAATCAAAATATATAGAGTGTCTCAATGGATAAAAAAAGGTTCAGTTATATGCTGTCTATAAAAGACTAGCTTTAGATTTAATGACACACACAGGCCGAAAGTAAAGAGATGGAAAAAGATATTCCATGCAAATCGTAACCCAAAAAGAGCAGGAGTAGCTATACTTATATCTGACTAAGTAGAATTTAAACCAAAAACTGTTACAAGAGATGAAGAAGGTCATTACATAATGATAAATGAATTAACTTAACAGGAAGATATAATGATTATAAATTTAAAAATACACATATATGCATATGTGTACATAAATAAATATACATATATACATATATATGTGTATATATGTACATACATGTATATGTATATATACATATCTACATACACAAGTATATATGTATATATGAGTGTACATATATATGTATATGTGTGTGTAGACATATATATATATATATATATGCACCCAACATCAAAGAATCTAAATACATAAAACAGCCATGGAACTGAAGAAATAGAAAGCAATACCATAATAGTAGTCAAAAATGGATAGATTATTGAGACAAAAAACTCAAGAAAAAAACACAGATTTAAACAATACTACAGAACAAATGGACTTAACAAATGTATACAGAACATTCCAAGCAAAAGTAACAGCATACATATTCTTCTCAAGTGTACACTAACATTCTCCAGGATAAATCACATGCTAGGTCACAAAGTAAGTTTTAACAGATTTAAGAAGACTGAAATTACTCCAAGTATCTTTTATGAGCACAATAGAATAAAACTAGAAATCAATAACAAAAGGAAAATGGGAAATTCACGAATACATGAAAAGTAAACAAGGAACCCATGAACAATCATTCAGTAAAAGAAATCAAATGGAAAATAAGAAAATGTTTTGAAAGGAATGAAAATGAAAACACAATATAACAAAATTAATGGGATACAGCAAAGGTAGTACTGAGAAAAAAGTTTATTAACAATAAACAACTAGATTTAAAAAGAAATATCTCAAATAACCTAACTTTATACCTCAAAAAATTAGAAAAAGAACAACCCTAAGCACAAAGTTGCCAGGAAAAAGCAAAATAGTAAAGATTCTGGCAGAAATAAATGAAATAGAGAATAGAAAAACAATGTGGAAAAAATCAATAAAACTCATCACACACGAAATAGCAGACATTACAACTGATGCCACAGAAATGAAAAAGATCATAAGGGGCATTTATAAACAATTATACACCAACAAATTGAATAAACTAGAAGAAATGGGTAAGTTCCTAAAAATATGCAACCAAGCAAGAATGAATCAAGAAGAAATAGAAAGCCTGAAAACTAGTAACAAATGAGACTGAATCAATAGTCAGAAACTTCCCAATAAAGAAAAGCCCAGTACTAGATGACTTCAATTCTATGAAACATTAAAAAAAAATCCTTCTTAAAGTCTCCCAAAATATGGAAAAAGAGGGAACACCTTCAAACTCATTTTATAAAGCTAGCCAGCATTACCTTGATTTGAAAGCCAAAGACACCACACCGAAGAAAACTACTGACCACTATTCTCTTATGAACATAAAACAAAAATCCTCAAGAAAATATTAGCAAACAAAATTCAACAGCACATAAAACAGATCATATACAATGACCAAGTGGGATTTATCCCTGGGCTATAAGGATGGTTCAACACATGAAAATCAATTCATATGATAAAGTACATTAACAAAATGAAGAATAAAAATCACATGATGATCTCAACAAATGCAGAAGAAGCATTTAACACAAAGTTCACCAGGAACTTAAACAAATTTACAAGAAAAAAACCCCATCAAAAAGTGGGCAAAGGATATGAACAGACACTTCTCAAAAGAAGACATTTATGTGGCCAACAAACATATGAAAAAAAGCTCAGCCTCACTGGTCATTAGAGAAATGCAAATCAAAACCACAGTGAGACACCATCTCATGACAGTCAGAATGGCAATCATTAAAAAGTCAGGAAACAACACATGCTGGAGAGGATGTGGAGAAATAGGAACGCTTTTACACTGTTGGTGGGAGTGCCAATTAGTTCAACCATTGTAGAAGACATTGTGGTGATTCCTCAAGGATCTAGAACCAAAAATACCATTTGACCAAGCAATTCCATTACTGGGTATATACCCAAAGGATTATAAATCATTCTACTATAAAGACACATCCACACTTATGTTTACTGAAGCACTATTTAAAATAGCAAAGACTTGGAACCAACCCCAATGCCCATCAATGATAGACTGGATAATGAAAATGTGGCACATATACACCATGGAATACTATGCAGCCATAAAAAATAATGAGTTCATGTCCTTTGCAGGGACATGGATGAAGCTGGAAACCATCTTTCTCAGCAAACTAACACAGGAACAGAAAACCAAACACCGCATGTTCTCATGCATAAGTGGGGGTTGAACATTGAGAACATACGAGCACAGGGAAGGGAACATCACACAACAGGGCCTGTCAGGGGGTGGGGTGTAAGGGAAAGGATAGCATTAGGAGAAATACCTAATATAGATGACGGGTTGATGGGTGCAGCAAACCACCATGGGACATGTATACCTACGTAACAAACCTGCACGTTCTGCACATGTATCCTAGAACTTAAGGTATAACAAAAAATAAAATTCAGCACCATTTCATGATAAAAATTCTCAATAAATTAGGTATAGAATGAATATCTCCCTTCTTTTTTTCTAGTACTTTTATGTCTTATATTTGCCTTTTAGGTATAGAATGAATGTCCCCCTTCTTTTTTTCTAGTAGTTTTATGTCTTATATTTGCCTTTAATTCATTTTTATTTCTTGACATTGGTCTTGGCTATGATTTCTTGGATGTAACACTAAAGAACATGCAACTGAAGCAAAAACAAACAAAGGAGACTAAATTAAACTAAAAATCTTCTGCATGGCATAAGGAGCAATGAACAAAATAAAAAGGTAATCTACAAAATGGGAGAAAATATTTGTACACCATGTACTTGAGAAACAGTTAAGTCAAATTATATAAGGAACTTATATTTTACAATAGTAAAAAAGACAACTTGATTGAACATACCTGACTAGAAAATGGTCAAAAGGTCTGAATAGACATTTCTCCAAAGAAAATGGAGAAAATGACAAACAGGTACATGGAAAAGTCCTCAACCTCCCTAATTATCAGAGAAGTGCTAATCCAACCACAATAAGATAATGTCTCACACGTGTTAGGATGACTATGTTAAAAAAACGTAATAAATGTTAGTGAGGATACAGAAAAGACAGAATCCTTGTATATTCTTAGTAGAAATGGAAAAAAATAGTATGGAGATTCCTCTAAAAATCAGAAATATAACTACTATATGACCCAGCAATCTCTCTCCTAGGTATATACCCAAAGAAAATAAAATCTCCACATTTTAGAGATACCATGTTCACTGCAGCATTATTCACAATAGCCAAGATATGGAAACAACCTAAGTGTCCACAGACAGATGACGGAATCAAGAAATTATTTTATACATATATAAAAATATATTTCACCCTTTAAAAAGGAGGTCCTGCCATTTGGGAAAACATGGATGAAATTGGAGGACATTATGCTAAGTGAAGTAGGCCAGACAAAGAAAGAAAAATACTGCATGATCTCTCTTATCTTTTCAATCTTAAAAAACGGATGTCAAATATGTAGAAAAGGAGAGTGGAATGGTGTTAGCAGAGTTGGAGGGAAGGGGAAATGCAGAGATGTAGGTCAAGGGTATAAAGTTGCAATTATGTAGGATGAATAAACTATAGATCTAATATACCACATGAGAACTACAGTTAATAATATTGTATTGTACACTGGATATTTGCTGAGAGTAGATTTTAGGACTCTTACCACACACAGAAAAGGTACTATGTGAGATGATGCATATTTTAATTGGTTTGACTGTAGTAATCATTTACTCTGTGTGTGTATAGCAAAAAGTGATGTTGTACACCTTAAATACGTACTATAAACATTCTTTTTTTTTTTTTGAGATGGAGTCCCACTCTGTCACCCAGGCTGTAGTGCAGTAACATGATCTCTGCTCACTGCAAGCTCTGCCTCCCGGGTTCCCGGGTTCACGCCATTCTCCTGGCTCAGCCTCCCAGGTAGCTGGGACTACAGGCGCCCATCACGACGCCCGGCTAATTTTTTTTTTTTTTGTATTTTTAGTAGAGACAGGGTTTCACCATGTTAGCCAGGATGGTCTCGATCTCCTGACCTTGTGATCCACCTGCCTCGGCCTCCCAAAGTGCTGGGATTACTGGCGTTAAGTCACCGCGCCCGGCCTGTACTATACAAATTCTTAATTGGCTATATGTATTCCAAATATTTTTTACTTTGTTTGCATGTCTTTTGTTTTTCAGAAATATATTTTGCTTTATAGAGCGTACTTTTTGTGTCTTATTTATGAAATAGATATATACTATATTTTGGTATCAATTATTTATATTTATTTTCTGACTTCTAATGTAACTTCTTTGTTTATCCTTTAGTTATTTAGAAGTGTTATTTTTATTAATTTATTTTGTATTTCCAAAGCAATGGTACAGATGGAAAAAAGTGCACTAAAGGAGAGGGTTGGGTGAAGAAGGGGAAGTTACCTTTTTGCTTCTAACTAATTTCTAATTTACTACATTTGATTTAAAAATGCAGTTATAGGATATTGATTGTTTATAACTTGGGATACTTTCTTTGTGACTTAGTATGTAGGTAGGTAATTTTTTAGAAATACTCCATGTATCCTTGAAAAGAAAATCCTGCACCTAGAGCCTAATTTAAAATAGATAAGCTTCCTGTTATCTTCCTGTGCTAAGTGAGCTTTTCTAGTCCACCGTTCTACTAGGGTAGTATCTCCTTGAGGGTCCAAGTATATTTGGGAGTCTCAATTCCATCTACAAATCCTTATTTCCAGTCTTCCTTAATCCTTCTTTCACATATGACCTCTGGAGAATTCTCTTTCTTTTTTTCTGAACTCAGGTTTCCATATAAAAGAACATTTGTTCTACTTTATTTAGCATATTTTACAGGAGAATTTTGAAGTTATCAAATTATTGCCAATAAGAGTCAACAGAATTAAAAGTTATAATATGTATACAAAGGAATGATTTAATGGATTATAAAATCAAAAATGCTGATTATATAAAAGCATTCAGCCTAAAGAATAATATTTATTTTTTGTTTTATTAAATTAATTAAAATTATAAGAGCACTGAAAAATCGTAAGTACATGAAGTTCATATCTTTACTGGTAAGCAGGACTGCATTTAATTTTGCTTCCATAAAACTCTATAAAGTCCTTTTTCACTCACATATTTCTGTGTATCATATGTATTAGAGAAAATTTATTTTCTTAATATGCATAATTGTGTTTTTATCTCAATTAATAGGAGTGTATCAAAGATAATTCATTGCTTACCAATTTGTTTTCTGTACTGATCAACAGGAAGTTTTATAGTAGCAGCATCTTTTCTACCCATCTTTGATCTCCAAAATGCCTGCTGAAAAGAAAACAATTATAATGAAAATTTTTTTAAAAAGGAGTGTCTATAAAATCCAGAAATAGTTTATTCTATAAAATTCATTTTTAAAGCAATGGGTACAAATACTTTGACTTATTTCCATTAAATATTCATAAAGAAAACAAAATTCTTTTAAATAAATTATCAATGATACAATTGCTGGTAATTAAATTTCTCAATCATTTGTTTTTGATAACATTCATCTTATCAAGTACTATCAGTGTTCCATTAAACCATATTGTTAAATAACATTATCTGTAAATATGAAAATCATGTAGTATTTACTTAGATAGGTTGGGGCTTTTGGCATACTTTTGGCAACATGCTTATTTCCAAGTATATATAGTTTGGATATATACTTACTATGTTACATTAAAAGTAAGGCTAAAGTTTGAATCTCAAGTATTTTGTATTTTATTTTAAAAAGCATAACATATACATACAAAGCAGATGAATTTCAGTTCTAGTTCTGCCCCTCTTAATGTAAACAATAAAAACTACTACCATTTATTAATATTTTCATGCTTATTACCTTATATGCACTGTTCGATTTAATCTACCTATTTTTATTGATATACAATAGTTGTACCTACTTTGGGTGGATATATGTAATATTTTGATACCTGTATACAATGAGTAATGACCAGTTCAGAATAATTGGGATATCCATCACCTTATTTACATGTTCTTTGTGTTGGGAGCAAAACAAAACTTCTCTTCTAAGTATTTAGAAATACATAATAAATTATTGTTAATCATAATTTTCCTACTGTACTATTGAATACTAGAAATTATTCCTTCTACTCTAACTGTATTTTTGTATCCCTTAACCAACTTCTCTACCCTCTACCCACTTCCCATCCCTGGCTCTGGTAGCCATTATTCTACTCTCTACCTCCATGAGATCCACTTTTTCAGCTCTCACAAATGAGTGAGAAAAAGCAATATTTGTCTTTCTGTGCCTGGCTTATTTCTCTTAACATAATGACCTTCAGTTCCATCCATGTTGCTGCAAATGGCAGCGTTTCATTTATAAGGCTGAATAATATTCCACTGTGTATAGAGACAACATTTTTGCTATCCATTCATCTACTGATGGATGCTAAGGTTGATTCCATATCTTCGTTATTGTGAATAATGCTGCAATAAACATGAGAGTTCAGATATGTCTTCCATATACTGATTTCCTTTTTTTGGATATATACCCAGGAGTAGGATATCTGGATCATATGGTAGTTCTATTTTTAGTTTATTGAGGAACCTCCATATTGTTTTCCATAATGGTGTACCAATTTACATTTTCACCCACAGTGTATGACCATTTCCTTTTTTCTCCACATCCCCACCAACACTTGTTATTTTTTGCCTTTCTGATAGCAGCCACTGTAACTAGGATGAGATGATATCTCACTGTGCTTTCAATTTGGATTTCCCTAATGATTAGTGATGTTGAGAATGTTTTTCAAATACCTGTTGGCCATTTGTATCTTCTTTTGAAAAATGTCTATTCAGATCTTTTGCCCATTTTTAATTGAATTGTGTTTTGCTATTGAGTTGTTTGAGCTCCTTATATATTCTGGGTATTAATCCTTTGTTGGATGAATATTTTGCAAATACTTTCTCATATTTTGTAAGTTGTCTCTTCACTTTGTTGATTGTTTTCTTTGCTGTGAAGAAGCTCTCTAGCTTGATGTAATCCTATGTGTCTATTTTTGATTTTGTTGCCTGGGCTTTTGAGATCTTACCCCCCCCCACAATTTTTGCCAGACCAATGTCCTGTAGTGTTTTCCCAATGTTTTTTTCCAGTCATTTCATAGTTTTATGTCTTACATTTAAGTCTTTAATCCATTTTGAGTTGATTTTTGTATATGATGAAAGATAGAGAATCTACTTTCATTCTTCTGCATATAGAAACCAGTTTTCCCAGGACCATTTATTAAAGAGACAATCGTTTCCCACATTGTAACTTCATAGTACTTTTATAAAAAATGAGTAGACTCTAAGTGTGTGGATTTAGTTCCGGGTTCTCTGTTCTATTCTATTGATCTATGTGTCTATTTTTATGCCAGTACCCAATTGTTTCGTTACTATAAATTTGTAGTATAATTTGAAATCAGATAGTGTGATTCTCTGGCTTTTTTCTTTTTGCTCAGAACTGCTTCAGCTATTGGGGATCTTCTGGGGTTCCATGTGAATTTTAGGATTGTTCTTTAGGATTTTTGTGGAGAATGTCATTGGTATTTTGATAGAGATTGCATTAAATCAGTAGATCACTTTGGGTAGTAGAGAAATTTTAACAAGATTAATTTTATCATGAAGGAATGTTAAATTTTGTTGAATACTTTTTCAGCATCTACTGAAATAATCGTATGGTGTTTATTCTTGATTCTGCTGTTGTGATACATCATGTTTATTGATATGTGTATGTTGAACCATCCCTGCATCACTGGCGTGATCCAACTTGATCATGATGCATTATCTTTTGAACGTGTTGCTGAATTTGGTTTGTAGTGTTTTGTTGAGATTTTTACATCTATGTTCATCAGCGATATTACCTTGTAGTATTCCTTTTTTTTATTGTGTTCTTGTCTAGTTTTGGTATCAGAGTAATGCCAGCCTTGTAAAATGAGTTTGGCAGTATTCCCTCCTCTTCAATGTTTTGAAATAGTTTTAGTAGAAATGGGATTAGTTCTTTAACTGTTTGGTAGAAGTCAGCAATGAATCTATCAGGTCCTGGACTTTTCTTTGATGGAAGATTTTTTATTCCTGCTTCAAACTCATGATTCATTTTTGGTCTGTTCAACTATTCTGTCTTGTCATGTTTAATCTTGATAGGTTTTATATGCCCAGGAATGTATTCTTTTCTTCTAGATTTTGCAATTTGTTGGTATATAGTTGTTCTTAGTAGTCGCTAATGATCTTTTGCATTTCTGTGGTATCAGTTGTAATGTTTCTTTTTTGTTTCCCATTTTATTTGAGTTTTCTCCTTTTTTTCCTTGGGCAAGCAAAGGTTTGTTAATTCTACTTATCTTTTCAAAAAACAACTTTTTGTTTTGTTGATTTTTTTTGTATTTTTTTGTCACAATTAAAATTTATTTCTGCTCTATAAGTTTTATGATTTTTATTGAATTTAAATATTGCAGCAGAGAGTACAACCTGATTACCACATTCATATTCTCCTTTTCTTCCTAGCACAGACTCTATTTCCTAGCCTCAATTACAATATGTCATTATTCATAGAATACAATGTTACAGTCGTAAGTATTCTTCAAACTGGTGTCTGCAAGTTGTTCCTCATTCCTTCTAGTAAGGCATTACAAGATGAAGATGAAGTCAGACAAGAACTAGTCATGTCACAAGCAAAAATATAGAGAATAGAAAGTCCAGTAATTTGGGGCTAAAAATGTTGGAAAAGCCAACTTCTTCTGAGAACCAACAGGAGAAAAATGAAAACAGGCTTTGAAGAACAAAGACCCATGAAAACTTATCAGCTTAAAAAAAAAGAAAAAAAAAAGAGAGAGAGAGACAAAGAGCAGATTAGGGGTTTTCACTGTCTCACCTGAGCCTATTATTTCAGATTACTTCAAAGCAGACACTATTGGGTAGAAAAAGAGAAGTCAAGGAGTTCTAAAGCACAGAAAGAAAGTGGACATGAGAATTAGGTCTAGGAAAGAAATTGCACTGTGTTTATTGGCACATGCAACTGAGTAGAAATGGTAAGAAGGTTACTAAAATGTGAGGGAACTATATTTACTAAGAAACCAGAAACATAATCTAAAAAAGTCTTTGAATGAAAGCCAACTTTTGGGCCTCTACATTTAAACCAATATACAGCAGTACCCAAGGAAGGCAAACTCTATAGAGTTTATAACATCCACTTCACACATGACTAGAAAGGAATAACCATCCAGAGGGGAGAGCCATGAAGAATGGACAAAAAGACCATAAACTGAAACTTCTATTTCAGTATAGTGGATCTTCTCAGTGGTCTCGTGAGCAGAGGTTTTATCATCACAATGGACCAATGACTCCTGTGGCTGTTTTCCATTCTTCCCTTTATAAATGGGAATGATTATTGCAGGTATAAAGCAGTTATCCACTGCTTAATCATTATTTCTTAGGGGTTTTGTGATGCTGGGGAGGAGTAGAAAAATGTCACAGGCAAATTGAGAGAGGACTGTGTGTTAGCTTGAGATCCTTGGCTTGGAGCTAGAAGCAATAAATGCTAGATGTTTAGGTTCTCTCTATTGGGGAGACAGAAAAAAATAATGTGCATAGTTATTTCCGTGCCAGAAAGATAAATTATTAAAAAAACTGTTGGCTACTCACTAAAATACATGTTCTCCTTTTTTTTTCCTCTGGGTACTCTTGACTAATTTCCCAGCCTCCTTTGATGTTAGTTGTGGACACATCACTTATTTTCAACCAACAGAATGTGAGTAAATTAATGTTTCCTACTTCTAGAACTGACCTATAAAAACGTTCCTTGCATACTCATTTATCTGGATGAAATGGAGATGACCTCTAGGGTAACTCTGAACATGAGTGATGAAGATGATGACAGCCTGGATCATGAATGACTGCATGGAGGACAGCTATCCAACCAACTTGTTTTTCTGTTTCATATTGCTGTGATAAGAAAAAATAAATTTGCAGCATTTGCAGTACTATACATTTTTCGCATTTATTTGTTACAATAGTTGTCATCACTGAAACTAAAACAAACAAGTATAGATGTTTCCATATAAACTGATGCAATTATCAAACTGTAATTTTTCTAAAGAGCTTTATTAAGGTTCTAAAACACTAAATGCATTTGAAATCTGTCCAGACAAAATTGTATTGTTTATCTATATATATTGTCACACAGATAGTTAACAGTGATCCCACCCAATACAGTGAAAGCCATCTCCAACTTAATAATTTTTATCCATATGTGACAAAGTTATAAGTTCAGCTAAAAACCTATTTTTCTAATCATAATAATCTTCATATTCATGGTATTATTGCAATATCTAGGAATATTCAAATTATGACAAAGTCAAATAAGTTAAATTTTCATCTCTAATAAACCATGTAGTTATTACATCTAAGAAAACATTTTAAAATTCTAGCAATAAAATCAAGACAGCACCTAATTCTATAGTCTTACTTCTTATAATTCAAAACATTAAAAATAATTCTGTCAAGACAAGCACCATAAAAATTGTCAATAGATACATTATAATTTATTCATATAGCAATCCTATTTGCATAGTATTTTGCATTTATTAATTGTAAATAGGAATCAAGTTATTTTAATCTTAATTGTGTGTGGCTAGGGAAGATACCACTCCATTTTAGGAGAGAAGTTGGATTAAATGAATAAACACTCAAGATATTATTCCCTTTTCAATTTAGTTTTGTTTTTTGCCTTTACAGACTATGCTTAATTTTTTCTTAAAGCAAATCACTGAGGCTATCTGCCAAAATGGTTACTCATTATGCTTCCCCCAATTCCTTTCTAGTCATTTAAGCCAACATCCCAGCAGAGATAACACTTCAGAAGTCAATACTTTATTCATTCACTACCTACAGAAAATAAAAAAGTAAGAGGTTTATCAAAAATATATTTTTACCAAAGTAGCTGAATTTTACTTATATGTTAATATACTTTACATTAAAAATTATGCCACGGAAAAATCTAAAGAATCTAAATTTTCAGAGGGGCCTATGCTTTATGAACAGACATTTTATAGGTATAATAATCACTGAATATAAAAGCTATAAAAGAATTTCAACCAAGATACATTAGAGAAAAACTGGTTTAAAATTTTTGTTCTAGTTATTTTTAGTGGTTTGGTATTATTTAATCAAAATTTCAAAATTTAAACTTTCTCATTGTCTTTGAAATTATTATATTCTATACAGTAAGTAAAATAACGTTTTACCAAATGATAAAACAAAAAATGCTTATAGAACACATTCTTACATAAATTACTTACATTTTATTAGCTGCAAGAAACACACAAAAAAATAGAAAGCATTTTGCCTTACTAATAAACACATTGAGGCTATTTTAAATGACCTAAAGAGATACCTATTCATCTGTATGATGCAAACTGTCAATGACTCAGACATGTAGAACCTTTAAAATGTTCTGACTTTTCTTTGTTCTTCAAAGCCTTGCAGTAATCATCATTCATTTCTATTGCTTTGATGGTTAGATAGCAAACTCCCAAGAAATCCAGGGAGACATTAGCACATACAGCCGCAATTTCTAATAAGACAGCTACTTGCATACAAGATCAGCCACAATTTAAAATGTGTTGTGATAGATGCGGAAAGGGAATAACAGACTTATATTAGCATGTACAATACCAAGATTGTTTTCACAATTTAATTCCTTGGAGATTATGTCTCATCACCTTCTTTTGTAAAGAACACTGCATTCCCTGAGGAACTAACTTGCTCTGAGACCTAGCTAAACTGAAATATGGATTAATAAGATAATATTTATTATTTATGAATTTTGCTGTAGGAATGATTTCAGATTAAATCATCACAGAAGTTTCCAACATTCTTGAAACTTGATAACACATATTTAAAGAAGAAAAATGCTGATTTTATTTAATACTTAAATTGGATATTAAAATAATTCAGTTAATTTTTATCTAATTAAACTTTACACTCATTAGGACTTTTAAGATTAAACATAGCATTCTTGTTTTTAGTATGCTTTCTTAACCTGAATTTTCCAGAGCAATTTTGCGAACTGTATTTTAAAGCATAATATGTGACCTTTAAAAACAAAAGTAGTATTATATTCAATCACCTTCCGACCAAGTTATTTTATTGCTCATTTATACCTTTTTTATGAAATCCAGAAAGAACAAGTAAAGAAATAAGAAATCTGAAGCCTTCACATATGTCTCTGCTTCCAGAAAAAGCACTAAATCCAGACTGTGACATTTAAATACATATCAAAACACAGGTTATTAAAAAAAGTTCAACCCATGTCCACAGAAAAAATAATTATCTTAGTTTTTAAGGCTAAAAGAAATACACTTACTAAGAAAACTCTTCGCTAAACGTGAAGCTATAGTTAGGCAGAAAAGGTATTTGGTTATGGCTGCATCAAAGTTGAGAACCAATCATGAAAATACAACCTCATGCTAGATGCTGAGGATATAATAAACACAGAAGATATTTGTCCCTGATCTTATCACACATTAACCATTTCCAGAGTATTACAAATTTAAAGTTGTTCATTCACTTAACATATTTAAGTCATTGAAATGATGACACATTTCCTAGATAAAGCAAAAATCCTTAATATTAAGAACTATTAATGATCTGAATTTGTCATGTGTTCCTTTCTCATGTTCCAGTGCACTAGGAAATTCAGCTTTTACTTCCTTGACTTTGACAAGCTCATTCGTGTTTCCAGGAATTTACTATGTTCTGCAATTTGCTTTAAATGTCTTTTCAATACATCCCCACTTGTGAAACCTATATATTGTAATATTGCACACAAGAGTCATCTCTGAGTAATCATTCAGATCTTGCCTAACAGGCATCATTCATGATTCAGATATTCAGAGATAGTTCTCCACACTTAAGGAAATGAAAAAAAAAGTCTTTTGAAAGACTATCAAGTGTGAAGTGGACAAGGTATACACAATTATAATATTAAAATGCAGTATTATAAGTAATATTAATTATTTCAATATTATAAGTCATATTAATTATTTCAATTAATTATATGTATTACTCATATTAATAGTATTATCATATTGTCATTGAGACAAGTTATTACACTGAGGAACAAATTCGTACTGTATAAAACTGGAGAGCTAAACAGTTGTTATTCTAAAGTTTTCAGAGATCGAAGTGCCCAGTTCACCTATACTTTGACAAACTAATGTCCTTTATAGCCTCAGAAAAAGTATCTAAAAACTGAAATATGCAAAAAGATGATTTCTAAAATCCTGATCACTTGCCAACATTGATATGAAAATTTATACAAAAAGTAAGTACAGGACACTTATCTGTGTAAACCTAAAAAGTCATGTTCCAGAAAAGAAATCTTAGTCGTTGGGACTCACCTTCCAGCCAAACTACGGAACTAAAATACAGTATTAGGAAATAGTGCTAGAACAAATATATTTCTTCATGAAAAACAAAACAAACAACCAAAAATATTTAACCCCTATCTCATATCATACACAAAAATTAATTGAAGATAGATCATACAACTGAACGAAGTAGCTAAGACAACAAAGTTACTAGGGAAAATATTATATTCATGACTTTGTAGAGGCAAATATTTATTGAAGAAAACATAGTAGGATATATCATAAAAGAGAAAAAAAGGATGAACTGGATTACATCAAAATTAATATTTGCTTATCAAGACACCAATAAGAAAATAGGTTATTACAGATAGATAGTATTCATAACATATGTATCTGACAAAATAATTTGCATCCAGAATGCATTAAAAAACTATTTAATAATGTAAGGTATACAACCTAATAATTTAAAAAGGGGTCAAAAACTTGAACAGGAACTAGAAACTTCAGCAAATAAGATATATAAATGACAAGCACATGAAAAAGTTCTTAACAACAGTAGTAATCAGCAAAGTGCAAATTAAAATTAGAACTGAGATTCTACTACATATCTACTAGAATGGCTCAAATAAAAAATATTTCATATACAAAATATTGAAGAGAATGTGGAGCAACTGAAATTTCTGGTACAACTTCTTTATAAAATTGACTGTTCCTACAAAGTTAACTACCAGCAATTTTTGCACTTCTATTCTCAGATATTTATGTAAGAGAGATAAATGTATATGGTTACAAAAATACTTTCTACAAAAATGGTCATGGCTGCTTTGTTCATAATAGTTGAAAATTGGGGGCATGGTGGCGGGTGCCTGTGGTCCCAGCTACTAGGGAGGCTGAGGCAGGAGAATGGTGTGAACCCGGGAGGCAGAGCTTGCAGTGAGCCAAGATCGCGCCACTGCACTCCAGCTGGGGAACAGAGCAAGACTACATCCCCAAAAAAAAAATTGGAAGCAGCCCCAATATTGATCAACAGAAGAGTTGATAAACTGTGGTTTATTCATACAGTGTAATACTACCAAGCCAAAAAAAAAAAATACTGAACATAGGCAATAGAGATAAATCTCAACAATGTTATGCAGAGAAAAAGAAACCATGATGTCTCTGTACTTAAATGGTCATTCATCAGTGTTATTTGTTCTTGTAGCATCACTTGACAATGGTGACCTCTACTCCCTTGAAAATACTTGAAAAAAATATTTCCTATGGGCTAAAGAATAAGTGAGAGGTAAGAAAGCAGAAATGAAAATTACAGACCAATCCATTATAAAATAAATACAAGGAAGGAGACAGATAGCATAGTAAGTAGAAAGGAACTGAGGTTGAGGAAGAGATTTTTTTTGTTATACTTTGTTTTTACTCTTTAGGGCTTGTTTCTGATTAAAGATGAAAATTTGAGTTGGTCTAAATAATAATTGGGAGGAACAACCAGAAAGTGAGAGGGTGAAAATACAGAAAAAAAAAGTATGAAAGCATAGAATCCAGTATTCATTTCAAGTAATAATCATAGCACACTACGTCCATGAGTCACTTTAACAAGAAAAAGAGAAAATAACAGGCAAAATTATACATAAGACTTGAGGTCTGGTAACCAAAAGTAGAGGGATATCTATGCAGTAGCTCTGTTTTCACTATGAAGTAAAAGGCAAGATTATCTCCTTATGAGAGAAAGGAAAGGTGGGAAGTTTGGAGGTTTGCAAGTGCAGAGCTGGAATTAATGCTGTGGAGGAATGGAAAGAGTTGTCTAAAGAAAACAGGATTAACTGGGTGCAGTCACTTGTGCCTGTAATACCAGCTACTCTGGAAGCTGAAGTGGGAAGATCTCTTGAGCCCAGGAGTTTAAGACTGCAGTGAGCTCTGATCATGCCACTGCACTCCAGCTTGGGCAACAGACTTGAGGCCTCATCTCTAAAAAGTATAAAAATAAAAAATGAAAACAGGATTTATGGGCAACACCAAGAGACCAAAAAAAATTGTAACCTATTACAAAAAAAATGAATCTATTATAGCACTGGACTATCTGATTGCAAATAATATTTTTCTTTCTGAGTGCTTAGCTACCTAGTGCTGACATAGGGAAGGGTAGTCTACTAGAGTAAGTAAAATTTAAGTTTTCCCAGATAGGCATGACAGAAAACTTTAGGATACTATAAAAAGTGGGTGACTTGATGTTCTACGGTATCTAAAGGTAGAAAAGGAAGTGAAGACAGTAGTGGTTTAGAGTTAAGCAGAAAGTGGAACAATCTTTGGACTTAATAAAGTTAAATAACCAAATTTGAAAGTAAAAAAAAAACAAATAACAAAATTTGGGAGTAAAAAAATAACCAAAAACCAAATACTAGGAGTGAAAGTTATTTTACTAGAGAAGAAAGGTTATTAAAGGTCACTAGTCAGTGTGAGTGTAAGGCGATTAATATTATTATTGAGATGGAGTAAGTTTTGGTCCAGAAGGACTGAAGTGGTAGGAAAACATTATGGCAGATATGTTAAGGAACTGAAAGACCAGGATAATGCATATGTCATACATGTGAATCATGAGGGTACCCAGGATAGTAGCAGGATTTGGGTGAGGACACAAAGAAAGACTCAGTTAGAAAGACTGAGAAGGGACCTGGATGTCCATAGATAAACAGCAAAAGAGAGAGGTAGAGGACACTACAGTCAAATGGAATGAATCACTAAGGAGCTGGGCTTCTTGTTTGATTTGTCTTGTTTGCTTTTATGTGCAGGAAATGTAAATGTTCTGGAAGTGGCAATAAAAAAATAAAATGATAAAAATCAACCTCTTGATTCACAGGTATGTGAACAATGGAAGAATAGTTTCCATTTAAGATGGCTTCAGGAAAGTGGTGCTTGTAAGAAGAATCAAGTTCCAATTAATGTCAAGAGGTAAAATTAATAAAGCGTTTGGGATTAACTGGGTTCAAGGGGGATATAAAAAGATAGAGAGGGAAGGAAATAGCAGGAGACTAGTCCATGAAAAACCAAAGATAATACAGAATAATATGGGCATAAGTGTTTAGTGGAGGACCTATAACCAAATGGGTCAGGTAGGGCAGTGAGAAAAGTTAACAGGAATGTGTAGTATCTTGAACTACCTTTATCTCAAAACTGCAATGAGTACTCAGGCCTCTCCAGGAGTCAGCTGTAGCCTTGGTAAATGGAGGAGTCCCCATCCCTCCAGGAAAGGTCAGCTGGCTAGAATTCAGCACCACAGAAGAAAGCCTCAGATCTCAAGAGTCTAGTTAGTACCACCTATTCATTGGGAGCAACTGGAGGGTCCAGATCAGTATTTGTCAAAGTATGGTCCATAATCACCATTAGAGTTGTCTGGGATACTCATGAAAATGCATATTCCTGGGCCCCATCACAGTCCTACTCAATCAGAATCTTAGGGGCTAAAGTATATGGATCTCCAGTTTTGTTTTGTTTTTAAATTTCCCATGTGATTACTGCCAACATTAAAGTTTGAGAACCATTGATTATCTTTTTAACAAGGTCACAGGCAATTCTTTTGCATATTAGCATTTGAGAAACACAGCTGGAAGTAGATGGGAGGCCTGAGCAGGGACTGTGAAGCCCTTCAGCCTCTCTGGTGGACCAGCAAGGCCTGGTTGGGGTGGCATGATCAAATTGTGGACGTTTCTAATGATCCCCTGAAACTTTAGACTTTTTCTGAATTCAGTAGGAAAACATAAAAGGATTTAGTGCAGTGAGGTAACCAAATCAGATACTTTTTAATAAGATTAGAAAGACTAGGAGGTTTGAAGTTAACTAAGTAGGCTAGAAAAATGCAGCTAAGTTCCAAAAGTAATCTACCAAGTGATAAATCAATGCAACAAGTAGAAAGGAAGTTCTATTTGGTGTTTTACTTTTTAGAATATAGGAACAGCTTGGATGGGGGCAATGAGGCAGAGGAAAAACTGAAGATGACAATGTTTTTCAATTTTAGTGATAGTTAGCTAAAATACAAAGTCCAGGCCTCACCCTTCAAAAATACCCAGTCAATAATGTTGGGGAGTGGCTAAGGAAGCAGCATTTTGAATAAGCACTTACTCCCTGCCAGTTTTCAAATTCAGGTGGCTAGTGGACCATACTTGGCAAATATTGCGTTAGACAGATGGTAATGTCATTAACAAAAACAGGTAATCTAGAAGTAGGTATGGGGTGGCTGACGAGGGTGGAGGAGCATTAGAAATCTACATTACAAAATGTTTAAAACAAGAAATAAGAAAACAAAGCACTTGTTTTTCCCAAAACCTAATAGAATTAATTAATCTAAACATAATTATGTCACAAATAACCCAGCCCCCACCAAAAAATACCCACAAATATTTTACTTACTTTTATTTTAATGCTTTTTTAATGCACAGATTGTTGTGGCATCTGGACACATGACACACTTGAAAACAACACATTAAATTTATACTGCCTGGAATAGACAAAAAGCTGCCTTGTAAGCATCATCAACAATGCTCATCATTGGGGGAGGGGTGTGCTGCATTAGCTGGGTCCCATGGAATTATATTTTTAAATTCTAAACTTTTCACAAATATAAAAGGGATAGGCATTTCAAATCTGAAAGGCCACATGAGGGAGATAACTTCTATTAAATAGCAATTTTTTCAAGTACGAAAATGATTGTTATGATTCACCAGGGTTTGACTTCAACAGTATGGGAAATGTACTTGAGTTAATCTTCTGGATTATATTTGTAAAAGAAGATAGGTTAGTTAAGCTAGGATTGGTCTATAATGTAACTCTTAGTAGTCAAACTAAAAAGTAATTAATCGCATAAATTACACTATCCTTTAAATAAAGATTTTTTTATGAAAACTGCTCTTTCTAAAAGTTTTAAAAACTTTCTAAAAGTTGTGCACATGTACCCTAGAACTTACAGTATAATAAAAAATAAAAATAAATAAATAAATAAATTTTAAAAAGATTACAATAGGCTGGGCACAGTGGCTTACACCTGTAATCCCAGCACTTTGGGAGGCCAAGGCGGGCAGATCACCAGAGGTCGGGAGTTTGATATCAGCCTGGCTAACATGGTGAAACACCCCCCCACCCACGTCTCTACTAAATATACAAAAAATTAACTGGTCTTGGTGGTGCATGCTTGTAATTCCAGTCACTCAGGAGGCTGAGGCAGGAGAATCGCTTGAACCCGGGAGGTGGAGGTTGCAGTGAGCCGGAATTGAGCCACTGAGCTCCAGCCTAGGCAACAAAGCGAGACTAGGTCTCCAAAAAAAAAAAAAAAAAAAAAAAAAGATTACAATAATATGATACCAAACAAATGAAACTGCAGACCCTGTTTTCAGGATTACAAAGTGCTAATACAAGAAGAAACACATATCCAAACATGTAAAAAGAACAAACATCTACAATTATGATGTAAAGCCAGTAAGGGAGGCAGCTTGTACCACTGCACGCTAAGAGCTTAATCAAACAAAAGGAATGAGAAGAAGCAAGGGTACCATTAGCTTCAGGGATTCTGAGGTTCACAAAGGGCAGTTTCATATCCACTTGACTATTACCCGACAAACCTTCAGACTGCTTTTCCTGATGAGACAAAGAGTAATTGAAAACGGGGTTATGATCTAAAGATCACAAACTTTGAGTTTTCAATGCTTACAATCCCTCTAAATTGGATTATTTTAAGAAAATTAAATAAAACTCAAGATTGTTTGAATTATCACAGGAATAAAAAAACTTTATTTCATCCAGCTGGTACCAAAAACTGGGCTAAAAAATGAAGGAAAACAATAAGCTCTAGAGGTAAACATCTCAGATGGTATATACTTTTATCTCTGTAATTCCTGACTAAATGGATGTAATTTCTTTTATCATAATTCCTCTATATGAATGGCCTTTTCTTGGCTCTAATGGAATATTAGTGAATTCTTATGACTCAGAATTTTCAATAAATTTTTCTGAAACAAAAATTTACTAGCAAAAAAGACACTGCCTTTATGTTTAGCCCAAATGTTAATTGCATTTGACTAAGAATTTCTGAGTAATACATCTGTGTTCAGTGTAAACAAAATGTTCTGATACACTTTAAGTCTTATCAAAATCACTACTAATAACCAAGTTTGTTTTATCCAATGTTAAAATTTTTATTTTTCTTAATTTATATGCATTTTACATTGAAACAAAACGTGAACCAAGTTGCCAAAATTTGGTAGTTTTAGGATAAAACTACTATTAATAAGTTTGGGAAGTCTACTGAAAACCTTTTCTGAGTCTCTACATGCATGTGCTCTGTCAATCTAAGAGGGGGCTTACATAAGTCACATTACCCAATATTACTTGCCCGATTTCTCAAACAATGCACATTATCATCCCAAGAAGCATCTGTTTCATGTAAAGTTTGGGAAATAGAGGCCTAGATTATTGGAAAGCTAATTAAAATGGATCATAACAGAACAAAATAAGCATTTTGGTTAACGAATAAAAGATATCAAGAACTGGCTAAGAGACATGCTTATCAATCATTTCCCCAGCTTGTGATAAAGGAATATCCTGTCATCAGAGACCTATAATAGGATGACCATATAACTTACCATCCAAGCCAGAACACTTTTGAGAGTCAAAGAGGGCCCCATTCATTACAGCAAGATAAACTTAAACCAGGACCATCCAGGACAGCCCTTGCCCCAACTATGAAGCACACAAGGACAGTTTACCATACACCATAGCTCAGTTAGTTTTATCACCCATAAGGTGTTGCGGTACCAGGAAAGAATGGCAAGTCTTCTTTTAAAATACTGCATTTCAGAAAACAGATTAATATTTTAGGCAATACCTGAAACAGATATGAGAATATCACAATAGTAGGTTATGCTGAGATAGACTGTCCTTATTTACAAAATCATCCTCTGGCACATGGCACTACTGAATACTCTGTCGTCAAACTTCAAGCCGTCAGCTTCCAAGTCAGCACTTTCCTGATTCTCCTTCTACATTTCAATTTCTTCTTTACCTCTTTCATTAGCATTCTTCCTCTAGGTGCCTATGAAACTATGGCGTTTGTGTTCCCGTGTTCCCCATAATTCATTCACTTTATATATTACGCCCTCCTTGGGTACCTCATTCCCTCAAATATATTCCAAGGTCCTATATAACTACCCCTAACTTCTTCAATCATACATCTAGCATCATTCTAACAAAGCATAATCAATGTGAATTTCTTATTTTTCCTTTAACTAGCAAGTTTCTCCTGTTTTCTACCTTTTTTGTTTGTTTTAACTAAACTGACCAATACAGTGTTCTCATTGCATGCTATCCTCTTTTGACAGTGTTAACTTGGATCACTTGATTAAGGTGGTACCTGCCTAATTTCTCCACTGAGAGAGAATTTAGTCTTTTCCCCTTTGTAATTAATAAGTATTTGGTGTGGAGGTGCTTTGAAACTATGTAAATATCCTATTCATCAAATTTACCACTACTTGGTTAGCATTTATTGATGTTTCTCGGTTGAATTAATTATATTCTGACAGGTGCCATGTGATGATTTTATAATTTCCTCATTTCTTCCATATTTATTCGTTAGTATCCTACTTTATTAAAAAGCATTTCCTTCTCTCCATTTATTTATTCATATATGCGTTTATAGCAGTATGTACTCATAGATATTTTTATTCAATTAGTTAGAATTAATGTATATCATTTTTAAAATTTTGATTCCCAAATTGTCCTGGATTTGGCCAGTGAAAGTTCCTTCAAGGTGGTTTGTGTCCTTTTGGCATATCACCTTTTTTAAGAACCTCTTTATTTTCTGACACACAGATATTTACGGTTTAGCGTGTGTTTTCCCTGCTCCTGCCCTGGGACCTGCCATTTCTCTAAGGGCCCACTTCCCCTTTAGTAGAGAATGTTTTTTAGAAAGCAAGATCTGGGGACAAGATATGCTCATTTCTAATAAACTGATACTGTTCACAGGCCTTCTAAGGAGAGAGAGCTAGGAAATATATGTATTGGTGTGAGCTCAGTACTTCCAATTTCCAATCCAACATCACACAGCTCTCATTCTACTACGCCCTTTCCACATTTATATTCATAGCTTTCCTCTCTAACATTAGGAAACCTGTCAGACATTATTATCAATGAAAGTTTTCATGTTTAATTTTTTGTATAATATTTTACAAAACAATTAATACCTAATATTTCTAAAATTTGTGAGTCACCTATGAAACAAAGGATAAGAACCGATTTGAATTAAATCTACAGAATAAATAACCTGTGCTCATATAGACCAACTTGGTGATAATGGTAATATCAAATATTAAATACCCCATAGAGGTCTATCACCTTATTTTACACCTTATAGACATATGCTCCACGCTATGGCAAGGAAAATGAGACTGTGCTTAAACCAACCACACCTACTGCTGAAGCTGGCCATGGGGTCTGTTTCTCCTAAACATATGACTGTCTGCAAAATGGGTAGATAAAAGAATAAAACCAGTGTTCTTTGAAGATAAGGCATAAAGATTCTAGATAGAAAACTAAAAGCATCAGTCCTATGTGTAGCCACATACTGTATGTTTACATGGGTATTTATACATTTAAAAATATAGCTTGTCTATATCAGATTGCTAACATTCAAGATATATATTGTGAAATCATGTTTCTGTATATTGATTCATCACTTAATCTAAGGTTTAAACACAATGATTCTCACACTTCTGACTATAAAGTACACAGATAACATATCACTCACTGAATCTCCTTGATCTATTTTAGCGGCAAGCATCACTTATGCTAATTTTTAGTCATTTCTATGTGTATTATCAATTTCAAGTAATTAGGTTTCCAAATTCAACAAAAAAATCCTTAAGTGACTAGGGAAAGTCACTCAGTTCCACACAGAGAGAGCAGGAGAGAAAGTGTGAAAGAAATAAAAACCTCTATTATTTTTGTAATGGTGGCTATTTCAATGGTGAACTGAAAAAGCAAGTTCTAGTTTGGTACATGGATAGTTTCCAAAAGACGTTCAATGATTATCCCTTGACTAAATAAAGAATAGTAGGGAAATGTACCAGACAAGAAGGCATAAAACCTTAGCCACATCTTTTCAATGAAAGACTAGATGACATTGACAAAGTCAATCAGTTTCCCTTCTTACACAATTGCTAAACTCTCTTCCAGTTTAAAAAACATAGAATACATAAGCATATGTATCAGGCTAAGGGTAATTATTTTCATGCCGAGAAACACATCCTTAAATATTAAGACAGAACTAACAATAAGTACATAACTTTTAAGCATATATATCTTAAAACTAATGGAAATTATGTGTACTGAAATAAGCTTAAGTATATAAGAGGAAACAAAGAGCTCAAGACAACAATAACAAGGCCCTTTATGGAAATTTTGCTTCCAATGTAATAGCTTCAAAATGCTGTATGACTTATTTAAAAGAGCTTTATTAGTAATTAAATGTCAAAAGTATAAAAACAACTGGTCTATATCCAATTTCATAGAAGTTGTACTAAACGCATTCATTATATCGAAGTCCCAGGTGATTATAGCATTAGCACTTTGTTAGTATTTGCAGACTGCTAGTTTTCAAACAGATTGTGGTATTATAACATGTATTTATCAGCTATGATGCAAATTATGCTTTTAAAATACCACCGAATTTTTCCACTAGAGAAATACAATAAAGATTTTTGAGCTTAAAAAATTGAGAAAACAACATGGAAAAAGGTTAATGGAAATAAGCACTAGGCTATTAGCTAATATAACTCTACTATGTAGAAACAAATAAATAAGTAAAAATAGATGGAATAGTACAATACGAAAAAGCATAAGTAGATTTCCTGTTACAATGGATTGATGGAGAAAAGAATTTCCCAAGTTAAACTGTAATACAAACAAAAAACCAGAAGTTCTACTTTGTGCCAGCTTTTTATCTTCCATCTCCTATTCCCTAATTCCCACTCTATCAAATCTGTAATGCCTTTCATAAGGTATTTCATTTAAAAAGATGTCAAAGTTCTGCTTGATAGTTAATTGTCGGCCTTTTTAAGAGTATTCAGTCTCACAAAAAATAACAAAGAAAAGCTAGCAAATGAAAATACGAAAAATATACTTTTGAATAAACTGTTCAAGATAATAAAAGATTCCAACTTGATCAATGTTGTGAACTACAAATATTAAAACACTTCAACAGCAAATGTTTAGAAATTATTGCTAAAATAAAATAATCAGGGTTTTGGTTAAAAGCGTGTTCATTCTGTGAAAATTCACCGTCTACATATTCTGTTTTGTGCACGTTCCTTTATGTACAGTATTATGCATCAACAGAAAGTTTTGAAAAATTAGTAATGTAGCTAAAGTGATAAGTAAGCACAAATTAGAAAAGACAAAAGATTGAAAAATAATGAACCAAAAAGGAAATAATAGAAAAAGAATAAAGCCCTTCAAATTACAAAAAGTCATAAACTAAAAGCAATAAATAATTAAATTTAAAAAACAGAGTCAAAAGGGATGATCAACATAGACAAAAACTGAGCCTTTGAAAAATAATAACATGGAACAAACTCTTGTCCTGACGGAATAAGAAAAAAATACACAAACAGTATTAGATATTTAAAAAAAGACTCAATATTCAGCAGAGATTAACATTATATAACAAGAAGATTCTATTAAAAATGCCATATCAATAAATTTAAAAATTAAAACACATTTCTTAAAAAACAGACTTACCAATAGCAGCTGAAGAAGGTAGAGATCAAATAGAATAAAATTCAGTGGAACTATAATTTTTTAAGTCAATCAATGTTTAAAAATCTACCCTTAAAAAATAAGACATACACACACAAAACAGGTAAGATTAAATGGTCAACAAGGAAGTTTTATTAACCATTCAAGGAACACATAATCCCTACAACAAGCTTTATCAGGTATATAAAATATTAAACTATTTTGAAGCCTAAAAATTGGCACACTTCTCAACTCATTTCATAAGGCTAATAGAATCTTGAAATGAGAACAAGGCAAGATCATTATGAGAATGAAAAATTACAAGCCAATCTTATTTATGAACAAAGATACAAAAATCCTAAACATAATATTAGACAACCAAATCCAGTATGTATAATCATAATGATAAAATATTCCATGATGAAGCTGGGCTAATCACAAAAATGAAAGGGCAATTTAACATTAGATATTATCTTAGTAGTATTCTTGTTAACTGATTAAAGGAGGAAAATACTGACAGACCTCAATCAATACAGAAAAATAAAAGTTACATTCAATACCCATTCATTATTACAGGGGGAGAGAGAAGGAAGAAAGATAGAGGATGAACAGAGGGAGGCAGGAAGGAGAAAGCAAGGAATTTAGTATATAGAAATAGAAAAGAACTTTTTACCCTGTTGATACATAGGCAAACAAACAAAGCAAAGATTATCCTAAATAGAGAAAAATTAAAAGTTCTCTTTTAAAAATCATAAGCAAGACAAAGACATTGCAGTGAGACATCCAGATAGCACAGTAAGACAAAAGGGGAAAGAGCATAGGGGATTGGAAAGGAAAAAGAAAACATTATGATTCACAAATAATATGACTCCCAGGTGGCAAAGTGGAGAGAAACTACAGACAAATATTTGAATCTGTATGAAATTATTTGTAAGAGCTCAGCCAGGTTATGATATATAAAGTTTATATATAAAATTCTAATTTAGTATAGCAACAAAATCTATAAAGCAGCTATAAATACTATGGAATACCTCTAAAAGTATATGCATGACTACTTATTGAACTGTTATAGGAGCTCAGATTATTACAATAAGTTAAGAAGAGTAATTAATAAAATATTTGAGGGAGCAATGTGGCAATACCCAGTAAAATTAAAGATTATGTACCTACAAGAACCATTAATCAACTGCTAGTTATATGAACTAGGGAAACAATTCTATATGTGCACAAAAACACTAGTAAGTACACTCACTGAAAATGTTTTTAATAACAGCAAAAAAGGAAAATAAAACTCTGTATGTCTACATAATTTATTCATAAGTGAAATATAAAGCAGTTAAAATGTGTGAACAAAGACACATGTATTTATACACTTACAAAACAACTTAAAACATGAAAAATCAATAGTCAATATTATTTAGGGAAAAATATACCTATACCAACACACACACACACATGCACCCAAATGATAAACGCCAAATTCTGTGGTTATATAGCAGGAATGAGGAAGTACAATTAAGATCGCTTGCACAGGGTTATTTATTTAATCAGATTTCTTGACAGTATATTGCTGGGTCTTGCTTGTTTTACCCAGTTGAAAACATGTGTTTTAAATGTACAATTAAGATCATTTTATTTAATGTAATTAAATATGTTTGCATTTATATCCCTCATCCTACAATTTATTTTCTATTTGTCCCATCTGCTGTTACCTCATCTTCTTTGTTTTTTTTTTTTACTTGCTTCTTTGGGATTAATTGAGCATTTTTTAGTATTTTATTCCATCTTCACTTTTATTAGTCATTCCTCTGTTTTACATTTTTAGCAGTTACTAGAATTTATAATACATATTATGTAACCTTTCATAATCTATCTTCAAATAATATTATACTACTCTACATATTATATAAGATCTTGCAAAAGTAAACTTCCAATCTCAACCCTCTATCCTTTGGGATATTATTGTCATATGTTTCACATCTATGTTTTTATCAATATAAACCATTGATAATATTTTTGCAGTAAAGAGTCAACATATCTTTTTCAAAACCTTAAAAATGATAAAAATGCCTTTTGTATTTACCTACATATTTACTATTTCCAATACTCTTTGTTCCTTGTGTGATGTTTCATTTTCCTTTTTTCTGAAGAATTCCATTAACATTACTTGCAGTGCAAGTCTTTGGGCAACAAATTCTCTCAGCTTTTGTTTAGAGACAAAAACTTTTATTTTGTCTTTAATTTTTGAAGAATATTTTTCTTCAAATAGAATTCTAGGGTTCTAGGGTCACAACTATTCTTACAGTACTTGAAAGCTAACACTCCTTTGTCTACCAACTGGGATAGTTTTGTGGAACAGTCTTCAAACTTATCTTTAGGTTTACCTTTTTATATTTTAAAATTTTTAATTGAGATATATATATATATTCGAGGTGTACAACATGATTGGATATATGTATACAATTTGTAATGATTATTACAATCAAATTAACTAACACATCCATCACCAACCATTTTAAATTTGTCTTTAGTTTATATTCCTCACCCATACTTGCTACTTTTAATGATTTTTGCATTATTGTTTTCACCAATTTAATTTTGATGTGCTTTGGTGTCTGTGTGTCTACTATTATACTGGTCAGACTTCTCTGAGCTTCTTAGATGTATCGTTTTGTAATTTTCATCAAATTTGGAAAAACTTCTGACATGATTTCTTGAAATACTTTTTATTTCTTCCCCTGCCCCTGCCACTATTCTGAGACTACATCTACACATATATGAGACCATGTATTGTCTCATAACTAACCGAGGCACTGTTGATTTTTGTTGGGAGGGGCAATTATTCACTCTGCCTTTCATTTTGGATCAATGTTACTGCAATATCTTCAAGCACACTGAACTTGTCTTCTGCAGTGTCCTATCTGCTGTTAATACCATAAAGTGAAAGTTGTGACTCAAAAATTATACTTTTCACCACTAGAAGTTCCTTTGATTCTTTCTAATATCTTCTATATTCCTCTTATGTTAAGGTTTTTCTTTAAATATTTAAAAATATAATAACTGATTACATTTTTTGCTGGTAGTTCCACCAAATCTATCATTTATAGATCTATTTCTATTGACTGTTTTTCTCTTGGTTATAAATCACACTTTCCTGCTCTGTGGCATGACTAGTAATTTTTACCAGATAATGGAACTGCAATTGTTACATTGTTTAATGTCTAAATGTTATTTTACTCTTTTAAAACAATTGGGGCTTTTTGTTGAGAGGAGAAAGAGAGTTAAAATCAGTATGGTCAGGTTTTACTTAAGTTTTTTCTAGGTTGCATCTAAGCAACCTTTAATCTAGGTATAGATCAGCCTACTTCTAAAACATTATCCCCAGTGGGGTCTCAACTAAATGCCCTGGTTGATTATGAAGACGTGCCATTCTGAGTGGTCCAAACCTTAATATCTCCCCACTCTGTGTGAGCTCACAGAATTGTTTTATTTGTGAATTTGAGAGAAGCAAAGGGGATAGAATGGCTTGACCCAGCAGGGTAAACAGCAGCTCCACACAGCCAAAATGCCTACCCAATGACTCCATAAGGCAGGAAGACTCCCAGCTTCATGGATGTCAGAGACATGAAGGGATATCAGAGAAGGAAAGAAGCCACACTGGCTTTGCCCAGGAAGGTAAGCAATGGCTCCACACAACCAAAAAGCTCACCCTACAACCTCCCCAGGCAAAGAGATGTCCTCCTCCACAGATCTCAGAGAAGCAAAGGGGCTATACCTATTTGACCTGGGAAGGCAAGCAGTGTGGCTCAACACAGCCAACAAACCCACCCTACAACCCTACTCAGGCAGGGAGATTCCCACCTCTATGCATTTGGGAGAAATGTAGGCACTAGTCCTGCTTGATCCGAGAGGTCAAACAGCCACTCAATTCAGCCTAATGCCCATCCCAGGGTACCATACCCAGAGGGAAGCAAACCCTCATCATGCATTCCTAAGGAGCATAGCCTCAGGTCCCACCTGTCCAGAGCAGCAACTCCACCTAACCTTGCAGCCTGCACCCTTGCCCAACCACAGATCCCAAATAGCAGAATTACCCAGCCAAGGAATATGTCTTATATCTGGGCTGACCAGAAGCCACTGCAGTACCCAGCCAGCAGCTCCACCTAATAGGAGAGCCCAGTCAGTGGTCTCACCAGTCAGCAGAACCCAGAGAGTAGCATTATCTGACATCACAGCGAAGGTAGTGGCCCAGCCAACTAGAGAATACATAAATTCTCTTCAGGGTCATCACCAGCTGACCCTTCATGAATCACAGGCTAGACAAAATAATGAAATTCTATCCATGTCAAAGAACTCCTGTAAATGTGAGAAGCCAGGGCTGTCTTCTCAAATGTACAGACCTATCAATAATCACCTTAAATGTAAATGGATTAAATTCTCCAATTAAAAGACTTAGAGTTGCTGAATAGATTTAATAAAAAAAAAAAAAAAAAGACCCAACTGTATATACTGTCTGCAAGAGAATCACTTCACTGTCAGGGACACAAACAAACTGATAGTGAAGTAACACAAAAAGATATTGCATGCAAATGGAAAGCAAATGAGAGTGGAGTAGCTATACTTATATCAAATAAAATAGACTTTAAATTTTAAAACCATAAAAGAGACAAAGAAGGTCATTATATAATAATAAATGGACTTGTCCAGCAAAAGGATTTAATGTTTGTAAATATATATGCACCCAACATTGGAGCACCCAAATAAATAAAGCAAATATTAGTAGATATAAAGAGAGAAATTGACTCCAACACAATAATAGCACAGGACTTCAACACACCACTTACAGTAATGGACAGATCATGCAGACAGAGAACTAATAAAGAAACATTGAATTTAGGCTGCACTCTAGGCCAAAAGAACCTAACAGATGTTTACAGAATATTACAACCAACTGCTGAAGAATATACATTCTACTCAACTGAACATGGAACATTTCCCAGGATAGATCATATGTTAGATCACAAAACTAGTCTTAATAAATTTAAGAAAACTAAAATAATATCAAGTATCTTTCTGACCACAATGGTATAAAACTAGAAATCAATAACAAGAAGAACTTTAGAAACTTTACAAATACATAGAAATTGAACAACATCCTTCTGAAAAATGAATGGGTTAATGAAGAAATTAAAAGGGAAATTTATTTATTATTTATTTATTTATTTTGAGGCAGAGTCTCATTCTGTCACCCAGGCTGAAGTCCAGTGGCGTGATCTTGGCTCACTTCAACCTCCGCCTCCTGGGTTCAAGCAATTCTCCTGCCTCAGCCTCCTAAGTAGCTGAGATGACAGGTGCCTGCCACCATACCCAGCTAATTTTTGTATTTTAGTGGAGTATTTATTTTGTATTTTAGCCTCCCTGTTGGCCAGGCTGGTCTTGAACTTCTGACCTCAGGTGATCTGCCCACCTTGGCCTCCCAAAGCTCTGGGATTACAAGCATGAGCCACTGCACCCAGCCAAAAGGGAAATTTAAAAATTTCTTAAGACAAATAAAAACACATCAAAACCTATGAGATACAGCAAAAGCAGTTCTAAGAAATAAGTTTAGAGCAATAAATGCCAGCATCAAAAAAGAAGATCTCAAATAAACAACATAACATTGCACCTCAAGGAACTAGAAAAATGAAGAAATGAAACTTATAATCAATAGAAAGAAGGAAATAAAAATCAGAGCAGAAATAAATAAAACAGAAACTAAAAAAATACAAAAAGTCAACAAATGAAGAGTTAGTTGTTTTTTGCAAAGAGAAACAAAATTAACAAACTCTTAGCCAAACTACATTTTTAAAAAAGAGAAAAGACTCAAATAAATTAATGATGGAAAAGAAGGCATTGCACTGAAATCACAAAAATGCAAAAGGTCACAAGAGATAATTATGAACAAGTGTATGACAACAAATTGGATAATGTAGAAGAAATGGATAAACTAGAAACATGCAACCTACCAAGATTGAATCATGAAGAAATAGAAAATCTGAACAGAACAATAATAACTAACCAGCTTAAATTAGTAATAGAGTCTCTCATCAGTGAAAATCCCAGGGCATGATAGCTTCCCTGTTGAATTCTACAAACATTTAATAAAGAACGAACACTAATTTTACTAAAATTATTCCAAATAATTGAAGAGGAGGGAATACTTCCAAACTCATTCTATGAGGCCGTAATTACTCTGATAATGCAATCAGACAAGGATGGAACAAAAAAAGAAAACTACTCTGATGGTTATAGATGCAAAAATCCTCAACAAAATACTAGGAAGAGCCCATATCATTAATTCTGATCAAGTGAGATTCACCCCAGGATGCAAGGATGGTTCAACGTATGCAAATCAATAAATATTATACATCACATTAACAGAATGAATGACAAAATCCACATGATCTTTTCAGCAGATGCAGAAAAAACATTTGACAAAATTCAACATCCCCTCATGATAAAAACTCTCAACAAATTAGATATAGAAGGTACGCACCTCAACACAATCAAGGCCATATGTGACAAACCCACAGCTAATATACTGAATGTGGAAAAGTTGAAAGCTTTCCTCTAAGATCTGGAGCAAGACAAGGATGCTCACTTTTACCACTTCTGTTCAACATAGTATTGGAAGTCCTAGCCAGAGAAATTGGGCAAGAGAAAGAATTAAAAGGCCTCCAAGTTGGAAAGGAAGAATTTAAATTGTGCCCGTTTGCAGATGTCATTATCTTACATGGAGAAAATACTAAAGATTCCACTAGAGCTGCAGGATTTGAATTCAACATACAAAAGTCAGTAGTATTTCTTCTTTGTTTTAGACAGAGTATAGCTCTGTTGCCCATGCTGGAGTTCAGTGGCAAAATCTTGGTTCACTACAACCTCTGCCTCAGGGGTTTGAGCAGTTCTCCTGCCTCAGCCTCTCAAGTAGCTGGGACTAAAGGTGCCTGCCACCACGCCTGGCTAATTTTTTGTATTTTAGTAAAGACAGAGTTTCGCCATGTTGCTCAGTCTGGTTGAACTCCTGAGGTCAGGCAATCTGCCTGCCTCAGCCTTCCAAAGTGCTAGGATTACAAGCATAAGCCACTACGCTTGGCTGACAAAAATCAGTGGTATTTATATATACTAAAAGCAAACTATCTAAAAATGAAATAAGGACAACAATCCTATTTACAATAGCTAAAAAAAAAAAAATGGGACACTTAGTAATAAATTTAACCAAGGAGGTGAAAACTCTCCGCAGTGAAAACTATTTTTAAAAACTGATTAAAAAATTGAAGACATACATAAATGGAAAAGCATTCCATGTTTATGAATTGGAAGAATCACTATTGTAAAAATGTCTGTTTTACTCAAAATCATCTACAGATTCAATGCAATTCCTGTCAAAATCCCGAAGACATCCTTCATACAAGTGGAAAAAAACTATCTTAAAATTCATATGGACCCAGAAAACACCCTGAATAGCCAAAGCAATTTTGAGCAAAAAAGAACAAAGCTAGAGGCATCACATTACCTGACTTTCAAATATACTATGAAGCTACAATAACCAAAACAGCATGGCATTGGCATAAAAACAGACACACAGACAATGAAACAGAATAGTGAACCCAAAAATAAATCCATACACTTACAGCCAACTGATGTTCAACAAAGGTGCCAAGAACACAGAATAGAAAAAGAACAGTCTCTTCAATAAATGGTTCTGGGAAAAGTGGACATCCACATACAGAAGAATGAAGCTAGATTCCTGTCTCTTGCTATATACAAAAATTAAACAAAATGAATTAAAGGCTTAAATATAAGACCTGAAACAATAAAACTGCTAGGAGAAATGCTAGGAGAAAACAGGGAAAACACCATATTGGACACACATTGGATTGAGCAAGGATTTTTTTGGGTAAGATCCCAAAAGCACAGGCAACAAAAGCAAAAAATAGACGAATGGGATTCTGCTAGAAGCTTTTTAGAAGAGGAAAAAGCAGAGGAAACAAGCAATAGAGTAAAGAGAGAATCTACAGAATGGAAGAAAATATTTGTAAACTATGCATCTGTTAATATCCAGATTATATTAGGACTATATATCCAGACTATATTAGGAAGTCGATCAACTCAATACAAAAAAAACCCCAAATAATCTCATTTTGAAAATGTGCAAAAGACCTGAATAGACATTTCTCAAAGGAAGACATACAAATGGCCAACAGTTATATTAAAATATCATTAATCATTAGGAAAATGCAAATCAAAACAACAAGACAGCACCTTACACCTGTTAAAATGGCAATTATCAAAAAGATAATTAAAAAGTAGCAAATGGTTTGCATGTGGAGAAAAGGAAAACTCTTACACACTGTCGTGGGAATGTAAATTAGTACAGCCATTATGGAAGAGAGTATGAAGGTTACTCAAAAAAAAAAAAAAAATAGAACTACTATATGACCCAGCAATCCTACTGTTGGATATATATTCAAAAACAAATAAAATCAGTTTGTCAAAGAGGTATCAGCACTTCAATGTTTATAACAGTACTATTCACAATAGCCAAGAGATGAAATCAACCTAAGTCTGTATAAACGAATAAGTGGATAAATAAAATGAAGCATATATATGGAATGAAATACTATCCAGCCATAAAAAAGAATGAAATCCTGGCACTCATGGCAACATAGATAAATCTTGAGGACACTATGTTATGAGAAATAAGCCAGGCACAGGAAGACAGCTACAGCATGATCTCACTTACATGTGGAATCTAAAGAAGTTGACGTCATAAAAGTAGAAGGCAGAACGGTGGTCAACAGAGGCTAGCAAGGGAAAAGGAGGAGGGTACAGGTAAATTTTGGTTAACAGTACACAGTTACAGTTAGAAGGAATAAATTCTGGTGTTCTATTGTAGATTAGGATAACTAAGGTTAACAAATATGGTATTGTATATTTTAAAATAGGAGAATTTTGAATGTTCTCACCACAAAGAAATGATAAATATATAAGGTGATGGATATGCCGGCTAAATGCCCTGATTTGATTTTGCACAATGTATATACGTATTAAAACATCTTACTGTACCCTATAAATATGTATATTTATTATATCTTAATAAAACAAAGTTAATAAAAAAATTAAATAGATAATGAGTGCTGACTGTGGTGTAGGTACTGTCAAAGGCATATTTACATATGATAAATAATTTTTAAAGAAGCTGGCCAGATGCAATCATTACCCATTATCCTATGTTGGGCCCAATTTATGTATCTCACCCAATTCACTACATACTGGACTTTCAGTCACTTGCCCAATGGACAGCACTGGCCATTACCTTCAACTCATTTTCCAGTACCACTGATTGACGTTGCTTCCCCTGTAGTGAAGATGAAGGCACAGCCCTATCACCACTTTCACAGCTACAGCAATATCTACACCCTGACACATGGAAGCTCAGTTCCTCCTGCCACCTCCAGATTCCAGTGAAGCCACAAAGCATACGGTGTAGGATCTAACTTCCCCAACAATTGCCTACTGGGGTCAGGGGATATAATCTGAAAGTATAGGGACAGTAACATACCATAAGGTGAGCTTTGACCAATGTGAAATGAGAGATAGGAAGATGTTGGCAGATAAATTATTTTTCTTCCTCAATCTAACTGACTTGTCCTGTACAGCCTGTCTGTAGATGCTTCACATGACTAAGCAACAGTCTGTGTTTGCTCGTGCAGCTGTGGACAGCTTAGTGACCAACTTACATTTGTTTTTTCCTCCTTATGTACCATATAGGTATGTATATAGATACATATTTGTTCAAAGATTATATGCATGTGCAGGCATGGATATTCATTCTAGTTTTAGCATTTGCCCCAAGAGGTAGCTATATGTATTAAATTTAGGATATAAAATACAGTTAATTATCAATTAAGTTATTTTAAAAAGTACTAAAACATGTCCAGAAAAAAGCAGCATTTCTAATTAAAAATAGAAGCAAAGAATAGAATATAAAAAGAAAAATATATATCTTAACTTAAATAATATAATTAAGAACTAAAAATAAAGTTACTTTCCCAGTGAAAATATGCTCTGGGCAGAAAAAAAAATGACTAAAATATCAAAACGGAAAATTAGAAAGTGGTCTATTTAATAATAACAAAGGCTAAGCCTTAATGAAAGTCTACTACATTTCCTAGGATACTTTGATGATATACAGAAAATAATGAGTAAATTATTTCTCAAGTGTGATATATCTAGGAAATAGATCAGTGAAACAAAAAGAGTAATATCACAGCATACAAACAGAAAATTCACATATAGATGGAAAAAATCACAGTTTACATTGCATTCATGTTTAAAATCAAACATCACTTTTTCACATTTTGAAGATCTCCCCCCCTAAATATGGAAAGAAAAACAAGCCAGAGCTTTAATATAATATTTTTTTCCAACCTGGAACAGCTGCAAAAAACAAATCTTGCTGGAGATAAGCTTGGTTATAAATATCAACATTCCCTTTAAATAAGGGAGTCCAGTTTTCATACCATCTGCCTCTTTCTTAAAGGGAAAAAGTATGAAACTCATAAACCAGGACATTCCCTTTCAAATAAGGCATTTAAAAATGAATGTAATAAAAAGGCGATGAACTACTCTGAACCCCTGTCTTTAAAATTGCCCTATTTAGCTCAGATCAGAAAATGAGATTTTTTTGAAAGCAAACAACTTTTATTCAATGAATAAACTGCCTAAAGCAATTAATATTTTTAAGTGTTGTTTTCTAATTTTTTCACATTACTAGCCATAATAATAATCTCTGATTGAACCATATTTCTCCTTTATGTGTCATACTCCCTACCATTTATTTTTTATTTTTTATTTTATTTTACTTTTTTTTTTTTTTCTGAGATGGAGTCTCGCTCTGTCGCCCAGGCTGGAGTGCAGTGGTGCAATCTCGGCTCACTGCGAGCTCCGCCTGCTGGGTTCACGCCATTCTCCTGCCTCAGCCTCAGAGTAGCTGGGACCGCAGGCGCCTGCCACCACGCCTGGCTAATTTTTTGTTTTTGTATTTTTAGTAGAGATGGGGTTTCACCGTGTTAGCCAGGATGGTGTCGATCTCCTGACCTCGTGATCCGCCCGCCTTGGCCTCCCAAAGTGCTGGGATTACAGGCGTGAGCCACTGCGCCTGGCTCATTTATTTTTTAACTACGTGTGTCACCTCTACTTTTTCTAAAAGGTTTTTAGAGCCTATTCTAAAGACCTCCATGTTATCTCTAACAGTACAAAAATCTAGTTATTAAGAGACTGGACTTTTCTTTTAATACAGATTCTATCCTCTGCAAAAATCCTTCCTATGCCTCTCTCAACAGTGTTTATATATATATATATACACTCAAGTTTGGACTTTATCTTAAAGCCTTCTTTCGTGGCCGGGCGCGGTGGCTCACGCCTGTAATCCCAGCAGTTTGGGAGGCTGAGGTGAGTGGATCACCTGAGGTCGGGAGTTCGAGACCAACCTGGCCAATATGGTGAAACCCTGTCTCTACTAAAAATACAAAAAATTAGCTAGGCATGGTGGTGGACTCCTGTAATCCCAGCTACTCGGGAGGCTGAGGCAGGAGAATCACTTGAACGCAGGAGGCGGAGGTTGCAGTGAGCCGAGATTGCGCCATTGCATTCTAGCCCGGGCAATAAGAGTGAAACTCCGCCTCAGGAAAAAAAAAAAAAAAAAAAAAAAAGCCTTCATTTTTCTTTTGCCCTTCACTATTTTTCATTCTTTAATCCTTGTGATTGAACATTTAATTTTTTCACTGTACCACACCATTACTATTTCAATAATGAAGCCCATAAACTACATCCATTACTTAATTCTTTAAAATATTCACAAGAAAGCATTAATACAAGATGGTTTACCAAATAGAGCAGTCCAGAGGGTTATACTGGTTGCATCTAACGTAAAGGAATATTAAGTATAGTAACACTGAGATGACTTGAGGGACGGTAGAAGAAAACTAAGACAGGAAAAAAATGGCATCTTCTATTTTAAAAATATATATGTTTAGTCAATTCCTTGAATTACAATGATAGGATTCTGAAAGGCAACTGAAACAAATGCACATAGGGAGCCCTGACATAATTAATTCTCCTTTTCATATTCATTCTCTCCCTTATTCTTTTTCTCACACACATAAAAACACACCCATATACTGCAAACAAAAAGAACAAAACTGAATTTTTAATCATGAGCATTTGTAGTAAAGGCACAAAGATTATGCTTACATTTGTCCTTCATAGGAAAAATACATCCTAGGACCATTTTGTATTTTTTAATTCACTTTTATTCTGTTTTAGCTATGGACCACCTAGGTCTGTAATTATAGAAAACAAAGTTGCTCTACAAATGGCAAATGACATTTAATTGCTTACTTGGAATGCTGCATCTTCAGTAAAGAGGAAGGAGACAGAGAAATTTCGCCACAGTAATGGTTAACAACATTTAATCTCTAAGTATTTAAAACAAATGATCATTTTACAGCAATCAATATTTCTTCCTTTTCATGATTAATGTAGATATTATGAAATGAAATGAACAATGAGATTATCATTTCATTGCAACAATGAATTCATTGCAACAATATGATTATCAATATCATATCATTGCAACAGGAAAGTTGTTTTACCTTATACCTATCAGCTAGTTTAAAATATTTAAAAGGTTTTTTCTTATTAAATTTAGTCCACTGTTTATTTCCTCACTTCCCTGAGCAAGAATGCAGGGATCTTTGTTTTGTACACTGAAGAATCTCAAACAATAAGGACAATGTCTGCACATAGTATATACTCAATAGACATTTTTGAGTAACTATTCTCCAAAAGACAATTATGTTAATTTGAAACTTACGTATTTGATGTTTAATTATTGTAAACTTAATTGAAAATGCTTTGAGTTTTCAAAAATAAGCAATTGTCAAGTTTAGCCCAATGCTGCCTCCTTATATATTCTAAATGTGACCTAATGGTTTCTCTGTGCACAGTAAACTGTAACCTTTCCATGTGTAAACAGACTGCAACCGACTTTTGTGCCAATCACTGAGTTTTGGCCAAAGGTGGCCAACTGTTCAAACCAGGCTCAAATGAGGCAAACACCAAGCTGTAACCAATCTGGCTGTTTCTGTACCTAATTTCTGTTTTCTGTTACATAACTTTCCTTTTTCTGTCCATAAATCTTCCACCACATGGTTATGCTAATCTCTCTCTGAGCCTATTCTGGCCTGGGAGGCTTCCTGATTAGAGAATTATTCTTTGCTCAATTAAACTTGTTAAATTTAATTTGTCTAAGTTTTTTCTTTTAATGCTATATTTTATGAGAATCTGAGCCTGATAAAGGGTAGGTTAATTCTTCCCTACTTGTTTCCTTTCTGATTTTGATCCTTTTTGGTGATTAACTAAGATAGGCTTATTTTCCATTTTCAAAATAGGTACAGTAAGAATACCTATCTCACATGGCTATGTTGTAATGGTTAAATTAAATAGTTAATTTATATTAAGTGCTTCTCACATAGTAAGTGCTCAATAAATGTTATCATCATCATTACATCATGCTGATGTAACCAATTACTATTGAGGCAGTATGCAGTCAAGGAAGAAAAAGAAAGAAAGAAGGAAGGAAGGAAGGAAGGAAGGAAGGAAAGGGAAGGAAAGAAAGAAAGAGATGGAAAGAAAGAAAGAAAAGAGAAAGGAAGGGAGGGAGGGAGGAAGGAAGGAAGAAAGGAAGGAAAGGGAAGGAAAGAAAGAGAAGGAAAGAAAGAAAGAAAGAAAGAAAGAAAAGAGAAAGGAAGGGAGGGAGGGAGGGAGGAAGGAAGGAAGAAAGGAAGGAAAGGGAAGGAAAGAAAGAGAAGGAAAGAAAGAAAAAGAAAGAAAGAAAGAAAGAAAGAAAGAAAGAAAGAAAGAAAGAAAGAAAGAAAGAAAGGGAGAGAAAAGAAAAGAGAAAGGAAGGGAGGGAGGGAGGGAGGAAGGAAGGAAAGAAAGAAAAAAGAAAAAAATATAAACTTGATCTCACATTCGTTTTTGAGCTCCATTTATTTAAGATTCTTAGGATATAAGAATGCTCTCAGAATATACTAAGCCTATAACAACTTAATTACATATACGATGTACAATATCTGGTATTATTTGATCTTTTAAATATCTTCTATCATCAGCTAAGTGGCTTCTACAAAAGTATCTTTGGATAACTTTTAAAATGCCAAATTATGTATGCTATCTTATTGTTCACACATGTTTGAAACTCTGGATTAGTAGAGTAACAGTTACATTTAGAAAGTAAGTTTTTTATATACACTAGTTTCTCTTGAGGAGAGACCTTTTTAAGAACAGAGTGCTGTGGTGTATTTCAAAATGGTTCCTTTTCCCCTCCCCCAGGGATTTTTATCAGATATTTACTGTGAGAACCTAGTCTCACAATATGTATGTATTTACATACTTAGTGCATGTACATATGTACATACAAAAGGCTTACACACTAGTCCCCATTTTTAAAGCTGGCAACTTAATCTCTAATCGTTGTAGGAATTTGCAAATTATCCTTCAGTCTAAGAAAAAATTTCTCAGGTAAACACTTCCACAATTCTTTATTCTGTATTCTCTTTAGGAGTTGTAAACTTCTTGATGTTTTTTCTACTAAGTCTGTAAGTCACAATTCCTTTTATATATCCACTACATGCATTGTGCAGGTTAATACTGTTCCTCTTACTAGAGCAATAGCCTGACTTTAGATAAAACTGGTTCTGCCATAAGAGCCTCAAACCTTTAATTTCCAATGATAAGTTTAGCATCTCAAATATTTAAAGTAACCCTAGGTCTAACACATAATAGCAAACAAGAAATAAAATTTTAGAAAAGCCCTTATAGTACATTCCAACGAATATCTTCCAAAACCTTTAAGAAAATTTCCATAAATATTCTACTTTTCTATTTTCTTTTTGAATATTAAACTTTAGTATAACATTATACAGGTCTCCCTCCATAGCCATCAGGGATTGGTTCCAGGACTCCTGTGGAAACCAAAATCCACAGGTGCTAGAATTCCTTACATAAAATGGTGTAGCATTTGCATTAACCTATGTTGTACATTCCCCTGTATTCTTTAAATCATCTTTAGATTATGTATAATATTTAATACACTGTAAAAGCTATGTAAACAATTGTTTTACTGTATTTTTCTGTTATTTTTTTATTGTTGTATGGCTATTTTTATTGCTTTTTTTTTATCCTGAGTATTTTTGATCTGCAATTGCCTGAATTCATGGATGCAAAACCCTTGATATGGAGGGCCAACTGAAAATTTTTTACTAAAAAAATCTATGATCTAAAAAATCTATCATAGGCTTCCAGTTTCCATTTCTGTATGTAAGGAGCTTAGAAGTCACTACTCCATCCCTTTTCCAAGTAAAAAGTTAAACAGACTGAAAAATCAGCGCTCTTTTTGGATTCTTAAGAAAAATGAGGACACAGAGCACAACTCTGACTCTCAAGGTTGGAGAAATAGGCAAATGCAGAGAGTCACAGCTTACCAGACAGAAACCCGTGAGAGGAAATCGTCACAGGAACCAGTGCTGTGGTAGAAAAACCTGAACTGTAATTGACAAATTGCTAGAGGCTCAGGATGAAAAAGTCTGAATGAAAAACTCTAGGGGAACCAAGACAGAGAAGGACTCCCACACTCTGTGAGTTTTACCCCCAGGAGCTCGACTAGCTTCTCACAGTAAATACTTGAGAAAAATCCCAGTGGGAGGGGAAAAGGAACCATTTTGAAATACACTACAGCACTCTGTCATTCTTAACAAGATCTGTCCTCAGGAGAAACTAGTTAATCAAAGGCTAACTTGCTGGGTACTGTCAGAGCCTAACTGATCTGGGGAAAGGAAAACCCCCAACTCTAGCCCACTCTAGCTTTCCATGTGGAGGAAGAGAAATACTCAACTCCAGGCATCCTGTCTTCACTAAAGGAGGGGAAAACACTTGTGAAGTTCACAGTCCAAAAGCCAATGCTCACTAAATGACTAAGACCTAATAATAGGACTACAGAGTGTACCACATAGCTCCATACTTTACCACCATGTTACTAGAGGCCTATTTACAGCAGTTCCTTTTACCCAGTACATCATATCTGGCTATCAAGAAAAAATTACAAGGCATACTAAAAGGGAAAAAAAAAAACACAATTTGAAGAGATACACAAGCATCAGAACCAGATATGGCAGGGATGTTGAAATTATCAAACTGGAAACTTAAAATAAATATGATTAATATGCCAAGGGCTCTAATGGATAAAGTAGACACCATGCAACAACAGATGGAGAATGTAAGCAAAGACATGGAAATCTTAAGAAGGAACCAAAAGAAATGCTAGTGATCAAAAACACAATAGCAGAAATGAAGAGTGCCTTTGATGAGCTTATTCATAGATTGAACACTAGCTGAGGAAAGATCTCTAAGCTTGAGGTAAATCAATAGAAACCTCCAAAACCAGAAAACAAAGATAAAACACACACACACACACACACACACAGAACAGAATACCCAAAGATTGTGGTACAACTCTAAAAGGTATAACATACGCATAATGGGAATATCAGAAGATGAAGAAAAAGAGATAAGAACAGAAGAAATATTTGAAACAATAATGACTGAGAATAAATGTCAGACACCAAACCATAAATCCAAGAAGCTCAAAGAACACCAAAAAGGATAAATGTCAAAAAAAACTATACCTAGGTGTATCATCTGAAAATGCTTTTAAATATCTTTTACCTGGATATCTTATACTCCTTTAAATCAGTACAAAGGTATGACAGTCATTAATTCAACTCATTAATCTTACAATTCCCCTTTCCCTCTGGATAGAAGGCAATACTGCACTTCATAGTTCCCCATTCAAAATTTAGCAATTTGCTTTGACCAATGAAACTCTAAATGCCATTGCATAACGAGCCACACTCCCTTCCCACTGCTGCAGTGATCATGGAAGTATATTCAGATAAAACCTTCAATATCTTGGGTCCAGAACCATTCTACCAACTTATTTTGGATATGTAGTCTGTGTGTTGTGTTAAGACATTGAAATTTGGGCTTGCTTGTTTCTACAGCATAACCTGAGCTCCTCTGACTGATACAAAGGGTTACTTTTCCCCAGCAGCCTTTCATAAGTACAACATAGTCTGATTTAAATGCTGCTTCTCCAAGTGATGACAGCATTCTATTCATGCTCTTATTATAACACAATACTATAGTAAAATGGCTGCTGGAATTATCCATTTCCTTTGTAAACTATACTCCTGAAGGTAGGAACTGTTAATGCCTAGCTCATAGTAAGTAGTTAAAACACATTTTCTGGATTCATTGATCATTCATATGTTCACTCATCAAGGGCCAGGGGCCACTCCGGTTACTAGAGATAGAGTGAAAACAGAGCAAACCAAAATTCCTGCCTTCATATGCCTTATATTCTTATGAAGGATAATGATAATAAGCAACACAAATAAGTGTAAATATATAGTTTAATAGATAGTGATAAAAATTATAGAGCAAAGAAAGAATATAAAGCTTTGGATGGTCATCAGGTAAGACTCCATTTAGAAGGTGAAATTTTAATAACGACCAAAAGAAAAGTAAGGAAATTGGTCATACAATTGCTATATATGGATGAAGAGCAATTCAGTAGAAAGAATAGCAAGTGCAAAAATTCTGAGATGAGAAAATGCCTGGCACGTTCAGAGAACAAAAAGGGAGGCAGTATGCCCAGGGCAAGAGAATAACGATGAGCAGAGTTGAAGATGAAATTAGAGAAATAACAAAGGTTCAAGTACTGTAGAGACATTTAGACCAGTTTAAGAGCTTTATTTAGATTTGATGTTGAGTAAAATGGAGAGCTATTTAAAGGCTTTGAGTAGAGTGAGGAGTGGGAAAGAACAGTAAGCGATGAGGTCAGAGATAAACAGAGGCCCATATTCTTCCATTTTATGTCATATTTCCTCTCTCCACAATACATAAGAAAAATGGATGTATCAATTTACTAAGAAATATTGCTGAGTAAATGATATTTTATGATGATATTAATCTGTTTATTACTTAATATGCAGGAACAGTGACTAAAACCAATACATAATTATCAAAATATTGCAATATACCAAAGTATAATAATGTACTGAACATCAAGACAGACCAAGCATTTAATGTAGCAACAAATCTTTAACAGACAATTGATAATACTAAATATTTAACAAATAAATCAGTTATAAATGTATAGCTTTATAAATGTTACTACATTTATTTGGATTTGCTGAAATATCACAAAATAAATACAAGTAAAAACATTTCCTTATTGTAAAACTGCCTTCCATAAGAAAAACCTATGCTTGGAACCCAGGTTCATTGCCAGAAAAAAACAACCCAAAGCAATAAGTACAAAGTGAAAGAAAACAAACCACAAATCAAAACACCTTTTGCAAAATGTTAAATCAAATAAACACACCTTGCGTTGTGTCTTTGATGCTGCCAAGTCTAAACTCTGGAGAGCTGCCAAGGGGTAAGATGTTTCCAAAGCCAAGGTCTTTAGTTAGGTAGCAGTGCTTGCATTCCTGGCAAATTCAATTCCAAATACCAAAAATAATATTCTTGGTGATTTTTCTTACTGAAATTCAAAACAAAGTATATAGAAATAGTAAATGGATGATCTCCAGTTCCCTAATAGTCCACAAATTTAAATCACAGGGAAATCATTTCCAAAAGGTGTTTCTTGGTTTGCTAACTCTGTTATTTATTCCATCTGAATACGTTTCTATGCCAAATATAATTGGAAAATGTTGCATATTATGCCCCATTTTAACAAGGCACATTTTTATATTATTATGAAGGCTCTGAGAAGTCCTGTAACAGAAGAATCTATTTAAATTTATGTGACCCAGTGTGTCTTAAACAATTATCTGAAAAGTAGCAGGAGATACTTCCACTGTTTTCTAAAGTCAAGCATAAATGTAAAAATACTGATATAAAATTATTTTCTGTTATTTTAATTTGCACAAGGTTGACTTTAAAAACAATTGTATTTATTCAGTCGTAAATGTTTAAGTATATGTTACTTTCTAAATGCACATTTTAAAAGCAACATGGAATAATAAGCAGGTAATGCATGATTTATTCATTTTTGTTCAGTGAATATTTACCAAATACATATTAAATGTCAGGCAATGAACTTATGTCAAGTTTTACACTGCAATTGCTCTCATATGGATAAGAGTATAAAATTTAAGTATTTCCAAACTGGGATCTAATAATAATACCAACTTAAAATTTAACCCCAACTATTTGGGAACACAAGCTTTACTTTACTAATTCTAATGAGATAATTAAAAATAGCAATTTTGGGGTTACTTTTAAATAGTGTTAACAATACAAGTCAAGAGTAATAATATGAAAGAATAATCCTTTTTAACAAAGGTGCTACAAAATAATACAGTTGGACCCTTCCTCACACCAAACACGAAATTTAATTCAAGATGAATCACAGAACTAAATGCAAAGACTAAAACTATAAAACATTTAAAGGAAATCGTAGGAATAAAACTTTATTACTTTGAGTTTGAAAATAGTCTCTTAGATACAACACCAATAGCACAAGCAACAAAATAAAAAACAGACAAATTGAACTCCATTAAAATAAAAATTTTATGCTTTAAAGAACATGACCAAAAAAGTGCAAAGACAGTCTGCAGAATAGAAGAAAATACTTGCACACCATATATATAATAAAAGTCTTATATCCAGAATATATAAAGAACTCTCACAACTCAACATAAAAGATCAAATAATACAATTTTTAAATGGGCAAAGTATTTGAACAATTTTCCAGAGAAGACATACAAATTGCCAAAAAGCACATGAAAAGATGCTCAACATCATTAGTCATTAGGAAAATCCAAATAAAAACCACAATGAGATACCACTTTACTCCTAGTAGGATGGCTATTTTAAAAAAATGCAAGTGGAGATAAGGAATGTGGAGAAATTGGAATCTTCATACATTGCTGGTAGAAATGTAAAATGTTACAGCCACACTTTGAAAAGTTTGGCAGCTCCTCAAAAATGCACGGAGTTACCACGTGACCAGCAATTTTAGTCTTAGGTATATATCCAAGAAAAATGAAAACATCTCCACACAAAAACTTATATACGAATGTTCATAGCAGCATTATTCTAATAGCCAAAAAGTAGAAATAACTCATGATGAACAGGTATATAAATGTGGTATATATCTATATGGTGGAATATTAAAAAGAATGAAATATTGATAATGCTGCAACATGGATGAACTTGTAAACATGTATCTAAGTGAAAGAAGTCAGTCACAAAAGTCCACTTAATACATAACTTTTATTGTTCCCTTTATATGAAATGTCCAGAATGGGAAGGTCAATAGAGAAAGAAAATAGATTAGTGGTTGCTTAAGGGTGCAGAGGCAGAAGGAATGGGAACTGACATAATGGGTACAGAATTTCTATCTGAGATAATGAAAATATTCTGAAATTAGATAGTTGCACAATATTGGGAATATTGTAAAAATTCCTGAATTATACACTTTAAAATGATAAACTTTATGATTGTGAAATATAGCTCAATAAAGCTGTTATTAAAATACAAGTGTCATAAAAATACAACTCTACAGTCCTTATCTAAAATGTTTGGGCCAGATATGTCTTGAATGATTTTAGATTATAAAAATGTAATAAACCTCATCTACCATAATTACATAACACTCCTGAAAGGATGTGGGGGAAGCATATTAATACTTCATAGAAAAATCTTATGCCATTTAATTACATAAATAGTCCCATGTCATTTCAAGTCTGTTTTTTGTCTCAATTAAGTTTGTAAAAAACTTGACAAAGTTTAATTTTGAAGAACTTTTGGATTTTGAAAATGCAAGTGATGGTTGTTGGGAGCCTTATTAATGATGATTGTTAATATTAGTAATAATAGCAGCTACGCATTTGTTGACTAGCAACTACTGTGGCAAACACTGTGGTAAGCACATCACATACCACAAATTTTCATAACATTTCTGCATGACAGGTACAATTTCCCAACTGAGGAAATTGAGTTTCCTAATGATTAACTGACTTGCCCAAGCATGCAAAGTTGACAGGGAAAGTAGCAGAGATTAGAACTCAAATCTATCTGATTATAGAGCTTACTCTCTTTCCTCTATGTATTAGAGTATGTTCAGACCACTCACCAGAACTACAGACTCTACCTCTGTAAAATGGAGTAAGAGCCTTTTTACATATACATACATGTGTACATAACCATATATACATATATGTAAGTATGTATATAAATATACATATGCATGTATGTATACATAAAATTAATGTATGTACATAAAATATATGTATATTTACGTATACATACACATACAGATACACATATATACACATATATATGTGAAGTAAGAATGAAATGAAGTATTTTTATGAAAATGTGTCAAATATAAAGATCTACATAAATATAAGACAATATCATCTGAGTAACTATTTTCATTATATATCTAAATCAAGGTTCAAAGGGGATATGTTTTCAGTTAAATTTTACAAAGGCATTCCAAACAAACGTATTAATTTTAGTAGAAGAAATGCAAAGTGTTAATTTAAACATTGGTTTTAAATATCTAAGCAAAGAAAATCTAAATATATTCAAGTGGTCTATAACTAAACTTCTATCATCTCAAACTTTCATAAAGTTTTTGGGGTGCAGTATGCAAGCATATACATTATGTTTTGTCTTAAAGCAGTTAGTTCTATCTACTCAGGAGAAGCCAGAACAGATTACGTTTTTACTTTATAAGTAACTTCTTAATATTCTAAAAAAGTTTAATGATTTACGTTTATTTAACAGCCTGCTCACATAAGTTTACCTACCACGTAAGTTCCTAGGGTAACTAGGGGATTGTTTATATATTCCCCCTTAAAGGAAAACCTGTGTATACCTCAGTACAACTTTTATTCCATGAAAGTATAATCATAGAATTAAAGAACTTTAGAAAGTGTGGTACAGTATTTGAAAAAGCTTCAGAACCATTTCAAAATACCAATTTGATCATGTTGCTCTCCATTTGAAAACCTGAAATGGATCCTCATTGCCTCCAAGATGCAAATAGTTTTGCATGTCATATAAGAGCCTCCTCAGCCTTTGCCAGCAGGTTCATACTGCCTCAACTCTAGCCACTTTTCTCTAGATTAGGCCCCAATCACTAAACTTCTTTTGATTTTCCAATCACAAGAACCCATTGACAGCTTAATAGCTTTACAAATCTTATTATACTTATTTCAATGTTGCTCAGCCCTAGCCTTGTCTAACTTGAATTCATAGGCACCCTTCAAGACCCCATTTCAATCAATTACGTACTTTCTCTGTACAAGTCACCTATACCTGCTGGACAAATCTTTGGTTATCTGATTGATATGTAACTCATAACTCACTTATTAAATATTGTACATACTTATCTCTATAAACATCTAGATTTTTGGCATATAATAGTATCCATTATTTCTTATTATAATATTGAGATATTACCTGATTTTCATCTTTGGAAATAAAACTGTAAAATATTTACATGAATTTTGTTTCATTTATGGAATAGAGATGGAAAAGAGAAGATGTGGATTATAAAATTCAAATAATAATAGATTCCTGAGGTTAACCTTAACCCATATAAGACCAAACAGATGCTGGGGTAAGTCAAACACTGAAGGGCAAAAATTGAATAAATCTGAGTCCCTTGAACTGAAAAGAAAAGTACACTATGTCTTACAATTCAGGTCAGGAGTTGGAAAACTTCTTCTGCTTTCTAGATACAAATATTATAGGCTTTGGATGTCAAGAGGGAAAATCAAATTATAACAATGTGACTATGATTTTAGTGTGCTGAGATGCAGAGCAAGGCAATGAAAGTGCCTCATGTGCACCTCTGCGGCAATTACACAACTCTGCTGTATTGTATTGTACTGTAAAAGCAGCCATAGACAATACGTAAACAAATGAGTGTGATTGTTTTCTAATAAAACTTTATTTATAAACAATTAAATTTGAATTTTACATAATTTCCACATCACATATAAACAAATGAGCGTGATTGTTTTCTAATAAAACTTTATTTATAAACAATTAAATTTGAATTTTACATAATTTCCCCATGTCCACATTATCCTTTTGATTTTTTTCAACCGTTTAAATATGTACAAACCATTCCAAGCTCACGGATCATAGGATACACAAGGTGAGCCAGATCTGGCTTGCTGGTCGTAGTTTGCTATTCAATGGTTTGGGGATATTTTTTAATCTATTCATACTCTTGGATTATCAGGTTTCCTCTCTGGCATAAATGAGTCAGAAGTTCACAAAATTTTATTTAAATCTAGGTCGTTCTTATTGAATTAATTGTGTAGTATTATCTTCTCATGCAAACAATGTTTTATATTAGCAGTCAATTTTTAGCTATATTTAACAAAACTATTTAAAGTCTGGGGTATACCATCAGTTATATATATGCATACACACACACACACACACACACACACACACACACACACACACAAAATGGCTTTTGTGTTGATATTGCATTATCTCATAATAAGCTGGTATCTTCGGGTCTTTTTCCTCAAAAGGAAACACGAAGTAGTTTAGATTCCTTTATACACATGCTCCTCAACTTACCGTGGGTGAAAAATATCTTAAATCGAAAATGCATTTAATACCCCAATAAACCCATAGTAAAATTGAAATATTGTAAATCAAACCATCTTAAGTCCAGATGCTTTTCAACTTATGATAGGGTTACATACCGATAAACCCATCATGAAGTTGAAAAACCATAAGTCAAACCATTGTAAATCAGGGACGGACTGTATACGTAAGAGTGGTTTTCTGTTGCCATCACACAAGAATTACAAACTGCCTGGGAATTTTTTTAACTATAAACATGTTGCTCTGTTGTTTTCTGGCATTTCATACTACAGAAAAGAAGTCTGAGGCCAGCCTAATAACATGCTTTTTTCTTTTCTTTCTTGATATGGAAAACATTTATTTTCTTTATCATCATAATTTGACAATTTTGTGATTTTTGTGTCTCTTTAAGTTGTCATGCCTTACATAAAAAAGGCCCTTTCTTCCTTCATAGGTCTTTTTCAGCTCAGGAAAGTTTTTTCTCCTATTTATTTTTAAAATTATTTTTCTTTCAAATACTCTGTTCTTTTCTTCAGGAACAACTATTTGTCTATCTATCTATCTATCTATGTATCTATCTTCTTGTCTCTTTTTCAGAGACTCCAAATATCCACACAGTGGACTCTATTCTTTATTCTCCATATATCATCTTTTTATGATTTCCAATTTTTTAACTAAAATAACCTCTCAAATCTATTCTCTACACCGACTAAACTTTGTACAACGACATCAATTCTATTTGTTACTGCCTCAAATATAGATTTTTAATGCTTTTGTGATAGGCAAAATAATGTTCCCCCAATCCAAAAATGTTCAAGTCCTAATTCCCATAACCTACAAATAAGTTACCTTAGATTGCAGAAGGGACTTTGCAGACATGATTCAATGAAGAACCTCAAAATGGACAGATTGTCCTGAATTATCTGGATGTGTCTTCAAAAGTAGATAACCCTTCCAGATGTGGTCAGGAGACATGACAACAAAATAAGTCAGATTGCTGCAATGTTGCTGGCTTTGACGTTGGAAGAAGGAGGCCATAAGCCAAGGAATGTGAGCAGCCTCCAGAAACTACAAAAGACAAGGAAACCAACCATCTCTCCTAGAGCCTCCAGAAAGGAATGCAGCCCTGTCCCGACCTTGATTTCAGCCCAAAGTGACCTATATCAGACTTCTGAACCACAGAACTGTCAGATACTAAATTTGTGTTATTTTAAGTCACTAAATGTGGGGTAATGTGTTATAAGAGGAACAAAACTGATACGGCTCTCATATTTTCAGTTTCTCATCATTTTGTTTTCTCTTACTATCTTCTCTCTGACACTTCATCACTGTCTGTTATTTTTACATGAAGTTCTCCTATCCATAGAAGCCATGTATTCTTGAATGTGTTGGACGGCAAATAACTCCCCGAAATGTTCTTCCTTCCTTAGCTTAAAATTATTTTTAGAGATTCATAGGTATGCCTCTGAGTTTTCTACTGATAACCTCTGCCTTGATTTTGTAGGATGTCTTGTTTCACTTGATTTATTTTCAAATGTTAATTTATCCAGAATATTTTAGCACTGAAAAAACTGTATAGATAATTTCTACATAAGCCAGTGTTTTCCATTTATCGATAAAGGGGACGGTGTTGAGGGGAGGCAGAAAATGAACTCCCTAGGAATGCAGACAAAGCAGAATCGGAAACTGGGAGGTTCTTTTTAAAACTGTACCTTCCCATCCTGAAAAAAAAAATCTGATATACCTCCTCTGCCCAGAGAGATTCAGTACTATATACTGAGTCACTGTGAATGACGGCAACGTATTATAATGCTCAAGCATGTTGTTCAAAAAAAAGAAAAATCTTCAACCTTTTCCACATAGATAATTAACTTGACTGGAAAGTTATTAATACCCAACAAAGGATATTTCTACCTACAGAGCTAAGTCTAAAACTTTCAATACAGTGCACCTTCCACCTGCTATAGGTAATAAACTATAATCCACAATTAGGACTTTGCCACAGGTATCCATATAGTTCATTATTCCATACCCTGCAATATTTGAATATTTTAACATTCAAAGTATGTAAAACAAATGTTATTTGGATTAACCTATCTTTCTTTTGTCATTGTCAAACTTTTAAATTGTTCAATACAATTGGTCTGTTATTTTTGCAACTACGTCACTAAATAATACTACTACAGAAGAACTAAGCTAGTTTATGCTGTTGTCATTCTCCACTTCAGTGGCTTAAAAGTCATGTGACTGACAAGAGTCTTTCATTAATGGAACTGTCTTTGCCTTTTGAGTCAAAAAAACTGTTAAACCACTGAATATGGAGTATTTACCTTTTTATTGTTTAACATTTCAAAATTACGAATTAAGTAGGAATCATTTATTTTTCATGGAAACATACACCTATCTCACTCTATTGTTGCAAAGATGCTGAACATTTCTACCATATAAAAAAGGTATAAATATATATAATGGTATGAAAAATTAGCTCTAGGCCTACATGATCCTTATCTGTTTAATAGGAAATTTGAGAATATCAAATATGATCAAATATGTATCACTATTTTCCATTAGTATTATTTTAGTCACTCTGGATGAATACCAAAAAACCACAAAATTCTAAGTAATATTGTTTAAGACATTAACACTTTGAGTCAAATCTACTGATATCAAAAACACAGATACATATGCACAAAGATTAAGGAGAAAGCTGGCTGAGTTTCGCGTTTCTACATAGAAGAATGTCCACTGGAGCAGGGACTCTCAAAAGATGCTTTGGCATTGGAGTGAGACAAAGAAATTCTTTATTGAGCTGATAGATCTCTACATTACACAATATTTATCATCTCTGAACTTCAGGATCCCAAAAGCCAGTAGTACTTCCTTTAAAGAAATTAGAATAATTTTAAAACACCCTGGCATATTTCAAATACCCCAGAGGTGTCACCCAGAATGGAAAACCATTCTGGAAATGGAAAACCAGAGCACTAGATTAACAGTCCTGGCCTCAGATCCCACTTCTTCTTCACAGCTTACCAAAAAGAGACGTATCTGACCGGTTCACATTACTCCACCGGTAGAGCTAACCCATTATAAACCACTAAGCACTGGAGATTTTCCATCTTTTATTAGACCTCTGCCCTACACCATGAAAAGCAGTAATTGTAAGTAAGCGTATCTGTTCCGCAATCTGAAATTTTTCTCTCAGCTGAACTAAAGTCTAGGTTCTGGGAAAGAGAGTAGGAGTAAAAGGGGATAGGAAGTACTAGTACTCATTTTTGGTCTCATTTTTGCATAAAGCACTATCCCCACTCGACTTGTTATTGCAAGTTGAAGTTGATATGGCAGGCGCCACATGTCTGTTTACAAACGCAAGAGAGGAAGGAAAGAGCTATTATTGAGCCCCTAAAAATCTCTAAATCCATTGTAATGCTCTCTCTAAGCCATTTGTCTTTATCCCTGTTTCTCTACCAGAAATGAACAGAGTTGAATAAAGAAAGAGTCAAGTACCAAACAGTTCAAATAAAATTACAAGTACTAACGAAATAACAGGTGCATATATACATTTATGCGTTTTACAAAAGCAATAGCTCTTTACCTCTTCAAGTTTTTCCTTATCCAATAACAACTTTTTATATCTACTACTGATATCCACTTTTATTGATAAAGCTAGATAGGGAATCAGACCAAAGAAAATAATGAACTCTATTTACAGATTTCTATATGAATATAGAAATCAGGAAAAGAGCCACAGTGAAAACAACCACAATTCTTTTTAGCCACAAATTAAAATGTTATAAAAGATTATTCACTTAAGTTTAAAAAAAAAAAAACAGTTCTAAGTATCAAGTAATGATATTCCAGTGGCATGTACTAAAAATAATCAGCTTTTCTTTGTCCAAAACGGACCTCGATAGATGAGAAAGTTTATGGATTTAATGTTCATCTCAAAAGTACAATTTTGGCCAGACGCGGTGGCTCACCCCTGTAATCTCAACACTTTGGGAGGCCGAGGCGGGCGGATCACCTGAGGTTGGGAGTTCGAGACCAGCCTGACCAACATGAAGAAACCCCGTCTGTACTAAAAATACAAAATTAGCCAGGTGTGGTGGTGCACTCCTGTAATCCCAGCTACTCGGGAGGCTGAGGCAGGAGAATTGCTTGAACCAGGAAGGCAGAGGTTGTGGTGAGCTGAGATAGCGCCATTGCACTCCAGCCTGGGCAACAAGAGTGAAACTCCGTCTCAAAAAAAAAAAAAAAATACAGTTTCACATTTTTCTCAAAATATTTGACAATGTTCTTTTTACTTGTTTAAATACCAGAATATGCTTTAAGAGGTTATGATCAAAGGGCATTTGGGATAAAACATAGATTACATGGTTTTGTAAGATAGCAACAAATAACTGAACATTAGTAGTTCCCGTTTGTTAGTGCTCAAAAAAACAAAAAAGTACAATGGGAAAGGGGGCCCCAAAAGGGAACTGCAGATGACTGAAGGCCTTGAACAAAGGTATGTTATGGTAAGAGGCACTGTGGAAGAAAGGCAAAAGCCCCACTCTGCTCCCAGCTATGTAGCCTTGGGTAAAAGTTACTTAGTCTCTCTGTAGGATGAGGCAAGTGGGAGAGAATAATTTCCTTATCCCTAAAGAAGTTGAACAAAAACAGGGTCCATTTAGGCTTAAAATTGTGCATTTTTCTGAGGAGCAAGTCAATAGCTTTCCTTGGTTTCTCAAAGTGGTAAATGACACCAAAAAGGTTAGTCATCCTCGCATTAAAAGGTAATGTTTCCCAATCTTTTCAGGTATATATATATATCTATATATATATATATATCTAGTGATATTAAAGAGGAAAAGGTGTCATTCAAGACATTACAGGTTCTACCTAACCAGAACCAACACAGAATCAATAATGAATAGATGAGTTAATTTCTTCCCCATTTCTAAATAACCCTAAGATTAAAAAAAAAAAAAATCACAAGGGAAATTTGAAAATACTTAAAGCTGAATGGCAATACTTATACGTGTTTATAAATTTGGATCATATACACAAAAAGATTAAAAGTGTAATCAATAATGCTTTACATTTGTGTGGATCATTACTTTAATGATACTTTCACAACCAATTATTCCTCCTTTTTTAGGAAGGAAGGGCATATCCTAGAGTCTCCAATTTACAGATAACGAAACAATTATTGCCCAAGGACAAACATTTCTTAACCATGCCAGTTTCCTGACTTGTAGGCCAATGCTCCTCCCAATGTTAACAAGCAGCACAAGCTTCCTTCCTGGGGGTTTGCACTGTAAACCTGCCAGAGGAAAATAAAAGATTTTTACCTCTTTTGTTTTTTCTCTCTGGAATGTTTGTTGTGCTGAATCATTAGGAGACAGAGTATATGAGCAAACAAAGGCAGATTTAAAATGGTTATCTGAGGTTACCATCTCACACCATACTTGTTGATCATTAAGTATGAGCCGAGTGAAGCAAAAACAGCTCTACAGGTTTAGCACACCTCTCCACAGTAGAGAATGAAAGGGAGATTATACATTGGGGCTCCTCTAGCAATAAATTGCTTCAACTTCTTCAGGAGGCTTATTAAGCTCAAACAAGCAGCAGAGAACTCCAAGTAGAAGAAACCTAATCTCCAATCCCCTTTTCCTAGTCATCCACGCGGACACCAACATCTGATGGATTCAGGAATACACCAAGCTCCAAGAAAAATACCCCCGCCCCACAACCTCACCACCACCGATAAAGCCACCTAATCCTGTCTGAATCTCTTCTCTGCAAATGTTTTGGTATGCAAATACTCGTTCATTAATAAGAGGAAGCAGGAAAAAGAGTGAAGAGGAGTACCATGGGAAAGGGGGCCCCAAAAGGGAACGGCAGAACCCAGAGAGCTGCACTGACAAGTAAGCGACCGCGAGTAATCGGTCAGCACAAAGGAGCCAATCCCGAGCCGCGTGGAAGACCTTGGGAGGTGGGCGGGACTAACGTGTCCAGGGCCCAGCGGCTGGCGCCAGACACGCTGGCAGGGCGGGAACCGCGCGTTCCTTAGCAACCGCAATGGCCACGCCCACCGAACCCAGCACCCTCCATCCCCCATCCCGCAGCCAGCGCCCTACTCAACGGGAACGGGTCCTTCAGTGATCACCGTACCTACTGGGTTTCCCGGACTCCGGGTTTCTCTTGCAGAGCCTCCCTCCGCCCAGCCCCACCAAGTGCCGCTCCCAGGGACGGAACGATCGTCTCCCAAACGCTTTAGGGCTCGCTAAAGAGGTGCGCCCGCTTTCATTCCCGGACCCCGAGCTTCCCGGGCAGGGTCTCCCCAATCCCCTCGCACTCGCCGGACACACACCTCAGCTCTGCCAAGGCAAGGGCCGACAAACTTCGTGTCCTGTGGGAAATGTTGCTGTCCACGGTTCTGTCACTCAGGGGCAGGGGCGGGACAAGCCAGCCGCACACCCCTACTCCCAAAGGGTGAGGCGGAAAAGAGGCGAGGCTCTGCCCCCAGGGGCGGGACCAGGCCTCAGCCTGCTCTCGGATTGGTCGGCCTTTCTCCCGTCTGTACGCCGGTCCAGGACGCAAAGGCGCTGGCCCTGAGGCCTTTCCCTCATTTTGATGCCACTCCGGAGTTCTAATACCTGTCTCACGAGGTGACTGTAGAAATTAAAAATAAAGACTGTGACTTGTTTAGTTAATATAAAACGGAAAAATATGTTATTTTGATTATTGAACCCTCCCATCTCACACACACACACTCCCCAATTCACAGGATCATCCCTAAGGAGCGTCCCTAAGTGGAAGGGCGCACTGTCTGTGTAAACAATCAATTAATTGCCCATTCAAACAGCAAAAAAGAAAAAAAAATCGTTTTATATTAACATTAACCAGAGATTAATAAATTTAGGAAAGATTGCAAAAACGTGACTGACAATTAGGATTTAGGAGCCTATGTTCGGGTACTCAATTTTCACATCTACAAAATGGGAATGAAATATTAAGATGTTACTTATTGGAAAAGTATTCAAATATTAAATGCTTTATAAATTATACTCATGTAATCCTTACAAAACCCACTAAGAGTATTATCCACAGCCTATGGACAATGAAACACAGGCTAGGAAAGGCTAGATTTATTCAACCATTCAACAAATCTAAGTGCCTGCAGCCATCATTTTTTAATATTGTGGTGAACTAAATCTAAAATTCCTTCAAAAAATTATGCAACCTCCAATTTAATTTTTCTCTTGCTCACATAAAAGTCACCTTCCTCTAGGCCAGCCCCATCATATCTTTTTCCAAAAGCCCTTGAGAAAGAAAGTAGCATACAAAAAAAAAAAAAAAAAAAAAACTGAGACAAGTATAAATAGACTAACCAGAAGGCTTTCTGAAATCTCACAGAATATTATGGCCAGGAATTGAATCCAAAATGTAATTTTATTTTCCGTCCTCCTAAATCATTTTCTGGTCTCCAGTTCCTCTCCCAGAAATAAAGGTAGAGTTAAATGAGATTATATTAATACACTTAACCAGATTACTTATGTGTGTGGCTTTAAAATAGTGAAACTCTTTTTCCTTCCATATTAAACCAAAACCCAGAAGGGTTTATCTTGTCTGATAGATACGGTTGTAGTAAGAAAAAAGAAAAAAAAAAAGAGTACCTCTGGACAAGTGCCTTGAGATTCAATTAAAATGTTCATCGTACTGTGATGCAATTGTTGGAATAAAAGAAACCCATTCCAATTACAAATAATTTTACACTCTTGACCTGCTGAATATCCAAATTCTTCTGAAAGCTTGCTAAATGTGAATAACTCTCTATAAAACTTTCTTGATTTGTATGACTCAGAGTCCCCATTTTCTTTAATCTTTTAAAAATATTTGGTTTGGCCAGGTGTGGTGGTTCATGCCTGTAATCCCAGCACTTTGGGAAGCTGAGGTGGACGGATTGCCTGAGGTCAGGAGTTCCAGACCAGCCTGGCCAACATGGTGAAACCCCGTCTCTACTAAAAATACAAAAATTAGGCAGGCATGGTGGCAGGCACCTGTAATCCCAGCTACTCAGGAGCCTGAGGCAGGAGAATTGCTTGAGCCCGGGAGGCAGAGGTTGCAGTGAGCCGAGATTGCATCATTGCACTCCAGCCTGGGCAACTGAGTGGGACTCCATCTCAAAAAAAAAAAAAAAAAAAAATTAGTTTTAGACTAAAAAGAAAGAGTTATGATTATATATTAATAAATATATAAATAAATGCTGTAAGATTTAAATAAAAGTGGTGAATGTACTTGAGTCCATTTTCATTACATAAAGATGTACAGCAATGCATTTGTACAGCAAATGCATTGAATATTCTCACATATGTAAGATATTATACAACAAGAAGTAAATAGCTTAATGTAAAATTAAAACTTCCAGATGTATGTTATATGCTTATTTCTTTACCATATAAAGACATATATTATTGACTTACATTTCTAGCAAATTGAAATATAATTGGCTGCATAGTATTCTATGGTGTATATGTGCCACATTTTCTTTATCCAGTCTATTATTGATGGGCATTTGGGTTGGTTCCAAGTCTTTGCTATTGTGAATAGTGCTGCAATAAACATACGTTGGCATGTGTCTTTATAGTAGCATGATTTATAATCCTTTGGGCATATACCCAGTAATGGAATTCCTGGGTCAAATGGCGTTTCTGGTTCTAGATCCTTGAGGAATCACCACACTGTCTTCTACAATGGTTGAACTAATTGACACTCCCACCAACAGTGTAAAAGCATTCCTATTTCTCCACATCCTCTCCAGCATCTGTTGTTTCCTGCCTTTTTAATGATCACCATTCTAACTAGCATGAGATGGTATCTCATTGTGGTTTTGATTTGCATTTCTGTAATGACCAGTGATAATGAGCTTTTTTTATATGCTTATTGGACGCATAAATGTATTCTTTTGAAAAGTGTCTGTTCATATCCTTCACCCACTTTTTGATGCGGTTGTTTGTTTTTTTCTTGTAAATTTGTTTAAGTTCCTTGTAGATTCTGGATATTAGCCCTTTGTCAGATGGATAGATTGCAAAAGGTTTCTCCCATTCTGTAGGTTGCCTGTTTACTCTAATGATAATTTCTTCAGCTATACAGAAGCTCTTCAGTTTAATTAGATCCCATTTGTCAATTTTGGCTTTTGTTGCAACTGCTTTTGGAATTTTAGTTATAAGTCTCTGCCCATGCTTATGTCCCGAATGATATTGCCTAGGTTTTCTTCTAGGGATTTTATGGTTTTAGGTCTTACGTTTAAGTCTTTCATTCATCTTGAGTTAATATTTATATAAGGTATAAGGAAGGGGTCCAGTTTCAGTTTCCTGCATATAGCTAGCCAGTTTTCCCAACACCATTTATTAAATAGGGAATCCTTTCCCCATTGCTTGTTTTTGTCAGGTTTGTCAAAGATCAGATGGTTGTAGGTGTGTGGTGTTATTTGTGAGGCCTCAGTTCTGTTCCACTGGTCTATATATCTGTTTTGGTACCAGTACCATGCTGTTTTGGTTACTGTAGTATAGATTGAAGTCAGGTAACATGATGCCCCTCTTTGTTCTTTTTGCTTAGGATTTTCTTGGCTATATGGGCTCTTTTTTGGTTACATATTTAGAATTATGTTTCTGTGTTTCCAAGTATTTGAGAGTTGTCTAATATCTTACAGTTATTGACTTTTAATTCCATTGTAGTTAGAAAATATATATTGTAATATTTCAAATTTTATTGAAAATTATTGACACATATATTATAACCCAACATATGGTTTATCTTTATGACTGTTCTCAGTGTATTTGGAAAAAAAATGTGTATTCTGAAATTATGGAATGCAGTATGCTCTAAATGTTGATTATAGTCTATATCTTATGACAGTTTTTTTTTTTTGCTTTTAAAAACATTTTATTTATTTATTTTATTTTTTCATTTTACTTTAAGTTCTAGGATACATGTGCAGAATGTGCAGATTTGTTACTTAGGTATACATATGCCATAGTGATCCTTACCAACATTTTTAAGCATATTCTATCACTTATTGAAAGAAAGGTGTTAAATCTCCAACTATGCTTGTGCATTTGTTTATATTTTCTTTTTTTAAAAAAAATTAATTTTTTTTAAATTTTAGGTTCCAGGATACATTTGCAGAATATGTGGGTTTGTTACACAGGTAAACTTGTGCCATGCTGGTTTGCTGCACCTATCAACCCATCCCTTAGATATTAAGCCCAGCATGCATTAGTTATTTATCCTGATGCTCTCCCTCTCCAAATCCTCCCCTAGCAGGTCCCTGTGTATGTTGTTCCCCTCCCTGTGTCCATGTGTTCTCATTGTTCAGCTCCCACTTATAAGTGAGAATATTCAGTGTTTGGTTTTCTGTTCTTACATTAGTTTGCCGAGGGTAATGGCTTCTGGCTCCATTCACGTTCCTGCAAAGGACATGATCTCATTCCTTTTTATGGCTGCATAGTATTCCATGGTGTATATGTACCACATTTTCTTTATCCAGTCTATCATTGATGGGCATTTGGGTTGATTCTATGTCTTTGCTATGGTGCATAGTGCTGCAATGAACATGCGCATGCATGTATCTTTATAATAGAATGATTTGTATTCCTTTGGGTATATACCAAGCAATGGGATTGCTGAGTGGAATGGTGGTTCTGCAGTTCTGCTTCTAGGTCTTTAAGGAATTGCCACACTGTCTTCCACAATGGTTGAACTAATTTACATTTCCACCAACAGTGTAAAAGTGTTCCTATTTCTCCACAGTCTCACCAGCATCTGTTGTTTCTTGACTTTTTAATAATTGCCATTCTGACTGGTGTGAAATGGTATCTCATTATAGGTTTTGTTTGCATTTCTCTAATGATCAGTGATGTTGAACTTTTTTTCATATGTTTCTTGGCCACATAGATGTCTTCTTTTGAGATGTCCCTGTTCGTGTCTTTTGCCCACTTTTTAATGGGGTTGTTTTTCTCTTGTAAATCTGTTTAAGTTCCCTGTAGATTGTAGATATTAGACCTTTGTCAGATGGATAGACTGCAAAAATTGTCTCCCATTCTGTAGGTTATCTTTTCACTCATGATAGTTTCTTTTGCTATGCAGAAGCTCTTTAGTTTAATTAGGTCTCATTTTTCAATTTTTGCTTTTGTTGCAATTGCTTTTGATCTTTTGTCATGAAATCTTTGCCCATGTCTATGTCCTGAATGGTACTGCCTAGATTTTCTTCTAGGGTTTTTATAGTTTTGGGTTTTACATTTAAGTCTTTAATGCATCTTGAATTATTTTTTGTATAAGGTATAAGGTCGGGGTCTAGTTTCAGTTTTCTACATATGGCTAGTCAGTTTTTCCAGCGCTGTTTATTAAATAGGGAATCCTTTCCCCATTGCTTGTTTTTTTCCTGTTTGTCAAAAATCAGATGGTTGTAGATGTGTGGTCTTATTTCTGAGTTCTCTATCTGTTCCATTGGTCTATGTGTCTGTTTTTGTACCAACACCGTGCTTCTTTGGTTACTGTAGCCTTGTAGTATAGTTTAAAGTTACACACACAAGGGAACAAGACAAGGATGCCCTCTCTCACCACTCCTGTTCAGCATGGTATTGGAAGATATGGCCTGGGCAATCAGGCAAAAGAAAAAAATAAAGGGTATTCAAATAGGAAGAGAGAAGTCAAACTGTCTCTGTTTGCAGATGACATGATCCTGTAGCTAGAAAACCCCATTGTCTCAGCCCAAAAGCTTCTTAAGCTGCTAAACAACATCAGAAAAGTCTCAGGATACAACATCAATGTGCAAAAATCACAAGCAATTTTATACACCAACAATAGACAAGCAGAAAGCTAAATCATGAATGAACTTCCATTCACAATTGCTACGAAGAGAATAAAATACCTAGATATACAGCTAACAAGGGATGTGAAGGACCTCTTCAAGGAGAACTACAAACCACTGCTCAAGGAAATCAGAGAGGACACAAACAAATGGAAAAACATTCTCCATGCTCATGAATAGGAAATATCAATATCCTGAAAATGGCCATATTGCCCAAAGTAATTTACAAACTCAATGCTATTCCTATTAAACTACCATCGACAGTCTTCACAGAATTAGAGAAAACTACTGTAAAGTTTATATGGAACCAAAAAAGAGCTCATATAGCCAAGACAATCCTAAATAAAAAGAACAGAGCTAGAGGCATCACGGTATCCAACTTCAAACTATATTTTCTTTAGTTGTGTTAATTCTTTCATTATATATTTTGAAGGTCTGTTACTAGGCTCATACACATCTAGAATTATTATGATTTCCTGATGAATCAACACTTTTATCATTATGCAATGTTGACCTTTTTATCTCTGGTTATACTTGGTGGTGAAGAATATTTGCCTGATATTAATAATCTTAGATTAGATGTATTATGCCTGTTGTTTCTACTAGATCCATTTCCTTGCCTTTACATTTAAGCTATCTATGCCTTTATAGCTCTATCTCTTGTATACAATATATTGTTGAATTTGCATTTTTTCCAGTCTGACAATCTTTGATTTGTTATAAAAATATTTATTCAATTTCCATGTAACATAGTTATTAATATGAAGGGTATAAGTCTATCATTTTTCTTTGTATTTTTTATTTTTCATTTTTACCTTTCTCCTCCATTTATACTTTCCTTTTTTTATTTGCTTTAGTCAAAAATGTTTAGACTTCCAGTTTGTGCTTCTAATGGTTCTTTAGCTATATTCTTTTTGTTATTTTATTTGTGGTTATTCTAGAGGTAACAATCTATATTGTTATGCTGAGAATCATCAATGTTGCATTCATTTAATATTATGTTCTAAGAGTAGTGCCCTGTGCTCCTCCTTCACACCACCCCCCAGTTTTCTGCCTAGCTCCAACTTTCTACTTGCTTTGGCATTATGCCATTTGGCATGTCCCCATCCAGGAGGGTAACAACACTATCTTTCACACCCGGGCCAAGAACACAGGAAAGTGAAGTAGAAGAGTGGATAAGGCCAATCCCACTAAGTAGAAGGCTAAGCAGTGCTGAGCCCTTAACAAAAGCCACAACTTCCAGCTGATCTTTACTGTGTTTCAAGACCTGTCACTCAGGGCCAGCTTCACGGTATGAGAACTGTACAGGCCCACAACACCCATGGTCAGAAGGTTCCCCTGTTTGTTTAATGATCTACTATTGCTGTCCTGAAATTTTTAATAATTTTATCTTTGAACTTATTTTTTGTAAGTTCAGTCTAATGGGATAATGAAGCGTGTGCATGAGCAGAAGAGATATTCACAGTAAGTTCTCTACTATTTCTTGTGATCTCACTTGCACATAGAGTTCATGGTGCCTCGTGAGCACAGAATTCTGATGGACCCATCATAGGTGAGAGTTCGGCGAGACTCAAAGCAAATGTGAGGTAAGCCTGTTATCAAAGTCATTTGTTTTGTTTCCATTGAGTATTGGTAGAATGTGTGCATATCAAGAAATGAAATAAGAACAATTTTGAGTTGGTATTTTTTGCAGTTTCTACTGGTTCAGTAACAACAATATACATATGCATATATGAGCTATGAAATATGAACTATGTAATTTCAGTGATTCTGGATATCAGTAAATGTTCTTATATTTTTGTTTAGAACTGCAATTGCACAAAATGAAGGTGAACAGTAGCAATCACACTTATGATGAAAAATTTTAATTTCTCTACTTAGAGCAGCGTTAAATAGCAAGTATAAAACACCACGATAACTTCAGAGAGACTTTGGAAGAAAGCAATAAAACGTTTTCTGTCTTATGCCTTTGATGGCACATTTTACTTTTTTTTAAATTTTTTTAAACAACGGGCCACACACTTTCATTTTGTCCTGGGCTAAACAAATTATTTAGCTTGCACTGATATCATTTCACTATTAAAAGATATACAAAGGTTGACTTTGGTGATCCAGCTTCTGCAGAGTCAAGATTAGTAAGGATAAAATTTTTGGTGCAAAGTGGGAGTAAGGAAAACATTAGTAAGGATAACATTTTTGGTGCAAAGTGGGAGAAGGAGAAGGAATAGCTCGGGAGGATGCTACCAAATTTGAGCCGCACAGTACATTCCGGTCTAGTACATTCTCGTCCCCTATAGTACTCTGTTCTTTACAGAAGGAGGAGTTTAAATGATCACCACTGTATGTGAGTCTGGGACCCCTTATCTGAAACTGCACCACTTTGGTATATTTACGTTGTGAAATCACTAGCTTTGGGTAACTGCTTCCTCCATATCCTGCTGCTGGCTGCAAACCTGCCCTGTGCAGACAACCCATTTCTTCTGCCTGATCTGCTCAATAGCTCCACATCAAGTGCTTGAAGGTCAAGTTACATTTCAGGCTGGTATCCCTGTGCCATCAACAGCAGCAACCTACATGGTTGTCACCTTGTCAACAGTTAGCTGGAGGCCACATCAGAGAAGTGGAGCTCTTTGGCCAGGAAAGCCTGAAACAGGTGCACTTCCCTGACAGCAAGGACATACCCAGTAACAAACAGCACTTCTACATCTACTAGCTGCTGGACATCCTGGACTATGGGCTCAGCTTCCAGCTGCAGGGCCAGAACTTGTATATCATCCAACTACGACAGCACAAAGTCTTCCGGAGTGAGCCTTGTACCTTATCCAACAGCTCCCACCTCAAACCAATCCAACAGAAAATGAAGTCCAAGCTCTTCAGTCTGAATCTTTTTCAATGAGCTCATCTCATTCCAAAAGGGCCAAACCAACACACAACCACGATTTGTGACCTCCTTTTTTAGGGAAGGGTATCTTGACTATAAGTCCTGAAACAAGAAATTCATTATTCTATAGATGGTGTATGGAGACTGAAGCTTGGTTGTTGCTGAAGTTCTTCTCAGGAGGGGTTCTTAATTGACTGATAGTATCTAGACATACATCTCAAAGACTGAACCATAAGGTAGAAAAGTTGAAGGAGCTCCATCACATCCAGCAATCTCATCAATTGCAGACTGTAATCCAGGCTTTCCTGAGCCCAACCTTGATGCTGGCCAGTGGCCCTGACTCATTCACCCACTTGACCCATAATACTGAAGCTGAAGAAAGCAACTAGCCCAGTCTTCCTAGAGGGCTTTGTAAATGGATGTGGAGGTTCCATGGAACCCATGGGCACCTTACCAGTTTTAGCCTTATGTCTTCTGCAGGGCCTTGCCTGGGACCAAGAATTGGATTTTAATCAAAAGAAGAAAGAAGACAGAAATAACTAGCTATTTTTTTCCACAGAAGCTGAGGAGAGAGCTGAAAGACAGCTTTGGTTTCAGGGTTCCATTCTCCTCTGAATCTACCTCTACTGTCCTATTTCTGGCAGGCCTGGCTCTCAGGGATGCTCACCTTCTGCTCATGTTCCAAGGAACTCCCACAATCAAGGATACCTGGTTGCTTAAGGTGTATTGCCCCCAGGGGGCCTGCTCTCATGGCCTCCCCAGTTTCCACAGGCTGGAGGAGCCAGGGTTTGATTTTGGTCCCAGAGATATGCTGGTCTCATAGAAAAAGTTTGAAAGTATTCACTTTTCTTCATTGTCTAGAAGAATTTGTGTGCATTGCCAGTGTTACTTTCTTAATTTTTGTGTAGAAATCTCCGAGGAAGCCACCAAAGCCTAGACTTTTTGTGGGAGAATTTTTAATACAAATACAATTTTTAAAGTAGATGTGGGACTATTCAAACTCTCTACTTCTTTAGTGACCATTAGTAGTTTGTATACTGCAAAGAATTTGAACACATTATATACACTGGCAAATTTATTGAGATAAACTTGTTCATAATATTGCTTATATTCATTTTTATTTCTGTAGAATTGTGGTGACCTCACTTCTCATATTTCTGGTAGTGGCAGTTTGTCTTATTTTTCTGATCTCCTTGGCTAGAGCTTTAATTTTATTACCTTTCTTAAAGAAGCAGCTTTTATTTTTATTTTTTTCTATTGCTTTTCAGATTCTTATTTTATTGATTTCCATTTTTATCTTTATTTCATTTTTCTGCTAACTTTGGATTTAATTTGCTCTTCTTGTTTTAGTTACTTTAGATAGAGATTGAAGCCATTGATTAGAGTATTTTCTGTCTTTTCTAATATAGGAGATAAATAATATAAATTCCCCTCCAATCCATACTTAAGCTTCATCCCATGAATTTGAACATTTTTAAATTTTCATTTATTTAAAAAAACTTCTCATTTCATTTTGATTTCTGATATGACTAATGGGTTACTTAGAATATGTTATTTACTTTCCAAATATTTGGAGATTATCCAGATAATTTCCTGTTAGTAATTTACTATTTAATTCTGTTGCGGTTAGAGAATATACTTTCTATGATTTTCATTACTTAAGATGTATAGAAACTTATTTTATTATATAGGTTTTCTTGGTAAATATCCCATGTACACTTGAAAAGAATGCACATTCTGCTTTACTTCAATAGCATTCTATAAATTTCAGTTATGTCTAGTTGGTTAATAGAGTTGTTCAGATTTTGTATATCTCTACTGATTATGTCTACTTGTTTTAATAATTACTTGAGAAAGGTGTTTAACTCTCCTACTATAATTATGAATTTGTGCATTTCTTCTTGAAGTTTTATCAGTTTTCATGTATTTTAAAGCTTTGTCATTATGTGCATATGTTATATCCTCTAAGATTAACTGACTCCTTCATCATTATGAAATGACATTTTTCATCCCTGGTAATGTTCTTTGCTCTGAAATCTACTTTGTGTGATATTAATATAATCATGTCAGCTTTCTTTTGGTCAGTGTTAACATGGTTTTATTTTCCAGTCTTTTAACCAATTTGTGTCTTTATATTTTCAAGTGTTCTCTTTTTTGTAGACAACATGTAGTTGAGTCTTGTTTTTTAAAATCTAATTTGACTACATCTGCCTTGTAATTGAGGTGTTAGACCATTTATGTTACTGTGATTGCTGATATAATTGGGTTTAAATGCACCATCTTGCTGTTTATTTTCTATACGTTCAATCCCTTCTTTGTTCTCTTTTCTTTTGCTTTCTATTTTGGAATTATAGAATACTTTTATGATTCTATTTAATTTCCTTTGCTGACTTCATAGCTGTAACTTTTTAATGGTTTTTTTGTGGCTTATAATATAGCTGTTTAACTTACCACCATCTACCTTTAAGAAATATTATATTATTTCACATATAGTTAAAGAAGCTTGATGCAGTATATTTCCATTTCTACAGTCTTTGTGCTATTGTCATGTATTTTATCTCTCTATATATATTAAACCCAACAATACATGTGATTATTTTTGCTGTAACAATTCAATATTCTTTTAAAGAGATTTTTAAAATGTGAAAAAATGTATATTTACCCACATATTTACCATTTCCAGTGCTCTTTGTTCCTTTGTGTGGATCCATGTTGCCATCTGGTATTATTTTCTCTTTACTTAAAAGACTTTCTTGAGCATTTTGTATGAAGTGTGCTTTCTGGTGATGAAGTCTTTCACCTTTTGTATGTCTAAATAAGTCTTTATGTTTCATTTATTTTTGAATGATATTTTTGCTGGGTATATAATTCTAAGTCAACAGTTTTCATTTCAGTACTTTAATGACGTTCACTACTTTAAAGGGACTTCAAATACATATGCATTAGGCTACTTGGTATGTTCATACTTTTCTCTTTTTTTCTCTCTGTATATAATTTCAAATCGATTTTTTTGCTTCATAGCTATATATTCAAGTTCGCTCATATTTTCCAATATTAATTCCATCTAGTACATTTTTAATCAGACATTTTTCCCTATATTTGGAAGTTTAAATTGGTACTTTTTAATACCATCTGTATCTTTCCTTAACATACTTATCCTTTTCTCTACCCTCCTGATCATTGGGAAGATAGTTATAACTGCTTATCATCCTTTTCTACTAACTATATTATCTAAATTACTTCTTACTCTATTACTATTGATTGAAATTTGTTTTCATTATGTGGAGCATATTTTCTTATTTGTTTTCACACCTGGGCATTTTTTTATTGAATGCTAGACATTTTTAATTTTACCTTGTTGGGTTCTGGATATTTTTGTGTGTTCATACAAATATTCTTGAGCTTTCTTTTGAAGTACAATTGTCATGTAGAAACAGTGTAATCCTTTTGAGATTTAAGTTTTGTTAGGCAGAAACAGAGAAGCATTTAGTCTCTGAATTTTGTCTTACTATTGACCTAGTTATAGCCATTGCTCTTGGAACTATGTTGTATTTCCATTTTTGCTGGAATAAATACAAACTATTTCTGACCATGTGTTGGTCTTATGGATTTTTCTCTCTGCTTTTTCCAGGTGATTCATTTCTCAAATGCAGATTATTTCCTCATATTCATTCATCAATCAGTACTCAGTTGAATTTTCAAGAGGAATGCATTGTATCTATCCAGAGCTCTTACTCTGTAGTTGTCTCCTGTCTGACACCTTTCCCTGTGAATTGTAGCTGCTTTGACTTTGCCAGACTCCCAACTACATCTTCTTAACTCAGGCACACCACCAGGCTCTACCTGGGTCTCCTCTCCATGTGCTGTGGCCTGGAAACTTTGGCTCTAATCACAGGCATTCATAGCCCTTATGCATTTGTTTACTCCCTCTTTGGGATTTTTGTCCCATGATACTTGATGCCCAGTGCCTGAAAACCATTGTTTAATAGATGTTGTCCAAATTTTCAGTGATTTCAGCTGAAGTTTAAATCCAATTTCTGTTAGTTCATCATGGCTGGGAGCAGAAGTTTTGAGCCGCTCAATTTGTATTCAAAAATTATTTATCGTAATTTGGGGGGTCTAGGAGGATGTTTCATTTGTAACCAGAGGATTTGTACTGCCACTATAAGCATGTGACAGCAGTAAGAATAAAGTCCACTTTAAACTTAATTGAAGTGTATGGACCTCAAGTTTTGAACTGCAAACATTTGAAAACTCACTTATGGGTACAACTTCTCAGGGATTTGTTTTTCCTTTCTCTGCTCAGAGTCAGGGCAACCACAGTCCTTTGGTGACAGGAATGAACATATTTATTTTTGCATTTTTGCTTACTCCTTATATTAAGGTTTCCAACTCAATGTTTGAGAGATTCTTACTATATTTTCCAACTTGAGTGAGCTCTGGTTGTGAAAAGCACTGAAGGCTGCGAAAATCACTGAAGTTTTCAGCTGTGACATACACCCTCAGGACATAAGCAATTTTACTATTCCTGCTACTAGTGGAAATACAGCTGATCCAATGAACACTTATTGCATAACACACCACCATGAATCAGTGGTATAAAACAACAATGATTTTCTCATGTCAAAAATCTGTGGGTCAAGAATTTGGACAGGATTCAGCAGAAAGTGTTTGTTCCATAATATCTGGGGTCTCAGCTGGGACACCCTAAATGCTGGGGAATGACTCAAATGGCTGGCAGTTGGAATCATCTTTAAGCTTTTCTGCATAATTGTCTGCTACCTGGGTTATGATAAGATGAAAGCTTAGCTGTGTTTAGGTGGAACTGTTGACAGGAGGACCTGTGTATAACCTCTCAGAGTGTATTGGAATTCTCACAGCAATGTCAGATCACGTTATAGAAGATCTGTAGGATGAAAGACACTGTTGTCACTCTCTGGAAGATGCAGTTTGCAATATCCTTTCAAATTTTTTCATATATATCCAATGTTTTTAGTTGTTTTCACTGTGAAGAATTCCAGAATGCCAGAGGTCAATCTGAACATTTAAGCCTAAGCATATCACCAGATATGGAACTCTCAACTTTCATATATATTTTAGAATCAATTTTTCAGGTTCCACAAAAAATCTTAGTGGTATATGGATGGGTATTGCAAAGACCTTGCCATTAACTTTTAAATGGTTTTTTGTAATAACAATTGTCCTTATTCTTGAACTTACTTTTTTTAATATCTTATTAAAGTTTCACATTTTTCTACATTCAGGTCATGTATTCCTTTCTGTTTATTACTCAAATATTATAGTTTTATAGTTTTCTTAATGGCAACTACTACATTTTACTATATTTTCTAATTGGTTGCTAATGGTCCCTCATTTGTGAAAAAGCTTGCATATTCATCTTGTATTTTCCCATTCAACTTACTTTAATTTCTTAGTTGTTTTAAAAGTTTGTTTGCAGATTGTCATAAAATTTGAAGTCATGTAGCAATAATGATAGACTGTCTTGAAATTATATATGAAAGATAGAGTTGCTTCTTCCCTTTAACTGTATATATCATTTTATTTTCATTATTTCATTAGTTGGACTTCTAGCATAATGTTGAAGAATAGCAACAATAGAGGGTGTCTTCATCTCAATATCAACTCAAATTAGAAAGATTTATAATGTCTCACCATTAGATCTGATGTTCACTTAAATTTCTGGTACTTTATTAAGTTAAGAACACTCTATTTTGGACTTCTTTTACTAAATGTCTTTATTACTAATGAGTATTTATTTCCAGTAAATGTTTGTCACTACTCATTGAAATGAACAAATAATGTTTCATTGTTAATATATATTAATAGGTATTCTAATATGGGAATTTACTTTATCTAGAGAAATGCTATTTGATTATTCCTTTTTAAAATATGCTACTCAAATTTGACTTGTTAATACTTTATGTTTTTGCATTTATTTTATAATTGGCATATGGGGGTGTGTGTGTGTGTGTGTCTGCACTCACGCGCGTGTGTGTTCATTTTGGTACCTGTTGAATACACTAGCTTCATAAAATGAGTTAGGTAGCTTCATCTCATTTTCTTTGTTACGAAAATCTTTGTACAAGATGGGAAATTGTTTATTTTGTAAAGAGTTGGCAGAACTCACTATCTGGGTAAAAAGTATCTGGACCTGGTGCTGCTTCAGTTTCTTCTAGGGTTAAATGTTAAATTCAGTTATTCTACTATCACATGAACAGACTTAGAAATGCATACTTTCCTAGAAGTATATACATTTTATGTAGGTTTTATGTAGGTTTTAAAATTAATGGCATATAATTACTCATTCTCTTATATTTTAAATGTTACTCAGTTCCACTGTCAATTTTGGGATTCATAATGTGTTTCTCCTTTAGTTTTTTTCATAATCATATTTTCCAGTTTTTTGATTATTAATATATCTAAAAAGCTAGCTTTTGATTTCTGTTAAATAACTTTAGAAATATTTTTGCCATTTCATTTTCATTTTATTAATATATATTTCATTTTTATTAATTTATTTCTGGTTTTTCTAAGTTCTATGCTTTAATTTAATTTTATCTTTATTATTTTATAATAATGCCTCTAGGTGCATAAATTTTTCTCTGAGTTCTATTATGAGCATGGAGTATACATTTTGATAAATATCCTTTGAAAATAGCTTATAATTAATGTATCTTTTCTTCTTAATAAATTATTATTTAGAAGCATCTTCTTTACTTGATAGTTTTATAGGTTTGAAGGGAACTTAAAGCAGAGCTATTTTTTGTGATTAATTTCTTGTTTTCGTGCAATACGTTCAGTGAATAAAGCCTGTTCGTGAGGTCTGTTTTCGGTGGCTTTTTTGAGGTCTCTTTGTAGTTTATTAGTACATGGTCATTTGTTTCTCATTTCTTTTGATCTCTCTTTTGTGCTAAATCCTCTGTTGAATATAAACTTCTAAAAAATTCTATGTCTATCTATTAGATCAAGCTCGTTGTGTTACACAAATAGTTTATATCATTATTTATTATGTATTTCTATTTCAAACTCATGAAATCAATAGTTTCTAATAGTAAGTTTTAAACTTTCTCACTATGATTGTGGATTTATCCTTTTTTATATTTTTTAGTTTCACCTTATGTATTTTGTAACTATGTTGATTGGTACATAAAGAACCATTACTGCAATATACTGTTAAAATTCCTATGTTATATTAAGTCAGTATAAAATATCTATTTCTGTCCCTTTAAGGCTGTTTACTGTAAATTCTAAATGGTCTAATATTAACATTGCTATACTTTTTAACAATTTACTGGCTTATTTGTTTTCATTTTTTTATTACTCCAATATTTCTGTGTCATTTTGTTTTGAATAAGCTTTTCTATTGCCAACGAATGCAGTCTGATTTGAGTCTTCTAAATTTTCTCATAGTTGCCATACTAAAAAGAGATATCTTTCTCATTTTTGAGTGTAATCATGTATATTTTAAAAATATTTTAACTATCAACTCCAGGAAATTGAAATAGAAAGAGAGGGTGGAGCATTTACCTAGTGTGCCACTGTAGCATTTTTAGACTTACAGCTTACTATGACATCTCAAGGGTATTACTTTTTTATATGAAAATAATAACTTTTATTATATATTATGAACAATTCAATAAAGCCTTATTTTCGAGATATCTAAAAATAAGTTTAAATAAGGTTTTCTGTTTTTCCTTAGAAAAATAAATATTTAAAATTATCAATAATTATTGAAAAAGAATTATTAATTTTGTAAATTGGACATCTTTTTGACAGTTTTTTATTTGAAATCTGGTAAATTAGCAGTTGCATAATTTTCAGTACTACATCACCTGGATATTTTTCTATGGAATATATAGTTTGGAGATTCAGTTAAAGAAGAGAAAACTAGATAGCTGGCCTATCATTAATTTTAGTAGTGTATATTCCTTGAATTTCAATAGAAATAAAGATTTATGTATTACGTGTTTCTTATGGAATATTAAAATATAACTGTACTCTGAAAACTCAATAAAGTATTTTGTCAGTCAACAAAATGCATGTGTACAAAACAAGACAACATTTCTTCAGTAACCTGACATTTACTGAATTAACTCTATCTTGTTTAGTGGTAGGGAATGTCCAGGATGAAGGAGAGGTTATGACTGACTGCTTTCCAATTTTCTTGTCCTGGAACATTGGCCAGATGTCATGCAAAAATCAGAAAATATTTTGCTATTGTTAAATGGTTGAATAGATTAAGAATACGTTGGTCTTTTAAGTGTTCCCATAGAATCAGATGCTGCAAATATCAATGGGAGACATTATATTCTTTTTATATGCAACCATCTTCTGCTTTTATGCATTCCAAAAAGGGTCACATTATAACTCCAGAAGTAGGATGAAGTTGTAATCTGATACTAAGACTTCTTCCTCCTCCTAGGTAAGGGAGGGTGGTGCTTAAAGAAAGCTGGAACCCACTGCAATCCATTTTGAAGAGTGTCGGGTCCTTGCTGAACTGAATTTGAATGCTGGGTCTATTCAATCTATAAGTGACACATTGGGTAGATTATTTAATGTCTCTGTGCCTTAATGTTCTCATTTATGAAATTAGGATAACAATATCCAGTTCATATGGCTGCTGTAAAAATCAAATAAGATAATGTTTTTAAAGTTACAAATACAATGAAGCCATGGTAGAAATTGTATATTTTAAAAAATTAAAACTGATTCTAAATTATTTTTATTTACTCTAGAAGTGCTGGACTAAGGAGACAGCAGGGTTGCTACCCATGCTCTGGGACACTACTAGTTTTGTCAGACTGCTGAAATAGAAATAATGTCACAGAAGACACAAGGCAGAGGCAGACAAAGGAGAGAAAAATCTCAATTCAAGTCAAAACAAAAGATTTTGTGACTGTTCTTATACACAAACTAGATTAACTGCTATAAAAAAACAACAGTCAAATTTCAGTGGCTTAACATAGTAAAGATTTATTTCCTGCTGACTCCTCAGTAGAATGCAAGTAGGCAGTGAAGCCTCTGTGCCATGCAGTAATTCATGGAGTCAGTCTTCCTTAACCTAGAGGTTTCATTATTCCTAGTGTCTTGAAGATCGCAGGTTAATTTATTACATCTGGCAAGCAAGAAGTAAAAGAAAGTAAGAATAAAGAATCACATGGGTGTATTTTTAGGGACCATACAAACAAAAAGTATGTATAATTTCTGAATTTCTCATATTGTATTTGCCAGAACTCAGTCACATGTTCTCACTTACTGGGAGAGGGGAGGCTTGCAGATGTAATCTGTGTGTTTAAGGTGGAAAGAAATTGGTAAACACATAGTGTCATTTCTGCCACAGATGTGGTTTGATCAGGTGCCAGGATAAGGGGCGAGAGTCCACTGAACTTTTCAATTTCCTCACTTAAGTTTTTTCACACTCTTTTCTTATGGTCTTCAAAATAAACATACAATTATTGCTTAAACTGAAAAATAAACATGAGAATGGTTTGGGATTTGCTAATCAGTTCAGCTCAACAGGTTTTAGTTCAGTGCTGTATTCCTATGCCTAATTCTGTAAATTTGGTCAAGTCACTCCGACCTCTCCAAGTTTCGGTTACGTGAAAAATATCTATTTGTCTAAATCACAGAAATGGAATGCTAAATTGAGATAATACATGAAAATGTATTTATAAATTAGGAAGTGAGAGGCATTATTTTTGCTAATGAAAGATGGTTGAAAATATACTATAATACTGACTTGGCATTCCATTACCACTCTGCCCTGTCTTCATCAAGTCTATTAGCATCCCTGTGCAAATAATGCTGCTTAAATGTCAGGCATATATTTGAATTTCACATGTGTTATACAGCTGGAATCTATGTTTATTTAACACTTTCTTATACTGACAGAGTCCAAATAGGTTATGATATAAAAACAGTATGAAGTCATCACAGTGAACCAGATCCTACCATTACACGAGCCAAGGATTTGAAAGGCAAAGATTCAGATTATGTCAAGGGGGAAAAAAGTGTTTCTAGAGGTCAAGTTGGACAGGGATCTGAAAAGTGTGAGTTCAGTTGGTCATAAGCATTATTTAGATATGAGAATAAAAAAGAAAGCATAATATAGGTCTTACTTAATCTAACTATTCATCAAAGGATTGAAAACAGAAAATCATTTAGTTTGCCTTTTATTGTTACAGACATTATTCGACCTTTCGAAACATATTTCCTTTGCAATAAATCATCACTTATTTAACATTCATAACCCTATTTTTAATCAACTAAATGGAAACTTAAGATAAAATAATTTTCCATGTAAAACAGAAGATATGCCAGTTTTATGAAAGTCCAGGTTATTATTTTAGGTAGGCTGGAAAATGATTATTTTGTTTCTCTCTCTTCTCTTCTTTACCATTTTGCCTTTCCTCCACTGTCTTCATTATTTTTCCACAGGTTATCTTGACTGTATAGACATTTTGTGTGTTTTCATATTCCATAATATCTGGAAACCACAAAAAAGAATACTCAACTGTTGTGTATAATGCAGCTCTTGTTACTTCTGAGATAAATTTAAGAATAAATTCCTTATTCTTGCAATTTTAATGAAAAATTTATCTTAGCCTTTGATGTTTCTAAAGCTAATAAACTTATTGTCCTAATTATTTTCCTAGACTGAAATCTGATACTATTATACGTTTGTTTCATTTGTTTTCTTTGTTTCAAAGTCAAATGACACTGTGATTGATTTTGAATGACCATATTGTGCTTCAAAGTTAAAGACCATTTCTTGAACACATAGTTGTTTTGGCTTATATGTGAGATTATCTGTGTGTGTGTGTGTGTGTGCACGCGCACGCATGCACATGCACATGCACAAAACACAGAGAGAGAAGAAGAAGAGAGGGAATGTCTGTAAAATTATTGCTCATTATTTAGTCAGTGGCTATGGAAACTTCTCCTTTCCTCATGAATTCCATTCCTCCTAGCTCCTGGATTCCACCCACTGTTTCTTCTTCTACTTTTTGATTTCCTAGTAGCTACCATCATATACTATGGTGTAGGTGAAATTAATGAACATATCTATTCCTGGTACAAAAAATTGGGGGATAGCTTAGTGTAGAGACATCAGAGGAGATTTAGCTTCACTGTATTTTCAGTTGCCATCTGCTATTGGAAGCCAAAGTCAAACAATCCCATATACTTATTGTTTGTACATAGCTGACATGTCTTAAATCCTTCAAGGTTTCACCAGGCCAGGTTGTCATAAAACCTCTGGTAAACTTGACTGAAGCATGCTTTTTAGTAATAAAATGTTTGTAAAATGAGTTTTTGTTGCCGATGTAATTGTTGTTAAAAAACTGTATTACACATTTTGTGCCCAGGCTCTTGTCAATAAGATCAGATATGATAGATGGATCCTATCCTTTCATATTTACAGGCCAGGAAGCTTGACTTTTCAGTTTACCAAAATTAGTAAGAATCCAATATTGTCACACACTGCCAGAGTTCATAAACACTGATGTATAAAGCCAAAGCATGAACTTAATAATTTACAACGACTAATTAAAGTTGTTAAGGGTACCAGATACTTTCCTCTATTTGACTAGCACATTTTTCCCTATATATTAATTACATGCAATGTCAATTACCAGAAAGGTGTTTGTGGCCTTCAATCACAGGGAGGCACCAGTTGAGTGATTTGAATGTATAGCAGAATTTGGCTGTGATTATTTTGGATCTATTAAGATGATTTTACATATCTCTGCCAGAATCGAGTATAACTTCATGTATACTAACATGTATTACATAGGATAACCTATAAAGAAAACTTTTTTTTTTGCAAGTTCTTGAAAGGCACCACATTATTTTGCCAAGCATCAATGCAATATTATCTTGTTTCATATTGTTTTGTGACTAACAAATAGACACATGCTTCATCTGAAATTCACATAAAAGCCTTTAACTTCAAAGATTTTTCTTCTACAGACAAAATGCAACCATTTGGGGAAAATATTTGAACCCAGAAATTAGTACAATTAGCAAATGTATTTATAGGAATAAACAAGAATATCTTTTTCATCAAATCTTTAGCTACTAATAATCACAACTTAATTTACCATGAGAATTTTACACTGATTTAATGACAATACACCTTTATAACTCATGTTCTGTGAGTCACACAACTTTCTAGATAATTCTGTAATACAGAACATGTGAAGACTAGAAGTCTTTTCAGTTACTTTTAGTGAAATACTTTCTCGGGGCCAAATCTCCCATTTAGTTCTACTTTCTTATTTTATACATGCAGAATAAAAGAGTAGGGATAAAATTTGTTTCATTGTAGTCATGCTAAAGAAGGCAAAATCGATGTTCTGCAATGATTCATTCCCAAATACAGAGATTGGAGGCTGAGGGTGAATGTGCAGAGACGTACACATCTGTAAAGGGAAATAATTGGGTGCCATCTAAGGATGATAGTTAAGATGGTTGTCCTCTAATAATCTAGAAATAAAAGAAATGAAATCATATCTTGAAAGTATTATAAATCAGGACATGACACATGACAAGCTACCCAAGTAACAGACCTGTTTCCCCAGATGTTTTCCTAATAGGAATAAATGAAATGGTCAGCTATAAAGTTTTATTTCTCATTTTAATTTGAAATGTAAATTGTCTTTCAGAATTTTTCATTTCTTATAATTTAACATACTATGGTCACCATCCCTGAATCTAATCAAGTCTGGAATACTAATTAAAGTGTTTTCTTTTTTAAGAAAATAATGCCATCACATAGGCCATTGAAGCATCAGCCACTGACTTACTTAAGTGACATTCTATCAGAAAGTCCACTTCTGCCTCTACCTTGTAGTACAGTGACTGATGCTTTCAAGAGATGGCTCTGTAAATCTAAAATTATGAGCAGATGTCAGAAGCTTTCTAGATTCTCCAAAGAATGTATTCATCAGTTTCTTAAAAACCAACTAAAAGGAGAATTAGTTTTCCTCCAGAGAATGGGAACTCTACAGAGAGTTATTTAATGTATAGGCTTATATGTGTGTATGTCATTTGGTTTTACATGATAAGCATTTGGGTTTCTCCTACATAATTAGCACAAACATAGAATGAATGGGTACTATTATTGTCTTTGAATACTAGCAGTCTTAAGAAGCAGCTTAGTTTATTGGTGAGCTATTACCAGAAGTAATTGCTTAGCATAGTAAATAATAATCAAAATTGTAGTGGGTGAATATATGATTCATCAAAATAAAGAAAATTATAATTTTCTCAAAATGATTATTAGAAAAATTATTTATACTAATTTTAATGCAAAGACCTTCACGATACATTCATATTCTAGGATACTATGCACGTATTAAAATCTTGTTTTTGAAGAATATTTAAAAACATGGGGATAGTTTCTCAAGTAAAAATTCAAGCTAATAAACAGAATATTTACTAAGATCTCAATAATGATATTGATGAAGAGATAGAAATACGCATATAGATACAAAAGACACAGATACAGATGCAGATAGGGTACATGGTTGTATCATCTTTAGATGACATAATCGTCGTTTTTAGTTTTAGTTCATACTTTATACTTTCTTTTTTTTTTTTTTTTTTTTTTTTGAGACGGAGTCTTGCTCTGTCGCCCAGGCTGGAGTGCAGTGGCGCGATCTCGGCTCACTGCAAGCAAGCTCCGCCTCCCGGGTTCACACCATTCTCCTGCCTCAGCCTCCTGAGTAGCTGGGACTACAGGCGCCCACCACCACGCCCGGCTAAATTTTTTTTTTTGTATTTTTAGTAGAGACGTGGTTTCACCGTGTTAGCCAGGATGGTCTCAATCTCCTGATCTCGTGATCCACCCGCCTCGGCCTCCCAAAGTGCTGGGATTACAGGCGTGAGCCACTGCACCCAGCCTATACTTTCTTAAATTATTATACCCAAAAGGTGAACTCATAATATTTATTGTCGAAAAAGGATGGATAAATTAAATGAAAAGAAAAGTATGTATGTTTGTGTATGTATGTGTGTGTTTACATTTTATGCCACTTTTTCTGACATTTAAATGTGGTAGGGTACTATATTGGTTTGCTAAATTTATTTTCTACTCTCGTGCTAGAAATCATAAACTCGATTTCATTTTCAAGTGTTACAATTTGATCAGTGATTCCACTCATCTCCTAAATTATTTGATATGAAATTATCTCTGCTCTACTTAACCCTCAACATGTACTTGCATAACATTTTTACTTAAAAAATTGGTCAACTCAGAAGATTGCAGATTTCCAAGATCCTTTGTTTGGCCCGCATATCAGTTTTGTTATCTCATTACATCAAAGGATACTTATCTCTCTTAACAATTAGCAAATTTTGTTGAACATAAGTTTCTCGACATCAGGGATTATATCTTATTTAACTTCTCAGACCTTGAAATATTATATAATAAATATATATTGAACTGCATATCATAAAAATGTTCACCCCTTCCTTCCTTTTTGTTGTTTTAGCTTCATTCCAACTAAAACATGGCAGTGTTTTATTTATTTTTGACAGCAGGTATGCAAAAACTATTCTAAATTTTATTCAGAAAAATAACAAGAAAAGATAAGAAAATTAGTGGGTTACAGATGCAAGAATACATGGATAAATCAGATAGCCATTGACAAACCCTGTAGACATGAGAATTTAATATGTGATAAAGATAATACTGCATATCAGGAATGGAGGGGTTAATCTATAAATATGTTTTATTTTAAAATAGTCAACTTAGAACCACAGCTCATTCCCAAAATCAAAGTAAATTTTAGGTGTATCAAACGTTAACACTAAACCATAGAAGAAATTAGGGCTAGAATAAAATATGTCAGAATACCTGAATAATCAAAACCATTTAAGCAGGGGTTCTCATCCCTCAGGCCATGGACTAGTACCAGTCCGTGATCTTTTAGGAACCAGGCTGCACAGCAGGAGGTGAGCAATGTGCAAGTGAGTGAAGCTTCATCTCTATTTACAGCTGTTCCCTATCATTTGCATTACTGCCTGAGCTCTGCCTCCTGTCAGATCAGTTGCAGCATTAGATTTTCATAGGAGCTCGAACCTGTTGGAAACCCCCCATGTGAAGGATATAGGTTGCACACTCCTTATGAGAATCTAATACCTGATGATCCGTCACTGTCTCCCATCACCCCCAGATGGGACCAACTAGTTGCAGGAAAACAAGCTCAGGGCTCCCACTGATTCTACATTATGGTGAGTAACATAATTATTTCATTATATATTACAGTGTAATAATAATAGAAATAAAGTATACAATAAATGTAATGCGTTTGAATCATCCTGAAACCATCCCTCAGCCTGGTCCATGGAAAAATTATCTTCCACAAAGCTGGTCCCTGGTGCCAAAAAGATTGGGACCACTGCATTTAAGCATAAAAGTAGGTGAAGACATCATGAAAGAATGTATTGACACATTTGACTACGTAAAAGATTTTTTTACAGAAACCTCATTTGTTTAAAAAAAAATCAGAGAATTAAAAGGCACATAACAAGTAGTAGAAGATTGCCACAGAGATTAATGACTTTAATAAAGAGTTACTAATAAGTGATTTAAAAAAATACTAAAACTTCATAACAAAGATCATAAAAAAGCAATTTATAAAAACATAGATTAAAAATAAAGTATTGTTATAACAACATTCCGTAATGGTCAGAATGAGGTAAGATGGAACTATAAAGCTGGAATCACCAAAGAAACAGTATATTATGCTCTTCACATTGGTTATTAAAACAACACAAGAAGAAATGCTTGTCATAAAGATTTTCTCAAGAATCGGGAGCTTCTTTTTGTCAGTTAATAAGAAAATTAAATTAACCAGAACATCTGCTTTTCTAAGAATTCCAGTCAATTATGATACTAATGTGGATGCTATTTTTGCTGTGATGCTCCTTTTTCATTTCCTGTGTTTTATTTTTGTGCTTTCTTTGTATTTTTTTGGTTACACTTGCCAAACCTGTCTATATTACTGGTTTTTAAATTAAAGAAGATCACGTAGTTGTCGCTGGCAAGATGGCCCAATAGGAAGAGCTCCGGTCTGCAGCTCCCAGCAAGATCAACACAGAAGGCAGGTGATTTCTGCATTTCCAACTGAGGTACCCGGCTCATCTCATTGGAACTGGTTAGACAGTGGGTGCAGCCCACAGAGGGCAAGCTGAAGCAGCGTGGGAAGTCGCTTCACCTGGGAAGTGCAAAGGGTCAGGGAACTCCCTCCCCTAGCCAAGGAAAGCCTTGAGGGACTGTGCCATGAAGGATGGTGCACTCCGGCCCCAGGTAGTATGCTTTTCCCATGGTCATTGCAACCCGCAGACCAAGAGATTCCCTTGGGTGCCTAGGCCAGGGCCCTGGATTTCAAGCACAAAACTGGGCGGTCATTTGGGCAGACACCAAGCTAGCTGCAGGAGTTTTTTTTTCATACCCCAGTGGCACCTGGAATGACAGCGAGACAGAACCATTCACTGCCCTGAAAAGGGGGCTGAAGCCAGGGAGCCAAGTGGTCTAGCTCAGCAGATCCCACCCTCATGGAGCCCAGCAAGCTAAAATCCACTGGCTTGAAATTCTCACTTCCAGCACAGCAGTCTGAAGTTGACGAGGAACACTCTGGCTTGGTGGGGGGAGGGAGGTCCACTATTACTAAGGCTTGAGTAGGCAGTTTTCCCCTCCCAGTGTAAACAAAGCCACTGGGAAGTTCAAACTGGGCGGAGCCCACCGCAGCTCCACAAAGCCACTGTAGCCCGACTGCCACTCTAGATTCCTCCTCTCCAGGCAGGGCACCTCTGAATAAAGGGCAGCAGCCCCAGTCAGGGGCTTTTAGATATAACTCCCATCTCCCTGGGACAGAGCACCTGGGAGAGGGGGTGGCTGTGAGAGCAACTTCAGCAAACTTAAACGTTCCTGCCTGCCAGCTCTGAAGAGAGCAGTGGATCTCCCAGTACAGTGCTTGAGCTCTGCTAAGGGACAGACTGCCTCTTCAAGTGGGTCCCTGACCCCCATGCCTCCTGACTGGGAGACACCTTCCAGCAGGGGTCGACTAGGTATTAATGGAATGTATCTCAAAATAATAAGAGCTATTAATGACAAACCCACAGCCAATATCATACTGAATGGCCAAAAGCTGACAGCATTCCCCTTGAAAACACACAAGACAAGTATGCCCTCTCTCACCACTCCTATTCAACATAGTATTGGAAGTTCCGGCCCGGGCAATCAGGCAAAAGAAAGAAATAAAGCGTATTCAAATGGGAAGAGAGGAAGTCAAATTGTCTCTGTTTGCAGATGACATGATTGTATATTTAGAAAATCCCATCGTCTCAGCCCACATTCTCCTTAAGCTGATAAGCAACTTTAGCAAAGTCTCAGGATACAAAATCAGTGTGCAAAAATCACACACATTCCTATACACTAACGATAGACAAACAGAGAGCCAAACCATGAGTGAACTCCCATTCACAATTGCTACAAAGAGAATAAAATACCTAGGAATGCAACTTACAAGGGATGGGAAGGACCCCTTCAAAGAGAACTACAAACCACTGCTCAACGAAATAAAAGAGGACACAAACAAATGGAAGAACTGCACTCCAGCCTGGGTGACTGAGCAAGACACTGTCTCAAAATAATGATAATAATTGGGAGCATTGCAAAAGACTCTAGGGAGTCCTTTCAGTGGCACAGAGGCATGAAACTCTGCTTGTACCCTTCTCTGACTTACACAAAGCAAAAGCAATCCACTGCTGGGAGAGAAACAGGAAACTCCTGCCCCCAGGACCCAGGCAATGTTCCTGGGGGAGTGGAGGAGAAATGGAAGTTGCCTCTGAAGGAGGAGGAAGAGCAAAGATGGACTGCTCCTGAGGGAGAGGTAGAAGCAAAACCCTCTGCCTCTGAGGACAGGGGAGGAAGATCTTCCTGCCTCTACCGGGAGCCTTGTACTAGTAACAAACAATATCAGTCTACCACTGGACAGTGCCAGGCAAAGGTGCAATAGCACCAGTAGGGGTGAGAGACAAAGGTCATCTGCTCATGGGAGAGGAGAGGAGCCAAACTCCTGCACTGATTCAAGTAGGGGTCTGAGAGAAAGCCAGGATACTGTCTCAGGCCCAAGACTTCACATAGAGATGACACAGTTTGGCTGCCACAAGGAGAGGTGTAGGAATGCTGTTAAAGCCGCACCTCTGAGGCCAAGAAGCACAGGGCCAGCCTGAGGCTGAGGCAGGATCAAGAGAACTGAGAACTCCAAGAGCTTGCTATTTATTGCGAGACCATGAAGACAGACTCCTCTGTGGGGCAGTTGAGTGGGGTCTGCTGAAAGCTGAGAATGAAACAGAAGACTGAGTAAAACCTCCGGCACCCCAGAACCCTCATTAAGCCAAAGAAGAGCACCCCATTGTTGGAAGAATTTGAAGTCCTAGTGCACTGAAATGGTGACACCAATGACAAAATTCCAAACTAGCTCAACTTATGAAGAGACTGATTCATTTACTCATATTAACAACCAGTCAGGAGAAGAATTGAGATTTATTTCTTTCAATTTCCACTCTTCTTTCATACACTCCAATCAAAGAGGTCAAAAGGAACCTATGAAGAGAAGCCATCAATATCCTGAATTCTAGGATCTTCTAAGAGACCTATTTGATTTTCTACTGGTCTTTTCAGTCATTGGTAAGGCTGTTACATCATTGGTAAGGCTCCAGGATCATGTCATCCAGGTTTCTGGTGCAAATGAAGTGAGTTTTATTCAGCTTTCCCCAATCAACATTTTTCTTTTTAATCTACTTTGTTTTCTTTCCCTTGTGCTTGTCACTGTTATCTTCCCTATCTGAATCTCAGACTTATCCCCATCATTCTTTCCTAGCTCACCTTTTTCTTATTCTTCTCATCTGTCTCCTCATCTCTGGCTTTCCTCTTTCATTTCTTCTCCAAAGAAAAAGCAATGAGATGGTCAGTGAAACAAGGGTGCATCTTCACTGCTTCCTGACAAGCCTCCTTCTAGGTATTCAGTCTAATTTTCTTGAAGATAAAGATCACTTTGATACACAGGCTAATAAGTTCATTGTAGTCAGAACAGACTGTGAAGGAGTCCCCAGCAGAAAACACCCAGATACGCTGCTCATTTTCAGTGCTTAGTGAGCACAACTTTCTGCCATCAGGTAGGCAGAATAAAAGCCAACACCAACCCATCCAATCATGGAGATATCTGCACCGGTGGGCAAAGCTTCCCTAAAACCTTGGCAATAGTTGATAAACTATTATGATGGTATTAGCCTTGATCATGCCAATTCCCGTGTCTGCAAGAGTTAGGATCAGTCTGGGAGATCGAGAATGATGTCTACCTTTAGTTCTTTATGACTAGCCATCTAACTTGGAACTGTCTATTAGGCTTTAATGGCAAATCTTGTCCAGGGTATCAGAAACAATAGAGGTTTGTTATTTTCCTTATTCGAGTAAGAGATATTGATGATAAAAGACTAGGCAAACTTCCTGGGAGGCAAAGGTTTCCACCTACTCCTCTTGATGGTACACTTCCTCGGGCAGTTGGAACAAGGGCAGAAAGAACCAGAAAGGAACCACAAAGACTATTCCTGTTTCTCCTTGTGTGGATGGCACAGAACTGACTAAAGAGCCCTTAGTTATTTTTGTACACTAACTCTGTGCAATTTTGAAAGAGGTATATTAAAATCTCCATGAAAATTTAGTGCACTATCTTCTTTTTAATAGTTTTAGTTAATATTGTATCGTGTATACAGGTTTAAAGTTTTCATAAATTATGCCTTTTACTATCACATAGTATTTCTCTCTGTTCTGTCTTACTGAGCTTAACTTTAAATTCCACCTTCTATATTTATACTTCCCTGACTGCTCTTCTTTTATTTATATATCCCTAGTGTCTATCTGCTTATCTATATATCCCTAGTGTCTATCTGCTTACTCCTTTTTTTCAACATTTTAAAAAATTTATTTGTTTCAAATGTGTTTTATTTTTTAAAAATCACATAATTTTTTTTCCTCCAAGGCTGACAACTGCTGCACTAATAGAAAAAATCCAGTCCATTCATATTTAGAGGAACAATTTAAATAATTGTTTATTATTTTCATTTTTATGTATGCTTACCACTTAATTTATTTTATTGTTTCTTCTTTTTCCTTTTTCTAATTTTTTACTAGGTTACTTATTCCAGTTTTAACTTTGTTAATCTACAAGTCCTGGTCCTTCTCTTTCTTCCAATTCTTGACACTCAATCCAATATATATTTTTATAATATTACATCAAACCAGATACCACCTCTGACCTTATACTACTCTATTTATCCACTGCCTTATTGCTCCAATTCCTGTCAAAATAAATCCCTTAGAACACTTTTGATTTTTGTTGTTTCTCCCTACAAACTCCTTGTTTCCCCCTACAAACTTCTAAACAGAGTTTAGAACTTTTATTCTAGAGTACTGTTGATTTTCCATTACAATATGTTCCTTCTCTTAAAAAAAAACTGTATTTATCAGTTATGTTACTAATTCACAGTCACAATATTATTAAATATATTCACTAAACTATTTCTACTGAAAGATTTATTGCTCATTGTATTTTTCCTTGCTATTCTACTTTTATGGAGGGATCTGGTTTATAATTCATTCCTTATTTGTTAGGGGAGAGTTTTTCTCACATAGATCACCTATATTTTCTAGGTCCTTGCATATCCATAATGTCATTTTTTATGTCTTGATCTGAGAATTATGTCTTTGCTAGGTATAGAATTTTCTGATTACTCTCTTATTATCTTAATGCCTGTTATCCCGCTATTCCCTTGTTACCAGTGCTATGAATAAGTAGTTCAATGCCACTCTGATTCTTTATCCTTTAGTTTTTAACTTATTCTTTCTGATTATGAGCTTCTGCATTTTTCTCTTTATTGTTAGATTTCAGGAATCTTGTCAGAATATGTGTGTTTTTATTCCCCATCTACCCTGCCTGGTATTCAGTGAGCCTTTTCAATCTTTAGGGTCTTTGTTATTAAAATCAAGGTATTTTTCCATTTTTTTCTTTTAACTTATGCTAGGTCTTCTGGGTCTATCCTATGAGATTTTTATCATTTATCTTATTTTTTTTCACATTTTATTTTCACTCTGTGTTTGAAGTAGTTTTACCCTTCTTTTCCATTCACTGATTTGGTTCACAACAGTGATCATCTTCCCTCAAGTCAGCTACTAATAATTTTTTAATTCAAAAATTATCTATGTTTCTTCCAGAAAGTCAAACATATGTTATAATTGACTCTACTTAAAGGGACTTAGTATTTTGTTTGTTGAAGTTGATGAACACGGTTATGTGTCACATCTTACAGCTCTAGTTCACAGGGGCCATCTGTTCTAAGGGTTCTGCTTCATTCCTTTAGCATTATCAATGTTTTCATTCATCTACTCATGATTTTTATTCAACTTTAGTAGCTATGTCAGGTTTCCCGGGATAGTCATGTGACGGGAATTCTAAGAATAATAGAATAGATATAATTGGCTTCTTGTGAGAAAGTGATATGTAACTACCAACTGTCAGATCTCTGTTGAGGCACTAGACGGAGGCCACTCTGATCTTCATTCTCACCAGTTTAGAATGCCATTTGTTTTTAGAACCTCCCTGAGTGAGATTTTATCAATGTAAATAAAATGATTTTTACTTTCTTAATTAAAATATTTCAATGACTTTTGATTGTACTTGGAATTAAATCTAAACTCTTTTTTGTGGTCTGCAAGATTTGCATAATTTTTGTGCTACATCTCCAGCACTACACTTGGTGTAAGTCTTCCATTCTGTTTTCTATTCTTTCAAAATAGTTTAAATTCTCTGGTCTCTCAATTGTACTTTTATTTTCCAATGTTCTCATGGCATTTTAATTTTATGTATTTTTAGTTATTTCAATAAGTTCAAAAAGTTAAATTCAATTGTTCAGCCTACTGCATTGAACCATAAATCAAGACATGTAAGCAAAATTGTGTGTAATATCTCATAGATTCTATAATAGGCATATGTGAGGAATAGTGTTGAGCATTAAGGAGCAAGTGGCTATATGTATGTGAATTGAATAGTTGTTAAGAAAATGGCTAATAAAGGAAGTGACATGAACTCAGAGACTGTAATCACCTTGATATTATAAACTATAATTAATTCTTCTTTGAATATCTCAATACTGGTTATCTATTAATATTGAATGGTTATGTTAACATATTACATAGTGAAATAAGTGATCCTAACCCTTTCTAAATTCTAGGGAGCTTCTACTGTTTTATTATTACTAAAGGATTAGAGCTTGGGTAGACTGCTCTTCTTTTGGGAAGTTTAATAAGGAGTCTTTGTAAGTGTGTATAGATAGTACCATGGTTAAGACTATCGCAGATATTGAAAAATAGTTTACTCTTCAAAATAAATTACAGAAATCTTAGCAAGCAGAAAAAAGTGTTGGTGGAGGAAGTAAAGAATGGGAGAATCACCTCAGTGAAGTGGGGAGTAATCAATATACAGGCAGAGTGAGACCCATGGACATTCGTGTCCACTGAGAAATTCCTGTGTTGAAGGTGACTAGAAAATTTATGATGACCAATACTCAATCATACATTGTTTCTCTGTTAGTACTAGGGTAGTAATTCTTTTCACTTCCTGCAAGCTTTCAGTAGAATATGTTACAAATAAAAGCCTTTTGCTAGTGATGTTCTAAGGAATTAATGATTGGGTAGAGAGGAACTGAGAGAGGAGGTCCACAGAAAGTGAGACAGTGGTGGGCACCAGGCACAATAAACATACTGGCACTAGGAATTCAGACTGTGCATAGGAACAAGGAAATAAGTACTTTAGGAAATTTTCAAAAATATTATGGATCTTGTTGGACTTTTTACAGTACATGTGAGATATTATTTGCATATTAAAAGAAAGGGCAACCGAAACCCTATCAACCTCAGAAGGCTAAAGGATTTAGGACGTTAGGTTACAAAGTACTTTGAGATATCTAGGTTACAAATTTATGTGTGTCTGTGTCAGGGGTGGGGTTGTTAAAGTGAACTGCACTACGTCATTTTAAATGCAACTCAATTTCTGTCCTTACATAGTCAGCAATAGTGAGAACTGACATTTGTGATTTACTCGTAGATTTTGAAACATTGAAGAATATTTTCTTGATGTTGTAAGCTCTAGTGAGCAAATTTGAGGACACTGAAAAAGGCACTAGCACCTGCACATAGTGCACTTTGATATATATTTGTTGCATGAATCAATCAATGAATTAATCAGTGCATGAATAATTGAGTGAATGAATGAATTAATGAAAAGGAACAAATGAATGAGCCAGGGGAACTGGATTTAGTTCTGACTTAACACCTTTGGGCTTTTTTAAAATCCATAAATGTAAAGAATTTGAATTTTAATTTTAAGCACCTTTCAAGTTCTAATAATAGAAAGTTTATTATTATAAGATTTCAAACTGTAAGACAACACTTACAAAAATCAAACAAAGTGAAATTTAGAAGTGTTATGGTACTCATTAAACTAAATTTATTAATTACATTATTGATTTTCCTAATATTTACAGAAATAATATATTTCTGTATGTATATGATTAGTATGAGAAACAAGAGCAATTAATACAAATGAAAACAGTATAAATGCTCAGTCAGCCTCAAGGCTAAACTTTTTTCTGCTAAGACTTTAAAGACCCAACACAGTACTTGACCTTTAGTGAACTCTTAGTAAATGTTTGTAGGATAAATGAATGAATAATTAATGGTTACATTATATAATCAAATATTAAATATTTAGCTTAATGTTGATATATTTTAACTCTCTTTTGTATTCATTTTAATTCTTTCCATTAATTTTCAGTTATAATAAAAAAGAGAGAAATGGAAATGGGTTTAAGCTTTAGTGTGAGGGATTTATATTTCGTTTAAGAAAGACAATTTGGCAGAGAAGATTGTTTGATAATAGAACAGTTTACTGAAAGAAATTGGAAAATTTCTTAAGAGATTAGTGTTAGCACAGTACAAAGGCAGAAAATTAAATTAAGTCAATAGTTTCAAATGTATGCATTTTATATCTCATCAAAGACTGTATAGAAACAAAACTCCCCCATTTGGTGAAAAGGACAAGTATTTAATGTATAACATTAGATGAGTTGTAGGTAAGTATGTAATTACAGTAGCATTTTAGAAAATGAATTTTATTAATATCTCAAATAAAATGTTAATTTCATTAGTTTTTATTCATTTGAAAAAATAAAGGGGCTACTCTTGTTGCTATTTTAGGCATAAGGACTACAAAAATGAAATGACAACCTTAAGGGACTCATACTTTAGTGGTGAAGTCAGACAAATAAGACAACATTTCCAGGACAGCCTAATATTTTTAATATGTAAAGACCAGGGGACTCTGGGAGCAACAAAGAAAGAACACTTCAGAGGTTAGGGAATGATTTACAAAAATGTCTTTGAAGACCATTAGAAAATCTCTCAGGTAGGAAAGGAAATATTTCTCTGGTAGAGGGAGATGGACTTGTAGGACTATCAGATTCTAAGTTGTAGGGTCATGAAAGAGCATGGTTTGTCCAAACACAATTGAATATTTACTTAGTGTCTACTATGTTCCAGATATCTGAGGTGTAGAATATACAGTGAAGAACAAACCAGACATTATCTCCAACTTCAGGTTGTTCCAGGCTAATATTTACAAAGATTTTGGTAACATTTAATAAAGTGTTTACTTGCCCTTGTTGAATACTAGCTATTGCTGTTTATTAAACCTATGTTACAGTTCCAGTAGTGGCTTGTGTTTTTCTGTGCAAATGACATATTGGTTTTTGAATTCTTTTGTTTTTAATATTTTTATTGAAAACCCAACTGTTTCAATCTATTAGCTAAGGACAGACTTGGCTGTTGAATTTGAAATTTATGGCAAAGTTAAAAAACACGTAGTCTCTGAACATATATACTAATTACTCTAAGTTTTTAATCCATTTTACAGAAATTTGGTAATTATCAAATGGAATATTCTGACTACTCGTTTAAACCAGATCACATTTTGTTAGAAATGGTGTATGAATTCAGAAGGTCTTAATGGCCATGTTCCAGTGTCATCAACCAAGAAACAGTGAATCTCCAAAAAAATCATTTTCCTGACCCAATTTGTGGACTTCGTTAATTTAACTTTCTTCATCTTCTGATGCACAGGCCAGAAATGGAATTGTTGCCTCTGAGTGTTAAAGTAATATAAATAATTTATTATTTTCATTGTTGACCAGCATTTTGTTGTTCTTTTGATAAAGACTAATGGTTTTTCAGAGACTTTGTTTGATCAAATTGTATTTGATGAGAGTAATTTTTTCTCCTTTTCCATTGGTTTGAACAGTAACTAAGTCTCCATTAAATTAAAAATGTATTATTCTACATATGTAAATTTGAAGTGAGTTATACTTGACAAAAAACCTGCTTACTTTCATTATTTCAGTTGTTAAAAACTTACTCAAATACCCTCATTGAAGATTTTCTTTATCTTATTTTATTTTTTCTGAGCTCTACATATACTTTCAACTTCCATCATGGTCTCTATATTTACTCATTCTCCGTGATCTAAACACTATTAAACAATTTTTAAAAATATATTTGTATTCAAAGTATCAAAATTTGCATCAAAATATGAAACAGGTAGTTAAAGCATAAAATTAGCTTAACATATATTCAAACATATTTTCAAAGGATAACTTTCAACTTTCTAGTATGAAAGTTAAAAGCCAAAATGGTCACAAATAACTATATCTGTATTAGTCCATTTTTATACTGCTGTGAAGAAGTACCTGAGACTGGGTAATTTACAAAGAAAAAGAGCTTTAATGGACTCACAGTTCTACATGGCCCGGGAGGCTTCACAATCATGGCAGAAGGTGAAGAAAGATCAAAGGCACATCTTACATGGTGGCCAACAAGAGAGCATGTGGAGGGGAACTGCCCTTTATAAAACCATCAGTTCTTGTGAGACTGAATCACTATCATGAGAACAGCCTGGGAAAAGCCTGTTCCAATGATTCAGTCACCTCCCACCATTTCCCTCCCATGACATGTGGGGATTATGGGAGCTACAATTCAAGAAGAGATTTGGGTGGGGGTTGGGGACACAACCAAATCATATCAATATCTCAAATAAGTTGTTAAGGAACACACAATATAAAAAGATATAAATTAAGGCAACCATAATATAAATTGTGGGAAAAGGGTAAAAGTCTAGAGTATTTATATGCAACCAAATTTAAGTTGTTATCAGCTTAATATAGTATGTGATAGCTACAAGATTCTTCATGTTTGCCTCGTGGTAACCACAAAAAAAATTACAGCACATACACAAATGGTAAAGAGAATTAATTCAAAACATAGCACTACAGAAAACCACCAAACCACAAAGGATTAAAAAAAAAAAAAAGAGGCAGAAAGGAACAAAAGAGCTACAAAACAATCAGAAACAATTAACACAATGGCAAAAGTAAGTCTTTACCTATCAATAATAAACTTGAATGTAAATGAATTAAATTCTTCAATTAAAAGGTATAGAGGCTGGGTGCAGTGGCTCATGCCTGTAATCCCAGCACTTTGGGAGGCTGAGATGGGCAGAGCATGAGGTCAGGAGATCAAGACCATCCTGGCTAACACGGTGAAACCCCGTCTCTACTAAAAATACAAAAAATTAGCGGGGCATGGTGGCGGGTAGCTGTAGTCCCAGCTACTGGGGAGGCTGAGGCAGGAGAATGGTGTGAACCCAGGAGGTAGAGCTTGCAGTGAGCTGAGATTGCACCACTGCACCCCAGCCTGGCAACACAGTCAGACTCCATCTCAAAAAAAAAAAAAAAAATGATATAGAGAGGCTACTAAATGGGCAAAACCAAAACAATACTCAAGTATATACCGCCTACAAAAGACTCACTTCATCCGTAAGGACACACATAGACTGAAAATGAAGCTGTTGAAAAAGATATTCGATGCAAATAGAAACCAAAAGTGAACAAAAGTAGCTAAATTTATACCAGATAAAATAGACTTTAAGTCAAAAACTGTAAAAAGAAGACAATGAAGGTCACTATATAATGATAAAGGGATTAATTCAGCAAAATCATATAACAGTTATAAATGTATATGAACCCAACATCAGAGCTCCTGAATATATAAAGCAAATATTATTATATCTAAAGGGAGATATAGAGTGTAATAGAAGAATAGTAGGGGACTTCAATATACCACTTTCAAAGGTGGACAGGTCATCCAGACAGAAAATCAATAAAGAAACATTGAATTTAAACTGCAGCCTTGATCAAATGCACCTAACACATTTATAGAACATTTTATCCATAGCTACAGAATACACATTCTTCTCAACTACTTATGGGCCATTCTCCAGGATAGATTATATGTTAGGGCACAAAACAAGTCAACAAATGTCAGAAGACAGAGCTCATATTGATGATCTTTTCTGGCTGTAATGGTATAAAACTAGAATAAAAGTAGGAATTTCAGAAACTTTACAAATACATGGAAATTAAGCAACATGTTCCTGACCAAGGAGTCAATGAAGAAATTCTAAAAAAAATTTAAACTTTTTTTCAGACAAATGGAAATTGCAATACAGCATACCAAACCCCACAGAATACCACAAAAGCAGTTATATGAAGAAAGTTTCCAGCAATAAATACTTGTATAAAAAAGAAACATCTTAAATAAACAGCCAAACATTGCACCTCAAGGAATTAGAAAAATAAGTAAAAGCTAAACCCCATAAACTAAATTAATAAAAAAGGAAATATTAAATATCAGAGCAGAAATAAAGACTACAAAAACAATTTAAAAATCAGTGAAACAAAAAATGAGTTTTTTGAAGTGATAAAACTGACAAGCTTTTAGCTAGACTATCAAAAAAGAAAGAAGACTCAAATAAAATCAGAGATAAAAATAAACAACATTGCAACAGATATCACAGAAATATGAAGGATCGTAAGAGTCTATTATGAACAATTATACACAAACAAAATAGATAACCTCGCAAAAAATGAACAAAAGCATTGGACACATACATCTACCAAGATAGAATTATGAAAAAGTAGAAAATCTGAACAGACCAATAATGAATGAAGAAATTAAATTAGTAATAAAAAGTGTCTTATAGAAAAGAACTCGGCCAGGTGTAGTGGCTCAGACCTGTAATCCCAGCAGTTTGGGAGACCGAGGTGGGCAGATCACCTGAGGCCAGGATTTCGAGACCAGCCTGGCCAACATGGCGAAACCCCATCTCTACTAAAAATAAAAAAATTAGCCGGGTGTGGTAGGGGGAGTCTGTAATCCCGGCTACTTGGAAGACTAAGGCCAGAGAATCACTTGAACCCGGAAGGCAGAGGTTGCAGTGACCCGAGATCCTGCCATTGCACTTCAGTCTGGGTGAGAAGAGCAGAACTCCATCTCAAAAAAAAAAAAAACCTCATTAATTGAAAAGAAGAGAATACTTCCAAGCTCATTCTACAAGGCCAGCATTACCCTAATACCAAAACCAGACAAGGACACACAAAAAGGGAAACTACAGGTCAATATCCCTAATTAACATAAATGCAAAAATCCTCAACAAAATACTAGCAAACTGAGTTTCTTAACATTAAAAAGACTATTTACTCTGATTATGTGGGTGTATCCATCTGTTCTCACACTGCTATAAAGAACTACCTGAGACTGGGCTCTTTTATTAACTTACACTTCCACAGGCTGTACAGGAGGCATGGCTGGGTGGGGGCGGTGCTCAGGTAGCTTACAATCATGATGGAAAGCAAAGGGGAAGCAAGCATGTTTCCCGCTTACAGGAGAGAGAGAGAGAGAGAGAGAGAGAGAGAGCACAAAGGGGGAAGTGTTACACACATTCAAACAAGCAGATCTCATGACAGCTCACTCACAATCATGAGACCAGCAAGAGAGAAATCAGCTTCCATGATCCAATCACCTCCCACTCCCACTATTTCCCTCCCCCATCACTGGCAATTACAATTCAACATGAGATTTGGGTGGGACACAGAGCCAAACCATGTCATTCCTCCCCCGGTCCCTCCCAAATCTCATATTCTTCTCACATTTCACAACACAATCAGGCCTTTCCAACCGTCCCCCAAAGTCTTAACTCATTCCAATATTAACTTAAAAGTCCAAGTCCAAAAATCCCATCTGAGAAGAGGCAAGACCCTTCCACCTATGAGCCTGTAAAATCAAAAACAAGTTAATTACCTCCAGGATACAATGAGCGTACAGGCATTTGGTAAATGCTTCCATTCCAAAAGGAAGAAATTGGCCAAAAAAAAGGGAGGCTACAAGCCCCATGCAAATTCAAAACTCAGCAGGGAAGTCATTAAATCTTAAAGCTTCAAAATAATCTCCTCTGACTGTATGTCTCACATCCAGCTCATGCTGTTGCAGGGGGTGTGATCCCAAGGCCTTAGGTAGCTCTCTCCCTGTGGCTTGCAGGGTGCAGCCCCCACAGCTACTTTCACAGGCTAGCATTGAGTGCCTGTGGCTTTTCCAGGTGCACAGTGCAAGCTGTTTGTGGATTTACCATTCTGCAGTCTGAAGGAGGTAGCCCTCTTCTCACAGCTCCACTAGGCAGTGCCCCAGTGCTCCCACATTTCTCCTCTGCACTGCCCTAGTAGAGGTTATTCATGAAGGATCTAGCCCTGCTGCAGACTTCTTCACGGACACCCAGGCATTTCCGTACATCCTCTGAAATCTAGGCAGAGGCTCCCACACCTCAGCTCCTGCCTTCTGCACACCCATGGTCCAAACACCACATGGAAACTGCCAAGGTTGGGATTTGCACCCTCACAGCCATGATCTGAGCTGTACCTTGATCCCTTTTAGCCACAGCTGGATCTGGAGTGGCTGGGACACATCAGAGCACAGCCTTGGGCTTGGCCCACGAAACAATGTTTCCCTCCTAGGCCTCCAGGCCTGAGATGGGAGGGGCTGATGCAAAGGTCTGTGAAATGCCCTGGAGGTATCTTCTCCATTGTCTTGGCTATTAACATTGAGCTTATGAAAATTTCTGCAGCCTTGAATTCCTTCCCCAAAAGTGGGTTTTTCTTTTCTACCCCATGGTTGAGCCGCAAATTTTCCAAACTTGTATGCTCTTCTTCCCTTTTCAATATAAGTTCTTGTTTCAGGTCATGCAAATGAGTGTAGCCTTTTAGAAGTAGCCAGGCCACAATTTGAATGCTTTGCTGCTTAGAAATTTCTTCCTCCAGATACCCTAAATCATCTCTCTCAAGTTCAAAGTTCCACAGATCCCTACAGCAGGGGCACAATGCCACCAGCCTCATTGCTAAAGCATAGCACAAGTGACCTTTACTCCAGTTCCCAATGAGTTCCTCATCTCCATCTGAGACCAGCTCAGCCTGAACTTCACTGTCCATATCACTATCAGTATTTTGGCCACAACCATTCAACAAGTTTCTAGGAAGTTCCAGACTTTCCCTCATCTTCCTGTCTTATTCTGATCCCTCTAAACTATTCCAATCTCTGACCATTACCCAGTTCCAAAGTCACTTCCACATTTTCAGATATCTTTATAGCAATGCCTGAATTCTCTGATGCCAATTTTCTGGATTAGTCCTTTTTCACACTGCTATAAAGAACTACCTGAGACTGGGTAATTTATGAAGAAAAGAGGTTTAATTGATTCACATTTCCACAGGCAGTACAGGAGACATGGCTGGAGAGGCCTCAGAAAACTTACAATCATGGCAGAAGGTGAAGAGGAAGCAAGCACATTTTCTTGTGGGTGGCAGGAGAAAGAGATAGTGAAGAGATAAGTGTTACACACTTTCAAACAACCAGAGCTCATGATAACTCACTCACTATCATGAGAACAGCAAAGGAGAAATCCACCCCCATGATCTAATCACCTCCCACTAGGTCCCTCTCCCAACACTGGGGATTATAATTCAATATAAGAGTTGGGTGGGGACACAGAGCCAAACCATATCAGTGGGACTCATAAGGGTGCAAGCATGGTTCAATATACACAAATCGACGTGTGATAGATTAACAATAGGAAGGACAAAAACCATATAATTATTTCAATAGACATAGATAAAGCATTTAACAAAACTCAACATCCCTTCACAATAAAATCTCTCAACAAATTAGGTATAGAAGGTACGTACCTCAGCATCATAAAGGCATAATATACAGAATGTGGGAAAATTGAAAGGTTTTTCTCTACTTCTATTAATAGAAGTGGTTTTTCTCTACTTCTACTTAATAGAAGTGGTTTTTCACACTTCTATTCAACATTGTACTAGAAGCCCTGCCCAGAGAAATCAGACAGGAGAATGAAATAAAAGTTCTCCAAATTGGAAAAGAGGAATTCAAATTGTCCCTGTTTGCAGATGACATGACCTTGTAGGTAAAACACCCTAAAGACTCCACCAAAAAACTGTTACATCTAATAAATGAATTTAGTAAATTTTCAGGATACAAAATCAATATATAAAAACCAGTAGCATTTTTGTTTGCTAATAGCGAACTATCTAAAAAATAAGCAAAAAAAAAAAAAAATCCTATTTACAATAGCTACAAAAATAATAAGATACTTGGGAATAAATTTAACCACGGAGGCGAAAGGGATCTACACTGAAAACTATAAAACATTGACGAGGACCACCTGTGGGGAGGGGCCAAAATGGGCGACTAGAAACAGCTGTGGTCAGAGGCTCCCATCTAGAAGAACGAAAACAGCAAGTGAATCCTGATCCAGCAACTCGGTATCCAAGTTATTTCATTGGGACTGACTAGACGGTTGGCATGACTCAGAGAGTGAGGAAAAGCTGAGTGGTGAGACAGACCACCTGGGAAAGGGGAGCTCCCACCCCAAAGCCAAGGGAGGCAGTGAGTGATCATGCTACCCTGCCCAGGAAACCACTCTTTTTCCACAGATCTGTGCGACACACGGATCAGGAGATCCCCCTCGTGAGCTGACGCCACCAAGGCCTTGGGTCCCAAGTACAGAACTGTGCAGAGTCCCAGTGGCGACTAAGACTGCCTAAGACTATTGAGTTCCCAGGGTAAGGAGCAGCCATCATCACTGAGGCTACCTGCTGTCTAAGACAATGAGCTCCCGGCGGGGAGGGGCAGCAGCCATCACTGCAGCTCCAGTCTGCCCCTTTTCCCCTGTCAGTGCTGGGGAGACCGGATGGATTGGACCCAGGAGGAATTCCCTACAGCCCAGCACAGCGGCTGTGGCCCATCTTGGCCAGACTGCCTCTTTAGGCAGGACTTAGACTCCTCCCTCTTCACTGTGTGGGGCCTCCCTACAAGAATCTCAGCAACTCCAGCCAGGGGTTTAGGGACAAAATTCTGATCTCCCTGGGACTAAGCCCCTAGCAGCAGGGGTGGCCACGGTCTCTGTGGATAAGCAGGCTTAGTCTTCTCCCTGCTGGCTCTGAGGAACCTGGGCAGTTCCGACGAGTGGGATTCCTTCAGCGCAGTGCACCCCCATCGCCAAGGGGCAGCCAGAGTGCTTCATTAAGTGGGTGCCTGATCCCGTACCTCCTGACTGGGTGAGACCCCCCAAGAGGGGTCACCAAACACCTTATACAGGATATTTCCCACTGGCATCAGGTTGGTGCCCCTGTGGTAGAGATCCCAGAGGAAGGATCAGGCAGCCATTTCTGCTGTTCTGCAGCCTCCACTAGTGACACCTCCAGGTACAGGAGGGGCCCAGACGAATAGGAGTGAATCCCCAGCAAACTGCAGCAGCCCTACGGAAGCACATAGGCCTACGGGCCCTATGGAAGTGGAGCCAGACTGTTAAAAGAAAAACAAACAGAAAGCAACAACAACAACAGAATCGACAAAAATGTCCCCACAAAAACCCCATCCAAAAGTTAGCAGCCTCAAAGATCAAAGCTAGATAAACTAACGAAGATGAGAAAGACTCAACGAGAAAACACTGAAAACTCAAAAAGCCAGAGTGCCTCTTCTCCAAATGATCGCAATACCTTTCCAGCAAGGGCACAGAACTGGGCCGAGGCTGAGATGGATGAAATGCAGAAGTAGGCTTCAGAAGGTGGATAATAAAAAACTTTGCTGAGTTAAAGGAGCATGTTCTAACCCAATGCAAAAAAGCTAAGAACCATGATAAAACTTTACAGCAGCTGTTAACCAGAATAACCAGTTTAAGAATAACATAAATGACCTGACAGAGCTGAAAAACACAGCACGAGAACTTCACAATGCAAAGACAAGTATCAATACCTGAATAGAGAAAGCAGAGGAAAACATTTCAGGGATTGAAGGCTATCTTGCTAAAATAAGACAAGCAATCTAATCCCTGTCTAAATAAGACAGAGGAAGCTAATCTTGTCTGCCTGTCTTATTTCAACAACATAGTCTAATCCAAATGCCCATCAATGATAGACTGGATAAAGAAAGTGTGGTACATATACACCATGGAATACCATACGGCCATAAAAAGAAACGAGACCATGTCCTTTGCAGGGACATGGATGGAGCTGGAAGCCAACATCCTCAGCAAACTAACAGGAACAGAAAACCAAATACTGCATGTTCTCACTTATAAGTGGGAGCTGAACAATGAGAACACCTGGACATAGGAAAGAGAAGAACAGGTTCTAGAGCCTGTAGGGGGTGGACAGGAGGGAGAGCATCAGGATAAATAGCTAATGCATGCTAGGCTTAATACCCAGGTGATGGGCTGATAAGTGCAGCAAACCACCATGGCACAAATTTACCTATGTAATAAACCTGCACATACTGCACATGTATCCTGGAACTTAAAATTAAATCAAATTAAAATTTTAAAAATTGTTGAAAAATATTGAAGAGGACTCAAATAAGTATCCAGTAGTCTTCGATGGGAAGAATTAATGCCATTAAAATTTCCATACTACTCAAAGTCATCTACATATTCAATGTAGATGACTACATTTTGATATTCTCTATCAAAAGAATATCAATATCCTGTGATATTCTTCACAGGAACAGAAATAATCCTGGAACTACAAATTACCTTAAGAATCCAAAGCAATCTTCAAAAAGAACAAAAGTAGAAGCATTATACAACCTGACTTCAAAATATACCTCAAAGCTATAGAAACAGCACAGTACTGGCATAAAATCAGATGCACAGACCAGTGGAAAAGATTAAACAGCTCAGAAATAAGTCTATGCATTGACACCCAACCGATTTTCCATAGAGATGTCAAGAGCACACATTGGTGAAAGGATAGTCTCTTCATTGTGCTGCTGGAAAAATTATACATCGACATGCAAAATAATAAACCTAGACCCCTCTCTAACCACATACAGAAACCAACTCCAAATGGATTAAAGACTTAAGTGTAATGCTTGGAACCATGAAGCTACTAGGAAAACACAGAGGAAATGATTCATGACATTGGACTAGGCAAGGTTTTCTTTTGAATAAACAGGCAACAAAAGCAAAAATAGACAAATAAGATTACATCAGACTGAAAAGCTTCTGCACAGAAAAGGGAGTAATCAAGCAAGTGAAGAGACAATATGGATAACAGAAGAAATTATTTGTAAACTGCACATATTCATCCCCTGAAAACAGCAATGGGTTACTATCCGGAAAATATGAGGAACTCCACTCAATAGCAAAATAACAAATAATCTAATTTTAAAATGTCAAAGAATCTTAATAGATATTTCTCCAAAGAAGACGTACAAATGGACAACAGGTACATGAAAAAATGTTCAACATTACTAATCAACAGGAAAATACAAGTTAAAACAATAATGAAATATTACCTTACTCCAGTTAGAGTGGCTGTTATCAAAAAGACAAAAGAGGCCGGGTGCAGTGGCTCATGCCTGTAATTGCAGCACTTTGGGAGGCCGAGGTGGGCAGATCACCTGAGGTCAGGAGTTTGAGACCAGCCTGGCCAACATGGTGAAACCCCATTACTACAAAAATACAAAAATTATCCAGGCATAATGGCAGATGCCTGTAATCCCAGCTACTCGGGAGGCTGAGGCAGGAGAATCGCCTGAACCCAGAAGGCAGAGGTTGCAGTGGGCGAGATGACACCACTGCACTCCAGCCTGGGTGACAGAGTGAGACTCTGCCTCAAAAAAAAAAAGACAACAGATAAAAATGTTGGCAAGGATGTGGAGAAAAAAGAACCCTTACACAGGCTATTCAGAATGTAAACCAGTACAGCTATTATGGAAAACATTATGGAGGTTCCTCAAAAAATTAAAAATAGAACTACAGTATGATCCAGCAATACCACTGCTGGGTTTATATCCAAAGGAAAAAAAAATCAGCATGTCAAATAGATATCTGTACTCTCCTGTTTATTGTAGCACTATTCACTATAGCTAAAATATGGAATCAACCTAAGTGTCCAACACTTAGGTTGAAATGTAGTGTAGATATACAATGGTATACTATTCAGACATAAAAAAATAGAGTCCTGTCCTTTGTAACAACATGGATGAAGCTAAAGGACATTATGATAGTAAAATTAGCCAGACATAGAAAGAGAAATACCATATAATCACACTCAGATGAGGAATCTATAAAAGTTGATCTTGTGGAGAGTATAACAGTGGTTATCAGAGACTGGGGAGAGTAGGAGGGATGGGGAATGAGGAGAGACGGGTAAAGGGTACAAAGCTGCCATTATATAAGAGGAATAAATTTTGGTGTTTTCTTGCACAGTAAGGTGACTATAGATAACAATAATGTATTGTATACTTTAAAATAGCTAAAAGAGAGGATTTTGAATGATCTCACTACACAGAAATGATGATTAAGGTGATGTATATGCTAATTACCATGACTTGATCATTACTCAATGTATCTATGTATTGAAACATCACATTGTACTAGATAAGTATGTATCAATATTATGTGTCCATTAAAAAAATAAAATACTTAAGGTAGTCAAAGCATAAGAAGTATTTCAATACATGTTTAAAAGAATATTTTTATTCTAAACTATCCAAAATCACTAACATTAAAAAATAAGTACAAATTATAATTTATATGAATTTGTAATTAAAATTATTTAAAGCAGTATTTTACATCTTTTAAAAATGTAATTATATCTCATTAAATACTTTTATAAGAATAAAACCTTTGTAATTCTAGTTTCGCATCCATTTAGTATAGAATATAAATGCCACACTTTATAGAACGGCATATACAGAAATTTATGAGTAATATAGATTAATACTATAAAATACTTCTCAGCCATCACATGCAACTATTGCAAATACTGCAATAATTCATGAAAATTTTTAGAAACACAAATTGGAACATAAAGAGGGAAAATAGGTGTTTGGATTCCTAGAAAATAATACTTAATTGTACACATATATGCTTCATTCATGCTATTTGCAGTCAAATGCTCTACCTCCTCTATTATGCTATTTGAAAGAAGAATTTAACAATTAATTTACTGTTTCTCTTACCTAAGCATTTTTGCCTCTCAAATTCCACACGCACTTTGAAGCATGTCAGCTATGGCATAACTCACAATGTATTTTATGGCACCAAAATGGTGATACTTATGAAAATGGATTTTTCAGGTTAATGGTCATTCTGTGCTAATGGACCGTATAGGATTCTGAGTGTCACACATGCTCATATGATCTTAATAAACTGTATGAATGTGTGTGTGTATACACATACATACACACACACACACACACACACACACATATATATATATATATACAGGAGGTATTTCTGTTGACCCATTTAATTACAGTACTGACTGTACTAAAATAGCTAAAAGAGAGGATTTTGAATGATCTCACTACACAGAAATGATTATTTCTGTGGAAATCATCATTAAGCAGTGGAACTGACTGTAAATTTGTTTACAACAATATTTACTTTTTTAACTTTAAAACTCACAAGTAGAAAATAATTTCTTCAGTAGGCAAGATACAGATGGAAAAATTGGTGGTGGTTATAGGTAGTATTTAAAACAGCAACTCAAAAATGAGCTTTAGCTTACACACAACTTATTTCTTTTAAAAGAAATATCATCAAAGAACAACACCACCATTTTCAGGTTCCCCTTCCTGGTCAAAGAGGTGGTAGAAGAAATGGGAAGACTGTAGCAATCTAGGTTTTGTGGAGAAAAAACATATGAGTAGGGAAAAAGATGAGGAGAAGGAAGAAGAACATCATCAAATAGCATTCACTATGTGCCAAAGACTGGGTTATACCTTACAAACATTTTGTCATTCAACCATGACCATAAAACTATGAACTGGGAATTAACCCTATTTTACAGATGAAGCAGCTGAGGACCAGGGAGGTTAGGAAACCTGATCCAAGTAAAACAACTAATTGGTAGGGATGGGATTCAAACCTAGTCTAAATCTAAAGCCCATTCTCTTACCCACCACCCTCCTACTGCAAATGTATCGAAACCAAGATAGATGCAGATGTTGAGAGTACAAGATACAGATAGATGGTGGACAGTTTGGGGACAGATGGAAAATATTTGTAAGCTGGAGAAAAGTATCTAGACAGTGCATGAAGCAGATACGTACTCAGAAGGCAAGAAATAGAAAATAAAATAAAAAATAAAAAGCCAAGGGAATAAATTGATAGGAATTAGAAATGGCTGGGAAAGCAATATGGGCTAATTTTGAACTCTTGAAATTGGATGGATCAATCATACTCCTGTAAGTCTTCAGGCAGAAACTTTGTTGAAAGGGTAAATATTTGTTCAGCTTTTTCTTTTTGGCAGTAAAAATAATTAACATTCTGTCTTTTCTTTGTGCTGGGAAACATCATACATTTAACCAAATACACAGAAAATGTCTTTGTTGATGATCAGGTAAAACAGAGTGCCCACGATTCTGTCCATATGCCAAAATCTCATGAATATATAAACTAGAGGGAGAAGTGGTGTTTGCAGTCATATGTAGATCCAGCGTTTTCAGAAAAGCCAACTCTTCATTGTGGTTATGAATATATGGTGTCAAATTTGGTCATATTCAGAAATGGTTAAGGAAAACTGAACTAGATAAACTATTGAGAGATTTTTCTGGTCTTTAATTCTGCTTTTTTTTCTTTAATTTTAAAGCAAAATTTAGATACATTTCTAATCTTGCCCATAATTGCACATTGATACCAGAAAAGACCATAAAGCCGTTATAATTCACTATCTCCTAACAAAGTGACGCACCAGCTTAAATCTTGAACTCCAATAGCATTTTGTCAGCAGGTTTGTTTTCTTACTAAACCCTCTGAATAAAAGGGTAAAAAATATTCCTAAATAATGTAATGCAGTGGCTTTCTCAAAATGTAGTGCTGGAACCACCAGCAGCAGCATCGCTTGAGAATTCATCAGAAATGCACATTTTTAGACCTTAGCTCTAGATGTATTGAATCAGAAACAACAAGGGCTGGGGCTCAGTGGTCTGTGTTTTCACACGCACTCTAGGTGATTCTGCTGCATGCTAAAGCTGAAAACCACTGGTGTAGTGGATCTTTGTGTGCATAGTGTGAAGGGGTGTCTGAGAACCATGATGTCCTACACAACAGGAATCAAACAGGCTTTGCTAAATGTTTTCAGGATTACTCATGGTATACAATGAGAAGGTTTCTAAGACTACCACTATGAAAACTTTGGGTCGCTCAATGGTGATTAGACGAGACGGCAATGCACAGTCTCCTAAATATTCCATCTTCAGAAAATTCCCAATTAAAGAGTAAATATGCTGATTCGATAAGCTTTTATTGAGTAACACTTGACTATTTGGATTGACTCTCATCTCATCTAACTTAAAAAAATAATAATTTTCTGTTTCTTTGTCTGTCTTGCTTAATAGATGGTTAGCTTCTTGTGGTTAGGAAACATGTCTTATTGACCTTTGCATGACCTATGGAAGTGACAGATCCTGGAACACAGTCTATGGTCAATAAATGCTAGTGGGAAGAAGGACAATGCAGAAGAGAGGTTGGGAGGGAGGAAGAGAAAGAGGGATCAAGTTGAATGAAAAAAGGAATTAAAAGAGGGCTTTTAGATAAGCACATTCAGTAATGATTTTATTATGGTACATGAATTTTATTTTCAAATAGTGTGGTCTGAGAAATAGAAGCATCCCTCAAATTACTCAACATATGATACAACTAAGAATATAAATATGTGGTTAAGTACATGCCATTAATATTTGTAGGTGCCAATTTTTACATATCCTTTGGTAACATTATTCATGCAGTTTTTCTATGTATTTTCCCCACAAAACAATTCCATTTTCTTAAATAATAATAATTGCTAGCAGCCCAATTCTAATAAACAACCCACAATAAGTCAGTATGTGCCCATATAGAGGAAAGAGAAAGGATTACTTCAGAAAACAGATGTCAGTTTCAAGCTTCCAAGGATTTATTATAAACAGAAATGAGTAAAGAACATGAAAAATACTTTGGCAGTGCTATTTGAATACAGAGCTAATGAAAGGCTATATTCACCATCAAATGTATGCTAACAGCCAAATTGCCAGAAAATCTACTGTTTCACGAGTAGTCTATGCCAAAACACAGGCTACAATTATACATAAAAAATGGTTAAACAAAATGTGAAACAGCAGGATTAACTTTCTACTGGGAAATCTGTTTCAGTATAATTGCATTCTGTTGTGACAAATAGGAAATATATGCAAATAATGAATTAGAAATCAATTTCGAATAAACAATGTTACAGAAAAAAAGAAATTCTAAGAGTAAAATTTATAAATTAGGCATTACTGTGACCCACTACTTTCTCTTTAATATTCCTTTCAATAAATACTTTAATAATAATGTAGAGTAATGATATATATGCAAGCCCGTTATTACTAACTCTGAATATGATTTTATCATTTTTCATTCTGGCCATTTTGCTATATGAACAACTATGAGGAAAAAAGTCTTAACATTTGCATTGAGAAAATTTAGCATTTTTGAAGAACAAAACTGTCTAGTAAATATTTTAAATTAAATAGATGTTTATGTTTTACAGTTTTGTGAGTCTTACTGGTTTTGGTTTTTTGGTTTGTGGTTGTTCTGAGTTGTTGTGTTGTTATTGCTGTTTAGAGCACCAACCAAATGACATCATAAAAAGTTACTTTATAATTTTTAATCACATATATTTCAAATTGCAAATAGAGTGTTTAGACAATACACTCTTTGGAAGAACCCATTATAATACAGAGTAGTGTGGGAGGAGGAGATGCTACATTTATTTTAAGAGAGGGGAAAAAATCTGTATTTCATTTGTTACACTGCTAACTTCACTTTAGGTAATTGCATTCAGCTTTATTATTGCCCAGAGCAATAACTGATTGTTAGTTATTGAAGTCTGAAATGATTTTCTCATTTCCCAGGGGAATCTAGAGATTTACATGGTGCACAGCAGTAACTAATAGATATAATCTGGTCATAATGTAGCCATATAATGTGTTATTTACTTGTGGAGAACATAGATGTTCAACATTTTAACATTTCCTCAAGAAGAGTGAGCTATTTTATTCAAGATATATAAACATTAACTGTAACTGCTTGACCTTTTAAAGACTATCAAAATATCAGAATCTTTTTTAAAATGTATCCGGCAATAACAACATTTTATTAAAATTTATAAAATTATCTATTTATAGGTATATGAACTAATATATAAAGATAGTTTTCCTTTTGTAATTAAAAATTTGTTTTACTTAGATGCTTTTCAAAAAGTACTTTACATTATTTTAAAATTTCTTTACATAATTCTAGTGTATTTCTAAAATTCCAGCTAAATTGTCAGATTTAACATATAACCAAAGTAATATAATACTACAAAGCAAATTTAGTGGTGGTTATTCTGCAAGCATGTTTTATTTTTTTAAATAATTAACCCTTTTCCCCATTATAAATTTTACTTTTATAGTTTTGCTAACTTCTCACTCAGAAAGTTAAAAAAGCATAAGCTTTTTTTTTTTTTTGCTTCTTTATCTTATTTATTTAAGGTGTATAGCTTGAATTCTAACTAGGAATGACACACACACACAAACCCAAAACGATGGAGAAAGATGCAACTTTCTAACAAATCCTCGCTTTTGCTGTTCAGGATGCTATCTTTCTTTATAACATAAGGGTATTGGCATGCTCTCATTCTGTGCAAAATGTACATGGAATGAAAATTTATTGCTCATGATTCTTGAATAAATAAAATTCTAAAGCAGCATAGCATAATAGGGGCAAATGTTTTATTAAAGGAGGTTTTTCTTTTTCTTTTTTTTCTATTCAACTGATATAAATGTTTTATGAAGGTTTCAGAGTATTCCTCCTGGAAGCATTATGGGGCCTGTACTTTTCACAAAGCAGGAGAGATTTTTGCATCTTACTCCCATTAACCCTAATGAGTGTTCTCCACAAAACACCTTGTGCATCAGAAAATAAAAACACCTTTTTTTAAGTAAAAAAATAAATAAAACAGAACTTTCCTGAGCTATGCATAGAGATTTATATTCTTCAGAACTGAACTTAATAAATATAATGTATGTTAAAAACATCCTAATTCTTTACTAATTCTTGAAATCCTCATTGAAAACTGATGATCTTGAATGCTTCTTAGCAAAGATTTACTTGCAAAGAGCTTCAGTAAGGACTCACATTACTCAGAGTATAAAATATAGTATAAAGTCTGATCATAAATAATTTAGAGTAGTGTCATCACAATAAATGAACAAAGTACATTTTACAAAACAATCCTACTGATTTTTAAAAATATGTTTCCCACTTGGTAATTCAAAAAAGACAAATTTTCTGAGTTTCCATGTGTCCTCTGGCATTATCTTTAGGTTTTAAAATCAGTTGTTATTTTCTAATCTAATCAGAAATTATTCAGTGCAATGTGTACAAAAGGGAATATAAGATGCACATTTGGCTTCATTAACAACTAGTTTTCTAATCTAGTCTTGGAGAAACAGTTCTATCAACAATGGAGCAAAGTTTACTTTTACTTTTAATTTTATTAAGATTTAATGCAAAAAATTTACAAAGTTTGTTCCACAAATATTTCACTTTTGTAGAGAACTCAAATGTATAAAACCTTTTTAAATTCAGTTCTTATTTTTAAAATGTGGATCCTTATAACAATTTGGGAAAGGCAAGGCATGATGAAGATGAGAGAAGGCTTTATGAAGATAGAAATGTCTGAGCTAAGTCCTAAATATTGCAGTCATCCAGGCAGTGAGCACTGGATGGGTGATGAGGAGAGTGGAGGGAGGTATTCCCGACAGAGGCAGCAGCAGGTGCGAAGCCTCAGAGCTGGGTAGGTAGCACATCAGGAGGTGGGGTACAGCTAAAGCAAAGATGTAAGGCTAGCAAAAGAAGTGCTAGCACAGAAGGGATGAATTAAAAAATGTATGGCATATGCATATGATGTAATATACAACAATTTTAAACAAACTAGCTATACACATATTAGTATGGATAGAACTTAGTAACTTAAAATTCAACGGAAAAAACAAGCTACAGTATAATATATGTCACATGAAACATTTATGTAAAGTTTAAAAGTACATTCAATAATACTGATTTTTAATAGTTAAACACAAATGTAGCAATATATATACTTGGAGAGAGAGAGAGAGAGAGAGAGAGAGAGAGAGAGAGAGAGAGAGAGAGAGAGAGAGATGGACCAGAAGAATATATACCAATATCAGGAAGCTATTGCTCTGGGGAGAGTGGAAGATAAATAAGACTGCGCATGTTTAGATAAGTCCAACAAATGACGCTCTCGTTCAGTCACTTCAGGACTAAGTAAGAAATAAACGAACAAGCAAAATAGCATCTGGAGATGAAAATATCACCTCTATTATGATCAGGTCTAGGCTGAGGGATGTGACTTAGGACTGTAGCAAAATAGGCTTCTTGATATTGAAAACAGACACAGTTGTCCACACTGCCATGCACAATTCCAGACTTACACAGACCCACTCCTGTAGTGGCAGAGCATCTCCCTCTGAAATTAATGTTGTGTTGCTGGGGAACAGTACCATGATTCCCACCGGCAGGCCTGTTTGCAGATAAGGAGACGCTGCATGCCCCGATCCAATTCCTTTTCCCAAACTCACCAGCAGGATAAAAGGCTCCCCTCAGAAGAAAGGCAAGAGGCTGGAGAGGCCAGAATTGCCGGAGTGTCGGAAGTCACCTTTATATAGGAGGAAACAGCAGGAGTGGGCAGTAACTGTTTCTCCTCTAAAGGGTTTAAAAATAACTTACAAAGCATGCAAGCTTCCAAGAACAACGATTGGAATCTCATTTGCTCACTCGTATGTCTCAAACACCAACAAGATTGGCTGGCTCACAGTAGGTGCTCAAAAATATTTGTTGAATGCATGAAGACCATATCTTTTACGAATAAAGAAAATGTGGTGTATATGTGCACAAAGGAATACTATTCAGCCTTTAAAAAGAAGAAAATTCCATCACGTGTGGCAACATGTATGAACCTGGAGGACGTTATGTTAAAAGAAATAAGTCAAGCACAGAAATACTGCATGATGTCACATATATGTGGAATCTAAACAGGCTGAACGCATAGAAATAGAGAGAAGACTGGTGGTTACCAGGGCTGGGGGTGAAGTGGTGGGGAATGGGAAGATGTTGGTCAAAAGGTACAAAGTTTCAGTCTGACTGGAACAGTAAGTTTTTGAGACCTATTGTACAGCATGGAGACTATAGTTAGTAATAATGTATTGCATCTTCCAAAACTGCTGGGAGTAGATTGTTAATGTTCTCACCACAAAAAAAATGATAAGAATGTGAGGTGATGGCTATGCTAATTAGTTGATTCAGTCATTCCACAATGTATACATGCATTAAAACATCATATTGGACCCCACAAATACATAAAATTATTGTCAATTGAAAATATTTTTTAAATGACCTGAAGAAAATGTTAAGGAATCTTAACCCTCATTATTTTTTGATGAAAGATACATGGGCATTATAATATTTGCCGCATTTTTCTCTAAGTTTGAAATATTTCTACACAAAGAGCATATAACGCTGGACATATCTCAGCAGTAAAGGTAGGTTAGGTACAGATTTTGAAGGCAGGTGAATACCTTGTAGACGGGTTAGGTTCTAAGAAGAGCTGACAAAAAAATTTTGAAGCCACACCACTACTGAATTTATGAGCCTGAGGTCAATTTCCTAGGTTAAAGATCATTTGGGAAAGGAAAGAGAAGAAGGCAAAATAAAAATTGGTGAAGAAAAAAATTTGGCACCAACTCTGGTGCTATTTTTGCACCCTTCCAATTCTGTTTCTTGGCATGTGCTTACGGAAAATCCCTCGTCATGGAAACCATGAGTGGAAGAAAGATGTCGCCCCTCAGAGCGTATCGTTTCAGATAGGTGTTGGAACAAAAATACTGTCCAAGTACCCAGGGTCCAGTCTGTGTGTCATTTCGTTTTGCTGAAGACTGTCTTCCATTAGCCAATATTCTAGCAGTGATGGGAGAAATAATCTGGCCATTAAAGAGAGTTCTTTTAACACAAACACAAAAAAGGGAGGTTTTCATAGTGAAATGAGTTGCATAAAATACTTCTAAGTAAGGTTAAGGTTGCTTGAATCAAGCCTCACTGGTATTGCATTTAAATAGCTAGTTTCCAGGGAGCCCCAACACTGCATAGACACACACAAACACACACAGACACACACACATACATGCACAGCCTTGCTCATGCCTACTTTCTCTGATCCCTATGACTCAGAATAGGGCTAGCATAAATTTAGCTAGAGCCAGATTCTTTTAGGAAAATTGGGGAACACAATATTCTATAGTACTAAGACCAAAGGAGACAAAAGCAGTGACATTTATACAAAATTGTGTTTTAAAAACAAAGCTAGTGGACTCTTGGACAGTAAGAAAAATGGAGGGGAAGTACTTTGCATGGTGTAATTCATGGATAAGTGTCTAGAGGATGAGAACAAGAGTAATGATATTGGCAGACCAACCCAATTTTCCTAAAAATCTATCTTCAGGATCCTCTTCCATAACTGTTTCCTGCTTTTTGTTAGCATGTCTTCTTCTTGAACTTTTGGTTGTCTAGATATTTAGAAAAAAAAAATTTAAATTATTTTCTCAGGAAGATCACACAGAGAAGCAAAATTTTCCCCCAAAGTTGGAATAAACTAGTTCTTTAACAGTTCTCTCGAGGAGACAGTATGACACAGTGATGAGGAGAATAGGCTCTGGACTCAGGGTACCTATAACAAAATCCTGACCCCAACTATTACCAGCTGTGAGTTGACCTTGAACAAGTAATTTAATCTATGACTTAGTTTCCTTGTCTGTAAGTGAAGCTAGTTAATAGTCACTAACTCATTGGACATTAGATAAGTTAATGTGTCAAAGTAACTCAGCAGCATATGTAACACACAGTAAGCAGTCAATAAATGCTAGCAAATGGGTTACTGACACTTTAAATTATTAATAATAACATATAAGTTTGCATATTTATAGCATGTCCAACCTAAGTAATAGGCATGTAACATCAAAACACTTGAGTAACAATGAAAACATGGAACTGATTTAAGTGCATGGTTCTTGACCTCCTCTTTTACTTAATTCTGTGAGGCAACGAATTGTTTTATCCTGTGTTAATAAAGCTTCACCTGGAAAATCCCTAGAGCCTAAAGTCCTATTTTTATGTCATCCACTTTACATAATGCCAGATATTGACTACCGTTATTTTTGAATAAGGGATGTGCAAAAGATAAAATACTTGTTCTGGTTTCAATTTTGTCTACATGTTCCTCATGTTTCCCAAGAAAACTGAAGCCTTTTGAGAATAATGCACCATTTTATTACAAAGAGTGTTAGTGTCAGCATATGCCAAAGAAGCTGTGTCACACTCTGGAAGTAAGTGTCAGAAGTAAATATTCGTAATTTAACAAACTTCCTGTAGAGAGGACTCCAGGCAGCAGCTCAGTCACAGGTAGCTGTGTTCTCTACCACCTAACCCTGCCATTGTGACCACAGCAATTTAATTGGGGTGGGCACCCAACTGCAGGGAAGCCAGAAACTTCTGAGATTGCATGACATAAGAGTCTTACCTCCCAATGACACTGACCTCTGAACTAATCAGAGCATCCTCCTGGGTGGGACTAGATAGCTACACACAGAAAGGTAGCTGGCTGGTGGTGGAAGCAGATGTGAATACACACCAAAGGAAGCCTAAACAGGTTGAAATCAGATGCTGACTGAGGAGGGATGGGCTATGGGGAGCCAAGGAAGCAATGAGGTAAATAGGCAGTCACACTGGCTCAACAAGGCTGCACTCCAGTCGCTACAAGACCTGGCTGTTCAGTGATTCCTATTCTTGTTTAAAACCATTTTTTTCTTTCTTTCTGGCTTTCCTAGAAGATTGGCTAAGATTCCTGTTTTCTTTATTTTACAGCATTGCCTACATGAGGTGACGTGAATGAATTTCTGTTCTTTGCAAACAAAAGACCCTATAGAAAAACCAAAATAACACAAACATTAACTTTTGAAGTTAAAATATGTCCCACATTAATGTTGTTTATTGGTGTACCTATGTTCAGTAATTAAAAAAAGTTACGTTTGCAGTATTTTAATAGTGGGCAATCTTGTACATTCTAAAGCAAGATTTTTTTATGTTTGCTTTCCATGCCTAATCTATCCAGGGGTTGGGGGGGATCTTCTGAGTATATTTCCATTAATAGTTCACATTTTAAGCACTTATATGAATACAACCTATTAGTTACTTTATTCTAATTTCATATAGTGATATTATAATTATTATTATAGATTTATTTTGACATAATATTCTTTTTTCCATTGTTTACATTGCAGAAGTTTGAGGATATATAATTTCTAAAAATAATATTGTGCTTTAACTTATAGATAGAAAACATGATTAGTCTTTTCAGTTATTAAAAATTTATAGCTTTGACAAATTGTATCAAGCAGCCACAGTTGAATTTTGTTCATATAATTAATTCTCTAGATATTATTCTATTTAAATAGCTGGTGTTTTTATTTTGCTACATTGAGTGCACATAAACATTTTATTCAGAAACAGTTTTAAACAAAAAAATGAAAACCCATTATAAGACTAAATTGTCCTCCCAAATGCTCTCATAGCATTCTGTGAATTTCTATCTATTCAGTTAACGCCTTAGCCTATTCATCGGTGTTCCTCACTAGCTTGTAAATTCTAGAGGAGTAGAACTGTTTCCTGTATCTTGTGTACCCAGCATCAGGAATATAATAGCTATCCAATAAATTTTTGGTAACTTATACAAGTAAAAAAATAAAGCATATACAGCCACCTTTTAAAGGACTATAAATAATTTATTTACTTATATGCTGATTGCAGCAGCTATGTGCCTCCATTGAATGCACACTTCTCAAGTCACTGTTAGACTTATCAGGCCATTGTGCTCCAAAGATGATAAAAGCAGATGGGATATTTCACTGCTTTACCCCAGGAAGGGGAAGGAAAGTGATCAAAATTTGTTATCAGAAGTACAAATTAATAAGGCATTAGAACATCATTTGAAACCTAACTTTTTGTGTACTTCCTGTGGCTATTAAGTAATTTAATTATTCCTGAAAAGTTTGATATTAAAGACCTTTGATATTGAAGAATTGAAAGCATAGTGAAACCTGTCTTTGTGTGCCCTTTCTTTTTGTGCATTTAATATGGAGCAGTAGACTCGCTCCACTTCATGCTGATGGAGGTGGAAGGGGGAGACGGAGGTGGAAGCCTGCCACTGAATTTGAATTATGTAGGGAACATAGCCGTGTTGTACTGTCTTGTCAATATCTCCTTCCAGCTGGTGCTGACATAATTAGGCACATCAAGCACAGAAGAAGACATTTTAAATTCAAAGCACTGTTCCAAGTCCTGTGAGTAGCTATGAAAGGTGCCTGAAGTAATCAATAACACATGGTAAGGTGTGCAGTTCCAGTAGGTTATCCACCCACCTCAGGTCTATTATAAGACATGAAGAAGCAGAAAAGCCAAGATTTCTAACTTCTTAAAGAGTGGCCTTGTTTGAATAGTTTGACTTATTAGAGTGTGTTTTCTTTAAAAATATATATACTTAGAATTGAATCTTTCATCGCCAGCATAAAGTGTATATATGTAAACTTTCTGAGACCAGGAACATCACCTCCTTTGCTCTCTACTGTACATACCCACAGCATCTAACAGGGTATGTTCCAGTTAGTAAGATCTCAATAAATACGTGTCTCAGGGAATAAATAGATAAATGGAGAGCCCTGGTCTTACTTTTCCTTACCAGTAAAGTGGGAATATATTGTACATTATGGAATTATTATCTGGGTTAGAAAAAAATCAGACAAAACATCTTAGCACACAGCTAATGCTCCATAAAGTGGATATATAATAATTAAAATTATATGTGGTTGTAATATAGAATTGAAATTATGATGGAGAATAACCCACAGTTTGGTTTTTACAAATATAACTCGGGCTTCTATCACTGTCCTGCCTGACTCTTGCCTGCCCCTTCTTCTCCCCAATCTTTCTCCTTTTTTCTTTTCCAAGCCTCTATTTCTCATAAATTTCTTTTGCAGAGCAGATATCACTTTTAAATTTGTCTTTAAAGCCCATGGTTTGAGGGTCTCAGATGCCACTCTTTAAAACACTTACCAAAGTATTTTTCTAAACAAAGACAATTGTCTCCCAAGAAAAATTTTGGTGCCAGCTAAGATTAATTTTTCACCCACTTCAGATATGTAATTTCCACTGTCATTCATAGAAAGTTCTGTCACAGTTGAAAAAAAAGACACCATATGGAACAAGGTCCGTAAATACCTTCCTACACCATGTGGGGGTATAAATTTAGTTTGTGATCCAAAAGATTGCAATATCTAAGTGGTCGTTTTCAAAATTCAAGGTAGAATTCTAGTCATCCTGGGGAGAAGTGAGATCAACAGGTTGAATCTCTGGGCCCTTAAATACTAATACTTTTATTCGCTTAATAGACATGCATCTGTTTGGGGGGTGGGAGGGATTTCATGCTTAAAGAAAAAAAGGTCTGAAAATTACTGGACAAAATAAGCCAGAGGAATAACCAGAAAAGGACTGTCCAATAAAAAGTCTATGTCATAAAGCATTAGCAGAAGATAAGATAGTGTTTAGTAGCAATAAACTTTCATCTATTCACAGTATTCTTCAAGATAATGTATTTATGGCATAGCCTGGGGCCATCAACTGGCAAGTGTACATGGTTTTGGAACATGTCATCTCTGCATATTATCCATGCCTAACTGGAATCCAAGCAACAGAGGCAAAGCTTGTGATGTAACATACAATGGTATTCCCCTTTTGCCTAATAGCTGTCAATGCTGGTCTATAATAGTAACAAATTGCTTCTCATGAAAAAAAATATGTTTCATACTACTAAAACTTTGATTTAAAAAGTATAAGGTGAATGGCAGAGTTTTTATTCTACATGTTTGAAGAGAGAACAATGATTATGATTATGGCCTTCCAATAGCAGCTAATGCTCTTTCAAACAAAATAAGAGCCAATTTTTCTACCACATATGTTAAGAGAGTTTGCAAGGATTACCAAACAAATATTCATGTCCTCTGAGAAGTAGAAGCTAAGGTAGGAGTCAAGGTTTGAGAGATTTACTGAGGGAAACTCCTGTGGAGAATAAAAGTGGGGAAGCAGGAGTAGGCAGGGAGAGCTTCAGACCACGGTGCGTCTGACATCTCCGAAAGGAGAGGGGGAAGAAAGGAGGCTTAGGCACAAAGACTGCAGCACAGTCCTAAGAAAGTTTGGGCCAGGCAGTGGAGTCCCCAAGCCAACATTACCGTTCAGAGGAGTCCCGTTTCCTGCTAATACCCGCACAGTGCCCCAACTGGCGCAGCCTGGCCCCAGACAAGCGCTGATTGTGTATCCACAGGGAGAGCAGCTGGGTCTGTCAGTCAACCACGCTCCCCGCGGCAGGATCTGAGCAGTATGTCTCCACTGTCTCCACATTTTCCAAGGAGGGAAACTTTGATTCTGAAGAACTGTTAACAATTCTAACCTGGCAGACAATAAATCCACTTCTGCCTTTTAATCAATCTGAAAATCAATTAGCCTTGATCTTTGCTTTCACAGAAAAACCTCTCTCTACAAATAATCTGTCCTAAAACAGGACACCTTCAACTAACTGAAGGATTCCTGGCTACGTTTCCACAGTTTGTAAAATTTGTTATTTCATGGATACGTGTATCCATTTAACAAGCATGAAGTAATGAAGTAAGTGTCTGCTGAATGCCAGACAAAACAAATACCATATCTTTCAAATTCTTAACGTACTATTATGCACAGAATATGCATTTTGAACGTTATTCTCAGAATCTAGGATGCACAGCAACCATAAGATAGAATGTGCTCAGCGAGTATTTGGTGAGTGAATGGATTAACTGATACCATTTTGTGCAATGGGATTCGCAGTCACCTTGAGAAGATATATTACACTAGAACATATTCAGAGGGCCCATACTCCTCTTAAACATCTCTACCCTAGAGTCTTTATTCAAAATAATGTATTTTCAGTATATAAAAAGTTGAGAACTAGGCCCAGTGCAGTGGCTCAGGCCTGTAATCCCAGCACTTTGGGAGGCCGAGGTGGGTGGATCAAGAGGTCAGGAGTTTGAGACCAGCCTGGCCAACATGGTGAAACCCCATCTCTACTAAAAACACAAAAATTAGCCGGGCTTGGTGTCGCGTCCCTGTAATCCCAGCGGCTCAGGAGGCTGAGGCAGGAGAATCACTTGAACTCGGGAGGCTGAGGTTGCAGTGAGCCGAGCTTGCACCACTGCACTCCAGCCTCAGCAAAAGAGTGAGACTTCGTCTCAAAAAAAAAAAAAAAGTTGAGAACCAAAAACAGTATGACTAGTGATTCATTCATCTTACATTTTTGCAAAATTTTCTGCTTTGGGAAGATACGTTTGGTCACATTTTTATGAATTTTTATATTTGATTTTTTTAAGAGCTGCATTTTCTATAGCTTAATCTTTAAGGATAATATAAAACCGAGGATACAAACCATACACTTAATAATGAGATTTCCTTGAAATCAAAAATGAAAATTTTTTTTCAAGCACTGAGTATTTTAGCCCGACTTAAAAACATCTGATTTTTCCGTTTCCAGCTAACTGTATGGCTTTATAAACTCTGTTTCCAATAGGATCATATTCTATTAAGTTTAACAAGAAAAATTAATAAAATAAAACCATGATTCCAGAAACAGATGGTACTATGTCCTTTTTTTTTCCAACCATGACATATAATACAAAGGCGTTTTATAGCAGTAACCCAAGCAGGAAACTATAGTGATACTGTGATTTAAAAACAAAAAATCTTGTTTCTTTCAGCTCTGTAGATATTTGAGGGACTGGGAGAGTGTCTGTTATCAAAATGGAAAAAGTCAGAAGTACTAAAATCAACCTCTGCATTTACACACAATTTCCTGAAATCGTATAAATCACCCTGTAGTACCTTTTTTCCATATCCCTCCTGAAAGACCACTGAGGAATTAACTACAGGGTTTTGAAAGTTGAAGGCATGTTTCAGCTCTGCAGGATTTGTACAAACCATCAGATGCTACCCAGGCTTGGAAGACAGACATTTATTATATGTTTGTCGTCTGGCCTCTTTTAGGTCTTGCTGTATAGCTCTCTATTTTTAAATAATAGAAAATCATTATAGGTAATGATTATAGGAGGTCTTGATTTAATTGACCAATTTGGGAATTAAGCCTAAAGGGTTTTTAATTGTTATTTTGTAAGCTTTTAGAGTTTCCAGTTACCCCTGTCAATTTCTAAGGAATAACAAAACACATTTTCTAGTTAAAGTGAGAATATTTCCCTGTTGAAAATTGCCTGTTTTTATTATTGTAAGAATTGGTCCACTGAACTTGGCTCAGCCTCCAAGGTCTCAGCGAGAATGCTATGATTAATGAGGTAGCCATTAATGTCAGTAGATTGAACAACCAAAATCTGATTATATTAAAGTGCTTCCCAAACATTAGGGTCACATTAACAGTTTATTGAAACAAGCTGATAAAATTTAAAATGGTCATCTAATTCCCTTGGGTTCCTAATTGTTGCATGATAAATCACTCTGTAGAGAAATCTATTACAATGTTCCAAATGAGAAAATGTAATTTACTGTACCATTACTAGGGTGTTTGAAGCACTTCAGTTCTTTAACGGGAGGATTTTTGCTAAAATGAGAAAAAAATTTAAAAAGTTTAGATTTTTAAAGGGCCTGGCCTTGAATAAAACCTCTCTATGATAAATCTTCCAACTATATATTGGGTAAGAAAAATGATGCATTTTATGAGCCTGCATTATGTAAAAACAAATTACATTAAAGTTCCTTATGAGTCGATTGCTGAAAGTTCAGGGTGAATGAGCCTTTATTGATGCTCATCTACTCTTTAAAAGGAAATCACTGCAGAAATCAACTGTACCGTACAAACTAGGTGAAATATTTCTTTACTGTGGAAGTCTGGTCAAGTTCCCTCCAGAGACGGATATCTCTGCTTTGAAAGATAATTTTCAGGGGTCCAAGCAGAACAAATGAAATCTTTACGGGTTCAAGCTTCTGATCATGTGTCAATCCCTGAATGCAGTATTTCCAGGAATGACCCAACAGTTTCATATATTGTGAAATATTTGAGATCGTGTCGTCATTTATTCCTGGAAGAGCCACTGGCCAAGAGAGAGGGGGAGGGGGTGAGCGTTTCTGGGAATGGTCTGAAAAAGTGGTGACCCCAATTGTTTTGATGTAGCTGAAGACATAGTTAAAGGAAAGGCATATAAGCGTGTGCAAATAATGGGAAATGGTTAATCTATGTAGTTTATGGAAAGGAAATATTCTGGGCTTTGAAATGCTAATTTACTAGAATTATTATTCAAATTCAAAGAAAAAACATGTTTCCAGGAAGCTCTGCTTGACCCCCTGTCTTCCCCAACTCAGAATGGGTTTTGGGTCTCTCTCCCTACATTTCTAAATTGATTGCATAAAGCTTTCACAGAGCACTCACAAGATCATATTGTAATAATTTTTGTGTTTATGACCTACTACTTCTTCAAGAACAGTGATTATATTTTGAAACAACTGTTTAATTCCAGATCTTGTCATGATGTCAGATGTAGAGTAAATGTTCAAGAAATGCTTACTGAAAAATTAATGAATGAATAAAAAATGAATAGATCTCCAAATGGCCAATTTGCCATTTTATTTCCCCAGTACTCCATGGCTATTTTAAATGTTTAATTTGTAATCAAGATGTCTTTAAAAATACCTTTTATCCCTGTCTTTAATTATATTTTTCATATGACCAGAAATACTTACTTTTGTATCCTTCTCTTTCATTTACCCATATGTCCTACTAGGAAGGATGTGGTGGGATGAGTGTTATTTGGTGTTAGTACATCCAGTATAGTTTACAAATTCAAGAAAGACAGAGTGGTTCAAGAATGAACTATGTGTTTAGGGAGCTGGACAGGGGACATTGCGACAGCTGTCAGTGCTTGGAGTGATGGTTACACTTCTAGCCACGAAATGAACCCTTGAGAAAGCAAGTTATTGAAAAGACTGGTTGAGCCCCATGGAAGATGATGATAACCAGTCCTCAGATTACTACTTATATTTTAAATATCCCCAGTAAAGTCCAGATACACATATTTCACCTGTTTAAAGAGTTTTGCAGGAGTGTTCAGGTGCTTGTTGGTAATTTCATTCTAGATCTCAGTATCTTAACTGGAGGAAGGAATAGCAGAGAAAATACAGTACAAAAAGCAAGACTCAACTTCTGCACACAAAGAGAATACAAAGAATTGTCTTAGGTAAGAAGAAAATAGGTGAATCACGCTCATGCGTTAAGTTAAATATCAGACCCTTTTATTTTTCTATAGAAAATATTTTATGAGAATAAGATATATCTATATTGAATTTCAAAAGTTAAATATTTCTGTGGTCCAACGCTTACAGAATTGATCATTCCACTAGGAGGATAGTCTGTGAATCTCAAAAGGCTATACCATTTTCTTTTTACTTCTGAGAAAAATATTCTTTGGCAGAGTGAGAATGTTTAAAATATTTTATTTGTTTTCAGATACTGGCATCTTGCCCTTCATATTTTTAGACTTTAAGCACTAACCCTCTATTTTGATTACATTGTTGACAAATACAGAGCATTCATTTTTTGGTAACTGCTTGGCTGGCTCCCTCACTTCCCTCAAATCTTTGCTCAAATTTCTTCCAATCCAAGTCTTTCTTTACCATTCTACCTAAAATAGCCCTGCTCCATCACTCTATCCCCATATCCTTTTTGAAAAATTGTTCTCAGGACACTGATATATTATTTATTTTTAATGCTATTGTATATGTCCTCCCACTTTAATAGAAGTTTCATGAAAACATGATGTTTATTATTTATTTATAGCTGAAACCCCAGGGACTATAACAGTGCCTGGCATATCATAGGTGCCCCATAAATATTTCTAGAATAGAGAGAACAGAATGTGTTAGTTGCAAAAGCATCTTCTGTTTTCAGAAAGGCAGGTAATTTATTAAAGTTGGAATACAGAATGTATATGGGAGTGTAGTGACCAGATGTGCATTTTAGAAAGTTCATTTTGACATCATGCACAGGACAGTTCATTTTTATAGCAGTTTTAATGAGCAATATTTTTATAAGACTGGATTTTATCACTTTCGATGGACTTTAATAAGTATTGAATTGAAATAAACATTAACTGAGCATCAAGAAAGAAAATAAGAAACAAGGGTCCTGGGTAATCTATAAATTGATGTTTCTTAAGTAATTAGACATCAACTTGGCTTGGTATATTTCAAATGCCCTTGGTTCTTGAGAGTACCATTTTCTTCCTTTTTTCATCTTCAAGGACTTCTATACATAGAAGAAGAAATCTACATTTACTATAGACATTAAGGGAGGTGTGTTTAATCTTATGCATAGCTCAGAAGGACAAGTAGAGCCAGAACTCAATTGCTTCCTAGATTCGTGGTTCTTATATCCAATGTAACCCAAAAGCACATGCCATTATTCTGACAGGAGGTGCAAAAGCATTCAGTCAAATTCAGAATAATGCTACCTCTCTGATCCCAGCAACCGTTCATGGCTGTGCCCATCTCAGTGAAATCCTTCTTTTAGAATCTTAACTAATTTGATAAGATAGACAGATAAATAGAATACTAAGTAAAAAATCAGTATGGATTAAATTTATATTTTCCTCGATACTGAGTATTTTTTCTTAGGTTTAGTTTGGGTTTCCTCTTTTATGAGTTGCATATTCATATCCTGCGTCTATTTTTTTCTATTGGTTGTTTGTATTTTTCTTCCACATTCATTAAAATTCTTTGCCTATTCTGGATACTAATACTTGGAGGAATTACAGATTGCAAATATCTTCTCAATTTCTTTTCACTTTCTTTCTGGTGTCTTTTGATGTATAAAAGTATTTACTCTGATGCAGCCAAATTAACTAAGCATTCCCTTTATGGTTTGTGGAGTTTTTAAATTGTTTTTTAAGTCTTATTTCAGGATCTTTCTATATCCTAAGGTTACAGAGAATTTTCTCCTATAATTCCCTGACCATCTGATATGGTTTGGATGTGTGCCACTCCAAATTTCATAAGAAATTGTGATTCCCAGTGTAGGAGGTGGGGTCTAGTGGGAAGTCTCTGGGTCACAGACAGATCCCCCATGAATGGCTTGGTACTGTCCTCATGGTAATGAGTGAGTTCTCACTCCATTAGTTCACCAGAGAGCTGGTTGTTTAAAAAAAGTTGGCACCTTCTCCCCTCTCTCTCACTCCTGCTCTCAACAGGTGACACGCCTGCTCCCACTTAACCCTCTGCCGTGAGTAAAAGCATCCTGAGACCTCACCAGAAGCCAAGCAGGTGTTTGTGCCATGCTCGTACAGCCTGCAGAACTGTGAGCCAAATAAGCTTCTTTTCTTGATAAGTTATCCAGTCTCAGGTTTTCTTTCATAGTAATGCAAAACCAACAAGTACACCATTCTACTTAAAATTGCAACCCTAGCCCCAGCTCTGCAGGCACTCATTACTTCCCTCTCCCCATTGGCTCTAGTTGTCTTGTTTACTTGTTACTTGTTACTTGTTTCTAAGTTTGCTTGTTTATGTTTTTATTATGTCTTAATGAATTATATGTATACTTCATAAAAGCAAAGATATTTGTATTTTATTTTCACTGATGTATCCATTATACACACAAAATTGCTTGGTACAAGTAGATGTTTAATAAATTACAAATGTAATTAGTAAATGGACATTTCTTCTAAAAGTTTTAAAGCTGTGCCTTTTACATTTAAAATTTTAAATTTCTTGGCATAATTTTTTGTGTATGTGGCATAAAGTACTATTCTAAATTTTATGTTTTCCAAATGGATAACAAATTGTCCTAGCAGCAGTTTTTCAATAGCCCAACAACTCAAACATCTATGTTGCTTCCCTATATATATATATTTTCATATATTGTATTCACTAGAATGCAAGCTCCATGAAATCAGTGACTTTCCTTTGTTACCTGCTTTTTCCTCATTGCTAGAACCATGCTTATCACGATGGAATATTATACAGAAATAAGAACAAAAATGATCTATAATGGCATGCAGCAATATGAAAAAAGTCAGAAATATACTGAATTTTAAAAAGCCCAATACTAAAAAAGTACATACCATATGATTTCAGTGATTTAAGTAACAAAATGGGCAATATTAGAATATGCTTAGATGTCAGATAATGGTTATCTTCTGAAAAAGCAGTAGCTGAAAAGAAATAAGAGGGAGGTTTCTGGGTTGCTGATAACATACTGACTCATTGTTTGTGAATTAAAAAAGTGTGAAGGTTTAATAAATATTTGTTGTGGGGTTCTTTATTCAATTACATTGCTTTGTCCGTGTATGTCTGCATCAATACCAGACTGCATTAATTACTAAACTTTTAAATGTCTTCATATTCAAGAGAATGAGTTTTCCATATTGTTCTTATTTATCAAATTTATATTAGCTAAAGTAATCAAGCATTTATTCTGCTATTTCTGTACAAACTATACTATGGATAATTAAGTAGTAGATAAAGAAATATTTCTTCTTATAGAAGCACTTCAGCTAATAATGAAGAAGAATTATTATTACAGCATTACAGTATCATTACTTTGCAATGTCTTCTATATTAATTAATCTAGACATTGATCACCAATGGCTGTTGGCGTTTCAAAGAAAGATGCAATGAGAATTATATTCTTCCAAATGGAGGAGCACCACCTAAGAAGCAGTCTGACCAAAAATAAAATAAAAAATTGTATCTGAATGGTATCAAGTCTCCATAAAAACTAGCAATTTACAGAAAATTCAGAGGGCAAAGGAAGATGTTAAACTGCACCATACAATGCAATTAGCACAGTCCAGACTAAGAAACTTTATTGTACAAACAACTTGGTTTCTTCAATAAAAACATTATAAGAAAGAAAAAGAGTTGTTGGAGGGGAAATATATAGACTTTCCACCATTTGCAACATGTGAGACTTATTTGAATCCTGAGACTGTAAAATAATTATTACGTTTGTGAAACAATTGGAAATTTGAACACTGAGTATGTGCCAATGATGATGCAATGGTGGTTAGTTATAATTTTAACAAGAGTGATACCTTATATTTTAGACATGCAAAATATTATTAATGAAACAAATAATTGTCATCTTCAATGTCTCCTGTTAAATTCAGATGTTCCACTTCAATAAATGTTGATATTTCATTTTGCTACCATTGCAATGAGGGCGGTCGGAGTGGAAGAGGAGGGGAAGTCTGTTGGCAGTAGGATTGCCAAATAAAAATATAGGACACAATTAAATTTGACTTTCAGATAAACAATGAATAATTTTTAGTACTAACGTCTCCCAAATATAGCATGGGATATTCTCTACTATAAAAAATATATTATTTTCTCTGAAAATTAAATTTAACTATGTGTCCTGTATTTTTATTTACTAAATCTAGTTAGGAGAGATCGCAGTTGATGGGAATAGAAACGAAGCAGAATTAAGGGTTTGGAGGAATAGTGATTCTGATGTTGACTTTTCGGACCTTCAGTTACTAACTCCGTCTACATACAGAGCATTCTTACACCTGATTCTTCTCTAAAGAGAAAAGGGTTAAAGACTTCTGTTTGTTTTAATTTCAGTGTTAAAATATTATGTCCCCAAGATAGAAGCAGTAATTTTATCATTGTTTCTCCTCTACCTTACGTTACTGTAGAGGCTTGCATTTAAACCATTACAGAAACCAAAGTGCCAGTCAGTAGTTCGAAGCAACAGTGCCAACAGCAGCATCAAAAACTACCAGAGCTTCTTGTAGGCTGCTTTTCATACATCTATGTTCAGTTCTCACATTTTAAATTTTACATAATGCGTTTGTCTTATTAAAAATGAAAACAAAGAGAAAGCACTTGTGTCCATTAATCTCCTCCAGGTGCTTTATCCTCTCCTGTTTTTTTCTCCTCCAGCTGGTTTTGTATTTCTTATTTGTTTTTTGCTTTCCAGTCCTTGCATATTTATCTGTTCCTTGAAAAAAATCAACAATTTTTTAAAAGGCCATTAAACCAATCAAAGCTTGGCTATGGTTGCTAATTTAAGTAGCTCTCCATCTGAATTGGAGCTGCTCTTTTAAATTAAGAAGATTGTTGGTTTATTGGAGGGTCTTACATGTTTCTTCTTCAACTGATGGCAAGTCATGGGTTTGAATTCCAGTCAATCATATAAAGCTATACCTTGACCTTATATGGCCAATGAGCCCTCACTTGGACTGAAATAATTTCCCATACTATTCATTTATTTAAGTCAAGCAGGATCTAGCAACTCAGTGGATGAGACTCACATTTATTAAAAGCAAGAATCACTCTTCCATTTATGAAAATTTTTTGTAGGCATTCTGGAACGCAGTCGGGTGCTGTCAGACCCAGGTCTGAATTCCAGCTCTTCCATTCACTTGCTCTGTGACCACAAAATTAATTCACTTGACATCCCTGAATGTAGGTTTTCTTCTATGCAATGGGGAAAATAATACTTAGCTTACAGGTGTGCTGTTGTTGAATTTACGTAGACAAAGCCAGTCTACGGAATTTTTAGGTAAAACCCTTGGTGGGAATGTACAATCATTTTAGGAAACATTTTGGAAGCTTACTTGAATTTAAATATGCACCTACCGTATTACCTTGCTATTCCATTGCTATTTACCAAAAAGAAATAAAAGCATTTGTCCATACTAAGACCTATACAACAATGTTCATAGCAGTTTCGTTGGTAATAAATAAGATGTGGATTCAATCAAAGTGTTCATTAATAGGTGAATTGATGAGCAACTTGTGGTACATTCAAACTCTGTGCTACTCTTCAGCCATGAAGTGAAATTAACTAATGACACATGCAACAACTTGGTGAATCTCAAGATAAATATACTGAATAGAAGAAACCAGAATAATATTGTATGATTATACTCACATAAAAGTCTAGGAAATACAAACTAGAGTACAGCGACAGATAGCATATCAGTGCTTGCCTGGGGATAGGAGAGAGGAAGGAAAGAATTACAAAGAAGGCACAAGTAAGCTTTTGGAGGTGATATAATTGTATGTTACCTTGATTATGGTGATAGTTTCACAGGTATACATATATCAAGATCATGGAAGTACACACTTTACATATGCATGACAATGTACCTCAATAGAGTTGAAAGAAACAAAATAGAAACATAAAGTGATATCATGTTGATCAATAAACTCATATCTAATATCCAAAAATAAAAATATTATTTGAGTTTTCCATGAAGGAATAGGATGGTGATTCTTATATATATTCTGTCTAGGATTTTCTTTGCTTCTGTGCTGTTTCTTTCCAGAAAAACATTCATTATTATCAATTTTTATTGGAGGGCTTTCAAAATATTTCTAATTCATTATCTTTGTAATTATTTATGGGAATTAAAATTCACATTATATATACATATATAGAGATATTCCACTTTAATATGCCAATATTATCCTGCTTGTTACCTATAGTTCTTTGTTTTCCTTTTTCTATCATGAAAGGATTACATTATGCTTGCTTAGAACTCAATATGTTCACTTCCTAGCCTGCTGCTCTGATACGCAGAAATATCTTTCATGAATCATCACTCCCATATCTAATTCATCTCTTCTAGTTTGCCCAACACTCTTGACCTCTCTTTACACATAATTTCATCTGCCAAATGATTCCTACCCTCTGCTCCTTCACCTCTAACAACACCATGAAGACCATGATTCCCTCCCCTTTCCCCACAAATTCTGAGCAGAATGGCTTGGTGGCTTCCCTTTCTCCACAGCACAAATTACCTAGGAGCATGACAGAAGATGTGTGATGAGCCATTGGTTATAAATAATATAATTTCATTGTCTTCATGAAGTTTCCTTAAGAAATGCTAAGAGTAAATTATTAAGATAGAAGGAAAAATATGCTGATGAACATGGTGATGAACAGAAGGAAGAAAGGTAAAGCAGAGAAGATAAGAAGATAAAGGGAAATGTGACCAAATTCTTTGTTGTTGTTGTTGTTAGAGACAGTGTCTTGCTCTGTCACCCTGGCTACAGTACAGTGCTGCAGTCATAGCTCACTGTAACTTTAAACTCCTGGGCTCGAGATCTTCCTGCCTCAGCCTCCTGAGTAGCTAGGACAATAGACACATGCCACCAAACCCAACTACTTTTTAAATCGATTTCTAGAGATATGGTTTTGCTATGTTGCCCAGGCTGGATCAAGCAATCTTCCCACCTCAGCCTTTCAAAGCACTGGGATTACAGGAATAAGTCACTGAGCATAGCTAAATTCTACCAACTCTATGTAGGCACTAAATAAAGCCGGCACATGAGTCACTTTATGAAATAAGTATCTTTGAACAGGACTGTGGTCCTAACAGTTTACCCTTCCTACAGTCCAACACTCATCCAATCCACACACAGTAGTAAGAGCAATCTTCTAGAAATACGTCAGATCACATGTCTCTGTAGCTTAAAATCTTTCAAAGACTCCCCATTGCGCCCACCCATGCTGACTACTAGGGCCCACCCACGCGTCTCTATACGTTCTCATCCCTGTTTACCCCTCCAACCTCACTTTGCACAGACTATCTTCCCCTCTTTCACTTTGTTCCGAGAAGCTTCACTTTCTTTAGAATATGCCCTATATTCCTTCTCTGCCACATAGTCTTCATGCATAGTGCTCTCCTCACCACTCTAACTTCCCACCTGGCCAATTCCAGATCACTCTTCCAGTTTTAGTTTAATGGTTAGCATTTTCATGAGGTCCTTGAGGAAGCATCAGTCTAAATTATACATTCCTCTTACACAACGTTGTGAAAGTTGTTTAATGAGTAAATGAACAAATAGATAGATGGAAAATGGTCCTATGAGAAATTCTTATCCTCTCATCACACATGAGAAAATACAGGCTCAGAGAGTTTAAATGGTCAAGTTAATACATGCTTGCTCTGTAGTCATACAAGAAATTACAAGGAAGACAACAAAGAAAAAAAGAGAAGTAAAACCAAGAAAACTCCTTTGTGGAAAATCAGTCAATGTCATGAATATAAGCTCTGGTATATATTTACTTGCATAGAAAATGTATTTAGTTACATTTACCCTTTAAATTGGAGTTCCTGATTAGGTTCCAATACTGCTCCCTCAAAATTTATGATTCCAGACCTTTAGGTGAATAATCCCCAGTTGCAATGATTCTGTACTCTGGCTTATATCTGCTAAGTCAACCTGTGGTTTCAGCTGCAACTACCGTGAACAGTTCTATGTACACTGTCATTCTCCTCTCTCAGATTTTCCCCTCAAGACTTTTTCCAAGCCCAGGATCTCACCCATTCTCCATGCAGGTGCAGTCTGGAAATGACGGGGAGTTACTACTGCTGGGGCACCAAACACTGTGTGATGGAGTCGGTGGATAAATGCTCACATCTTTCTGTCTTGCATAAGGACACTTTGGAGGTGCTGTCTACACTGGCCTTGTAAAGTTCCCAGAGACTCTTACCCACCAGCCTCAGTGGTGGCCACTTCAATAACTGATCAACCCATTATTGTGTTTTCTTCCTTCCTTGTCCCATTCCCTCTTGCTCACTCTTGCTTCTCAAATACATTTCCCAAATAAACTATGTGCACTCCGGACCTTGTTTTAGGCTCTGCTTTGGGGAATATCAAAATTAAGACATCCTCGTTTTTTCATTTATTTCAGTATTTAATATGGGCACAGCTGGCTAGTAGAGTACAAGTTAAACGGCATGCCATTACCCTTGCAAAATTCAGTGCTTTGTTGGGATACATAGAAATATAAGAATGATATATTATAACATAAGCTTTGTGGTATAAGAATACAAAACACAAATAAAATTGGAAAATAAAATCTGAAGCTGCTATTTTAGTGAGAGAATCAGGAACAATTGAACAGATAACAAAGATGGTATTTGAGGGTTTTTTTGAAGGATAAACATAAGTTTATCGATAAGATATGGGAGTAGAAAAAAGGCATGAGAGCTGAACAGGTTCAAAAGCACACACTGAATCACAGAAAGACATGATATATATTAGAAATAGTGAAACATTCAAAGTATCTGTGCATAGTCACTAGGGTTGAGATCACTAAGGAGGATGCTGCAGAGAGTGAAGTGACATAAATGCCAGGATGAGGGTTTTAAGGGCTAAATCCCCATTTTTTTTATTCAGTACCAATGTGTAAGCATTAGAAGTTTCTAAAAGCAGAGTTACATAATCAGATCTGAGTTTTAGAAAGATAATTCTGGTTGCCATAAAGAGAATGAATGAGCTGGAATTGAAAAAAAAAAGTTTAAGCCTGAAAACAAGGAAAGATTATGAAGATGGTATCATTGAGGATAGAGAAGGGAGAGAATTCATGAGATATATTTTATTAATAGCAAGACCAGCTTTGAATGTTTCAGGTACTCCACATCTAGGGTTGTTTATTTTTAAATAGTTGACCCCATAAATCCATAATTCTCTAAATTTGGTTCTGATATTCATAACCTATTCAGACTAACTAATCAACTCCCATACAATAAGCAGGTGACAAAAATGTTTCAGGTTGATTCTGCTGACAAGATTTGAGATGAATATTTGCACACGTAGGAAGTTTCCTGGGGCATATTCCTGGGGTCAAAGCCTGTGGTACAGCGAAAGAAGTCAGTTTGGGTGGATGAAAGATTTGAAATGTGACACATGCAAAACAAACCCATCAAACAGTCACATAAGATGAGTTCTAGAGCTGATATGGTCTATCACAGTTGTTGTGTCACTCTGCAGTAGGGCACAGGGCCTGTATATCCCCACCCCCAGAAAGAACAGCCACTGGATGTGAGCTGTGGGAAGTGGAATTAAGACAGCCATTGGATGTGGGCAGGAGGAGTGACCTTGTCCACAGAGGCTTTCTCCTACTCAGAACATTGCTTTGAAAGGGACTGAGCTGAGCTGTCAGCTGCCAACATTCCAGACATCAGTAGGACTCATGAGTGTTTGAGTCCTTAAGGAAGAATCACATCAAGAGTTCACTCTAACTGTTATCATACACCCTGTCCTTTTTATTATGTGGAGGTCCTGGTAGGTTTCAAGGAAGCCAGCTTTAATATGGGACACCCCAAATTTAGTACTATCAGAGTACTATCACATTTTAAAGCAGAAAGAAAAGAAGAGAATAAAGTCCTCCTTTATGAGGTTATTTTGTTGTTGTTGTTCTTTAGAAGATGAACCCAAATACTGTGTAATTTATTATTCTTATTGGAATGTATAAATTACTCTTTATTTTTTTCTTTGAAGGTTTTTGTCAAAAACAACTCATGAAAACCATCTAAGATTTTTCTAAGCAGTAGCATTAGGAAACCTTGACAGAAAACTTCCTCCTCTCCCTCTCCCTCTCCCTCTCCCTCTCCCTCTCCCTCTCCCTCTCCGTCTCCCCACGGTCTCCCTCTCCCTCTCCGTCTCCCCACGGTCTCCCTCTATTTCCACGGTCTCCCTCTGATGCTGAGCCGAAGCTGGACTGTACTGCCGCCATCTCAGCTCACTGCAATCTCCCTGCCTGATTCTCCTGCCTCAGCCTGCCGAGTGCCTGCGATTGCAGGCGTGCGCCACCACGCCTGACTGGTTTTCGTATTTTTTTGGTGGAGACGGGGTTTCGCTGTGTTGGCCAGGCTGGTCTCCAGCTCCTAATCGCGAGTGATCCGCCAGCCTCGGCCTCCCGAGGTGCCGGGATTGTAGATGGAGTCTCGTTCCCTCAGTGCTCAATGGTGCCCAGGCTGGAGTGCAGTGGCATGATCTCGGCTCGCTACAACCTCTACCTCCCAGCCGCCTGCCTTGGCCTCCCAAAGTGCCGAGATTGCAGCCTCTGCCCGGCCGCCACCCCGTCTGGGAAGTGAGGAGCGTCTCTGCCTGGCCGCCCATCGTCTGGGATGTGAGGAGCCCCTCTGCCTGGCTGCCCAGTCTGGAAATTGAGGAGCGTCTCTGCCCGGCCGCCATCCCATCTAGGAAGTGAGGAGCGTCTCTGCCCGGCCACCCATCGTCTGAGATGTGGGGAGCGCCTCTGCCCTGCCGCCCCGTCTGGGATGTGAGGAGCGCCTCTGCCCGGCCGCGACCCCGTCTGGGAGGTGAGGAGCGTCTCTGCCAGGCCGCCCCATCTGAGAAGTGAGGAGACCCTCTGCCTGGCAACCGCCCCATCTGAGAAGTGAGGAGCGTCTCCGCCCGGCAGCCACCCCGTCTGGGAAGTGAGGAGCGTCTCCGTCCGGCAGCCACCCCGTCCGGGAGGGAGGTGGGGGTCAGCCCCCGCCAGGCCAGCCGCCCCGTCCGGGAGGGAGGTGAGGGGGTCAGCCCCCCGCCCGGCCAGCCGCCCCGTCCGGGAGGGAGGTGGGGGGTCAGCCCCCCGCCCGGCCAGCTCCCCCGTCCGGGAGGGCGGTGGGGGGGGGGTCAGCCCCCCGCCCGGCCAGCCGCCCCGTCCGGGAGGTGAGGGGCGCCTCTGCCCGGCCACCACTGCTGGGAAGTGAGGAGCCCCTCTGCCCGGCCACCACCCCGTCTGGGAGGTGTGCCCAGCGGCTCATTGAGAACGGGCCATGATGACAGTGGCAGTTTTGTGGAATAGAAAGGGGGGAAAGGTGGGGAAAAGATTGAGAAATCGGATGGTTGCCGTGTCTGTGTAGAAAGAAGTAGACATGGGAGACTTTTCATTTTGCTCTGTACTAAGAAAAATTCTTCTGCCTTGGGATCCTGTTGATCTGTGACCTTACCCCCAACCCTGTGCTCTCTGAAACATGTGCTGTGTCCACTCAGGGTTAAATGGATTAAGGGCGGTGCAAGATGTGCTTTGTTAAACAGATGCTTGAAGGCAGCATGCTCGTTAAGTGTCATCACCACTCCCTAATCTCAAGTACCCAGGGACACAAACACTGCGGAAGGCCTCAGGGTCCTCTGCCTAGGAAAACCAGAGACCTTTGTTCACTTGTTTATCTGCTGACCTTCCCTCCACTATTGTCCTATGACCCTGCCAAATCCCCCTCTACGAGAAACACCCAAGAATGATCAATTAAAAAAAAAAAAAATAAAAATAAAAATAAAAGAAAAAAAAAAAAAAGAAAACTTCCTTGTTTTAAAGTGTTGTTGATCCAGACTGTCAAATAATGACCAACGTTGATATCGAGAAAAGAAGTCTTAAATCACTACATCTACTGCAGTATCAGGTAGGTACCCATAGCCAGCAGCTTCCTTAATATAAGTAAATAACTGAGTGTTTTATCCATAGTCAGCAGCTTCCTTAATATAAGTAAATAACTGGGTGTTGGCTTAAGTCAATTCTCTACAATGTAGCATTGGCATTAAAATTCCCCCCCAAGAAAATCCCCACAGAATTGTCCCAAAGAAACATTTGATCTGTTATGTTTTTAAAGCATGCTGTTCTGGTTTACTACTTTTTCAAAGAATTTCCACTTAAAAAATCAAGGCATGCCATTCTTCTGAGACATGCCTCTGCAGAGAAGCTCATCTTCGTCCTCTTCTAAAAGGCATTCTTTTGGAGAATTTTCGAACTCTGATTCAAGGTATCAATAAATGTCTACTAATAATTTTGTGTAAAGAAGAAAAGCATATTTGAGACTTTGTTTTCCTAAATATTTATTTCAAATACTACATTTTCACAGTGGTTTTAATCCTAATGTCATCCTTAAAATAAATCATTATGTGTACTTCATGTGATCTTTTCAGAATGCAATAAAACAGATTGTTTTTAATGGCTGTTCCAGCAATGAAAAAATATCTGTGTTAGGTGGAAACAACAAATTGATGGTTTTTCAATTCCTTTTAATGGCACGAGGATCTTTGCAACCTGCTGTGAAAAATATTCTCTTAATGATAGGCCTGTGGCACAACTTAAGGAGTCATCAAGAAATAAATGCGCCGCTGTCTGGTTGGCAGCTTGGTGTCCCTTAATTGAAGTGTTATAAGATTCTGTGCAGAGGAAGCCTCCAGGGTTTTGTAGCTAAATGGCACGGACACCTCTGATGAGACATGCAGATGAAGATGTGTCAATACAATCTTCACCAATTTGCTGTAATAGCAGGGACTGATTAATTTTATAACCACGGGTGCTTCTATTAGCTAACCTAAGGAAAGATTTAGACTTTATTAAGCGACTTATTTCTTTTTTTCAAGTGACTACAGCAACATAGTTTATCTCTGAGTGCTACACTGTGGCACATTTTCTAATAAGGATTCTAAATTTATTATTAAAAAAAGGATCATGAGCTTGCCTTGGCTTAGAGGAGGCTTAATGGTAGCAACTTTCTGTGACTGTTAGTGTCTCAAATGCATTTCAGTAAACTTGGAGTTTCTCAAAAATAACTTCATATTTCAAGCAATTGAGTTAGCAGCTCTTATATACATTTTTAATGTGCAAAAAGTTGAAGTAACAGAATAAAAAATTTGTGGCTGTATATTTTTATCCTTCCCTTCATATAAAATTGCTTTAATATTTTATCATAATTGCCCTTGGACAGCTAACATCATTTGGTTACACATAATCAACTAATGCTTTATATTTTAGGGCTTTGTTCAATAAAAAATTAATTATCCTTCATGGGTGGGCAATGTATTTGGAGATTGAGCTACATGATTTTATGCATAAAACAGGCTCTGGTTTATATATTGAAACCAAAATTGCTGTAACATTCACAGTGCAATAAAAATCAGATACAAAGAATCATTTCAAACTTCTGAAATGTGAGCTCTGGGACACACCTTTGTATTTTTTTTAAAAACTATAAAAGGAAATGAAACTGCATTTACTATAAGTTGAATATCCAGTAAATTTTATTTTTTAAAGAAGACTAGGAACCCATTAAATGCAATTATATTCCAGAAGCAATGAGACGACTATTAGTACTATTCTAGAGCTTGGTATTGCAAAGTGTCTATCAATAGATACGTAATATTCAATAACGATTCACATGTTTCTCTTGGGGATGAGGGTGTTTGTAAATGTCCCTTGGAAGAAAGAACATTTATAAATTTCTGTCCCACTCCAGTATTCTCTTCATCCAGGCTTATGTTAGGCTGTAAACTAATGACAGTGATGTTGAAGAGATCTGCTTCTCAAATTTATCAATTTTTTTTGCAATAAGCAGAAGTATTCACCTGCATCAAAAATACACCCAACATTCTGGATCTGTTTTATAATGAGAAAATTTCATGGTTATGATGTGTCTCAATTCATCCCTTCAAACATATTTTAAGGTCCACTTTGATTACGTGGCTTTAAGTGTCCATGTTATAATGTAAGATAAGCAGATACCTTGTAACCTCTAACAATGTAGGAGAGAAAAATATCAGGTAACTGAGAAAGTCAGAGAATAAATCAATAAACTAAAAATGAAACATATTATCCAAGTAATAGTCAAACACTATCCTCAAAATGCTCTGTATCCCAGATCCAGTTTAGTGGAAGTGGGCTCTTTTAGGAATTCAGGGATTGGGTTCAAGTTCTAGCTTTTTCATTAGGTAATATACAATCTTTAACAAATTCCCTAAACTTTTAAGGAACATATTCTCTTAGTAAAACCAGGAGTTGAGTTAAATCATCTTTGAGGTTGCATTTTAATATGTAACTTTATTGTAATAAGTCAGGACTAGGTTAGTACGAAACCTTTGATATTATAAGTATGTTTAATAAAAACCACACTTATACTTCCAAAGATACTGGAAATTTTTAAACCCTTCAGAATGGAACAGATATTAGGGTACTTGTTTTCCATGCCACAAAGATGATCAGAGCGGAGAAAATATAGTATTAGATATGTGATTTGTTAACTTATTTGTGTTTCAGGTGGGGGATGGTGGTGAGAAATTTATACATAATTACTGAAGCCAAGGGATGGGTAGTCATTGGAAGCCATACATAAATGACAGCAGTAGATACTAACCATGACACAGGTGACAAACCAGTGACTGCTTGTAATAATGTGGATATTTTTTATCTCTTTTTACTTAATATGTTTGAAATTCTTCTTAGAATTCCAACCAATCTTAAAGTTAAACATGTATACCTATTTAAACACAAAGAATGCATCAAAGAGTCTAAAATTACACTGAATAAGATATAATTAGAAATGTCAGTTACTTAGAATGTTTGTTCAGTTAGTGAAAGGTTTCAAGTTTTGGGGAAGAATAAAAATGAAGTTTGTGAGGATTCCAAGAAATCGTGGAATGGGGACTTACAAAAACACATGAAATATAATCAATACGTTAAAAATAACATCAAACATTTTAAATTAATTTTTATTTTATTTTATTTTAAGTTCGAAGATACATGTGCAGGATGTGCAGGTTTGTTACAAGTTTGTAAACATGTGCCATGGTGGTTTGCTTCACCTATCAACCCAGTCACCTAGATATTAAGCCCTGAATGCATTAGCTATTTTTCCTGATGCTCTCCCTCCACTCAACCCCTCTACCCGACAGGCCCCAGTGTGTGTTTTCCCCTCCCTATGTCCATGTGTTCTCATTGTTCAGCTCCTACATATAAGTGAGAACATGTGGTGTTTGGTTTTCTGTTCATGCATTAGTTTGCTGAGGATAATGGCTTTCAGCTCCAACCATGTCCCTGCAAAGGACATGATCTCTTTCTTTTTTATGGCTGCATAGTATTCCATGGTGTATATATATATATATATATATATATATATATATATATATATATACCACATTTTCTTTATCCAGTCTATCATCAATGGGCATTTGGGTTGATTCCCTGTCTTTGCTATTGTGAGTAGTGCTGCAATGAACATAACTGTGCATATCTTTATAATAGAATGATTTCTATTCCTTGGAGTATATACCCAGTAAAGGGTTTGCTGGGTCAAATAGTATTTCTGGTTCTAGGTCTTTGAGGAATTGCCACACTGTCTACCACAATAGTTGAGCTAATTTACATTCCCACCGACAGTGTAAAAGTGCTCCTATTTCTCCACAGCCCCATCAGCATCTGTTGTTTCTTGACAGATGAAACAACAGCATCTGTTGTTTCTTGACTTTTTAATAACCACTATTCTGACTGGTGTGAGATGGTATCTCATTATGGTTTTGATTTGCATTCCTCTAATGATCAGTGCTGTTGAGCTTTTTTTCATGTTTGTTGGCCGCATAAATGTCTTATTTTGAGCAGTGTCTGTTCGTGTCTTTTGCCCACTTTTTAATGAGGTTGTTAATTTTTTTTCTTGTACATTTGTTTAAGTTCCTTGTAATTTCTAGGTATTAGACCTTTGTCAGATGGATACATTGCAAAAATTTTCTCCCATTCTGTAGGTTGTCTGTTCACTCTGATGATAGTTTTGTTTGCTGTGCAGAAGCTGTTTTGTTTAATTAGACTCAATTTGTCAATTTTTGCCTTTGTTGCAATTGCTTTTGATGTATTCATCATAAAATCTTTGCCAGTGCCTATGTTCTGATGGTATTGCCTAGATTTTATTCTAGTGTTTTTTAGTTTTGGGTTTTACATTTAATTCTTTAATCCATCTTGAGTTAATTTTTGTATAAGGTATGAGGAAGGGATCCAGATTCAATTTTCTGCATATGGCTAGCCAGTTTTCCCAGCACTGTTTATTAAATAGGGAATTCTTTCCCCATTGCTTATTTTTGTCATTTTTGTGGAAGATCAGATTGTTGTAGATGTGTGGTTTTATTTCTGAGACCACCATTCTGTTCCATTGGTCTATGTGTCTTTTTTTGTGCCAGTACCATGCTGTTTTGGTTACTTTAGGCTTGTGGTGTAGTTTGAAGTTGGGTAGTATGATGCTTCCAGCTTTGTTCTTTTTACTTAGGGTTGTTCTGGCTATAGGGGCTCTTTTCTGATTTCATATGAGTTTTAAAGTAGCTTTTTCTAATTCCGTGAAGAATATCAATGGTAGTTTAATGGAAATAGCATGGAATCTATAAATTACTTTGGGCAGTATGGCCATTTTCATAATATTGATTTTTCCTATCCATGAGCATGGAATGTTTTTTCATTTATTTCTGTCCTCTCTTATTTCTGTGAGCAGTAGTAGTTCTCCTTGAAGAGGTCCTTCACTTCCCTTGTTAGCTGTGTTCCTAGGTATTTCATTCTCTTTGTAACAATTGCGAATGGAAGGAAGTTCATTCATGATTTGGCTCTCTGATTGTCTATTGTTGGTGTATAGGAATGCTTGTGATTTTTGCACATTGATTTTGTATCCTGAGACTTTGCTAAAGTGGCTTATTAGCTTAAGAAGTTTTTGAGCTGAGATGATGGGGTTTTCTAGATATAGGATATGTTATCTGCAAACAGAGACAGTTTGACTTCTTCTCTTTTCATTTGCATATCCTTTATTTCTTCCTCTTGCCTGATTACCCTGGCCAGAACTTCTAATACTATGTTGAATAGGAATGGTGAGAGAAGGCATCCTTGTCTTGTGCCAATTTTCAAGGGGAATGCTGTCAGCTTTTGCCCATTCAGTATGATATTGGCTGTGAGTTTGTCATAAATGGCTCTTATTTTGAGGTGTGTTCTATCAATATCTAGGTTATTGAGAGTTTTTAACATGAAGGGATGTTAAATTTTATCAAAGGCCTCTTCTGCATCTATTGAGAAAATAACGTAGTTTTGGTCTTTATTTCTGTTTATGTGATGAATTGCATTCATTGATATGTGTATGGTGAACCAGCCTTGCATCCCAGGGAAGAAGCCGACTTGATCATGGTGGATAAGCTTTTTGATGAGTGGCTGGATTTCGTTTGCCAGTATTTTATTGAAGATTTTTGCATCGATGTTCATCAGGGATACTGGCCTGAAGTTTTCTTTTTTTGTTGTATTTCTGCCAGGTTTTGGTATCAAGATGATGCTGGCCTCAAAAACTGAGTTAGGGAGGAGTCCCTCCTTTTCAATTGTTTGGAATAGTTTCAGAAGAAATGGCCCCAGTTCCTCTTTGTACCTGTGGTAGAATTCAGCTGTAAATCTGTCTGGTCCTGGGCTTTATTTGAATGGTGGGCTATTTATTACTTCCTCAATTTTAGAACTTGTTATTGGTCTATTCAGGAATTCAACTTCTTCCTGGTTGAGTCTTGGGAGAGTGTAAGTGTCCAGGAATTTATCCATTTCTTCCCGATTTTCTAGTTTATATGCCAGAGGTGTTTATAGTATAATCTTATGGTTTTTTGTATTTCTGAGGGGTCAGTGGTGATATGCCCTTTATCATTTTTTATTGTGTCTATTTGATTCTTCTCTCTTTTATTCCTTTTAGTCTAGCTAGCAGTCTATCTATTTTATTAATTTTTTCAAAACACTAGCTTCTGAATTTGTTGATTTTTTGAAGGGTTTTTCATGTCTCTATCTCATTCAGTTCTGTTCTCATCGTGATTATTTCTTGTTTTCTGCTAGCTTTGGGATTTGTTTACTACTGGTTCTGTAGTTCTTTTAGTTGTGATTTTCGGATGTCGATTTGAAACCTTTCTAGCTTTGAGATCTTTCTAGCTTTAAGAGTGCTAAAAATTTCCCCCATAACACTGCATTAGCTGTATCCCAGAAAGTCTGTACCTTGTCTCTTTGTCCTCATTGGTTTCAAAGAACTTCTTGATTTCTGCCTTAATTTTATTATTTACCCAGCCGTCACTCATGAGCAGGTTGTTCAATGTCCATGTAGTTGTGTGGTTTTGAGTGAGTTTCTTAGTCTCAAATTCTAATTTGATTGTGCTGTGGTCTGAGAGACTGTTCGTTATTATTTCCATCCTTTTGAATTTGCTGAGGAGTGCATTACTTCCAATTATGTGATCGATTTTACAGTAAGTGCCATGTGGTGCTGAGAATAATCTATATTCTATTGTTTTGGCATGGAGAGTTCTGCAGATATCTACCAGGTTCTCTTGATCTGGAGCTGAGTTCACGTCCTGAATATCTTTGTTAATTTTCTGACTTTATTATCTGTCTAATATTGACAATGGGGTGCTAAAGTCTCCCACTATTATTGTGTGGGAGCCTAAGTGTCTTTGTAGGTGTCTAGGTGCTCTTGTATTGGATACACATATATTTAGGATAGTTAACTCTTCTTGTTGAATTGAATGCTTTATCATCATGTAATTCCCTTCCTTGTCTTTTTTGTTCTTTGTTGGTTTAAAGTCTGTTTTGTCAGAAACTAGGATTTCAACCCCTGCTTTTTTCTGCTTTCCATGTGCTGACAGATTTTCCTCCATCCCTTTATTTTGAGCCTATGTGTGTCTTTGCATGTGAGATGGTCTCTTGAATATAGCACACTGATGGGTCTTGACTCTTTGTCCAGCTTGCTATTCTGTGTCTTTTAACTGGGACATTTAGCCCATTTACACTTGAGGTTAATACTGTTATGTGTGAAATTGATCCTGTCATCATGATGCTAGCTGGTTATTTTGCAGACTTGTTGATGTAGTTGCTTCATAGTGTCATTGGTCTGTGTACTTCAGAGTGTTTTTGTAGTGGCTAATAATGGTTTTTCCTTTTCATATTTAGTGCTTCCTTCAGGAGCCCTTGCAAAGCATTTCTGGTGGTGATGAATTTCGTCAGTATTTGCTTCTCTGAAAAGGATTTTATTTCTCCTTCATTTATGAGCTTAGTTTGGCCAGATATGAGATTCTGGGTTAAAAATTCCTTTCTTTAAGAATGTTCAATATCGACCCCCAGTTTCTCCTGGCTTGTAGGGTTTCTGTTGAGAGGTCAACTGCTATTCTGATGGGCTTCCCTGTGAAGGTGAACAGGCCTTACTCTCTGGCTTCCCTTAACAATTTTTTTTTCATTTTGACCTTGGAGAATCTGATGATTATGTGTCTTGGGGTTGATCTTCTCATGGAATAGCTTACTAGGGTCTCTGGATTTTCTGAATTTGAATGTTGATCTGTCTTGTTAGGTTGAGAAAGTTCTCCTGGATGATATCCTGAAGTATGTTTTCCAACTCCATTATGGTGCCCCTGTCTGTCTCAGGTACCCAGATTATTTGTAGGTTTGGTCTTTTTACATAATCCCATAGTTCTTGGAGGTTTTGTTCATTCCTTTTCATTCTTTTTTCTCTAATCTTGTCTGCCTTTCTTATTTCAGCAAGATAGTCTTCAAGCTCTGAAATTCTTTCTTCCACTTGGTCTTTTCAGCTATCAGTACTTGTGGTTGCATTGTGACATTCTTGTGTTGTGTTTTTCAGCTCCATCAGGTCATTTATATTCCTTTCTAAACTGGTTATTCTGGTTAACAGCTTCTCTAATAGTTTATCATGATTCTTAGCTTCTTTGCAGTGTGTGGGAACATGCTCCTTTAGCTCAGTGAAGTTCATTATTACCTACCTTCTGAAGCCTAATTCTGTCAGTTCAGCCATCTCAGCCTCAGCCCATTTCTGTGCCCTTCCTGGAGAGGTGTTGCAATCGTTTGGAAAACGGGCACTCTTCTCCAAATTCTGGCCATGAGCTGCCACAGCCTCTGTGCTTTTTGAATTTTTAGCATATTTTGTTGATTCTTTCTCATCTTCCTTAGTTTATTTAGTTTTGATCTTTGAGGCTGCTAACCTTTGTATGGGGTTTTTGTGGGGACTTTTTTGTTGATGCTGTTGTTGTTGCTGTTTGTTTGTTTTTCTTGTAATGGTCAGGCCCCGCTTCGGTAGGGATGCTGCAGGTTGCTGGAGGTCCACTCCAGACCCTATTAGCCTGGGTCCCTCCTGCACCTGGAGGTGTCACCAGTGGAGTTTGCAGAACAGCAAAGATGGCTGCCTGCTCCTTCCTGTGGGCACTCCATCCCAGAGGGGCACCAACCTGATGCCAGTGGGAATGTTTCTATATAAGGTGTCTGGCAACCCCTGTGGGGGGTCTCACCAATTCAGGAGGCACAGGACCAGGGACTTGTTTAATGAAGGACTCTTGCTACCCCTTGGCAGAAGGGGTGCACTGCACTGGGGGGAATCCCACTTGTGCAGACTGCCTGGTTACCTCAGAGCCAGCAGGGGAAAAACTAAGTTCACTGATCTGCAGAGACACAGCCACCGCTCCCCCTAGGGGCTCAGTCCTAGGGAGATCAGAGTTCTATCTGTAAACCCCAGGCTGGAGGTGCTGAAATTCCCACAGGGATCCCTGCCCAGTGAGGAAGGATGGGTCCAGGCCTGTCCTAAAGACTCAGTCTGACCACGAGCTGCTATGGCCTCTGCTCTGCGCTGTGAGGATTTCCTCCTGGGTCCAATCCACCCAGTCTCCCTGGCATTGGCAGGGCAAAAACAGCAGGCTGGAGCTGCAGTGATGGTTGCCACCCCTCCTGGCGGGGCTCAGTCCTCTTAGGCAGCAGGCAGCTGCAGTGATGATGGCCACCCCTCCCCCTGGGAGCTCAGTCATCTTAGGCAGCTGGCAGCCAAAGTGATGGTGGCCATGTGTTCCCCCAAGGAACTCGGTAGTCTTAGTCAGTCTCCAGCCCAGGGGCCACTGAGAATCTGCACAGCTCTGTGCTTAGGACTCAAGGCCTTGGTGCCATGGGCTCAAGAGCGGATCTCCGGATCTGTATGTTGCACAGATCTGTGGAAAAAGCATGATTTCCTAGGCAGGGTAGCACAATCACTCACAGCCTCCCTTGGCTGGGAGTGAGATCTCTTCTTTCCTCATGCCACTCCTGGGTGGGCCATTGCTCCACCATACTTTTCCTTGCTGTCTGTGGGGCATGCCAACCACCCAGTCAGTCCCAATAAGAGAACCTGGATACTTTAGTTTCCAGTGCAGGATTCTATTCACCATTTTCATTCTTCTCTGTGAGTATGTCTGACTGCAGCTGTTTCTAGTCAGCCATGTTAGCCCCTTCCCAAAATATTTTTTGATAGTATATGCCATTAAAAATAAATGCTGAGATAAATTCACCATATATGGATATTCATATATAAATTACACACATGCACTTCTGAACTCATATACTGTGACCATTACAATAAGTATATTTAAATGAAGCAAAAATAAATCTGAAGAATAGCACTGCTGTTTTCTTTCTGTACCTTAATGAATTATCTTGCACACGCCCTTAGAATGCATTCACTCCATTTTGGATGTTCCTAAAATATTCTGGCAGAGTCAAAAGAAATTTCATAAAAATGAAAACCAATAGAAGACATTGAAGAAAGAAAAGAACATCTGGAAATGAAGAGAAAAGATAATCACAGAGAGAATAACACGTAACGTGAAAACTACCTGGTATAACTGGTAAACTTATAGCCAGTGTGGAAAGGACTAACATATGAAATAATGTGAGTATCACAAGGCAAAATGTGGCATATAATAACACTTAAACATATGAAGCATACTTTCATCATAGAAAGGCTTTACTTGACCCCCACACAGGCTGAGACAGCTTCCTTGTTGGGAAATGTGACTTTAGAGTTGAAAAGTGAAGCCAACAAATTACAGAGAATGCATACTCCAGAGCCAGCAATGATCTTCCAGACCATGAAAGCCAAGAGTACATTTCCACCAGTAATCATTTATGAATGACCGTGTATTATCCTCTCAGGAGTTGGCTTGTTGGACTCTGTGCCTGAGAACAAGATTGTTAATTGTCCTTACAAAGAAATATATGGGTAATTATATAAAACATGTTACAATTTTAATAATAATTTCTAGGCCTACTAAAATACATTTCTTTTGTTAGGTACAGCTAAAAATTATCTGTCTTTATAGAAAGGATTCTTGACTGCTTTGTTGATTAAAGGAAATGTCTCTCCAACCTTGGGTGAATAATTCACGGTGTGATCTTTGGGTTTAACACAGAGCTTGGATCCATTCCATGAATGCTGGATTGAATGAAATGTTAATTAAGCAGGGGTTTATTTGAATTAGGTACTATCTACCCAAGATTTTTTTGGTAGTATTAGACATATTTATATTTGTTTATTTATTATTTAGAAAGGGTCTCATTCTGTCACCCAGGCTGAAGTACAGTGGCACAATCATGGCACACTGCAGCCTCAAGCTCCTGGGCTCAAGTAATCCTCCTACTGAGGATCTGAGCTGAGACTATGGGTGCATACCACCACACTTGACTAATATTTATTTATTTATAGAGACAGGATCTTGCCATGTTGCACAGGCTAGCCTCGTATTCCTGGCCTCAAGCAATCCTGCCATCTCAGCCTCCCAAAGTGCTGAGATTATAGGCATGGGCCACTGTGTCCAGCCAAGCCAAACATTCATGTTTATACCATAGAATTACTTCCCTATTATTATTACTTATTCAAGCCCTATCTAAAGTACTATGACACAAGGTGGTGCAAAGCTTAACTCCCATTATGTCTCCTGAATACACGAGCATCAACAAGGTAAATAAAACCATGGATTTCTGACCATCCTCTTATACAATTTTGTAAGAGAAAAACCTATGATAAATGAAAAGGGACTGTGAGTATGCAAAAGAGGCCATACTTGACAACTACAATTTTAGCATGTGTTCATGGGTTCTGTACCTATTTTTCATTTAAGAAAGTCAACTTAGTATTTTCTTTTTTAAGACATTCATTTCATATTTTTTAGGAGCATTAAAACATGATCTGTAGCAGCAGTTTTCAAAATTTTGGCCTCAAGAATCTTTTACACATTTAAAAATGATGGTGAATACTCATGAGATTTTTCCTATGTGTATGCATCAATTGATAATTACTGCTAAATTCTTATAATATGTGTTTATTAATTTATTTTAAAAGAATAGTGAGCCAGGCATGGAGTCATGAAATAGTAATCCCAGCTATTTGGGAGGCTGAGGCAGGAGAATCACTTGAGCCCAAGAGTTCAAGGATTCAATGTGTTATGATTATGCCTCTGAATAGCCACTCTATTCCAATCTGATAAACAGAGCAAGACTCCATCTCTACAAAAAAAAAAGTAAAAGAATCAATAAATAAATATAATAATAAATCCAATGTATGCTGAAGTGACCATTTTTTTTAACAACCAAGTGGAAGATTAACAGAGAATGGCTTCTTTTTATTATTTTCAATTTCATTAATGTCTGACTCAATACAAGACAACTGGATTCCTGTACATGTGTATGCATTCGATCTGTTGTGCTATGTTAGTTAGTTGAGGTATATGAAGAAAATCTCATCTTACACAGATATGGGAAAAGGGAGAAGTTTTTTTTTAATTATACTTTAAGTTCTGGAATACATGTGCAGGAAGTGCAGGTTTGTTACATAGGTATACATGTGCCATGGTGGTTTGCTGCACCCACCAACCCGTCATCTACATTAGGTATTTCTCCTAATGCTATCTCTCCCCTTGCCTCCCATCCCCAGACATGCCCCAGTGCGTGATGTTCCCCTCCCTGTGTCCATATGTTCTCATTGTTCAACTCCCACTTATGAGTGAGAACTTGCGGTGTTTGGTTTTCTGTGCCTGTATTAGTTTTCTGAGAATGATGGTTTCCAGCTTTATCCATGTCCCCACAAAGAACATGAACTCATTCTTTTTTATGGCTGCATAGTATTCCTTGGTGTATATGTGCCACATTTTCTTTATCCAGTCTAACATTGATGGGCATTTTGGGTCAGTTCCAAGTCTTTGTTATTGTGAATAGTGCTATAATAAACATACATGTGCATGTGTCTTTATAGTAGAATGATTTGTAATCTTTTGGGTATATACCCAGTAATGGGATTGCTCAGTCAAATGGTATTTTTGGTTCTAGATCCCTGAGGAATTGCCACACTTTCTTCCACAATGGTTGAGCTAATTTACACTGCCACCAACCATGTAAAAGTGTTCCTATTCCTCCACTTTCTCTCCAGCATCTGTTGTTTCCTGACTTTTTAATGATGGCCATTCTAACTGGCATAAGATAGTATCTCATTGTGGTTTTGATTTGCATTTCTGTAATGACCAGTGATGATGAGCTTTTTTTCATATGGTTGTTGGCCATGTAAATGTCTTATTTTGAAAAGTATCTGTTCATATCCATCGCCCACCTTTTGATGGGGTTGCTTTTTTCTTGTAAATTTGTTTAAGTTCATTGTAGATTCTGGATATTAGCCCTTTGTCAGATGGATAGATTGCAAAAATTTTCTCCCATTCTGTAGCTTGCCTATACACTCTGATGATAGTTTCTTTCACTGTGCAGAAGCTCTTTTGTTTAGTTAGATCCCACTTGTCAATTTTGGCTTTTGTTGCAACTGCTTTTGGTGTTTTAGTCATGAAGTCTTTGCCCATGTCTATGTCCTGAATGGTATTGCCTAGATTTCCTTTTAGGGTTTTTATGGTTTTATGTCTTATATTTCAACCTTTAATCCACCTTGAGCTAATTTTTGTAAAAGGTATAAGGAAGGGGTCTGGTTTCAGTTTTCTGCATATGGCTAGCCAGTTTTCCCAAAGTTTATTAAATAGGGAATTCTTTCCCCATTGCTTGTTTTTGTCAGGCTTATCAAAGATCTGATGGTTGTAGATGTGCGGTGTTATTTCTAAGGCCTCTGTTCTGTTCCATTGGTCTATATATCTGTTTTTGTACAGCACCATGTTGTTTTGGTTACTGTAGCCTTGTAGTATAGTTTGAAGTCAGGTAACATGATGCCTTCAGGTTTGTTCTTTTTGCTTAAGATTGTCTCGGCTATACAGGCTCTTTTTTGGTTCCATATGAAGTTTAAAGTAGATTTTTCTAATTCAGTGAAGAAAGGCAATGGTAGCTTGATGGGAATAGCATTGAATTCATAAATTACTTTGGGCGTATGGCCATTTTCACAATACCGTTTCTTCCTATCCATGAGCATGCAATGTTTTTCCATTTGTTTGTGTCCTCGCTTATTTCCTTGAGCAGTGGTTTGTAGTTCTCCTTGAAGAGGACCTTCACATCTCTTGTAAGTTGTATTCCTAGGTATTTTATTCTCTTTGTAGCAATTGTGGATGGGAGTTTGTTCATGATTTGGCTCTGTGATTGTCTATTGTTGGTGTATAGGAATGCCTGTGATTTTTGCATTGATTTTGTATCCTGAGGCTTTGCTGAAGTTGCTTATCAGCTTAAGAAGTATTTGGGCTGAGACAATGGGGTTTTCTAAATATACAATCATTTCATCTGCAAGCAGAGATAATTTGACTTCCTCTCTTCCCATTTGAATATGCTTTATTTATTTATCTTGCCTGGTTACCTTGGCCAGAGCTTCCAATATTATGTTGAATGGGAGTGGTGAGGGAGGGTATCCTTGTCTTGTGCTGGTTGTCAAAGGGAATGCTTCCAGCTTTTGCCCATTCAGTATGATATTGGCTGTTGGTTTTTCATAAATAGCTCTTATTATTTTTAGATACATTCCATCAATACTTAGTTTATTGAGTGTTTTTAGCATGAAGAGGTGCTGAATTTTATCAAAGGCCTTTTTGGCATCTATTGAGATAATCATGTGGGTTTGTCATTGGTTCTGTTTATGTGATGGATTACATTTACTGATTTGCAAACTACGCTTGCATCGCAGGGATAAAGCCCACTTGATCATGGTGGATAAGCTTTTTAATGTGCTGCTGGATTCAGTTTGCCAGCATTTTATTGAGGATTTTTGCATGGATGTTCATCAGACATATTGGCCTGAAATTTTCTTTTTTTGTTTGTCTCTGCCAGGTTTTGGTATCAGGATGATGCTGGCCTCATAAAATGAGTTAGGAAAGAGTCCCTCTTTTTATATTGTTTGGAATAGTTTAGGAAGGAATGGTACCAACTCCTCTTTGTACCTCTGCTATAATTCACCTGTGAATCCATCTGGTCCTAGGCTTTTTTTGGTTGGTAGGCTATTAATTACTACCTGAATTTCAAAACTTGTTATTGGTCTATTCAGGGATTCAACTTCTTCCTGGTTTAGTCTTGGGAGGATATATGTGTCCAGGAATTTATCCATTTCTTCTAGATTTTCTGGTTTATTTGCGTAGAGGTGTTTATAGTATTCTCTCATGGTAGTGTGTGGAATCAGTGGTGATATGCCCTTTATCATTTTTATTGTGTCTATTTGATTCTTCTCTCTTTTCTTCTTTATTAGTCTGGCTAGCAGTCTATCTATTTGATTAATTTTTTCAAAAAACCACCTCCTGGATTCATTGATTTTTTTTTTTTTTTTTAATGAGATGGAGTCTCACTCTGTTGTCCAGGCTGGAGTGCAGTGGCACAATCTCAGCTCACTGCAAGCTCCACCTCCCAGGTTCACGCCATTCTCCTGCCTCAGCATCCCGAGTAGCTGGGACTACAGGCACCCACCACCACACCTGGCTAATTTTCTTTGTATTTTTAGTAGAGATGGGGTTTCACCATGTTAGCAAGGATGGTCTCTATCTTGTCTCAGTCTCCTTCAGTTCTGCTCTGATCTTAGTTATTTCTTGTCCTCTGCTAGCTTTTGAATTTGTTTTCTCTTGCTTCTCAAGTTCCCTTAATTGTGATGTTAGGGTGTTTAGATTTTTTCTGCTTTCTCCTGTGGGCATTTAGTGCTATAAATTTCCCAGTAAAAACTGTTTTAGCTGTGAACCAGAGATTCTGGTACTTTGTGTCTTTGTTCTCACTGGCTTCAAAGAACTTATTTATTTCTGCCTTAATTTCATTATTTACCCAGTAGTCATTCAGAAACAGGTGATTCCATTTCCATGTAGTTGTGAGGTTTTGAGTGAGTTTCTTAACCCTGAGTTCTAATTTGATTGCACTGTGCCATGAGAGACTGTTTGTTATGATTTCTGTTCTTTTACATTTGCTGAGGAGTGTTTTGCTTCCAATTATGTTGTTGATTTTAGAATAAGTGCTATGTGGTGCTGAGAAGAATGTATATACTGTTGATTTGGGGTGGAGAGTTCTGTAGATGTCTATTAGGTCTGCTTGGTCCAGAGCTGAGTTCAAGTACTGAATATCCTTGTTGATTTTCTGTCTTGTTGGTCCGTCTAATATTGACAGTGGGGTGTTAAAGTCTCCCACTATTACTGTGTGGGAATCCAAGTCTTTTTATAGGTCTCTAAGAACTTGCTTTATGAATCTGGGTGCTTCTGTATTGTGTGCATATATATTTAGGATATTTAGCCATTCTTGTTGCATTTATCCCTTAACCATTATGAAATGCCCTTCTTTATCTTTTTTAATCTTCATTGGTTTAAAGTCTGTTATATCAGAGACTAGGATTGCCACCCATGGTTTGTCTGGTTGTTGTTGTTGTTGTGGTTGTTGTTTTTTTGCTGTTCATTTGCTTGGTAAATATTCCTCCATCCCTTTATTTTGAGCCTATTTGTGTCTTTGCATGTGAAATGGGTCTCCTGAATACAGCACACCAATGGATCTTGACTCTTCATCCAATTTGCCAGTCTATGCATTTTAATTGGGGCATTTAGCCCATTTACATTTAAGGTTAATATTGTTATGTGTGAATTTGAACCCATCATTATGATGCTAGCTGGTAATTTTGCCCATTAGTTGATGCAGTTTCCTCATAGTGTCAATGGCCTTTATATTTTGGTTTGTTTTTGCAGTGGCTGGTACCAGTTTTTCCTTTATATATTTAGTGCTTCTTCATGAGCTCTTGTAAGGCAGCCTGGTGGTGGCAAAATCCTTCAGCATTTGCTTGTCTGTAAAGGATTTTATTTCTCCTTCACTTATGAAGCACAGTTTGGTTGGATATGAAATTCTGAGTTGAAAATACTATTCTTTAAGAATGTTGAATATTGGCCCCCACTCTCTTCTGGCTAGTAGGGTTTCTGCAGAGAGATCTGCTGTTAGTCCAATGGGCTTCCCATTGTGGGTAACCCTACCTTTCTCTCTGGCTGCGCTTAGCATTTTTTCCTTCATTTCAACCTTGGTGAATCAAACAATTATGTGTCTTGGGGTTGCTCTTCTCAAGAAGTATCTTTGTAGTGTTCTCTGTATTTCCCGAATTTGAATGTTGGCCTGCCTTGCTAGGTTGGGAAAGTTCTCCAGCGTAGTATCCTGAAGAGTGTTTTGCAACTTGGTTCCATTCTCCCCATCACTTTCAGGTACACCAGTCAAACGTAGGTTTGGTCTTTTCACATAGTACCATATTTCTTGGAGACTTTGTTCATTTATTTTCATTCTTTTTTCTCTAATCTTGTCTTCATGCTTTATTTCATTAAGTTGATCTTCAATCTGTGATATCTTTTCTTCTACTTGATTGATTTGGCTATTGACACTTGTGTATGCCTCACAAAGTTCTAGGGCTGTGTTTTTCAGCTCCATCAGGTCATTTATGTTCTTCTCTAAACTGGTTATTCTATTAGCAATTCCACTAACCTTTTATCAGGGTTCTTAGCTTCCTTGCAATGAGTTATAAAATGGTCCTTTAACTCAAAGGAGTTTGTTATTACCTACCTTCTGAAGCCTACTGCTGTCAATTTGTCAAACTCATTCTCCGATCAGTTTTGTTTCCTTGCTGGTGAGGAGCTGTGATCCCTTGGAGAAGAAGAGACATTCTAGTTTTCAGAATTTTCAGCCTTTTTGTGCTGGTTTTTCCTCATCCTCATGGATTTGTCTACCTTTGGTCTTTGCTGTTGGTGACCTTTGGATGGAGTTTTTGCATGGTCATCCTTTTTCTTGATGTTGATGCTATTGCTTTCTGTTTGTTAGTTTTCCTTCTGTCAGGCCCCTCTTCTGCAGGTGTGCTGGAGTTTTCTGGAGGTCCACTCCAGACCCTGTTTGCCTGGGTATTACCAGAGGTGGCTGCAGAACAGCAATTATTCCTACCTGCTCCTTCCTCTGGAAGCTTTGTCCCAGAGGGGCACCCACCAGATGCCAGCCAGAGCTCTCCTGTATGAGGTGTCTGTCGCCCCCTGCTGGGAGGTGTCTCCCCATCAGGAGGCATGGAGTCAGGGACCCACTTGAGGAGGCAGTCTGTCCGTTAGCCGAGCTCCAGCACTTTGCAGGGAGACCCACTGGTGTATTCAGAGCCAGCAGGCAGAAACATTTAAGTCTGCTGAAGCCGCACCCACAGCCACCCCTTCCCCCAGGTGCTCTGTCCCAGGGAGATGGGAGTTTTATCTATAAGCCCCTGAATGGGTCTGCTGCCTTTCTTTCAAAGATGCCCTGCCCAGTGGCTTTGGGTGCTGTGGTGGGCTCCACCCAGTCTGAAATTCCTGGCAGCTTTGTTTACACTGTGAGGGGAAAACCACCTACTGAAGCCTCAGTAACGGTGGACGCCCCTTCCCCTACCAAGCTCAAGTGTCCCAGGTCAACTTCAGACTGCTGTGCTGGCAGTGAGAATTCCAAGCCAGTGGATCTTGGCTTGCTGGGCTCCCTAGGGGTGGGATTCGCTGAGCAAGACCACTTGGCTCCCTGGCTTCAGCCCCCTTTCCAGGGGAGTGAACGATTCTGTCTCACTGGCATTCCAGGTGCCACTGGGGTATGAAAAAAAATTCCTGCAGCTAGCTCGGTGTCTGCCCAAAGGGCCACCCAGTTTTGTGCTTGAAAACTAGGGCCCTTGTGGTGTAGGCACCCGAAGGAATATCCTGGTCTGTGGGTTGCGAAGACCATGGGAAAAGTGTAGTATCTGGGCTGGATAGCACTGTCCCTCACGACAAGGTCCCTCACGGCTTTCCTTGGCTAGGGGAGAGAGTTCTCCAATCCCTTGCACTTCCCGGGTGAGGCGACACCCCACCCTGCTTCTGCTCACCCTCCATAGGCTGCTCCCACTGTCTAACCAGTACCAGTGAGATGAACTGGCTACCCCACTTGAAAATCCAGAAATCACCTTCCTTCTGTATTGGTCTCATTGGGAGCTGCAGACCAGAACTATTCCTATTTGGCCATCTTGCCCAGGAATCCCCAGGAGAAGCATTTAAATAGAATTTTTAGAAAATTGTGGACATCTTTCTTTAGTATTATACTGAAACTCAACAAGTGGTAATTTCTTAAAGGTTAATTGTAATGCAGAATATAAAACCTGATCAATGGATTATTTTGTACCCAGTGACATTACAACTTTGTGGTTCCTTGTGTGATTAGAATTTTTTTTTTAATCTCATAGATGATTTTATATTGTCAAGCATTGGTAATTTAGAAAATATTCATTTACTAACTTTCAAATATTAACATGTTTTATTTTAAAATGTCATTATATACCATATAATCTTTAGAAAACTGCACTGTAGACTTGCAAAAGAATGAGCAAAATGGGCCAATAATATCTTTATATTGTTATAAATACAATCTTACCTTACAGAGTCTCCAAGGGTTGCCTGGACCAAATTTTAAGAAGTGCTAATCTATAGGACCCTTTTGAGGTACTAATGGATATACTGTAAGCATAAATTCACACCTACACTGGGGTAAGGAGAAGCCAATTATTTCTCAAAGGAGCGGGTTATTAACCCGTTGACTGTCCACAGGTGTCATAAGTCTGTTCTGGGCTCTCAGACAGAGGAGGCACTTCCTGTAGAATGTTTGTAGTGTTTGTATAAATGCTTGTAATCTTTCCATATAAAAAGTTTATTATAAATATGTTTCTTAAGATTTTTCTTTTTTTTTAAAAACAAAGATCTGGGCTATTAAATTTTAATTTCTTTAAACAGGGCTATGGGAAATTTAAAACTTTATGAAGGAATCAAGTGGAAGAGTAATGTCAGCAAAATGGTAGAATAGGAGTCTTCACCCTAATTCATAACCCCCCAACTTACACACACATACACACACACACCAATTTTGACACCTGCCCATGGACAAGAATACTTTTGTAGGAGTCTGAGAGTCAAGCAGAGAGGTCTCAAAACCCTGTTAGAGAAAAAAAAATCCGAGAATAGATGCAAAGAAAAGTGTAACAGGAACAGTTTCACTTTACCCATGTCACCTCTCCTCTCAGGCAGCACAGCCCAGTGCCAACAGAGACCACCAGGGATTAAGATTTCCTTCATGAGGGAAAATGAGAGCATGGAGTGTCTGGCTTCCACAGCTACACAAGAGGCTTTCTTCTTTCTTGACCCACCCAAAATACTGAAGCAATCTGAATGGCTGATTAGTCTGAGGAAAACAGAAAAAAGGAAAGAGCTGGAGGCCCACAGCAATTGAGGCACAGAAGTCAACCAAAGGCCACAATTTCTACTAACTGCTTCCATTATTCCACTAAGATGCCTACTTGTAAACTTCATAAAATACATCACCTGCAAACCCCTCAACTAGCCCATGTGTGCCCCCCAGCACTCCATGCATCCCTCACCCTCCCCACAGCTGACTACCTGTGCACATACCTGCAGAGAGTGTGCACAAACTTCTGCAGGTTGTGCATAAGCACAAGCAGACAGCCATCTCAGCTCTGTGGGATTGAGAGAAGGTGTATAACCTTGAATACCTCAGGGAACTGCCCTAAAGAAAATAGAGAGAGTCTCATCACCTGGCCTGGCTTTGTAGGATCAAAAGAAGGTATATAATACTAGGATATCTTCCCCACCACTGTCCATGAGGTAACAAGAGAAGTGAAGTGGATGCATCCATAGAGAAGGCCTGAAAGAACTCCAGAGTCCCTAGGATTCTGATGGTCTTTTTCTCTTGAACACAGTCAGTAAGGACTTGAGGAGGTGACTGCTTTTTAAAATGTGAAAACAGCAATGCAAGAATTCAAGAAATGTGTAAAATAAAGGAAACATGACACTACCAAATGAACACAATAATATTCCAGTAACCAGCTAGGAAGAAATAGAGATCTATGAATTACTGACAAAAACTTGAAATAACTGTTTTAAGGAAGAACAGCAAACTTAAAGAGAACATAGACAGCTCAATAAAATCAGAAAAATGATAAATGAGCAAAATGAGAACTTTAACATAAAGGTAGAAGACATAAAAAAGAAGTAGACAGAAATTCTAGAGATGTAAAATATAATGAATGAAATGAAAAGTGAAATAGAGAACTTCAAGGCAGACTAAACAAGAAGAAGCAATCTTTAAACTTGAAGACAAGTCATTTGAAATTACCCAAAGGACAAAAAGAAAAAATAATAGAAAAGAGTGAAGAAGTTCTACTGGATGTATGGGACTTCATCAAGTGAACCAATATATGCATGATGAGCATTCCAGGAGGAGAAAATAAAAACAAAGGGACAAAAAATTATATTTTTAAATTATGGCTCAAAAGTTTTCAAATATTGGGAGGGATATGATCATCCAGCCTTAAGAAGTGTGAAACTCACCAAATAAAATCAACCCAAAGAAGATTAGACTGAGGATCTCATAATCAAATTATCAAAAGTAAAACAAAGAGATAATTTTGATAACAGCAAAAGTAACTCATCACACACAAGGAAACCCCCATAATTCTATCAATGGATTTCTCAGCAGAAACCCTGCAGCCAGGAGAAAGTAGAATAATATATTCAAAGTACTGAATGAAAAAAGCTGCCAAGAATACTATATCAGGAAAAGCCATCCTATAGAAATGAAGGAGAGATAAAGTTTAAGAGAATTCATCACCACTAGACCTGATTTACAAGAAATGCTAAAGGGAGTTCAAGTTGAAATAAAAAGACAATAATTAGTAACATACAAATATATGAAAGTATAAAACTCATCAAGGTGAATGTATAGTCAAGTTCAGAATTCTCTAATACTGCAATAGTGGTACATAAATCACTTTTCTTTTTTTGAGATGGAGTCTCGCTCTTGTCACCCAGGCTGGAGTGCAATGGCATGATCTCAGCTCACTGCAACCTCCACCCACAGGGTTCAAGCAATTCTCCTGCCTCAGCCTCCTGAATAGCTGTGATTACGGGCACCTGCCACCAAGCCTGGCTAATTTTTTTGTATTTTTAGTAGAGACAGGGTTTCACCATGTTGACCAGGCTGGTCTTGAACTCCTGACCTGGGGTGATCCACCTGCCTTGGCCTCCCAAAGGGCTGGGATTACAGATGAGAGCCACCGCATCCGGCTATAAATTGCTTTTAACTAGAATAAAAGCTACAGGACAAAAATATTAAAATTAACTGTAGCTACAATATTTATTAATACATAATATGCAAACATATAAATTGAGGCATCGATAACAATAATAACATCAATAATAAAGTATTGGGAAAGGAAGAAGTAAAAGTGTACAATTATTGTATACAGTTAAATTTAAGTTGTTATCAACTAAACATAGACTATTACAATGATAAAATTTTTTTGTAGCTTCATGGTAACAACAAAGCAAAAACCTCTAGTAGATACACAAAAGAAAACAATGAAGTTATACCATTAAATCATCAAATCAAAAAGTGAGACAGCAAGAGAGGAAGCAAGAAACAAGGAACTATAAAACAGAAAACAACAAAATGGCAATAGTACTTTCTTGCCTATCAATAATAAATTTTAAGTAAATGAATTTAATTTTCCAAGTGGTTGAATTGATTTTTTAATCCAAAAATATTCTGTCTAAAGAGACTTAGTTTAGCTTTCAAGACAATCATAGGCTGAAAGTGAAAGGATGGAAAAATATATTTCATGCAAATGGTTACCAAAAGAGAGTAGTAATGACTATCCTGACAGCAGGAAAACAGGATGTTAAGTAAAAAATTGTCACAAGAGACAAAGAAGGTCATTATATAATGATATAGGGATCAATTCATCAAGAGGATACAAAAGTTGTAGATATATATGCACCTAACTTCAAAGCACCTAAATATATGAAGGAAATATTAACAGACTTGAAAGAAGAAATAGCAATGCAATAATAATAGGAAACTTCAGTACCTCATTTTCAACAATGGATAGATCATCCAATAAATAAGGAAACAGCAAACTTGAATAACAGTATAGACAAAGTGAACCTAACATACACATGCAGAACATTCCATCCAACAGCAACATAATAAACATTCTTCTCAAGAACACACATGGAATATTCTCCAAGATAGAGCACATATTTGACCACAAAAAAGTCTTAAGAAATTTAAGAAGGTTGATATCATAGCAAGTAACTTTTTCAAATATAATGGTTATAGTAGATATCAATAATATAGGAAATTGAGAAATTGGCAAATACATGAAAATTAAACAACATAATCCTTTCCTACCAAAGAAGAAAGAAGGAAGGAAGGAAGGAAGGAAGGAAGGAAGGAAGGAAGGAAGGAAAGAAGGAAGGAAGGAAAGAAAGAAGGAAAGAAGGAAGGAAGAAAGGAAGAGAGAGAGAGAAAGTGGAGAAAGAGAAAGAAAAGGGAAGGGAAGGGAAAAGGAAAAAGAAAAAGAAAAAGGAAAGGAAAACTTTAAAAACCTTGGGACAAAAGGAAATGGAAACACATCATACCAAAACTTCCTGGATGCAGCAAAACAGTTCTGAGGGAAACTTATAATGATAAATGCCTACATTAAGAAAAAAGAAAGATCTAAAACAATTTTATTTTTCAAGGAATAACTTTATACTTCAAGAAATTAAAAAAAAACAACTAAACCTAGAATTAGCAGAAGAAAGAACATAATAAAAATAGAAGCAGAAATATGTAAAATAAAGACTGGACAAATAGTAGAAAAGATTGGCAAAACTAAACTTTGGTTTTTTGAAAATATAAACAAAATTAACAAACTGTTATGTAGACTAAGAAGAAAAGACTCAAATGACATTATAAATGCAAGAGGAGACATCACAACTGATTACAACAGAAAGACAAAAGATCATAAGCAATTACCATGAACAATTATACATCAACAAATTAGATAACCTAAAAGAAATTGACAAATTCCTAAAAACATAGAATATACTAAGTCATAAAGTAATAGAAAAATCTGAAAAAAAGCAATAATGTGTAAGAAGACTGAATCAATAATCCAAACAAAGAAAAGCCCAGGAACAGATGGCATCACGAGTGAATTCTATCAAATATTTAAAGAAAAATTAACACAAATTTTTCTCAATCTCTTTCAAAAAATTAAAGAGAAGGGAACACTTCCAAGTTTAATTTATGAGACCAGCATAATGCTCATCCCAAATCCAGACAAGAATACTACAAGAAAAGAAAATCACAGATCAATGTCTCTGATAAATATAGATGGAAAAATCTACAACAAAATGCTAGCAAATCAAATTCAACATCACATTAAAAGGACTATTCATCATGATTCAGTGGAATTCATCCCTAGGATGCAAGAATGGTTCAATATATGCAAATCAACAAATATGATACACCACAATAACAAAGTGAAGGATAAAAATTATATAATCCCTTCAACAGACACAAAAAAGCATCTGACAAAACTTAGTATCCTTTTGTGATAAATATTTTATTTTCAAGAAATTAAATGTAGAAAGAATATACGTTAACATAAAAAAGACTATATATAACAAGTCGGCAGCTAACATCATACTCAATGGTGAAAAACTGCAATCTCTTTCTTTAAAATCAGGAACAGAACAAGGATGCCCATTCTCACCAAATCTATTCAACATAGTACTGGAAGTCTCAGCCAGAGCAATTAAGCTAGAAAATAAATAAATAAAAAGCACGTAAATGAGAAAGGAAAAGTAAAATAATCTCTGCTTGCAAATGACATGGTCTTATATTTTGAGAACCCTAAATTCTACCAAATATTATTAGAACCAATTAAAAAATTGAGGAAAATTGCAGGATACAAAAATTAACATGCAAAATTCAGTTGCATTTTGATACACTAACAATGAACTATCTGAAGAAGAAATTAAGAAATCAATACCATTTACAATAGCCTTAAAAAGAATAAAATACTTAGGAATAAATTTAACCAAGGAGGCAAAAGATCTATATACTGAAAACTATAAAACATTAATAAAAGAAGTTGAAGAAGATGCAAATGAATGAAAACATTTCTTGTGTTCACTGATGAAAAGAATTCATATTTTTAAATCACCATACCACCAAAAGCTATCTACAAGTTCAATTCAATCTCTATCAACGTCTCTGACGTTTTTAATAAAAATAGAAAAACTATCTTAAAATTTGTATGCAACCATAAACAACCCTAAAAAACCAAAGCAATCTTGAGCAAGAAGAACAAAGTGGACAGTATCATTCTTTCTGATTTCAAAATATACTACAATGCTACAGACATCAAAACTGTGTGGTATTGGCCTAAAAATAGACACAAAGACCAATGGAACAGAACAGAGATCTGAGAAATAAGTCCACACATTTACAGTCAACTGAAATTCAGCAAGGATGCCAAAAACAATAAGAAAAGAATAATCTCTTCAACAAATGTTGTTTAGTAAGTTATGGGTTCACATATAGAAGAACAAAATGCTTCCCTTAATATTTTCTCTATCTATCTATCTATCTACCTACCTACCTATCTGATAAATAATATTCATCTGCAAAAAACAAAGGGAATTCTGCCATTTCACTCAACATAGATGAATCCAGAAGACATTGTGTGAAGTAAAATAAGCCAGGCTCAGAAAGATGACTCATGCATGATCTTACTTATAGGTAAAAATCTAAAATAGCTGAATTCATAAAAGCAGAGAGGGTACAAAGTTTCAGTTATGCAGAATGAATAAATTCTGGGAATGTAATGCAAAGACTACAGTTAATAACTTATTGTATATGTGAAATTTGCTAACAGAATAGATCTTAGGTTTTCTCACCACCCCACCCCACACACACACACACATGCACACAAAAAATAGTGGTAGCTATGTGATGTGATGGATATGTTAATTCACTTGGTAATTATTTCAAAATGTATACATATATATCAAAATATTACATTGTACACCTTAAATATATACAGTTTTTACTTGTCAACTATACCTCAACATAAAGTTTGGAAAAATATGTACAAAGAATGAAATCACACATTTAAGAGGGTAGTACTTAAACTAGGTTCAATAAATAAATATGGTAAACTTGAAAATCAGAGTTATTTACTAGTATTTCAATATAATTTAATATTGATACAAAACTCACTGCACGTAAGTGAAGTTTAAGAAAATCCTGGAGAGTCCTTCAACAGTGCTGTAGGTGAAGGAAACATCCTCACTTCTTTTGGGCCCTCTCATGGTTATAATTTTGTCATATAATTAGAGTCACCTCCAGACATAAAAGTACAGACTTTTTGAAATAATAATATGATGTGTATCAATGAGTAATGTAAAATTTATTGTATTTCTTATGATCAACAGAGCGAAAGACAACTATGGAATGCAAGGAAATATTTGCAAAATATCCATCTGACAAGGGCTTAATAACAAGATTATGTAAGAAATATACAAGGAACTCAAACAACAGCACACACACAAAATCAAATTATCTGATTAAAAATGGGCAAATAGCTGAGTGTGGTGGCTCATGTCTGTAATTCCAGCCTTTGGGAGGCCAAGACAAGACGATCATTTGAGCCCGGGAGGCAGAGTTTGCAGTGAGCCAAGATTGCACCACTGCATTCTGGCCTGGGCAATGGAGACAGACCCTGTCAAAACAAAACAAAACAAACAACAACAACAATAAAAACACAGGGCAAATAAGTTGCATAGATATTTCTCAAATAAAAACATATAAATGGCCAACAGATATATGAAAAAATGCCCAGTATTGCCAATCATCAAGGAAATGCAAATCAAAACCACAATGAAATATCATCTCACCACAGTTAAAATGGCTATCATCAAAAAGACAAAAAATAACAGATGCTGGTGAGAATACAGAGAAGGAGAACTCTCATATACTGTTGGTGTGAATGTAAATTAGTACAATCAGTATGGGAAACAGAATGGAGTTACCTCAAAAAACTAAAAATAGAACTATGATATGACCCAGCAATCCCACTGCTGGATTGGAAACCAGTATAGTAAAGAGATATCTGCACTCTCATATTTATCACAGCAGTATTCATGATAGTTGATTCCAAGTGTATTAGTCTGTTCTCACGCTGCTGATAAAAACATACCCAAGACTGAGCAATTTACAAAAGAAAGAGGTTTAATTGGACTTACAGTTCCACGTGGCTGGGGAAGCCTCCCAATCAGGGTGGAAGGAAAGGAGGAGCAAGTCATGCCTTACATGAATGGCAGCAGGCAAAAAGAGAGGTTGTGCAGGAAAACTCTCCTTTGTGATAACCATCAGATCTCCTGAGATTTACTCACTATCATGAGAACAGCATGGGAAAGACTTGCCCCCATGATTCAATTACCTCCCATTGGCCCCTCCCATAACACGTGGGAATTGAAAATGAGATTTGGGTGAGGATATAGCCAAACCATATCACCAAGATATAGAATCAACCTATGTGTCCATCAGTGGATGACTGGATAAAGAAAATGTGGTTTATAAACACAATGGGATATTATTCAGCTGTTAAAAAGAATGAAGACTGTCATTTGCAGCAACATGGATGAAACTGGAGGTCATTCTATTAAGTGAAATAAGCCAGGCAAAGAAAGACAAATATGGCATATTCTCTTTCATATTTGAGAGATAAAAACATGAATCACATGGAGATTGAGAGTTGATTGGTGGTTACCAGAGGCTGAAAAGGAGAGGGAAGAGGAGAGTATAAGGAGATACTGGACTAAGTTACAATTAGGAGAACTAAGTTCTGGTGTTCTACTGCACAGTAGGGCATTTAGTTTACAGGGTAGCAGCTCTCAGGGGCTTTATCTTACTTCAGTAATTTGAAAGGAATGGTGGAGGGATTCATAAAATTAAAAATTTTTTCGTAGAAGTTTACCATTCTATTCTAATTTTAATCCCATTATATGAATGTTATACACATTGCATAGATTTATATTGTGAACAATAATTTATTGTATACTTAAAAATAACTAGAAGAGAAGATCTGGAATGTTCTCAACACAAAGAAATGATCAATATTTGAGTTGATGGATATCCCAATTACCCCAATTTGATCATTTCATATCAAATATCATTACAGATATATATGCTGTATGCATATATCAAAATACCACATGTACCATATAAATATGTACAATTATTATGTACAATAAAAAAGATTACTGTATCTTGGCTATTGCTTGGGGAAAATAATAGAAAGTGTAAGTGAATGAATAAATGAGGAAAACTGCTTTTTCTCCTGTGCTTTGCAGGATTAGAACATTATTTCTGATTAATTTAAACTTATATAATTAAGTCAATATGAAGCATAAATAGGAAATAAAATCTTCATATTAAATTTTTAGAAAAATACAATAAAATGTCTATATTAAAATAAATGAACCTTCTTACATGATTTTTGAGATTGACAACTGACCAAAACCTATTACATACATTACATGGTATAATAAAAATAACTGCTCTGGCTATGTCTGGAAGTCTTTGCAGCTGCAAGTGTACTTCTTGGAAATAAAGTTTGTGTTTACACAGGTGTGGCCATATTTAACAAAAAAATTTTTTATGCACTATGCAAACAGCTGCCTGTCTGTTTTCTTTGGCAGAGTTCTTTCCAACTGAAACAACTTATATCAAGCACATCGCTCTGTGATACTTATATAAACAACACAGAAAAATTCCTGTACAAGGAAGAGGTTTCTCATAATGTGTCTGACAGATAAACTAGTAAAGCAGAAGCCACTTGATTGGAGCCTGCTAAGAAAACTACGTCCTTAGTGAAATATTTACCGTCTAATATGTGTGCAAGCTGCTAGAGAAACATTAAGTTTGCAGGGTAGCAACTATCAGGGGCTTTATCTAACTCTCATAATTTGAAGGGAATAATGGCTGGCAGAGGGATTCATAAAATTGAGCATTTCCTTGTAACAGTTTAGTATTCTAATCTAATTTTAGTCTTTGCATAGATTGCTTTCCAAAACATGTAGTTGTAAAATATATTATTTTTAATATATTAATATATAACAATAAATAGATTATTTTGTTAAGTAATTAAGAATGTCATATTTGAAAAGTTACATATATTTATAAAATCATACTTAAGAGTATTAATTTTGATTGATTTTCTAACAAAAATCGACAGCTTTTACATTGTGCAATTTATTTTCTTGAAGGCAGAAATTCCTTATAGATAATCGGGATAAAACAGTTGATTTATCTCCTATTTCAATGTTTATGTTAAACTTTATCCATTAATTTAACAGCTCCTACAATGTTCCAGGCACTCACTATTCCAGGTACTGAGAATAAAGAAATGAACAAAACAGAAAAAAACTCTTGCCCTTTAAGAACAGTATGCTTCAGAAGAATGTTAAAAGTTACTGCTATAAACCGTGTGAAAATTAGGAAAATTGAATCAGAAATATGAATGATGTAAAGAATGTATGATGGGAGATAGAATAGCAGTGATGAAAGGAAAGTTCAACCCAAAGTCCTTAGCTTGAAAGGTTTGCTCATGGTAGACCAGTTTATTCCTCACCATTAATTTTCCCTGATTGAAAAAGATTCCGTAACTGAAATCTTAATTTCCCTATTATAAGGCAATCATAATTACAATTTCAATAGTTAAAATAGTAATGGAAGGGTTTCTAAACAAATAATATCCAAATCAGTAACCTTGGCCTTCTCTGAGACTTCTAGCCAGAGGTCAGGTTGTAGCAGAAAGCCTCCCTCTGACTGAAAACTCTGTCTAAAGCAAGTACCACAGATACGTGCCTCAAAAATCTCAAACACATGGGACAGCATTGATCCTCAAGGTTCTGAAATACAAATAGAGGTTTTAACATGATAAAATACTCTGTGCTTTAGAATATATTTCTATCAATGTTTTATTGTTTAATAGCATAATATGCATTATTGAATACATTACAATCATGTGTTAAGACAACACTTGAAATACTTAAAAAAAACCTTTCTAAACTGTTTAGAAGCCTTCATTCAAGTATGTTTGTATGAAGATTCTTAGCTTGACCAAACTTTAGTCAGGCTCCTAAAACCTTCTCCTAGGCCCATCTGTGCACTTCCTTGTAAAATTCAGTTTTAGTGAAAACCCTGCTAAGTTCTAGCAAGAACCCTCTCTTCCACCATATCATATAACCCCTTGATATCTCATTGGGTTTCCCATTCTTTACTATTCCCCGGATGATGTCTGATCACCCTGACTTGTCTTCAACAAGAATCCTGTTAGTTCAGTTTTGCCAAAATTCTCCTTACCTCTGATGTTTCTCCTAACTTTCTATCCACTGACCCCTCACTGCTCCATGGCTATAAATTGCTACTTGCCCATGTTATATTCAGAGTTGAGCCTCATTCTCTTCGGAAGTATCTTTTCCTGTAATGTGATAAACCTAAATAAAATCTGTTTTTACCACTCTACCCTCCAGCTCTGGTTTTTCTTTGACCGTGTATTAGGTTGAAACAGGATTTATTCATTTTTGCATTGTAGTCTAAGCTCTACACAAACCAAATCAATATTTTATATCAAAGCTGTGTTTATTCTTGGACACATTCAGAGTGTTTCTGTGTTTAATTACCAGAGCATTCCTAGTTAATTCTAAAATAAAACAAATAATAAAATGTTCTTTTATGTGGTGAAAGCGAATATATGAATGAGTTTTTCATTTTGTGCCACACCTTTACCCTGGGAGGAACCAATTCAAAAGGTTGTTTACTACTGCTAACTGACCTGTTTAAATGAAGTGTCAGTCAAGAAATCCAGACCTCTGAGTGACCTGATAAAATATCCATGACATATTAGCTGTGTCCCTAGGCTAATGGGAAAATTCAGATAGGATTTTTCCAAAATAAAAGGAGTAAATCATCATCACCATTAACACATGTACTAACAAATGCCTGATTTGTCTAAGTCTCTAGAACCTGAATGCAAGGGTAGCTGCTTGAATATCTTTCCAGAAACCTTCAAGTTTAAGCAATGAGAAAAACAGAGCTGAAATCCTACAAAGAGATTTCCCTCATTACCCCTTCTTCAGAAGGGCTCTTCTGTGATATATAGTTACACTCAGGAGTAATCCACAAAATTAGCTCAAGGGGATAGCTGTGATCTTTGCACTGTTAATTACTTTTCAAAGTGTGATTTCTTGGCTGGGTCTTACTTTTTCTCAGAAATTTTGCCATTCTCTTCATAATACATATATCTCTGATTTGTGAAGAAAATGGTTGAGGTTTCAATATATAAGCAAAAAAAAAAAAGTCAAGAAAACTTTCCTAACATTCTTTTATTCTTGCTTCTACTTATTCATTTCCTTTTCTGTATTGCCTATTGTTCTTTCTGATAATAAAATGCTCTTGGCAGAAAATATTAAAAAGTATAAAAATGTATAAAGAAGATAGTTAAAATCCCCAAGAATCCTAATCCAGCAATGAATACTTCTAAATTTTAATGGGCTTTCTCCCAGTAGTTTCATGGTGATTTTTTACATAATTAGTATCACTTAACTTGTCTTGCTGGGCCAAAGAAAATGAGTTTGTTTAGAATTCTTCACAGACATCACTTTTCATTTTCAGACACAGATACTGACTCACACTTCTGTCTTATATAAAATTGTCCATCTAATTGCAGCCTTACCAGTAGTTTATACTTTTACATTTTTTTGTATATGAAGTTATTTTAATTGCCATATCTTTAATACTGGGAAGATAGTTTTTGTCCTATTGTTAGTTTAGTAGTTATTTATGTTATACTGAATATTTTTGTCATTGATTGGTGTGTTCTTTATATTTTAATACTAACTCATTTTCATAAGAGTGGCAAATATTTCCTATTTTTCCACTTGCATTTTAGTTTTATTAATTTCTTTGGTGGAGAGAAGTTGTTAATGTTTATACAGTCCAACATGTTGATTTCTTTATTTATGGTTTTATCTGCTTTTATATTTATAAAGACATTGCACATTCAAAGATCAAAGGAACATTTGCCAGCATTTTACAGATTTTTTTACAGCTTTTCATTTGTAAAATTTAATTGGCTAATCCATCTGGAATTAATTTTTATTTCATGAAATCAAGTTTGCCACTCCTTTATCATTTTACGCTGATTTCTTTTTCCTCAGACTGCTTGGCTGTCTACTATTATATTATTCATTTTCTCTTACACTACCAGAACGTTTGATGCTAGAGGTAAAGGCGCTTTGTCTATTTTGTCAGCTGCTGAAGCTTCAGGGACAGTGCTCAGTCACGCACTTGATTTTGGATCAGTATTTGTGGTGTTTTGTTTGTTCGTTTTGTTTGTTTGTTGTCCTACCAGCTTTATTGAGGTATAATATAGAAATAAAAATTATAAATATTAAGGCATACAACATAATGTTTGATATATATGCATGATTGTGAAATTATTACTGCAATAAAGCTAATTAACATATACATCACTTTATGTAGTTACCATTTGATGCGGGTTGGAGAGACTACTTAATACCTACCCTCTTCGCAGATTTCAACTGTACAATACTTAACTGTAATCTCCAGAACTTACTCATCTTATAACTGAAAGTTTAAGATGAGTAATTGGTCAACAACTCCCACTTCCACCACTCATGAACCAAACCCCTGGTCACCACCAGTCTACTCTGTTTCTATGAGTCAGACTTTTTCAGATTCTACATATAAATGAAATTTCACACCAAAAATAAAATTTAATCATCTATGTTTGTTATAGTTGATTTTGACCAAACTTTCAAACTTAATATTTTATTAAATTCCTAAAATCATCAAAATTGATAATAATTCCATTTTATAGATGAGGTGACTGTGCCAGGAAATGAGGACCCATCAGGAAAATTTGAAGTCAGAATTAACAGTGAAACAGGCCCTAGTTTTATTTGGCAACTTCGATCATTCTTAGTGATCACAGACAAACGAATATCAGAAAATAAATGATTTTGTGGAAAAAAACCACAGAACCATTCATCTTTACTCTTCACCTTAAATTTCTAGTGAGGGTAACATACTTTATATGCCAAGTGTTACCCCTATTGGAGTCTTTCAAAACAACATTCTTAAAAAATACTTTGGTGCCCCATAAAAGAAATGTGAAGTTTTGTGTAAAAATAATTATACCAATTAAAACTTAATTATATGATTAAAGCCTAATTATACCAATTTTATTCCTAACTATAGACAAAGTCAACAAATTTGTGGGCTTTTTCCCCCCTTGGGAAAAAGGAGAAAGAAAAATTATATCTATTTCACTCAAAGTATTAAGGTAGTTTCTCTAAAACAGTCTCTTTTTAAATATGATATGCAAAACACCACCAAGCCTTAAAAATGTGAGGTTAAATGAATATTTCTTGATCAAATTGCTAAAGGACTCTATGCTTATATGGCTAAATCCACTTTTGAAGTAATATTAGGCACCTCTTGTTAAAATGAACAGAAGTCATACCCGTAATCCAAAAGAGAATCAAGCATAAATTTTGGGTTTCCAAATCTTTCAAAATTACTCTTCCCAAATCAAAACTGTCCCAGGAATTCTGAATCATTTTAACCAAGTGTGAAGCAATGTTGTAATGCTGTGGGAAGAATGCATGGTAATAAACTAATTACAAGGAATTACTTTAAAATTAAATTAAAGACTAAGAAAAGCCCTTGGTTTCTTAATCATTTTTTACATATTTTATTTTATTAATGTTGTAAGTTATTTTCCTGGAGATCAAAATATAAGCTCTTGTTAATAGACATACTTTGTTATAGTCTGTGGTGGTACAATTTAGTAGGTTTTCGAAGTAACTCATTTATATCTGCCACCCAATTAACTATATATTACTCAAAAATGTTTACTTCTTAGAATAAGAAGTTACATACATTACATACCGCAGCCAAGCTCCTTTATTTCCTTATTTTAAAGTCCAGACATATACTGAGAAGACAATGAAAAGTATCACTTTCCCTGAAATCACTCCCTTCACTTTATTTATCCTTTAGATAGATCATAATGCAGAGAGTGTTTATTGATTGGTTTGTTGAGGCACATAGGCAAAAACATTGGGGGGTGAGTAGAAACATCTGGGTTCTAGCTAAAGTTCTGCTGGTGTTACTACCACTCCTACCAATACCTGTATTTGCTGAACATTTGCCATACGCCAGTCACTGTGACAAAAGCTTTATTGACATTCAATCATTTAATCCTTTCAGAAACCCATTGTGCAGATAAAGATCCCAAAGCCCCAAGAAGTCAAGTAGCATTTTAAGGGTCATTTGCCTGACCCTTACCTGATCCTTGCCTCATTAATGCTGTGGTCTGAATCTTGTGTTCCTGGAAATTCGTATATTGAATGAAACCTAATCATCAATGGGCTGGTCTTGGAAAATGAGGTCTTTAGTAGGTGATCTTAGAAGCTGGGAGTATGGGATTAGTGTCACTGTAACAGAGGTCACAGAGAGCTTCCTTGCCCCCTCTACCATGTGAGGACACAGCAAGAAGGCACCATCTGTAAGTCAGAGAGCAGGCCCTCCTCCAGACACTGAACCTGCTGGTGCCTTGATCTCGAACTTCCTATATCCTCCAGAACTGTGAGAAATAAACGTCTGTTGTTTTATAAGCGATGCAGTTTATGGTATTTTGTTATAGCAGCCCAAACTAAGACACCTGAAAGCAGTAGCGCTGGGATACGAATTTTGATTTTTCTGCTACAGACTCTTAACATAATGCTTTCTGAATCTTAATATTGCCATCAATAAATGAGTCAGTTTAAGTTTAGGTCTAGGTTTTCTTTAGCTCCAAAATTATTTTTCCAAAGGAACAAAGGCATAAGATGAAAATTAAATACTCTAGTTGAAGCAGAGGTGGGATCCCAAAGTGTTCTCTGTCTAAGGCAGCTCACCTCTCCCCTGGATGCTCATGAGGACGTTCTCTAGAACCTGTAGGAATCTGTGGAACATTAAATGAAAACACCAGATGCTTGAGACTACTTTCAAAGTATTTTCCAGATCTATAAGTTACTGGTTAAAGTGAAGAAAAACATACATTTTTATGAAAGTTGGCAATAGGTTAACTTAAAAAAGAAGCAGAATGCTTGGCTGTTCTGCCTCTCTTTGATCTTCTCTGTTGAGTGGATATGGTGTTTTAGTGCATTTACACACATATGCAGAGACTAAGCCATTATTTTAATAGCGATGTCTTACAACTGAAGAAACATAAATACCAAACCTGACTCTTGAAAGGAAAACATACGGTAGACATAAATGTCATTTTTTTTTATCATTGGCTACTAATTTGTAACTCCCTTTTCTTTCATTGCTTCACTCAGGTTCAAGTTTCCCAGTAGCATCACTTTTCAAGATCGTAAAAAATTAATCCTATGTGAGTGGATGGCATCTCTTAGTTTATATACAAGTTTATCCTGCTCCTGCCATTGTCTTAGGCAACATCACATCTGTCACAGTCCCGAATTTTAGTCCTCTGCTTTTTAGCCTCCTGGATGAAAAAAAAAAGGCAAGGAACAATCTGCTTCTGAAAACAGCTGTGGAAACATGTGGTCTAAGGGAACATGAAAAATTCAATTCAGCAAATATATAGTGAGCATCTATTATGTGCAAGTCCCTGTGCTAGAGGCTTGCTGGTGGGGAAGGGAATATAAAGACAGGATCTCTGCCCCCAGGGAATCTCTCAGTGTTATGGGAAATACAAACATGTCACAACAGCCAAATTAAATGTAAATAAATAAAGTGCATGCTAAAAATTATTAGCTGTGAGGTTGAGAGAATGATTTGCTCTGAATGGCAGAATCTAGAATGGCATCTGAGCTGGACCTGAAGGGCAGGTGAAATGTGGGAAGAGTACCCAGGGTTCATAGTTATTTGGCCATTTGGTTTGAGTGAGTTTGGCCCAAGTCTTGGTTTTCATCGCAGTGCACTCTTATTTTAAATCTTATTTCTGATGTGCCTGTCCTTGGCTTCAAGTAGTCATTCAATGATCAAGGGAGAAGTAGCAATGACATTGGAATAGCAACAAGACAAGGGTGACACCGAATCTTTATTTTCTCCCTTTTTGTTTTCATGTACCAATGCAATCATTTCTATAAATACAGACCCCTTCAGATGGCTCAATACTGCCCCCTCTTTTTCCAGCCATACGACTTCCAAGTTTATGACTACCTCCCTTCCATTTGAATTACTATAATGGTCTCCTAGATGTTCCCACCTCTTCTAGGTCTTGCTGTTTATTTTTTAAACTATTCTCCCCCAAGAAAGATCCACCAAGGTAGTTTCTATAATGGAAGAGTCTGATTCTATGATTCCGCAAGTTAAAACTTCTGAATTGCTACACATTACTTTCTGTATAAAACCCAAACTCTGGAAGACAGGGATTATCTGGTCTTTCACCCAGTCCCTAGATAGCTTTCTAAACTTATTCCCTGCAATTCCTCCACTTTCACCGTAGGCTACAACTGCACTGCTTGCAGGTCTCTCAATGGTTCATACTCTTTCTTGGTGCTTCATTTGAACAAAACCTTTGCCCGGGAGCTTTCCTCTTCCACCCCAACCTTTTGGTTGGCTAACTCTTTTGTCCCCTGGGTTCCTGTTTAGATATTGCTTATTCCTAGAGGCCTTCACTGACCTCCACATCTAGACTAAATCCCTCTCCTATGGGATCCCACAGTCCTGTGCAGTTATTCTCATTGCAGCCCATATTGTTCTGTATTATATTTGCTTGCTTACTTATCTCTATCAGCTATAAGACTGGGATTGTGTTTGTGAAGGAAGGAAAGAAGTCAAGGCAGTAGAAATTAAACCCACTTCTCCTTGTCTAGATCTATATCAGCTATAAGACTGGCATTGTGTTTTGTGAAGGAAGGAAAGAAGTTAGTCAAGGCAGTAGAAATTAAACGCACTTCTCCTTGTCTAGAAGGCAATGCAGAAATACTATGCAGCGGTAGATGCTAAATAATGCACATCTGATTTTAAAAAGTCTTTTTCAGGGAATTATAGTTCATTGGAAATAAATTGGTAGGTCACCCTTCCCTACATTAAAGATGGAAAGTGTAATGAGAGTGAATAAATGTCTCTTTATGTCATTAAAACTTTACTGTTAATTTATTCTCTAGACCTTATATTGTAACACAATACCTTTTCCCCCCAAGACTAACATAGGTTTATCAGCCATTCTAGAGGGAAAACTGCATAAGCAATTCTGGGTTCCCAATATTCCACAAGTTTTTAAAAAATGTTTGTTTTTAGTATGTGTGTTGACATTAGTGTTGATAGAGAAAACGGGGATATTTAACTGCAGAAAGAAATAAATTTGAAACTTAGACCTCTTCTCAATTATCATTTCACACAAAGTACCACGTAACCAAATTAAGAATGAAACTCAAATTCTTAATTTGGTTACGTGGTACTTTGTCTGAAATGATAATGTTTTAGGACAATTTTGAGAAATGTTCTGCTATTGATCCTTATTCACTGGGTAGGACTGACTGTAATAAAGTTTATAATTAGCAATCAAATAAATATTATTTAATAAAATAACTTTCATGGAATCAACATAAGTATCCATCAATGATAAATGGAGAAAGAAAATGTGGTACATATACACAATGAAATATTATTCTGCCATAAAAAAGAATGTAATCTTGCCATTTGCAGCAACATGGATGGATCTGGAGGTCATTTGGTAAATGAAATAAGTCAGGCACAGAAAGACAAATGTTGCATGTTCTCACTCATATATGGGAGTGAAAAAACTGGATCTCATGGAAGTACCACATACAATGTAGGTTACCAGAGGCTGTGAAGGGAAGAGGGAAAAGGGGATGAAAAGAAATTGCTTAAGAGGTACAAAAATACAGTTAGATAGAAGGATAGTTAGATAGAACTTTTAGTATTCGATAGTACACTAGGGAACGTATAGTTAAAATTTGTTGTTTATTTAAAAATAGCTAGAAGAGAGGATTTGTAATGTTCCCAACACAAAGAAAAAAATAAATGTTTGTCAGGATGAATATCCCAATTACCCTGATTTGATCATCACACATTGTATACAGGTATCAAAAATACTATGTGTACCTTCAAAATATGTACAAGTATTATATATCAATTTTAAAAATTAAATAAATTAATCAACTTTCCTTTAAAGTATTTAAGGCATCATCTTGTGCATTTTTTCATTGAATTTGCCTAAATCCTCTGACTCCCATTGATATCTTTTAGCATCCAGGATTATAGCTCTACATTAACAAGAGGTTAGTGCTAGCTCTTGGCAGATTTTATTATGTAATTTTTCTTTAACTATTCAGGGCTTCAGCTTGACTAGAATCTCAGCAACCTCTCACTGTTTCAAACGGCAATGCCTTTCATCAAGAATAAGGACATTAAAGGGAAAAAAATGACAAAAAAATAAAATGAAACATGTGTTTTAAGAGATTTGAATAAGATATTTTAGTAAGCCAATTTCATGTCACCATCTTGAAAATTTACAGCAGTCAGCAATGTAAACATGTACTTGACAAACACCAGCAGCTTGCAGACTGCAAAGTTCATCTACTCATTCAGCGAGGCAGATGTTTCATTTAATACTCTTCATACTATAGATTAGGATTATTTTTTTTTCTTTTCCTCTTTTTTTTTTTTTTGAAAGGAGAGGGGGAAAAAATTCCCTGACATGCTACTAATATCATCTCACACTGTGGGCCAGATGGTGAAAAATGCAAAGGCTGCAGCTCAGTTTATGTACTATATTGTGGGGGGAAAAGGAATTTTGTTTCAGAATGAGTTTCAGCTTGATCATTTGTTGCTGTAATCTAAACATGAGTCAATGAGAAAAGTAGTACCAGTCGAACTTCAAAAAGTTATTGAGAGTAAGTGCTTTAAAATGCAATGCATCTGGAGGAAGCGCCTACAGCAATTCAACCTACCACATCTAGAAGAAACAGAGGATGAGAAACTTGGGTAGTTGGTTTCATGAAGGACCCTTCACAAAGACAGTTGACCAAAGAAAAACTTACATATTATCATTACGTCATTGGGTTTTGGATGAAGATTTTCTGAATGTTTTTCTCTTCTGCTTTTCACGTTGTTTGTATCGTTTGCATTTAGGACTATGGCCAGCTTTAGAGCTATGTCTATTTACCTGCACTTTGTGGTTAATAATTTTGGAGAATAAAAAACTAACTGTTAAGCTCCTAGTCTTTAAACGTTGATATTTGAAGGGAAATCAGAAATCGCCCAGCTCCACTTCTTTATCTGTATGAGGCAATGGAAGCCCAGAAGGGATAAAAATCTTGGTAATATGTGCTCCTCTGGCAGATTGGGAAATAAATGAAAGCAATCACTGTCCGGCATCGATGATCTGTTATACTGTGGAAATTCCACAGCTTTTTATCAGATTTTTAAATAGAGCCACAGCCCCAGTAATCTTGTGAATAAGCAGAGTCTGCCTGTACTGTTGTTTTGAGTATTAATTATTCACATCCTATGGCTTTTCCATGGGCGTTTTCACCACTTGTAGAATAGGAAACAAACAGGAACAGGTCAAAGACACCAAACCCCTGTGATTTTCCTAATTGAAGGTTTGATTTAAATCATGCGGGTCGGGGAGGCAGGGCTCTGTTATTCAAATGCAAAGGGGCAAATTTTTATATTGGGAATAAGCTCATCTACTGGGCAATGGTTCTGACCGCCTTTACCCATGTACGTGTCAGAGAAGCATCCAACCATGATCACTTCTTAGTAGGGCAGGCAGATATTCCACCTTTGTAACGGTGCCCTAACATGCCAATGCCTTTTTCATTTTCTTTTGTTTTATCTCTCTTATCTCTTTTATGATCTTTTATGATCCGGAAAACTTTTACTAACATGCTATTAGCCTTCCCCAATGTTCCCGCTTCTCAATTGTTAAAGAAAAATTTGTCTTCGGCTACTTAACATCCCTGCTCCTCTTCTCTCCTAAGGATAGTCTAGGATTTGCTGGCCTGATATTCAGGCATTTTGTAATGCTGAATCACGAGAATGGAAAGAGACATACAGAAACAGGAAGAAAAGAAGAAAAGGGTAAGGATTCTAGATTGCTGGGTCTAGTCTAGACTTTATTGAGGAGAATCTGGATCATTGGAAAGTAGAGAGGGCATTTTAAAGAACTCAGGAAGGCTAAGACGTTGTACATATGAGAGTTAGGATGGAGAGAGAGAGAACCATGGCAAGATGTGCGAGAGAAATTGGCAAGAGGGTCCAGATGAAAGGCTAAGGAGAAGCTATGAGATGGAGAATTGGGGAGAAAGGGAAGATAGTTTAAGAAATATTGCTGTGAACCAACATGGCACATGTATACATATGTAACAAACCTGCACGTTGTGCACATGTACCCTAGAACTTAGAGTATAATAAAAAAATAAAAAATACGTGAGCCCGTAGGCGGAGCTTGCAGTGAGCCAAGATCACGCCACTGCACTCCAGCCTGGGCGACAGAGCGGGACTCCATCTCAAAAAAAAAAAAAAAAAAAAAAAAAAAAAAATGATAATAAATAAAAAATAAAAATAATAGAAAAATAAAAAGTAAAAAAGAAATGTTGCTATGATTTTGAAATGTATTATAAATAATTCTATGTAAGATTGGAGTAGTGTTTTTCTTTTTTTAAGTATCTTCTGGTGCCTGGACTCTGAATACAGCTCAGTGTAGATACTAGGCTGACTGAATCCCAATACTTAAGGGGATTCCACTGGCTCTCTTTTACTCTCTGACTTTTCCATCAGCACTGTGCATTAGAAAGAGAAGATGTATGGGTGTCTTAGAACAATAAAAGGCTTGTACAAATTCCAAGTGTTATTATTTTCATCAGTGTTAGTTTTTGACTGAACATGTATCTTTTGAAATAATTTTTCTCCCTAAGTTCCTCTCCCTTCACTGATAAGCATGCATATAAGCATTATAAAAATTTTGTTAGTGTTCAGGAGAAGAGATCCCTCTCATACCAGCTAGAGGCTTTTTGAAAATGTATTTACCAACATTTCACAAATTCAGTGTGGTTACATGAGGTCAGGAGCATGGGGATCATCTAGGGCAGCAGTTTTCAAATGTTAGTCTTAGCCCATGATAAAATGTTTACTGACACATAGCAAAAGTTTAAAAAAGAAAAAAAGATAAAAGGACTATGTAGCAAATTTATCAGAAAGCCAAGTTTGTTGAGTTTAAATGATTATATTTCTATATTTTTGTATTAAAATATCATTTCTTCTATGAAATGACAGAATTAGTAGATGGTAATATTATGAGAGCAAAATATATGTCACCACTCTCTTTTAAGTGGTCTACATTCTTTGCTGCTTTTTCTGATGTATGAACCCCAGAAGATAAGGAATCATTAATTCAAGGCTCTGAGGCCGCAATGTTCTAAGTGCACCCTACAGACACAAAGGAATCTAACTTTCTATTAGTGTAACTTCTAATCATTAGCAAAGCTCTAATTAAACAAATTTAATTAGCAGAGATACATACAGAAAGATAATGCAGGTATTTTTAGTGGATGATGGGGCATTTCCTAACCAAGTGAAACTACTACTGCTAAACCTAGGAAGAATGTTAAAGAATGGTAAAGGGTTTTTATATAATTCATTAACTAGACTATAAGGTTTTGAGGGCATCTTATTTGACTTTCACTATCTAGAATGCAGCCCTGTACTTGGAGAAGTGCCATTGTTCAATGAATATTCGTTTAATGAAATATACTTCAACCTGGAGAATGCACTGGTGGTGAATGCATAGAAAAAGATGCACCTTGTACAGTTAACCAAGGTATTTTTATTATCAAAAATATTTAAAGCATAAAAGAAAATTCAAGCATTAATTTAACAAACATCCATGTGCTTGTTACAGAAACAATTGCAAACAGTAATATTTTGTTTGATTTCATTGACAACTTTTTTCCTTTAAAGAATAAATATTTAAATGACATTGAAATTCTTTTATCATCACCAGTCACATTATCTCTTTCCCTTTGAGAATTAAATATTTTTCTGAAATTAGAATGTAGTATTCCAGGTATGCATCATTTCAGGCTATTTTTAAAAATGCATTCATAAATAATATATAGTACTATTTTGCATGCTTTAAAAACAACTAAGTAGAATTTCTATTGTTATGCTTCTGCATTGATTTTTTACACATTATTTTAAAATCTATTAGCCTTAAAATATGTAAATCTAGTTAATTTTAACCTTTATAGAGTATTTGATACTATGCATATCTTTAATATACTATAAATTGCCAAATTACTCTCCAAGATGTTTCCCAAATTTAAATTCCAGTCATACACAAACACATACACACACACACACACACACATATTCTTGCTCATTTTTTTCAGCTACATAACAAAAAAATACCTTGAACCCCAAACACTATTTGTTGGTCGTAACAGTTGTCACATCCCTCTCTTATTACTATTTTGAGACACAGTCTTGTTCTGTCAGCCAAGCTGGAGTGCAGTGGCACAATCTCTGCTCACTGCAACCTCTGCCTCCCAGGTTCAAGCGATTCTCCTGCCTCAACCTCCGGAGTAGCTGGGATGACAGGTGCCCGCCATCATGCCCAGCTAATTTTTGTGTTTTTGATAGAAACAGGGTTTCACCATGTTGGACAGGCTGGTCTTGAACTCCTGACATCAGGTGACCTGCCCATCTCGACCTTCCAAAGTGCTGGGATTACAGGCATGAACCACCGTGCCCCACCCCTCAATTACTTAGTTTACTTAATACAGTAACTTTTAGATATACACTAAATAGTAACTTGAGGGTTGTTTTATACTGTCTTGATATTGTTCTTTGTTGAAACTGTTAGAAACAAAATGAGAGAACTTTATGACGTGGAACCTATAGACCATAGATAACAAAAATTGACTGTTAGCTGTATGATGGTGAGAAAAACTTCTAAAATCTCTTTATATTATTTAATTGGGAGACAACAGACCAGATTACTCAAAGGGATAATGGGTTATCTTCAAATTTTCACGAATTCAGCAATCTTGATGATTACTAAATTTCTATATTTGTAGAAGAAAACAATTCATAAATATACGATTGCACTATTAGTAACATATGCTCCAGTTTTCTCTCAGTGTAGAAATATAGTAATTATCACTAGGACCATTCTCTGAAATTAAGAAGTACTATAGATAAATAAGGCAAAGGAATGCCATTTATTTTTTAACACTCTGAAGGCAAATATATCTACTTATTATCCTTTTCCATAACCTGACACAATGACAATGGAATAGAAGGTTGTCACAGCATAATAGTACCTGTCTGAGAAATTAATACTGAGGTAAAGCCGAAGCATTTATCAAAAATATCTATCAAAGTGAAGGGGAAACGGTTATTTTTTCAAAGTTGGAGACATTGATCCTGTGATAATGTTCTATTAAAATGACTTTATTTCTGTTACCCCAGTTGGCTGCTTTAGACATAATCATTTTTAAAAAATAGAATTTGATGTGCTCTGGTTCAATTTCTTTCTTAGGGATTTATTTACCAACATGTGCTTCCCTTTAACCCTTTGACACACATATTTGAAGACTTGAACAAGGTAAGAACAGGTCACCTCTATACATCTGCTATTCCTTCTTCCATCCTAGCATCTGAATTACTGAATTACACTAAGAAGAGATGGAAGAGTGATGTTTACCATTAAGGACACCAGTCTGTGCATTTCCTTCTCTTTTAGATGCCCAGCTCAATTCCCATTGAATGACCTCTAGGAAAAGATCATGAATTCCACACCATTGATGGTTGTCTCTCTGGAGCCTAAAGAAAGCATAGCGCTCCAGCTTCACTCTTATCCCTATTTTATTGTACAGCTGAAAATGTAGTATTTAATCATGAAGATTTAGGATAGCCTCACATCAGCCAGCTCAACCTCTGTGATTTGTCTTTTCATAAATTAAAGTTTTCTACAAACATTCCATGCTTGAAAGTTTATAGACGTCTGCAAGTATTTTTACATAAAGGTCTTCCATATTAATAGAATTTAAAAATACAAAAGTAATGTGGAAATTATAAAGCATGATGATTTGGAAAATCACATTAAAGGCAGGACAGGTGTTTGAGTTACCTTTTTATTTCCACTGAGACCATCATGGAAATTTATATATACCACATTTTCAATAAATAGTCATTAAATGAGTTACTAAGAGAATGAGCCTGACAAAAATATAAATTTGTTTTTCATTTTTTATGAGATCTGAGCAAGCCACCTAGGATCTTGACTACCTCAGACTCTCCTTCTAACACGGACATAGTGCTAAGTAAGAAAAAAGAAATGTTTTCTTCTACAGATACTTCAGCCTGAAGTATCTCTGAGTAAGACAGAAATGTGTCAATAGGTCTGGTCTGTAGTTGGATAAACCTTAGAAATAGTCTCATGGAAACTCCAATTTAAAGCGGCCTTTGTAGATAAGAGAAATCCCAACCCTTCAGAAGAACTTCATTTTTATGTCATAAAAGATAATATTCTAAACATATGAAATAGTTCAACATTATATTTGATTCATTCTCTATATATTTTTATTTGTTAAAATGTTTGCTACCTTATCAATGAGGTAAAATGTATCATTTGTTTTAAATAATATAACAAAACATTGGCCCAATAAATCTTGACCTAAGTTACATGTTTTACACGCACACGCACACACACAAATAATACACAAAAATGTTTCTAGGGATTACAGCTCTAATCTTTGGTTGCTTTCACACGAGTAACATCTTAGCACAAACCACACACAAATTAGAGACAGCAATTTGGTCCTGTGAAAATATAATAAAAGTACATAAAGTACAATTGACAGTAAGACATTTGTTATATAATAGTTTACCACCCTTTCTATAATATGTACCCAGTGGCTGCTCAATAAATATTAATTGATGATAATGATTATTTGCAAAAGCCATTGAACTTCCTTCAGGAAATAAAACCATAATGATTACCTGGTATGTGAATTGTGTTTCACCTGAGGGAAGAACTGGTAAACAGAGGCACTGTGCATTGCTTATAGGTGATCACCAGTTTTCTATGGCTCATAAGATGGTTTTCTTCCTTTGTACCATGGTGTTTTATGTCTTGAGCCTCACACACCGCCCACCTCCTGCGTAAAATTTACACAAGCATTGAAAGATTGTGGAATACCCAAGGAAATCATTTTTCAGTCAATTGAGTTCTTAATGGAAAAAGCTCTCTGAATGCTATCTTACAAATTAGAAGATCCCCTGCTTTCTAAATAGTTCAATTGAAACCAGCTTTGTATTTATCCTCCGGGTCATTCAGGCTGAAATGTTGTTAAGTCTTAAGTCCAAAAGTCAGACTTTTAAAGGCAAAATGTCAAGTCCTTTTAGGCTTCAACTGACCTTTTAAACCAGATTAGGGATTTGAAGCATTACACATGGATTTCTACATTTTATATCCTCATATTTAACAAATGATCAAATATAACTCCCAAGAATACTATTTTTACAAGCTTGACATTTCGGGTCTGAGAGGTGGCTGTCTGACTCTTTTTACATAAATTTATTGGTAGGGGATTCGGTGAATACTTTGGTCTTTCCCACCTTCATTTCACTGAAGAAACTTTGTATTTTTTTCCTGTATGGTGGACAATAACCAATGTCTTAAAATCGTCACTAGAAGATGCAAAATTGCCAAGTCTTTGTATCTGTTTAACTCAAGGTTAAAGTAGAATAGGTAAGGTAAAATAGACACTTAACAGATTCTTTGTAATGAATCATGTCCAATACATGTCCCTAATCACAACCATCTTGAGCCCTTACTTATCGTTTGTTCTCTACAGGATTTTGCCCACAAGTAGTTCATGGTATTGAATTTCCTTGCTCCTTTGTCCTGGAACTATTTGCTATTGTTGCTCTTCTACCTTGGTTCGCAGTCTTGGCTAAGCATTAGTCATCTAGATAGATTAAAAACAAAATGTTTAAGCTGAACTCCAGATTAACTAAATCAGAATCTCTGGGACTTGGGCCCTGCCATCAGCGTTTTTAATGCTCTCTGGGTAATTCCTCCTGTGTGGCCAAGGTTTTACACCACTCCACAGAACTCAACTATGTAGTAATAGATATTCATAAAGTTATTAGAAATAGTTTAATTGTGAAAACAAGGAGTGAGAGGATTCATTTGTGCATCTTGTATTTAGGTTCCAATATTTGACAGGGAAGGCCCCAATATCTATTTATTTAGTAAGTATTATTGAGATCCTTTCATATGCAGGACAGCAGAGGGAACACAGTGGTCCTTGCCTTGATGAGTAGTGTTCAGTAGGAGACACAGAACATGGACATCTGTATGTATAGCATAAGAACATCGTACACATTTCAGACTCTCAGACTTTTCCATGGGCTGAGGTTAGCAAGATTTATGATTTCAGGAAAGTAAAAGTAAAGACAAACAAGCTAACACTGCACCCCAACCCTCAACTCCTATATGGCCCCATACAACTCTTTACTAACTCCTGCATCTTTTCACGAAGTCAAGATAATAATCACAGGGAGGAATAATCTTTTTCAAGACTCTTTATTTTTTGTAGGCCTCCTTTTACTCAATAACAAGTGCAGCAGCAACTGTACAATGTAGATGTGCTTCTGAATCCCCATGGCAATCTCACTCCTCCCAGGAAATGATGCTTGTTATAATGAAGAAGGCTTCTGTATAAAGCTGTTAGTGACCATACCATTATTTAAGAGCAGAAAATAAGTGCCAGCGAAGATGAGAAGACTGAATTGCTCATGAATTACATCATTCATTTTAAATGGGAATCAAAAGCACAAAAGGGCCAATTGAGGCACACGGGCCCTGAGTGTGGATCATTTTACATGACTATAGACTTCCCTTCAGCTGACTACCATAATGCCAAAAGAAATCACTTAACTGGGAACTCAGATCATCTGATTTTTAGTACAGCTTTGAAGGGCTTTGGTTGTGTGTTGACTTCCTATTTGGTTTGAGTCTCTAGGTCCTAAAGTCCTCTGGATTTTTGCTGGGATATTAGGATAGGTGAAGGAGTCCCCATGGCACACCTTAAAAGTCATTTTGAGATGGGTCATTCATGGTCTGTTAAATTGGAAAAATTCAGATGTGAGAGCTTAAAAGAGAGTGCATTTCGCCTGTATCTTGAATAATAAACATGAATTCCAGTGTTAACATGGAGAGAGTCTTCTTTAAGTTTAAAGGCACAGTATAAGCAAAGACAGGTAGAAGTAAATTAGAGGACAAATTCAAAAAATGAGGAATTGTCCATTCATGCTATTGTAACAACACAGTGACATTAACAAAATGGAAGCTACAGAAAAAAAGGTTTTGTTTCATCTCGGACAATGCTGAGCATGTTTGAATTACTCTCTGTACATATCACAATATTTTTTGAGAGGGCCAAATAGGTAATCTAGCCCAAATCTATAATCCTATGGATTAAAAAAAGGCCAAAACAAATATTAAAGGAAAGAAAGAAATGTGGAGAACACAACAGAATTGGAGGCAAAAGACAGATGCCCTGAGTTTTTCCATTGAAATATCCAATCTTACAAAACCCTTGTCAACCTTTAAATCCCATCTATTTCTATGTCAGGCCACAGAAGCATGCTAAAAATAAATGCATAACTCTTTGAAAATAATTTCTAAAAAGTCATTTTAAATGAACATTATCATTGGAAAATGTTACAAAATCTTAATTTCTAGCGATAACAAATGACAATAGCAGCTCAACTCACATAAGTTAGAGAAGTGATTTCAGGTCAATCATTACCACACATTTTGGAAGCAGTTCACTTGCAGCATTACTGGTCTCTCTATGGGGAATGCAATCACTTCTGTTTTTCCTAGTGGAAAATGCTCTTCTGCATTAACAATAATTTGCTCATTTGAATTGCGCTAAACACCATTATCAGACTCAAAAGAGTAAAGTACAAAAAAAAAGTACGTAATGACCACTTCATTTTCATTGCCAGTTATGCATGCTTCTTTTTCAATTTACCTACTACGATTTTGTTGTTATTGTTTTTGTCAGATTATTTCTCAGAAAAAAGTGGACATATTATCTTTAAAAATCATAGTTCCGAAACAAAATATGTTACAGGATACACCCATACTGGAAATACATATTATTGTTAAAGATATATTTTTAGTGTATATTCAAATCCAAAAGATATTTCAGGCAACATTTATTTGTCTTCCGTGGAACATGAATACAGAAGTTATAGGTTAGATCCAAATAACGACTTTTTCAAAGTTGTAGTTGAAACAAATGTCTGAGAGAGTGTAGAAATTTCTCTGCTATTCAGTTGCACACTCTCTCCAGGATAATATATACACAATCTTGTCTGGTAGAAGATAAGAGCTCAACTTCTCAGAGTCTCTCTCAAAATGCAATTAGAATAATAGACGTTTCAATATTTTTATGAACTCTCACCTCCTTCATTTTCTTTGGCTAGAACTAAAAGACTTTATAGATGAAAGATGCTGAGATTGCTATCAAGAATTAATAGCACAATATTATTTTCAAACAATCTATGCAAAAGCTAAAGGATTTTAGTGTCATACGAAAATAAGATTGAGGGTCTCTGTATGGAAGAATTAGTTAACAATTATCTGTGTGACATTTCCTGCACTGAACTGGGATACACGGTATACTACTAAGAACATGAAGGTGAATTAATTCTTCCTAGCTCTACATTTGCATTTAATATAGCAGTCACTAGGTTCATGACCATGCCTTTTATACACAGAAAAACAGAAAAGGGAAATAACAGATATGAAACACCATCTTTGCTCTTTTGATGAATGCTGTATCCTTGCTCGGTAAAACAGCCAACATAGACTTACTTTTTACTTCAAATTGAATTAAGCGGTGCAGCATAGGACCTATGCTGAAAGGCAGAGGCCTGGGAACATGAAGATATGTAAATTATATTTTGTGTGCTAAAGAAACTCAAAACTAATTGGAGGTTACTGACAATTAGAATTAAATGTGATAATAGAATTGTAGTTAATAGTCCAGAATTTCAAGTTGGAAAGAAGTGGTTTTAAATCCTGGCTCTTTTATTTCAGTGGTATATATATGTTCAGTTCAATATATGTTAACTATAACACAGATGAGTTACAGTACCTTCATTTGTATCATAGTTAACATACATTGAGTCCTTCTCCATTAAGTATCACACATTCTTCCAAGGTTCTCCTGTGTATTAATCATTCAGTTCTCACAATAACCCTTTCATCAATGTGATTTTGTGGATGATGAATCTGAGGCATCTGGAGTTTATGTAACTCATCCCAGGTATGAGAGCTGGGAGGCAGTAGAGTTGACATTCGAACAAAAGCAGCTTACCTATTAGCAATAGTACCTGCCTCCTAGGTGAGGATGAAACAAGATGATGAGACGGGAACACTGAAGTGCTTAGCACAGAGCTTGGCACAAAATAAACACTGTACGTTTGACCTATATCTATCAATATTATCACTGTCATTGCTGTTGTTGATGTTACCATGATTGTTACTAATACTCCATCTACTTCTATACACAAGAAATTCAAAAGGGATAGATTATATATTAACAATACAACTGGCTTGACTAAGCAAAGCTGAATAAATTTTTCATATTAGACCGACATTAATTTACAGTCATTATAGCAAATACAAACTAGTGAACATTTCAAAGAAGTTTTTCTTTCTTAAAAATTGTTCTTTTCTTGGGAGGCCGAGGCAGGTGGATCATGAGGTCAGGAGATCGAGACCATCCTGGCTAACACGGTGAAACCCCGTCTGTACTAAAAATACAAAAAATTAGCCGGGTGTGGTGGTGGGCGCCTGTAGTCCCAGCTACTCCAAAGGGTGAGGCAGGAGAATGTCGTGAACGCGGGGGGAGAGTTTGCAGTGAGCAGAGATCGCGCCACTGCACTCCAGCCTGGGCGACAGAGCGAGACTCTGTGTCCAAAAAAAAAAAAAATTGTTATTTTCCTTCAATCCTACTGCATCTCTCTGTTTGGAGGTATTTTCCTCCTATTAGCACTTTCATAGAAAAAAAAAAAAGTAGCTCAGAGCAGATAAGGAATGAACTGTAAAGTGATCAAGATACTTAGTCGGCAAACCCAGAAATTTGAAAGGGCTTTCTTATATTTACTAGCTTTTAGAAAGACTGAGTATGAATGGCAAATATTCATGCTATGTAAAAATATTCAGTGAATTCAGTAAAGGAAGAGGCATAACACTTCTCCCAAATTCAACATTGGTAGTTTTGCATCATTTGGATTTCAAAAATTGCTTGTTTTAATTGCTTAGCTTGGTAAGCCTTATTTGGAAATAGAAAGAAGGCAGTGGTGTCTATTTCAACTTTAACCATAACTTGAGTGTGGTCAAGATGCTCACTCTTCCTGCAAAGCAATTGTTCAATCTATAAAATACAGAAATTCTCTCCCCCAAATTTAGTAGTGTAAATTTTAATTAAATAATATCAGATAAATATCATGAGATCCATAAATGAAAGATGTTTCAGAGAGTCGATAATTTTTTTTTATTATTATATCCATCCTGGAAGACCTAAGAGGGTTGATTTATTCCTGTTAATAATTCTCATTCTTTCTGAATAATTGTAGGATCAAACATGCTGGCACCACAGGGAAATGTTCCAGCCAGCTGGGAACACTGCTTGACTCTTATATCTTTTCTTTCTTTAGTCTTTAAGTTTCAGTCTACACATTTCCTGCTGTTTTGGTCTGTGGTTTAGCAATAAGAATTAAGGATTTTCATTTTCTCTCTCTCTTTTTAATTAGCACCCTATTTCACTTGTTATCATAAATAATTTTTTTAACAGAGACATTGCAATATTTATAAAATTTGCCAATAACAGGAGTGACAATGCAAGCATCAATTTTAAGGTGTGAGTTATTTAAATGTGTGGGATCCTGAGCAAATTGGAGGAAAGGGAAGGGCTGTTTGGTCCAGGTGTGCTGGCATAGATGGCTCCTGGTGGTGAGAGTCTAGGACATGAGTTTTCTCTGTGTTGGCTTGGGAGCCAAATTCTGATTTTAACTTTCTTCTTGACAATAAGGTTTCCCTGAAAATTTAGACATTACTTCATTGAACTGATTTTAAGCTAATATTTCTCTTTGAGATATTTGTATGTTTAAGAGAGGTACAGCAAAAGAACCAAATAGAAAGTGGAAGTTTCGAGCAATGCTATTTATCAGACAAACCTGAATTTGAGATTTTAAAAAAAACTGCTATATTGATTTTTTGATAAATTTTAAAGACAGATAAATTTCAAAGACAGATAAATTTCAGTTATCTCTATTGAGTCTGGTATTCAGTGTTTCTTATGCTAAAAAAATCTCACTCACTCGCTCTTTTTCACACCCATCCCACACACCCTCCACACCCACCCTTCACCTCTACTTCCACACACTTTTATTCAGTACAAACCCAGAATCTTAAATTTCCCTCCATTACTGAAATGCAGAAGAGGAAACACACCTTTCTTCCAAACCCAGTGCACCACTGTTAAAAATGCTCTGCAGACCTGCATTTAAAGTCCGCTACTACCAAAACAATTTACAACTGGCAAGCCCCAATGGAAAAGGACAAATATGAATATAAAGACAAGATTTTCTTGTGAAGAAGAGAACAAAAAGAACAAAGCGATTTTAATAGACCACGAAAAGAACGTTAGTAACAGCAAATTTGAATCCCTCCTAGCAAGTTTATTGAGTATTTTCACAAGTGAATTATGCATTCAGAGAATCACAGATACTGGAAATGTCATCACAGAGATTTAAGATTGTGATCTGATGAGCCAAGTCTTTGCCCTACCCAATTTTCTATCATAGTGTTATCTTCTGGAAAGTTTGCAAGAACTGAATGCATATGCTTGACCAAAGAACACAAGATACCTCCCATAATAAGCCATATGCAACATCATCATGGCTGTATGCCATGATTCTATTTTTATACCCCTGAACATTTGTTTTCTGATCTCTTGTGAAACCTGAACATTTTCCCCTGCCTTAATTTTCATGTGGGTACACTCTTCCTCACTTGAATTTCTCTGTACTTTTTGATGCACAGAGCGGGAGAATGCCAATCAAAACATGGCAATAATCCTTCAGATAGCAAGAAACTGTGGCAAGACTTGAGAGACTACAATTAGAAAATTGTTTTAAAAAAAAAAAAGAAGAAGAAGAAGAGAGTCTTCTGCTAAAACTACCGTGACTTCTTTTGGTTGGAAGGACATCTCCTCATCTGTGACAACAGTGAAAATACAATATTTAACCCAAGGTAGAGGCACCATCTTAGACCAATTCTACCTACCGTTATCATTGTTGAAGTACTAATTCTCTCTACTGTTAGGGGTAACATAAGGGAAATATTTGAAATGGTTTCTAATTATATGATTTAACTCACTAGCAGAAACCATCCAGAGAATTTATGATCATAACTATGACTCATGCTTTATTAAAAGAATCTGTGAGGCTGGGCTCAGTGGCTCACGCCTGTAATCCCAGCACTTTGGGAGGCCGAGGCGGGCGGATCATGAGGTCAGGAGATCGAGACCATCCTGGCTAACACGGTGAAACCCCATCTCTACTAAACATACCAAAAAAAAAAAAAAATTAGCGGGTGTGGTGGCAGGCGCCTATAGTCCCAGCTACTCAGGAGGCTGAGGCAGGAGAATGGCATGAACCAGGAGGCGGAGTTTGCAGTGAGCTGAGTTTGTGCCACTGCACTCCAGCCTGGGCTACAGAGTGAGACTTGGTCTCAAAAAAAAAAAAGAAAAAAAAGAATCAGTGAGATGGTTATATAATAAACATAATTATATATAATGTAATATTTCCACATTATATTATATATAATTATAATATATTACATTTATTATACATAAATATGTATACTTTAAGAAAATTTTTAAAAGACAAAGAAAATTATAAAAATTTGCAAAGAAAAAAATATTTTTAAAGACCACCCCAAGCCTCAAATGAGATCTATATTTCCAAAAGACTAACTTGAGTATATCTTATATATATTAAATCAGCATCTTTTTAGTCATCTTATGCTAATAAAAATAAATCATTTAAATAATTATTGACATTAACAATTATTGTCTACTTTAGAAGACTGAGATCTTCATTTTTTAATTTTATTTAACTCCCTATGTGTTCTGAGACATGGAAAGAAGTTGTTTCCTCATCACTTCACATTTTGATACTGGCATAATAAAGTTGTCCAGCGAATTTATAGACAGCCATAGGTATGTTAAACTTCAGAAAAAGTTGGAAGTGATAATCTACAGAATGGGCTTCAGTAGCTGTTGATAGGTAATGGTTGTTTTATCAATAATACTTGTACCAAAAAAGCGCAAGCATTAATCAAAAAGAGACACATGGTCATCATATGCAAATATCTGAATTTGACTTCAAATCTGCCTTAGCTATATCACTCAAGGTAAATTTCAATTCAGATAAGCAGACAATGTTATCATAAAAATTAGGTGATGAAGGTCAGGCTAAACTTTCTACAATCTAGACTCCTTAGTATATTTCAGTCACTCAAGTAAAAGAAAGACAATGTGAAAAACAGAAATTGTGGAAAGAAGACATGCCTTACAAAATAACATGCACAGGTCATACCGATAGTGTTAGTAAAATTCAAAGAAGGATGACACTTTTCATAAGATTGGCTGTAATAAAATGGCTTGACAAACACAGCAATTACACTGGCTACAGTAGTAATAGGGAGATAGAAGAAGTCAAAATGCTCCATGAGGCAGGAACTCTATCTTGTTCATCACTGTGTCCCCAGTGCCTAGGAAAGTTGGTGCTTAACAACCACTTATTGAATTAATATATAAAAATATTCACATCAAATACAGGCAACCTTTCTTGTTTCAAAATTGTGAACTTTTCCCATGATTGTGTAAGATGTTAAACTAGAGGAAGTTGGGTAAAGGACACACAGGAACACTCTGTATTATCTTTGCAATCCTGTAAATCAAGAACTGTCTCAAAATAAAAAGTATTTGTAAAAAGTTTTGCTATGGAAAATTAAAAGAATAGTGAGAGGAGAAGGACCACCTGCCCTGGCCCCTTCACTGATGCCTTTGTAATGGTGGCAGCATCTTTTCAAGGAAATCCCAGAAACAGCCCAAAGAAGTAATAGGAAATTAGGATAACAAGCAACGGCACACAAACTATATTCGTCCTCTGAGGATCTTTAGAATATGAGAAGAAAGATCTAATTTTTGCGATTACATAGGACAATGGATTAATCTACTCTTATTGTGTATTAATATGTTTGGTTATTAATGTAAAAATGGCTCTGAAGGTGAGATCAACATTTATAATTTTGACTCTGCTCAATGTAGAGAGTATGCAACTTACGGCTTTACTCAGAGTAGGGAAAGGAGTTTTATTAAGAAAAAAAAAAGAAAAGGAAGAAGAAAATAGAAAAAGAGGCAGGGAGGATGGAAGAAAGAAAGGAAGGATGGAAGGAAAGGGAGAGGGAAAGACAGTGAACAGAAGTTCCATGGAATTCTCCCTAATAAAGGATATACTCAGTCCTTCTATCAAAACCTAAGAATAAAGGAAAACTGTTAATCTGAAAGCTCTCAGGATACAGGCCATTAATATAAAGACTTTAAATTTAAATTTGGAAAATAATTTTCTAAAACAGTCATTTTTAAAGTATTTAAAAGTCTATATCATTTTACAAGTGTGATTTGTGGGGCTGAGGATGGAGCATTGTTTATTGTTTGCAGCAGACTGAGTTACGTGGCTATAATACCACTAGAGAAGCTGTTGTAGCTTGTTAGACCATGTACTTAGGGCACTGGACTCTGAGCTCTTTGTTTTTTAATAATATTTCACATGTATAGAACTAATTCAAGATCTGGATTTATATGCTTTATTCACTAAAAGGGTCATTTTCCAGAGTGGTCTTTTCTTTCAAAACTGAAGGGTAAAATAAACAACCAAACAAAAAGCCATGATGTCACTTTTTGGCACATTATAGTCTGTACTTGTCATCACACCAACTGATCCTTCCTTGATGAATGAAATCCCTCTAGGCCTTGATTATTGTGACATTTAGAAAGTCAGTTCTTCAAGTCAACTTACTTTGGTAGGTATGAGTTTAGCCTTCATACTTTATCAGTTCCCCAATTTGCCTAATATTTTTATTATTGTCTTTGTTTTACTTTTACCTTATTCTCAGGCTGCTTAATATACATAACAAATATGTTGTGCATGTGTATATGTTACACAGTTCTTTTCACTTTATCCTTACTATATCCAGGGTTGGAGTGCTTTTGTTGGTTACTATTTCATATAAAGCAACATTTATTGTCATTGTTCAAACATCTTAGGCTGCATAATACAGAATATTAATCATTGCATAAAAATACATCAGTGTTCCTTACAGAGAATAAACAAGGTTGCCTAACAATGCAGAGTCACCCCAAATAAAAAAATCTTGGTGGCCAAGAATGAAAACAAGGCAAACCAACAGAACTAGAAAATAAAAAAAACTGACAAACAAAAATGTCCACCATATTCAGGACAGTCAATATTAAGAAAATATGGGGAAGGCAGATAGGAAAATAGAGCTACTCCACTGTGGAACTGTCTTCCCTGAAAAGGAAGAGGTCTCAACATTCTTCTGTGATACGTTTCTATACTCTGCTGCTATCCACCCTGCCATCTTATTCTTTATTCTCCAAATCAAGGGTGATATTTTTTGGCAGGGGTAGACGTTGACTATTCCTTATATAAGGGATGTCAATCTTTGTTGGCAAGATGGAGAGAGACCAAAGAAAAAGTAGTACCTCCAAAAAAAAAAAAAAAAAAAGAACAGTGATTTACTCTGTATTAGTTATATCGCACTGTGTAACAAATTACTCCCAAAGCTTAATAGCTTACAATGATAAACATTAATATTTCACAATGGCTATGAGTCATCAGTCAGGGCCTGACTTAGCTGTGTGCCTCTGACTCAGGGCCTCCCACAAGGTTGCAATCCAGGTGTTGTCCAGGGCTGTAGTCATTTCAAGGCTTGACTAGGGGATGATCCACTTCCAAGCTCACTCATGCAGCTGTTGGCTGATTGATCCTACTCGCCATTTGTTGGATTGAAGGCTTCAGTTCAATGCTGACTATTGACCTTACTACATAAGCATTTCCATAGGGCGGCTTCCATCATGACAGCTGGCTTCACCAAAGCAAGAGAGGAAGAGGCACGCACAAGCAAGACACAATCACAGTCTTTTATAACTGATTCTCGGAAGTGATGTCCTATCTCTTTTATTACATGTTGTTCCTTAGAAACAAATCACTAGGTCCAGTCCACAAAAGAGTATTGGAATACAAGGGAGTGTGCAAGCGGGTTAATACCAGGAAGCAGGATCACCGGAGTCCATTTTAGAAGTAGCCTATCATATATCACAGATCTGCCCCCCTAGCACAAGCAAGACTGGAACAGCTGATACTTAATTACTTCTATTTAGAAGGGACCTACAATAAATTACTGTTTTAAGCGCTATAGCAAGTGCTACATCTTTTGCTTGACTTTTGAGGCTCTCATATTGTGGTTTCATTTTCCCTAATCAATCTCATTTGGCACTATTCCCTCATATCTGTCACAGTCAGACAACCATGTGGAATGTTCTCCATACATTCTACCTCTACATTTCATCTCCACCTCTGAGAAACAGCCCGTTTTCTCTTTGAAGCACCTTTTGATGTCTAACTATGGTAGCATTCTTTTTTTTTTTTTTTACACTGTGACATGGCTGGTACTTAGTATACATTCTAGTTTAAAATATCAGTTTGCTAGTTGCGTTTTTTAAATTAGTCCATAAAGGCAGTTCTTAAGAGCAGAGTCCTAGTTTTACATTTCTTCCTGTTATCTGATAATGCTGAAAATAGTTTTTAGCAAAGTTGGCATTTAATACATTCTTGACTGGTGTATATGTTTTCCTCTGGCTGCCACAACAAATTATCACAAACTTGACGGCTTAAAACAGCACACACTTATTTTCTAACAGTTCTGGACATCAGAAGCCTGAAATAAATTTTACTAGGCCACAATCAAGGTGTTGATAGGGCTGCACACCTTCTGGAAGCTTTAGGGAAGAATTCCTTTCTCCATCTTTTCCACCTTCCAGAGCTACATTTATTGCATTCAAAGTCAGCAGCGTGGCATCTTGCTTCAGTGGTCACATTGCCATCTGTGTCAAGTCTCCCTCTGCCTCCCTCTTCCTAAGACACTTGTGATTCCATTTAGGGTTCATCCATATAATCCAGGATAATGTTCTTAAGATCCTTAATCACAACTACAATGTCCCATCCAAGGAAACATTCACAGGTTTAGAGGATTAGGGGCTGGATATCTTTAGGGGGCCATTGTTAATCTTACCGTGACCAAAAATGACAGTGGCAAAGGAGGGAGAAAGGCATTTTTTGGACAATGAAGATCTCTGAACTCTCTTCCCAGTTTTATCTTATTGCACTTAAGACTATTCTCCCAATATGAGCATGATTATTATCAAGATAGCTGAACTGTAAGTAAAGAAAACATCAACTGGTTAAAAAGAAAAAATAGGAGCAATTAACTTCACTAACTATCACAGAATCAAAAATACCCAGCAGCAAATAGCAAACTCACTTCTTTATCACATTGAGTCTGGTACCACCGCTCCTACTCTTTCCTCCATATTCCCTTCATGGATCAGCACTGGTTCATTGTAACTGTCATCATTACTGTGTCCATATCTGACATTTGACATCAAGGATTCATAGCAAGAAGATAATGGAAATACACAATACACCAGAGGCCCAAAAGATAGCAGTATATTATCAAGTTGGACGGACAATCAGATGTTTTAGTACACATAGGCCACAGTACTCTAGAGGAAGCTCTAATCACTTCAAAGTCTTTGAGTCAGTATCTTAAACTCCTAGCATAATAAGGAGTTAGCAAATATTCCCTGAAAATATATTTTCATATCTCTTTAATAACTGATGTTAGAATCCTACTTATTTTTAAATATTTAGTCAAGATACTTCCAAAGATCATTCCAGATCTATCTAATGGAGAAAGTGTCAGCCTTTCTGTTTTTGTTTGTACTCCATTGATATCTCAGTAAGGTTATCCAAGTCAATCTCCTGATTTCCATTTCCCAATTTACACATAATATAATAAATCCACCTGGATATGAATTTTAGGAATAAATTGTTAATAAAAATGGCTTCTCTCCTTTTTTTTGAAATAGAGTCTCGCTCAGTCACCAGGCTGGAGTGCAATGGCGTGATCTCGGCTCACCACAACCTCCGCCTCCCAGGTTCAAGCGATTCTCCTGCCTCAGCTTCCCAAGTAGCTGGGACAACAGGCACATGCCACCACGCCCAGCTAATTTTTGTATTTTTAGCAGAGACGGGGTTTTACCATGTTGGCCAGGATGGTCTCTATCTCTTGACCTCGTGATCTGCCTGTCTCGGCCTCCCAAAGTGCTGTGATTACAGGTGTGAGCCACCACGCCAGGCCGCCTTCTCTTTTAATGAAGATACTTTGCCTTCAAGCCTCATTTGTTATCTGATTTAACACAATTTAATTAAAAGGCTGTAGTCCTGTTGCTCCACATATCTACTATGCTGGGATAGGTGGTCTCCAGGGCCTTCCTGCTGTAAGATCCTACTCAAATTGCCCAAGAGAATAGAATCAGGCAGGGGCTAGAACTATGAGCCCAAACTGTACTCCAAAATTCTTTCCTAAAGACCTGAAAGCTCTAATTCTCCAATAAACTTATTTTAGAGATGTGCCTGGGGTGGGGGTAGGGCAGGGCAGGAATAAACAGCCATCCAAACAACAAAGAATGGCAGGCTTTCATCCAGATCTTCCCATTTCCTACCATAAAGCACCAGAAAACTATTCTTGATGAAGTTGATAAAAGATTTGTGAACATTTCTATTAATGGAATAAAGTGATGTCACCTAAAGTATATCAATTCTATATTTATATATCTCTATATGTTTAATATTCACTAAACCATATATGAAGAACACAAGCATTCCGAAGTGTCCAGGACCTGCCAGTCAAGTCCACAACCAACTGGATGGATCACCGTTATTAAGAGAGGAGACTTTAAGACACAGAATTCTGGGGTCGGGGGTGGGGGACAATGGAACACAAGTAGACTGTTTACTCAAAACACTAAGGGACAGTGTTACTGAAGGAAGAGTAAAGGTCAGGGTACACAGGAGAGGCAAAATGTTGGAATGGTGCCATTTTCCTGAAAGCAAAAAGGAACATACATCCTGAGGCCAGAAAGACTGAGAGGTTTGGAAATGTGGTGTGAGATGGAGTAGGGAAGGTGGTTTGGGGTGAAATTCATAAGCTTTCTGATAACTTCTATCCCACAGACTATGCTATTGCTGTCTTAATTTTTCTTTGTTGCATACATCCTAAATTAGATATTATATTATATCTGTTATTATTTTTATTGATATTTATTTTACATAAGATTATGTGTTTATATTCAGACACATATTTCCAAGCATTTTTGTTCACTCTTTTAACTTATTCTTTACTTTTTGATTTAATTTCCTTCTTCCTAAAGTTCCTTCCTCAATAAATCTTTTATTAAGGTCTCTTGATAGTAATAGTCTTTGCATGTCTGAAAATGTCTTTACTTTTCTCTCACTATTCAATGATAGTGTGCTAAGTATATAATTCAAAGTATACCAGTTATAATCATTCTCTCTCTGTATTTGGATGGTATTCCATTGTCTTCTGACATATATTACTGTAATAAGAAATCTGCTGTACAAATAATTGTCATTCCCTTGCAAAGTAGCATATTATTTCTCATTCTCTTTTTGGGATTCTACAATTTCTCTATAATAGGAGCACTTACTCAGTAATTATGGTGTTCAGAATTTGTGTACTCTCTAGAACGGAAGATTCATATTTTTAATAGTTTCAAAAATTCCTTAGTCATTATCTCTTAAAATATTTCCTTACAATTCTCTCCACTCTCTCTGAAATTCTTAATCAAACTTCTTATGTTTAACCTGTTTTTTATACTTTCTATATTTCTTTTTCTTTGTGTGGCCTCTCTCTCACTCAGGTTGTCTAATATTTTTAGTTTTTGTTGTTGTTGTTCATTTTCAAGTTTGGATTGTGAACTCTGTTTCTTAAAGTAATGAAGTATTGCTCCAGAAAGATATTGCATTTATTCTGTAAGATACTCTAGAATTATCGTTGCCTTAGAACCAATTTTTATTTTGATGTATCAGCTTGGAGGATATCTGACCTTGTAGCTAGTGCAAAGTTCAAAAATTCTTAGAGTAGACTTTCATTTTTCTATCCAGGGCCTAGACCAAGAAAGACCAGGATCTTTTTCACCTCTGTGTTTATAGACAGATTATTTCTGGTTTTTCTTTCCTCAGCCCTTTCAGTGTCCAAGTTTTAAGTCTGGGGGTCTGTTCCAACTTTCTGCCTTGCATGGGCCTCAGGCCTGCTCATCCAATCATTCTTATCTTAGTCTGTTTGCATTGCTATAATAGAACACCATGACTTAGACAAAAAAAATATTTATTTCTTACACTTAAGGAGGCTAGGAAGTCTAATATCAAGTGCAGCAGATCTGGCGTCTGGTGAAGATTAGCTTCCTGATTTGCAGACAGCAATCTTCTCATTATATCCTCACATGGAGGAGAACAGAGAAAGAAGCAAGCTCTTGTGTCTCTTCTTACAAGGGTGCTAATTCTATTCAGAAAGCTTTCACCCTTATGACCTAATTGCCTCCCAAAGACTTCATCTCTTAATATAATTATATTAGAGTTTAGGGTTTCAACATAGGAATTTTCGGGGATACAAACATTTCATCCATAACAATTCCCATGATAACTAAAATCCATGCCTGTAGATTCCTAAAACTGATACCAGCATTAGCACCCCTGCTTCTGTAGCCCAGCAGCAACAGCTCAACTCTGGCTTCCAGATCACTCTTCGAACATTAGTCCCTGGGGACTTTTGCTTTGCTTTCTTTTTAAAGAGATATTTGTTATATTTATTTAACATTTCTACCATTTTAATTGCTTGCATCAGGAGTGGGTTCAGATTATAATTGACCAAAACTTTAGCCATTTTATATCATTGGTAACTAAACCTTTCTTTGTTTCACTGCTTTTACCACTATTATAACTTCCAGAATGTTCCCATGTAGTTAATATCCAAATGTCCCAAAAGGAAGAAGGTGATTCTGTTGTACCCTATTCAATACAGAATGCTCCCTGGTGCAGGGTTCATGTCAGGCCATCTTATAACCCACTGACCTTCCATGGATGTGTCATTTTCATCTGAAGCCTTTGGCTAAAGTAGAGATTTCTGGCCCAGGCAGTGGTAGGCAGGGTAGCCACATCTCATGAGATAAAGAGTGGTGCACTATGGACAACAAATTGCTTTTGGACAACTTTGCTGGAAAGGGTATTGAAACAAACACACACTGTGATTATACAGAGTAGAATTTCCACTACAGTTTAGTGCTTAATTAATTGATACTCTTTAATTATTCAGTGTGTATTTTCCTTATGTCACTAAGCAAGGTTTTATCAGGAATTATGTCTTATCTAAACACTGTTAAATTTATTGTCGATATTTAATAAGCACATTTTGATGGACTGATCTAAATAGCTGAGCAAGTAGGTAGAGGGAATACCAGTGAGTGTAATGAGTTCAAAACAAATTAAAATGAGCTATGTAAGGACATAGAACAGATAGAAGTTGAGGCTGAGACATTTGGACAAAAGGCTGTAAAATTACAAGAAGGTGAAAGGAAGAGGGAAAGAAAAATACCAAACTGTATAGGAAAAATAGGGTTTTGTGTTAAATATAATAATATGAAAAAAATCCAATTAACTACATGAGAGACATTACAGAAAATGATCATATAAAAATTTACTACAGAAAGACAGAAGGCATTAAATAAATTGTTGGAAGAAGGAGGAACACATATAATTCACATCCCCCAAAATTGCAGCAAGTTCTAAGCAAAATATTTTGAAGAGAAAAACAACTAGATCTAAAATAACTTTTGATGAAGGTTTTATCTGGAAGAAATAAATGACCTTCATAAATGAAGTAAAGGAACCCTCAATTTAATTTTCTAGACAGCTAGAAAAATGTCTTTCTAAAACCATTCTGTGTAAAGTCCAATAATAGATTAGCATGTACTGATGATAATAGAGAGTTTGTGACTAACTTTTAAGCATAAGTCCCAGACTAAAATTTCAAAGTATTCCCCATTTAAGTAAGAAAAACACTAAGTTTTCAAATCTGTGAGCACAGACTCATCAATTTTAGCAACTAACATTATTAACAACATTCCGTTTAGTTACACTTTCTAATTTTGCACTTATTTTTCCAGATGGCTTAGAATATTTATATCACAAAATTTTTCTCTTAATAACAATATGGGCTTATCATTATTTTGTGATAGTTTTTTGTGAAAAAGTAAAGAATTTAAATGGAAGGAACTTCAGAATGAATGCAAACTTTAAGACCAGCTTGAGGGGGAAAAAAGAAGTTTAACGCGATGAGTTTCTCAAGAAGGATGTTCTCAATGAGTCTCCTTGTGTAAATATGGTTTGATGTCACCTAAGTAATAAAATTCAATTTGCTTTTGTGCTTTAGTACAGCATTGGGAGGATTGGAAAACTTCCCAGACTTGCTAGGCTGGATATGAATTCTCACCTCCCCCAAACTTCTGTGTTTAACAAGTGCCTTTCCCAATTATAGCTGCATTCTGACAGTAACTAACCATTGCCCTGAGTGACAGGCAGAGAGAGCCAAGAGCCTTGAAGCTAAAATGGATAAGTGAATGTGATCTCCAATCACATACTCAGCCAAAGAGGATTCCTCATAGGTTCATTCTAATGTTTTCTACATCAGTGGCCAATGGATGTGTGCGATTTGCACGGATGCATTATCAGGCATAGTAGATACATGATAGGGACATAGTAGCTATGAGGTGATGGCAAATTTAGTGGCCTAACTTATTTCATTGTTATATCAAAATAGCAATGAAAAGTCTAACAGTAATAAATAATCTACTTAATTAATACAGTGGCACATTTCTCCATAATAGGTGAAAATTTGTGATTATAAAAAACTCTGCTTCCATTTTATTGACAATTTTCTTTAATAACGATATTTTTAGGCAGTTAATCGTCCTAAACCTTTTTTTTCTTTAAGCGTAATGAAGAAGCTGAAGATTTTGAGTGTTAACTTTTACACTTCAGGAAATGTTGTTATTTACAAGTGAGAAATTTGGAAAAGCCAAATTACTGTACATTCCCAAACTGAAAAGCCCACAAAAAAATGTTAAAACAAAAAGTACACTCAACTCCACTTCATCCTGAGTCTCTGCCTTTAAACATTAAAAAGCTGTGATTTTTCCATCACACACATACACACACACATATGCATGCACACACATACACATGCACACACACAAATCACCATTAATGAACAACATCTAATCATCTGATCTATTAACTTATTGAGCTGTTAATAGATTTCGGAAATGTAATTGCATTTTCCACTTTCTGATGTATGAATGTGACCTTTATAATCATTTCTATATCAAATTCTTTAATATTATTCATTTTTTAATCACTCAAATATTTAAAGAAACTGCAGAAAACCAATCTAAATGAATCATTTTTCCATTTTCAATCCTTTGTAAATTTATTTCTGAGATAATTATATCCTCATTGAAGCTTTATTTTTAATCATGATTCTCCATTCACTGACCTATAATGTTAAAAGCCAACAAGAGGGGACTGTTCTAAACCAGGTCTGCCCAAAATGTGCTCTGTAGAACATTAGCTCCACAAGATGGTATTCAATGTTCTGAAATCAACTATGTTTCAGAAAAACTGGATTAAATAATGTTGAACAGGCTCCTCTACTCCATCACTCTTTAGAACTTTTATTATTATATATGTTTATTGTGAATATCCAAGAGACAAATCCTTTATATGATGTTTTCCAAAGATATTGGTCATGGAACTTCTTTTTTCATTAAGCATTTTAAGGGATTACTTTATATATATATATATATATCTCCATTAGTTGCCAGTAATTTTTTAAGCACTATCTTAGATAACTAGAACTGTCTAACTATAACTGGGCCTGGACTGGGTGATAGGAATAACAGTAACTGATCACCAGAGTCAGAATCACAAGTCACTTAGGGATATAGCTTGTGGGAAAAGGGAGGGGTTCTTTTCTTTCAATTTTAGCACAGTTACTTCACCAAAGAGGATATGCAAGTAGCAAATAAAAATTTAAAAGTACAGGAAGAAAATGCTCAACAGGAGTAGACTTGATAAATTATGGTATATTCAAATGAAGAAATCCTATAAAGCAATAAAATAAAACTACAACTTCATGAAACAATATGAATAAACATCAAAAACTTAATATTGAGTAAAAAATATAGAAAAATATATTTACAATTTTATTGATGCAAAATTCACAAATGAAAAATATTAACTTTTTTTTCCCCTAAGTGATACCTGCTTTGGTGTCAAAACGATAAAGAATGGCAAAAAATGAATACATGAAAGGCAGGATTGTGGTTACCTGTGGTGAACGGGAAAGGTTGGGTTGGCGATTAGGAAAAGCCACCTCAGGTGTGTGGGAGAAGGTCCGTGGTGCTGGAATGTCCTATTTCTTTTACTGGGATTAGCTAACAGATGTTTGCATTGATATAGATCTTAGAGCTATACATTTGCATTTTGTACTTTTTTCCAAGTAAGAAGGAAGAAGTTATTTGAGGTTGTTGTAAGGTCAGCAAGTTGGAAACTTAAATCCAAACAAAGTTACTTTTTCACAAAACTACCTTTGGAAAATCTGTGGTCTCTCTATCCATGATCATGGTGTGGCAATGGAGAATAAGACACCTTCACAGATTAGACAGTTACATTTCAGTTCCCTTCATAAAAGATTAACGTAAGCAATGACAGGTAGAAAGCTGTAAACTACACAAATAGAAATGGTTACTTTCCATCTTTTTGTTTACCTACAGTTATTATGTTTCTGAGCACTAATACCTCAGCAGTCTTTACAGATAAGATATTAAGTAGTCAACAGTTTCCAAAGTGAGCCCCCAAAGGAAGGGTGGTCACAATGTTGGAAGGTTAACATTTGCTGTCACACTCTGTTCCTCTACAAAAAAAAAAAGTTATGAGAAACTATCCACCACTGAATAAAAAATAATAAAAATTAAAAGGCAAGACTAGAACAAGACTTTAGAGTTTGTTAATTCAATAACATCTAAGAGCGAATTTTCTCTGCCCCAAACAGCTACTTCTAACAATCTCAGGGAAGCCTAGACTCTTCCCTCTCACTAAAATTAATTTCTTAATTCATCCTTCTTAAATACTATATTTATGTCATATCTCCTCACCTTCTTGGAGCCAAGAAATCAGAAGTGCCTGAGTAATTTTCACAGAATCCAATAGCATGTCACGTATTGGGTGGAAGCCAGAAATAATGACCTTTACTTTGAACTCAGGTAACCTTAACTTCCCATGAGGTTAAAGCAAATGGAAAGTCTGGAGGTAGACAATTAGTTCCCTAAGGGCATTTTGGTGATCCATGCTAATGTGCTGTTGCTGTTTATGATGATGGTGATGATATTTTATTGAAAACATTTTAAAACTATGTATTGAGTGCTTACAAAATTCTAGGCACTTACTGATCCCTTTGATTAAATTATCTGATCCTGTCCTTATAAGAACCCTGTGAAGTGTGTTTTATATCCCCATTTCAAAGGAGAAAAGTTTATCTAACTAAGCTATTAATATGGCAAAGTTCTAAGATGCTAGATATAAAAAAGCATTCTTAGTTTAGCTTTCACGTAGCTGAAAGTGCTGGCACTATTTGCAACAAAATCTATTATGTTGCTTCTCAAACTGTGATCCTTAGATCACCCGCACTAGAGTTATCTGAAGGAACTAGGAACTTGCAAACCCCACGGTTCTGTCTCAGACATACTAAACAGAAGCTCTAGAGGTGACACCTAAGAATCTGCATTTCTAGCAATTTTGTGGATGAACATATGCAAGCTGAAATTTGAGAACTATTATACTAGCCTGCATAAAAGCAGCAATAAAATTGTTAAACTGTAAAACTCTAAACAGGTGCTATAAAGAGGAGACCTTCAATAGTACTTTAAGAAATCATCACAACTTCCTCTCACTGAAGCAGTGGAAGAGGGCTGTTGTTTTGTTTTGTTTGTTCATTTGAGATGGGGTCTCGCTCTGTCATTTCTGGCTGGAAAGCAGTGGAGTGATCATAGCTCACTGCAGCCTCTACCTCCCAGGCTCCAGTGACTCAAGCAGCTGGGACTACAGGCATGTGTGACCAAGCCCTGACAATGTATTTTATATTTTTTATAGAGATGAGGTCTCACTGTGTTTCACGGGCTGGTCACAAACTGCTGGGCTCAAGGGATCCCCCCACCTCAGCCTCCCAAAGTGCTGGGATTACAGTCATGAACCACTGCGCCCAGCCTTGTTTTTAATATCAGACTCAATCTAAAAGACTTTCCTGTATTCCAAAGCTTATTCCCATTGCTGTATCAGTGTTCAGAAGAAAATTCAGGAAATACAGAGATAAGCTACTTCATTACTCAAAAAGAGACCAGAACTAGATTTTTAGAGTGCATTGAAATAGAGTTGATGAGACAATTTCCATTCATATATTTCCATTAGTACCTGAATTTTTAGCAAATATTGGCTACTCTTAGCTTAAAGTTAAAGACATATGAAAACTACGAAGTTTTCATCAGCTGGCCTGGGATATAGGTGGTCACAGTGTTCAGATAGTAGTTCCCTTTAGCACACCTAGGCAAAATTTCCACCTGTTCCTAATGTTGAAGTGCAGCAGTGAATTCCAGAGCCACTATATCCTTTGTATTTGCACTGTATAATACAATTATGCTGAAGTTAAATGTTTACTATATTATATGCAGCTCTTGTTCTAGTGTGGGCTATGGTAATCCACAATCCTTTTGTTTTTTTTACCTTTAAAGTTCGTAGTTAGAAACAGCTTTAAATATTCATGGTGAGGATGAGCAAGCCAGTTACATTCCAATTGACAACTGTATCCCAGGTCCTGAGATTCAAGCAGGCAGATTAGATCATCAGAATCCTGACAGGATGGTGTCCTCACCAGTATCTTATCTCTCTATACTATCCTCTTACCATGATGTCTCATTGGGCTACAATTTAATATGAGAATAGAGTAAAAGTACTTATTCAAATGTAATGAGGAGTTTTGTGGCTTGATTAGTTCCTATGTATTTCTTAAAATCCATATTATATTTGTAGTACACTTGATCCCCCATCCCCCTCAAATATAATAAAACAGCTGTGTTATAAATCACAAAACTATTGTGCTATTCTAGAACTAGGTAGCGGTGATGATTGCACAACGTTGGGAATGTGTTTAATGCCACTAAATTGTATACTTTAAAATGGTTAAATTGGTAAATTTTGTGCTGTACATATTTTACTAAAATAAAACATATTAATTATATTAATTTTAAAAGTTGTGCAACATTCAGACATATAAAAGACAAATTAGAACCTGCCTCTGATGGCTTCCAGCTTGACCTCTGCATAGTTGGAAAGGTTACTTAGCTATTCGTCAGTGTTTTCTTGATTTATATCAGATAACATTATAAAACTGATACTTTCATGCATCATGATAAGCAAATAAATGCCTGCATATGTTTCTTTTCCTTTTTTTCTTTTTCTTTTTTTTTTTTTTTTTTGAAATGGAGTCTTGCTCTGTTGCCTAGGAAGGAGTGCAGTGGTACAATCTCGGCTCACTGCAACCTCCACCTCCTTGGTTCAAGTGATTCCCCTGCCTCAGTCTCCCGAGTAGCTAGGATACAGCCATGTGCCACCACATCTGGCTAATTTTTTGTATTTTTAGTAGAGATGGGGTTTCACCATGTTAGCCAGGATGGTCTTGATCTCCTGACCTCCTGATCTGCCCACCTCAGCCTCCCAAAGTTCTGGGATTACAGGTGAGAGCCACCGTCCCCAGCCTGCATATGTTTCTTTTTATTCATAAACTAAATATCCATTGAACCTTTGCTATAGACAAAGCATTGTACTACTCTAAAGGCAAACTACTTTAAAGGCAAAACACTGTACTACTCTAGAGTCAAATGAAATCCCTGTGCCTCCCTGGGATTTGCCATCTAACAATAGAGTAGTGAAAAAATATTTTAATGTCTTATATATACCAGGCATCACCCAAGTGGAAGGGAAATAAAAAGTTCCTGGGTTTTGGTGAGTTTAGAGTCTTATATAGGGAAATGAACATGAAATAGACTTCTACCATGTGGCCCATATCCTCACAGGGCAGAAACAAAGGCATTTGAACACACAGGCAGTAGGGGGCAAACCATGAATGAGGCTGCCTCCAAAACATCATGACCCATTTGGGGAAGTACATTTAGTATGAAAACATTCATGGCTTTATGTGAACCTGGACTTCATTCAGCAGTTCCAGGCACTATTCCACTTATACAGGACAGATTTATACAGACCCAGAAGAAATGAAAACATATTGCTTAGATTCAGTCACTAGATTATGGTTCTAACTAACCCAGTTAGCACAGCCAGAATAGTCTGAATTTCTTAAATCCAGAAATAAAACCCTAGGGATCATGCTAATCCAGAACTCCTACATGTCCAGCCATCGACAGGACTAGCTCTGTGAACTTAAATGCATCATTTCACTCTTCTGAACTCTAAAATGATGGCAATAGATTACATGCCATTATGTCTATCATTGGTATGATTTCTTTATTATTCCATGTGGTCTGATACTTTATATATGAGAACTTAGAAAAATGCTGATAAAGCTAAATGTTTCTTTAAGATTGATAATCATAAAAAAATCAGTACTGCTGCATCTGAAAACTTGAGTGCCAAGGGGTAAGTAGTGTCTAATAATTAATAAAAAGTGATTGTAAAGCATTTTGCAAACATAAAATGCCAGATAATTTATAAATATTTAAATAGTTATTAAATTTAATATGAATATTACATACATACCATTTTGATTTCCTATGCCACTTTATTGCCTCAGAGTGCTTCACAGATATTAATTATGTTACTGTTGATATTATTGCTGTTAATTGCATGGTTTCTTGAGGGGGTATATTCCAGGTAAAGAGGAAAGGGGAAATAAGGGTGAATAATTAGTTTTACAATGTTATTACTGGAAGGCAATATTCTTTTCTGTTACAATGTATTTGAGGTTTAAGTCAATTAATTGCTTGGTTTGTAGGGTTCCATTTTCTCCTAAATCTGGTTTTGACATTGCTGCTTCCGATTTCATTTGCTAGATTATAAATTTCTCTGAGTCACAGGTCACTTTTTTCATTTTTTCCAATCCTCCAAAGTTTCTTGCCTACTTGACGGCTTAAAAAATATACTTGCCAAGCCATGAAGGGCTAGAAAGCCAACACAGTGAATAATGACAGGTCTCAGCATGTCCCACCTGACAGCCCAGGCAATCCTTGTACCCTTGCAAGCAGGCATAATGGGCCCATTTGAGAGATGGGGAAACTGAGGCTAAGGCAAACTAACGAGAGCACTAAATCTACCTAACTCGTGAGTGATGGACTCACTTCTGATATTAAAATTCCTGCTTTTTCTCATTAATACTACTTCCCTAGAAACTTAATTAATAAAAAGTTAGAGTTATTTGGGACAGGAATTTGTAGGGAACTATTATATGTTTTAAAAATCATTCTTAACTGAGGGTTTAAAAAGGCTTTCAAAACTTTGCTAAGGAGAAGGGAAAAAGGAGTAAGAGGAAGAAGCAATGAAGGGAAAAGAGGGGAAAAAAATAAATAGACCCAGAAAAGCAAGAAAACATTCAAATAAAAGAACACTTCTCCATAGAGACAAAGACAGGAACTTATATACCACCTCAAGGTAGTAACTCATATAGGGCGGGGAGTTAGAATAAGAAATAGAATTTACCTAATAGCCTGTGGGCTTAGTTGTGGAGGTGTGGTGGAGTCTATAAGCAAAACCACAAAGCAAGCACATGAGAAAGTAATTGGCTTTGCTGATAAGAGGCCAGGAAGAGAGCTGGCTGCAGGTGGGCCTAGTGATAAGCAGAATGTATGATGCTGTGGAGACTTGATTGGAATAGTTTAATAAAAGCATGTGACTGCTGCCAATTAGAAGCTAAAAGTAAAATAAGATTCTGCTGCTAATTTTGCATCCAAGTAGAATTATACTGTGATTAGGCTAATAGAGTGGCATTGGAAATCTGTAGGCACTGCACTGGAGACTCACTATCTAGCAAGCAGCTGAACAGAAGCAGTAAAGCATCACTATCTCCACCTTACCTGGCCCATGAGATGCTCATGCAGAAACAAGCTTGTGCAGAGGCAGCTCAAGAGAGAGAATAGAGGCTTCCTGACATGCTCAGGAAAAGGATGCTAGCTTCAAGACCCAGACCCAAAAGGGTACTTAGTCTTGTGGGAATTGCATATCTCTGGAAGTGCAATACTCAGAGACACTTTTAAGGAAGCCTACTAATAACTTTTCTACAACCTGCCAAGTGTCTTGCCTAGAAACAAGCCCCCTCTGTGAGATGAAGCTCTATTGTTTTAAGCCGGGAAGGTCTTGCCAGGGATTTCTTTAACTGGGGTCACCCTCCACTCCAACTTCAGTAAGAAAAGAGAGCATTCCACAACGTGGAGATAAGGTGGTGTCCAAGACTACATATAAATGGTCTGCCTAACTGAAGAAACAAGATATTCTCTTCTATTCTTTGGTATATCATAGTTCTCTTTTTCCCCTGACTCCCGCCACCTCTCTCTTCTCCCCAGTCCACACTGGGACTTGGATTAAAGGCTGATTTACATCTGTTGTGTGTCCTAATTTCCCAAGAGTGTATGAATGAATTTACAACAAAAGAGTTTCTCCTTTTATTTCCATGAAATGTGATGTGTGGTGTCATTCAGCAGCTAGTGACATGTGGGATGGCAATAATAAGGTCTTGCCTTTTGAAATAATCTGTGAACAATCCATGTTTAACTGTTCTTCCTATTCAAATTAATTCAGATATTGAAATTATATTGCAGAGTATCTGAATTCTTAAAGCACCACACTTCAGGTGGCAGCATGGTAGAAAGAAGCACTGTCTATTCCTAAAATGAAACTGGTTAGCTAGTACTTAAAGTGAAAACTAACATGTTACAAACCACATCCAACTCAAAGCAAGGGCCTCAGCCTCCTGAGGTTCATGTAACGATAGCTGGTTTCTCAGCCTCATTCTCTAAGCTATGCTAACACCATTCTAACTTTCATTCTACATATTCAAATCCAAGTACGCAGGTTAAACCTGCTGTTCTTTACCTGAAATGATAATACTTGCTTGGTTTGGAAGCACCAAAGTGAAGACCTTCTCACCTATTGAACAAATATTATTAAATTTCTTGTACTTTCACACCTCAAGAAATCTGTCTGTTTTTAAGTCAGAAGCCCTGATCATTGGCTCAAATTTCTTTGCTCAATTTCATGTACTTGAAACAGAGATGCACAACATACAAGCTTCATACTCAAGCCCTTCAAGTGTTTCTGACAAGAAACTAAATCTTTGAGTCTTTATAATACTCTGATGCTGATTTTCTTTATTGATTCTTCAGTATAATTGAGAAGAAAGCTGGTTTGGTTACTTAAAGACGGTCAAGTTGCTAGACAAATATTTATTGAATTAATGACAATAATGCATGCACATAATAAATATTCAAATAATACAAATTCAAATGAGTACTATTATACCTAATTTTTTCCATCAAATAGAGGTAACAGATATAACGGTTATCATTTGAGGGGGTATATGAGCATTGTTTCAGATACTTTCCAATATTTATGGTGAGCAGAATAAGGGTCCCCCAAAGATGTCAACATCCTAATAATCCCTGGAAACTGTGACTGTATTACCTTACATGATAATAGAGACTTTGCAAATGTGATTAATTTAGGGATATTGAGACGTGAAAATTATTTTAGATTACCCGGGTCAGACCAATTCATCACAAGGTCCTTCTAAGTGAAAAAGGGAGGCAGGTGAGTAAGAGTCAGAGAGAAATTTGCAGATGCCATGCACTGGCTTTCAGATGCAGGAAGGGAGCATGAACCAAGGAACACAGGAAGCCTCTCGCAATTTAAACACGCAAAGAAACCCCTTCTCACCTAGGGCCTCCAGAAGGAACACAGCCTTGCTGAAACCTTGATTTTAGCATAAAGAGAGCCATTTCAGACTTCTAATCTCCAGAACTCTTGGATAATATGCATGTGTTATTTTAAATTTGTGATAATCTGTTATAACAGCAATAGAAAAGGAATATGAGTCACATGTAACAGCCTAAGATATCCATTACTGGAATAATTCAATTGATCATCATCCACCCTAGGATCAGGCCAGTTAAATACAACAAGAATTGGAGAATGGGAGAGAAATTAATATTTTTAGTGCTTACTCTGTGGTACCACAGAGTGATGGGTAGAAGGGCCGTATGGTACCACAGAGTAACCACTGCAAATGTCATTTACTAGCATTCATCCATTTAACTCTAAATGCAATACACATTTTACAGTTAAAGAAACTGAGGTATCATGGGGTTAAATGACTCACCCAGTTTCCTATTGCTAGAGGTAGCAGCATTGGAAGTCTAGCTCTAGAAATGGCATTCTTAACCCATCATATATGAAACTATAATGTATGACATATGACCCGTTGTGCTAACATTCTTTATCAAAGGTAGTCCATCAATCACAAACTTTGCATGGCATGTGGATGGCCTCCTATTTTTAAGGTTCCCCCTTCCATCACAGTCATTTCTCTGAAACTTTCTCATTGCCGACAATCCCTGTTGTCCTTAATCACTATGCCAGAGACGGTACCTCCACAATGCACCACAGCACACAGAAAAAAAATAACAGGCAGAATCAGGTTTCTATCTTGTCCATAGGCTATGGAATGTTTGCTGTAAGATGTCACACCAAGAATGACTTGGTAAAGGCCTAATTCAGTCTGAGTAGAGGGTTGGATGCCTAGTTACGGAAGCAAAAGTTATTCTGGACAAAATTAGGTTGCAGATACAAATTTGAGATAGATGTTATCCAACATTTCCAAAAAAAAAAAAAAAAAATACAGCAGGCTAGGAGAATTAGAATGGATTTTCAATTAATCCTTCACTTGATTATAAGATCCTTCTTGGTAGGAACAATGTTTAAATTCAATTTTAAGTCCTCAGAATTTAATACAGTTCATTGAACTTAGTAGAAATTGATTAAATGTTGATCAGCTATGTTATCCAGAAAAATATCTCAGAGACACTGTTTCATTGCTCAGAGGACTCTTTTGAGATTTTCCCCCTATTAGTCTTGAAAATATAGATCTATGACTCTCTCATACAACATTTTGAAGTTTGGCCAGCCTACTTCTGCAATTTTCTTTCTCACTAACAAGAGAATGTTAGCATGTCTGCAGAGCTTAATGTTGCATCATCAGAATCTTTGAGAACATAGCAGATTGTTTAACTTGCTTTTAAGGAGCAATAAACAAACTAAGAAAAGTTACGATCCATGGTAGATATAGGCTCTGTCACAGGATTTGGAAAAGCAAAACCACCAAGGATGCTGAACAAGAAATTACTAAAAGAATGTCCCTTTAAAATATAAGCTCCTTCTTACACATACTACTAAACAAAATTACTTACAGAACAATAAACAAAAATTACTTACAGAAAATCAACAGAGATCTCTAATATAAAACTCCTTTTGGATAAAATTTCAACAACACTTAAACACTAAAAACCTAACAAGTATTAGAGAATGAGCAGGGAGCCATACTCGCTTCTGCTCTTAGATGAACCTTAGGTCAATTGGGAAAATTTTTCTAAAAGTAAATATCTATAAACTATCTGGGATTTTAGGTTAACAAAAGCCATGCAACAAATTGGAAAAGAAAAAAATCCATAGGTAAGACATACATCTTATGTCCAATCTCTTCACAGTCTTCCTTTGCCTGCACTTTGTTTAAAGCAGTCATTCCCATGGGGCTGAATGCACGTAAAGGGCTGAGCCAACCAAAGGGCATGAGACACTTTTGAGATGGAGAGTTTGGAATCTGGAAGGGGATCAATCAATTGCTCTAAGGGATGGTAAGTCAGATTTAAGAGATGGGACTGCAGGGTAAAGGCAATGCAAGCTCACTTGATTCTTCCTGCCCCATGATATTCTCCTGCTTCCTCCTGGATTTCCTCTTCCAGTTTGGGTCCTGTTGTCTTTCTCCTTTTATTCTACCTTCCTAGTCCATTTCCCTTGTTTTTCACCTTTCTCTTTTATCCTTTATTTCCATGTATAAATTTACGATCTGCTTCTTTCTTCCTGTTTAACTGGCTGTGACAATGAGCTGAAGCATATTTTTATTACTTTATGGAATAAAGTTTTAAGTTCTTTTCTTTTCATTTTGTTAATGAACAAGTTGGCAATTTTATGTATCTTTTTCCTTTCTGATATTAGTTCATTTTACGTTCTTCCTACATATTTTTCTGTAAATTGTTCTTCAAAGACAGAGTCTCCATTCTTGCATAGATAGACCCTCTCCATTGCCTGCTTTTCTTCACTTCCTTCATTGACATATATGAAATCCATGTGGTCCCTGTATTTCAAGAGGAGAAGCGGAATATGACAGGGAATGCTCACTCCTCTTCAGAAAGAAGCAGTCATCTGCTAAAATGCACAAAGGGCAATTGTGAAATTTTCTATGGGGGCTGTGATTTAATTTCTCACCATTGCACTGGTGGAGATAAAGGTGAGAGGTCTTTTATTGATGTGCTTTTCTTTCAGTGCTTAATGGTAATGTGAATTTGATCCACATTTCTACTGCATTTAGATTTTTGTTACTGGCAAAAATAGAAAGCTCATTGATGCCCCAAAATATCTCTTTATAATTCAGGTAATGTCATGTAGGATAAATCAGTATGAATTTCAAACTCTTGAAACCATTAAAGACAAAGGCCTCTCTATTCCAAAGGGAATGTAGAAAATATGAATAAATCATAATGTTCTGATGTTAAGGTATTGCTAGAGGTCAAGTGGACTTGGAGCTATGTGGCAATTTCTTATGTGGGTATTTTAATAGAATTTCATTTCTCTTAAGAAGGATAAAATTTTTGCATCTTGTATTATTTTCAAATGAGGGATACTCATTTGAATTAATATCAAGAAGCATCCCATGCAGAATTTTTAAAAATCATCAGTCTGCCATCTTATCCACATTATTTTGTACCTTCAGGCTCTTGATGTAGTTTTTATGAACAGGATTCAAATAAATTGGCTCTTTTTCCTTGGTGGTTTCTTTAATTACTTTGTTATTATCCAAGGAACTGGTTTAATTTAAATGAACACTGTGTTCCTGCTACTACCATCCAGAGAAAACACAGACTCAGAACATGCTGTTTTGTAGTTAAAGTGTATGTCTCTGCATGGGGATGCCAGAATCGGGTAGTTCAATGGCAGCTTCCTATTTTATATAAAGAGCAAATCCAGCCTTTCTTGTGAAATCATTGTCTTCCCCAAAACTCCTATTCATCTCACTAGATACAAAGAATAAATAGTACATGTATAAATAAATATTTTTAGGGAAATATGATAGCATTCAAGCCAAGCAACCCAGCAAGTTTAGGTAGTTCTTTTTCCCCCAACTATTTTTATAGGAGGTACATTTTAAAACCAATTATGGGCTGAAGTTATCATAAGTGATCCAACCCTCCACTCAACCTCCAAGATTTTGACATTACATCAAAGTCTTGTTACACGCTTATTTGTAACTGAGATGTTTGCAAAGGTGCCGAATTCCCCTTCCCCTTTGTAGCTTTCATCCAACAAAAGTATATTATAAATTTCAAAGGAACAATATATATATATATATATACACACATATATATAAATATATATACAAACATTAGGATGCCATAAAGTATTTTACAGACACCATGGAAATATAAAATTGTATTTCATTTCCTGAAATAGTTATAGTTTCAACCCCAGCTCCATCTCTTTAACTGAAGCCATGTGTGAGAAAAGCAAGTTAAATCTTTGGAAACACTCTATTTCGGGCTATTGACTGAGACCCTCCAGAAATCATAGCTTTTCTCCTGCTGCAAATAGAGTGGAGAACAGACTTTCTCATCTGCTAGGGAATGAGAAAGAACTGGTATGACTGGGGGAGATTTCTTGACCTATGAACAAATAGCCAAATAGCAGCCTCATACTTCTTTTATCTTTCACTTGAGAATTAACATTTCTGTCATACAGTAGAGACTTATTTTTTTTCATGTGCAAAGAATTTATCTAAAACATGACCCTTTGCCAGAAACGACAGCAAAACCTATGGCACCAGGAGAGTGGGTACATCCCCTTAAAATGGTGCCAGAGAATACTGTACACATGATGAACAGAGAGATCAAACATTGTCACTATTTGCAATGGAAGCGTCCATGTCTCAATGTCAAACTGGAATTATAGTTAGGAGCCTGCTTTCTGGAACCAAATACACCTGGATTTAAATTTTTGCTTTCCCTGTTACTGGGTGATCTTAGCTCCTCTCAGCCTCAGTTTTCTCATTTGTAAAATGGGGATAAAAATAGTGTCTAACTCTCTGGGTGGTATTGTGAAAATTCAGTGTGAAAAAGCATGTGGAAAGCTTAGCATGGCTCCTAGCATATGAATGCTCAATATCATCATCACTAGCAGAGCAGGCTCAGAAAATTCCCTTGATCCCAGGAAGCCGACTGTCTGCTGTTACCCAGCGCATTCCGGTAGATTGCGTTTCTCAAAAATGTAGTTCTTCGACTACCTGCATCTGCCTCTCTTGGAGTGCGTTTAAAAAGTGCAAATTCCTGGGCCCCACCCAGGACACCGGAATCTCTGAGTGTCAGGCTGGGAGTCTCCACCTTTAACAAGTTTACTAACTTTGGAAACCGCTGCCCTAAATGAGGTCACCCCTCAGCCCATCCACCAAAGCATTTGACCCTGACACAAGGCACCCTTGATTCAGACAGCTACAGTCATTACTGGTACCTGCTGAGTGCCTTTTTACACAGGTACTTATTCAAGTACAGAGATAATGAGGAAGCGGTGTTAATGGAACAAACTGTACTAAAGTGTGTGCTGTGCCCAGAGCCTCCTGTGTGTTTTTCTCTGGCTGGTCTTTCACTCGGCCATTTTATGTACCCACGTCTCTTTCTCTCATTACCTGGTGAATCCTCCTGATCCTTCAAATCTAGCTTAGAGCCCACTTCCTCAGGAAAACTGCCTGACCACATTCCTTTCTCCGGTTTTTGTATTCCGACGCCAAATAGCATCTGTAAAAGTCTTCTAGCTCTTAGTCATTGCTATACCTTTTTGTACTGTTTCTAAAGCTGACATCACTTGTTCACGTCTCTTGCTGGTCTCTTGTCTCTCTACCTCTCTCATGGGGATATAAATCTCTTAAAGGCAAATGCCCTATGTTAGACTTACACTTCTCAATTGTCCTCAAGTACTCAGCACAGAACTTTGAAGTTTGTTTTCCGGAAATATCTGTTGAATGGGTAGGTGTGGACCCCACTTCAGGCTTTCTTTGATGTCTGAGATAGAGGTCTTGAGTTTCTTCTAATTAATCTTAGCAACCTCAAGTAGAACTGTCAGATGTTATATGCTTCCTGAGATGAGGAAGCAGCAAATCTGCAGTATCATCTACTAAATATTCTCCCTTGAAATATTGAACCTGGATCTGAAAAAAAGCCTCTAGATCTGACTACCAGTTTACAGAAGACATGGGTGATGGAATAATAAGTTAAGCACTACTATACAAAATCATTCGTCAAATTCAGAGTGGAAAGTGCTGATGGACAAATGGTGACTTCATGTCATAGAAAAAGAGGACAGGGTGGGGCACTGTTAACTATAATGGGGCTTTAAAGACATAACTATTTGCGGTAGGTGGAACTTTTGAGATAATCAGGGAAATTTGAATGTGGACTGGGCATTTAAGTGAAATAAATAATTACTATTAAGTCTTTATGCATGAAAGTGGTTATATTTTTTAAATGCCTTTATCAGTTGGATATGCGTACTGAAATATTTATGAATAAAATAGACTAATGTATTTTAAAATATTACAAGAAAAATATAGTAGGGGAGATAGACAAAATGTGATTGGCAAAGTGTTGAGAATTGTAAAAGCTGAATGACAGGTAAATGGGAGTTTATTACACTAGACTCTCTACTGCTGTATATGTTTGAATAATAAAAACTTTAAAATGCTTAGGCAAATAGTAATATTTTCTGAAAAATACTTCATCCTCATCTTTTCAGCTGAAATGAGAATAGGAGAGCTTGTTTTAAATATGAAAAGCTTTGCTTTTAAAGCAGGAAGAATTTTTTAAAGCTATCATTTGAAATATTTTAAATTTTTTATTTATGTATATATTTATATGCTGATTTGTTCCACCAAGGATTTGAGGAGGAAGTTTTTGGAATGGATGTTATTGCTGTGGAAAACATTGTTTATGCATTCGTTCATTTAGGTCACTTGGAGGAGGCTGCAGCACCAGAGGTCTCTGGTTGCGTGTACAAAGGGAAGAAGATAATAATCTAAGGGACTCCCTCACCTGGATGATTCTCCCATGTCAATCAGGCAGAAGCTTGATTGAACAGATGGGCCTTAAGCTGTGCCCTGAAGGCCAGCTGACTGTGTCAGAGCAGAGGGCAAAACAAACGGAGTCATATGCCCTCCTTGCAAAATCTTTTCTTTTTGGCAGAAGCAAGTAGGCAAAGTACAGGCATTAAAGCCATGGTTGACTGGTTAAAAATTTATTCCGTTGCTACTCCCAAAGAGAATTTGAAGTGGTGTCATGGAAATGTATTCCCAGAGCCTCTTGCCCCAAATTTGGGAGTGGAGATGTTGGGAAGATGGTAAGATGCGTGGCCATGGGAATGCCTGAATTAACTATTTAGGTACACCTGGAAAGCCAACATTCTTCGATGCACGCTGAGCACCAGAAAATGCTTCAAATGTTGAGAGTTAAGACAAGGTTGAGCCATTTCCTAAAGGAATGAGAATCTAAACTTCATTTATTTCCCCTAAATCCAGGGAGACAGCTCTGGGCTGTTACTGTATTAGAATGAACCATTTGAAATTGCCACTATTTGGCCATGTTTGACATAAAAGAATAGCAATTTTATATAGTTCAAATTTAACAACTCAATTGTTAGATGAATTGTGGGGTGGCAGTAGAAAAGAGAAGAAAGAAAAAAAGAAAAGATAAAGAGAACTAATGGAGAACAATGAATGACAATAGGAGATAAAGGACTAAGTTTGTTTGTTTGTTGTTTGTTTATTTGTTTGTTTGGAGCCTGAGTACCTGGGAATATTATGATTTCATTAACAGAAATCAGAATAGAAACCAGGACTGGGATGAGAGAAATACTAAGTTTATCATAGACATGTTCAGTTTGTGATGACAGCAATTGAGAAATAAAAGGTAATAATTTCAGAACAAGATCAGAACCAGAAGTAAAGTCAACTGCCAATGGTATAAATAGTTAAATATGAATGAGTAAATATGTTCATCAGGGAAAGAGTGTAATAGAAGGAGAACAGAGACCAAGGACTAAAACCTGATGAGATGGAAGAGGAATTCAGAGAAGAGATTAAGAAAGAGGACTCAGAGAAGCCAGAGAATTCCATGTGTCATGACAGCCACAGAAATGATACTTTATAACACAGAATTTCTGCAGAGAATCCAGGTGGTTTGAATAATGCAGTTCAATGCCCCCATTGACCTTTACCCTCTTACCTTCACAAGTAGTTTTTGCTTATTTGTTCATGTGAAGAAACTAGTATATTCAAAATATTTCAGCCATGGTACTGGAGTTTTCTAGAACCATTTTTAAAAAGTATTTCCCCTCTCTCTCTCTTTGATTTTTAGATTCTATCTGGACTTTAAATGCCATTCTTTTTCGTTCTTTCTTAGTGTCTTAAATCCTACAACAAGTAGCATGATGGCAACTGAGTTGCCAAGAGCAGGGAATTCCAGCCCCTGCCTGCCTCTCTTCTTCACATTACGCAGTGGGTTTAAAACCTGTCTCAGCTGTATGCTAAGCAGAGCGAGCGCAGCCTCTGCACCATCCCAAGCATTCATGCATCTGGGTAGTGTGGCCCCAGCAAAACTCCCATGACTGCCCTGATTTTCAGGAGAGGTTTATACAAATTAGAGAAAACAAAGCTGTTCTGTTCATGCCCTTTTGTCCAGCCCTGGGAACAACTCGAATCCTGGAAAAGATGCACATTTTGAAGATTCCCTAGGGTTTTATCATGATTTGGAGGAATGCCATTGTTTAGGTTGTTGCTAATAATCTGAAGTTTTCCCTAGTTAGACTCTAGCTGCCAGGACACAGGAAGAGGAGAGAGAACTGAGAGGGAAGACTTTGCTTTCATTTAACTTGACCTCTAGTCACAAAAAGGCCCAGCACATCTTTCCTGAACAACTCAAGCTGGTTTTTCACTCCATCTGACCTCCGAGCAAGAAAGACTTCTTGTTGAACACCTGGGTCCTGTCCCAGCAGTTCTGGGCCCAGTCCTAGCCCTGGCACAACTCTCAGCTGCATGTGCCCTGATCTCTCTTCTCCTTTATTTAAATATAACCATCTAGACTGGCTGGGATAAGAAGGAGCTAATAGACCCCACAGGGTCTGTGGTCTCTGGGATGCCTGGAGATTATGTTTGCCTAATTAGTTCTGCCCCACTATCAGTACGGATAACCCAGGGAGCATCGTGATTGGTTTGACAAAGTTAATGGATGATCTGCCATGAAAGCATGATCACCAAGGAGCCAGCCGCAGCTCCAGCTGGAGGCTGAGTCCCAGCTACAGCCTTTCTGCACTTCATCTCACACTTCTTGGGCCTGTATAATAATCCCTCTTGCAGAAGATTTGAGCTTCTCTGTTCCACAAAATATAAGTAACCCTCATCTTTTCTCCCTTATGCTAAACCCCCATGGCCTGCAGCTGGCTAAATTTGGAACAAGCACCGTATCTGAGTGTTCCAAGGTCCTGAAAGAAAGAAGCCCTTAGACCCCCATTACCACTTAGACAACCGAGAGTTAAGCATCATTTAGCTCCAGCCTGGGCCTCTGATAATTCTTCATTATTTTGATTTTTGACACAAGGAGAGAAAGTGCTCCCAGATCAACAGCACTCCAGGATCCCGTGAATAGGGGAAGCTTAGAAAGTTCATTTCTGTGCCTTCTGAACTTTGCTGCAATCTTGCTGTTCTGGCTCCTGTGAACTTGCTTGTGGTTGCAATTGTGACTGATAAGCATATCTTGCAAATGCCACACAAATCTTGGGACAACTTTTAGGGTAGTAAGACTGCCCAGATAACAAAGACCAAAAAGTGGAGCAATGTATGTCCACAGGCAGCACTATTGTAAGTATTTTCTACTTGTTCAGCCTGCCAACTCTTATTGAATATCTGCCCTGTGCCGGGTACTAGCCGAGTTTGTGGGGATACAATAGTAAATTAAATAGAGCACTTTTCCTTAAGGAGCTTTTACAGTCTAATGGGGAGAGCAGGCCTGTGTCTCATACTTTCTGCCATCCCCTGTCCATTATTCCAGACATGCCATTTATGGGAAGTGGAAGCAGGATAAGGAATGGTTCTGGTTTTTCAACATACAAAGGAAATAAATTCTTTGCTTAGTTTGACTCTAGCAGACTCTCTGGAACTTTAGTCCCTAGGATAATTCATCCCGCAATGGTTGTGGCCAGCCTGTGGCTTACATTTCTATCCTGTTATCTGTAGCTTTGATGTGATTGAATAGTAAGTCCAAGTGCAGCAAAACAGCAATATGAAGAGACGCTCACCATGCCCTCAGTCATGAGGAAAATAGAACTGAAATAGTCAACAGTTTTTAGGTATCTGAAAACTCAATTCAAATTGACAAGGACAAAAATAGCTTATTAGCAAATATAACTGGAAAGAATGGAGGGAGGTAGCATAATGCCATCATCGTTGGGATAACAGAACTTGGCCAATGTCACCAAGGACTCAAAATTACTATGTCACTTTGTCCTGCATTCCTCTCTGTTAGCTAAGTGAAGAAAAGAGTGTACCCTCAGATACCCAAGCAATAATTTGAACAAAAATACCAACTCTTTTTCTTATTGGACTATTTAGTCATATTCCCAAATCTGAACCAATCATTTTGGCCAGGAAATTGAATGTGTTAATTGTATTGTGTCACATTGTGTTAATTGTATTGTGTCACTGTGTTCCACAGTGTGGAAGTAGATGTGGTCTCAACATCACCCAAACCCACACATAACAAATAACAGAAATGAAGTGGTCTCCCAAAAGAAACTGAGGTTAGTATTTTCAGAAGAAAGAAGATGGAATGTTAGCTGGCTGGGATTGTGGAGCAGAAACCACAAATGGCAACTCTAAGAATTTTGATTAGACATGTTGCAAAGTAGGTTATCTGTGTTCATGTTGTTTCCAAAAAGCAGAACAACACACAAGGTGTCCTGTAATTGGGTAAAACTCATCAAAAGAGAAACTAGGAATAGTCAATATTCCAAAATTCATAATAGACTTTTAGAAACTGATATGGTTTGGCAGTTACCCCCATGATGCTGTTCTCATAAGTGAGTACTCACAAGATCTGATGGTTTTATAAGGGACCTTTCCGCCTTTTGCTCAGCACTTCTCCTTGCTGTCACCATGTGAAGGAGGACATGTTTGCTTCCTCATCCACCATGATTGTAAGTTTCCTGAGGCCTCCCCAGCCCTGTGGAACTGTGAGTCAATTAAACCTCTTTCCTTTATAAACACACAGTCTTGGGTATGTCTTTATTAGCACCATGGGAATGGACTAATACATAAACACAGGACTGAAGGGCAGAAGGAAATGTGTAAGTTGAGAACAGAAGTCTTCAGTCCTAGGAGGACCAGGGCACCCAAGCCGGTTACTAAGGCAGGCTCCAGGCAAGGATCCAGTCAACTGAAGGGGTGTGCTGGATGAGGCTGAATCTTATGACAAAGCCAAAATTGTATCATAAGTACCAAAAGTATCAAAATTGGATCATAGCATTGACTCTGACTTAGGCAAGAGTGTGAGGAAGAGTGGAGAAGCCAAGAGTGAAGTTAGACTCCCTGAATCCCCACATGAAAAGATCAAGGTCAGAAGGTTTCAACTGATCTACAGCTGTGGGGATGGTAGCATTTAAACGATTGATTTGACGCACATCTGCTGGACTCAAAAATCTCATAAAAAATGCATTTCTTGTCTAACTCTGAACTCAGGTTTTCTTGGCTGTATACTTCCAAATGAGTATCAAATGTGTGGGTCTTTTTTGGGAAATGAACTGAAAATCTGAGTCCAAGTCTATGAAATTTTTCTGGTAGGAAATTATCACTCTTGCTCCTCAAAAAAGAATACAAGTAGAGCAAATGTCAGTACCAGGAGATGAAGGGTGACCTATTGGCATGGCAGATAAATGCAGAGACCTAGTTCCAGGCAGACACTGTATGAGCTATGGTAAATGGAAGCTTCCTGTGTGGCCTCTGGAATGGTGGTGTTGAGGCATTTGGCACTTTAAGTGGTAATAATTCCTAGATAGTACCCTCCTGGCAGTGGAGGCAGCCACTTGTCCCAAAGTCCTCCATAGCTAAGACCTTTTCCTGTTAGCAGACTTTGTAGTGCCCCTTGCTCTTTGGTATCTCAGACAACCCTGGACAGCATCTAGACCTTCCACCACTCATCATCCTCTCAGGCTCTCAGCCACCTCTGAGAAGTGCTGAGTCCATCACTCCCTCAAAGACCTGATAGCTGGAAGATGTGGTTAAGTCCCAAATTCTACACAGCACAGGGACCCCAGTGCAAATCAAAATGGTCCAGTAAAGCTGGGCACAGTGGCTCATGCCTATGATCCCAGCACTTCGGGAAGCCCAGGCAGGAGATTTGCTTGAGCTCAGGAATTTGAGATCAGCCTGGACAAAATAGTAAGACTTTATCTCTACAAAAGAAATTTTTTTTTAATTAGGTGTGAGTAGCACGTGCCTGAGAGGCCAAGGCTGAAGGATCACTTGAGCCCAGAGGTCAAGGCTGCAGTGAGCCATAATTGCACCATTGCACTCTAGCTTGGGTGACAGCACAAGATCCTGTCTCAAAATTTTTTTTAAAAGAGGTCCATTAATCTTGGTTATCCAATATCATTCAAGATATATCTTTAAACTAAATTTCAAAAGAGTAACTTTGGGTTACATTAGGATGCTATATGGCCTATAAAAGTCATTCAGAAAATATATCCTGAGTAAACAAAAAATCATGACAAAATTACTAATAATACAATTTACACAAGATTTCTCTTTGTCTCTTTCTCTCTGTCTCTGTGTGTGTGTGTGTGTGTGTGTGTCTCTCTCCATATATATATATCTCTCTCTCCTCCACACACCACACGATTCTTCATTTCTACCAAACAGTATCTGCCCTACATAACATGAGAGAGCAGAAACACGATTTCCACTGCCACTTTGTCATCTCTTGGACATAACCTCTGATGAGAGACACCACCCATTCAGTAAAAGAACAGTATCCCACTTCTCCAGCCTCATAAAAATATAAAGCTAATAGCCACCTCGAACCTGCTCAAGCAGATCGGATACGAGCTCTCTGCGGTTAATTTCTGAAGCTTCGATAAGGCCTCAAGTCTATTTTTCTTTTTAAGATCCATTGCCACGCATCACCTTGAAGAACTGTTTTCCCCCCGCACAGATATAATATAAAATGAAAAATGAAGTGCATTTTAGATCTATATGCCTATAAAACTGTGTTCTCCCATTTATAATTCAGGGAAATGTATTTTTCTGAAATTAGATTGTGGAATATTTTTGGTAGTGAGTCTCCCATGTCACCTTCCCTAGAAACCAAGTTCCTTCATGATTTGCAGTCACTGAGGAAGGATGAAGGTAAGCGTTCTCAAAGACACAGGGTCTGACATCCACTTGAGGGGTTTGGCATTCATCTTAGGAAACAGTCAATGATGTTTGCAGAGTGGTCGAAATTTTTTAAAAATTCAATTAATTCAGTAACAGGTAATAAAAATTCAAAGGCAACTCACCAGTTATGAGGCTAAATGACAGAGTCATTATGTGTCCTGTCAAATGAGAAGATCACACCTTTCTTTTTTTCTTTACCAAGAAGTTACACAATGGATATTCTTTAGATGCTTTCTTTTCCTCAGTTTTGATTGGAAAAAGAAGAGTATTATTTTGCCCTCAGTGAAACGAATGCATCATCTCATCAGCAATTGTTTGGTCAATTGGCAAGGGTAAGAATAGGCAGGAAACAGAAAACTTTGCCTTGTGGCCTAATTATTTATTTCTATTTATGTGCGTAGCTACCCTCAGCATTGTAGTTTAGTACTTGTATGCCAATCAATTAAAATGTTCTATTTTCTGAAACAGTAGGCACTTCCAAAGTAAAAAAAAAAAAAAAAAAAAACTGATTTCAAAGTATAGCAAGGAATCCAGATTAACCCCATGTCATAGTCACAAAGAGATTTTCCAAGTTTAGCACAATTTCTGACACAGAGTAGGTATTTGGCAGATATTTGTTGAATCGTTGAATTGAGCAGCAGCAGCCTAAGGTGTATCGGCAGGTATGAAGGACTTGTGAAGAGGATATTCTTCTCTATGAAGCACTCTAGAGGGCACCTGATGAAACCAGTTTGCAGAGGGAAGCCCAGGAGTCATTGGGGGAGAATCAGAGGCGAAGCCCAGGAGTCATTCGGGGAGAATCAGAGGCTGGAGGCCTTGTACCAGCAGTCATTTGTTACTGTTAAAATGGCCCTAATTTGAACCCACACTAGTATGACCTGAGGAATTCTGGGTGGCAAAACAAGAAGAGAGATGGACCTTTCTTCATCTTTACTGAGGAGGGATTGTAAAAGATACTTTCCATTGTGTAAGAGCATGAGGGTAGACCTCTGTCTGGCTCTTTCCTGTCAAACACTGGAGCCTTCCTTGCCCTACTCAGATAGCAAAGAATACAATGAGTGGCCTAATTAGGGCTCCACTCAGACATCTTCCTTTCGTGTTTTGATCTATACCCACCAAAAAGTAATGACCAGACCTCTTATACAACAACATCCAGTTTAAAACCAAGCCTGTGAGAGCCGCTGTCTTAAAATTTTCAGACAAAAATTGCATTTAACCACTAATAACCATTTTGAGCATTTAATTTTTGACTGAAGCATAAACCCTTGATGAACAAAGCTTCCGATTTCTGACAAGCATCGACTAGACCCTCACTTGCTATGGACGTTCCAAAGTCTTGCCTGGTATGCTATAAAAAGCAGATACAGTTCCTCTATGAACATGACCTGTCTTCCAGGCTCACTAAGGAGTGAGCTTGGCAGATTATAACCATATAGGATCCTAAAAGAAATCCAGAATCAGGGGATAAATATCATGGGATTAACATTTTGTGGAAATTATCTGGGGCAAAGATATATTCCTACTTAAACCTCAAGAAAATGCGTCCCTTAAAGGACTAAAATAGTGGTCACAGACATTTAGATTAAGGTTCCACGGTGCATTGTTTCTATCTCCTGGTTACTTGGTCCAGTAGCTTGCTTTGGGCAGGCCTAGCTTATCAGAAAAGGGATTTTATTATCCTACTGCTGAACCATTAATAATAACAAAAAATAATAAAGTTTTGGGCCAGGCGCAGTGGCTCACGCCTGTAATCCCAGCACTTTGTGAGGCCGAGACAGGTGGATCACTGGGTCAGGAGTTCAAGACCAGCCTGGCCAAGATGATGAAACCCTGTCTCTACTAAAAATACAAAAATTAGCTGGGCCTGGTGGCACGCACCTGTAATCCCAGCTACTCGGGAGACTGAGGCAGAAGAATCAATTGAACCCGGGCGTCAGAAGTTGTAGTGAGCCGAGATTGCACCACTGCCCTCCAGCCTGGGCGACAGAGCAAGACTCCATCTCAAAATAAATAAATACATAAAGTTTTAAATTAGATCTGATTGGAAGATCTTTCATTTGTTCAGGGGCAAAACTGGGGTGCGTGGGGATATGTGGGTGAGTGGAGAGTGAATGGGAGGTAGGTATTGCAAAACAGAATGTAAAAGATTGAGACCTCAGGAGATTGACATTTCAGACCCATGCTGTACCAGACTAGTGATGCTCAGCTGTAGTGGGACTCAGGAAAGTCACAGTAGCCTAAAATTAGATGTGGGTCACTCAGGAAGGGTGAAAATGCTACCATTTAATCACCACAACTGCATAAGTGAAACCATGCAACATTCTGTGATGTTCCCACTACCGTCTAGTGTTATTTCCTGACAGGAAAGGGCTGATAAAGGACATGCTTTGAAAATCTTACCATTGTTGTAAAGACAAAACTGTGGGCAAGAAATGTTAGAACACTGGGGAGGAGGGGCAGAGGAAAGAACATCTGGGGGCCATACATGACACTGCAGCAGATTTATTCCTCACTAAGCCTGCTGTTGTATCATTTTACCCTTCCAGAAAATGGAGATGAAGCGTTCACTTATTATACCTTACCAAGGTAAGCTTCATACATTAATGTAAAATATTTTGAAAATGTCACATAAAATCTATTATAGAAATACAAGATGTTACCAGTGATTTTTCTCTAGCAGGATATACCAGAGGGGAATCGCCTCCAACAGAAATGGAATTGTAGTTTCTAGCCCCCCTTGCTGGACAATCAATGTAAAAACATCAGTTTCTCAGGCTTCCAGCTGCACAGCAGATGTTAGTGGGAGAGAAGGTTGGGGCAGTGCAAACTGGTTTGGCTCACCCGTCAGAATCCTTGTTCACAGCCTCATTTCAAGAGATCTCACTGGGTTCCCATTTCGGCTGAGAGTGTTTAGAGGGAAAGACTGCCCTGTCTCCCTTCCAAGTAGAGAAAAATAATAATAATAAAGCTCTTCAGAAATCAATATATATTCCAATTTCCTTAAGTGAGCCGTGGCATTTTTACAACTTGTCTGTGAAATTTCATAACCACATTCAGAAACACAACTTCTACTGGGGTAGCAGTCCTAACACAGAAGAGGGAAGGGGATGGAAGTTAGTCACATCTAACCAAAACAACAAGGAGCATTCGAGTCAGCAGAATGTAATTACTGGGATGGAAATGGTGGCCGGGACAGTGGGCTTTAGTCACTCACGTGATCTTATGAGAAGTACCATCCGATCTTTGATAATGACACTGACACACTCAGAAAGAGAGACCAATATAGGATGCTTTTAACAGGTGCTCTCCTCTCTTCTCTGCCACCTTACATGTCTAAAAGAGGTTAGTGAACCGAACCTTTGAAGGACATTTTGAAGGCAGCAGACACAGCTTGAATGTTGGGTGGTTGTTTTTTAATGGACTTGTCAGCAGCCATTCTCATTTGCAATAGAATTCCCTTTCTCTCCTACCCTTTCTCAGGTTTGTGTTTTCCCAGTGCTGTGCCAATGCTGAATAATTTACAAGGATAGAAAAAGAAAACTGTCACTATCACAGTCCCAGGGCTCTCCACTCACTCATCTGTCACATGGTCAAATGTCACTGGTGCCATTATTTGTGAGGGGTGAGATTAACGCCACGTAGCTACTTGCCTTGTTTCTTTATCTATTGTTAATGGTACTGAACTCCAAATGTATTTTTTAGAAGAGCTGGTTGCCATTTCCGCAACAAATGTCCCACCTAAGGAAATCCAAATAACTGACCTCCCCATTCCATCTCACCCTTTCATCTGTCTTCATCTGTTTCTTCTTATCTGGCATTTCCACCCACAGCATAAAAATACAATCTAGTTAGAACTATATTCAGAAGAAATGCCAGCATTCAAAGTGATCCCAGTCATGTTGGTTCTGTTCCTTATTAGGAGAGAGAGAGAAAAAAAAGGCCATCCTGGTTGCAATAATAAAGAGTCACAGTGAATCACAGAAGGAGCGGACAAAAGATCCCCTGCACACAGATGGCACTTTGCAGAAGGGAAATCAGAGGCACGGCACTCAGGGGAATTACCAAAGTACAGAAATGCGAGCATCAACATTTTTTTTCTTTATTAAGAGGGTAAAATAGCAGTATTGATTATATAAAAGAAAAAGAAAAAAATATAAAATACTAATAATCATCTAGTTTTAATATAATAAAGAAAATAAATTTTACATAGGTAGATGCTGACATTAACCCATGAAAATTTATTGCTGTGTTCTAAGCATGGAAGAACTCCCATCCCTGATTGAAGACCAGGCTCTCCGAAGAATGGTGAAATGTATTAAAATTCCTATCTATTGGTGTCTCAAGTGCGAATATTCAGAAATAATAATGATAGCTCGTGTCAATCAAGTACTTAGTAAATGCTTTAAATGTACCATTACTGTTAATGCTTATAAAGATTGCTACTGTTAGTACCTCCATTTTACAGATAAGAAAACTGAGGCACAAAATGTTTAAGTAAATGATCCAAGTAAGTGGTAGTGAACCTGAGACCGGTCATAGAGTAAGACACTAAACTTCCATTTGAAAAATGTGTATCTACACACTACTGAAGAATTGAGGGAAGATTGAAAAATTTAATTCACTCTTATGAGCTTGGGTCAGGTTAACAGCCTTACAAAGCCTACACCATTTGTTTCTGCCTCTCCTCGTTTGAGTGCCAGTTGACTGAATTAAATTCTTAAGAATTAACTTGCTCCTGTCCTATTGAGTGAGCTAATTTGAAATGACTAGAATTTATTTGCTTCCTACTCTTTTTCATGACATATGATTGGATCTCGGCTCTGGTTCATTAACAGGTAAGCTACAGGCACAAGTTATCCTGTCCCAACTTGGCTTCTCATCCTTGAGTGTTTCTTTGTGTTTCCTTTTGGTTTGATTTGGGGAAAATCCTGATATTTTATCTCAGGTGATACCTTAGAAGGGTAGATAAAAACACAGAGCAGCTCTGATCCCATTAGCTGCCTTAAAAGGGCAGGGAGGAATTGAGGAGATCTGCTATCTTATTCACCTCTAGCAGATAAGTGCTCTCAGAGAGCTACAAAGGCAAAATCCCCAAGGAACCTACAATAAAGACACCTGGGTCATCTTGTGGAGCGATGCCAGCTGAAACCCAGAGGCTGTTTCTGTGAATATATAAAATGACCTGGAGAATCCAACTTCACTCTGAACACACTGATCACTTTTTCCAAATGTCAAATGAAAACCTGAAATTTCAAGGTAAAGATCTGGAACCTTCTATCTCTTAGTTACGGGGACAGAGATTGGCAATAATGCAATCATCTGGGATGTTATCAGGTCCATGAGCAAATGGATGCTGCATGTGGAAGGAGACTTCAGTGAACAGATTCAGCACATAGACAGTCATTTGCTCCAACTGATTTCTATTTGTGCTGATGGTGACTCCAAGTCATCAGATCTGATGGAAAATTATCACTCCTTAGGCACAACTAGTGGTGGATACAGGTGCTTTGGAATTAACCAGTGGCTAGATTTGTGGTTCCTTCACATTGAACCGATCTTTTCTAATTCCAGATACTTAGAATACAAAAGGAAAAAAAAAAAACTTAAAAAAAAGTGGTTGTGCAAACTTGTTGTAGGAAACTACTAATGGTTACCCTTAAAGGTTTTTTAAAATGTAGGTATTTTTGGAGGAAGATTGAGCCCATTCTTGCAGAAGCAACAACTGCTGAAAACAAAGTTTATAAATTGCACTGTGATCCCTGACCCCTTGAATGACAAAAAGAGGCAACATAAGCCTTCTTGTATAGGCTCACTTAAGAATCAACTTTTGCAATATTGTTGCCCAATAAAATACTACTGTCATTAAACCTCAAGAGAAAATGCGATTTGAGAAAGCTGTAAGGGCTCTTTGTAGAGAAAATTCCAAGAGCACTGAATGGCCATGAGGTCTTCCTTCGACTTCCAAAATTTCTCTTACTTCAAAGTTTCTGACAAAGTTCCCTTAGCATTCTTCATGGGACTGGCTTTTATATTTTCTAGGCCAATAAACATGCCTTGATAGAAAAACAATTGTTTAAGGGGAAATATTAAAGAATTTATCTTGAAAGTCATTTCAAAAGATTCATTATCTGGCTTCATTGTCTGTCAGAATCTTAACTTTCTGAGCCCTTTAGTGTGTAAATCATTCTTTACTTCACCAAGGAAATCCACGAAAATTGTCAGTGAAAGCCAAACACATAGATTCATTCATTCATTCATTCATTCATTCAACCAACAAATGATTATCATTGCAGATATGACATGCAAGTCACACTGCTATACACAAGTGATCAAAAGGATAAGATACATGTCTAACTTAAAGAGGTTTTTATTCTACTGGGAGAAAAGGACATACAAACTGAAAAATAAAACATGTTATGGAAAATAATGGAAACAGAGCCAGAGTATTATGGATAATACCAGACTCAAGATTTTCTGTGATTTTTTTTTTTTTTTTGGCCTGGACTGGGCCACTTGCCTTTGCATAATATAACCAGGGGTATCATTTTAAAAATGAATATAAACATTTCTATAGAAACCTCTACTTTCAGAGAGGAAGTTTTAAAGTATATTAACATATTTATGTGTGACAATGAATGTGGCCTATTAACAGCAGAATTAATCATTCATTAAAGCAAACTTGAAAAGAATGCTCACTTAATAACATACTTTTATTTATTATATAAAATTACATAATTCAAAATTTTTTAACATTTATACTCACCTTCATACACATTAGTGAGGTTGTAATGCGTATTTGATTTCTTAATTCAGGCATCAGCAAGCTACCCTCAGCCTACTCAGGTGTGCAAACATTTTTGATCAAAGAAGGTCTTAGTGAAAATAGGATCTTGAAGGTAATGATAAGTATTACTAAAAAATAATTTGGGAACAACTGAATTGTACACTTTGTAGGACCCTTATAAAAGGTCTGTGCTATGGTCTGAATGTTTATGTTGGCTCCTTTTGCCTTGCCACCACGTGAGGATGCAGGAAGAAGACATCATTTACAAATCAGTGAGTGAGCCCTCACCACACAATAAATCTGCAGGAGCCTTGATCTTAGGCTTTTTAGCCTCCAGAACTGTGAGCAAGGAATTTCTATTGTTTTTAATTACCCAGCCTAAGGCATTTTGTTACAGAGGCTCAAATAGTCTAAGAGAGTCTGTCTATATTCATATACACATATGTATAATATACAGGCACATTCATAATGACCTTAAGAATCATAAAGATCAATCTTACATACATGCTGTCACCATAGGTCTCAGATCCTTCAATGTAGTCTCGATTCCAGGTATTCTCTCTGATTTTAAGACTGTGCCAGAAAATGTGTCCATATTTGAGTTTTAATATGTATGTATTACTTTGTTTTAGAAAATATTATTGATTTTTAAATTATTGTTACTAAAGTAATAGGCATTCCAAGAGAGCAAGCTTCAGTTCATGGTCATTAGTTGTGCAGTAGGATTATGTGGAACAAGATGGAAATTATATATAGCATTGGTAACATGTGTTCCTAGAAATTCATTAACACATGGATTTTTGAAATATGAAAACAGCAATCTGCTTGAAGGTTTTCATAGTAGTCAAAGATCAGTATGGACATTTGCAAGCCTTCCCGAAGATGACTGGACAAAATAATGGGAGTGAATGTTATTATTTTCTTTTACTGGAAGATTTCTTTTGTCTGATTAGTAATATGGATACTGTGAGCTTCTGAAAGAAAAAAATCTTTCCAAACAGATGGAATTCATTTAAATAAGAAAAGTAAGAGGAGTGCAGACAGAAGCGCAATGGCTCTTGCTATTATCATATGAAAGTACTGTCTAGATCATATGAGTAACAGCCAAGTAAGCCAGCCATGATGTCCCATGTTATAATAGTCCACCGCTGAACATTTCACATGGGCCATGTGTGGAGTTTTTAAATCTTTCTGACTTTTATGAAATACTGCATTACTATTATTGGTGTTATTATAGTTATCACCTTACTTCATATTATGTCGCTTTTGACAAACTTTAAATTATCATACAGATGTTAATATCCACAGTTCAACAAAGCAGATGCACCACATACTTGTAAAATAAGCTCCATGTGTTTAAGGTTGCAATGAACCTCTTTTCTTTAACCAGCACCATCACTCAGTAACAGAGCTAGCCATCTCCATGTAAGTATGTGTGTATGCATCTAAAATAGTAATGGATTAGGACTCTTTCCTTGCAAAAGAAGAGGAATCAAGTTTATTTAACTTTAGAAAGAAAGGGACATTGCTAATTAAGACACAAAGATATTCTATGTCTGAATCTGAGATCTCCTCTGAAAATCTGCTTACTCATTCTCTCTCTTTTAACTGTCTTTCTTTGCCTTCCAGCAACATGTGGATTTATGATGACATCCTATAGCTTCTGGGTTTAGGCTTTGTCATTCAACAAACCAACTTAGACTGGACTCCTCTTTTCATCCTAATTTGAAAATGCCTGGAAAAAGAGTTTGATTGTATGAGCTTAGGTCAAACAAAGTTATTGGACTTCTAATCCAATAACTTTGGTCAAGGGGGTAGGATCCAGAACAAATATGGCTCCTGAGGTTGCCAGGCATGTAAATAAGAGAAGCATTGAAGAGTCAAAAGGCATCTTTATAAGCTAGACAGACTATTCCAAATGTTACAGTCATAAATAACTAATAATGTATGGCAATTTATATTTTACAAAGATGTCATATGTATTTTCAAATTTTATCTCATTTGATCCTCACAACACCCTTCAGTAGACGTAGATATCATTATTCTTATATTTCAGATGAGGAAACAGAAAGTACAAAGACTTAGTGACACAGCTGGACTACAAAGGAGCTACTACTAAACCTCAGGTTTTCTGATTCGAAATTCAGCACTCTTCTTCCTATTCTATGGGAACAGTAGTTTCCGATTTTGTCAGAGTATGAATAAAACTTGAAAACAGGTTTCTGATCTTTATTTTTTTTCCTAAAACAGGACCTCTATTTTCTTTCCTGAGAAGGTTCCCCTCGCCACACTCTGACCAAATGTAACTGGGGTTCCTCCAGTGATTGTCCCACATGTGGTCACAGGCAATTTACCAACCAGATTTACCATGAAGGGTCTGCTTTATTCAACTTTTCCTGCCATTGCTTTCTTCATTAATTCCACTGCCACTGATGGGCTCTGAAGACACTCACTGTTGCCTCCATAGGCAGAGCCCATCCTCGGGCGGCAGATATTCTTTCCAAAGGAGCTGTGTCTGCTGTTCCCCGAACTGCCTTCTTTGAAGTTGCAGAGCCATGCTGAGATTCCTGTGAATGAGGTAATGGCCTTCCATGCCTCTCATCACACCGTTTCACCTGTGCCATAATGCAACTCTGCTTGAGCCAAGTCTCACCAGGTATGTCAAATGTAAATTTCCTCTTTTAATTCTGACCTCTCTCTTAATAGCATCTCCAATAAAGTAAAAGAGAACATATAGACAGGAAACATGATCCTGGACATCCCTGGCACCTCTCCGTCTCTCCCATGTACTACTTTTCTTTCATTCATTCATCGCCCTTTCATGTATTCATTCACCCAGAAAATGATTCTTGTTTAGTGCTTACCATATGCCGTGTGTCGAGAGACACAGTGGTCAACTGGAGAGTCAAGGTTTCTCCCCTCAGGCTCACTTCTAGTTAAGAGAGGGGAGGGAAAACAAACACATGAACAAATAAAGCGAATAATTTCTGATAGGAAGAAAATATATCAGGGTATTGGGGATGTTAATATCTAGTGAGGTAAAGGGGAAACTTGGATGGGCCTCATTTGAAGAATTGACAATCTATAAATCCGATTTATGTAAAACATATCATTTTTGCAAAGAGAAGCAAGTGGAAAACTTCAGGCCAAGGAAAGAATGAGTATAAAGGCTTTGAAGAGGAAATAGCTTGGTGTCTTTGAGGAAAAAGAAGACTAGAGTCTTAGGAGAGTAGCAAGAGGTAAGGTCAGAAAGGTAGAAAGAAGCTAGGTCATGGGGAGTTTTGTAGTCTACAGGAAGAAAGTTAAATCTTATTCTAAGTGCAATGAAAAAACACCAAAAGTTTTTCAGCAGATAGCATAACAGTTTTAAATGATCATTCTGGCTATTGTAGGGAAAATAAAACATTGGCATTAAGAAAACCCTATTCCTTCCTTCCTTGTACCATAAATAAATGAGTACATTCTCATGAATATAAAAGTATTGCAAATACTTGCTTGGGAAGAAGAGGGAGGATTTGCTGTCTAAATTGAAGTACTGAATAAGATATGATTCTTCCACATGTATACATCAGCACAACTTTTTGAATCCACAATACATGTCAAATTGTACATTTAGCACTGGATAACCTAAGCAGCATACAAGGCCTCTCCTCCAGGAGCTTTCAGTCCAAAAGAAGGTGCAGAGAAGAAAAGAAACAATTTCAATTCAGTGTTATATTAGTTATATCTTGCTGTGTTTCAAACCACCCCAAACTTAGTGGCTAAAAATAACATGCTTTTATCATCTCACAATTTCTGTGGGAAGAGAATTTGGGAGTAACTTAGCTAGGTGGTCTGGCTCAGGGTCTCTCATAAGATTGCAAGCAAGATGTTGGCCAGGGTTACAGTCATCTGAAAGTTTGACTGGAGCTTAAGAATCTGTTTCCAAGATGGCGCCCTCACACAGCTCTTGGCTGGAAGCCTTGGATCCTTGCCATGAGAACTCTTCATGAAGGTATTTGAATTTCTTCATGACATGGCAGCTAGCTTTCCCCAGAGAGAGCAATCCAAGAGAGTGCAAGAATGAACACACAAGGTCTTTTTACGACCTAATCTTGAAAATGACACACAGTGACTTCTACTACATTCTATTCTTCAGAAGAAAGTCACTCAGTAGAACCCAAACTCAGGACAGGGGAATTAGGTTTCACCTAATGTGAAGGAAGGGGTGGCAAAGGGTTATGGGGCATCCCTTAAAATCACTATCCACAAATGTGATAAAGTAATGTTATGCAGGCAAATAGTGGCATCCTTAAATTAGACTTGGAGAATTTGAAAAGCCTTCCCACAGGAAAGTTAAGACTGGGAGTAGTAAGTGAAGAAGAGTTCAAAGAGCACCTTAGGCAGAAAGAAGAGTTAGGAAAATGTCTCTCCAAATAAGAAAGCGTGATGCATCAGGAAAATGGCAGTGCGGCATCTCACTGAATCTCTGAAGTTATCAGCTGTAGCAGGGCCCTTCATTTTATACACCAACAAGAAACAAAAATCGCTGCCACTTAAATGGGACAAATTATTGATTGTAAAACACATCTTAATTTTAGAAGTGTGAAGATATGAAATGAAATCAAAGTGCAACTTGGAATCAATGAAATTGGTAGTTTGCTATTGAAAGGGCTTAGAGTAAGGTAGGAGAGTGTGAAGTTGAAGCTGGAAAGGTAACATGGGCCGGATGATGAGTGTATCAGGTCAGTCATGTGTTCATATAAAGAAATACCTGCAACTAGGTAATTTATAAAGAAAAGAGGTTTAATTGGCTCGTGGTCTGCAGGCTGTACAGGAAGCATGGTGCCAGCATCTGCTCAGCTTCTGGAGAGGTCTCAGGGAGCTTTTACTCATGGTGGAAGGTAAGTAGGAACAAGCACATTACATGGTCAGAGTAGGAGCAAGAGCAGAGAGGAGGTGCCACACACTTTTAAATGACCAGATCTCATGAGAACTCAGTATCACAAGGACAGCACCAAGGGCATGGTGCTACACCATTCATGAGAAATCCACCGCTATGACCCAATCACCTCCTACCAGACCCCACCTCCAACACTGGGGATTACAATTTGACATGAAAGTCAGAGGGGACACATATGCAAACTACATCAATGCGGGATCCTAGAAGCCTCTAAGTTTAGTCTTTAGCCCATTGTCATTGGGAAGCCTTGGAGGTTTTAAAACAATGGTGAGTACTCAGATTTGTATTTTAGAAAGATCACTGTGGCTGCAGTGCATAAAATAACTTGAAGGAAGGCAAGGATACCAGTTAGGTGTTGGTTGTATTAAAGATCCAGAACAGATAAGATGGTGACTTGAACAAAAATTAGTGACAGTAGACGGATTGCAGAGATATTAAAGAAAAAAATCAACCAGAGCTAGTGATTAATTGGATGTGGGGGTGGGAGAAAAGAGAGTGGGCTCTATAATATTAAAACACCGCACCTCCATAAATTTTACACGATGACAATATGTAGAGTTTTAATACCATTCTGATTGTTATTAATTACTATTATTGGCATCATTATTCTTATCACTTCATATTTTATTATCTTGCTGGGACTAGATGAATTCATGTTATTTAGAGAAACAGCATGATATAGTGAAAAGTGCAGGGTCTGGGGAGACAAAAGAAAGGTTGTTATGCAATGCCGCCTTGATCCTGTAGTAGCAAGTGAATTTGGGCAAGATGTATGACTTCTCCAAGACTGTTTTCTCATCTTTTAAATGAAGATAGCAATTTCTCCTCTGCTGGTGAAACAGGGGAAGTTTATGCTAAGTGTCTGACTTAGTGCTTCATTGCTTGACATACAGTGGGTGCCCAATTAATGGTCGCTATTATTATTACATTCATATAGCACTTAATTTGACAGGCCAAATGACCATTTAGTTGGTTATTTTTCAGAGCAATTTTTTGAAATAATGGAGAAGATAATGAAAATGGATGACGCTATTAAGGCAGGTGAGTGATAGAGGGATTCATATTGTAGCTTCTACCCTAGTCTACCATGGGTATTACAGAGAAATAATCATATATGTTTAAGTTCAACAGTCTATGTGCAGGGTATTCTGCCTATGCATAGCAGATCATTTTGCAAAGGATGTTAGACTCTAATTTTCCCACAATTAGGCAGGTTGTTAATGGGTATTTTATAAATTTTTAAAGACAAGTTTCATTGTCAAGGACAAGTTTCATTGTCAAGGAAGTTTAAGAAATGCTGGGATTTGTTAAACTAGTTCCTTTTCTGCAGAATTTACCAAAGCTTTAAATATTCTGAAGTGTGCTATAAATCTCCAAGAAGGGAGATAAGATGCAGCATCTTCCAAACTTATTTGATGATGGAACTCTTTTGAGACTAGTTTTCCACAGAACACGCATTTGGGAAATTTTGCAGCAGACTGTATTTTCTTGAATATCTGCATCTTGTATGCATCCTGTCTCTACCCTACTTTAGAAATAGCCACCATATCTGAGCAACACAGTAAAAAGATCTTTTTTCATGACTCAGGAAAAGAGAATCTTAAAAGCACCCAAATCTAAGGACCTGTTTTTAAAAATTACTTGACATTGATTGTCAGAAGAAAAAAAAGAAACAATAAAATTCATGGAAAGTATTGAAAAGTTAACCATTCCCATTTCATTTTTATGAGTATATAAAATAAGATAAATAATGCCTATGGGTAACAAGATTGTATATCAATTTAAGGTACAAAAAAGCTTTTTCACGTATGTATTTAGACCAAATGGAAGCTATGAAGATGCCAAAACAATAAATACTCATCTTTAAAAGTGTGCATTTATATATCTTTCTTAATTATTTGGAATGTATCAGATAGATAAGGATATAGTCTTATATATATCTGCTAATTACAGCAGTGTACATAGAATTCTGGAATGTCACAGAAATCAGAGTAAGCTAAGCAATAGTACCCAGAAAAAAAGAAAAGGAAAGCAATCAATAGATGGCTATTAAATATTATTTTCAAGTAGTACTGGTTTCAGCATCAAATTTAATATCTGTAGTTCACAAAGGATTAAAGAGGCCAGTCTAGTTAAACACTCTAACTCATGCCCCATCCCAGAATACCTCTGAATGTAGCCTCACTTTCCTTGGCCAACCTCACTGACAAGGCTGAATGGCCTTATGCTTGATCCTGGGCACTTTAAGGTATGGTTTTCTAGGTTGGTCTGTGCCTTTATTAGCCTATTGGTTATCTTAGTTTTGATTTGGGGATTTCAATGTCTGACCAGCATATTTTCAATTGATTCCTTTACATGCTTTATGGAATTAATTTTTCTTCCCAGGAACAGAATTATAATGAACCCTTCATTGCTCCGAAATCATGTTGTTGGTGTACAACAGGCTATCTACATATTTCTAGAAAGATAATGGCTCCATGTAGCCCACTCACTTGTTTTTGTTGTTTTTCTTTTTTACTCTTGTAGCAAGTCTTTGTGTCAATTTTCAGAAGTATATGTACTGTACATTAGATTCTGTCCAACAAGCTCTCCCTGTGCAGTGATCCCTCGTATCATTGCTACAAATTGTCAGTGCCCCAGTGAAATGAAGATATTGATTTCTCCATAACTCCCTTCACCACCTCCATAGGAGTCTCTTTCTGTGGATTCAGAAAACGCATTAAAACCCCATGCTGTCATGAGGTAGATTAATGCCCTTGTGTCACAGCTCTCCTTGGAAACTGCATCAAACACCAAGCATTAGAACTGAATTAGGAGCCACGGAGACTTTTGAGCGTCTCAAGATTGCCACTCTCTTCTGTCCCACGTGAACAATAGATCCATTTGCAAATAGAGTCATGAAAATGAAAATGCCTGGGGACAGGAATGCACAGATGCCCTTGGGTCAGGTCCTCACACACTAAGCAGAGTGGACTGTCGTGTGGATAGTGAATTAGGCAGCATAATCAAACTGGGTAAGAAAGGCAGAGAACTGGCGATGTCAGATACCTGAAAATGCTTTTGAAATGTAACACAATAAATGATGTATAAGAAAAGAACTGACTTACCTGAGTGACTTCTTGTCGCATCAGAGGTTCCTTTATCCTGAAACTTTATCTAATACCTGCTTCCTGATGTCAGCTTTCTGGGATAACAGCTTTTGCTACTTCCTGGCTAAAACTTCATTACTTGCTTGTTATTCCTTGGAACTGATCTTCACTCAGGGCTGCCTGATAAACCTCTCAGTTGAGCTTATTACCTGCCTTTGTATTTTTATTAGTAAGTTATCATGTCCCTAATTTTAGACCAGAACCCTTTAAGCAGACTTGGCATTTCTGCCACCATATAAACCATTTCTCTCTGCTTTCCTTATAATAAAAAGAGCTTCACCTTCTAGACTGAGAGACAGTGTCCATTCTTTCCTTTAAGAACAGAAATAAGGCCGGGTGCAGTGGCTAATGGCTATAATCCCAACACTTTGGGTGGTCAATGTGGGAGGACTGCTTGAGCCCAGGAGTTCAAGGTCAGCCTGGGAAACATAGGGAGACCCTGTCTCTACAAAATAATAATAATAATAATAAATTAGCTGGGTGTGGTGGTATGCTCCTGTGGTCCCAGCTACTTGGGAGGCTGAGGTAGGAAGATCACTTAAATTGGGGAGGTTGAGACTGTAGTTATAGCACGACTATACTCCAGCCTAGGTGACAGATGAGACCCTATCTCAAAAGCAAACAAACAAAGAATAAAAATAACATATTTTTAAGGACTATATTTGAGTAGCACAGACCATAGATGATGATAATGACTATGAAAATCCCAATTACCTATTCATTAAAATAAAAACGTTAAAATAATTTAAATTATGTGGACATCAAGTACTTTAAAGCAATTGATTATTTTGTTCTTATTTATTCTGGTATTTCATTAAAGTAATATAGGCATGTGGTGAAACATCAAATAAGGCAAAAAGATTTGGAATGAAAAGCAAGTTTCTCCCTTTTACTATTGCCCCACCTCATCCTGGCCCATTCCCTCATCCATGTCCCCAAGCCAATCACATATGATTTTGGGGAGCTTTAGTTCCTTTGGTGTTTTTGCCAACCCCTTTAAATGATGAATTCCATCTGCAGTTTCCTTATTATTGACCTCAGGATTCAACTATTGGCCATGTGTTATGATAACCAGGGGAAGCCTACTTAAGCCACACAGATCCATTACTTCTTTATTTTTAATCCAAAAAATTACAGCTCTATTCCCAGTTCCTTTGAGGTTACCTCTGATTCCATCAATGTTTTCCAATTTTGACTCGCACAATTGTAAGTTATTTTAAATCTTCAAATGTGACAGAGGATATTTTTTCTTATTTGTATATATTTGTCTTAGAATGAAATTTTATTTTTGGCAATTGCAACACTTCAGGACAACTTTTGAAGCATACCTATAATTGCATTACAACACGGAATGTGAGTAAATAAAATTGAAGCTTGATTAAAATGAGGGCTGGAATGCAAAAGTTAAATAAAGAGCTTAAATGGTGAAAAAAACAAATTGGATTTCTAAACTTACTTTCACTTTGATCATCGAAGGTGTTATATATTACATTTTGATAGCTCAGAGAGTGACTCAAGTGGTAAATTTATAGAGTATCATTCCATTTAAATGAACAGCAGGATGTATTTGCAGAAACAGATTAATGTTTCTTGGAAATTTATTAACACCTGCTTGTTTTTCTACACTCCCGTTGCTATGCGGTTTTTCTATCTATCATATGTAAATTCCATTCTTATTTTTTAAAATAAAAGGTAATTAAACTGAAAGATCTGTTTCACACATTACAGCTAGTGAGGAGCGCAGTAAAACGTAGCCTGTGCCCCGTTGTTAAGAAGGATGATGAGGCATTTTGGAAAGCCTGAGTGTAGAACCCAAGAAGGCAGCAGAAAATGATTGTTTCTTCTTTCTCACTCACTATTAAGTAGGTACATTGGCTACATCTACCCAAATTGAAAAGGAGAAGAATTCTCCCATGGAGTTTGCTGCCTCCACAGCGGCTGATAAGGAAGGTTTTGGAGATATTCAAAAATCAGTGTGATGAGGTGGGAATGAGTGAGAAGGGGTTTCTCTCCCAAGCACCTAAATGACCCAGCATTCCCCTGGGAGTACAGAACAGACCCTGCTGGACCTGGGTACCCATCTCTCTGCCACCTTGTTTACTATCATGTTCTTGGTGCCAGATATGCAATCAGGCACAGCCTCACTCCAGTTAACAGATTAATGCCTGGTCTTTGTTCACTCTCACAATCCTTAGGACAGTGGAGGTGGGGGTTGTCTCACTATGAACTTTTGGAAATTCTTAATTCTCAAATCGAGAGCAGAATATAGTTCAACCTTTTTTTTTGTGATGCTTTCCTGAATCTTTAACATTGGAAGTGGAATATACAATTTCATCCCTCTACATCTTATGTTACCCCTAAATTTACCTGGGATCTTTTCTTTTTCTCTTAAAATGAAATTAAATAAACAATTTAAGGACAGAGACCCCCCTTTAAAATTTTGGTCTAAGGAGGCTACTTGTGTAATTGAAAGTGTATATTGTCTGCACCGATTTTTTTTTGAAAGGACATTGTTTGACCTAAACCTAAACACACCATACAATATGGTACATGGTATGATGCCAACCTATGACATATAGCTAAGTCAAGAAGGCTGAACTTTTTAAAGCTTCCACAATCCTATTTTATAATTAGTTACTCTCCTTTTAGGTTTGGTTACAAAAGATGAGTTTGTAACCAGAACAGTCAATACTTTGAAGTGGATGAAAAATCTAGAGTCTGAGAAACCCAGCATGTTGTTCAGAAGAGGCACCACAGATGGAAGCCAAATGAATTAAACTAGACCAGGTACCAGATAAACCGAGAGTCAGGAGCCAGGTATTAAAGGCAGATCAGGCAGAAATTTAGCATCATGATTAAATGATAATCCCCACCCTGTCTAACCTAGATCTTCATGACTCCAAAGCCCACACTGTGCCTCTCCTTAACCTTGCAGTTAAACACTCGCAAGAGATCAACTACAAATGTTTTTCCTTCCGCTGATTTTGCTGGGTGTTCTATTCACAACAACAACAAAATGCAATTGTAAATGCTGCATTATTATATTCGGTGGATAAACTATGGACCCAAATGAATGAGAAATACTTTAGTTAATGTAATAAGCTGGGTGGTTTGCAGCCTTGACCTTTCTCAGCATTGCTAGAAGCGCTTGCTTTGGAACTCATGGAATCTGAAAGGGCCACCCACAAAACAGCTCTTCTATGAGGATCACACAGCAGTGGTCAGGACCCTCCTGAAGTTCTCATAGCTTTGTAACCTGACAGCTGCCCTCATTTCCTGCAACTGCTGAATACTGAATACATACTGAGCACCTCCTATCCAGCATGCTCCCTCCACACCTTCCACCCCTCCTTCCTCTTTCTTTCTCTCTCTCTTTTTTTTTTTTTTCCTGAGACAGAGTCTTGCTCTGTCACCCAGGCTGCCTTGCTCACCCTAGTTCTATACTCATTCTTGCAAATATAAATTATAATATTCATTTTGGGGTGGCAAGGATCCTCACTCTCTGACAGTATGTTTCTAAAGGTGTGTTCTGACATCTCATGCACAGGGTCTATCTCCACTTTGCACATGTCTTCTCTTCACTGCTGTCCACACTGACATGGGTTCCTTCCCTTCTAGTTGCTTTTGGAAGCCCTTATATGCATATTGGTGTCTGAGGATTAGATCTGCTTCTAGACTCATTGAAATGGGTTCCTTTCCTTAAAAAATTCCAGTTATTGTTTCTGCATGATTTCTAGGAGTTTAAAGAAGAGATGATGAATTTTGCAGCCAAATTCATAAAAGAAATTCTACAAAAGTTATTTCAAAGGGAAAAGGTTCAGGACTTGTGAATGAATGGGGGAAAGGAACAAAAAAGTAAGCAAGAAAAAAAAAGAGGCATGTTGAATTAGTGTTAACTATGAGCAATAATTACTTTCTTCATATTTTATTAACTAATTCATTTACAATTGGCATGAAATGATAAGTAGGAATTTTTCCTCACTTATTCTTTTGCATGAAAAATCTGTTTTAATATTATTGGTATTTTACCTAAAAAGAAACTGAAGATGACAAGGGGCTAATACCCAGAATACACAAGGAACTCAAATAATTCAACAGCAAAAAAAAACCATATAATCCAACACAAACAAACAAATAAAAAGTGGGGACATGAATAGAGATTTCTCAAAAGAAGACAGACAAATGGCCGGCAGCTATTTGAAAAAATGATCAACATCACTAATCATCAGGGAAATGCAAATCAAAACCACAACGAGATATCATCTCACCCCAGTTAGAATGGCTATTATCAAAAAGACAAGAAATAACAACTGCTGGCAAGGATGCAGAGAAAAGGGAATGATTTTGGGTTGGGAATGTAAATTAGTACGGGCATTATAAAAAATAATATGGTGGTTTCTCAAAAAACTAAAAAGGGAACTATCATAAAATCTGGCAATCCCACTACTGGGTATTTACCCAAAGGAAAGGAAATCAATATATCAAAGGAATACCTGCACCTCCATGTTTACTGCAGCACCATTCACAATAGCCAAGATATGGAATCAACCTAAAGATCCACCAATGGATGCATGGATAAAGAAAATGAGATAGATATATACAAGGGAATACTATTTAGCCATAAAAAAAATCCTACCATTTACAGCAACATAGATGAAATTAGAGGTCATTATGGTAAGTGAAATAAGCCAGGTATAGAAAGACAAATATCACATGTTCTCATTCATATGTGGAAGCTTAAAGTAGATCTCTTTGAGGTAGAGAGTAGAGGCTTGGGGATGGTGGGAGGGGGATGAAGAAAGGTTGGTAAATGGGCACAAACACAGAGTTAGATAGAAGGAGCAAGTTCTGGTGTTCAATGGCACAGTCGCATGACTATAGTTAGCAAACATTTATTGTGTATCTCAAAATAACTAGAAGAAAAGATTTGAAGTATCTCAACACAAAGAAATAATAAATAATTGAAATGGTGGATATCCTAAATATCCTGATTTGATCACTATATAGTAGTATATGCATGTATCAAAATATCACATCTGCCATAAACATGCACAATTATTGTGCATCAATAAAAATATCTTAATAAATTAACTTAATTTTTTTAAAAAAGAAGCTGAAGACATAAGTTAACAGAGATGATAGTGCCTGTGCTCACCATACTCCACTAACTTTCAAACTCTTTCATGTACAAAAATGTCATATAAAATGGAAACATTTTCTTCAAAGAAATATTTACTATCTATAGTTTACCAAAAACTGTTCAAGCTTCCCAGAATAGCCAACTGAATGGCCATAATTTACTGGTCCATCTGTATTTCACACTATTCCCATTAATTAATTGAAACACTTCCTGATATCCTGCCAGATATCATTCTCCCTGCCATGTGCCCAAGCTGGTAGCAAACTGAGTATTCACTGTGTTCAATGTACTTGTCCTGCCCCTGGGCAGAAGTTGATGCCAGCCTTGCATCTTTCTATGGCCTCCCAACATTTTCCACACTGCCTGATAAAATAGTGCCCATTCTTCAAGGCCCATTTCAAAGTCCATTTTCTGCAAAAGTCTCTGCTGAGCCTTCCTTTGCTGTCAATTCAAAGGATCACCTTTGCAAAATATTAGTTGCATGGGAAATATTTCAATAATTTATTGAATAATCTGAATACAAATAAGCATTTGAAGACATATGACTTGCGATTAGATCCAAGAAAGCTTGAAGAGATTTGTAAATCTTTTGTATGGTTGTGGCAGCTGATACCAGAATAGAAAATAACTCTTTGAGGAATGCAGTGTAGGAGTAAAAAGCACAGGGGCTATAGCCTGAGGAAACACGGTGATCTACCCCAAGACTCAGGTAGGCATACAGATATTGACATCAGATATTCAGGAATGAGAGAGTCAAGAGCACTGCAGGTGTTCTTTTCCTGGTCTGATCATAGTGAGGAAAATATTTCTTTTTGTGGGTGGCTATTTGGAATGCTCTTTCTCATTATAATAATATCTTCTATTAAAAATCACAGCATCAATACAACTCATAATGGCACTTTTTCTTCAAGATTGCTTCTAAGTTCGTGCATGAAGTCTGGAGGAGCCACTTAAAAGATTTTGCCATGATAATCACCAAGGAGACCAGTGCCTGGGTATCATTTGAGGAAGGAAATAAGAAAGGTTTATTTAGTTTGGAATATCATGATATGTTAGAAAAAATAACATTTAGGTGATTGTTCACATTCTCTTTCTCCTTCTTTAAGCTCCAAGAAGAACTCCATCTCTGCCTGATTAATTTCTAAGGTTTTATTGTGTAGAATTGGGGTAATGGATGACAGGCACAATATAAAAACTTGATCTGATTGATCCATACTGGCAAGGACAGAGTTATTTATAGATAAGACCATGAGATGGGGATAGGGCGGTAATAAGAAAAGCAGTATCTAGTATGTGCTGTGTTTGAGGGAGAGTTTGGGAGAGTTTTGAGACAGAAGGAGGGATATTTGGTTAGCCACCATGACATGATTTCCAAAGATTCAGGTAATACATGGATGAAGGAATTTTTAAATTTTTTTTTAAATTTTGAATTCAGGAGGTACATGTGCAGATTTGTTAAAAGTGTGGTTTCCGTGATGCTAAGGTTTGGGCCGCTATTAAAACTCTTGTCCAAATAGTGAACATAGTATCCAGTAGAAGATTTTCAGCCCTTGCCCTCTTTCTTTTGGAGTCCCCAGAGTCCATTGTTCCCATTTTTATGTCCCTGTGGACCCAATGTTTAGCTCCCACTTATAAGTGGGAACACCTTTGAAACAAGTAATAAAAAACCTACTAACCAAAAAAGTCCTGGGCCAGATGGATTCACAGCTGAATTCTACCAGACATACAAACAAGAGCTGGTACCAGTCCTACTGAAATTATTCCAAATAATTGAGGAGGAGGGAATCCTCCTTCTAACTTGTTCTATGAAACCAGTAACATCCTGATACCAAAACCTGGCAAAGACACAACAAAAAAAGAAAAAAGCAAGTCAATAGCCCTGATGAACATAGACGCAAAAATCCTCAACAAAATACTAGCAAATAGAGTCAAGCAGCACATCAAAAAAGGTTAATTCATCATGATCAAGTAGGCTTTATTCCTGGGATGCAAGGTTGGTACAACATACACAAATCAATACATGTGATTCACCACATAAGCAGAATTAAAAACAAAAACCATATGATGTCTCAGTAGACACTGAAAAAACATTTGATAATATCCAACATCCCTTCATGATAAAAACCCTCAACAAACCAGGTATTGAAGGAACATACCTCAAAATAATAAGAGCCATCTATGATGAATCCACAGCCAACATCATACTAAATGGGCAAAAGATGGAAGTATTCCCCTTGAGAAGTAAAGGGAATTTTAAGAGAATTTTTGCTGTTTGTTATTAAGGAAACTTTTCTTTTGTCTGTTTTGTAGTGACTGTGCTATTTGGATTACTTTTAAAATGCTTTTGGATGTCAAAACTATTTTTTTCTTTCCTGAATGTGACAGTAGATGTGCCAGTTTCATAGCAGTTCCATTTAGGTTGCTGTGTTTGGGTTAACAGAGATATATAAATGCAGAAATGTCTTATAGACATTTAGAGATATATGACCTGAGTTTAGATCAGAGAAGGCTTGGAGAGATTTATAAATCTTTGTATGGTTGTGGCAGCTGACACTAGGGGAAGAAAGAGCTCTTTGAGGAATATAGTGCAGGAGCAAAAAGCACAGGGGCTAAAGCCTAAAGAAATGCAGTGATCTACACCAAGACTTGGTTAGACATAGAGATACTGACATTAGATATTTAGGAATGAAAAGGTAAGGTGCACTGTGGTTGGCTGAATAGGAATTTCAAGAAAATAGGCTTCATAAGGGTGACTGAGAAATGCAATCTTACCAAAATAGACTGAATATTTGGAGTATGATATCAAAGCAACAGGATGTGAGCAAGGAAACAGAAAACCCATAGGCAAGAACTGTGATAGTCTTTAAAGAGGAGAGTGGTGCCAATAGAAAGTGGCTACCAGCTACTTACCCGAATAGAGCAACTCTGTTTACCTGAATAAAGTAACAACTGGCATAGCTGTGTCAAGCTTTGTGAGGAAGATCTTTAAGGGGCAAGTTATTGAAATGAGGGTAGACAAAATGGAGGCTATGTCAGGACCTGGGGACACAAGATATTCATCAGCTGAAATGGCAGATTAAGGGCCTCTGAAACTCCACTTCCCTATAAAAACAATGAGAACACTGGCAAAAATGGGCAGAATCAACTTTTTCAGAAACCTGGAAAGTAATCAAAGACTTGCAAAAATCTGAGGAGTATTTATTCAAGGATCTAGGAAGACCTGCTGTCCCTTACTCAACTCAGGATTTCTCTGAGTTTCTCTCTGGAAGCACTAACACTATCAGGGTACAACAGGGGCTCTGCTCTGTGTTTCATAACAACCAAATCCACTGAGTCCCCAGCTACATCTCTGAATCTTTCCCTGAAAGGGGTTTTACTTGTGTCCAAATAAAAGAGCTCAGGAGAGTACAAAATTCTAGAACTATGATAATGTAATCCAGAATAAAGAATGGGCGGGGGTGAGATGGGGACTTGTTTGTACAGAATAAATAAATTTGAAGAAATATACTTTATAACAAAAAAATGTAATTTAATGTTTCCTATGAAGTTAATTCTATCCTAAGAGTTTTCTAATCTTTGAAGACACGCTCAAACCCAAGATTTTTATGACTATTAAAATTCCTGAGTTGCATTAGATATTAATATACTATTTTCCCCAAAATGTATAAGTTACTTTATATTTTTATAAAGTGTGTTCCCATGCAGGATTTTTTAATCCTCATGACATTTCTTTGAGGAAGGTGATATGATTTCCATTTTAAAGGTGAGCAAAATAACATTCAAGGAGATCATGGAATTTGCCTAAGGTCTCCAAGCCAGAGAATGCTAACCAGACCATTCTCAACATCTGCTCCTCAAGTTTTTTGTCTCCTTTTCTTCCTGCTCCCTTTCCTTCTTTTTAAATATTTTAAATATTTTTTCTTTTAAATATTTTAAATATTTAAATATTAAGGTTTAAGAGGCATGCATTCATAATCATCATTCGGGTCAAGAAATAAAACATTACCAGAGCCTCAGAGGCCCCTTGCTGTCAATCTCTCAATCATTACCCTCTCACTCTCCCCAAAGATAGCTACTATCAATGTATATTGCAATACCTCCTTTACCTCTTTACCACCTAAGCATTCATTCCTAAAGACTGTGTGTTTGTACTTGATATACATAGAATCACTATATATGTCTGTATATGTACCTTTACACACACACACACACACACACACACACACATATACAGGTTGAGTACATCTTAGCCTAAATGCTTGAGACCAGAAGTATTTCAGATTTTTTGCAAGTTTTGGAATATACCCACTTTTGTTAAGTGCCTGTAACAGCTGCTTCCCCATTTTTCTACTTGGTTGTATTTTTCTTATTAGTTTATAGTCTTAACTGACTTGGACCACTATAACAAAACACCATAGACTGGGTGGCTTAAATAACAGACATTTATTTCCAACAGTTCTAGAGTCAGGGAAGTAAAAGACCAAGGTTCCAGCTGGTTCAGTGAGGGCTCTCTTCCTCACAAGACAGAGAGAGAGAACCTCTGGGCTCTCTTCTTCTTATAAGGACACTGATCGAAGCATCTCACCCAACTACTCATGACCTCATCCAAACCTAATTATGAACCAAAGATCTCACCTCCAAATCTATCACACTGGGGACTAAAATTTCAACATACAAATTTGGGAAGGACACAAACATTCAGTGACTAAAAAGGAGGTGTTTTTAAAAAAAAATTCTGGTTTTCAGCTCTTTATTCATTATGTGTGACAAATAGCTTATCCTACACTCTTCTTCCTTTTTTTCTTAATGGTGATAAACACAAATTCTTAGTTGTATTAATTTTCAAATAAGTATGTTATATGTATTATTTAAGTAATAGTTCTTTGTCTTGGGACAATCAAGATATATTCCTAAATTAACTCATAGAAGGTTTGCGATTTAGTCTTTCATATTTAAATCTAAAATTCATCTAGAATTTTTATTTTGTTGTCTACCATGTGAGATGTGGGTTCCAAATAGATATCCAATTGTCTCAGGACATATTTAAAAGACTCTGCAATGCCGTCGTTTACGAAAGGCAGAGTGTCTTCATATATGTAGGTATGTTTCTGGACTCTCTATTCTGATATATTGGTTTATTTATTTTTCTGTACCAATATCTCACTGTTGTAATTATTGTAGCTTTATAACCAGTCTTGATATCTGATTATGTAGATCTTCTAACTCTGTTCTTCTGCAATATTGCTTTCGCTATTTTTGGCCCTTAGCATATCCATATGCAAATAGAGGATTAGTTTCTCAATTTTCACAAACTACATATACACACACAAGAAACTTAATGAGATTTTGTTTGTGATAGTATTAAATCTATAGGTCAATTTGGAAAAAATTGGTATCTATACAACATGAGTCTTCTAATGCATGAATATGGTATTTTCCTCCACTTACGTAGGTACTCATTTGCTTGATAATTTTTGCCAGTTTTGTACATTTGGATCTTACACATTTTTAAAAGTGTTTTGTGTTTAACTCTAGAAATTTAATAATTTGATACTATTGTAAAGTGTCACAGAAATTAAGAATTTAAAATTTTATTTTTCCAAATGTTTGGTACTGGTATGTAGAAGTACAATTCATTTTTTTATGTAGGTATATAACCGGCAAACTTACTAAGCTCATTAATTCTAATATTGAATGTAGATTTATTTCTATGTACACAACTATGTAATCTGTGATAATGAAGATTTTAATTATTTTTAATCAAGCTTGGTATTAGTTTTGTAAATGCTTTGGTCATTATCCCTTCAAATATTTCAACTGTTCCATTTTCTTTATCTTTCTCTTCTTGGAGTATGGTTACTTATATTAGACTTTCTCTCTATATTCTCTTATGTCTCATATCATTTCTTTTCTGATTTCCATCTTCTGTTTCTCCATTTTTCAGTTTGAATATTTTCTTCTGATTTATCTGGTAGTTCACCAATCCTCACTTCTGTGGCATCAAATATGTTGTCAAATCCATCAACTGAGTTCTTTATTTAGGTAATTTTAAATTTTCTAAAATTCTCTAGTTCTTTTTTAAAACTTACATATCCTTTTATTATAGTTTCTAGTTCTCAATTTTTCACTTTAACTTCTCTGAGTTTCAGATTTTCTATCTTTGCTTAAATTTTAGACTAGTTATTAAACCAAACTAGAACAGTTGGTTTGAATTAACCATAACCCCTCATTATTAGAATCAGAAGTCAGCCATCCTTAAACTTCTTATCTTTTCACATCTGCCATCTTTTAGACACATTCCTGCCATTCTGGACCTTAAATATGGCTAGGAAAATATGGTGCATGGCCATTAAGCATTAAGACCGGGCATGGTGGCTCATGCCTGTAATTCCAGCACTTCAGGAGGCCAAGGTGGGCAGATCACCTGAGGTCACGAGTTCGAGACCAGCCTGGCCACCAAGGTGAAACCTCGTCTCTACTAAAAATACAAAAAAATTAGCCGGGCATGGTGGTGGACGCCTGTAACCCCAGCTAGTCAGCAGGCTGAGGCAGGAGAATCGCTTGAACCCAGGAAGCAGAGGTTGCAGTGAGCCGAGACCGTGCCATTGTACTCCAGCCTGGGCCACAAGAGTGAAACTCCGTCTCAAAAAAAAAAAAAAAAAAGAGAGAAAAAAGAAAGCAGTTACAGGGCAATATAAGACAATCAGTCATTAAACGAAAGATACAGACGTTAAGTGCTTTGGAAGTCAAGAAAAGGTGATAGATGTATACAGCTGAGAGGACATATGGGGCTTAGGAAAGCACACAAGAGAGAAGGAGGCCAGAGGCCGTCTGAGTTGAGAAGCCTGGATGAGGGTAAATACAAAGCCCAGGCCAAAAAGTGCAGTGAGCATGGATGGTTGCTGGACTGGTGGAGAAGGGAAATATGATTTGGAGTTGAAGACACCATTTTAAGGAAAACCTTAAAAGTTAAATGGAGGTGTTTTGGGTTTTATTTTGAAAACAATGCCAGGCTGTGAGATGTTTTTAACTTGATTAAGCAAGTCTGGGTTACATGCTTGCCCCTAAAGCTGAATGGGGAGGTCAATCGCACTTTAACCAATTGTCCTGAGAGTGGAAAAGGGCCAGAATTGCCGGATTCACCAAATGAAGATACGAGTTGCCCAGTTAAACTTTAATTCAGATAAACAATTAATAATACGTTAGTATAAGTATGTCCTCTGCAATATTTGGGACATATTTACATTAACCTATTATCTATTAATTTTGTGAACTCAGATTTAACTAGGAGTCCTATATTTGATCTGCAATTCTAAAGTGGGTGCTTCTGTTAAGGAAAATTGGGATGCTATCATGCAAAGGGGAATAGATGCTCAGCAAACTAAAATGCAAAAATGCAAATATCTGCCAAGAATAGGCTAGGGAAGAAGCTAATAAATCTCTGTCCTTTTGAAACTCTACCATCTGAGTTATTGAAGACCCTCTTCAGTATAAACAAGTAACATGCTGACAACATGCCAATTTGCAATCCTAATTTTTAAAACATTTGGAGAGAATATGAATTATTCCAAAATTTGTCAAGACAATTTGTTCACTTACAAAGTTACTTTCTTCTTCCCCAATTATTAAACAACTTTATTTCCATAAACCTGAATGCTCCAGGAGGTTTTAATGAAAATAAGTGGAACAATCTTCAAAATGTCCATCTAAGGAAAGAAATAATTCACTGAAGTATTAAAGAATCAGAAGTGTGTCACCACTCAAAGATTCCTCAGGCAGAAGTTAGAAGAAAATCTGATTATTATGATCTCTTTTATCCAGATCTGATTCCTGATCTACAAAACAAAATTTCGTTTGGGCCATTCACATAGTTCAACTTGCAAAATTAAATTTCAAGTCCACATAATGATTGGAAAAATAGAAGTTTTACAAGTTGTGTGACTATAGCACACTTGAAAAATGTTCCATAACAAAGATATTTTGCAGAGGGACAAAATATGTCAAGTGAAATAAACTAAGTAATGAATATGTGCCCAATGTGGACATGTATATAAATTCATATAGGAAATGTTTATTCCTACTTATGCCCTGTAGGAATATAAACATGATTTTAAAGAGAGGTAATTTTACAAATTATAAATCATCTATTGCCGGCCCTAGCCAAAAAAAAAAATGCATTTTAACCAGACCCCACCCCAAGTCACCCCTGGCCCTGTTCCCAACGTACACCTACACCTGTCCAAGCTGCGGTGTGTCCCTCAGGCATCGATAGAAATAACTAAAAGGAATGAAGCAGATGCCCCTCACGATATCAAGGCATCTATTTTTACCCTTAAAGAGTAGCCATGCTATTTGTGGTTGCTAGTTTTCCATACATCATCCTCCCCCTTTGCCTTCTCTTTCTCTTTCTTGCTTCTCACACCTGTGTTTGTGAAACAACCTTAAGATCTTTTTACAAAAGCAAAGCATAGCAGCTGGGGGTTGTTTGTTTCACATACCTTCTGGCAACTGCTGCTCCACAAATGTCCAATTCGCACTTCCGTCCTGCCTGTCTACAGGGAATATTCTGCTGTTCCTTGCCTTATTTGTGGACATTTCTTTGCTGCGTGTGGGTGAATGTATGGAGGTGGAAGGGCAGATGGTGTGCTCTTTGCATTCTGGGTTTAGCTATATCATCTGTGATAGACAACTTTCAGTGGTTCAGTGAACCCCCACCAGCCTTTCTAGCAAGAGAATAGATAGGTGCAGATTAGAAACAGTCATTTGCTACAGGGAAACAACCAACATCTTATTTGCATCTGTACATGTCAACAATGCAATTAGGACAAACTTTTGAGAGAATTAGATTGAAGTGGTAATTAAAGAATTGTGTTGTGAATTTTAATGTGATTGTCAAGAGGTAAATTATTTGATATTGTATTCATCCACTTTAGAAAAAATGCCGTGGAACCTTTCAAAGAAAAGTCTCTGAAAATATCAGTAGTGCTAGGGATCCGATGAAGGCATAAATTGCTTATTTAAGATTCAAATAGCTCAGAGGCTCATTATATTAAACTCCACCACAATGGAGTCTTCTTACAGTGTTGGGGTACAGGATGCATGATGGAATTTTTTCTGGTGTGTTGAAATTGTAGTTTAGGCCCCCAAAGCTGAGGTCATTAGGAAAAAGTACTTCTACATTCTAAACAGCAGTACTAGGTAGCCCATGCTCATTTACTAAAAGTTAACAGAACTTGCATTAAATGATCAGTGTTCCTCTTCCCTATTACCCATCTCCATTTAAAGAGAGTCAGAAGAGCCATTGAATTTGAGCATTATGGACATAACAGCTGTGTCATTTCCCTCTTATTCTAGCCAAACTAGAAGGAGTTAAGAGAACTCCCTTGAGACTGGGAGGATCTACATGAGAGGAGACAGGAAACCCCTTGCCTGGCTGGACCCTGCAGTTGCCACCATGAGCCAGGAAATAGATTTGGTGAGTGATTTGTGCCCCCAAGTGCAGAGGCTGGTGCTTGTTTTTGACCTGGTGAGCTCAGAAGGCCTGAGATTGGCTGAAGCTACCTATGCATGAAAGCAAGGGCTGCCACAAGGAGAATCTTGCACTTGTGCCAGCTGGCTTGGTGGAGTGTGCCTGTCACGTGGGCTCAGGTGCTTGTGATTGGACCGTGTACAAAAGTGAAGCCAGTAGGGATTAACAGATATCAACAAGAGGTTAAAAAATTAGGGATGCCAAAACTCAGCCAGAGAACACATCACCCATATCAGGGCATAATGTGGTAAGGAGATTCCTATGTGTTTTAAGAGTATCTGAGATTTGTTTTAATCAGACATGGTAAGACAAAAAGACATGTAAATTGCTCTTATGAAGAAAAAAGTTGATTATACTCACAGCTCCCTAGGAACAGGAAGCATAACCACTGCATGGTGGGGAGGGTTGGTGGGGTGCACATGGAGAAGCACCAGGGTTGGTTAGGAAGCAGAGGGAGCTGGAGGAAATTCAAGCAAAAGCCTTTATTGTAATTTCTGTGGAAAGGAACACAACGCAGGGTAAGTAGGACTGGCTAATTTAAATAATTTCAGAGGCTCCGGAGTGTAGGGTCTGTCCCTAGTTGTCTGGTACCTGGCCTTGGTGTGAGTAGGGCAAATGGGTAGTGGCCTGGGTTGTGAGAGCCCCATGAAGGAAGTGATTGGGTGTGGGCTCTGGATTAAGCAGTTTGCGTGTTCCTAAACCAGGGAGTTGCTTATGATCTCTAGGAATTGGCTAACCATGTAAGGGAATGTCCCTCCAGGTTCAGGAAGTCCCCAGATGTCAATAAGAATACAGAAAATGAAAGACATGGGTAATACATTGTGGATGCCCTCCAAAGAACCCATGTCTGAGCTCAAAAAAAAAAAAAAAAAAAAAAACTGGTATTTTGATGCCTGCCACAATGGGAGTAACAATAGTGAACCAATGTTAACCAAGAGATAACTAAAGCAGCACCAGGGACTAAACCTGGGAGGGACACACTCTTCCTCAAGTCATTCTCCTGATGGAGGAAAGATAATCAGAATGGCAGATATATGGCCAACCACTGTAAGGGAAAGTGGGGACTCTGCTTGAGAAACTGCATTTGAACAGTAATTTTCAAAATTACTTAGGCTGTTTATATAAAATCCTATGTACACCTTTCCAACCCTTACTCTACATGTTTAGTTTACTTAAAGGCTTATTGAGAATTAGCTATAATTCCAATTTTCCCAGTTTTCTACTTTTTAATTCTCTTTATACAGCATTGGATGTATCTTGCAAAAACGTTTTTCTTTGGTAATGATATGAAAATGGTGCTTTTTTTCCTGAGCCTTTGCCTATCTAGATATCCTTCTATTGTCTTCACAAGCAAAAATTTCCCTGAGTTTTTAATTTAAATCAGAGCTGTTAATATGACTATGGACATGGCTACATTTTTTCTGGAATTTGATTTTGCAGAGACAAAGGACTGGAGACTATTTCTAATGCTTATTATGTTTTAGATGATCTGCTTTTCTAACTTGATTCATGTAGAGTTTTTTCTCTTTTTTTTAGTTAAAAAAAGTCCCATCTATATCTTAAAGTGAATCAATGTTTATTGATTTGGTCTGATACACGATGGCATATTTTGATCAGCTAGCTCATATTTTCTTTGTCAGGCAAATTTTCTTCTGTCATAATTTTGATTGTTCCTTCTGTTTCCTCTGGTTTTTAATTAGAAAATTCTGTACTCTTAACCCTCTGTCTTCCATGTCTGCTTTCCTATCTTGAAACTTTTTAGTCTTTATCAGTTAGGAAAGTGTTCAGATATTAATAACAGAATATATAGCAAAAGAGTGGATTAAACAAATAGGGCTGTTTATTTCACACAACAAGAAGTCCAGAGACTGGCAGGTTATGCCCAGTGCAGCTGATAGATGCAGGAGGCAGAGAAGCGAGGGTCCCTGGAGAGTCTTCAACCCTCCCCACAAGTGTTTACATCAGATGTTTTTGTGCAAATGAGGGAACCTTCCCAGGGCCTTCTCTGGGCATGTGCGCAATGGACTGGGGATTCACCTACACACTGGGAGAATAGGGTGGAGCCACTGAGAATTCACACCTTATGCAGTGGGGAGGAGTCTGGCCTCTTGGTATTCAATCTGTGAGGTAGGAGCCTGTTGGCAGGACCCCTTCTTTTTTGCTGAGAGCTTTCTTTTAATAAATTCCACTCTCCTCACCTTTCAATATGTCCGCGTGCCTAATTTTTCCTGGTTGTTAGACAAGAACCCAGATTTTAGCTGAACTAAAGAGCAAAAAATCCTGCATCACAATGACTACAAAATAACATCACAATGTTAGGCTCATTCTATCTCTTTGCTCTGCCAGCCTTAGCATGCTGGCTTGTTGCCTCTTGGTTTTAAAATGGTTGCTGTAACTACAGGTATCATAACTATGTTCCAAATAGGAAATGGGGTGGGGAGAGCAAAAAGGTGAAGGAGGCCTTCTCCCAGTGAGGTTCTGTCTTTTTATTTGGCAAGGAGGTAGTTCACAAACCAATTTTGTGCCTCACTGGCCAGAACTGGTCACATGCCACCCCCCAGCTGGTCAGTGGCTGGGAAAAGGGGTGAAGGATGGGGTTGGTCAGCCAGCCAAGATTGCCTGCTTGCAATGTCTTCCTGTTCCTCATCATCATCCTGGAAGAGGCTCTCAAGTTGATTCATTACATAAATGAACCAGTTTTCTAAAATCAATTCTGTTCATTTGCATTACCAATACGAATTTTAATTCTGTGATTTTTCTTTTTGGTTTCCATGGTTTTTAATTTTTATTTTATTATTATAATTACTTTGTTATTTCAAGTATCTGCCTTTTAAAGTTTCATTCTGCATGTCAGCCTAAATTTTACCACCTAATTCTGATCTCTTCTTATGGTTTTTTATTGTTATTTTTCTATAGAGACTGTGAGTTTGTCTGTCTTGTTGAAAACAAGAAGTCTATTTTTTATTTCCTGTAACGAACCATTTATAATCATGTAATTTCCTCTGAGACTTTGATATAATAATACTTCATTTTACTCAAGCCAAAATCTTTTTTCCCCAAAGGTCCCATGTTATTGATTTGTATTTATTTTTAATTCCTCCTTGACTTAGGATGACTCTACACATATAAACCCACGTATACTTTGTATTTGCCTTTGCCTGTGTTCCTAACATCCACTTTTAGATTCTCAGTCCCATTCTCATATCTTACGTTGTGAATGAATTGACGATTTATTTTTCCATCCCCCAATCCAATTTCCACTGTTGATTAGCATTTCCCTGTTGGTCTGAGGTAGGAACATCTATACCTTTGCTTCTCAGTTTTCAGGTGTGAGAAGAGTTTATGTTCAGTACAAGCAAGTAGAGCAATGCCTGAAGCATGGTTAGGTCTCAATATATATTATATCACCATCATCATTATTATCATTATTATTAGAGGAAAGATAAATTTTAACCCAATAATCACATACATTAATATATAATCTCACAGCGAGATAAAAGAGATGACCGCCATTTCATGAGAGCACAGAACAGAGGAACTTGATTTAGCCAGGGCCAAGACAGGGGAAAGAGGCTATGGCTGTGTCACAGAAGACTCCACTGAGGAAGTGATACTTGAGCTGAGATGAGAAAGATAACGTGTCAATTGTGAATATTTTGTTTGCCAGTGGGTTTCTAATAGACTTAAATGAAAGGGCACCGCTTGATTCAAGGAATTGAGAAGCAAGATGTGTCTTCAAGCATGGCTAGATCCAGGTAAGTTGTCTCTCCATCTCCTGACTCTGCTATCCTCTGTGTTGGCTTAATTCTCTGAAAATACTCTTCACAATTCTCAGAAAGGCCAAAATCAGCTCCAGTCTCACTTCCTACCAGGTTTGCTACCCTAAGAAGAAGAAGGCTTCTCATTCCCAACGATTCCAACCTAAGTCCTAGAAATAAGTCCTACTTACCTAGATGGGTAACATGACCCTCTCTAAGTGAATTGCTGACACCAGAGGAATGGAATGCCTTGAATCACCAGGTCTAGGCCCTGTGTCTTTACCTGGAATGAGAACTGATTGAGGAGGAGAAAAGGCAGAGAAGGTATTACCAAAAAGGTGACTGGATTCTGGACAGGCAAAACAATAGCCTATACTGTATACAGAATAGCAAATAACAGGGTCCAGTCTTCATTTTCTTCCTGACTCTCTGTATCTCTCGCTGCCTTCAGTACCTTAAGCATATTGTCTACTGAGGAATGTGATCTTTGAGTAGCTATATAAAAAGAAGCACCATATCTGGTCACTGAAAGCCCTGGAGCAAATGCAGTGTTTATAATTTTTAGATACCCTGTATCTCTAAAACAGTCAAACAGTAGGGTGAAGCCCTTCCTTTCATTGTACCTGCTCAGCTACCTGGTTCTATTTCAGAAATTAAAGTATCCAAAAGACACCGATTAGGTTCAGAAAGTCAGCTCAAACAGACTTGAAAAGTGAAAGAGAAACTAATTAATTCTGTAACTAAAAAAATTCCTCCCAGACTCCAATAAATCGCTGACTATAAGCTTCAGTTTCTAATACTATGAGATTTCATTCTTTTTCTGCAACCATGAATTTTTAAATTGAGAGTTACGGGAGGCATTTTTCAGGAACTGGATATAATAGCCTGAAACCATTTTATCCCTGATGGTCGCACAAGATTTAATAGCTAATTAGTCAACTCTTGGTGACCAAGTGAGTGTAAGGGGTCACTGAAGTGATGTTTCTTCTAAACTAGCACGATGCTAGCAGGACTGCTGCTTCACCTGGACTGGGTGGAGGGAGAGTTAATCATTGGATCAACAGCTAGGGTAAATCAAGACTTTTAATGCCTTCCTCACTCTAAAATTCTGTATCTCCATTATTCTATATTTAAGAGTATTTATAAAACACTACCAAGTAATTCAGCTGTGGATAAATTATTTGATTTTCATTGTGACATTCTTTCTCCAGTTTGCCACTTCACTGGTAAGAAGAAAGAATAATTCACAAGACAAAATAGTATTTGACACGGCAAATTATTATGCAAACTGTTAGAAAAAAAACTCAAGACAAATTAAAATTAACAGAGTTTAACTGAGCAAAAAACTATTAACAAATCAGGCAGCCCACAGAACCAAAATAGGTTCAGAGCAGCTCTGGGACTACCACATGGTCCAATGACAGTTATAGACAGAAGAAGGAAAGTGAAGTACAGAAAACAAAAGTGAGGTATACAGCTTAGTGCTTGCCTTATGTGAACACAGTTGGAACAGTTGGCTGCCTGTGATTGGCTGAGACTCTACTACTTGTTACAAGATCAGGTAATAGTCTGTTTACACATCCAGTTAGGTCACAGTTCACTATGTGTGGAGAAACATTTAGGCCAAATTTAAAATATGTAAGGAGACAGCTTTAAGCTAAACTTAACAAGACAACGAAAAATAGACTCTAAAATTTCTGTGAGTCACTGCAATTGCCAATTCTTCCAGAAGGAATTCCACCCAAGCTGATTCATTTAAAACACAGATAACTCGTCAGAAGATAGGTGTTACAAAGACTTTCAAGCCCAAGGAACTGCTGAAGAGACTGCATCGAAGATCCAGCATCCATAGTGTACTTCATGGAATCCAGACTGCGCCAACTGACAGCAATAGAGAGGCCTCAGGGTAGGTATTAATGGTGAATGAGCATGTAGATATTAGATCCAAATGTCAGATCTCCATGAGGAGCAATGTGGAAGTACCTTGCAAAAGGCAAATCTCTCTAGACAATCTGATTATTGTAAATACCTGCTGCATCTAGTGAGTGGAGGAACCTGTCCTCTTTTCATTTGCTCTTGTTGGAAGCAGCAGTAATAGCCTATGGTATCTTTTCTGTCCATCATGAGTTATAAAAGTACATTTGTAATACAAACAAAGGAGGCACACTAACACTTACCTACCAGGAATAGGTATGAATACCTGCTGTCTGCCAGGTCCTGGCCAAAAGAGTATACATGATTATGCATTAAACAGTCACCAAAAATATTTTTGACAAATACCATGACACCTACTTCATAAAATTAAAAAAAACCTAAAAGCTCAGAGTATATTGTTAATTTGCCCTAAATAACATAGTAAACAGGTAGCAAGTATGAAAGGAAGGGGTGTTGTTCATCTGAGAAGAACAGTGGAAAAATAAAAGTGTTATTAAAAAAACAGAACCAAGGAAACCGAGATCAAACATAGCTTAAAGTATGACTATGACACAGATTTAATGAGAAACTCACAGTGAACTAGAAGATTTTAAAAATAATTTTTAATCAATTTATTTATTTGTACTTTTGATATTGACTCTACATCATTTAACCCTGAACATGGATGAGGAAATCAACAGGAATGTCACAAGGCCCAGGGGTCATTGTTGCTGAGTGTGGATATCACAGCTCCCGTACATGGCTACAGAGACATGGCATGTTCTCGTATGTAACCCTTTCAGACTGCTTTTTGTTTATCAATAGCAATATTCAATATTCATGCTTCTAAAACATCACTCTGCCCAAGAAGCAAATATCTGATCCACAACTTAATGCAATAATTACTGAATCAGATATCTCTGGGAAGCAATTATTTTTAAATAGCCATAGCTATTTTGATTACGTGGACATTTAAGTTCTTTCTTTGCCACATTTGTCTTCAAAAGAGAGATGGTAGGATCAAAAGAAAAATGTAATATTGGTGTCATGAAAGTGTAAGAGATATTTAACACTTCAGGAAATAGAGTGAGACTAGAATTATTTTAGCATCTTAGTCTTACGTGGAAGATGTATAAAGATGCCACCATCGTTGTGCTAATAATTGAACAGAGGCCCCTTTTTCCCCATTTATCTTTTTCTTTGTCATGAGAAAGTGGTTTTACAAATTGCAAATATTATCAACATTGCTGGGACTTGTACTAGTCAGAAAACCTCACAGTGTCCCAGTTTTGGTGTTTTGCTTTTTTCTTTTTTTTTTTCCTACCTGTAATATGAGTCTAATAGTGCTTTGTGATCTACAATCCCAGAGAATAACTTTTTGCATTATTCTAAACAGTAAGCTATGATGAAAAAATAGTTGAAAAGCTAACAAATTAGGTTTCCCATCTAATTTTTATTACAAAACTCTGTAACAGGTTTTTAATTCCTGAAACCCACTCTGGGAATCCCCACAGGATCCCCCACATGATTATGCCCACCTTTCTCTACACGGTCATGTGCCCCATAACAACATTTTGGTCAAGGATGGACCACATATATGGCAGTAGTTTCATAAGATTATAATGGAGCTGAAAAATTCCTCTTGCCTAGTGACATCATAGCTGTCATCACATAGCAGCACAATACATTATTACAAAAACCTATGATAAAAAAAGAAACAGAGCAAGCAAATCACCATGGACATATTTTTGAAAAGAGTGACACCTCCTCAAGAAGAGCCTCAGGCAGGTCCTTCAGGAGTTTTTCCAGAAGAAGGCATTGTTATCATAGGAGATGACAGCTCCATGCATGTTATTGCCCCTGAAGACCTTCCAGTGGGACAAGATGTGGAGGTGGAGGACAGTGATATTGGTGATCCTGATTCTAATGTGTGGGTGTCTCTGTTAACTTTTAACAAAAAAACGTTTAAAAATTTAAGAAAAAATTAAAAATAGAAAAAAGTTTACAGAATAAGGATATGAAGAATGGAAGTATTTGTCTGCAGCTGTACAATGTGTGTTTTAAGCTGTGGTATTACAAAAGAGTCAAAAAGTTTTTTAAAACTTAAGTTTATAAAGTTAAAAAGTTAAGCTAAGGTTAATTTATTATTGAAGAGATAATTTTTTTAAATGTTTGTGTTTTTTTTTTGAGATGGAGTCCTCGCTCTGTCTCCAGGCTGGAGTGCAGTGGTGCGCTCTCGGCTCACTGCAACCTCCGCGGGTTCAAGAGATTCTTTTGCCTCAGCCTCCCGAGTAGCTGGGACTACAGGCGTGCCACCATGCCCAGCTAATTTTTGTATTTTTAGTAGAGATGGGGTTTCACCATGTTGGCTAGGATAGTCTCAATCTCTTGACCTCGTGATCTGCCCACCTCGGCCTCCCAAAGTGCTGGGATTACAGGCATGAGCCACTGCACCCAGTCTTTAAAAATAAATTTAGTGTCGCCTAAGTGTACAGTGTTTACCAAGCCTACAGTGATGTATAGTTATGTCCTAGGCCTTCACAGTCACTCACCAACAGCAACTCTCAGTCCTGCAAACTCCATTCGTAGTAAGTGCTCTGTACAGGTATATCATATTTTTATCTTAATTTCTTAATTTTACTGTACCTTTTCTATGTTTAGGTATGCTTAGATACACATTTGCTTACCATTGTGTTACAATTGCCTACAGTATTCAGCACAGTAACATGCTAAACCAGTTTGTAACCTAGGAGCCATAGGCCATACCATATAGCCTAGGAGTGTAGTAGCCTATACCATGTAGGTTTGTGAAGTACACTCCATGAAGTCCGCACAACTACAAAATCACCTAATGATGCATTTCTCAGAATGTGTCCCCATAATTAAGCAATATATGACTGTATGTCTTATTTCCTCTTCTTCCTTCTTTTCAATTACACTTTATTTCTCATCACTTCCTTTGCCCCTCAATATATCTTTCATATTTCTATCTCTCTACTTTCATACTATTTTCCCTCCCTTTTATTCTTCCACCATTCACCCTTCACTGCTACTCTAGAGAACAAACCATTACATGTAATTTACACGTAATTTATCAATATTTAAAATACTGGCTTTATTTATGAATAAGCATCTGGTTCTTATTTTTCTTTAATATTAAATGAGTTGTAAATCTTGTATTCTCTACAAAACAAAATGAAAAAAACCCAATACCAACTACAATTTTCTCTCCATTTGAAATTTCCCACTTTTACTTTTGATTCTTTGTGCTTAGATATTAAGAGTATTTCAATTTACACCATAATTTGTACTGTAAGTCACCATGTAATGAAACTCTTGGTAACATAAATTAACAGAGTGTTTATTTAATATATGTATTGAGATTTTACAATACTTTATGCATTAAGGTTAATTTTCCAAATATGTTAAATTTTAAACATGTTTTAATGAAAAAATTCTATTATATGCATTTTGTATGCTATTAAATAATTATCAGTCTGGTTTTTGCTTTTGAAGTAATATATATTGCTATAATATATATTTTATATCTAGAAACTGATATATATCTACACACACATATATGTGTGTATGATATACATATGTATTTCTAGATATCTATAAATCTAGAAAGTCATATATATGTATAGATTTAAAACATCATGTGGTATTTCACATTAAGTAAAAACTAATCTCTAATATTTTACAATAGTAATTTTGGTATATATAGAGTTCACATACTCATGACTAATATAATTTTTTATTACAAACAAGTCATTAAAATTATATATCTTATACATTTTGACATTTATCGTAATCCTATTTTATGCAAAACACAGTTTGTGAAGTACTGTTGAAAGAATTATTACTTTTTACTTCCAGTATTTCATGCTAACTCATGAATTAAATCAAATCGTTAGTTAATTCAGGTATATAAAATTTGATAAGAGTGAGTCCGACTTTGGGCAGTAAATTCCCACATGTGACGTACCCTTTGGTACTGGTTCCTGACTGCCTACCTGCCTGGGGGAGCTGTTTACTCCGCCAACTTTGTCACTTTCTTCCTTATTCTGCTCCCTTCCGCATGTCTTCCATCATGTCCCTTTTCTGTTACCAACAACCGTGTTACCTTAGATAGGTCCATAACCTGCTCCAGCTTCATTCATCCCCCACCTAACTGTCTATAGTAACTGTAGGAGTTAACACAGATGGGAAGCGAAGGACATGCCAGTTACTGAGTGAGGTGCTGCATAAATCTATGAGGCAGGCACTTTTAGTATCATTTTATAAATAATAACACTAATCCTTAGGATGAATCATATGGACTAAAGTCATATTGATTCAGCCCCAGAAACAAGATTTCTAAATTAGTTTCTTAACTGAATCCTTCACTGTAATCAACTAAGTACATTGCTTCTTACCAAAAAAAGTTTGTCATAATAATAATGAGTAGAAAAATGGTTGTGAAAGGTTTTTGAATGCTATAAAAGATTCTATCAATGTAGAGTAGAAGAAAATGCTGATTTATAGTTTTCAAGCCTTTTTATATCAGCTTATTTAACTTACTGTCAGGAAAATATGCTGATTGTTCTAATAATTGGTTAATTGAGAGCATTCTGTATAAACCACACATGGGCTATCAATTTCAAAGAGTTACCAAAAAAAGTTTACTCCATCTCAGGGCTACTTTAATATGGTTTTCTCTGTCTTCGGTGGGCAGAGAAGACCTTACAAGAATATCACGAGCTTGGAATCTGCCTAACTATATTATTGTACAATAAGCACACATTAATTAAGCAGTACCAATAATCAACATGAAAAAATAAAAACAAGCTTTTACTATTAAAGCATTACTATTGATTTTTATAAACACCAAAATAATATCCCTCCTAGGCCCATTACACAGGTAATAATAACCATTCATTTAATTAATACTGACACAGTAAAAAATTTAGAGTACTTATAACACCCACATTAATATCAAGAAGGTTCATTAGAGCTAATACTACAATAAATATAAAATGAATTAGTAATGATTACACCATTGTTTTAAAGCATTCTTATTTGTACTTTTGTATTTACTTTAATCACCATCACTCTAAATGGCAGTGAACAAAAGCCAGGCTGGGCATATTTATGTAGAAATAATGAGGCATATAAATGCAACTCAGTGAAAGCCATGCACATCTTATCTGCATTTGTTCATCAACACACCCATTTGTGTGGAAGGTTACTAAAAAAGACATACTCTTTATAACATTTGTGAGGAAAATTAAAATCATCTTGCAATTGGTCCTCCTCTTTGGTTTGAAATTGTTCCTTCTGAATACCTCCATTCTGATTCAAGATGCTAGCAGAGTGCCTGGCACACAGTAGGAAGATCATAAATATTTGTTAAATAATGTCCATGCCTCCATGTTACATTCTCGTCTGGAAGGACTACTGGCTACACTTGAGTATGTTTAATTTTAACTTTGATTTCAAAGAATCTGTTGATGATTGTCTACATTTACAATCAATGTTGGACAGATTTTATTTACTAGGGGGCAAAAGGGAAAAGGAGAGAAATCTCTCTATTTCTGCCAGCTAACCAAAGTGGGGCAAAGAATGTAATAGATAACTCCTTCTTTCAGAATGGGTCAGTAGAGAGGAAAATCAAAAGAAAAAGCTATAAAGGTGTATTTTACATTCTCTTTTCCCATTCCTTCTTTCATTTTTTTTTTTTTTTTTTTTTTGGAGATGGAGTCTTGCCCTGTCGCCCAGGCTGGAGTGCGGTGGTGCAATCTCGTCTCACTGCAAGCTCCGTCTCCCAGGTTCACACCATTCTCCTGCCTCAGCGTCCCGAGTAGCTGGGACTACAGGCGCCCGCCACCACGCCCAGCTAATTTTTTGTACTTTTAGTAGAGACAGGGTTTCACCGTGTTAGCCAGGATGGTCTCGATCTCCTGACCTCGTGATCCGCCCGCCTCAGCCTCCCAAAGTGCTAGGATTACAGGCGTGACCTACTGCACCCCGCCCTCTCTTCCCATTCTTTATGGCTGAATCATTATCTTTTAGGATGTCAGGAAGCTGATTGTTTCAATTACTCTGATAAAAGAAGGCAAAGAGGAAAAGAAACAACAAAACTCTCCTCTCTTCCTTTTATACCCTTGCTAATGACAAACATTTCCACATGGGCTCTTACAGAATCTTAAGTCCTGATTACATCTGAACTAGAGCTGAATGGATAACATAGTTAAGTTGCTATTATTTTAAAAAGTTACTTGTATTTGCTCTTAAGTACTGGGTAGTCAGAAACCTGCCATTTTATGAATATTGACAATGTGATAAAGGGACAATTCCTCCAAAATAAGTCACAGAGTCCTGAGCATCTTGGAGGGGAAAATGTGGGTGTTTTTGGTGGGTAGAAAATGGATACTTACTTGTCTTTGGAGATCGGGTTCTCTTTGGAGTTCGCATGCTGCTGGATGAATGCTGTCAAAGTCCTGGCCCATGCTTGCTTGCCCTCTAAATCCTCTGCCCTAGCTTCTTGTTGCTTTGATTTTATGTTCTCTCTACTCACATGACTATTTGTCCAGCAGAGAAGCTAAGGATTTGCTAACTGTGAAGAAAAAGATTATGTGTTTCACAACACTGCAAGCCTCGAAACCACAGAAGCAGTGAGCAAGCTAACATTTATTCTAAAGATAAACATGAAATCCAGGTAAAGAAACAAAGCACAATTTATTATCCTATTGATCACTAAGAGACTAATGTCTTTTCCTTTCCTAAAGACATTTATCCAATAAGCTTTGTATACACCACAGCAACAATCTGTAACCCATTACAGAAGTGTCACTAACATAGCGTTAATTACCACAGTATGTGACTTGGAAATGGTATCTTGAGTAAAGTGGGATATTTGGTCCACAGCCCAACATCAGGGTCTTTTTTGTCTCCAGCTTGAGGCCATTCTCCACCTCTGGGTCAGGAAATAGGATATTCTAAGGAGTTAAGAAGTAGGTTCCTGATGTTTCTTCCTTTCCTTTCTCAGTTTATACCTCCAGGTCAACACTCTCATCTGATCTCAGAAGAATTCATCATTTTTTGAGGACCTACTTTGTGCTAGGAACTTTATGTAAATGTGTTCTTTTAGTCTTTATCACTCTGTAATATGTTAGTGTACTCATTTATCGGTGTAATTCTATGTATATAACTCAATAAACTGATAATACAAAAAGAACTTTTAAATTGGTATGCCCACCTCACCAAAGCTCTTTTTATTTAGTCATGAAATTTCATAACTAAAGGAAGTTCACAAATTGAAGACTAAAGATTAAATAACACAGGTAATAAATGACACACAGCATTACCATTAATTGCACAGAGCCACCTTTGCAGCCACTCCTGTGGGAGGTTATTTGTAATTACATTGTATGCTAGACCTGTATGTGAAGTGAACAGACTTTTTCTCACCATCCTGGTCAAAAATATTTTATTTAATACCAGATCTAAATACAGACTATTTTGCTAGATACTAGAGAAGTTTTAAGGCTTTTGTCTAATATGTGAGAACACAAGTCTTTCTCATTTTAGATCAAGCTATTACCTCTCTTCAATTTGCATGTTAGCTTTTAAGAGCACTCTTGGAAATCATAAACGTACCCAGGCACTCTGCCACCATCTACTTTGGTCTGTAGCATGATGGAAAGGAGGGTGAGAATAGGGAAAGTGGATAGATGAGAATCAAAATAGATGATGCTCTATTCTAAATAAATTAGGGAGAAAGAGAATGTAAGAAGAAATTTTAAAAAGTGAAAGGTTAATACTGATAATAATAATAATATCTAATCTGTCAGAGTTTACTATGCAGACACAGTGCTAAATGAGTTATACACATTATTCATTTAAATCCTCAGGATAATCCCTTCATTTAGGTGCTATGATGATCCCCAAATTGCTAATGAGACAGCTGAGGTTTAAAAAAGTTAGTATCTAATCCAAACTAGCTAGTAGATGACATCTGGATTCCAACCCAGAATGCTTGCACCAGTGCTTGCACCTCTAATCATTATGTGTCAGGAAGCAGAAGGAGATAAACAGAACCAGCAATTACTTCATGGAAAGAGCAAATATAAGCCTGTGTTCCTAATGCCACTGGCATACTACAGAATTAGGAGCCAGTATTCAGGAGGGGGCTGATCCAGGCAACTGTCCCATTTGTTGTTTTTGCAGTCATGTTGATTGTCTCTCCCTCTCTCTCTCAGGTTAAATATTCATATTAGTGGAGAAAGAATGGGCTAGACAATAAACAGTTTTGGAGCAAAAGAAAAATTTAGCCAACTTCTTATCGAAGTATAGCATGCATACAGAAAAGCAACGATTAGATGTTTAGTTCAATGAGTTTTCACAAAGTGAACATACCCCTGCGTAACAATTCCCGTGTAATACCAGAGACACCAAGAAACAAAACTTAGCTAGTCCTCCAGCAGTCACTCTCATCCCAATCACGAATGCCCCTAAGGTGTAACCACTAATCTGATTTTAAAACTGTGAATTAGTTTTGCTATTTTTAGATTTTATATAAATAGAATTGCATGTTGTAAATATTTTATGTTGGCCGGGTGTGATGGCTCACGCCTGTAATCCCAGCACTTTGGGAGGCCAACGTGGGAGGATCATATGAGGTTGGGAGTTCGAGACCAGCCTGGCCAACATGGAGAAACCCCGTCTCTACTAAAAATACAAAATTAGCCGGGCGTGGTGGAGCATGCCTGTAATCCCAGCTACTCCAGAGGCTGAGGCAGGAGAATCACTTGAACCTGGGAGGCGGGGGTTGCAGTGAGCTGAGATTGTGCCATGCACTTCAGCCTGGGCAACAAAAGTGAAACTCCATCTCAAAAAAAAAAAAAAGTATGTTTCATTCCTTTTATTTAACATTTTGTCTGAAAGCATGAATATATGCTGTAGCAACTAGCAATAGTTTATTCTCTTTGATGTGTAGGGCATGTTGCATAGATAAATCGTAATTGATTTATCCAATACACTGTTGATGAATATTGGGATTCTTTACAATGTTCAGTGTAGACTAGAGAGAAATCCTAGAGTTTAGAAATCCAAGGTAGGCGGTTTGATAGGAAATGAAGCCAGAATTCTAAAAAACATAAGCTAATTGCACAGAAGAAACAGTAGAAATTTGCCTGTGTAGGCCTTGACACTGGGTGATGAAAAATATAAATATAGTCCCTGAGTATTTGTAAACACAAGTTGGATGTATCTTTACAATCAAAATTCACAATACCTGAGTAGTCCTTTTCTAGGGCAACACAACTTCAATCCAGAATGAAAGTGTTTCCACAGATGATAAGTTCTAAGGAACATGAGCTTATAGTTAAGAGTGATGAAACCACCCAAGGAAATGAAGTCCCATGAGAGAGTGTCTTCAGACAGCTACTCTTTCCTGTCCTTAATATTTAAAAATATGAAAGAGAAATCACAAATAGGAACATATGAGAACACTATTTTTCAAAAGACCATACAAATTTGAAAAAGTATCCAAATAGAATGTTATAAATTGAACACACGAAAGCAAGGATTTAAAATTCAATGAACAGTTTGAAAAGAAGAGTGGACAGAAGAGATTATTTGTAAAGTGGAATATTAACCCAGGCATTACCCGGGCTATAACCTAGCAAAAGAAAGAAATGGGAAATATTAAAGCAAGATTAAAAGACATAGAGAATAAAAGGAGAAGTTTTAACATATCTAGTTGGTGTTTTAGGAGAGGATATTTGTGGAAATTGCTAAAAGGAAATATTCAAAATACAAATTTTTATGAACTGTTGAGAGAGAACAATTTTACAATTCAGAAGCCCAGCATATTCTGACAGGAAAAATAAAGCAAACAAGCCCTAGACCCATTATAGTGACAAAGCAAAGACAAAGTTGGAGAAAAATAATTTTCTATAAAGGATGGCAATTAGACTGACAGCTGACATCCTGACCTCAATAATAGAAGACAGAACACAGTGGGATAATATTTTCAATGTACTGAGAGATAGTAGTATATTTGAGTTTTTATACACTGAAAATCTTTTAGAACATAGGTTAAATAAAAATATTTTCTGAAAAATAACTGAGTTTACCACTAACAGACTCTCATTAAAGCAAATTTTAAATAATGTATTTTGGGCTCAGGGAATTTATCCCAAATATAAAATATAATATACAAAAAGGTATGGGAAGAAAGGATGTGTATAAATTAAAATTTGAGTAAATCTAAATAAATACTGATTGCACACAGCATTTATAATCATGTAATGGATGCTCAAAATTAAGGAATTGTAAAATTATTGCACTGTTTAGGTAAAGATAAAAGCTTCAATTTATTTAAATATATTTATGTTAAAATATGTAGACTTGTAATCAAAGAAGTAGTATAGAAAAATTCACTTTTAAACTAGAAAAAATAAACTTTATATATATTATATTTAGATTTAGATTATGTATTTATATTATGGTCAGATACATACCTGAAAAATAATGCTGATCAATTGATATCAATGATCTTCATATATAAAATTATAAAAATTATATTGAAAGACATTTAAAAATTTTAAATCAATACTATATTTATGGATAGAATTTTAAATTTGATTTATAGATTTAAAGCAATTGCAGTAAAAACTATAAGAATTTTGGCTAAAATTTGTTAAAAACAATTATAAAATAGTGCAGGTAAGAAAGTCAGGAATGGACAAGTCACTATTGTAGAAAAATCAGACAAAGAATCTATCCTATCAGTTGTTAAGACTTTTTATGAGGCTATAGTAATTAAGACAGTGTGGCATTTATTCAGATTGATAAATATAGCAAATAAATGAAATACTGAGCTCAGTAACAGACCCACTTAAATATGAAAATCTTAAGTGTGGAATTTGAATTGCAAATCAATGAAGAAAGGAGTACTCAAAAAAGTGGTAAATAAAAATATAAATTAAATCTGTAACTAATATATAACTAAAACTCAGCATTAGATATATTAAGGATATGAATATTTCAGAAAGAAACAAGTGTTTTCTGATATTGGGGTAGGAGAGCAGATCATTGTAAATTAGAAAAGAGAATATCAAAACTTTAGACTGCATGAAAAAATAACTTCTGCTAACCATAAAAAGAATGAAAGGGTATGCCACAAATGACTGGAAGATATTTCTGGCAATTTTAACCTATAAAGGATTAATAGCTAGAGAATACAAAGAACTACTATAAATTAATAGTATATATTTTTAAAAGGCAAACAAGCTCAACCAAATAAACAAGAAAAATTATGAACAAGCATTTTATAAGAGAAGAAAAAAAATGGTCCGTTTATATTTTAAAAGATTCCAACCTTGTTAGGTATCACGACAATGTAAATTATAACCACAAAGAGATTCAATTTCCCACAAATCAGATTGGCAGGATTAAGGCAGGCAGTACCACATGTTGCCAACAATGCAGATTAATGGTACATCTGAAACACAGCTGGAGGAAATGCATATTGGTAAAAGCCACATTAAAGCATTTGACATTTTCAGTAAATATTATCATGCACATCTCCTAAAGCCCAGCAATTCACTCAGGCAGAATTAACTTCCAGAGAAATTCTTACAAATGCACATTGAAACATGTTCAAGAATGTTCATAACAGCATTATGTATTCATTGCTAAAAGTTGAGAACCAGCTCAGTTGTCCACTAAGCATGTATAAATAAATTGAAATATTCTTACAATACAGCATTATATAGTGATGAGCATATAGTATATAGTATGATCCATAAATAAATAAATAAAATGAATGTATCTCAAAAAATAGTGTTACAGAAGAATGACTATATATATAAGATCTTGTTTTTATAAGACTAAATAATAGACAAATTTAAGTAGTATTTTATTTTTGATACATAAATACATGAAGATTTCATAAAGCAAAGCAAGGGAGAAAGAGGTCAAAGAATGAACAACGAGGTAGCAAGGCAGAAAAAAAATTAGGGAGTCGGACTTCAAAATCTCTGGGAGCATTCCATTTTATAAGCTATGTGGCAAGGACCTAGATGTTAGCTTTGTTTTTCTTTAAATTGTGTATATGAATTGTACACACTTTTTTCTACTTTAGGATTTAAGAAAATGATTTTGTGCCAGTACAGCAACAGAAGAGAAATGAAAATAAGAATTATGAGTGAATCAACTCTATGTACATGTAAGAAACATCATGAAATTACCAATGATTAACCTAATCATTGGCAAATGATTAGGTTAGTCATTGGCAAAGAAGAATTTCAACAGACTTCTTTATCCACAGATAATTATCCACAGATAATTAATTTATGAGAGATTTTAACTTCCTTTTTTATTGTTTTTAGATGACTTTATTGTACTTTAAAAATAATGCATGCTTATTATTTAAAATTCAAACAATACTATGATCTACAAATTGTTAACTAAAAAAGTAGTTATGCAAAATGTTATCATCCCAAAATAACAACTGTTAACATGGGATGATCATATGTACCCAGGGAATAATAAGAAATTAGAAGGACATAAAATTACTTATACTGCTTTTAAGTTAAAAAGCATTTAAAGTTAATTTTAAGTAAGTTTGATCAAAAAATGAAGCTAAAGTGAAAAAGGAATGCTGAAATGCCTCTTCAATATTATCATCTCATTCTATAGTTTTATCACTTGATCTTTAAACTCCCCCTGTATTTTCATAGGATGAAGCATATTATGTTTCTTTTACTTTTCTTCATAACAAATATTCTAACATTTCAGAGGGTTATGCCATTAATTATGTTCTTTTCATGTTCAACATGAGAAAACATAATGACTTTAAAAGTAATTGATATAGTTTGGCTTTGTGTCCCCACCAAAATCTCATGCTGAATTGTAATTCTCAATGTTGAAAGAGGGCCTTGGTGGGATGTGATTGGATTATGGGAGTGGACATCCACCTTGCTGTTCTCGTGCTAGTGAGTTCTCACGAGATCTGGTGTTTAAAAGTGTGAAGCACTTTCCCCTTCTGTCTCTCAGGCAGGCCATGTGAAGACGTAGTTGCTTCCCCTCTGCCTTCTGCCATGATTGTAAGTTTCCTGAGGCCTCCACAGCCATGCTACCTGTACAGCCTGTGGAACTGTGAATCAATTAAACCTCTTTTCTTCATACATTACTCAGTCACAGGTAGTTCTTTATAGCAGTGTGAGAACAGACTAATACAGTAATGGAATCTCTGTAGGTCTTTGATAGGGTGTTTTAAAAGTCCATAAAATACAAATTAAGTTTTCTCAATAAAATTTTTTCTGTTTCCAGACATTTTTGACAGCCTCTATTCGCCATGACAAAGTGTGATAGAATCGCCATGATTTCTACCTATCGACCTTACCTAGCTAATGATCTTCTCCCCTGAAGATACAACTTGCTGACTGGGCATTGATGTCACAGAAGATGAGATTATGTTTGCCTGCCTCTGTGTGTGTGTTTGTGTGTGTGTGTGTGTTTGTGTATGTGTGTGTGTGTGTGCATGTGCTATAAGGTAGAAAAGGAGGATGATAGAAAACTTATAGGGACTCTCTCTCTCTCTCTCTCCATCCCTCCCTCCCTTTCTCTCTCTCTTTCTTGTCTGATGGCCTATATCAAAGTCAACTCCACATTTTTGGGTATAAGCTACTAAGGAGGCATAAGTTAGATATTGTCATCACTAACCTATTTAAAGCAAATTTTGTGTCAATTGAGGGCTTTTTTAAATTTTATTTTTTAATTTTTTGCTGAAAACAACATTGGTTAACTATTTTATACTTAATTATGTTTAAACTTATCCATTATCCTTCAGGCAGAAAGGAAAGCTTTTTTAAAAGGAAAAAGATCCTTGAAACCTTAAGAAATGGAACCAGAATTTTAGACATGCATGTGAAATCACTAATGTAAAGAATCCTTCCCTGGAGAGGGAGACTAATTCTTTGTTACAGCCCTCAATAGGTTTTATTTTGGAAATGCCTAGGATGGTCCATAAGTCCCATGCCAAATCTCCTATTCCTTCAGCATATTGAGATGATGCTTAAAATTCTGAAGTGCTCATAACTGAAGTTAGAATTCTTACCATGTACATAACTAATAATTTTCTGAAAGTAAGTTTTGTTCAGGGTGGGGATACATCTCGAGCATTTGGCATTTGAATTGGAGGAATCCTCTGAGGGTACAAGACGATCTGAGGACTCATGTGACAATTGACAGTTGTTTTACAAATTGGCTTAAGCTTGGCCTTGCTTCCCTGAAAAATGCTTTTTCCAACATCAACTATGCCTGTGTAGGACATATCCAATCAATGAATTTCAGCTGTCATCATGATCGACATGGATCACTGAACAATTGACTAGACTGTGATGATCAGTAATGATTGTGAATGTGTCTGAAATTAAAATATTGGATATACTATGGCCTATTCATTTCATGAATGTGGAATAGTCATTGAACCATGAATTTGAATTTCCATGCTGGTCACCTCATCCTATGCAGACCAGAACATTCACTTTCCTCTATTTTTCTTCTAAAAGAAGAAGAAATGTAAATGGCTATGTAGCGTATGTAGGTAAGCATTGAAGATACCTTTAATTTGATATTTTTAAAAGACAAAACAAAACATGCTCTAAAACAACTCACAAACATGGTGACTATTCTTGTCTAAGTGTACTTTATATATACCTTAAGTCTCCTATATAAACTCTGTGAGAGTAAGCACAGTATTAATTGGCTTACTCAACAGCTGTTAAGAAGGTACTACAATGTGTCAGGCAATTTCCAGGTGCAAAGATAAAATAGTGCTATGTCTTCTGCTGCTCCCATAGTCTAGTCAGAGAGAGACAAACTTGATGAAATAATAACATCAATAAATGTAAACTTTAGAAGAGTGTAAGTGAGTGTCAGTGAGGCATCAGGTGCAGGGAGTGCAGAATGGGAGAACTGGTTAAATTAGGCAGCAAGGGTGAAGTTTGCTGGAGAAACGATCATGAGTTGAGGCATGATATTAGAGTAAGATTTACTTAAGAAAAGTAATTAACTATGCCAAGAGAAGGATGGGGCTGAGGTGGATGCAAGAACAATCCAGACAGAGGAAAAAGTGCTTCTGTAGTTAAAATGGCAGAGCACATTTGAGAATTAAGAGAAGGCCAGTGTGGCAAAGGGTAGAAAGCAAGATCGAGTGACGTGAGGCAGGAGGCTGGAAAGAGAGTCAGGGACACTCAAATGCAGAGGCTTGGAGTAACATGACATTTGCCCCAGTGTGTCTGACACCCCACTTGGTGTCTGCTGTCTCAGTATAATTAACAATAGCACACCCTTTCATTCTCAAATGCAGTTTGAGTTTTCAGTTTACTAAGAAAATTATATGATCACTCTACTTAAAGGTCATATTAAAGATTTTGGTCTTTACCCTAACAATGGGAAATCTTTAAAATGCTTAAGCAAGAGAGTGATATGATCACACATAACATTTGAAAAGATCATCCAGGCTATACAGTGTACAAAAGGTTAATTGGGGCAATGGCAGATGCAGGGACACCAGTTAGGAGGCTGATGCCGGAGTCAGAGAAAGGATGACAGTAATATGAACCAGATGATACTAGAGGAGATAGAGTGAAAGAATTTGAGGCAAGTGTTCTGTACCAGTCTAATCATGTCTGCCTCAGCCTGGACAAGTAATCATACAGGCTTTAAAGCATGTATGATTTAAACTGCTTGCTACTCAAAACCAGAGAAACTGATGAGGAACCTTTTGCTAGAGATGAGAGAAAACTCAGAATGGTAGTTAGATCACACAACAGAAAGTCTGGTGGGGCGATTGGAGGCTAGGAATTGATGAAGGCTAGTGTCTTCATGTTCAATCATAATTATTCTGAAGCTGGAGGCCACCAAGGAGCTGGTCCCATAGTGGATTGTCAGGCATCTCCAGAAGAGTCTACAGCAGGGGTTCCCAACCCTGGAGCCATGGACAGGTACCGGTCCATGGCCTGTTAGGAAGCGGGCGGCACAGCAGGAGGTGAGCATGGGCAAGTGAGCATTACTGCCTGAGCTCCGCCTCCTGTCAGATCAGCGGAGGCATTAGATTCTTATAGGAGCACAAACCCTATTGTAAACTGTGCATGCAGGGGATCTAGGTTGTGTGTTTCTTACGAGAATCTAACTAATGCCTGATGATCTCAGGTGGAAGCGTTTTATCCTGAAACCCTACTCCCCCACCCCATCCATGGAAAAATTGTCTTCCATGAAACTGGTGCCTGGTGCCAAAAAGGTTGAGAATTGCTGGTCTACAGTGCTGTGGGGAGTTTGTAGGATTCATGTGTGAAACTTATAACTGCACATGGCCACAGAGTAGACAAATGTTTTCCGTTGATATTCACACTGAACTGACTTCTTCAATCTGCCCTCTGGCAAGGTATAGTGGAGCACAGCTTAAAGAATCAGAAACACAAGTCAGGCTTTGAACAATTTACAGCAAAATACTGCTGAACAGATTTAGGTTTCACCTCAAACTGAAGGGGTCATTGAAATACATGTTATTACTGAACCTTGTTTAAGAGGAGAAAGAGAAAGGGAACAACATGGCTGCCCTCAGGGATCAAGCCTAAAGAAGAAGGTTTCAGTCAGATATGCCATAATAACAAAGATGTGGAATCAACCTAAGTGTCCATCCATGGTGAGCGGATAAAGAAAATGTGTTATATACACACAATGAAATACCATTCAACTGTAAAAAAGAACAAAATTGTGTAATTGGCATCAACATGGATGGAACTGGAGATCATTATCTTAAATGAAATAAACCAGACACAAAAAGACAAATATTGCATGTCCTCTCTTATACGTAGGAGCTAAAAAGTTTGATCGTGTGGAGAGAGTGAGATGATAGATAACGAGACTGGAAAGGTGAGTGGGGGGAAGGGGTGAGGATGAAGAGAACTGGGTTAAAGGATGAAAATATACAGTAAGATGGCATAAATTCAATGCTTAATAGCAGAGTACGGTGGCAATGCTTAACCAAAATATATTGTAGTCAGTTGGTGGGCACCCTAAATACCCTGACTTGATCACTACATATTATAGACATGTAAGAAAATGGTTCACATACCCCATAAACTTGTACAAATAAAAAATAAATAAATAAATTGAAGGTGCCAAGGATGGCTGGATCAGCAAGAATTAATGCGAGAATGATCACAATTTAACAAAGCTGGGGACTCCTAGGAAACCCGTAAGGGACAGTTAAAGATGTGGACAAACTAGACTGTGATGACTCTTTTGCTTCTGATGTGCCAGATTTGATCTTAAATAGAGTGTCTGTGCAAGCCTGGACATTAAATTCTGGGTGCCTTACAGACCTCCGGATGATTATGCGATTTGCTGACACCTGCAAGATAGTCTCATACTTGAGGGTTGGTGATACCCGTGTGAGTATTTCACTGTGGCAAGAGGTACAAACAAGGGAGCGAACTGCATGGACACCCATCTCCCTTCTCTTGCTAGGTAGATAATGGAGAATGCTGGCGAAATTAAGTCTGAAACTGCTGGATTTGCTCTCAAGAACATTTTCTAATTCTTTGGCTTCAAGATACAATAGAAGAAACTGTGATAAACAATGCAGTTAAGAGAAGTAATGCCGGCCGGGAGCAGTGGCTCATGCCTGTAATCCCAGCACGTTGGGAGGCCAAGGCGGGCGGATCACCTGAGGTCAGGAGTTCGAGACCAGCCTCTCCAACATGGAGAAACCCCGTCTCTACTAAAAATACAAAAATTAGCCGGGTGTGGTGGTGCATGCCTGTAATCCCAGCTACTGGGGAGGTTGTAGCAGGAGAATCACTTGAACCCAGGAGGCGGAGGTTGTGGTGAGATGAGATGGCACCATTGCACTCCAGCCTAGGCAACAAGAGCAAAACTCTGTCTCAAAAAAAAAAAAAAAAAAAGTAACGGCATTTGAATTCTCTCTCTTAACCTAGCAGGACATAGGAAAGGAAGATTGCCTAGAAGAAAGCCTGAGTGTCCTCAGTGGGCACAATGTTTCACTAGGAAAACAGTGTGACAGTGATTTTAAAAAAATGTAAAGGTCTTTCCTCCATTCAGCAGTCATTCTGCTATTAATTGTTGAGTATCTATTGTACCATTCAGTGTTCTAGGCTGTGTAATTATAACTGTAGACGTGAAAAATATGGTTCCTGTCTCCCTGGCATTTACCCTCAAATAAGACACATGCCAGACAGACAGAAGACAGAAAATGAACAAATGTATACACAAATAAACAGAATTCTTACTTAGAGTTATGACTGATGTTAAGAAAACAAAATGGACTGACTGGAAGGAAGATTTGTCAGATAATGTTGGTAAGGGAAGGCTTCTCATTGCAGGTGATAACTGAGCTGCTACATGAATGAAAAAAGAAGACAATCATTTGGAGCTGGGAAGAAGATTCTGGTCATAGGACATGCAAGTGAAAAGGCCCTGCTTGAAATAGGAGACAAAAGGGAAGGCTAGAATGTGTGAGACATCCTGAGAGATGAGGGTGTGTTATAAAATGAGGTTGGGGGTTAGAAAGCAGGAACTAGGTATTGTAAGAATTTCCAGTTTGCCCCAAATACAGTGGAAGCCACTGGAGAGATTCAAGCAGAAGAATTTCATGATATAAATTACAAATTTTTTTTAAAAAATTATAGTTTCAGTTTTAAAAGCCCACTGTCAAGTATCAATAATTATGCGTCCAGTTTGAGGTTTGAGAAATGATTATTTCTGAATCTAGGATGATGGAAGTGGATGGATTTGTGACATGTTTTGAGTCAGAAAAGAAAGGCTTTGCTGATAGATTCAATGTAAGGATTAAGGAAAAGGACAAATTAGCTCTTCCCTTTAAGAAAGTTAGTGGATGATGGTGCCATTTGCTGATACAGGGCAGAATAGAAGAGGGAATCAAAGGTTCCACTCCAAGCATGTTGCTTGGAGTTAACATTTAAGTTGATAGTTGTCTATAAGAGTCTGTAGTGGTTATCAAACTCTATAGACACTGAATATGAAAATTTGGTGGGCATTAGCATATATATGTTATATAAAGCCATGGGATTGGAGGATCACTAGGGAAAATGTATTCAGTTGGAACACAGTTGGAAGGAACCAAGACCAGATTGTTGTATAGAACAAGGAGCAGGCCACAGTAGGTGAGTGGAAGAGGAAGAGAAGAAACAAGGTGAAGGAAGGAAAGAGTAGTTTTAAGAAGAGTGTAGAGGAGAATTAGGAATGATTGAAGCAGCTGCCCTGTGGGGTTGGATCTAAGGAATACAAATGGGTAAAGATTTGGTTTTCTGTGTGGCATACTGTCTAAGCTCCTCCCTAGTGCTCCCAAAAGATATATAGAGAAAACATTCATGATTTTTCAGGTATTTTGTGTGGACTCACATTTACTTTCCTCATGAATGCGTGGCAAAGTAGAGACTGGTTACAAGGTTATAGCTCAGTTGCTCGAAAGTTATTTCACTTAATTCACCAGATAGCCTTGTAAAACAAGTACTACTAGCACTCCCATTTTATGCTTGCCTATAAGATAGAATCGCTTTTGGATCTGAATTTATAATACCTAAAGGTTTTAAAAAATTATTTTCTTTTACCTTAGGGCTGCCCAGGAACTAAAACTAAAATCACAGATTTAATTTTTAAAGATTATTTGTCGCATCTTTATTTACTCAGAGAAAACAAAAAAAGAAATGGAGGGAGGAAGCACCTGTTTTTTTCTCTTGATTCTTGGCTCAAAAAACAGAGACCCTCATAGACTATACATCCAATCAAACAACCTGAATAGCTCTCCAAGAGCATAGGTCAAAGCTTTTATCTTTTTAGGTGGCTGTTCAAGGTTTTTTTTTTTTTGCTAAACTGAGTGTAATATAATCCTTGATGCTTCTATCAGAGGGATCCTGGGCTGAATAGCCAGGCAGTGTGTCATCTCTCTGTGGGGTTTCCATATCCCTGACCCCGTGTTCCAGATGTCTTACCTTGAAAGTTGGTTCTTACTTAGCATTTCAGATAGTTTTTTCCTTCTAGGTGCTATTTTAGTTCACAATGTAATATCATCATATTAACTAATGACCTTGGCTGTTACCAACTTAGATCATTTATAAAGGTAAGCTTAATATATACTCTGATAATTACATATAACTTTCTACTTGAAATTTTATAGTAATCCAGATTCATAAGCAATATTTTATAGCACACTTGCACCAGAAATAGAATAAAGTTTTTAAGCAGCTATGTTTCACCTTCAAAGAGTTGAGACTTACCTCATAAACTTCTCTCTGCCACCTAAAGATCATGTAAGTTGCCCAAGGTCACAGCTAAGAAATAGCAGTTAGGACTAACATTCAGACATTTCTGATTCCAGAGCCTTTGTTTTCGAACTTTCTGGCATGCTAAGTGCTCAACTCATGTTAGTCCCTTCCTAGTATGCGGTAAATGAATACGGTAGCCTCCCCTTATCCACAGTTTTGCATTCTGAGGATTCAGTTACCCGTGATCAACCCCAGCCTGAAAATATTGAAGGTAAAATTCCAGAAACAATTTGTAAGTTTCAAATTGCGTGCCATTCTGAGTAGCATGCTGAAATCTCATGCTCTTGCTATCTCTCAGCTACTAGGAAACTGATGGGCAGGTGACCACATTCACAGAGTTTTTATTATAGCATATTGTTATAATTATTATATTTTATTATTAGATACTGTTATTATTCTCACTGTGCCTAATTTATAAATTAAACGTTGTCATAGGCATGTATGTATAGGAAAACACATAGCACAATATGCATAGGTCATAGGGTTTAGTACTATCCACAGTTTCAGGCATCCATTGGGAATCAAGGGGGGATATACTGCATTTGTGAATGAAATAAATCAATAATTAGAGATTCTGAATTGTAGTTATACGTCTGTAATATACTGATCTTTAAGAAAAAAGTATATGAATATTATAGGTTTTATCACCTATACCATGGAAATAAATATTCTCTATTTGCCAGAATATGCCATCAATAAATACATTTTTGAAAAAAGCTCATGTAACTCTAGAGAAATTTTTGGAGTGCTAAATCACATTACATTAACTTAAACACATGTTACTTTTGTGCAAAGCTTGTTGTCAGGAGAAGCAGAAAAATCATTAGGACTTTGACAATCACATAGTCTAACAACCACTCCTCGCTAACACACACACAAACTTTTTGTCAGATAATTACGCTGAAAGTGACTTACCCACAGTCACTTAGTTAACTAGTGACAGAATTAGAACCAAAACTCAAATTTTCTAACTTGAGTTTTTGTAATCTTTCTATTATACAGCACTTTTCAATCATTACTATTGTCAATTCTACCTGCTATTTTGGATATGCGATATATTTGAAAACATAAATTAAGCATATGGACTATTTTTTATTCATATTTCCCCACCACCCCCAGCCTCATTAGACAAAAGCCTTTTTCGATGAGTTAACAAACCTTTTTTTTTTTCAAGAATATATGCAAATTGGATGTCTCAGAGTTTTACTTTAGAGACTGTTAGGCCGATTCTACAAATATGCTAAACACAAAGGAAAAGTTGATAAAGTAATTTTCACCTGCAATACAGAAAATACTCTCAATATTATTGTTTATTCAACTGACAACCTAAGTCTAGCATTGTGCAAAGCATTACAATTCTCATAAACATTTGGTGGGAGGGAATAGCATCAAAATTTGTCCTGACTTCTTGTGCTTCCTGCAACCCACAGGATAATGCTCATTAGAAAGTTTCCTTTTGTCTTTTCATGCCGAATAATAAATTTATATATTCTGTGTTTCTATATACTATTGCTATGATTATGACAGATTTCTGAATAATTTTCATTACCAATTACTCTCAACCTCAGGTGAACTGAGAAAATCATTTCATCATAGGCTAAGACACTCCTTTATGTAAAGGTAGAAAGGAATTACTTTATTATGAAGTGACACAGTAGAATGCAATAAAGCAATTTGTGATCAGTTTGAATGAGATGAGTAAGAAAGAAAACAAAATCTTTGGCACTGGGAGTGTCTGCCTCTTACTTTGATATCTTTTCTAATACTGCAGAAGCAAGTTGGGTCACTTCTCCTCCTCCCAGGCTGTTCACTTACCATCTGTCAGTGTTGAAAAAATACAAAGAATACTGTGCAATTATTTTCTTTATGAAAAACATGAATGCACACTTTCCTAGAGCTAAAACTTTCTTAGAACAGCATAACCAGCTGCAAACTCTGCTTCTAGAAAGTCAATGTAATACTTTCTGGATCTCTTAGTACTTATTTTTTCCAAAAGCACCTTATCAAGAACAAGACAGCATATATCCATATAGTTAAACACTTTGCAAGTGTTGAAAAAATGCAAGATGTCCAATATATTTTGTTAAGTTAAAAAAAAAAGGCATAGAAGAAAATGTTATGTTATTCAGTAAATAGAATACCATTTCTATAAACACACATGCATACACACACACATACATATAATAAATCATTTTGGGAACAGGAATGAATTTGTTTCACAACAGTGGAGGCAATGAAACTTTCTTTCTTTCTTTTTCTCTTCTGCCTGGTAGAAAGTTCAGTCTCAGTAATATTTTGAGTTTTCCTCTTCTTTCCTTAGATTATTTTAGAGGTCTAGGGGCTTAAAAGTCATGAAAATTGGAAACAAATTCTGTCCCTGCTTCTATAATGACTACTAAGGAGATGAACCTTGCCCAAGTCTAGGTATTTTGGAGAATAAGTAGCTTTGTTGTTCATAGAATTCTCTCCTTCCAAGTCCACTCAGCCACCAGGAAATTTGTTAGGCTCCAAACATCAGGGCCCTTACAACTCCTTTCCATTCCCCTCATGAGTCTCTCCTGTATGGCTTCTGCATGTCTTCAGGCACTGTGTGGCACTGGTCTAGCACTTTATCAGCTACTGAATCTAGCATCTTCCCTTTATCTGTTTCATTGAACCCAACCCCTTTCTTCAGAGGTCTGCCACTCATTTCTTACTCAATTCTATTGATTCTTTCTTTTTCCCTGGCTCCTAGGAGACTATGAAATCTAAGCCTTTAGGATAAGAATATCCCTTCTTAAATACAAATGCACATACAGTTATGAACAAAATTATTCATTGCAGAAGTATTTATTCTAGCAAAATATTATAAATAACTTAAATGCCTAGTAGAAGACTGATTAAATAAACTATGGAAAATCAGTACAATGGAATAATATACTGCTATGCAAAAGCATGAGTTGATCTCTATGAAGTGATAGGAAGTGATTTCAAGGATAGACTGTCAGGTGAACAAAGTAAGATGCACATGCGCATATACAGAAAGATTAAAAACCATGAATATATAGTGTGAGTTGGTAGATGCTGCTAATTTCACCAAAAAAAAAAAAAATGAATGCCTAAACTAGATAGTTTAGACTATGCAACAACAATAACTGTTACCTATAGGGGTAAAGAATGTGGTAGAAGGGATAGAGATAAGAATGAAATGTCTCTAATATATTTTTAAATATAGTTTAACATTTGAAACATATAAATATTTTTAAATTAAAAGAATCAAATCTGAAAAGATGTGAAAACCTAACCATATAATTGAATACAAACAGAAACAAATAAACCTAATTTTTAATCAAATTGATAGTATAATCACACAGAAAAAATATTAAGCTACTAACAAACACAGCTTCTATATTCTATACCCTTAATGGAATATAGTCTAAAGAAATAAAAACTGGGAAAGAAATTTTAAACTCTACATCGTGGGTTTTTTGCTTGTAGTGCCATTAGAGTACTAATCTGAAATGTTTTCATACATGATAGAAAACACTAGTAAAAAGAATGATATTTGAGAATCAGGTTCCTCACTATGGGGAAAAAAGAGATATGAATATGGAATGGGGAGGAGATGAAGAAGAACTCTAACTGGAGCCACCCATATGAACTCATGATGTTTTCAAAGATAAATATTCTAACTGGTTGCTCAAAGAACCTAGAAGCCATAACATCCTAGCAGCAATGAGTACACCTAGTGCCAAGATCTTGGTTTCTAAATACCACTCCTATCTAGAAGAAAACAAGACTGCTAGAAAAGATGCTTGATTTCAAGTGTAGACAGGGAAAATTCAGAGTACACCTAGAAAATCCTGCACTAAAGCACTCCAAGAATGATGCAGTCATGTGCACAAGAAACAAAAGTCAGCCTATGGGCTTTCATTGGCCAAATTGCCTATAATTTCAGCATGAAAAGGAATAATGACAGTAATAGATTATAACACATTGAACAAAGAAAGAATCCGTGAGATCGCCCCAAAATGTGCGGGAGACAGAAGGTAAATCTTTTATTTAAATAAGAATGACAACTAATAAATGTGAAAGGAATGAAAAAATTAGGTGATCATCCTTTTGCTCGAACACCAAGATTGGGGCATTATGGAGGGACAAGAAGTTCACATGTTTCAAAATATACCACAGAGTATTTCCTGGTTGCAAAAGGAAAACAAGGAGATATGCTCTCACAGTTCCAAATAATCAAAGTAAATATTACTAATAATGAGACAAACAGACATTATGTGCCTTCTGATGTGATGCAATGCAGAATCCAAGAAGTGCCTCTGTAGTATTCTTGCAGAAAATGTTTAACTTGAATATAATAATGAGTCTATTGGGCTAATCCAGAATTGAAGGCATCCTATGCGTCAATTCATCTGGATTTCTGGATTCTTCAAAAATGTCAGCATCATGTAAAACAAACAAAAAGGCAAGGGGCTGTACTAGATTAAAGGAAACCAAAGTTAGATGGCAAATAGATGCCAAATGTGATTCTTAATTGGATTCTAATTCAGGGCTGTAGGCAGGAAAGGGACAGCTGAGAGATGTTTGGGGACTACTGTCTATCAGATGATAGTACTCTGTCATTGTCAGTTTGAGAGTGTGGCAATGCTGTGTTTATGCAAGAAAATGTCCTTGTTCTAAGGGGACATATGCTGAAATATAAAGGGGTCAAGTGTTGTCAAAATACTTGTATATCTGCAACTTACTTTCAAATAATTAGGCAAAGTAAATATATGTGAGAGAAATAAAGTAAATGTTGCAAAATGTCAATAACTGGTGGATTCAAGTTGATATTGTGTGGGTATTCACTGTGCCTCTCTGTAGGTTGGAAATTTTTGAAAATAAAAAGTTTAGTGTAACAAATTTTAAATAAAAAATAAAAGTAAAATTAAAATGACTAAAGATAAAATTTTAAAATTTGAAAGTGAAAAGATAGGAAGACTCAGTTGTTTTGGGATGGTGGCAATGACAGATTGAAGTGCTCAGATGGAGAAAACCACTTCTCTTATTTTTATTCTTATCCAACAGCTGAATATTACATAGAGCTAATTTCCCTGTGAGATTATTCTGCTACATTAATACATACAGGAAAAAGAAAAAACTCTTAAAGCTTTTGCACAAAACCACAGATAAATAAAGGATATGAGAATGTGTGTGTGTTGTGGGAGGGGGCGTTCATGTGTGTTGGGGTGGCAGGTAGAATGAATATGGAATTCTTCCACCAACTAAGTCACAGGTTGGCCAACTACTGCCTGTAGGCCATCCAGCTCGCTGTTTTTATAAATAGAGTTTATTAGAATACACCCATGCTCATTCACTTATACCTTGTCTGTGGTTGCTTTCATGCTACAAAGGCAGATTTAAATAGCCATCACAGAGACCATATGACCTGCAAAGCCAAAAATATTTACTATCTGGCCCCTGATCTAAGTCATACCTGTGCATATTTGAAGTTTTGACAGATTGAATATGTTTTTGCTTCACAATAAAAAAAAAAAATAGAAGTCAACTGTGGTGGCTCACACCTGTAATCCCAGCACTTTGGGGGACTGAAGTGGGAGTATGGCTTGAGCCCAGGAGTTTGAGCCCAGCCTGAGCAACATAGAGAGACTCTGTCTCTATCAAAAATAAAATTAGTCAGGGGTGGTAGCCTGCACCTGTGGTCCCAACTACTTGGAGGCTAACATAGGAGGATCACTTGAGCCCAGGAGGTCGAGGCTGCAGTGAGCAATGATCATGCCACTGCACTCTAGTCTGGGCGACAGAGTGAGACCCTGTCTCAAAAACAAGAAAGAAAGAAAGAAAGAAAGAAAGAAAGAAAGAAAGAAAGAAAGAAAGAAAGAAAGAAAGAAAGAAAGAAAGAAAGAAAGAAAGAAAGAAACCAGTACAGTATGATATGCACGCTATTCAAGGTTTGGCTTTTCCAGACTTCCTTTATGAAGGATATATAAGTTGGCTTTCTAGAAAGAGGAAAGGTATAAATGAAATAAGCACATAAATAACAGAAATACTGGAGTATTCATTTAAAATAGTACATTAGGACAGATGGGCAAAGTGTTTGATAAGATTTATTTTACATTGCTCAGTGCTTATAAAAACTATGAGCTTACTTTTCCAGGAATCATAAAACAAATTTGCTGAATCATTTGCTAATTCCACTGGCGCCTTGGGAGAAATGTGTCAAGTATTTTGGAGTTTTTAAAATTCAGGTTCAGAAAGGTTAAGTAGCTTGCCAAGCAACACAGCACAGCTCAGCAAATTACTGGAAAGAAAAAAAAAAAAACAGGAAGCCATATACTTGAATCTTGGTTTAACTTACCCATACAAAAGTCAAGAAATTCCTCTGGGACCTTTACATGAGCTAGAACTTTCTGTGTTTTAGAAAGGAGAAAGCACTGGCTATCACCTGGAAAATGTGTGTTACTAACTAGTTTTAGAGGATTAGCTCTGCCCGCTTTAAGAAGGTAACCAAGCCTAGTTGGTAACCATGGATTTAAAAAGGTTTCTGGATTCCAAATAAAAGAAATCAAGATTGTTCTGATCCTCTAATGTAGCTGTCCCCAACCTTTTTGGGACCAGGGACCAGTTTCATGGAAGACAATTTTTCCAAGGACCGTGCCGGGGGATGAAGTGGTGGGGGGTCCTGGGGGGCTGGTTTTGGGATAAAACTGTTACACTTTACATCATCAAGAATTAGACTCTCATAAGGAGTGCATAACCTAAATTCCTTGCATGCACAGTTCACAATAGGGTTCGCACTGCTATGAGAATCTAATGCTCCAGCTGATCTGATAGGAGGCGGAGCTCAGGCAGTAATGCTCCTTGCCCGCAGCTCACCTCCTGCTATGCAGCCATGTTCCTAACAGACCAAAGACCAGTACCCATTTGCGGCCCAGGGGTTGGGTACCCTAGCTGTAATGCAGTGCATCATTGTTTTGATGAAAAGCAGACAACAGATTATCTCACCACTCAGCAATTTCTTCCTTAAAGAAACAAGGACTAAAGTGAGTGGAAAGCTCAAGTCTGTTTCACTACTTTTCTTAGGTGTGTGGAAATGGAAGAATTGGCGACACCCCTCACCTTATTGCCCTCTTCCACACAGCTTTCATCCCTGGCAGGCATGGGAAAAAGGAAAGCACAAGCACTTTGCTTTTATTCTCTTTTTTTAAAAGTCTAGCCTCAACTTCATCCTGTAAGGAACTCCACAACATGAATTGTACAGCAGAGCTTGCTCTGCCCAGACACAAGGTAGCTGTACTGTTGCACCTCACATCAATCAGTCACTGGCTATGGGCTGTATCACCTTCTGGGTGATCCAAGCAAGTTGATTTATATAAGCTTATGTGGCTCCCATCAGCCCATGGCAATCCTCTAAGAAGAGGCAAATATAAGCTATTATCAGCAGCTGAGATAAAGTTACGCTATCCTGATTAAGGAGATCTGAACAGGGCACCAACAGCATCTATATCAGTAGCAAAATAGCCACTAAACATATTAAAGTGTGCTTATGCTCATTGGTTACAAAAATGAAAATTAAAACTCAATAAGCATTTGAGGAGCTGGGCACCATGGCCCATGTCTATAATCCCAACAGTTTGGGAGGCCAAGGCAGCAGGATTGCTTGAGTCCAGGAGTTCCAAACCAGTCTGGGCAACATAGTGAGACCCTGTCTCTACAACAAATTTTAAAAAGTATCTAGGTGTGATGGCTCACACTTGTTGTCCCAGCTACTCTTGAAGCTGAAGCGGAGGATTGCTTCAGCCCAGGAGTTCGAGGTTGCAGTGAGCTATCATCCAGCCACTGACCTCCAGCCTGGGTGCCAGAGCCAGACCTTGTCTAGAACAAACAAATGAACAAAAAAACAGTGAGACGCCATATGCTCTATATGCATTAAAAAGAATGTATATTCTGCTGTTATTAAGTGTAGGGTTCTATAAATGTCAATTAAGCCAAGTTGATCGTTTTTCATCTCTATATCTTTTCTCCCTCACTGTCTGTTTGTTCAATCAATTACTGAGGAAAGAGTATTAAAATGCTCAATTATGATTGGGTTCTTTTCTATTTGTCTTTCTATTTCTGACATTTTTGCTTCATATACTTTGAAATTTTTTATTAGATGCATACATATCAATGACTGATGCATTTTTAATGGATTAACCCTTTTGTCATTATGGCATGTTTTTCTTTATCTCTAGCTCTACTTCTTGTTTTGAAGTTTTCTTTGTGAGATATTGATTGATTAATTAATCATATTTCCAGATTAAAGAAATTATTTTTTTAAAGAATAAATGAAAAGAAAGAAAAGAAGGAAATGGAAGGAAGGAAGGAAGGAGAGAAGGAGGGAGAGAAGAATGGAGAGAGAGGGAGGGAGGGAGGGAGGAAAGAAGGAAGGAAGGAGGGAAGGAGGGAGAGAAGGATGGAAAGAGAGAGAGGGAAGGAAGGAAGGAAGGAAAGGGAAGGAAGGGAAGGAGAAAGGGAGGGAGGGAAGGAAGGAAGGGAGGGAGGGAGGGAGGGAATGAAGGAAGGAAGGAAGGAAGGAAGGAGGGAAGGAAGGAAGGAAGGAAGGAAGATTGATTCCTTGGCTCCTTCCTCCATATGTGTTGGCTACCTAGTGAGTAATACTTAGGCCTATGCTGACCCTGTGCAAACACCAATCTCAATATTATTCTTCAGGAAACTCACAGAGGCATTAAATAATAACCAATAAGTCCACCTTCTAGAAATCACGGTACATGGGCTCACTTAGAATTTGAGTCTATTCTAAGTTCCTCTTAAGTATACAGTATCCCAGACTTTATTTATTCTTTGTGACTGAGACTCCATCATGATACATCTTCATCTGAATACAGAGTCTCAAAATTCAGTTTTCAAAATAAGACAGTAGTAGGATTAGCATTTCTTTCTTTTAGAAAACTGGAGCTTTGGAGGAAAAGAGGTCAGGGTGGGCAGGTGGGGAGGTTGTATCTTAGCCATGCTCCATGCATTATAAGCAAATGTATGTCTTGATGAACTATTTTTCACATCTTTTTGTAAAAAGCTTGATAATATCCAAATTAGTTAGACTGGCCAGGCACACATCCAGGTTTCCTAATATGTGTACTTTTTTTAAATAAAAAGTACTTTGTAGTTGTTCTAAAACTATATAAACAATAAAAGGATTGTGAAAAGCAAATTTGTGTGGTATAATAATCTGGGGTGCGTTGTTTTTTAAAGTAATATTGTTGCTTTGACAGCCTTTTAATGCTGTTTTTGCTCTGACAACTTTATTTACAATAGATTCAACTTTGCACCTGATATTTGTCAAAATCAAACCCTGAATCAGAACCTGGGTTTATCCAGGTTCCTCCAAAACTACACTAGACACATTCCTCATTAGGCATCTGTTTATTCCAAAACACATGCATACACAGGGGATAGAATTAGATAACACTTTTTTGGCTTACTAAATGGGTTAGACTTAGTAAATATGGTACTCGCTTTTCAACTGATTCTGCCATCTGTCAGCAAACTTATTGCTTTTAGCAGGGGTTTTTCTTGTGATAATTTACAAGTTGTTTTTCTTCCTTTGTTCTTTTCATGAAGATACATATCCTTAAAATTTAAGGGGGAAATAGCACATAAAATAAATTCATCCACAAAACAGAAAAGCAAAGACCAAATGGCTGCTGGAGAGTTAAATGGCTCATGAAATTTAACCACAGAAGATTTTTTTTTCTTCTTATGGGGATGGAAGGAGAGTGAGTCTCAACATTCTGCAGGTGACTTCTCAGTCCCAGCTCCAGCTGGGAGGCATCTGTACAAGAGAAAACAGCACACAGTGGAAGGAATTCATTTCTTAGCAAAAGATGCAAACAGGGAATCTAGTGGCAGGGGAGTCTCCAATAAAGCCACCTAGTTTTTGGTTCTGCCCTTCTGCCTTGATAATAATAGTTTACTTTTGCACAGTGCTTGCTCTATAACTTAAACTAGTAGCGGTTATTGTATTTTGTGTCTGCCACTTCCTAACTTGCCCTTGGGCAAGTTACTTAGCCTCTCTAAGCCTCAGTGTTCCTGAGAAACAAGTAGAATAACATAATATGTTTGGTGTGGTGCCTGGCATTTATGATGTGTTTAAAAATTACCAGTAGCTAAAACTGACACATAGTCTTGTAAAAAGAATAAGCTCCTGGATAGAACTATGTCTTATTCACTTTTAAACGTTTCGTGCTTTCCCCAGCACCCAGAACATAACAAGCAGTAACTATATGTTGAATGAATGGATAGATGGATCAATGGGAGGAGGAATATGTAAGAAATCACATAATTTTCATTCTCAAAGCAAATCTATGAATCAAATATTATTTCCCACATCTTATAGATGAGAAAATTAGGACAAAAAGTTTCCATGACTCGCCAGTCTCTCAATATTAGTAAGTGAATTGAGACTCAAACCCAAGTCAGTCATTATTCTTGTTACTAAAGAGAAGCTCTTGCAATGTTACCAGAGTTCACATCTAATCAATTTTTCTGGTTTGCATACATACTTTTAACCAGATATTTTCCCCGTATAGTGACTACAAATTTAAAATGTAGTTAGAGAAGCTGAAATTTCCTTCCCGTTCTATTCTTTTAAGAAATCCACAAGTATAATTGTTACTATTTATTGACTGCCATGCAAAGTACATATTTTATTTCTGTTCCCTACAACAATTTTAAAGGTTAGTAGGTATTATTGCTCACATTTCATGGGTGAGCAAACAGAAATTCAAAGAGGTTAGGTAACTTACTCAAAGTCTGCCTAAGAAATGCTAGAGCTGAGCTTGATCTGAGTTTTAAGGATTCTTTCCTCTATGCCAGTGCTTTCAAATTTTAATGTGAATACATCTGTTAAAAATGCAGATTCCAATTGTGTGGGTCTGATGTGGAACCAAAGATTCTGCATTTCTAACAAGCATCTAGGTGATGTCCATGCTGCTGGCCCATGGACCATGATTTGAATAGCAAAGCTCTTTCCCACGTTACCTTCCCAAATTCAGAGATCCAGACATTCACCTTTGTTTCTTAGTCATCTCATGGCCAGAATCCTGCATACAAAAATAATGTTTTGCTTTCTTCTAGTTTGTGTGGATGACTTACCATAACGGTCCTTCATATATTAATTAATAACATTTCTTCTTTCTCTACGATCCAACATAATGTAACAGAAATTTTGGAGTAGCTGCAATTGAAAACTTTTTTGTCCACTATTTTATTCACTTCCTTAAATTAGAAGATTGAATAAAGAATCAGAACTGTGTTCATTAGTGAGTGAAAGGAGGAAAGAAAATGAGAGAAGTGACAGTTAATATAAGCAGAAGGAGATGAAAAAGTACTAAGCAGTGAAATAGAAAGCCTACAGCCTAAGGAAAAAAAAATAGAGGCACATTTTAGAAAGTCACTCCAGGAAAATTTCAAAGAAAATTATATGCAGGAGCAAAGAAGCATGACAAAGGAAAAAGAGGAATGAGAAAGCTATAAAGGGTATTTGACATCATGGTCTTAACTAAACTGTTATGTGCAAGTGAAAATCAAGGGAGGCTAAATATTTAAGCATAATGACGCCTAAAAGTGATTAGAGGGAATGAAAGAAGAAGTAGCCATAGATTTTATTGAAGCCGTTGGAGTAAATAAGACAGGAGATTTCAGAGCAATAACGAGTGCAGACAGAGACATCATGGAATGAAATCAGAGGGTATAAAGACAGAAGACTCACGAATCAGATTTCGGCATAGACCACAAACTAATGATCATCAAACCCACAGCCAAAACATTAATAATAAATCCAAATGGTTGTTGGCAAAGTGCAGAGTGGGGTGGAGGGGGAATGAAGAGAAAAGAGACCAAAGACAGAAGCTAATAATAATAATAATAAGAGAGAACCATGGCTAATTCAAATATAGACAATAAGGAGCCTTATATCTTTTTATTTAGCAACAAGTATGTGAGACTGAGTGGCCAAAAAGACCTTAAATACTTACTGTTAGCTCGACAGAGACACAAACTTTGTCATGGGTGAGATTAAAATTATCCAGAAAGTAAAGTAACCATGTCAGAGCAAGGTGCCTAAAGTACAGAGGAAATCAAACCTGTCTTCCTCACATTGTCCCATCTTCCCACTCCCCCTGCCAATTCCTCTTCCTTAGGGCTTATTTTCCTTGGGAATCTATGAAGAAAAGCAATGTTTTGATTGCAGGTGAAAAGTGCTTATGGGTTGTTTGTTCACTGATATCAAAAGCCTTGGAAAGAGATATAGTTTAGTAGATACAGAGAGGAGGAGCAGAGATTAACATAAACAGGGACAAATTCAAATGTTACTAACCAAATTTAATTTCATTAGTTATAAGAATGTATGTTGGCTGGGCTTGGTGGCTCACACCTGGAATCCCAGCCTGAGCAACATAGTGAGACCCCATCCCTACAAACAATTTAAAAATTGCTGAGCATGGTGGTATGTGTCTGTAGTCCCAGCTACTCAGGAGGCTGGGGCGGGAAGATCTCTTGAGCCCAAAAGTTACAGGTTGCAGAAAGCTGTGACTGCACCACTGTACTCTAGCCTGGGTAAAAGGACGAGACCCTGTATCTAAAATGAATAAACAAACAAAGAACATATGTAACATTAGGGTTATAAGTCTGATGCTTAATCTGAGTTGTTCAATATGTTTTTCAGATACAGTTTAATATGTAAAAATAATAAACTAATATTTTATTGAGCACTTGCTATGTACTCAACACTGATTAAATCTTTCACAGGTTATCTCATTTAATCATCACATTAACCCCGGAAGGTAAATACTATCATTATCTCCCTATTCTAGATGACGAACAGAAAGTTTAAAGATGAGAAAATAAACCAGGTTGAGTACAGCGTTTTGTCTTTTAAAGGAGGGTGCGTAATGCTTTTATTCTTATACACAAATAAACTAAAGGGCAGGAAGAACTTGAGTACAGAGGGCAAATAATGACTAATGACTACCCCCGGGCAGGGTTATCTTTGGAACTCCATCCAGTCCTCCTTCCTCTCTCAGTGGCATTTGCTCCAGCCCCTTTAAATACACAGTACCTGAACTTCTCCCCACACCCCATATATAAACAGGGACAGATTTGGTATCATCACAAATAGTCAGAGAAATTAATTAATTGTTCATAGACTCTCAGTTTAGCAGGGTAAAAATTCAGATGCCCTGATTCACAGACAAGTTTCCTAAGTTTCCTTTCTATCATACTGCGTACAACTAAATACAGATAAGGCACCTTCACCAAAACTCAACCCAACTTTAATATTGTCAAATTTATGCAAGTCTGTGGATATTTTCCAAGTGCCTACTGTGAGCTAGTCCGTCAGCTAGCACATAGCTGGAATAAGAATAACTAAAGGAATAAGAATAACTAAAGGAACACAAACTCCAGTACCAAAGAGAAATGTAGAACATTACAGCATTGAGACTTGGGTTTCATTTTGTATGTTTGTGTTTCCTGAAGAGCGAAGCCAGGATGACTAGTGGTGAAAAATATTATTTTAATGGGCACATGAATTTCATTTTGTACATTTAATTATATCAAGAAAACACTTACCTATCCCAGGGATCACATTAAGGAGAAAGTTTCAGTTAGGCTCCAAAAAGCCTCTTTGAAATTTGTTAAACTCCTTCTGTAACAGAAAGAGTAGAGACTTCAGGTTCAAAGTTCTCAGCAGAAAACATTGTCTAACTAGAAATTAAGGATTTGTTTTGTTCAAATCCTATTCATGGCCAGGCATGATGGCTTGGTCCTGAAATCTCAGCCCTTTGGGAGGCTGAAGTAGGAGAATCACTTGAAGCCAGGAGTTTGAGATCAGACTAGGTAACATAGCAAGACCCATCTCTACAAAAAATTTAAAAATTAGCCAGCCATGGTGCCATGAGCCTGTAGTCCCAGCTACTTGGGAGGCTGAGATGGGAGGATTGCTTGAGCCCAGGAGGCTTTAACTTCCCTGAGACTCAGTTTTACCTTGGTAATATTTAAGAAAAATATGGCCATCATCTACTTCTTCTCTTGAATAGAGGGCTTAAATATAAAAATGATTTGGACCAGGCACAGTGGCTCACACTTGTAATCCCAGCAATTTGGGAGGCTGAGGTGGGCAGATCACCTGAGGTCAGAAGATCGAGACCAGCCTGGCCAACATGGCGAAACCCCGTCTCTGCTAAAAACACAAAAATTAGCCAGCCATGGTGGTAGGCGCCTGTAGTCCCAGCTACTCGGGAGGCTGAGGTAGGAGAATCACTCGAACCCGGGAGGTGGAGGTTGCAGTGAGCCAAGATCACGCCACTGCACTCCAGCTTGGGCAACAGAGTGAGATTCGGTCTCAAAATAAATAATAAATAAATAAATAAGTAAATAAATAAATAATTTGAATTGATCTGATCATAACCTCTACCCAATCCTCTGTCTAAATATGCCATCGATAACTCACCAGCAAAATGGTTTGTGTTTGTGTGCTAAGGAGTTGAGATGCTGAATCCTTGGAAATAACAGTAGGTGGCAACTGGAGAGAAGCTTTTCTCAATTTTCATCATAGCCTACAGGGATTTTGTTTATTTGTAAGAAAAAAGTTTGGATCATAAGTTGCAAGTTGTTATAATTGTTTTTTAAGGATAGGCATATCTCAAGAATTTTTATATTAAAAGGTAATATTTATCTTTTTAGATACCCTATACTTATTGAAAATAATACTTTTAAAGAATCACCATCATTTATTAGTATTAAATTACTTATATGCATTAACTCCATTTTACCTTCATAAAACATCTATGAGGTAAATATTATTGTTATTATCATATTTTAAAAATGAGACTTAGGGAGGTTTATTTAAATTTCCCTGGATGACACAGAACCAGTACAGTCCATATTTCAAACCTCAAGCAATATGGTACTAGAGCCCCTACTCTTGACTTCAATGCATATTGCTTCCATAAAACCTAAAAACTAAATCAATGTATAAAATGGTTTGTCCAGGATGAAAAAATCAGTTCCAGAAATGTAGGGATGGATTACATTTTCAAAAATGTTATCTCATTATATGTTAGGACTTATCAAAACAGTAATATTTATTTTGTTTAGATATCCTATACTAAGTACTAGAATGTCTCTTTATCAAAATATTTTATGTATTCTTTTTGTGTTTGTTTTTGTTTTGTTTTTTGAGACGGAGTTTTGCTCTTGTCGCCCAGGCTGGAGTGCAATGGTGCAATCTTGGCTCACTGCAACCTCCGCCTCCCGGGTTCAAGAGATTCTCCTGCCTCAGCCTCCTGAGTAGCTGGAATTACAGGCGCCCACCACCACTCCTCGCTAATTCTTTTGTATTTTTAGTAGAGACAGGGTTTCACCACGTCGGCCAGGCTGGTCTCGAACTCCTGACCTCAGATGATCTACCCGCCTCAGCCTCCCAAAGTGCTGGGATTACAGGTGTGAGCCACCGCGCCTGGCCTATTTTATGTATTCTTTCTTAAACTTCCTCCTAGTCCCAGCTCAAGAACCATTGTCTCTGTGACACTTCTCCTGACTCTTTTCCCTCTCTAAATGCGTACAGCACGCACAATCCTTGCTTCATCATAACCTGCCTGATTATATATTGCATTTTTGGGTATACTATGCCTCCTGAAATTCATGCACAATTTCCAAGGAAGGAAATATGCCTTCTACCACAATAGGCATTTAATAAATTATTGCATGGAACATACTAAAAACAACTCAACACTAAATTAAAAAGTCCACATCCAGAGCAAAACTCTTAAAGATCATTTCTCCAAGCCTCCAACTTACATTCTGCTTGCTACTCATACTTTTAGCTTAGCTAATGTTTTCAAATCTAAAGCCAGACTGCACTGAATTCTTTAAAGCTGAAGCAAGCTTATTCAGTCAGCTATAAATATAAATGTTTACTGGAACACAAACTAGAAGGAAGTATATGAGAAAAATAAAGGGAGTAAAGCAATCCTTTTTCTTCTCCAAGGCTCATTCCTCAGAACCAAATATTTAAATGGGATTTTAACTGCCAGACAAGTTAGCCAGGTTTAACGAGTCTAAAGATAGATGAATATTAAACTAAGCCTGAATAAAAAGAGATTGGCATGTAATACAACTTAAAAGTCATCAGTGTGAATGTTCTATTATGTATGGTTATTTTTTTAATGTTTATTGTGCCAATTATTACCCTGCAATGTATTGACCTATTTATATATCACCTCTGCAAGACTGTAAGCACTTCACAAACAAGGACTGGGTCTTTGCATGTTAAGAGGTGAGTCTTGAATTGTTGTGTCCAACGTTAACATCTGCTCCCAATCAGACCTTTCCTGTTAACAATGGTTAACATTCATTAGTGCTTATCATGAGCTGATCTCTAGTTTAAGCCTTTTAAATGTACTAATCCATTTGCCTTTTCAAAAACCCCAGAAAATACATGTTCTAATTATCATTCCCATTTTACAGATGAGGCTAGTGGGACACAGAGAGGGAAAGAAAGTTAAGGAGGCAGAACCAGAACTAGAAACATGTAGTCCTGCCCCACTCTTCACCACTATACTGCAATCCCTTATTTGTAATGATATTGGTGACTAGAAAAAGTAGGTGGAAATTTGGAAGTCTGAACTAAAACCTCTGTGCTTATGCTTCAGATGATTCTAACACAGATGGTATGAGAACCACATGTTGAAAAACAGATGTAGGTAGTAGTAGTAGCAATGTTAAGAACTGGTGTTTGTTTATCATTACACTTCACCAAACATTTCCATATACATGATCTCATTTCACTCTTATAACAACCCTGCAAGGTAAGTATGATTGTCTTCCATGTTTCTGAATGAGAAAAGCAAGGCTCATTCATAAAGCTTGCCTAAAACCACATTCCCTGTCAAACACAAATTTTCTCATTCTAATCCCCATACCCATTCTGTGATTCCAATGTCCTGAATGGTCTTCCTGATTCTGCGTCTGGCTCTCTACAACTCATAGTCCACACACAAACCAGGGATTTTTTTAAGCATACATCAGATTGTGTCGCTTCTATGAATTCTTAGTACATTTGGGTAGAATTCAATTTCCTTACTAGAGTGAGTGAGGTCCCTTCTGGTCTGGTTCCTGCCTGCTTCCTTCACCTAACCTCCCACTCTTCTCCCCTCTTTCTAGCTCCAGCTATACTTTCCTTTTTCACCCCCTCATGCCAAGCTGTTTTCTCCAGCTGGGCCCTTGTCCCTTTTCTATTCCTTATTTATTTCATACCAGTATCTGAAATTAACCAATTGATTGATTGATTCTGAAGCTGATGACAGAATCCTTGTCTGGTTTAATAGACAACATTTACAAAGTGCTAAGTACAAGTCCATATGCTTTATACATGCTGACTCTTGTGATGTTTATGACAGAGAGCATAGGACCTTGTCTGAGGTCATCAACTAAAAGGTGATGAAACTGAATTGTACCCAGACCATGTACCTTTCACCACCTTGCCTGAACTGCCCCTTGAATAGAATCAAAGACTCCACCAGCTCACCTTTGGAAACACACCCTCATCTCTCTATTGTCTCCCCGACACATAGCCTTGTGACCAAGCCACCAGTGCTCGTGGTTAAATTCATTCTGAACAGAGACACACTTTGATGGAGGCATGTGCTTTAACCTCCTTTTCCAGTCCCATCTCCAAAAAGACAAATTTAAATCAAGGCAATAAGACTAATTAGAAACTACAGAATGAGAATCCAACATTACTAACAATGCCCTTAAGATCAAAGTAATATCAGAGAATGTATAATTTACAATTACTCTTTATTTGGTGATGCTAGTAAGGCAGGTGGGGAGGAGAGGGAGGGAAGGTGAGGGGCTGTCAGAGTTGACTCCACATGATTGCAGCGGAAATACTAAATTATGAGGGTCCCAAACCAACTGAAGGAGAAGCCTGTTAATCAAAATGGAGCAGCAAGTGGCCAAACAGTCATTTTTTCCCTTCCAAATGTCTCACTGGTTTGGAGGTCAAATATCTATTCTTCATCTAGTATAAAAAGCTGCCATTTGGAGGAGGTTGGGTATTTTGTTATTATTTTGCTTTGTTTTGCTTTAAGACATCTGTCATTCGTGAGAACAAAGATTTCTCTTCTGTGGTTCTTAATAAGCTTTGCAAGGTGGTTTTCCTGGCATATGAAGAAGTCATTTGAATAATAAAAGCTCATATTTATAATTACATTGAGTTAAATAGATTTGCTTAGCTTAGGGTTTGGGGTTATTCATAAACAGATGTGAGGGTCCAGAAAGCCTCTATAACTTTAACAATCTCACTGCTTTGGGGTTGCTAAAGAGCTTAGAAGCCCAAATCTGAGTTAAAGAAGCTTTCCCCATTTCCCTGAATAATCACCATGGTACCTCAGCCTGAGTCTACTTCTTAAAACCTATTTAAATACTATTCATGTTTACTAGTCATTTGCCAGTGTGATGGCAATGAATGAGCTTGACTCTAAGCTGGGAACATTCACCACTTAAGCATTCGAGAGAAAGGACCCTTTTATAAAATGCTTTGCTCTGTTCTCAGAATATATTCATGACCCCTAGCAACAGTCCTATGTGAAGCTGCCGGTTTCAAAACAGTGATGAAAGGAGGTCGTCCTTCCGAGCAGCACCTTAAGGTGTCTAGACATTTCCTTACAGCCAACTCTCCTCTGCTTTCCCCTCCCCTCCCCTCTCCTCCCTCCTTTTTTTTTTTTTTTTTTTTTTTTTTTGAGACTTGAGTCACACTCTGTTGCTCAGGCTGCAGTGCAGTGGTGTTATCTCGGCTCACTGTAACCTCTACCTCCTGGGTTCAAGCGATTCTCCTGCCTCAGCCTCCCAAGTAGCTGGGACTACAGGCACGCACCACCATGTCCAGCTAATTTTTGTACTTCTTAGTAGAGACGGGGTTTCACCATGTTGCTCAGGATGGTCTTGATCTCTTATTTTTTAAATGTTTTTTAATTATACTTTAAGTTCTAGGGTACATGTGCACAACATGCAGGTTTGTTACATAGGTATACATGTGCCATGTTGGTTTGGTGCACCCATTAACTCATCATTTACATTGGGTATTTCTCCTAATGCTATCCATCTGCCAGCACCCCAGCCCATGATAGGCCCCAGTGTGTGATGTTCCCCTCCCTGTGTCCAAGTGTTCTCATTGTTCAATTCCCACCTATGAGTGAGAACATGCAGTGTTTGGTTTTCTGTCCTCGTGATAGTTTGCTCAGAATAATGGTTTCCAGCTTCAACCATGTCCCTGCAAAGGACATGAACTCATCCTTTTTTATGGCTGCATAGTATTCCATGGTGTGTATGTGCCACATTTTCTTAATCCAGTCTATCATCAATGGACATTTGGGTTGCTTCCAAGTCTTTGTTATTGTGAGTAGTGCCACAATAAACATACATGTGCATGTGTCTTTATAGTAACATGATATATAATGCTTTCGTTATATACCCAGTAATGGGATTGCTGGGTCAAATGGTATTTCTAGTTCTAGATCCTTGAGGAATCACCACACTGTCTTCCACAATGGTTAAACTAATGAACTAATTTATACTCCCACCAACAGTGTAAAAGCATTCCTATTTCTCCACATCCTCTCCAGCATCTGTTTTTTCCTGACATTTTAATGATCGCCATTCTAACTGGTGTGAGATGGTAACTCATCGTGGTTTTGATTTGCATTTCTCTGATGACCAGTGATGATGAGCATTTTTTCATGTGTCTGTTGGCTGCATAAATGTCTTCTTTTGAGAAGTGTCTGTTCATATCCTTTGCCCACTTTTTGATGGGGTTGTTTGTTTTTTTCTTGTAAATTTGTTTGGGTTCTTTGTAGATTCTGGATATTAGCCCTTTGTCAGATGAGTAGATTGCAAAAATGTTCTCCCATTCTGTAGGTTGCCTGTTCACTCTGATGGTAGTTTCTTTTGCTGTGCAGAAGCTCTTTAGTTTAATTAGATCCCATTTGTCAATTTTGGCTTTTGTTGCCATTGCTTTTGGTGTTTTAGTCATGAAGTCCTTGCCCATGCTTATGTCCTGAATGGTATTGCCTAGGTTTTCTTCTAGGGGTTTTATGGGTTTAGGTCTAACATTTAAGTCTTTAATCCATCTTGAATTAACTTTTGTATAAGGTGTAAGGAAGGGATCCAGTTTCAGCTTTCTACATATGGCTAGCCAGTTTTCCCAGCACCATTTATTAAATAGGGAATCCTTTCCCCATTTCTTGTTTTTGTCAGAATTGTCAAAGATCAGATGGTTGTAGATGTGAGGTGTTATTTCCAAGGCCTCTGTTTTGTTCTATTGGTCTATGTATCTGTTTTGGTACCAGTACCATGCTGTTTTCGTTACTGTAGACTTGTAGTATAGTTTCAAGTCAGGTAGCATGATGCCTCCAGCTTTGTTCTTTTGGCTTAGGATTGTCTTGGCAACGAGGCTCTTTTTTGGTTCCATATGAACTTTAAAGTAGTTTTTTTCCAATTCTGTGAAGAAAGTCATTGGTAGCTTGATGGGGATGGCATTGAATCTATTAATTACCTTGGGCAGTATGGCCATTTTCACGATATTGATTCTTCCTATCCATGAGCATGGAATGTTCTTCCATTGATTTGTGTCCTTTTTTATTTTGTTGAGCAGTGGTTTGTAGTTCTCCTTGAAGAGGCCCTTCACATCCCTTGTAAGTTGGATTCCTAGGTATTTTATTCTCTTTGTAGCAATTGTGAATAGGAGTCACTCATGATTTGGCTCTCTGTTTGTCTGTTATTAGTGCATAGGAATGCTTGTGATTTTGGCACATTAATTTTTTATCCTGAGACTTTGCTGAAGTTGCTAATCAGATTAAACAGATTTGGGGCTGAGACGATGGGGTTTTCTAAATATACAATGATGTCATCTGCAAACAGGGACAATTTGACTTCCTCTTTTCCTAGTTGAATATCCTTTATTTCTTTCTTCTGCCTGATTGCCCTGGCCAGAACTTCCAACACTATGTTGAATAGGAGTGGTGAGAGGGTATCCCTGTCTTTTGCCAGTTTTCAGAGGGAATGCTTCCAGTTTTTGCCCATTCAGTATGATATTGGCTGTGGGTTTGTCATAAATAGCTCTTATTATTTTGAGATACATTCCATTAATACCTAGTTTATTGAGAGTTTTTGGCATGAAGAGCTGTTGAATTTTGTCAAAGGCCTTTTTTGTGTCTATTGACATAATCGTGTGGTTTTTGTCATTGGTTCTGTTCATGTGATGGATTATGTTTATTGATTTGCATATGTCGAACCAGCCTTGTATCCCAGGGATGAAGCTGACTTGATAGTGGTGGATAAGCTTTTTGATGTGCTGCTGGATTCGATTTGCCAGTATTTTATTGAGGATTTTAGCATCGATGTTCATCAGGGATATTAGCCTAAAATTCTCTTTTTTTGTTGTGTCTCTGCCAGGGTTTGGTATCAGGATGATGCTGGCCTCATTAAATGAGTTAGGGAGGATTCCCTCTTTTTCTATTGATTGGAATAGTTTCAGAAGGAATGGTATTAGCTCCTCTTTGTACCTCTGGTAGAATTCGGCTGTGAATCCATCTGGCCCTGGACTTTTTTTGATTGGTAGGCTATTAATTATTGCCTTAATTTCAGAGCCTGTTATTGCTCTGTTCAGGGATTCCACTTCTTCCTGGTTTAGTCTTGGGAGGGTGTATGTGTCCAGGAATTTATCCATTTCTTCTAGATTTTCTAGTTTATTTGTGTAGAGGTATTTATAGTATTCTCTGATGGTAGCTTGTATTTCTGTGGGATCGGTGGTGATATCCCCTTCATCATTTTTAATTGCATCTATTTGATTCTTCTCTATTTTCTTCTTTATTAGTCTTGCTAGCAGTCTATTAATTTTGTTGATGTTTTCAAAAACCCAGCTCCTGGATTCATTGATTTTTTGAAGGGTTTTTTGTGACTCTATCTCCTTCAGTTCTGCTCTGATCTTAGTTATTTCTTGCCTTCTGCTAGCTTTTGAATGTGTTTGCTCTTTCTTCTCTAGTTCTTTTAATTGTGATGTTAGGGTGTCAATTTTAGGTCTTTCCTGCTTTCTGTTGTGGGCATTTAGTGTTATAAATTTCCCTCTACACACTGCTTTAAATGTGTCCCAGAGATTCTGGTACATTGTGTCTTTGTTTTTATTGGTTTCAAAGAACATCTTTATTTCTGACTTCATTTCATTATTTACCCAGCAGTCATTCAGGAGCAGGTTGTTCAGTTTCCATGTAGTTGTGCGGTTTTCAGTGAATTTCTTAATCCTGAGTTCTAATTTGATTGCACTGTGGCCTGAGAGACAGTTTGTTGTTATTTCTATTCTTTTACATTTGCTGAGGAGTGCTTTACTTCCAAATATGTGGTCAATTTGGAATATGTGCGATGTGGTGCTGAGAAGAAGCTATATTCTGTTGATTTGGGCTGGACTGGAGAGTTCTGTAGATGTCTATTAGGTCCACTTGGTGCAGAGCTGAGTTCATGTCCTGAATATGCTTATTAACATTCTGTCTTGTTGATCTGCCTAATATTGACAGTGGGATGTTAAAGTCTCCCATGATAATTGAGTGGGAGTCTAAGACTCTTCATAGGTTTCTAAGGACTTGCTTTATGAATCTGGGTGCTCCTGTATTGGGTGCATGTATATTTAGGATAGTTAGCTCTTGTTGTTGAATTGATTCCTTTACCATTATGTAATGGCCTTCTTTGTCTCTTTAGATCTTCGTTGGTTTAAAGTCTGTTTTATCAGAGACTGAGATTGCAACCCCTGATTTTTTTTTTGCATTCCATTTGGTAGTTAGATCTTTCTCAATCCCTCTATTTTGAGCCTATGTGTGTCTTTGCACATGAGATGGGTCTCCTGAATACAGCACACTGATGGGTCTTGACTTTTTATCCAATTTGCCAGGCTGTGTCTTTTAATTGGGGCATTTAGCCCATTTACATTTAAGGTTAATATTGTTATATGTGAATTTGATCCTGTCATTATGATGTTAGCTGGTTATTTTGCCCATTAACTGATGCAGTTTCTTCATAGCATCAATGGTCTTTACAATTTGGCATGTTTTTGCAGTGGCTGGTACTGGTTTTCCTTTCCATGTTTAGTGCTTCCTTCAGGAGCTCTTGTAAGGCAGGCCTGGTGGTGACAAAATCTCTCAGAATTTGCTTGTCTGTAAAGTATTTCATTTCTCCTTCATTTTGAAGCTTAGTTTGGCTGGATATGAAATTCTGGCTTGAAAATTCTTTTCTTTAAGAATGTTGAATATTGGCCCCCACTCTCTTCTGACTTGCAGTTTCTTTCTAGAGATCCGCTGTTAGTCTGATGGGCTTCCCTTTGTGGGTAACCCGACCTTTCTGTCTGGCTGCCCTTAACATTTTTTTCTTCATTTCAACCTTGGTGAATCTGACAATTATGTGTCTTGGGGTTGCTCTTCTCAAGGAGTATCTTTATGGTGTTCTCTGTATTTCCTGAATTTGAATATTGGTCTGCCTTGCTAGGTTGGGGAAGTTCTCCTGGATAATATCCTGAAGAGTGTTTTCCAGCTTGGTTTCATTCTCCCCATCACTTTCAGGTAGACCAATCAAACGTAGATTTGGTCTTTTCACATAGTCCCATATTTCTTGGAGGCTTTGTTCATTTCTTTTTACTCATTTTTTTCTAAACTTCTCTTCTCAATTTATTTCATTTATTTGATCTTCAATCACTGATACCCTTTCTTCCACTTGATCGAATTGTCTATTGAAGCTTGTGCATGCATCACGTAGTTCTCGTGCCATGGTTTTCAGCTCCATCAGGTCATTTAAGGTCTTCTCTACACTGTTTATTCTAGTTAGCCATTCTTCTAATCTTTTTTCAAGGTTTTTAGCTTCCTTGCAATGGTTTCCAACATCCTGCTTTACCTTGAAGAAGTTTGTTATTATTGACCTTCTGAAGCTTACTTCTGTCAGCTCATCAAAGTCATTCTCCATCCAGCTTTGTTCTGTTGCTGACGAGGAGCTGTGATCCTTTGGAGGAGAAGAGGTGCTCTGGTTTTTAGAATTTTCATCTTTTCTGCTGTGGTTTCTCCCCGTCTTTGTGGTTTTATCTACTTTTGGTCTTTGATGTTGGTGACCTACTGATGGGGTTTTCGTGCAGATGTCCTTTTTGTTGATGTTGATTTTATTCCTTTCTGTTTGTTAGTTTTCCAATTAACAGTCAGGTCCCTCAGCTTCAGGTCTGTTGAAGTTTGCTGGAGGTCCACTCCAGACCCTGTTTGCCTGGGTATCACAAGCAGAGGCTTCAGAACAGCAAATATTGCAGAACAGCAAATATTGCTGCCTGATCCTTCCTCTGGAAGCTTTGTTCCAGAGGGGCACCCGCCTGTATGAGGTGTCAGTCAGCCCCTACTGGGAGGTGTCTGCTAGTTAGGCTACATGGAGGTCAGGGACCCACTTGAGGAGGCAGTCTGTCCATTCTCAGAGCTCAAACACCTTGCTTGGAGAACTACTGCTCTCTCCAGAGCTGTCAGACAGGGTTGTTTAAGTCTACAGAAGTTTCTACTGCCTTTTATTCAGCTATGCCCTGCCCCCAGACGTGGAGTCTATAGAGGCAGCAAGCCTTGCAGCACTGCAGTGGGCTCTGCCCAGTTCGAGCTTCCAGGCTGCTTTGTTTACCTACTCAAGCCTCAGCAATGGCAGATGCCCCTCCCCCTGCCAGGCTGCTGCCTCGCAGGTTGATCTAAGGCTGCTGCGCTAGCAGTGAGCAACGTTCTGTGGGCATGGGACCTGCTGAGCCAGGCATGGGATATAATCTTCTGGTGTGCCATTTGTAAGACTGTTGGAAAAGCACAGTATTTGAGCAGGAATGTCCCGTTTTTCCAGGTACAGTCTGTCACAGCTTCCCTTGGCTAGGAAAGGTAAATCCCCTGACCCCTTGCACCTCCCAGGTAAGACGATGCCCTGACCTGCTTCGGCTCACCCTCCATGGGCTGCACCCACTGTCCAACCAGTCCCAGTGAGAAGAATCAGGTACCTCAGTTGGAAATGCATAAATCACCCATCTTCTGTGTCAATCACGCTGGGAGCTGCAGACCAGAGCTGTTCCTATTCGGCCATCTTGGAACAGCAATCGGTCTTGATCTCTTGACCTCGTGATCTGCCCACCTCAGCCTCCCAAAGTGCTGGGATTACAGGCATGAGCCAACACATCTGGGCCTACAACCTATTTAAATACTATTCATGTCCTCCCTTCTTTTGAAACTCACCAGCCCCATGAGCCTTGAGGTCCTTTGGAGATGATGGGGTTAATTCCACAGCAAACTTTGAAAGCTGTAATGTGTTACCCTACTTGAAAACATACTTCTGAAATAAGTATAAGTGTTTAGGGCAAGAGGTGCTCTTGGCCACTAATTTTCTATCATTTCTGAAGTGGACACTCTTTATAAATCAATTCTTACACAGAGCCACAACATACAAAACAGGGAAAAGGCCAGCAGCTCTCATCAAAGTGTTATTTACCTAGATGCTCCCTAACCCTCCCACCCCTTTCCTTTGATGGCCCTTTCAAGACCTAGAATTCTCCCAGACACAGTTTAAAAACCTTGCTCTGATCCTACCAAATCAGAGGGATTTGGCCAAACCTCTGGTTTTGAGCTTTAATCTGAAATTGCTTCATGTGATGCCTAACCTGTCAGACATCTGTGCCACACTGAGTAAGTCCCAAATGTGTGACCTCCAAAGCTCTAGTAATTTTTCAAGTCAAATCCAACTTAATATGTGTAGTGGGTGTCGTAGCATTTCCCCAAAATTCATATCCACCTGGAACCTCAAAATGTGACTTTATTTGGAAGAAGAATTATTGCAGATATGATTAAGATAACTCAACATTCGATCATATTAGATTAAGGTGGGCCCTAAATCTAATGACACCTTCCTTGTAAGGCACAGAAAAAGAGAAGACACAAGGACATAGAGAAGAAAGCATTGTAAAGATGAAGGCAGAGATTGCAGTGATTGATCTACAAGCCAAGGAGCTCCAGGGATTGCCAACAAATATCAGAAGCTCAGAAAGAAGCATGAGGAGCTTTCTCCCTCAGAGCCTCCAGGAATAATCAACCTACCAACACCTTGATTTTGGACTTCTGGCTTCCAGAGCTGTAAGACAATATATTTCTTTGTTTTTGACTGCCAAACCTGTGATCCTGTGTTACAGCAGCTCTCAGAAAGTAATACATTCTGCCTTTCACTTAGTAGGCCCTCCAACATTTGCAGAAGAAATATTTGTTGCATGAAAGGAATAAATGAGTTCAATTCGATATAGTGGTTGACTAAGAAAAATATTTATTAATTAGTGTTTGAGGAGGAGATGGGATGCATGTGGCTGGGGCTGGAGGAAATATATGTTCTTCTTCAACTCTCTTAGAACTCAAGACTAAGGCAGGGCCTCTGCAGGGCCCAGCATGTGAGTGGTTCAGGAAGAAGAAACTATGACTAGCACTGTTGGCTATCAGAGGAAAAACAGATCACTTATTGAGGCTTCCTCAAAGATGTCCTGAGATAATATTATAAAAGTTACTTATTTTGAGCTGAGCACTTAAAAAGGTACAAATCAGCCTTATTTATGGGGTCTCTATTCTATTCCATTGGTCTATATTCCTGTTTTTGTACCAGTACCATGAAGTTTTGGTTACTGCAGCCCTATAGTATAGTTTGAAGTCAGATAACATGATGCCTCCTATGACCATCTGATCTTTGACAAACCTAACAAAAACAAGCGATGGAGAAAAGACTCCCTATTCAATAAATGGTGCTGGGATAACCGACTAGCCACATGGAGAAGATTGAAGCTGGACCCCTTCCTTACACCATATATTAATACAAAAATCAACTCAAGATGGATTAAAGACTTACATGTAAAACCCAAAACTATAAAAACCCTGGAAAACAACCTAAACAATACCATCCTGAACATAGGAACAGAAAAAGATTTCATGGCAAAGACACCAAAACCAATAGCAACAAAAGCAAAATTTTACAAATGGGATCTCATCAAATTAGCTTCTGCACAGCAAAATAAACTATTAACAGAGTAAACAGACAACCTACAGAATGAGAGAAAATATTTGCAAACTATGCATCTGACAAAGGTCTAATATCCAGTATCTATAAGGAAATTAAACACATTTATAAGAGGAAAAACAGCACCATTAAAAAGTGGACAAAGGACTTGAACAGACACTTTTCAAAAGAAGCCATATGTATGGCCAACAAGCATATAAAAAAAAAGCTCAATATCACTGATCATTAGAGAAATGCAAATCAAAACCACAGTGAGATATCACCTCATACCAGTCAGAATGGCTATTACTAAAAAGTCAAAAAATAACAGATGCTAGTGAGGTTGAGGAGAAAAGGGAACATTTATACACTGTTCTCAGGAGTGTAAATTACTTCAACTATTATGGAAAGCAGTATGGCAATTCCTCAAAGAGCTAGAAGCAGAACTAAGATTCAACCCAGCAATCCCATTACTGGATATATACCCAGAGGAATATATATATTATTCTACCATAAAGACACATGCATGTGAATGTTCATTGCAACACTGTTCACAAGGGCAAAGACAAGGAATCAACCTAAATGCCCATCAGTGACACATTGAATAAAGAAAATGTGGTACATACACACCATGGAATATTATGCAGCCATAAAAAACAATGAGATCATGTCTTTTGCAGGAGTGTGGATGAAGCTGGAGTCTATTATCCTTAACAAACTAATGCAGGAACAGAAAACCAAATATCACATGTTCTCACTTATAAGTGGGAACTAAATTATGAGAACTCATGAACACAAAGAAGGAAACAACTGACACTGAGGTCTTCTTGAGGGTATTGGGTGGCAAGAAGGAGAGGAGCAGAAAAAATAACTACTGGGGGCCGGCGCTGTGGCTCACACCTGTAATCCCAGCACTTTGGGAGGCCGAGGCAGGTGGATCATGAGGTCAGGAGATTGAGACAAGACTGGCCAACGTGGTGAAACCCCATCTCTACTAAAAATATAAAACTTAGCTGGACGTATGCCTGTAATCCCAGCTACTCGGGAGGCTGAGGCACGAGAATCGCTTGAACCCAAGTGGTGGAGGCTGCAGTGAGCCAAGATCGCGCCACTACACTCCAGCCTGACAACAGAGTGAGACTCTGTCTCAAATAATAATAATAATAATAATAATAATAATAATAATAATAATAATAACTATTGGGCACTAGGCTTAACCTGGGTGATAAAATTATCCATACAACAAACCCCCATGACAGGAGTTTACCTATATAACAAACCTTCGCATGTATCCCCAAATATAAAGTAAGTTTAAAAAAAAAGTACAAATCATATACATATCAAATGGGAATTGGTAGACTCATATAGTTCATGAGAAGATTATTTTAATGATATTTTGATAGATTCCAATAATAACTATGAAGTTGTTATAGCTTCTTAGATTTTGCAATATACTGTTACCTTGGCTTTTGTGTTTTCAATCCATGAGCATCAAGTTTTACTGGCCATGTTTTGGAGGCACATTTGTTGTCTGTTTTGTGTCTTCACACCCATCACCTAACTACGGTTTACTTCTTATGCTATGTACCTAGTGACTAAATTTCTACTCACTTAATGTCCCTGAAGAGTTTTTGAAATGTAATGAATTAATCACTTTCCCTGTAATTTATGCATACATTTATATACTGAACTGTAGTTTAATCAAACTCCTTTGCCTTGTGTAGTATAGCAGTAATGTCTAATGAAAACATATGAAGTATGTGTTTCATAATTACCCCAGACAGCTCATTTCGGTGTGCTTTCCTACTTAATCCCAAAATTCCTATCTTCCTGCACTGTAAACACTTTCCTTCCCTTCTCATCAATCTCAGTTATATAAATGAAACAGGGGTGGTTGCACAATTACTGAGTGTTCTTTTCTGGGTGTTATAAAGATCCGATTCTCAGAGAAACACCTGACCAGGGCACCCACTAAAAGCGATCCTTTTGTTTGACTGAAAGGTTAAAGCAGGTCCAAATTAGGGAGAACTTCACAAACTCCATTGGAGGAGTGCTGCAAGGGCCAGTGAATGCCCAGGGCATGGTGGAAACATGGTTCATGCGGACCCGCCCTGCTGCTGGGAGTGAACCTCACTCAGTACGCAGTACTGTACTTTCTTCAGGGCACATTAAGAGAAAAGCCATCCCAGTAAAATTACTCTCTGCACCTTTCTTTAAATTTCCACAGCTAGTTTAAATGTCTTTTCCCTTATTTTTTTTTTTCAGGATAATATCTTTTCTGTCTTTTCCTTCTAAGAGGAAAACAATATTTCACATTCCCCACCTTCAAGATTCCAGAAACTATTGAAAGAAGATGCAAATCATCTTGAAAATAGAGTCATGGAAAAACACACTGCTAGTTGAAGGCAGATATTCTTATACCTACTGACTGATTTCAGGTAAGTTAAATGATCTCTAAAGCTCCAGTTTCCTCATCTGCAAAAGAAGATAATGTCAACTATCACTGTAGGTTGCCATGAGAATAAAATAATAAGTAATGCCTAGTACAATGCTAGGCACTACAAAAGACTATATGCTTTTTCTTCTTCCTTTCCATTTTCTGTCTACCAAGTGAGATGTTCATTTGTTTGATAGCATTTATGGAACACATTATATAACAGGCACTGTGTTAGAACCTGGAGATAGGGCATGACCATTGGCCAAATGAGTGTGACTCTCTAACAGGGAGGATAGACATTAACCAATTAATGACATTCCAATTATATTTGCCAATTCTGTGTATTCTAAAGGAAAAGCCCAGGATATGCTGGGATAATTTGAACAGAGAAGAGTACCTGAGGTCATTAGGGAAAACAAGATTGAATTAGGTGAAGACAGAAAAGGGAGGGGAAGAAGCTTCCATGTAGGAAGAATCTGAAAACCTAAAAAGTATCTCCTAAACTCATTAGGGTAAGAATTTTTCAGATTTATCATGAAGACCTCCAGGGAATTATTTTGCACTTTCCTTTAGCAACCTATTCTAGTGTGTGTTTTTGTTGTTGTTGTTGTTGTTGTTGTGGGGGAGGTGGATTATAATATATAATGCAGAAAACGCTATGTAACTGTTTGTAGAATATAGCCTATGGTAATATGCGGCAATATAATGGATTATTAATTTATCTTTTATTCTTATTGCATTTTTTCCCTTTTCTAAATGAAACAGCCTGGTCCTTATGATCCCTTACTGTGCTGAAACTCTTTGTTTCAAAATGCAATAAAAACTTACTGGGATATAAAGGCTAGAAGACTGATAAATTTGAAGCAACTGTGGTTGTGGAAAGGAGGTTTAATTAAAGGTAGAAGGACTATCAAGAGGAGGAGAAGAAAAATAAGGAGGAAAAATCTTTTGATAATGTCTAAAATTGCATTATCAGTTTTATTAGGCAATGAAAAATAACTTAATAAATAAATTACATTTAGTTTGATTTTTTTTAAAAAGAGGAATATTATGCTTCTTATGCTTTCACATTTGTAGAATAAAACTAACAGTCTATACAATAAGAAAATCATTGCTTAAGTGAAGTTCTTTTGATATCTCCAACATGTACAGCTTTCTCTATAATGTGCAAAGCAAACCCTGTATTGTGCTAAAGTCAGCACTATTGCAGGGCCCTGTTAATATATCCCTAGAGCTATGATTTGTGCAATAGGCCCTGCCAGGCCTACTATCCTCTACTTCCTTCTGGCCAGTTCACACCCACAGACTGGTGTCACTGCAGGGCATGTGGTGTGACTAGCCATTATTAAATAACTGGTGGATAACTTGGTAAAATGTAACTCTCATACAGCCCTTGTGCCTAAATTTCTTTTTGAAATACAAAAACCAGTCGAATTCACCATGTATATGTAAAATTCACCTAATGTAAAAATTCACTTTACTTATGGAAAATTCATTTTACAGGAATTTTTAAATGCTATTGAATTAATGGTTACTCTATCATTATTAATAATGTGAGTGACAAATTATTGATCTACACTAGGCTAAGGTTCTGAATGTCATTCGAGGACTGAGAATGACATTTTAAGAATTGCCTAACCCTTCCGATGTTTATCTCTGAGGTGACTATGTACAGTTTTCAACCTCCCAACATGCATTCACCCTTTTCCTTGGGTTTTTCATAATTCAGCCATCAGCATGGCACCCATATAGCCTATGTACTGACTTCACCCCACCTCCGTGTGTGTGGTTCACATGTTCAGCCAGTCAACACTCAGGTCCCATCCTCCTAACTGCATGATTGGTTCAGAGAATGTGACCAATTGTGCCAATCAAACACTCAGATAGAGGCTTACTGGAAAAAAAAGTTTATTTGATCCTCCAGAGAACTGCTACAAAACATACTGTTACTTCCTGCTAAATATGAATTAGGAGCAAATAATTCCCACTAGCTGTAGGAAGCCATCTTATGGCAACAGGAAAGAAAGACATAAGGGAAAAAATGGTTATTTGAGTGACCTTGTTAATCCATGTAATAATCTTTACCTGACCACTACTTCAGGACCATTAGTTATGTAATACACTCCCTCCTTACCTTTTAAAAAACTGTCAGTGGGACTCATGTTTTCAGTTACATGGAATTAAAGGATTTTGGAAACAAGATCCTTGTTTTCTCTCCGCCATCACTTTATTCTGAGGTTGGTATTGAAGGAGAGCAGAAAACGTGCTCAATTTCTTTTCTTTTCTTTTTCTTTTTCTTTTTTTTTCTTTTTTTTTTTTTTTTTGAGACAGAGTCTCGCTCTGTCGCCCAAGCTGGAGTGCAGTGGCTCGATCTCGGCTCACTGCAAACTCTGCCTTCGGGGTTCATGCCATTCTCCTGCCTCAGCCTCCCGAGTAGCTGGGACTACAGGCGCCCACCACCTCGCCCAGCTAATTTTTTGAATTTTTAGTGGAGACGAGGTTTCACCATGTTAGCCAGGATGGTCTCGATCTCCTGACCTCGTGATCCGCCCACCTCGGCCTCCCCAAGTGCTAGGATTACAGGCGTGAGCCACCACACCCAGCCGAAAACGTGCTCAATTTCTATCTTCCCTGTGACAGCAAACAAATGAGTGAATTACAAAGGTGAATTGCAGTTTTATTAGGCAATGGATTTTAAGTAACTTAATAGCCTTTAAAAGGAAAAATTAGCAGAAATATATAGTTATTATATGTGAGCAAAAATATACAGTTTTATACAAACACACACACAATGTTTCATGACTTTACTCCCTTCTGCTTTTCCTCATGCAAAGGCGCTCCTGGATTTCTGGGAAGGTGGTGCCAATGTCAGTCTCCTTGATGGAGTATATTATTCTGATTCAGAGTACAGCTGAAAACTTGAAGGCCTATCAGAACATCTCAGCACTCAGACCATGGATTTACTAATTCCCCCTTCATAAATGGGAAAATCAATAGAAAAGAAGAGCAGAGAATAAAAAAGAAACAAAAAATGAGCACGTAACTACATTTAAAAAAAAGAAGGCAAAAATCAAGGGCCAGAGAAAATGATTTTTAATTGTCATTCTTCTTTTTATTCTTTTGTCGTTCTACAGTCTCAATCGTGTATAGACTAATGAGAAAAAATGAAAATGAGTTTCATTAGACAGACCACTTTTGTTGGACTCAGTCTTGAGCTGATCAAATGAGGCAGCTGAACTGAGACTGAATCTTCCCTGTGATTAGCTCAACTCTTGAAGTAGCCAGGCACCTGTGAGGATACAGGGGAGGAGAGAAGATAATAATTGGTCTCTCATCTTTTATAATTATGTGTGTTTCAAGTGGATGTGAACTGTGGGGTTTGAGAGGGCTACATAAAAGGGGAAAATTCTGACGTGAACACTTGAGTCATTAAATCTAGCATTCAAAAGGAAAGGAAGATAAAAATTTAAACAATAGGAGACTTGAGCAATAGAGGCCTTAAAATAATAATGTTTACTGAAAATTAGGACAATTGTTCATTAATTTCATATCTTACGGCATCTTCATCATACTAAATAGTTACCATAGCTATTGACTGGACAGAGAATGAACTGTTTTATCCTCCTTTTTATACAAAATTTCTAACGTCTCAAAAAAAAGATAACAATTTCCTCATTTTTATATTTCACTTTTGAAGTAAAAATGAACAATATATGAGAAGACTTCAATGGACTATTTATGTGTGTGTGGATCATGAGAGAAATTTAACAAAATGTAAGGTATTACAGAAAACTTTTTCTTTATAAATATAAAACATTTCCAAAGAGTATGTGACTGTGATGTTCATTCTCATCTCTTATTTTTAGGTTCCTAAACAGAACATAAACAAATTTTATGCTTGATATTTTGTCTGTAATTAAAATATACTTCCCGCAAATTCATGGGTGGGTGAGAGGTGGGGTTTAATTAGGGATTTGGGATGCAGACAGCT